>NC_000007.14:10240242-12740242 GCF_000001405.40 Homo sapiens
GGCTAAATACTCGTTATCCCTTCATATACACATTAAAGGGTCACAAGTACTCTCTCTAATCTGCGGTCTCTCTTATATTTATTATCTTCCTTCCATAGTAGAACTTTCTCTGCATAAGCTCAAGGTGAAAGCACCATAGATGCGTCTGCCACTGAAGAACTCCATCAAGTGTTGCCAAATCTTTAGAAGACTAAAATATGAAATAATTAGGGAATCCAAAGAATAACAGGATGTATAGCATGAGGCTAAAATACTATCAATCATGACTTCATATACTGACAGTTTTCTCATATTTTCCTTTTGAATAAGAAGCAGCTAGGGTTTGTCTGAAAATTGTATGCCATGATAAAATAAATATCATATTCCTAGTACATGTTTCTTCAGTTGTAGAACAAGTGAGGTAGACTGGAATAACATTTGTTGATGACTTAAGACTGCTTTCTAAGCTTTAAATTTATCCCACTGACTTTAAGAATTAAATCTCAATATAATTATGGTGTGTGTTTGGTTTTGAAGTTGTTGAAATGACCTGGCTCAGAGAAAAAAGAAAAGGACCCTAACATTTTAGAGGATATACAAGCTTTAAAATAGGGAAGAGAATCTAAAATTATTTTTGAAATGTGAAGAACTACATTTTCACCTGACAAATTATATTTTCCAATCTCACAAGCAGTCAATATTATGATGTTTAAGATTCATCTCCTCAGCAAAAACACATTCAAGATTTAATAAAACTAAAGGATGTCATTCAAAATAATGAAATAAATAAAAGAAGGTCCCTCCTCCTTTCCCTGTTAATCCAACCATAGTGCTCTAAATCTCATTTTCCTCTCTGTCCTCAAGGCATTGCTCTGTGAGTTATTCCTTTCCTCTATTGTCAATCTCTTTATTTCCAGTGAATAATTTCCCCATTGCTTATCACTGTGATCAACCTCATCAACCCTACGCAAAATGGACTAGCACCGTGCCCTCCTATGGTTTACCATATAATGAAGAAAATGAACATTAGTCTCCACACTGATCATTATATAATTAAAATCCACCTAACTGCCAAATCCATGCTGATTTATTTTCAGCATAGTTGTTATTTATTGGTAGCAACAGTAAAGGTGACCAACTTCTGCTTTTAAAATGTTCCTCTTCTCTTAATTTCTTTGATAGGTCTTTACATATCCTTAGCCTATTTTTCTATCAACATTTGTAAATATGCTTCATTGGCCTTTGTCTATACCTTCACTGCCAGCGTTTCTCCAGTGGCTGTACTTTCATAAATGTATTGGACACATTACAGAGTACATACTGACTTACACTTCAATTGCTTTAGTTGACTGCTTCTTCCATGCACATCCCTCTCTCCACTTCTCTCCCATTCGTCTCTTTTCTGTGATATTCATGTCTCATGGTTCTTTCCATCTTTTGATCATTACCACTCAGTTTCTCTGTCTCTTTGTTGCTTCTTCTTCCATTGTCTCTTAAGTTCCTAAGATTCTATTTTCCATTTTCCTTACATCTCACTTGACTCACTCTATCTAGTTAATTCCTTTCCATCCTATAGCTTTAGCTCTAAATCAGTGAATTCCAATTTTTTATATTATACTTCAAGCTCTACGTTACATGTGCACAACATGCAGGTTTGTTACATATGTATACATATGCCATGTTGGCGTGCTGCACCCACTAACTCGTCATTTACATTAAGTTATCTCCAAATGTTATCCCTCCTCCCTTCCCCCACCCCACGACAGGCCCCGGTGTGTGATGTTCCCCTTCCTGTGTCCAAGTGTTCTCATTGTTCAATTCCCACCTATGAGTGAGAACATGCGGTGTTTGGTTTTTTTGTCCTTGTGATAGCTTGCGAGAATGATGGCTTCTAGCTTCATCCATGTCCCTACAAAGGACATGAACTCATCATTTTTTATGGCTGCATAGTATTCCACATGGTGTATATGTGCCTCATTTTCTTAATCCAGTCTATCATTGATGGACATTTGGGTTGGTTTCAAGTCTCTGCTATTGTGAATAGTGCTGCAGTAAACATACGTGTGCATGTGTCTTTACAGCAGCATGATTTATAATCCTTTGGGTATATAACCTGTAGTGGGATGGCTGAGTCAAATGGTATTTCTAGTTCTAGATCCTTGAGGAATCACCACACTATCTTCCACAGGGTTGAACTAGTTTACAGTCCCACCAATAGTGAAAAAGTGTTCCTATTTCTCCACATCCTCTGCAGCACCTGTTGTGTCCTGACTTTTAATGATCGCCATTCTAACTGGTATGAGATGGTATCTCATTGTGGTATTGATTTGCATTTCTCTGATGGCCAGTGATGATGCACATTTTTTCATGTGTCTGTTGGCTGCATAAATGTCTTCTTTTGAGAAGTGTCTGTTCATATCCTTCGCCCACTTTTTGATGGGGTTGTTTGTTTTTTTCTTGTAAATTTGAGTTCATTGTAGATTCTGGATATTAGCCCTTTGTCAGATGAGTAGATTGCAAAAATTTTCTCCCATTTTGTAGGTTGCCTGTTCACTCTGATGGTAGTTCCTTTTGCTGTGCAGAAGCTCTTTAGTTTAATTAGATCCCATTTGTCAATTTTGGCTTTTGTTGCCATTGCTTTTCGTGTTTTAGACATGAAGTCCTTGCCCATGCCTATGTCCTGAATGGTTTTGCCTAGGTTTTCTTCTAGGGTTTTTATGGTTTTAGATCTAACATTTAAGTCTTTAATCCATCTTGAATTAATTTTTGTATAAGGTGTAAGGAAGGGATCCAGTTTCAGCTTTCTACATATGGCTAGCCAGTTTTCCCAGCACCATTTGTTAAATAGGGAATCCTTTCCTCATTTCTTGTTTTTGTCAGGTTTGTCAAAGATCAGATGGCTGTAGATGTGTGGTATTATTTCTGAGGGCTCTGTTCTGTTCCATTGGTCTATATCTCTGTTTTGGTACCAGTACCATGCTGTTTTGGTTACTGTAGCCTTGTAGTATAGTTTGAAGTCAGGTAGCGTGATGCCTCCAGCTTTGTTCTTTTGGCTTAGGATTGACTTGGCCATGCGGGCTCTTTTTTGGTTCTATATGAACTTTAAAGTAGTTTTTTCCAATTCCGTGAAGAAAGTCATTGGTAGCTTGATGGGGATGGCATTGAATCTATAAATTACCTTGGGCAGTATGGCCATTTTCATGATATTGATTCTTCCTGTCCATGAGCATGGAATGTTCTTCCATTTGTTTTTGTCCTCTTTTATTTTATAGGTAACTCAGGCTATCACTGGAACTACAGAGACATATTTTCAATTATGAACTAGACATTACATCACATTTCAAACTTAACCTTACAGTAACTACTTCACTGTGTTGAAATCCTTGGTTTGCCTGACTCTCCCAATACAGATTGAGTTATTTAAAGGAAGGAATTTTCATGTCTCCAACTCTTCAAATTCTAAATGTCACCCGATTCCTAATAAATGCTTTATGGCACATAATGATGTAATGAATGATGTAAGTCCATTGAAGTCACACTTTTACTTCTGGAATGTGAAGCTGTATTTCACTGAAAGCACATTTGGGGAGTTAAGTTGGAAAATTAAATAGATTTACAGAGTCAGAAATAAGAGTTTTCTCTGTCACCCTCCCTCATTGTAAATTTGATGCATGCTGGTTAGAGCATTCTAAAATTATTAGTTTCTAGTGTAGGATCAGTATGCCATTATGTTAGCTTTTAATTAAATGGAGCAAAGTTGTTAACAGAGCATGACTTTTTTTTTTCAATTATACATTGAGTTTCTACAGCAATGACTAAAGAAGGCTTATGTTTTTCACATGGTCTTTGACACATGAGAAATGGGCTTACAAGCCTCCCTTTTCATGACAGCATCCTAAAGATTTCTGCACTTGGATAGGGTGACACTCACAAAAATAATTTAGGCCCCATTTTATTTTTAGGATATAAGAAGAAAAGAAACATCAAGGTCTTATTTGAAACAAATAAATACAAATAATTGCAGAGCCTCTGCAAAAAGATACAGAATAAAAGTAAAGGAGATCAAACTGAATCTAAAAACTTCAATAGTGACTGATTAAGATTGGCTTTGCTCGCTCTCTCTTTTTTTACTCTTAGCAGTTCAGTATAAAGGCTATCAATATGAATTATCTTTAAATTTGTATAAAATACCTCCAAATATTCTGAAAATATATGTAGCTTTATTCCTTAATAAACAAAGAAAACAACAGCTCTAAAAATACTTAGCAAGAACTCTCTAAGCAGGTTAGAATTCAAGCATAATATGTGGTTCATGCCCTCTTAATGAAAGGGAATAAATAATGTTGAAAAATAATGGAACACTTAAAATTAAAGAATAACGAGCAGAGAAGTTATAAGGAAGAAAAAAGAGAAATGCATAAAAATACAATCTGAGAATAACTTGGAAAAAATTAATGTATTTCATTCATGCCAGAGAATTATTTTCCTTCTATCCTTGTCTTTCTAACTAACAGGACATAATTCTGTTACACCCAAGCAACATCAATGCTACTTTCATTTGACATAAAATCTATACTCACTGGAACTTTGTGAGCATCAAACACAAGTTTCTATGGCACAATATCTTAAAATATATGTAGGAAATTATGACTCTTACACAAAGAGCTTGCCAGATTCTTTCAACAAGCATTGATCTCACAGTCAGTTTTCAATGTGGTATTTTAAGTGATTGAAATATTTACGTGTACCATTAGAAATTGCTTTATCACATGGGAATATAACATTTTATGATAAACTATTGTTCTATTTCTCCAGTCTATGTTATTTTCAAAAATTATTGCTGAAATGGAGTTTTTTTTCAATATCAATCAAATCAAGATATAGAGAAGCAAAATTAACATAGGACAAAATGCCTTGAAGATACATATTCTCTCAAGCTGTGCAAAATTCTAAGACACAATCAATAGAAAGAAAACAATACTTTATACTTGTATACAACTCTTTACCAAATGCTTATAGAACATTTTTAAAATATGATCACTAACCCATGTCTATATATGTGGAAATAAATACATACATAAATGATAAAGAAGCCAAGAAGCTAAAAACAGTAGTCAATCTTCCAAAAATGTATTACTAATCCTTACTATAATCATATAAGTACCCACAATTTCATCAGTTATAGTAGAACCTCCTCTCTCTAAACTTCCATAAAAAATTTTCAGAGCTCTGCAACTTCTAACCCACATGTTCCTACATTTTGATTGTGTAGCCTCAGGAAGTTCATAGTATAATTAAGGAATGACAACTGCTGAGCATGCCAACAATGAATGGAAGAAGAGAAAAGAAGTATTGAGGTATGAATAAGCCAAGCTGTAATTGGGTAGAGCAGAAGAGAGAGCAGATGGCTACATTTTCTGGACATCTGTTGAGAACTGGATACTTATTAGAAGGCAGTGAATTCTGAATTGGCATAAAACATCAGCCTAGAAGATTATTCTATTAGACATTATTGGAATGACTTAGGGTGGTTTGAGGTCAAGTAAGAATTGTTATTATTAATTATTATTATTATAACATTTTATACTCTTTAAGACATTTTCATATAAAATATTGTATTTCTTCCTTTCAATATTTCCATTTTTCTTGTCAGAAAATTGAAACAGAGTTTAATGACCTGCCCAAGCACAAATTAGGGATGCTAGTGATAGGACTAGCTCAAATACCTTCTTCCTTAGAACTGTATTTTTTAAACTTACAGAGCAGAGTAAAAAGTTTAGAGTCAAATCAACTTGACTGAAGAAATTGTTTTGGCAGTATATATATTCTTGTTAGGACTTTGTTAAACTTATAGTTAAATAAATCCTTTTCTTTTTTATATGTGTAAAAGGAAACACTCCAAATCAATATGCAAAGAAATCCAATGGATCACCAGTAGAGATAAGCTAATTTATTTCAAGTTGCCTCCATAGAGTTTTAACATACAACATCTTACCTTCCTTGTCATTTTATATTAGAAATATAAAAGAATATTCAAATATTAAACAGAACATATTATTTTGTCCTTGGATTCGGCTCATGACTCATACCTCCTACTATATACCAAAACATGGATGATAGACATAAATGTAAAATTTAAAACTATAAAACTTCTTGAAGAAAATAGAAAAAAGTTCTTGTGACATTCAGTTACTCAAAGATTTTTAAAAAGAAAATAAAAACCAGGAATAATAAGAAATAAATTATACTATATCAAAATTAAAATTTATGACTTCAAAAAATGCTGTTGCAAAATGAAAAGCAAAGCCATAGACTGGGTGGAAATGTGTAAAAAGTGTATAGATGCAAATAACTAGTTTTTAGAATAAACTCTCAAAAGTGAAAAACTAAAATCAAAAACAAAAACTAACCCAATGAAAACTGGATAAAAGATTTAAAAAGACACCCTATCTAACAAGACATACAGATTGCAGGTAAGCACATGAAAAGATACTCACATCACTGGTCATGAAAACTCAATGATATCCCACTGCATATATGTTAGAATATGGAAACAAACAAACTTAACAATACCAACTGTTGACAAGGATTTGAAGCAACTAAAACTTTTATGAATTCCTGGTGGGAATGTACCATAGTAAGATCTCTGAAAGGCAGTTTGGCATGCACTTAACCATATGACTCAGCAATCTCACCCCTATGTATTTATTCAAGGCAAATGAAAACATTGTCTACCCAAAAACCTGTATGTGAATGAATCCTTTTAGCAGCTTTATTCATATTCACCCAAAACTAGAAACAACCAAAATTTCCATCAACTAGTGAAGTGATAAACAAATTGTGATACATTCATGCAATGGAATATTACTCCAAACAAAAAGAAACAAACTATGTGGACTGACAAAATGTAACCATCATGCTAAGAAAAAAAACGACTGAAATCATAAACATTGTATGAATCCATTTAAATCAGGGGTCCCCCAACCTCCAGGCCACAGACTGGTAGTGGTCTGGGGCCTGTTAGGAACTGGGTCACACAGCAGGATGTGAGTGGCAGGCCAGCAAGCATTACCGCCTAAGCTCTGGCTCCTGTCAGATCAGAGGCAGCATTAGATTCTCATAGGAGCATGAACCCTATTGTGAACTGCACATGCCAGGGATCTAAGTTGGGTGCTCCTTATGAAAATCTAATGCCTGATGATCTGTGGGGGAACAGTTTCATTCTGAAATCATACCCACCAACTCCATGCCACAAAAGTTGGGGATTGCTGATTTAAATGCATTCTGGAAGGAGGGGCCAAGATGATTGAGCAGAACAGCTCTGGTCTGTAGCTCCCACCGAGATAAACATAAACAGCGAGTGAATTCTGCATTTCCAACTGTGGTGCCTGGATTCTCTCACTGGGACTGACTAGGCAGTTCCTGCAAGGAAAAGCAGGATGGGGCGATGGTTCACCCAGGAGCTGCACAGGACAAAGGGACCTCCCTCCCCTAGACAAGGGAGATGGGGAAGAATTGTGTTACCTGCCTGGGGAATGCTTTTCCCATGAACTTTTTGCAACCCGTGGATCAGGAGATTCCCTCGTGAGCCCACACCATCAGGGCCTTGGGTCCCATACACAAAGCTGTGCGGACCTACAGCAGCCACTGAGATTGGTGGCCGCTTGGACAGGCACTGAGCTCGAGGAGTTTTTGCATACTCCTCCAGCTCCTGGAACTCCAATGAGGTAGATGATCTGTCTAGTCCCAAGGGAAGAGGGCTGAAGCCAGGGAGCCAACCAGCCTCCCTCAGTGCGTCCCACCCAGACAGAATCCCACAAGCTAAAGACCCACTGGCTTGGGTTCCCAGCTGGCCAGCACAGGAGCCTCGAGTCTACCTAAGACTATTGAGTTCCCAAGGGAAGGGGCGATCACCATTACTGCAGATCGAATCAGCAGTTTTCCCCTGCCAGTGCTAGGAAGACTGGGCAGAATTCCCCACAGCGCAGCAAAGCGGCTGTGGCAGATCATGGCCAGACTGCTTCTTCAGGTGGGACCTAGATTTATCCCTCCTCACTGGGTAGGGCCTCCCTGCAGGAATTTCATCAACTCCAGCCAAGGGTTTACAGACAGAACTCTCATTTTCCTGGGACAGAGAACCTGGGGAGAGGGGTGGCCGTGGTCTCAGGCTCAGTAGACTTAATTCTTCCTGCCTGTTGGCTCTGAAAAGTCCAGGGGATCTAGATGAGGGGGATTCCTGTGCGCCCACTCTGCTAAGGGACAGCCAGATTGCTTTTATTTTTAAGTGAGCCCCTGATCCCATGCCTCCTGACTGGGTGAGACCTCCCAACAGGGGAGTCACAAGACACCTCATACAGGAGAGTTCCAGCTGGCATCAGGTCAGTACCACTCTGTGATGAAGCTTCCAGAGGAAGGAGCAGGCAGCAGTCTTTACTGTTCTGTAGCCTCCACTAGTGATACTCAGGTGGACAAAGTCTATGGTGGACCCCCAGCAAACTGCAGCAGACCTGCAGAAGAGGGGCCTGACTGATAAAAGAAAAACAAACAAACAAACAGAAAGCAACAACAACATCAACAAGAAAGACCCCACAAAAAACCCTATCCAAAGGTCAACAGCCTCAAATATCAAAGATAGATAAATCCAAGTAGATGAGGAAAAACAATGCAAAAACGCTGAAAATTCTAAAAGCCAGAATGCCTCTTCTCTTCCAAATGATTGCAACACCTCTCCAGCAAGGGCACAGAACTGGGCTGAAGCTGAGTTGGATGAACTGACAGAAGTAGGCTTCAGAAAGTGGGCAATAATGAACTTTGCTGAGCTAAAGGGTTGTATTCTAACCCAATGCAAAGAAGCTAAGAACCATGATAAAAGATTATGGGAGCTGTTAATTAGAATAAGCAGTTTAGAGAGGAAAATAAATGACTTGATGGAGCTGAAAAACACAGCATGAGAACTTCATGATGCAAACACCAGTATCAATAGCTGAACTGACCAAGCGGAAGAAAGAATATCAGACCTTGAAGACTATCTTGCTGAATTAAGGCATGCAGATAAGATTAGAGAAAAAAGAATGAAAAGGAACGAACAAAACCTCTGAGAATTATGGAATGATGTAAAAAGACTGAACCTAGGACTGATTGGAGTACCTGAAAGAGATGGGAAGAATGGAATCAAGTTGGAAAACACATTCCAGGATATCATCCAGGAGAACTTCCCCAACCTAGCAAGACAGGCCAACATTCAAATTCAGAAATCCAGAGAACCCCAGTAAGATACTCCATAAGAAGATCAACCCCAAAGCACATAATCATCAGATTCTCCAAGGTCGCAATGAAGGAAAAAAGGTTAAGAGCAGCAAGAGAGAAAGGCCAAGTCACTTACAAAGGGAAGCCCACCGCACTAACAACAGACCTCTCGGTGGAAACCCTAAAAGCCAGAAGAAATTGGGGACCAATATTAAACATTCTTAAAGAAAAGGTTTCCAACCCAGAATTTCATATCCAGCCAAACTAAGCTTTATAAGTGAAAGATAAAATCCTTTTCAGACAAGGAAATGCTGAGGGATTTTGTCACCACCAGGCGTGCCTTGCAAGAGCAGCACTAAACATGAGAAGGAAAAACTGTTGCCAGGCACCACAAAAACACACTGAAGTACACAGACCAATGACACTATGAAGCAAGACATTAACAAGTCTGCAAAATTAACTAGACAGCATCATGATGACAGGATCAAATTCACACATAACAATATTAACCTTAAATGTAAATGGCCTAAATTCCCCAATTAAAAGACACAGAATGGCAAGCTGGATAAAAAGACAAGATCCATCTGTGTGTTGTATTCATGAAACACATCATGTGCAAAGACACACATAGGCTCAAAATAAAGGGATGGAGGAAAATTTAACAAGCAAATGGAAAGCAGAAAAAAAATAGGGGTTTCAATCCGAGTTTCTGACAAAATAGACTTTAAACCAACAAAGATAAAAAAAGACAAAGAAGATAATTACATAATGATAAAGGATCCAATTCAACAAGAAGAGCTAACTATCCTAAATATATTTGCACCCAATACAGGAGCACCCAGATTCATAAAACAAGTTCTTAAAGACCTGCAAAGAGACTTAGACCCCTATACAATAATAGTTGGAGATTTTAATACCCCATTGTCAATATTAGACAGATCATCAAGACTGAAAATTAACAAAGGTATTTTGGACTTGAACTCTGCTCTGGATCAAGTGGACCTGATAGATATCTACAGAACTTTCCACCCAAAATCAACAGAATATACATTTTTCTTGGCACCATATGGCTCTTACTCTAAAATTGATCACATAATTGGAAGTAAAACACTCCTCAGCAAATGCAAAAGACCTGAAATCATAACAGACTCTCAGACCACAGCACAATCAAATTTAGAACTCAAGATTAAGAAACTCACTCAAAACCACAAAACTACATGGAAATTGAACAATATGCTTCTGAATGACTTCTGGGTAAATAATGAAATAAGGGCAGAAGTCAAGAAGTTCTTTGAAACTAATGAGAAAAAAGAGATAATGTACCAGAATCTCTGGGACACAGCTAAAGGAGGGTTAATAGGGAAATGTATAGCACTAAATGCCCACATCAGAAAGCTAGAAAGACATCAAATCAGCATCCAAACTTCGCAAAAAAAAAAAAAAAAAAAAAAAAAATTAGAGAACAAAGAGCAAACAAACCCCAGAGCTAGAAGAAGACAAGGAATAACCAACCTCAGAGTGAAAGTGAAGGAGGCAGAGACACAAAAAAAAAACCCTTAAAAGAATCAATGAATCCAGGAGCTGGCTTTTTGAAATAATCAATCAAATACAGAGACCACTAGCTACACTAATAAAGAAGAAAAGAGAGAAGTTTCAAAGAAAGACAATCAGAAATGATAAGGGGGATACCACCAGTGACCCCATAGAAACATAAACAATCATAAGAGAATACTATAAACAACTCTATGCACATAAACCAGAAAATCTAGTAGAAATGGATAAACTCCTTGGCACATACACCCTTCCAAGACTGAACTAGGAAGAAGTTGAATCCCTGAACAGACCAAAAACAAGTTCTGTAATTGAGGCAGTAATAAATAGCCTACCAAGCAAAAATAGCCAAGGTCTAGATGGATTTACAGTTGAATTTTACCAGAGGTACAAATGAAGCTAGTACCACTTCTTCGGAAACTATTTCAAATGATTGAAAAGGAGGGACTCCTCCCTAACTCATTTTATGAGGCCAGCATAATCCTGGTACCAAAACCTGGTAGATACAACAAAAAAAGAAAACTTCAAGTCAATATCCCTGGTGAAAATCGATGCAAAAATCCTCAGTAAAATACTGGCAAACTGAATCAAGCAGCACATCAAAAAGCTTATCCACCATGATCAAATCAGCTTCAACCACAGGATGCAAGACTGGTTCAACATATGCAAATCAATAAACATAATTCATTGTAAAACAGAACTACAGACAAAAACCACATGATTATCTCAATAGATGAAGAAAAGACCTTCGATAAAATTCAACATCCCTTCATGTTAAAAACTCTCAATAACTAAGTATTGAAGGAATAAACCTCAAAATAATAAGAGCCATTTATGACAAACCCACAGCCAATATCATGCTGAATGGACAAAAGCTGGAAACACTCCCCTTGAAAACCAGCACAAGACAAGGATGCCTTTCCTCACCACTCTTATTCAACACAGTATTGGAAGTTCTGGCCAGGGCAATCAAGCAAGAGAAAGAAATAAAGCATATTTAAATAGGAAGAGAGGAAGTCAAATTGTCTTTGCAGATTACATGATCCTATATCCAGAAAACCCCATTGACTCAGCCCAAAAGCTTCTTAAACTGATAAGCAACTTCAGCAAACTCTCAGGATACAAGATCAATGTGCAAAAATCACAACCATTCCTGTACCCCAACAACAGACAAGCAAATTATGAATAAACCCAAAACCCAAATTATAAATGAACTCCCATTCACAATTGCCACAAAGAGAATAAAATATCTAGGAATACCGCTAACAAGGAAAGTGAAGGTTCTCTTCAAAGAGAACTACAAACCACTGCTCAAGGAAATCAGAGAGGACACAAACAAATGGAAAAACATTCTAAGCTCAGGAATAGAAAGAATCAATATCATGAAAATGGCCTACTGCCCAAAGTAATTTATAGATTTAACGCTATACCCATCAAACTACCATTGACATTCTTTACAGAATTAGAAAAAAAATTTTTTAATTTATATGGAACCAAGAAAGAGCCTGAATAGCCAACACAATCCTAAGCAAGAAGTACAAAGCTGGAGACATAATGCTATCTGACTTCAAACTGTACTGCAACGCTACAGTAACCAAAACTGCATGGTACTGGTACAAAAACAGGCACATAGACCAGTGAAACAGAATAGAGGACTCGGAAATAAAACTACATGTCTACAACCATCTGATCTTCAACAAACCTGACAAAAACAAGCAATGGGGGAAAGGATTCCCTATTTCATAAATGGTGCTGGGAGAACTGGCTAGCCACATGCAAAAAAATTGAAACTGACCCTTTCCTTACACCTTCTACAAAAATTAACTCAAGATAGATTAAAGACTTAAATGTAAAACCCAAAACTATAAAATCCCTAGGAGAAAATCTAGGCAATACCATTCTGGACATAGGCATGGACAAAGATTTTATGATGAAATCGCCAAAAGTAATTGCAACAATAGCAAAAAATGACAAATGGGATCTAATTAAACTAAAGAGCTTCCGCAGAGCAAAAGAGACTATCATCAGAGCAAACAGAGAGCCTACAGAAAGGGAGAAAATTTTTGCAATCTATCCATCTGACAAAGGTCTAATATTCAGAGTCTACAAGGAACTTAAGCAAATTTACAAGAAAAAAAAAACCCCATTAAAAAGTAAGCAAAGGACATGAACAGACACTTCTTAAAAGAAGACATATATGTGGGCAATGAACATATGAAAAAAAGCTCAACATCACTGATCATTAGATAAATGCAAATAAAAAACTCAATGAAATACCAACTCACGCCAGTCAGAATGAGGATTATTAAGAAGTCAAGAAACAACAGATGCTGGCTAGGTAGTGGAGAAATAGGAACGCTTTTACACTCTTGGTGGGAATGTAAATTAGTTCAACCATTGTGGAACACAGTGTGGTGATTCCTCAAAGATTTGGAGCCGGAAATACCATTTGACCCAGCAATCCCATTACTGGGTATATAGGCAGAGAAGTATAAATCATTCTATTATAAAGACACATGCACGTGTACGTTCATTGCAGCACTATTTACAACAGCAAAGTCACAGAATCAACCCAATGCCCATCAATGATCTACCGGATTAAAAAAATGTGTTACATATATGCCATGGAATACTATGCAGCCATAAAAAGGAACAAAACCATGTCCTTTGCAGGGACATGGATGAAGCTGGAAGCCATTATCCTCAGCAAACTAATGCAGGAACAGAAAACCAAACACCACATGTTCTCACTTGCAAGTGGGAGCTGAACAATGGAACACATGGACACAGGGAGGGAAACAACACACACTGGTGCCTGTCAGGGGAGGACAGGGGCAGGGAGAGCATCAGGAAAAATAGCTCATGCATGCCTGGCTTAATTCCTAAGTAATAGGTTGATAGGTGCAGCAAACCACCATGGCACACATGTAGCCATGTAACAAACCTGCACATACCTCATATATACCCTGGTACTTAAAATAAAAATAATAAATAAATGACATTCTGCAAGAGACAAACTATAAGGACAGAAATGAGATCAGTGGTTGTCCAGGGATGGGAGTGTGGAATGCTGACTGACTACAAGGAACACTGGAAAGCAAGGAAAGTATTTAGGATGATGTAAATATGTTATTTCTTGTTTGTGGTAGTGGTTGCATACCTACATATGACTGTCAAAACTCAGAATGGTACACCTATAAAGAGTAAATTATAACTTTATAAACTTGATGTTACAAGACGGCACATGAGATTTTGTGACTAGGTTGCTAAGTGTCTCTGAGGTGGTTGTTGTCTAAAGATAGTCTCCAGTAAATGATAACCATATGTAGACACCCTGTGTTTATCCGCCTATATTGAATCTGGGTCAACTCAGACTCATTTTAACAATGAGAATATTGAGGAAATGGGGCTGTCCCAGTTCCAGCCAATGTTTTCAGCCTCCAAAGGCCTCAAAGCGTTCACTTCTGTGCCTCTGGGAACCTTGAGGGAACATGCAAGAGACTGGGCACCCTGCAGGAGAGAGAGCATGGGGAGGCCATGTGAAGGGGCTCTGCTGACACAGGGAGACCCTAGAAATACATGGATAAAACAGAGGCCCATCTGTCTCAGCATCTCAGCTGAACTCATTTTTTAAATTTATGCTGAGACTATAGACATGTGAGTAGACTATCTTATATGTTCCAGACAAGCCCCTAGATGACTCCAGCCCCAGCTGATATCATGTAAATCAACAGCTGTTACACTGATCCGCAAAATCATGAGAGATAATAAATTGATATTGCTCAATGATCACCTTCCTATAGAAATTTCCCAAATTAGCCACCCTTTCCAGTTTGAGACACTGTAACGTTAGCGCTTGAATATATAGGCCATGGCAATGGTAGCTGAAATTTAATGAGTGCCAGACACTGTTCCAACATCATTACATGTATCACTTAACTCTTGTAATAGTGGTATAACGTTGGCTTTATAGTTAGATTTATAGGCAGTCTTTCAACCAACTGTGACAGAAAGAGGCAGGAGAACATGGTGTTTAAGGCATGAGCTCAAGGACCTATCTGTACCTGAATCATATCTTTGACACTTACCAGCTCTGAGACACTGGATGGAAATCATTTAACTTCTGTGTCTCGATTTTATCATCTCTAAAATTAGGATAATAAAAGTATCACCTTCTAGATTTGATGTGAGAATTAATGAACTTAATACAAAAACATTGCACAAAGGAAGCACTCTAAAATGTTAATTATTCTTGTTACTGTTATTTCACCTATATCTAGCATAGTATAACTGAAAAATGACAGGGTTTAGAGTGAGAAGAGCTCAGTTTCAGTTTCAACACTTCTTATATTTGTTAGAATTTGTGCAAATCACCAAACATGTCTACTCTTCAATTAAGTGAAGTTAAACATATTATTTTCAAAGAATTGCTTTGGAGCTCAAATAAGACAATTTTGTGAAAGAGCTATATAAATTATGAGTATAGACAATTACGAGACGTTTCTATTTTATGTTTTCTTGCATCATTTTCAATGTCACATCTCACTACTAAATGCAAGTTTTCTCCAGACTAAAGAATACAACACCTATATTTTGGGTAGAGTACAGGATTCTATACATTGTCACCCAACTTCCATTAGACTCTTTTGCTTATTCTCACTCTCAATTTTTATAAATAGCGACCTGACCAATCAAACACTGACATTATGAATAGGGTAAAGATGTGTTCTGAGCTATTCCAGAAAGCAAAGTAAGTTGATGGATTATTTCTTCATCGATAAAATGGAATGAAATGGCTTTATTGCATATCAATATGGGAATTACCAAAAATCTATGTTCATACCTAATATGATTCTTAGTATATTATAGACATTCAATAAATATTAATGGTCATCCTACCTTAACTAACCTTGATAATAAACCATCCATCTCATTAAAACAAGTAAAATATAGTTTGTATGACTTGCTAGCACTTCTTTAAAAATAATTCTCTTCCCCACTAAAATTCATGCTCCTGTTTACCATGCTGTAATTTTGCTCTCAAAAATTATACTCTGCCAACATAATCCTTTGGGGTTTTTTTCTTGGCAGATGAACAAAAATAATTTTTTCCCTTCTGTTTTGCCAGTCTGTATCCTCCCTTTGTCCCTTTGTTATAAGGAAAGACAGAGAAAGGCATTTCTATGCCAGGGAATCATTCTTCACTCATGAATTGGGTGGGCCACTGTATAGGACAAGTGACGGTTTTGATGGTGAGCAGTAATACCACATTGTAGTTGAAGGGGCCTATCCAGGTATGTGTAATTGGCTGGTTATCATAAAGGCAGATGTTGACAAAATTAAAAAGTGTGTCCATTTAAGAAACAGTCCAGAAAACTGCAATGCAGTGGTATTATAGGTCCTGTTACAAAAGTCAGTTTCCCAATTAATAATTTTGTGGTCCTACATTTTTGCCTAGTAAGCATTCAGTAGGCTACACTTCTCCTTTGTAACTGTACTGATTTTTCTCCATATTACATTATCTCATTTTCAGGAATCACACAAATATCAACATAAAAAGCTTTGCTACTTTAATAACACACAATACATTTAGGATACAAAATCCTGTGAAAGTCACAGTTTACTCTGTAGTTTCATTGAGGCTTATAGTACATAATGCTACAGTAATTCTCCAAGGTACTTTCCAAAGACTGACAAGAATAAGTGTGTTTTATCTATTGTTAACTATTCTACAGGCAGCAAGATCCTGGAGTATGATGTTGGTTTTCATTGTTGCTCAAACCAATAGTACCTCACTTGCATATGATAAAAAAAAATCAAGACAATAATAAGGAGTCTTTTAACAAATTATAACTAAACATAAATGTTACTGAGCCAGCTTTATGCATGATGTCATTTGTTGCTTTAACTTAATAAAACCAAATAAAGAATACTGGCTGGATGAATATTAAATAATGTTTATTTGAGAAACAATGATAAGTATTCTAGATTACAAAAAAAAAGAAATTCCCATTGTAATTATCATTTTAGTCTCATTTTATTTTATGGAACTTTTATGAGTTTTAGCAAAAGTATATAAACATAACCTGAATTATGCCTTAAATATCGGCAGAAGATTTCCAAAAGGAAGGGGAGAAGGCATATCATTTATATGAAAGTAATTAAATTAAATTTTAATTAACATGTTTTAATTTAAACAATTATAATCAAGGAGTTATGCAACTTTGTAAAGTCATTTACTGCACCTTGCTATATTTTTAGCAATGTCTATAACTGAAATGTTTCAACTGATAAAACTTGAAGGTTTTGTCTGCTTTATTTTCCCTGAAGAATAAATAGAATCTGGCTCCCAAAATTAAAATCAGCTTTGTTGAATGTGTGTATATAATGTTGGAAGCAAAATCACCATGTAATAGTGATTACCATAATGTACAACGTAACCAGTTGTGGCTATGTACATAGAGTCATGTGAAAGTGGTTAATAATTCTGAAATCATGTTAATCTATAGAAGGATTATGGTTAGTCCAATTGGTTTTATTACCATTCCTGCGGCCAGCACAAAGATCATCAGCACATTTCATATGAGCTCTGTGGAACAAGGCTGGTCAGATTCTCTTCGCCACTAAAATTCATGCTCCTGATGAATGAGTCACAGATGAGCCACATTACAGATTGGATGGGCGTGAAAATCTGAAGTACAATGAAACAATGACATACAGCATTTAATCATTTAAAATGCTTCTTGCTCATAGTGAAAAGTGGCCTAACGAAGCCAAAGAGTAAGGTGCCAAGGTGCCATCTGGCTCTAAAGATGAAAAATATTCTGAAATAAACTCTGAAAATTGAAGTAAAGTGGGATACAAAAAAAAAAACAAACTATACTCCAAAAGAATAAAGTATGAATGTTACATGTGATTAAATAATTACAAATAAAATGTAGTCATGCTTCTACATAGTATCTTGCCTCCCGAAGTAAAATTATATTTAAATAACAAAACAGATTATTTTAAAAGCCACAGTAAACTTTAATATCATTAACATAGGTGATACAATATAATAAATATACAAATATATTAACATATATTATTTAATAAATGTCTTTGTACATGAATATATATTTGATATATATATTATGTATTTGAAAAGTCTAGTGAAATACTAACACCAGGAGAAATAATGCTAAAATTACATCAAGCTAAAAATAAAAACAATACAAATGAGCACATTTGTTTTCTTTCCCAGTAAAATTAATTTTACTGTTCAAATTCCTTATTAAAAATTAATTCCAAGGAACTGAAAAATGTTTTATAAGGTATACTTTTATTTTAAGGAATATTATACTACATATGGGAACATGGTACTTTTTTAATTGGGCAGAATTTTCATGACAGCACCCTTTGTTGTTACACAGTTGAACCATACTAATATAAAATTCTCATCATTTTTTAATGTCACTTTGAGAAAGTTATCAACAGCTAGAAATAAACTATAACCAAATATATTACCTGAATTAGAGTTGCACTATCACAAAAATGGCAGTATATTCTAGTGCAAAATAGTGCTAGTGCTAAATGAAAAAATATTTTTGCCTATAAAAATATCTGCTCTCCTCCAGCCTAATAAAACATAACCAATTTGTATTACATTTTTTGAATTTGCCCTGAAGTGTGCAGATACATCATCTAACCCACAGGAGAAATGTTAAAGCAGTACTGGGAAATCACAAAACATAATTGCTAATCTTCACTTCTTTTAAAAGAATCTTCTGCTTAATACTGATTGAAAGGGATTCTCAAAGGGTACTAAACTTCATAAACTATTGCAAAAAGGTAACCGTTTATATTTATTCTGAATTTAGTTGAAATTTCCAATGTGTGGTGGCATCATTTTGTAAAAGCTTACTTTAGATGGCTGTTTATTGCATTGTCAATTAAATTTCTACCCTTCAGTCTCTAGATCTCATTACCTCATTTATAGAAGAAATAAAATCCAAAAAAACGATCAGAGTGAGAAGGCAGCTTGGTAGATTATTCCTGCATCAGAGGAATACACTCCCCCAAACAGCAATCATTCATACTTCTGAGATTTCCTTCAGTACATATTCAAGATTGGCCTCTTCAATTTTAATGGTACATTTGGGAAAATTTAGTTTTTGTGATAGCTTTGCTTCTTCTTTGGAAAAAAAATATAGATAGACAGATTGCTTGATATGGAGAAAGAAATATAGATGTATGTGTATATATATTTTCATTTGTAAGAGGAATGTAGAGAGACAGTATGTACTTAATATGAGGCCCACTGGCCCTTTTTAAACAGAAGTAGATGCTAAATATTTTAGACTCAGGATATGATACATAATATCAAAACAGTCACTGGTAATTTCGGAGAGCTAACCTTCAGGTATACAAAAAGTGCTAGTATGCACTTACTAAACAATAAAATGATGAGAAATTATTATCTAGGGAAAACTAAGTATGTTGTAAGTATCATAAGCAGGAAGGAAAAAAGTGTTGCAGAGTGACTAAAAAATATTTACAATCCAAACATGGTTTGAGACCTTGACAATTCTATTAAAATGAAGATGGTTTGTGCTTTTCTATTCCGATGGCTCTAGGAGGGTAAAATCTGATTGGACAAATCTGGACATCTACATCAAAACTATTTACTATGAAAGCAATAATTAAATTTAAGTGATAAATTTAGATATACAAAAAAGAAAGGCAAAACTCTACTAAAGTTGATGTCAGAGATAATAACATTAAAGATGGACAGCAGAACACTTTAAAATTTCACTTCCAGTAAAAACGATTACCTCAAGATCACTATTTGTGAGTATAGTCTTAAAAAGATGTTTTCTAAAATTAATTTCACAATTTAAAAACTCCACTATCTCAACTATTGGCCAGAGACAAACACCACATTAATTACTGTATTCCTTTACTCAGATATATTTGGGGAATGTGCTATGCAGAGCTTAAAAAGAGGTATTCATGTTTGATACAATACCTGTCCTCGAAGACTTCAAAGCTTTGGGAAAATAGTAAACTCATAAAATGTGTTGGCAAACTTCTGTAACAATTGGTTACAGGAATAAATACAAAGGTAAGAAGCACATGATACAATTGCTTCAAAGTCAGGGAGAGGTCATCCTAATGAAATAACTACTAAGCTAATATTTGTATGAGGAGAAAAGGGAAAGGCATTATGTCCATAGGGAAGTATTGTTGCAAATGTAATACAAAAGATTGTACATGAATTGCATTTCCTCGAACATTGGGAAGACTTGGTAAAATTTTGAGAGACCAGAATTGATCTTGAACTTCAAGGTCACAGAACTTTTTGTAGTGTTACATGATGAAAATTTCTGGCATTTAACTCCCTGACATGTACAAATGAAATTCAATAAACTACCTACTATATTAAATAATCTTGTAAACTCCTTGGGTCTTTTTCTATACATTCATATTTTATTTACTGGTTTACTGCAATTTTACCCTGCTCAGAAATATTTGATAGAACAAAAATTTTCTATCTGAATCTTAAACTCGTAATAGCTTGTGTGCTGATAAATCTCTAAATTGCAATTTCACTGTATTTCCTTGGTGATAATATTAAGCTTATCAGTTAAAACAATTTATCATTTCTGCTGAACATTTTCTGAAAGTATAGCATACAGACAAAAAAGTACAAATATCATAAGCATACAAATTAATGCATTTTCATTGGTACATGCATGGAAGTAATTACCACCTAGGTCTGGGAGATGAATATTACCAGAACTGTAGAGGTTTTCATAATTTCTTCCCATCACTACTCCTTTCCTCCTCCTCAAAAGTGACCAAATAAGTTGAGATGACAATCTCAGTTGCTCCACATTCTCACCAACACTTGATACTGTCAATCTTTTTAACTTTAGCAATCTGATAAATATGTAATGGTAACTCGTATTCATTTTTATTTGCATTCCTCTTATGACTAAATAGACTGAGAATCTTTTCATATGCTTTTTGGTCATTTGAAATTCCTGTTCAAGTCTTTTGCCCTCTTGTCTAATAAGTTGTCTATTTTTCATACTGATTTATTTTTATTCCAGGATTACCCAGTTTATCTATGAAATAAATACTAAAAAATTAGGACTTAGATCTACCATCTCATTACTTGTTTTATATTTTCTCTATCTATTCAGTTTCTCTGTCTTTTTTCCAGTGGGGGAGTAGAATAAGAATTTGAATAGTCCGTGTATGTTCGCTTCCTGGTTCTTGGACCCTATATCTCCTACACTGTCTTTTACAGTCTTTATTATTATTTTCCTACAGACTTCATTCCAGATGTTTTCTAATAACCTATATGTACATGTATCACCACTCTCTTCAATTCTCCATCTACTGAGTATTGAAATCCAGTATAGTATATGACCTTGAATAGGTAACAGTACCTTTACAGAGTGCACAAGAAGCACAAATCATAAACCTAAAAAGTGAATAGATTTGACTACATTGCAATTAACAACTTATGCTCATTAAAATGCTATAAAAATAAAGTGAAAAGACAAACTACAGAAAGAAACTGTTTGCTATGTATCCTACAAAGACTCTTATCAGAACTCTGACAAATCAGAGGAATGTAAATTAAAACCAAAATTAGGTGCCCTTTATATTCATCAGAATAGCTAAATGTAAAAACATAGATAACATCAAATTTTAGTAAGTGTATGAAGAAACTGGTACTCTCCAATGCACTTTTGGTGAGAGTTTAAATTTGTAGAGTTACTTTGGAGAACTCTTTGTTATTATCTAATATCCCTGAACATAGGAATATCCTAGGATCCCAAAATTAATTCCATTGCTAAGTGTATATCTATAATTAAATGTGTACATACATCCGCTAAAAGCCATATAAAGGAACATTTCTCAGAGCACTATTTTATTTTCTCAGTCTAAAAACTAACTAATGGTCAGCAACAGTCAAGGGATAGACAAGCACTGAATATTTATGCAATGGAACACTATATAGCAATAAAAATGCTTAAAACTATTGTACACCCACAAATAAGAATTAATATTACAACTGTAATTTCAGGCAAAAGAAGACATAGAAAAATGTATGTACTATAATGGGCAAATGATTCTGAAGTCAGAATGGTGATTACCATAAGATACAGTTTAATTGGAAAAGGGGGCATGAGAGGTACTGATAGGATGCTAGTTAGACTCTAGTTCTTACTATGAGTGGTTATTAACTAGGTATGTTCATTTTACAAATATTCATTGAGCTGTATACTTATGATTTGTGTACCTCACTGTATATATATTATATTATAATTAAATTATTTTAAAAATGCCTATAGATATGGGTAAGTTGTAGGGAAATTGGTATGTGGTTGGGAAAGTTAATGCTTAGTAGCTTGCTGCAATGTTCTCTCTGAAGTAACAGTACAGATTATACAGTAATAGAAAATAAAATAGAGGTTAAATGTAAAGTGGTTGAGCAAAATAGTGACCATTTATAATAGTGACTGTGAACAACAATGTTTAAAAGATTTTCAGGGAATAATGTTTGTCTAAGTTAATGTTACAAACACTGAACTATCACTACCTATCTTTTCATTCATGGGAGTTTTGGAGTCTTACAGTTTTCCAAGAGCCTATTTTTCAATGGAAAGAATGTTCCAGAGCTCTCAATTTAGTGGGAGAAAATTTAATAGACGAAGAAAATCCAAAAGAAGGAGAATAGAAGGCAGCCCAATAGAATCCAGCAGAATCCAACTAAGGTTCAAGAAAGAGGAGAGAACAAAGATGACAATACATCGAAAGAAGATTAAAAGGAGGTATTTCCTTTTATTTAATGTTAAAATTTTACCAAGTTTTAAGGTATGTTTATCAGGAAAAGGCTTTAAATATCTCAATGTTGATAAGAGGTTGTTTGTTTATTTTTTTCTGCCACAGTTGGCTAAGGCCCAAGTAATATCTGGCCTGGTCTCATAGATGCTGCAATGGATACTATAAGAATTTTAGATGGATGAGAAGGAAATGGAACTGACCGAAGGTTATATCATGGTATTCAGAATATTGAGATTAAGGAGTTTTCATCCACTTTCTATATCTTTGGGATACAGAAGTAAACTGCATGACAAAAAACATTCCTTCATGTGACTGATTTTCTAGCAGAGAAACAGATAAGAAAAATAAACGGGTAAAAATTGAGTACATTAGGTAATGATAATTTCTAAGAAGGGATCTAAATCAAGGAAAGGGGCTAGACCTGCCATGTACTGAAGGTTTTAAAATTTAGATGAGAAAGATATCCCTGAGGTGACATACAGTACAAATTTGAAGGAGGTAGGAGAACAAACCCACCTCCTTCTGCGATATCTGGGAGAAATGAATTCTAGGCAGGAGGACAGCAAGAATGAGTGCTCAGAGACAGAGTATTTTGGACAGTTTTGAAGAATAAGGAGGAAGTCAATGTGACTTGAGTCAACATGGAGAAGAACAGCAATAGATGAGGTCAGAGAATGAATGGAAGACAACTAATGAGGGACTGGCAGGTTGTTGTAAAGTGGTTTTAATTCAATGTGATGGGAAACTACTGCAAGGGTCTGTGCAAACACAGCACTCACTGATCTTTATGTTACCTGTAGCAGGTACCATATCTGATGAATCAAGCACGGAGAAATAATCTCATAGTCTATTTGTTTTTGGTTCACCATTTCCTTTAGAATTATAAAAAATGAGTTTTCTACCTTATACTGATGTGTTTCACAAATCTACTAATATTATTATGTAGTTTAAAAATTCAAATGCTGTTTATAGTGAACATTATAAATTTTCTACCCAACATTCTCATTCTCTGATCACAGAAGATTTTGTTTAGGAGCCCATCCTTTTTTCGTATAACTATGAAACTCAGGAAAGCTGACAGCAACCCTGTCTACTGGGTTATGAATCAAAATAGGAGAAGCAATCACGATAAACCCACAATCTATGCTACTACTGATTGGTTCAGGAATTCAGAATTAAACCAGTAAGTGTGTGGCATTTTTCTAAAAACTTTTATTGTTAAAGTCTAATGGAGAGGACCTAACCTAGTCAAGCAGAATAAAAGGAACAATTTTTACATCAGGAACAGGGGACAGGTTTTTCTTCTCCTTGCACATAAAGGAGGCATGTAGCCTCTTCTACTATCAAACTACTATTAGAACCTTCTTAGGAACTTGAGGGTGGAGAGCTTGAGAAGAGGCCAAAACAAAGAGAATGATAAAGTTGCAAAAATAGCAGCAAAAATCAAATTAGAGCCCTGATTGTTCTAGGTTTGAAGCGTGACCACTTCTCAACTTTCTATTATGAAAAATAATATACTTCCTTACTGTTTTAGCAACTTTTATGTCACATTTTAAGTTACTGGCATTAGAAAACATCTGAAGATATACATCACTCTAGCCACTAGCAAAGCATATCTACATATTGACAGGTAGTATATGCATAGCTCTCTCTTCTACAAATCCATCATATATATGTATAAATTAAATATTGTATATATGTACATATATAAATTATTATACATATATAGTAATACATATTTAAATTATATTTATCTTTATATTTTCTGAAAGTATTTATAAAATATAACATCACAAAATGCTTACAAGAAATACTGTTTAATTCAAGTATTTAATTATCTCTAATAACTGTCATGCCAATTACAATTAATTGATTTATCAAAGAAGTGATTTTTTTCTCCCTAAAAGTTGTTAAACTTGATTTTAACTTTCAAAATACAATATTAATTTTGAAGTCAATCAGTAGGAATTCCATTGATCCAACTAACAGTTTTGAGTGTCTACTTCATGTGGTTTTCTACAGAGTAGGGATCAAAGAGATACTTATTGTGTGTGCTTTCAAGGATTTCAAACCTAGTAAGGGATAGAACCACATAGACATAACATTAAACTGCATGATAATCATTATCACAAAACTAGTTAAGTGCAGACACAATGAAGGGAGTTGCACACGCTCTTTCAACTTTCAGAAAGACACTTCATAGAGAATGAATTTTTTATCTCTTTCTTAAAGTGTCATTTTTGCTAGATGTGTATGGGGATAAAACATCTTAGACAAAATACATCATATTCATAAGGGCATCAAGATTGTGACACCTGTTTGTCCCAACCCCAACCACAGACCTAAGCAATTTTCCTAAAATATTAGCTAATATTTAATATCCAAAATTCTTGCTACTCCAAAAAGCAACCCAAACCTCAATAAAAATGTCAGGACCAATAAAACAGAAGATTTTGACAATATTTACTTTTTTAACTTTAGCAACCAGTAGTTTCATGTTGAAACTAAATCTATCTTTTCACCTGGGAAAAGTCCAAGTAACATGAAATATTTCATCAATGTCTAATTACCAAATTAAGATTTTTAAAAAGAAAGATTAAAAAGAAATCCCTACTCCAAAATATGTTTCCAGTTTCATTGCATTTATTCAGTCTTGCCCTCTTACCTTTGTGTGTTCAAATGCTGCCTTCTCAAGAGGTATATGATGATATGCAATATGGCCTATGCCATATAATAATGCAATAATTCCCTTTAAACTATATCAATCCTTTTTTCCCCCAAATGTGCTCTACCACCCTTAAATATCTCCCTGTACATTTTTCTTATTCCATGAACAAAGCTGGTATCTTGAAGTGATGGATATTTCCTATGGGTCAGATTCTCAAGTATTGTCACTGAAACTACAAAACATATGTATTTATCTCATATATTACTACAAAATCATACACATTGCAATGTGTTTTAAAACTACACTTGGGAGTTCAGAACCCAACTGGAAAGGAATTTGTCTTGAATGCTTGCTTTCAATTTTAAAATTGTTATGTATTTTAATTAAGTAAATTCAATGTCATTTAAAATAAACAAAGAGGATATAAATATTTGAACACAGAGAACACATTGCAACATTCCTTCTTGGCAAGAATTCCCCTTATAGAAAACAGTCAAGTTTGTGGAATGAATAAACAAGCAGATAGGAGGAAGGGAATAGAAAACCTGGAAGGCATTCCAAACACCTTTGACAAGACTGCAAATACTACTAAATAAACAAATGTTAATGGATAAATTGAATTGCCGTATAATACAAGTGCCTTGAATAAACCGTAAGATCTGATCTAGGCAAAAAAAAAAAAAAAAAAAAAAAAAAAAAAAAAAGAAGAGAAGGAAATTTTTAAAAGCTTTTTCTGTGTGTGCTGTTAGAAAAGATTAAGTAGTTTAGTTACATCATGAAAACTATGCAGTAGGTCTTGGTCCACATAGTTATAAAGTATTTTGCTTGAGAGGCCATGCACATCATGCCTATTTGGCGGCAGCACAAAACAAGTGGGCTGGAATCAGCCCCAGGTCCCCTGGAAACCGACCCTCAGCATGCATGTCCAGCTTCCGAATCCTGACTCCTACATTTGAGAACTCCTGCTCCACGGTTTTCTGAGAACTGAGGGGGACATTCAAATGCCTCAGCATTACATGGCAAAGAGAAAAAAAAATAGTAAGAGCAGAAAGTTATGAAATGTGTGAATAAGATAAATTTGTATTCCCAAATCTGAAATTAAAGAAAAGTTCTAAATTCCTAAGATTTTAGACTTGTCTTCTTATGATTTTAAAGCAATTTAATGTAATTTAAAGTGTCGCTTCTTAGGCTTAATAAAAGGAAAAATGTATTCAAAATGTAAAGGATTGCTATTAAAAGTTTGTAAACTTGACTATGAATGCCACAAGGGCAGAACATTGTGTCTCTTTTGCTTTCTGATATATCCCAAGACAGGCTGGCATATAGAGGCTACCATAAATATTCCTTGAATGAGTAGCACACTAATATTTTCTTTAAGTAGGCGAAATTCTAGTTAAAGAATTTGGCTAAATTCAAATAAAATATTTCTAAATTACTGTTCTCTAATATTTTAAAACAACTATTTCTATTTTCTGTTGCTTTAATGAAGCCAAGAATAAGCTGCAGTGCAGGACCTGGCTCAGTGCCATGCTCTTTTCACTCCCACCCAATTCACACCCTTTCACCTGGGAAAAGTCCAAGTAACATGTGATATTTTATCAATGTCACACGCATGCCCACCCATTTCACACCCAAAGACACTCTGTCAAGTAGATATTTTAACTCTCTTTGCCCATGCAGATATGGGGAACAGAAAGATAAGTAACTTGCCAAAAGTCAGAAAACTAGAAAGTTACAAAGTCATTATTTGAAACCAAGCCTCTCCAACTAATAAACTGAGAGTCTCAATGTCTGCGCTAGATTGACAGGAATATCAGATTTAAAATTGACTGATGGGAAATCAATCTAGATACACACACCTTCATTTAAGAGAGGACAAAACCATGGTGTATGGTTGTCTAGTGTTGCATTTATTTTTGGCTGATTTTTGTATTTTTAGTACAGACAGGGTTTCATGTACAGACAGGGTTTCATGTTGGCCAGGCTGGTCTCGAACTCCTGACCTCGTGATCCGCCCGCCTTGGCCTCCCAAAGTGCTGGGATTATAGGCATGAGCCACCACGCCCCGCCTCTTAGAGGTTAAATTAAATCTCTCCCTTCTATATTTTTCCTATAGTAGAGTAATAGGTAAAATTTCCTCTTCAACAGTTTTGAAATATTTAAATAGTATCTAGTGACATGTGTTACAGTACATGGGCACAGTTTAAAGCACTCCAATTTATCTAGTAATATTGAAGGGAGAATTACATATATTTGTACTAATTTTTATCATGTAAAACAACCTTGATGATAATCTGTGAAATAAAGAATACAGGAGCAATTTTATAAGTAAGAGTGGGAAAGGATTTACTTTTTTGGATTTTGTCTCTGGCCAAAGTTCTCTCTACAGCTGTAAAAACTTCAGCAGTCTATGTGAAATATGTCCAGTTTCCTCTCTTTGCATTCAGAAGCTCTGCTTGTCAGTTATTCCTCACTGGTTCATAAACAATAATGCTTAAAAATAAAGGTATAAGAAGCATTTGTTTTCTTGCATTTCTGAAATGAGTACCTTGTGTAATACATTTTTTTTTCATACTTAGAATAAGCCAAAATAGAGAAAACAGCTGCCCCTGGAAGTAGCAGCATTTGAAAAAGCCTTTTTAGGACTGAGTAACCTGTGGTTGATGAAGAGGAAGTATAATTCAATGGCATTTATGTCTAAAAGGATTCCGTTAAGAGTCAACAAAATGAGACTGAATAATTTCATTTGAAATTATAACCACTGTTCCTTTGCCAAAAAAGAAAACGAAACTCACTGCCCACAGGGCAGTGAGAAGCTTTAAGTATTATAGGAAAAAAAAGAAAATGCAACAATTGCTACCCAAAACGTGTGTGGTCAAGTTAAATGAGTAATTTAAAGAAAATGGATACTTGTACTTTGTGGAGTTCAGCTCCTTTTGCCAGGCTATGGACTGCAGGCTGTTACTGCCAAGGTAAAAACATAAAAATGATGGGCTGGTGGTTTCTATGCAGCTTATGCTAATTTAAAACCCAAGAAGCTGCAGGAAGAATCAGTGTTGTAAATAGACAAGTGGCAGTGCCTAACGAGTATTCTCTTTCTCAGGGACTTCTGTCCTCAGAGATGCTCAACGGCAAATCTCCCGCCTGGGCTCCGCACAGGAATCAGCATGTCCCTGGAAAAGTATGCAGACAAACCAGTAGTAGGAACATCCCCACATGCACTTCACCACCTGCAGTGATTTTTATTGTCTGATAAAGTAGATATAACTGCTCTTTATCTTACCAATTGGCTACAGAGCGAAATGGTCAACATATTATTCATACAAGGTTGAGCTCATTGCATTTTAGTTTCTTTTCATAGAAACTGATTGTTTTTTTCCTGGAGTTAGGTACATGTCCACAATGCCACCTGAATTACCAATGTTTCACTTATTCTTCCATTATTTCTAAGGGCTATGAATTCTACTTCAGCCACTTCAGTTGTGCTCCCATTCAAGGGAGGCAAACACAGATGCACTTAGGAGTCTGATGGCTAATATAAAGGAATAAGGCAGAGGATACAAGCATCAGGGAGTGGAAGGTCTTAGTGATTTGGACCATGCATGCTACACGAACAGATAGTCAAATACAATTTTTAAAAACAAAAATTTACATGCTTTGCACCAGTTTGTGAACCCAGTCTTATATAATGATCTCTAAGTTTCAGCTGTAAATATCTTATTTGCCCAATATGTCTTCATTCAAATTGCTTAGAGAGTCAAACTCATTGGCTACTATTAGGTTAAGACAGGGAAGCCCTTGAGTCGTATGCCTATTCTTGTCTAATCAGTTAGCACAGAAAATTATGGTAATGGGCTATGTAAAATATCTGCTTAATCATTATACACCCAGTTGGTCAGGTCAGTTCTCTCCAGATAGGGCTATGGGAGAGCCAGGCATTCTGACGGTTGACTTCTCCAGTACGATGATCTTTCCTATAGACTTGAAGTCGAGACATATAAAGCTGCGGGAGACCATAACCATAGCTTAAATCATTATTTTTTAAACAGATAATCCATAAAACAACATCCCATTAGATGTTGAAAAAAAGTATTCTGAATTCAGGGACTTTAAGAAATACCAAACACATTTACTTAATTCAGAGTTTCTCAGATCCTTTAGTAGGCTAACATATACAGTGCTCTCTAAAATAAGAATTGCTATTCGCGTTTTTTCAGTTTTATTTTGTTATTGTTATGTTTTGTTTTTTTCATTTTAGAACTCTCCTATCTTAACTCTTCTAATATAACTTGAGTATAGACATGGTGGTTTACGCCTGTAATCGCAGCACTTTGGGAAGCTGAGGTGGGAGGATCACTTGAGCCAAGGAGTTTGAGAGCAGCCTGGGCAAGATGTCTTTACGAAAAATACAAAAATTAGCCAGGTATGGTGCCGCACCTGCAGTCCCAGCTACTCAGGAGGCTGAGCCAGGAGGATCACCTGAGACTTGGATGTCAAGGTTGCAGTAAGCTGTGATTGCACCACTGCACTCCAGACTAGGTGACAAAGTGAGACACTGTCTCTAATAAATAAATAATAAGAAATAAAAAGACAAGTTATTTCAGACCTCTCCAATCTTATTTCTTAGTATGCCTGGAGGTTGTATTTGAGACATAGTAATCTAAAATTATTTTATAAATAAGAAAAACTGGAGGGTGGAGCCAAGATGGCTGAATAGGAACAGCTCCAGTCTACAGCTCCCAGCGTGAGCGACACAGAAGATGGGTGATTTCTGCATTTCCAACTGAGGTACCAGGTTCATCTCACTGGGGAGAGCTGGACAGTGGGTGCAGGACAGTGGGTGCAGCACACCGTGCGTGAGCCGAAGCAGGGCAAGGTATCACCTCACCCGGGAAGCTCAAGGGGTCAGGGAATTCCCTTTCCTAGTCAAAGAAAGGGGTGACAGACGGCACCTGGAAAATTGGGTCACTCCCACCCTAATACTGCGCTTTTCCAATGAGCTTAACAAACAGCACACCAGCAGATTATATCCCGCACATGGCTCAGAGGGTCCTACGCCCACGGAGCCTCACTGATTGCTAGCACAGCAGTCTGAGATCAAACTGCAAGGTGGCAGCGAGGCTGGGGAAGGGGTGCCCGCAATTGCCGAGGCTTGAGTAGGCAAAGAAAGCATCCAGGAAGCTGGAACTGGGTGGAGCCCACCACAGCTCAAGGAGGCCTGCCTGCCTCTGTAGGCTCCACCTCTGGGGGCAGGGCACAGACAAACGAAAGGCAGCAGTAACCTCTGCAGACTTAAATGTCCCTGTCTGATAGCTTTGAAGAGAGTAGTGGTTCTCCCAGCACGCAGCTTGAGATCTGAGAACGGGATAACTGCCTCCTCAAGTGGGTCCCTGACCCCGAGTAGCCTACTGGGAGGCACCCCCAGTAGGGGCAGACTGACACCTCACACAGCCGGGTACTCCTCTGACACAAAACTTACAGAGGAACGATCAGGCAGCAGCATTTGCGGTTCACCAATATCCACTGTTCTGCAGCCACTGCTGCTGATACCCAGGCAAACAGGGTCTGGAGTGGACCTCCAGCAAACTCCAACAGACCTGCAGCTGAGGGTCCTGACTATTAGAAGGAAAACTAACAAACAGAAAGGACATCCACACCAAAAACCCTTCTGTACGTCACCATGATCAAAGACCAAAGGTAGATAAAACCACAAAGATGGGGAAAAAACAGAACAGAAAAACCGGAAACTCTAAAAAGCAGAGAGCCTCTCCTCCTCCAAAGGTACGCAGCTCCTCACCAGCAATAGGACAAAGCTGGACAGAGAATGACTTTGACGAGTTGAGAGAAGAAGACTTCAGAAGATCAAACTACTCCGAGCTAAAGGAGGAAGTTAGAACCCATGGCAAAGAAGTTAAAAACCTTGAAAAATAATTAGATGAATGGCTAACTAGAATTACAAATGCAGAGAAGTCCTTAAAGGACCTCATGGAGCTGAAAACCATGGCACGAGAACTACGTGATGAATGCACAAGCCTGAGTAGCCGATGCGATCAACTGGGAGAAAGGGGATCAGCAATGGAAGACGAAATGAATGAAATGAAGCGAGAAGAGAAGTTTAGAGAAAAAAGAGTAAAAAGTAATGAACAAAGCCTCCAAGAAATATGGGATTATGTGAAAAGACCAAATCTACATCTGATTGGTGTACCCGAAAGTGATGGGGAGAATGGAACCAAGTTGGAAAACACTCTGCAGGATATTAGCCAGGAGAACTTCCCCAAGCTAGCAAGGCAGGCCAACATTCAAATTCAGGAAATACAGAGAATGCCACAAAGATACTCCTCGAGAAGAGCAACTCAAGACACATAATTGTCACATTCACCAAAGTTGAAATGAAGGAAAAAATGTTAAGGGCAGCCAGAGAGAAAGGTCGGGTTACCCACAAAGGGAAGCCCATCAGACTAACAGCTGATCTCTCAGCAGAAACTCGATAAGACAGAAGAGAGTGGGGCCAATATTCAACATTCTTAAAGAAAAGAATTTTCAATCCAGAATTTCATATCCAGTCAAACTAAGCGTCATAAGTGAAGGAGAAATAAAATACTTTACAGACAAGCAAATGCTGAGAGATTTTGTCACCACCAGGCCTGCCCTAAAAGAGCTCCTGAAGGAAGCACTAAACATGGAAAGCAACAACCAGTACCAGCCACTGCAAAAACATGCCAAATTGTAAAGACCATCAAGGCTAGGAAGAAACTGCATCAACTAAAGAGCGAAATCACCAGCTAACATCATAATGACAGGATCAAAGTCACACATAACAATACTAACCTTAAATGTAAATGGACTAAATGCTCCAATTAAAAGACACAGACTGGCAAATTGGATGAAGAGTCAAGACCCGTCAGTGTGCTGTATTCAGGAAACCCATCTCATGGGCAGAGACACATATAGGCTCAAAATACTGGGATGGAGGAAGATCTACGAAGCAAATGGAAAACAAAAAAAGGCAGGGGTTGCAATCCTAGTGTCTGATAAAACAGACTTTAAACCAACAAAGATCAAAAGAGACAAAGAAGGCCATTACATAATGTTAAAGGGATCAATTCAACAAGAAGAACTAACTATCCTAAATATATATGCACCCAATACAGGAGCACCCGGATTCATAAAGCAAGTCCTTAGTGACCTACAAAGAGACTTAGACTCCCACACAATAATAATGGGTGATTTCAACACCCCACTGTCAACATTAGACAGATCAATGAGACAGAAAGTTAACAAGGATATCCAGGAATTGAACTCAGCTCTGCACCAAGCAGACCTGATAGACATCTACAGAACTCTCCACCCCAAATCAACAGAATATACATTCTTTTCAGCACCACACCACACCTATTCCAAAATTGACCACATAGTTGGAAGAAAAGCACTCCTCAGCAAATGTAAAAGAACAGAAATTATAACAAACTGTCTCTCAGACCACAGTGCAATCAAACTAGAACTGAGGATTAAGAAACTCACTCAAAACCATTCAACTACATGGAAACTGAACAACCTGCTCCTGAATGACTACTGGATACATGACGAAATGAAGGCAGAAATAAAGATGTTCTTTGATACCAACGAGAACAAAGACACAACATACCAGAATCTCTGGGACGCATTCAAAGCAGTGTGTAGAGGGAAATTTATAGCACTAAATGCCCACAAGAGAAAGCAGGCAAGATCCAAAATTGACACCCTAACATCACAATTAAAAGAACTAGAGAAGCAAGAGCAAACACATTCAAAAGCTAACAGAAGGCAAGAAATAACTAAGATCAGAGCAGAACTGAAGGCAATAGAGACACAAAAAAACCATTCAAAAAATCAATGAATCCAGGAGCTGGTTTTTTGAAAAGCTCAACAAAATTGATGGACGGCTAGCAAGACTAATAAAGAAGAAAAGAGAGAAGAATCAAATAGATAAGAAAAAATGATAAAGGGGATATCACCACCGATCCCACAGAAATACAAACTACCATCCGAGAATACTATAAACACCTCTACGCAAATAAACTAGAAAATCTAGAAGAAATGGATAAATTCCTCGACACATACACCCTCCCAAGACTAAACCAGGAAGAAGTTGAATATCTGAATGGACCAATAACAGGCTCTGAAATTGAGGCAATAATTAGTAGCTTACCAACCAAAAAAAGTCCAGAACCAGATGGATTCACAGCCGAATTCTACCAGAGGTACAAGGAGGAGCTGGTACCATTCCTTCTGAAACTATTCCAATCAATAGAAAAAGAGGGAATCCTCCCTAACTCATTTTAGGAGGCCAGCATCATCCTGATACCAAAGCCTGGCAGAGACACAACCAAAAAAGAGAATTTTAGATCAATATCCTTGATGAGCATTGATGCAAAAATCCTCAGTAAAATACTGGCAAAACGAATCCAGCAACACATCAAAAAACTTATCCACCATGATCAAGTGGGCTTCATCCCTGGGATGCAAGGCTGGTTCAACATATGAAAATCAAAAAATGTAATCCAGCATACAAACAGAACCAAAGACAAAAACCACATGATTATCTCAATAGATGCAAAAAAGACCTTTGACAAAATTTAACAATGCTTCATGCTAAAAACTCTCAATAAATTAGGTATTGATGGGACGTATCTCAAAATAATAAGAGCTACCTATGACAAACCCACAGCCAATATCATACTGAATGGACAAAAACTGGAAGCATTCACTTTGAAAACTGGCACAAGACAGGGATGCCCTCTCTCACCACTCCTATTCAACATAATGTTGGAAGTTTTGGCCAGGGCAATCTGGCAGGAGAAGGAAATAAAGGGCATTCCATTAGGAAAAGAGGAATCAAATTGTCCCTGTTTGCAGATGACATGATTGTACATATAGAAAACCCCATCGTCTCAGCCCCAAATCTCCTTAAGCTGATAAGCAACTTCAGCAAAGTCTCAGGATACAAAATCAATGTGCAAAATCACAAGCATTCTTATACACCAATAACAAACAAACAGAGAGCCAAATCATGAGTGAACTCCCATTCACAATTGCTTCAAAGAGAATAAAATACCTAGGAATCCAACTTACAAGGGATATGAAGGACCTCTTCAAGGAGAACTACAAACCACTGCTCAAGGAAATAAAAGAGGATACAAACAAATGGAAGAACATTCCATGCTCATGGGTAGGAAGAATCAATATCGTGAAAATGGCCATACTGCCCAAGGTAATTTATAGATTCAATGCCATTCCTATCAAGCTACCAATGACTTTCTTCACAGAATTGGAAAAAACTACTTTAAAGTTCATATGGAACCAAAAAAGAGCCCACATTGCCAAGTCAATCCTAAGCCAAAAGAACAAAGCTGGAGGCATCATGCTACCTGACTTCAAACTATACTACAAGGCTACAGTAACCAAAACAGCATGGTACTGGTACCAAAACAGAGATATAGACCAATGGAACAGAACAGAGCCCTCAGAAATAATGCTGCATATCTACAACTATCTGATCTTTGACAAACCTGAGAAACACAAGCAATGGGGAAAGGATTCCCTATTTAATAAATGGTGCTGGGAAAACTGGCTAGCCATATGTAGAAAGCTGAAACTGGATCCCTTCCTTACACCTTATAAAAAATTAATTCAAGATGGATTGGAGACTTAAATGTTAGACCTAAAACCATAAAAACCCTAGAAGAAAACCTAGGCAATACCATTCAGGACATAGGCATGGGCAAGGACTTCATGTCTAAAACACCAAAAGCAATGGCAACAAATCCAAAATTGACAAATGGGATCTAATTAAACTAAAGAGCTTCTGCACAGCAAAAGAAACTACCATCAGAGTGAACAGGCAACCTGCAGAATGGGAGAAAATTTTTGCAATCTACTCATCTGACAAAGGGCTAATATCCAGAATCTACAATGAACTCAAACAAATTTACGAGAAAAAAACAAACAACCCCATCAAAAAGTGGGTGAAGGATTTGAACAGACACTTCTCAAAAGAAGACATTTATGCAGCCAAAAAACACATGAAAAAATGCTCACCATCACTGGCCATCAGAGAAATGCAAATCAAAACCACAATGAGATACCATCTCATACCAGTTAGAATGGCGATCATTAAAAAGTCAGGAAACAACAGGTGCTGGAGAGGATGTGGAGAAATAGGAACACTTTTACACTGTTGGTGGGAGTGTAAACTAGTTCAACTATTGGGGAAGTCAGTGTGGCAATTCCTCAGGCATCTAGAACTAGAAATACCATTTGACCCAGCCATCCCATTACTGGGTATATACCCAAAGGATTATAAATCATTCTGCTATAAAGACACATGCACACGTATGTTTATAGCGGCACTATTCACAATAGCAAAGACTTGGAACCAACCTAATGTCCAGCAATGATAGACTGGATTAAGAACATGTGGCACATATGCACCATGGAATACTATGCAGCCATAAAAAATGATGAGTTCATGTCCTTTGTAGGGACATGGATGAAGCTGGAAACCATCATTCTCAGCAAACTATCGCAAGGACAAAAAACCAAACATCACATGTTCTCACTCATAGGTGGGAATTGAACAATGAGAACACATGGACACAGGAAGGGGAATATCACACACCGTAGACTGTTGTGGGGTGGGGGAAGGGGGGAAGGATAGCATTAGGAGATATACCTAATGCTAAATGACGAGTTAATGGGTGCAGCACACCAACATGGCACATGTATACATATGTAACAAACCTGCACATTGTGCACATGTACCCTAAAACTTAAAGTATAATAATAATAAAATTAAAAAAAAAAAAAAACAAAGCCACTATACTTCTTCAGTGAATATTATTTGAACATCTACTATATACCAAATATTTTACTAAAATTTAGACATAATCCAAACCTCTTATCTGTCTTGGCAGGATAAAGGGAGTGTTAGATATTGTACCTTTAGTGTACAGCCTTACAATTTCAAAGTTGTTGAATGAATTTTAAGTGAATGAGAAAGTTGTTGTGAACCCTGGCTCTGAATCAGTATCTCCCATAAGTATTTAAACACACACACACACACACACACACACACACACACAAAATTCAAAAGTCTGAGTGTATTCCAAAGCTGCTAATCAGAATTTTTGGGTTAGTAGCCTCTCAGTTTTTAATTTTCACCAGACTCCGTGGGTGATTTTAATGCATGACCAAGATTGAGAATCATTAATCTAAAAACATGAATTCATTAGTGGCACAGATTGTGTTAAAATGGAAAATGACTTCCAATCCAATACATTGTCTGCTAGTTGGGGGGTTAGAATATATGTACTGAGAATGGCAGAGAGGCCCCAGTTAGACATAATCATAGGCCCATGGCAACATAATTTTAGGCAATTAAGGGAAGGGCAGACAATGTAGGAAGATACCATAATAGAATGTTGAGGAGAAGGACATTCTACCAATCAGACTTGTAGCCAAGAAATCAAGGCAGAAAGAGATAATACAGAGAATTAGGTTTGGTCCTAGGAAAGATGGCAAAGGGTGTAGTTGGTGGAAAACCAATATTGCTCCTAATGTTTATTGAGCACCTATAATATGCTAGTTCTGTGTACTTTGCATGGAATGTCTCACTTAACTCTTACAGCATTGCTATGAAGTGGGAACCATAATTCTCATTTTGGAGAGAAGAAAAATATAGCTTAAGGAGGTTAAGAAACTCCACACAATTACATATCTAGTAAAAGAACAACTAGGATTCCATCTATAGAAGTCTGAAATTAGGGAACAAAGGCAAAATGAGAGCAGAAGCAAAAGGCACCATGTGTCTCCTGGTCATAAAGTGTTGCTTGAGTATGTTTTCCATTTGCCAGGCCTCATCTTTCAGAACTCATGGGAAGAACTTGTAGGTGAAATTTAATAAGCCTTAGGTACAGAGCTAAGAAATGGAAAAAAAAAGAAATCCAACAGGGTGATCAAATAATAATAATTTTAAAAATCTCTATTTCTTAAAACCTGAAACAAAAAGGCTGTTGACAGAATACCAGGCCTCCTGGAAGGGGCTGCATTGTGAGAGGGTCTGGATTATATTTGGAGCTCAAGGGAGATTCAGCACAACCTTCAATTCCAATACTTACCAACTTTTTATTCTCTTTGTTCAACTCTGCTTCAAGATTTTTTAAAAAAATTCTAAACACATTACTAAAATAATCCCTTCTAAAATCAAGGGATAAAAGCTTACATGCACAAACTGGTTATTTTCTTATCTGTCTAGATTATTTCCATGAATATTTATCACTAGCGTTAGAGCAATCTTATTTATTCTTATAGCAGTTGTGCATACCAAAGTTTGTTTTCATTGAAGAATAAAATCTATAGCATCTCTATTCCTAATCAATGTTGTTCATTTCCAGTATACTGAATATGATTATTCCCTTTGCAATATAGTACTTAATTGGCAAGAAATTCACCCTTTGGCTTGATGACAACAACACACACACACTGAATACAAGCCTTTGTTCCCACTCATATAGGTCAGGTCATTCAATTCAGACAGTATAAGTTTTATGTACAATTGTATACACTTTCCACTGGGTTAATCTCATCAGCCGAAGTTCATCCCTTATTTTTATTCTCTCTCCTCTTTCTCTCGGCTTAAATGTGATCTCAAACCCCTCAAGCAGTACTTTGCACTGGGAGATACAAAAACTTCTGGTTGCAAAAATATAGAAATTTGATGTGATAACAAAGTGCTTTAGGGAAACATGCATGCAGTGTTAAAATCCAATCCAGCCTCATTGTCTATTCATGAGGATGGAGTAGTCATTCGACAAATTCTCAAAAAATACGCAGAGCGTTATTTCTTTACAATAAGAATTTAGTGGGTGCAATTAAGTGAAATATTTCAGAGTATTGCAATCAAGTTTCGGTCTAGATGTATTTCTTAAATCTAGACTGGGGTGTGTTTTAGTAGTCTATTGTTATCTAGCAAATTACCACAAAATGGATCAAAACAATACACATTTATTATCCCAAAGTTTCTCTGGTCAGGAGTGCTAGTATAAGTTTGATAGGTGCTCTGTTTGAAGTCGCTCAAGGCTGCAGTCAAGATATTCACTGGGCTGTGTTGTTGTTATCAGGAGGACTAACTAGAGAAGGCTCAGCTTCCACAATTATTCAGGTAGTGGGCAGAATTTATTTCCTCATGGACTAAGAGCCTTGGTTTCTTCTAGTCATCACCTAAAGGCACTTTACTCGTTGACATATGGTCCTCCCAACAGGCCAAGAGTCTGTAGAGTGAATGAGCAAGTAAATGAAGTATTATATGAAGTAGCATAATCATGTAAATGAAATATCATCACCTTTTCTATAGTCTTTTTGTCAGAGGCAAGTCACAAGTTCCACTCATATTCAAGAGAAAGAGATTATACAAAGCCAAGAACATCAGGAGAGGGAGATCATAGGGGTACCTTAGGGTCTGTCTATAACAGAATGGATAAGAGAAGGCAGAGTGAGTACTGCTAGAAAGGCCCCTCAAATGTTACAGATCTATTTCCTCTCTCCTTCAGAAAATTCCTGCCATCTAACTGCCATTGTTTTCTCTTAAAGCAAAATTCTGGGCCATCTATCTCTAATTTTCATCTAAATAAAATATCTGAAATCCACCCTTGTCCCATTTAGTGAAAATGCCTGAGAGGCAGTCTCTGGAAACTACTCCTACATGATATTTAATCTAGTGGAAACTTGAGAACAACTTACTTACATCCTAGTAAAGTTTCCAGCTATTTGAAATGTCTTTTCCCAAAATTTTAAGTATAAATTTTATTCCCAGTGATTTCCCTATATTTGAAGTGTCTTTGGAACAACAGCAGTATCAATAATAATAAAATGAGATTTACTTTTATTTATTTATCAGTTTTTATTGTAGATTCGGGGGGTACTTGTCCAGGTTTGCTACCTGGGTATATTGTGTGATGCTAAGGTTTGGCGTATGTATTAGTCCATTTTTACACTGCTGTAAAGAACTACCTGAGACTGGGTAATTTATGAAGAAAAGAGGTTTAATTGACTTACAGTTTCACAGACTGTACGGGAAGCATGGCTGGGAGGCCTCAGGAAACTTACAATCATGGTAGAAGATGAAGGGGAAGCAAGCACATCTTACCACGGTGGAGCAGGAGAGAGAGAGAGTGAAGGAGGAAGTGCTGTACACTTTTAAACTATCGGATCTCATGAGAACTCCCTCACTATCAGGAGGAAACCTGTCCCCATGATCCAATCACCTCCCACCAGGTCCCACCCTCAACACCGGGAATTACAATTCAACATGAGAATTTGGTGGGGACACAGAGCCAAAAAATATCGGGGTACAAATAATCCCATCACCCAGGTAGTGAGCCTAGTACCCAAATAGGTAGTTTTTCAATCCTTCCCCCGAATTGATGAGCACCTAAAATGATTCCATGTCTTTGCTGTTGTGAATAGCACTGCAATGAACACGTGAGTTCATGTGTCTTTTTGGTAGAATGATTTGTTTTCTTTTGAAAAGAAGAGCTGGTACCAGGGAGAATTACTTTTTTTTCCACATCAAAAGAGGTAAAAAAAAAAAGTGTCTTCCTTTTTATTAAACCTTGTGATAATATGTAACACTAAGTTCATAGTTTTGTGAATTACTGACCATTTTCCTTCTATACCAAGCTTACAAATGCCCTAAATATTTTTTCCCCATATAGGTACATCCAATTGATTATTACTATCTTAAAGTAATTGCTTTAAAAAATCTTTTCGGTCCACAATTTAAAAGAAGTATATCATCTCTGCTGACTTTCCTGATTTGAGTATCATTTTTACTATATAATTTTATCAACCCTTTAAATTGTTTTCTCAATGTATGATAATCAAGTAGGAGAAATCAATACACTTTTCCCAGAATTTTATAATTTTTATCTTTTTATCATGTTCATTTGATCATTTCAAGGCTGATTCTTTAAAATCTATTTCCTTTATTTTGTATACCCAACAATGTTTTACTGATAAAAATAACAAACCTAAACCTCTTTGAAATAATATTTCCTTAGATTAAGCTCCCTCTAATTTGAATATATAAACAGAGTTTGTGAATGTTGATTTTATTGCACAGACTTGCGCTTCATTGGAGAAAGGAATAATATTACATATTTCAGAATATCCAATATAGATTTGTAGACTCAGAGGTAGGCAAGGCTTGGAAAGTAAGCAAGGTCAAGATGTGGAGGAGACAGGTAGAGACGAGTGAGGGTGTATAAGCCAACTCAGCCTTTATCACTGTCCTTAGATTGTAGTGAAATCTGCATTAACTATGTTACCTAGTTTGTCCAGACCAAGAAATTAAGGAAAATACTCCAGACGATCAGTACAAATATTCAAGAATGGTTGAGATATCCCTGTCATAATTATAACCAAAGTAGAAATTGTTTTTGGCCCTTTTCATTTAGATTCAGTTGAACAAACTTTACTAATTACCATGAGACTTATTCTAGGTATTGTCTATTTTTTTATACCTAACATGTACCTTGTACATGATATTTTACTTATTCAACCTATTCAAACCCTCAGTGGGCATCTATACAACACAAGTAATATCTTGGCCATTTGGCTAAGTTTTAAGGTTTTAGATAGAAGGACAACAAAGGTGTGTGGATTATGAGCTTCACTTGCTTATTTTTTTTCACAAGAGCTGTTCTCAAACTTTTTGATCTTAAAAATTATTATATAAAAATTATTAAGAATCCTAAAGAACTCTTTAAAAAATTACATTGGTTATTTCTATGGATATTTGCCAAGTTAAAAATTTAAAGAGATTTTTAAAACTATTTATGCATTCATTTTAAGCAACAATAACAAACTCATTAAATATTAGCATAAAACCAACAATAGTATATAACTTATGTGTTAACCTAATAATTATATATTAACATTAGTAACATATATTAACATAAATTACATATTTGAAATATTTAGTGAGAAAAATGTTATCTATCATTTCATATTTTTTCCAAATATCTTTAGTGCCTGACAATAGAAGATAGCAAAATTCTCATATCTGTTTCTGTACTCAAACTGATACAATATTATACATCATGTGACCTCTGGAAAACTTTATACTCATGGGAGAATGAGAGTAAAAAAGGCAAGTGGCATTGGCGTAGCATTATAACCTCACAGAGCTCTTAAAAGGCTCTTTGGCACCCGCAGGGATCTCTATGCCACATTCTGAAAATTTCTGTTCTAGGAGATAAAGATAAAACGCAACCTTTACTTAGAGGTGAAAAAGATATGACATTCCATAACAACATCAATAATAGTAGTAGATATGCCCCAGCTTTGCCTCACAGAACATACACACACAAAAGCCACAGGTTAGACACTGAGCTCGCTCTTAATATCATTTATTGTTCATAAGCACAGAAGTACAGTGAGAAGAGAATAATTTCCAAAGGTATATTTAAAAAGAAAAAAAAATTTGCAGGATTTTTGAAGAATATATACTAAAATGTAATATATTTCTTTTTTTAATTTATTTTTTATGTTTTCGCATACACGTGCAGGATGTGTAGGTTTGTTACATAGGTAAACCTACCATGTGCCATGTGCCATGTGCCATGGTGGTTTGCTGCACCCATCAACCCATCACCTAGGTATTAAGCCCAGCATGCATTAACTCTTTTCCCTGATGCTCTCTCCTCCCCAACCTTCCCCCAACAGGCCCCAGTGTGTGTTGTTCCCTCCCTATGTCCATGTGTTCTCATTTCTCAGCTCTCACAAGTGAGAACATGCAGTGTTTGCTTTTCTAATTCCTGTGTTAGTTTGCTGAGGATAATGGCTTCCAGCTTCTTCCATGTCCCTGCAAAGGACATGATCTTGTTCCTTTTTATGGCTGCGTAGTATTCCGGGGTGTATATGTACCACATTTTCTTTATCCAGTCTATCACTGATGGGCATTTATCCTTTTGCTACTATTAAATAAGTATTTGACTTCTCATGTGAGAAAGTGGAAGACATACAAATTGTAGAAAAGTAAAGTAATAATACAAAAGATTTTCAAAATAGTTGAATCTAGCTTTTTGTGCTAATATTAAGGTTACCTCATAATAATTCAGGATGGAAGATTCATTTTGAAGTGATAAAATTATATCATTTTACTTAATTATCAATCTAGTTTTTTGAATTTAAGAACTGGTTTAGGGGAACACAGGGCTGTTAATTTTGGTTAAAGTCATCCCATTTTCATTTTTCAGAGCACCACTTGGATAGAGCACCAAAAGTTAATAAATGCTGATTTTAAGAAAGAAACAGATAAGAAGTATTGACAAGGTTTCTCAACATAAAGAAAGAGGCAGCTAGTTTATAATTTTTGTTATCACACATAAAAAACATAATCCTTAGCAGTTTGATGTACAAATCCTCACTAATTGAATTTTATTTTACTTAGAGAAATATAGAGTTCAATGATAAAGAAATATAATATTTCACACTAATTGAAAAAAAGTTAAAACATTTATTAGATTAGCCTTAATATTGCAGAACACCAGAGGCTAAAAATATGATTGTGAACAGATAAGACTGTCAAGTCCCAGAAAATAATTTATTGCACAAATATAAATTAATCTCAATTTATAGTAAGGCCCCACATCTCATTTCCCTGCAGATATCTATACACCCTTTTATTATAGTATTTATTTTATTGTAATTGTTTATGTGTCTGAAAGTTCTAGCAGAGCAGAAACCATGTTTTTTCCATTTTTGTAATACAATAATCTAGCAAAGTGATTAACATGAAGTTGATTTTCAATATGTATTTTATGAATAAGTGAATAAAGTGTTCACCTCTGTTGAAGAGGAAGTAACTTTTCCAAACTCACATACCTAACATGTGATGAAGCTGAGGTTTACAGCCTCTGAAACAGAAACTTTTGCTGTTTCATCTCTATCATACTCTTATTAATAGCCAGATATTTTTCCATGGGGAGTCAGCCTCTCTTTTTGAGCTACTTATTTTAATATATAAAACTAAGTGGTAAACCACCTGGTTTCTAAGTTCACTTCTACCTCTGATATTTGGAATTCCATATTTATTCTGTTCCCAATTCAATGCACAGTAATGTATGTGTTACAGTAGGGCAGGAAAAGCTGCACCTTTGTCCTTGCGGGTTTTCCTCAAATTAATAATATATACCGTTAAGTAAAGAAAAAATACTAAATAAATCTTCCTACAAATGAGCAATTATTTAATAGATAATTAAGATCACAGTTTCCCCTTTTCTTCAATGGCTTCATGACTATCACTTGCTGGTCATTAACTTTCAGATAATATAAAAACTAAAATCCTTACAATTTCAGATTAACCAACAATGTCATTTAGTGACATTATTTATATCCCTTCCTGTCACAGGCTGCTTTGGGTTGCACTCTATATACCTTAAAGCTATTTACCAAGACAATGACCTTCTCTAAACATTTCTTCTGCATCTAAAGCACTGAAATAATTCCACAGTTTCAAAAAATCAATTCAATAAGTATTTTATAATAGGACTCCTCACTATTTAAAATGTGCACTATTCAGTACAGAAAAGGATAGGTATTCATAAAATAAAGTGGCAAAATAGCTTATAACAAAGGTAGTCATGCAGCCTGGCATTCATTCCTTTTGAAAGCACTGCTTTGAGTTTTTTATAAAAGAAAGAGATCAGTCATGCTTGGACAAAACGCATGAAATTTCAAAACACAAGAAATTTCTTTTACTTCAGATACCTTTTCTTAGGATTCTTTAATTGATTTATTTCAGAAAAGAAGCTTTAAAAAGAAGCATAGAACAGCAGTTAAGAACTTGGTCTCTGGAGCCAGACAGACTAGATTCAAATTTCAGATCTGCCATTACTAGCCTGGCTTCGGCCTAGTTACTTAATTTATCCTGACATTAGTTTCTTGGTGTTTAAAACGTGGTTCATAAGGGTACGTACCTCAAAGTCCTGTTGTAAGACATTAATGTTAATAATCCTAAATGATTTATGAGCTCTAGGAATATAGCTAGCACATTTCACTCCTTCATAAAGAAATTAATCTGATGATAATGATTTTCAGTACCTGAGTATAAAACAAAAAGTTTCAAATCCATAACAGCGACTAAAGAGATTTCAGTGTAACTAGAGCATGTGATGAGCAAGTGGCTAAACCAATGGGGGATGAAAGCTACACAGACAAAGCAGTGAGGCAAAAGAAGGAAGATAGAGACTAAAAACCCATTTCTACATCCCACATGTAGTTAATGTCCAAAATGTGTGAGCAAAATTATCTAACTTTCTATACTATGCATGAGCAGCAATAGATGTTTGGAATTTGTATTAAAGCATAACCTTTACCACTGCTCTAAGAAGATCTATAGGATTCTTTTTAAAAAGGAAAATACATAAGCTACAATGTGTTCCAAATGAAATATCAAATAAAACGTTGAAAAGACTTTCTATCAAAGAAATGCTTTGTGTTGCATTTTATACCTAGGCAAAAAAAAAAAAAAAAAAAAAAGAAAGAAACAACTTAGTGTTTGGAACACTAAGAAATTTAGGTTTGCATTGAGGAAGGGTAATTTTACAACAGTACAAAATGTCAAGCTTGGACAGTCTGTTGCCTACTAAAATTACTTATAAAGGAACACACTAAAAGAACATTTTGATAAATACAATTTCATATAAAAGATCATAAACAGACAAAGTTTTTAAGAAGAAAATAAATGGGAGAAATGATACATAACAGAAGCATATCATGGGTTCTACAAGCAAGTTTGGTAGAAAATAGATTAAGGAGGAATTTGAAGATAAGTATTGGGAAGCCTTAAGGAAAGGGAAGGTTCAGATTCTGGAAAGAAAGTGGAAGGATTATAAAAACATTTAGATACCAAAGTTTTACCATGTACAGTGGCAAGATACTGGGAGAAGGGATGTACGTATGTAATGTATATATCACAGAGATGAGATATGTAGAGTAATGAGAAAGGCATAATTAATAAATGGCAAGATATGCCCAGGACATATATTCTCAGTAATTTTTAGATACAGGTTTAATCATTTCTTAAAGATAAGGATGCAAGGAAGATTAAACACAGGATCTTAAAGCTGGATGAAGTTAAGTATTGTCTAATTCAATTTTATCATTTTTGAGATTAGGGAAATGAGGCTCAGAAAAACGTGATGACTTGCTTCAAGTCACAGAACTGGTTAGTAGCAGAGTTAGAGCTTGGAATCAATTGACTCACTGGGCCAGTGCTCTTTATGATATACCCAACTGAACTCTCCAGAAAAAATCAGAGGGCTGATGTTTTTCCTCACCCAATTACCCTAAACAATGTTAATCTCAGTAATCCAATGTAATTAATAAGCTCAAAACTACTTTATACGTGTATCAAAATGCAAAAAAAATTCCCATAGAACATAGTATTAAAAATATTTATTTAAAGTAAGGAAATGTTTAAAAGTATAAATACTGTATTGTTTTCCTACCTGTTGGTTGCTAATCAAAAATTCAATCATTGAACTTTTTAAATGAGAAAGGTCCTATAACCTAAGAAAAATATATCTGTTGCAGTTGAAAATAATTTTAACCCCTCAACTTATTGTGCATTCTTTCAACATATATTTGTTAAGCATCACTACATGCCAGCCACTGTGCTGGGAACCAAGAATACCATTTTTCTTACCAGTGCTGTGCTGGTAAATGATTAACAATCAACTCTCTAAGAAAAAGGAAGTCCAGCTTTATAGCATTTAACAAATGTCCATAGTATGAATACTCCACCATGGCTGATTTCAAACTACCAGTGTGACATCACAGAAGGTGAAATCAGAAAAACATGCACGGTAACACACCATCACACCATAGGATAACTATCAGCCTTTAAAGGCCAGAACGAGCTGGATTCACCATACCACTGGACTTTCATGGAGCATCTTCTGTTGGGAAAGGCAGATTTAATAATTTTAGAATTCTTAAGAGAATGCTACAAATTGCACAAGATATTACATATTGTGGTATAAGTGCTATAAAGGAAAGGTAACAGGTGATGGTTCACTGGAAAAGGATTACTTAAAGTGGAGCAGGCATGGCTTTCCGTGATGACATAGGCACTAAGGGATAAAAATTAGCTGGAGGAAGAGCATCCCAGACAGAGAAAAAACAGCATGGGGAAGGCAGTCAGGAAAAGTACATTCTGGGAAGCCGCCCAACTTCTTGCTAATCACCAATACATGCAGAGTGTAGGTGATGCAAAATATTTATTTACTTTTCTTGTTTATTCACCTTTCATTCAAAGTTTGCTGAGGCTGGAACTCAGGGATTCTCTCCTCCTGCCATTTTCCCCAGAAATCATTGGTGTTTTTCTACTTTTCTGTCCTTCCTCTAGGGTTCTGAAGAAGTGGCACAATCCTTAACATTCCAAATGCCTGCCAGACTCCCTTCAGTGAGGCACAGCCCAACAATGTGTTGTAGGAGAAGGCTTTAAGTCTTTCAGATGGATATATACATTTCACACCACCCTCTCTAACACTGATCGTTTCTTAGCACAATAATCATAGATTAATCACATCTACAACTGTATTTTACTTCTTACCAAAGACCTTTTTCCTGTAGGTAATTAGTGGATAAGAAAGGAAAGGGAGAGGAGTAAGTAATAAAATACCTTCCTGCCACACAGATTTTTTAAATTATTTAAAATTATATGATTATTCTTAAATTCTTTTTATCACATAGAAATGAAGAGCAACTTTATATTCTGTAGGCTTTTACATTCATGTCCACAGTTTAATGTCAGGAGAAATTGAGGACATACTAGAAAAAAGCAATAGATGTTTATAGTACTAAATGTTTCAACGTTCTTTAAAGATGCCTTGTTTAATATTTTAATTAGAAATGTCCACATTGGTCATGTTACCTCATGTTCTCATTCTCCTAGACATCTCATCTGCACTCAAAGCTTTGAATTTAGCAAATATCTTGCAAGTTCTAATTGGCTGAGATACCAGACTCAGTAGAGATTCTTTCACTGCTAACAAAAATAATATTAATAGTAGTATTGATTTGATTGCTATGTCTGTAATAATTTCTACAATAAATAGAGCTAAGATAGTAGTGAAACTATATGACAAGACATATTGAAGAATAGACTTTCTAAATTGTAGACTTAAATGTTCTTTTTATAAAGAATCTTGAAATGACACAAAATTGTTATTCAAATTATTTCTATTACTTTTTAATTTTTTAACTTTTAATTATTTTTTATTTATTTTTTTTATTTACATAAGATATTGAGGAACAGGTGGTGATAGGTTACATGAGTAAGTTCTTTAGCGGTGATTTGTGAGATTTTGGTGCACCCATCACCTGAGCAGTATACACTGCACCCAGTTTGCAGGCTTTTATCCCTCACCCCCTTCCCACCCTTTTCCCCTGAGCCCCCAAAGTCCATTGTGTCATTCTTATGCCTTTGCATCCTCATAGCTTAGCTCCCACTTATGAGTGAGAACATATAAGGTTTGGTTTTCCATTCCTGAGCTACTTCACTTAGAATAATAGTGTCCAACCTCATTCATGCTGCTTTGAAAGCCATTAATTCATTCCTTTTTATAGCTGAGTAGTATTCCATCATATATATCATATATGTGATTTATATATGATATATATGATTTATATGATATATGTGATTTATATATATGATATATATGATTTATATATATGATCATATATATCACATATATAACACAGTTTCATGCATATATATCACAGTTTCTTTATCCATTCATTGATTGATGGGCATTTGGGTTGGTTTCACGTTTTTGCAATTGTGAATTGTGCTGCTATAAACATGTGTGTGCAAGTATCTTTTTCGTATAATGACTTCTTTTCCTCTGGGTAGATACCCAGTAGTAAGATTGCTGGATCATGTGGTAGATCTATTTTTAGTTCTTTAAGTAATCTCCACACTGTTTTCCACAGTGGTTTCACTAGTTTACATTCCTACCAGCAGTGTAGAAGTGATCCCTATTCACTGAATCCACATCAACGTCTGTTAATTTTTTAATTTTTTGATTATAGCCCTTCTTGAAGTAGTAAGGTGGTGCTGCATTGTAGTTTTTACATGCATTTCCCTGATAATTAGTGATGTTGAGCATTTTTTCATATATTTGTTGGCCATTTGTATATATTATTTTGAGAATTGTCTATTCATGTCCTTAGCCTACTTTTTGATAGGATTGTTTGATTTTTCTTGCTACTTTGTTTGAATGCATTGTAGATTCTGGATATTAGTCCTTTGTCAGATGTATAGATTGTGAAGATTTTCTCCCACTCTGTGGGTTGTCTGTTTACTCTGCTGACTGTTCCTTTTGCCATGCAAAAGCTCTTTAATTTAATTAAGTTCCAGCTATTTATCTTTGTTGTTATTGCATTTGCTTTTGGGTTCTTGGTCATGAAATCCTTGCCTAAGCCAACATCTAGAAGGGTTTTTCCAACGTTACCTTCTAGAATTTCTATAGTTTCAGATATTAGATTTAACTCATCAACCCATCTTGAGGTGATTTTTGTATAAGAGATGAGGATCCACTTTCATTCTCCTACATATGGCTTGCCAATTATTCCAGCACCATTTGCCAAATAGGTGTCCTTTCCCCACTTAATGTTTTTGTTTGCTTTATCAAAGATCAGTTGGCTTTAAGTATTTGGGCTTATTTCTGGGCTCTCTCTTCAACATATACTGAAAGTCCTAGCCAGAGCAATCAGATAACAGAAAGAAATAAAGGGCATGGAAATTGGTAAAGAGGAAGTCAAACTGTCACTGTTTGCTGATGATAAAATTTTTTACCTAGAACACCTTAAATGACTCCAAAAAGCTCCTAGAACTGATAAAAGAATTTAGCAAAGTTTCTGGATACAAAATTAAAGTACACGAATCACTAGCTCTCCTATACACCAACAGTGACCAAGCTGAGAATCAAATCAAACACTCAACCTCTTTTACAAATGCTGAAAACAAACACACAAACAAACAACAACAACAAAAAATGCTTAGGAATACACCTAACCAAAGAGGTGAAAGACCTCTACAAGGAAAACTACAAAACATTGCTGAAAGAAATCATAGATGACACAAACAAATGGAAACACATCCCATGCTCATGGATGAGTAGAATCAATATTGTGAAAATGACCATACTGCCAAAAAGCAATCTACAAATTCAATGCAATTCCCATCAAAATGCCACCATCATTCTTCACAGAACTAGAAAACACAATCCTAAAATTTGTACAGAACCAAAAAAGAGCCCACATAGCCCAAGCAAGACTAAGCAAAAAGAATAAATCTGGAGGCATCACATTACCTGATTTCAAACTATACTATAAAGCCATAGTCACCAAAACAGCATGGTACTGGTATAAAAATAGGCACATAGACCAGTAGAACAGAATATTTCTATTACTTTTACCAGAGCTGCCACATTCAAGTTCCATCCATTTCAACATGGAATTAATAAAAATGAGGGATTATTTCATCAATTGGACACTGCAAAATATTTTGTGATCCAATTTTTGGTTTTCAAGAATAATGTTCTAAAAGAGGTACTTGGTGAGGAAAAGAAAATACACTTTAGTCTGTATTGAGAATTTTTAAAAAAGTGTCCCCAGGCTTCTACAAAGACTGTCAGTCATTAAAGCAGATCTGACAGATCTGGTTTTAATCCCTTTTAATCAATCAGTATCAGTTTTATCACCCAGAACTGCCTTTAAGCCTGCATAATTAATCAGGCACCTACCTGTAGAGAGCATACCTCTGTAAGCTGACCATCAATATCAGTCTTATGGTTTGAAGAACAGCCAATAAATGGCAGATTCACTCCAATGAATGCTCTTCAGAAGCTATGTTGACCCACTCCTTCTGCTGTAAACAACACAAATTCAAAAGAATGTTACTCCCAATCCCCATCTGAAATCAATTTTTTTTCAGTAGACTGAGTTGAACCAACATAGCTCTTGATTACTTAAGTAATAACTTCAGCCTTTTGTTTCAGATATCATGGGGTTGTCTCATCTTTCTACAGGGTTGGCTGAAAGTTACTTTTTGTTATGCTATTAAAATTCAAATACATTAACATTTTCTAAGAAAATAATACAGGGCCACCATACATAATCCAAAATTGTTGGGATGCTGTGCACTTAAAAATTCAGAACTTTTCGAATTTAGAAAGGTACGTGTACCAAACATTCTAACATACCAAATATTCTAATACCAACAGTGGAGTCTGAATCAGTACTCAGTAATCAAATAAAATATTTCTGTAACAAAACAATGGCAAAAACAAAGACTCAATAGCCTCACATGAGTGCAGATAGTTTTTCTTTTTTTTTTCTTTCTTTTTTTTTTTTTTTGAGACAGAGTTTCACTCTTGTTGCCCAGGCTGGAGTGCAATGGTGTGATCTCGGCTCATTGCAACCTCCGCCTCCCGGGTTCAAGCAATTCTCCTGCCTCAGCTTCCCGAGTAGCTGGGATTACAGGCATGTGCCACCATCCCCGGCTAATTTTGTATTTTTAGTAGGGACGGGGTTTGTCCATGTTGTTCAGGCTGGTCTCAAACTCCTGACATCAGGTGATCTGCCTGCCTCAGCCTCCCAAAGTGCTGGGACTACAGGCTTGGGCCACCACACCGAGCCCGAGTGCAAATGGTTTTTCAACCATCTGAAAGAAAGTTGAACATCAAAAGTTTATGTCAAGTCAAGTTTTGCCACCAAATGAATAACAAAAACGTTTTGGGTTTAACAGCTATTTTGGAATTTTTCAATTTTGGAATTGCAGATGACGGGTTATAGAGTTTAACATACCAGATACATACTAATATAAGGATATAGAAATCAAGACATGCCTATTCTCTGGGTTCTCTCCATTGATAAAAGACAACACAAGTAAAACAATAATTTAAAACAATTTTTAAAAATAATTGAAATTTAAAACAATAATTAAGATAATTTTACAGGTGCTAAAAAGAATACCATGAGAGTGATGAAAGTGTTCCATAAGGGACTGTGGATATGGAAGGTAACAGAAATGGCTTCCCACTGATGCTTGGTTGAGTCCTGAGGAATACGTAGAAGTTACACAGCTGGATGCAAAAGGGAACAACATTCCAGCCAAGTAGAAAGTAGGCTTTAAGCCATAGGAGGCAGATAATATGGCTGGTTTGAAGCATTTCATGTAATTCAGTTTATTTGATGAGTAGAGCAGTGACAGGAAAGGAAGTCAGAGAAATAAATACAGACTAGTGCAGAAAAATCTTCATGTTCCATGCATTTAGAAAATCAAGATACGACAAGGAGAATACAGTAAAAGTAGCGATGTTGTATTATTAGAGTGTAACTGCATACTGACCTAAATAATTGAATTTAAAAAAAGGGGAGAGAATGGACACTCTTCTATGCAGAATTCCAGATTGTTTAAGTAATAATGCCTCTTGCAGGAGGTAGAGCACTGCTCTCCCCCACCCCATTAAATGTGGTCCACACAGTGACATTTTTCCAAAGAGTACAGGAAGACGGGGAAGAGAGTAACTTTCCAGTGGAGAAACCTGAAAAACACTAGCTAGGTCATCAGGCTTACTGCCAACAGTGACAAGTCATGTTGATAGCAGGTACTGTTATCTGTGGAGTGTCTTGAATGCTAGTTTTCCAGGTTCTTGGCATTTTGAACAAAGAATTGGATAAAACACACAATGCAATCAAAGAATGAAGCAACAATACCATAGATTTATTGAAACGAAAGTACACACTACAGAGTAGGAGAGGGCCCAAGCAAGCGGCTCAAGAAAGCAGCTCAAGAGCACTAGTTACAGAATTTTCTGGGGTTTAAATACTTTGCAGAGATTTCCTACTGGTTACTTGGTTTACACCCTATGTAGATGAAGGATTGGTCTGTGACCAGGCTGAGTGGTCACAAAAGGCAACCAATCAGAGGCTGTAGTGAAGTTACAAAGTTCCACCCCTATGCAAATAAAGACTGGGCCCACAACCAGTCTGATTTGTTGTGGGATGGGAGGAATCAGAGTACTTTCCATTTTTCACCTATGACGCAGAAAAGGTGGGGGAGGTTTGCAAGGGGAGTCGCCTCTGATCCTTTTGTTATTTGGTGCAGAAAGTTGGGGTTTTCCTTTCGATGCAGTTTTAGGAAGTCAGCACAAATCGGCCTTAGGTTCCCTGCATCCAGACCCCATTCTCCTGCCTCAGTACTTCTTGAAATAATGTGATGAGAATGGCACTTTACAGTGGTCTCCTGCCAAAACCCATAACCCCAGTCTAATTATTATGAAAACATTAGCAAATGCAAACTGAGGGACATTGTACAAAATTTCTGACCAGTACTCAAAACTCTCAAATGGGTTATCAAAACAAGGAAAGTCTGAGAAACTGTGACCACAAAGAAGACCCTAAAGAGATGCAATGACTAAATGTAATGTGGGACTCTAGTTGGGGTCCTGTGACAGACCATTAGGTAAAAACTAAGGAAATCTGAATACAATATGGATGACTGTTAATAATAATGTAACATATTGGTTTCTTAGCTGTGGTAAATGTGCCATAGTAATGTAAGATGTTGCCAATAGTGGAAAATGGGCGTATGGTATGTGAGAACTCTGTAACATCTTTACAACTTTTCTGTACATCTAAAACTATTCTAAAGTTTTAAATGTTTGCTTAAAAATAGCAACATAGAAAAAAATTTCTTAAAATATAGGTGATGGAAAAGTTAGGTTTGCCATTGGAGGAGTAAAATAACTTCTGCCCCTCCCCTATTTCCCCATATCCTGTTATGGAAGAATCACAATATACTACAAATCCTCATAAAGTTTTCTTTCCTTTTTTTTTTTAGACACAACTTACAGAGGGACTCTCTACCTTGAGGATTTGATTTAACCTAAAGCATGGAAACGTGTACCATTCAGAGTTTCAGCCCTGTCTTTATATAGGCAATAATTTATAGGTGGCCCAAAAATTGAATCATTGTTACGCATTTCTTAGGTGGGTCGCCCCACACTATAGCCTGTAAGACAATGGTGAAAAAACGAAGGAGTGAAGAAGACAGAGTTTTGTTGTGACATAAAGCTCTAATCTGATAAAGTTAGGTAGATCTGTGAGATAATATTGTCTTTGAATTAGGTGTGTGTGTGTTTGTGTGTATGAGTGTGTGTGTGTGTGTGTGTGTGAAGTGCTCACCAGAGGCGATTAACAATGACATCTCAAGGAAAACCACATAAGGGTGCCAATGTCTTCCTTCAACCCTTCAGCTAGAGCTACCTCACTTGTCATTCAGAGCCACTCATTTTCAAGATTTATTGTTCACAAGAATTACTGGAGATATCTGTTCAAAATGCACTCTTATTTCTTACATCTAGGGTGGAGCACAAGAATTACACTTTTATATGCCTTCAAAAAAGGGGTGTGATGAAAGAAATTAGCAGACCGAATTTGGAGCAGAACAAATCAAGAGTAAATAATTCAATCTCCAAATTTAATAATTGATGTATGGGCCCAAAGGCTAGATTAATAGTGGAGAGTGAGATTTTAACTTGTGCAGTTTAGAAGTCCACAGAGATCATGAATTTCAGCATCAGGAATTTCAAAAAGGCACCACCTTTGGAAGAACAAAATAGGAAAGGGGTCACAGTGAAGTGTATGGCTTCGTAAACAGAGCAAGGATGTAATAGGCTAAATAATGGCCACCCAATATTAGGTCCTAAACCCTGGAACCTATAAAAGTTCCCTCATAAGGAAAGAGAGTATTTGCAGATGTGATTAAGTTAAGGATCTTGAGATGAGGAGATTAATTATCTGGATGGGCCTTAAATCCAATTTCAATTATCTTTATAACAGAGGGGCAAAAGAAGGTCACAGGCAAAGAAGAGGAGAAGGTGATGTGAGAATGAAGGCAGAAATTTCATTCTGTGTCTGCATGATACAGACACAAGCAAAGGAATGTTGCCAGCCATGAGAAGCTGGAAGAAGGGAAAGAATTCTCCCATGGAACCTTCAGGGGAAGTGTGCCTCTGGTAATGCCTTGATTTTGGCCCAGTGATACTGATGATGAATTTCTGGCTCCCAGAATTGTGAGAAACTAAATTTCTGTTGTTTTCAGATACTAAATTTATGGTAATTTGTTATAACAGCCACAAGAAATTAACACAAAACGCTAAATTTCAACCCCAAAACTTGCTGGGAATACTGTGGCCCTGCATATTGTATTCCTAAAAAACAGTAAGAGATGTACACTCTTTAGAGTGGAGAGCGTAGGTGAGAGGCTAGGACCTAGAGTGTCTTCATGAGATAACCCATCTGAAGAATTTTACTTAAGTCTTTGATTTTACTTTCAGCTATTAGGACAATCATATAAGAGCACAGTTTTAATATGCCTCTCCTATGACAGTAAATGTATTTAGTTTCTACAATCTCTCAGCAACATCTAAAATCTCAGTATAGTCCAGGGATCTACGCAAATATAGAGGAAAACACATGCAGCAATAAAGAGAAGTGCATCCTGTCCCTCATTCACCCTTTCATGTTGTTCCCACTGCAGGAAGAATCCTATGGAGGAGGCAAATTTCAGGAGCTCCAAACAGTGAGAACAACTACAGGGAAAAGTTGGCCCCTGGGAGCTGTGAAAGATGTGTGGAGAACATGGAGAAGAACCAACAGCCAGCAGATAATGCAGAAGCAAACCCAAGACAAACCTTTCTTAAGAGTAGTGACCCTTGGATTACATTGTTTTAAGGAAGTATTAACTGAGCCAATTTTTATACCAATTGTTTTCTAGTTTCTTCCTTCTCTCCTTCCTTTTTTCTCTCCTTCCTTCTTTCCTTACACACATACACACAACACACACACATTTATGTATCAGTATGTATGTGTAGTCAGTCCTCCATATCTATGAGTTCTGCATTAATGAATTAAACCAATCAAATATAGATAATATTCAGGAAAAAAAATGAATGATTGTGTCTGAACTTTGCAAATACAGATTTCTTTACCTGTCATTCCCTAAACAATACAGGGTAAAATCTATTTACATAAATTTACATTGTATTAGGTGTTATAAGTAATCTAGACATGATTTAAAGTATATGAAAGGATGTGTGTGGGTTATATGCAAATACTGCACCATTTTATATCAGGGACCTGAGCATCCATAAATTTTGGTATCCATGGGCTTCCTGTAACCAATCTCCATGGATACTGAGAGATAACTATATATTGGTTTTGCCTGCTCCAGTGCTAGAATAACTTTTCTGCTAGTAATTCCACTAAAGAGAAAATCAGGGATCCTATTCCATCATGGAAGCTGTAAGGGCATACATACTATATGCTCTCCCTTCCTTAGAAAATAGAGAGTGAGTACATGCCCTAGGCTAGGCCAATTGTATACCCTGTATTTTTAATTTCAAAAATGTTATATGAGGTTTTGGAATCAATCTGAGTTCATTCAAGGTTCCTGTGGTAGCATCAGATGTCCTTAAGTCATGACTGACTCCAAGCGTCTTCCTTCTTTACCAATCAGCCTTGGTAAAACCCCAGGCTTCCTTCCTTTTCCTTGAGATATCCCTCATTAAAAAATATTCTACTTATTGCAATAACCTGAATAAAATCCTCTCCTTGATTTTTTTCAGGGCATTTTGTCTTAGACAACCGTTAGAATAAATTAGCTTTTTCTTTAGGTTAGCGAAAGTTGGGTTATATTTTTTACAAACAGAAATCCTTACCAGTTCAATTTTTATTTTAGATGGCTGTTGTTTAAGTGTACTCACTCAAAGATTTTCATCATGTAGGTTTTAATAGTTAAGAAGTATTACTTTGTATACAAAGTGAGATACAGCAGTGATAGTAGAGTCAAATATTACAGATGACCTAGAACATATGTTACCAAATATAACAAAAGGATAAACTTTAAAGCTTTCACTGATACTCCTCATCTCAAATACTTTCCACAGGATAATACAAGATATATGGATCACACAACTGATGCGACTATAAGCATTTTGAAAAGTAGCCTTTCTTTTCCGCTTTCTGTCTATTCTCAATTTTTATGAACTTATTTTCTGTCAATGTATTGGAAACAGAAACCATTTACAGCCACTAACTTATTGTCTTCATTAGCATAACTTTGCCATTCCAGAAAATGTTTCCCCAGGAACATGGAGTTGTAAATAACTTTTCTGAAAATATATTTATCAGAACTATAGACTATTAAACTGGTTATCTTTTAGGACTAGTTAATATAACCCATTCTCTAACCAACAGATAACTCAACCAGGTTCAGCACCTGATGGGTTACTCTTCAAGGACTCCCTTCTAAATCTCACTTTGCTGTGTCCACAATTCTAAATTGCTATACAATAGCATTTTCTCACTCTCATTCAGTATTTTACACAGAAAGATATGCCTTGAACCAGACCACCCAAAAGTTGTAAATATTCTGTCTTTAAACTTCCCCTTTGGTAGAATTCTTTCAAGGTAGTGTCCTCTCTTTCTGCAGTAAGCAATACATTTGTCTTTGCTTGAACAATAGGTTATATGGTGATTTCTTCAGGAAGTCAATAATCAATATTATGGAATACTTATGGAAGCAATAATTTTGATAAAGAGTAGGAACAGATAACATCTTTTTATAAATAGATTTAACCATCTCCCATTCCTGATCCTAATGGGCATAAGAGGTGGCATTAGAGTTTCTAATCACATAAACCAGTTCAGGTTCTTTCCTGAGATTTCATATAAAACTTCACTCCTTATTTCTCACAGGCCACTATACCCCTGAAATTATGCAAATAAGAAGGGGAGAAAAGGTTATATTCTGACTGTGAAAGATAATCATGACAGTTAAATTATAGTAGCCATTGTTATTATATATTATTATAGTGGTTCTATTACTTCATTCTCAAAAATGATACAGTATATCTGTGAGGGAATACACAAATGCAAGAAGAGTGAGGAACAGAAGGCAAAAAGAGGACACTTTAAACTGTTATCATCTAGAAGTAGAAAAGGGAAAATCATAACTAATTATTAAATCAAATCACGTTAAATCAGCACTAGATTGTAGTAACTGCTTAGTAATTTGATAGCCCAGCAAAGCAGCCATTACCTAATGATGACAGCTATTTACCCAGATGGAAAGTCACAGGGAATTGGAACTACTGCCACACAGCATTAATCAGAATAGCCATCAGTAATGGCCCCTTTAGAGTACCAAATCAGTCATGATTAGTAGAGGTGGTTCAAGTTCAAAGGGTTGAGAAGTTAGACAGCATGTCTCTTGGTCCCAGGACCAGGACTCTGCTGTTCACCAATCTGTTTGCCTCAGAGTTTTATGAGCTGGATAGAACATGTTTCAAGGGATGCAAAGCCCTATATGGGCTAGGTGGCTTTGTTCTACTCAGCCATCTTTAAGGCATAGTAGAAATACTGAAACGGCTGTTTTTTAACTCAACTAAGTCAAAATGCCTGCTTCAAAATATAAACACTTCATCCCCCATTATCACCTCACTCTTTACCCCGGCTCTGATCCTTCACTCATCCCTGAGCCTCAAGCCTCTTCTGATTCTCCATGTATCCCCAAACATCACACCAAGCATTAATTTAATGCATTTCTCACCTCGTCTCTCATCTTCTGGAGTAAGTATCAGAGACTTGGAGATAAAGTCTACTAAACACAGAACTGATCATATAAATAAAAGTTTAAAAGTCTAGTAATTTATTTTTAAGTTTCTGTCAAAATACTCCTGAATGCAAATATTCTAGGCATCAACATGGTTAAGCAAAATGATGTGTCAAGAAAAGATGAGCCCATTAATGTAGTGAATCATTGTTCATAAGGATCAGATGAAATATAAAATAGAGTGATACAAAACCAGAGAATACAGCCTCTACTCTTGGTGCTTCAAACTATTTTAGTCTGTACAAGACAGCACCTAGTTTTAATTAGAGAGGACATGAACAAGTCTCAAAACAGGTTGCTATGACTACAGAAGTGATCCAGTGGTCTGTAGCATAGGCAGATAGGGTGAATTAATATTCATAATCTCTCATCCAGAAGGTTGGAAGTCCCCACTGAGAGAAATGGGAAAAGGTATAAAACAGGCCAGTTAGAAATGGCTCATTGATTCTCTTCAATAAGAGGAACTCTCAGTAGATGGAGTAAATCTTGAAGACACAGGTGAGAGAAAATAACAGCACTCAAAAGGCTAAAATTCTGAGAAGGGTTGGTTGGTTCTAAGTAACAAATATTACATAGCTACTGATGGTCTAGTTATAAATAAAGAAGCAGAGAATCAAGAAAGCTTTACACATTTTTTAGCTTTATTTACTCCAAAAGTGATATATTTTTACAAAAGTAATTTGTGCTTAATACAAAAAGATTAGAAAATAAAATGTGAAAGACAAATACATAAAAATCATCCATAATCCAATCACTGGAAATAAACATTTTGTTGTACATTCTTTAATATCATGCACTATATACATAATCACTATTTATTTGAAAAGTAAAAATAAAACTTTAATGTCTGGTGTGGAGGGCATTAGGTACTCTGAGACACTCTTCCAAGGTAGAACAGCTAGACTGTAGACAGAAGAAAGCAAAATTCATGAGCTGATTACAGAGTTAGTAGTAATGATATTTGGCTACACAGGGGCATGCAGATTGCCCTGCAGTTAGATTTTTTTTTGAAATAGCACTATAACAGGAAAACTGAGTCTTAAACTAGCATCAAAGTGTTAGTGTTTTAACTGTAACTCAAATTAAGCCAGGACATCAAGGATGGCCGAAATTGTTATAAGTCCAGAAGTAAATCAAAGATTTCAGCAGAAGTAGACAAAAATCAACTCTACAAAAAGTGTGATCTAATTTAAGCCATACAATTTGCATAGATGAAGGTCAAGTACCAAACTCACAATCATGGACAATCCCAACACGTTAAAAAGCAAGTCAGCATTTTTCTGTTTTTTTTATTCCTCTCAGTGCTTCATTTTAGATCGTTTCTATTGTTTAGTCTTCAACTTCATGATCTTTTCTTCTTCAGTATCAAAACTGATGTTATTCATTCAATGTATATTTATTTTTACATTGTATATTTGTCTCTAAAAGTTCCATTTAAGTGTATCTCCTATTTTCCCTTTCTCTAATTATATTTTCTTTAAATTTTTGAACATATTTTTAGGTTATAATAAACTTTTAAAATCCTTGTCTACAAATTTTACCATATTTTGTCATTTCTGAGTCCTCTTATTGTCTGATATTTCTCCTGGTGATGGGTTGTATTTTATTTGCATGCTCATTCATTTTTACTGAATACTGATGTTGTAAATTTTAAATTTTCTGGCCTTAGATTTTGATGTATTCCTATAAAGGGTGTTGGTTTTTATACTGGCACAGTTAAATTACTTGTGGATCCAATTGATCATTTGAGATTTGATTTTAAGCTTTGTTATGGTAGATTTAGAGCAGCCTCTTGAGGATTCTGCCCAATGTTCCATGCATTACAAGTTTTCACCACTCTGCAAAACAAAACACAAATTATTCCTGGACCTGTAAGAGCTCTGTGAATTGTTTTTGCTTACTCTTTTCAGTAGTCCTCTCCTTTGCATCGGAGTGTTTCATCTCATGCATGCACATGCACATATCAGTACTCAAAAACAGAGGGCCCCTCTGAAGTTCTCCAAGGCATGCACTTTCCCAATCTCTCCCTCTCTCACTCTCTTTTCTCTGTCCTCTCCTGTATGTCACTCTCATTGAAAAGTTCAAATTCTAGCCCCCTCAGGAGGGGACCAGAATTTTCATCTCTGTCTTTGCAATTTGGCTGAGCTTTGTTTGGGTTCCTCTCCCTGCATCATAATCAGGAAATCTCCAGTCAGCAAACTAGCCCAACCAATTGTTTCTCTTCTGTTAAAAGAAAAACTGTAGACAAATTAAATGGAACAGAGTTTAACTGAGCAAAGAACAATTCGCCAATTGGGCAGCCCACAGAACCAAAATAGGTTCAGAGCAACTCAGGGGCTGCCACATGATCCAATAACATTTACAGACCTCAAGAGAAAAGTAACATACAGAAAACGGAAGTGAGGTACAGAAACAGCTGGATTAGTTACAGCTTGGTGTTTGCCTTATTCAAACATGGTTTAAGCAGTTGGCTCCCCGTGATTGAAACTTGGCTGCTGTGACAGGCTGAGAACTGGCTACTCGTTACAAGAGTAGGTTACAATCCTTTACACATCCATTTAGGTTACAGTTCACTATACGTGGAGAAACCTCTGGCTGAACTTAAAAATACCTAAGGGGGCAGCTTTAGGCTAAAGTTAATTTAACATCTCAGAGATCACAGCTCTGCCCCCTTCTTACTGTTCATTGTCTGAAAACCACTATTTCACATTTTCCCAGCTTTTTAGTTGTTTACAGTGAACAGCAATTGCCATAGCAATTAATCCTCCATGGGCAGAAGGTGAAACCCATTTATTGCTTTTAGGCCTGACCTCCACTTTGTCTGATATTAAGATCATGAACTCTGCTTTTACTTTTTTTTAGTCCTGTGGAATACAGTTCAGAGTTACCTGTTTCATTTCAATCCAATCTGAGATTGTCATTGAGTAGAGGATTGAAAACATTTATGCTTTGTTAACATGGCAAACACATCTGATTTCAGCAATTTTTTAAATTTAATTTTTTGTTTGCATAGTGCATTTAATCATTCTTTTTCATTTTAATGTTTCTTTGCTTCTTAATATGTGTGTGTAGGAGTGTGTGTGTAATTTTTACATTTATAAAGTACTGTTGTCCTAGTGTGTTTAGCTTTATAATTTTATATGATGCATTTTGTTCTCTATTTATGAAATAATAATTTCGCATTTTAATATTTGCCATTATAAAATCATATTTTTATTGCTCCGATATCTATTCTTCAGCAATGTATATCAATCAGTAATATTTTCTTTCTAATTTAGTACCTTTGTAATCTTGAAGATGCTTATATTGCTTGATTTGTCAGACTAAAATAATATATTTTAAATTTCAGCTATTTGAAGTGAGGCATTCTGAGAAACTACTTAGTTCACACCTTCTTAGTCCTTCTTCCTAGCAAATATTTCTAGACGTGAAATACCAACTTTGTCAAGACACACAACACTTACATCCTGTTCTAGCCTCCTAATCCACCTGCTATATTTTGTAATTCTAGAGTTAAACATTTTAAATGTTCATTGCCAGTCTTTTTGCCCAGCAGTCTCCAGTTATCTTTTATTAACTTAAAGTGTAACCTCTAGCAATTTCTCAAGAAAAACTGATGTACAAAAAATTTCCCTAAGCCTGCATGTTTAGAGTGGCATGAGTGTGACCTTTCTAATGGAAGAGCAGCTTTACATATTTGTATTCTTCAGAACATACTTTTTTCTTTTTCTGTTTCTATGCTTCTTTATTGTCTGCTGATGTTGAATGTTGCTGAAAGGAAATCTGAAGCCAAACTGACATTTTGTCCTTACAAGAGATTTGATATTTCTTCTGGAAAGCTGAAAGTTTTTTTTTTTTTTTCTTATTCTAGTGTCCCAAAATTTTACTAGAAAATGTCATGTTGTTCACCTGGGTCAATTTTCTCTGACATATACCCTTTCTCAATATGTAAATTATGTAAATTTAGCTTTTTTTCTCCCCCAAGAAAGTCTTTTCTTGAACAATGTATGGAACTGTTTGTTCTATTTTATTATTTTGCAATTCTTTGAGATATTCTCCAGGATCCATTGGTTTCCACTGGTGAATTCAAGGCAATTATGATGTAGATGTCCACTCATGCATCCTTTAAATCTTTGCACATGGCATTAATCTCCATCCTCCCTACCCCAGATATCATATTGCTTTCTTGGACTACCTTGGCCAGAGGTGGGTCAGTTTCAGAGGATTTCACTTGGCCTTCCACACTATTACAGCTCTTATCCAGCAGCCAAAGGCCCAATGTGGGATTTGTACCAAATACCAAGTATGTCTGTCCCAATCACATATTCAGATACCATGAAAATGATCACAACATCAGTCTGCAATAGACCCTCTGTGAGTCAAATATTGGCCAGGACCCTACTTATTACCTTCTCCCCACATCCCCTCTCTTTAACAACAAGGGGACTATGAAAACTATTTGGATCTCTGGGTATGATGTTAACATGGAGTTTGTATCAGAGTCCTTAAAATATTCCCCTTTCCCCAGTGTACAGTTACTCAAGTAAATAGTTGTAAGTTATTTCAGGGAAGAATGTGGGGATTTACTACTTTGTACACTTGTCATGGTATCGCGGAGTTCTTTCTTCAAGGGATATAGTCTTTTATTTAATTATTAGATTCCAAGTATGAAAACTGGCTAATGTTTGTAAACCAGGCTGGGACTGTGGGTTTTAACTGAGGCAATTGCCCTCAACCATCCATTCTTAAATATATCTGAGGATACTAATTGATTGGTACTCTTTTTGGCTGTTTATATATTACACCCCTTGGGACACCATGTTCGATTAACAATCTCCATAATTTTCTGTGTATGAGTCCATTTGGACCTTGCCACTCACCACAATGATTGCATCTATTATACTTTGGACAGGTAAGCTCCACCTACCTGCTCCACAGGGGTCTGTCTGTGACTATCATTCCTATTGCTATCGGTGAGTCTAATTAGGTAATGGACTCTCCTACTACTATTCCTGAGCAATAAAGAACAACTCCTGTACTTACCAGTGATCCTCGTACCTTTCTTACCAGTGCTAGCCTTATGACCTTGGTAAATAGTGCATCCTTTGGTCATTCTCATAGTGCATAGTTAGTACATAGTAATCTGGTGGGTTCTCCAGTTTTACATAGTAAAAATACTCCAGCATGAACACTTCCCTGAGTTTATCATCGCTCTTCCACTGTCTAACATTTAAAAAATTTGGCATTTTGAACTCACTAAACACAGCCATAGCATATATGTCCCTGTGTCCCGTGATCTTTGTCAACATGTTAAATCCTGTATTTCAGGAAAGTGCTCCGAACTCAATACATTCTCCCTTATTTGATTTACATCCTGACCCCTTTGATAAAGCATCCTTAGGATCTAATCCTGCCTATAATCCCCCAGCTCCTGAGACTAGATTTTGTAGTTCCTTTGGAGTAAAGACCCTTTTCTTTTTTATCATCTTTTTTAAAAATCCTGGCTCTGACTTGATTATGCTGTGACTTAATCCTAATTATAGTACCAGGGAAAGCAAAGATATATTTTGAGAACAGCACACTTGTCTTGTTAGGGAGAGTAATGCACATGACTTTTTGACACATGCTGCTACACTGCTGAGAATTTTCTCAACAACTTATGTACTATTATATAGTTTATGCCCTACTACTCTGTTTTTGACAACCTTTATAGATAAGAAATTTTGCCTGCTCATTTTATTTTTTATTCTTTATTTTTGCTCCTTAATATTTTCTATAGAGAGAAATTGAAGATGCTGGTTTATGCAAACACTTTTAAGTTTAATATGCTCATGATATAATAACTTGCTGTCAGGAAATTTGGTAGCATTTGAAAAACATGTATGGATATTTGCATATGTCCATGTAATGCCAATGATTATTGATATCAGACTTTTTTTTTAATTTGAAAATTATTGGTAAATCATTTGGAATTCCTAATAAAACAGCAGGAAGCTCAGAGGTAGCTAGCCAATATTTGTAAATTTAAAGAAATATAAATGTTTTATTTTGCAATTTGTTTGGAAAATACTTTCATTATCTTTTAAAATTAGAAGCACATAATGCCATTGATATATAATCCCACTTTGGGGAACATGCTATACAGAAATAAAATATATAGGCACAATGTATTTACTAAAGCTTTTGTAATGGAAAAGATCTGGAATCAACTATAATATCCATCAATAAGAAGAAAATGGTTTAATAAATGACAGTGTATCCATGTGAAATAACATTCAGCTTTTAATAAGAGATAGTTTTTTATCCCTCAATTAGAAAGATGACCATGATATATCATTAACTTAAAAAAGCATACTGTCAAGTAGTATGCATGTTATAATTCAAGTTTTATACATAGATGTACATAAAATTGCTTAAGAACATGGAGAATAATATAAAGGGAATCATACCACATTGCATTATGGAGCGATATTAGAGGGTATAATGGATATAATGTATAAAATAAGTGGATAGGCTGAGCGCAGTGGCTCACACCTGTAATCCCAGCACTTTGTCAAGCCAAGGCAGGCAGATTACTGGAGGGCAAGAGCTTGAGACCAGCCTGGCCAACATGGTAAAACCCTGTCTCCACTAAAAATACAAAAATTAGCTGGGCTTGGTGGTATGTGCCTGTCATCTTAGCTGCTTTGGGGTCTGAGGCAGGAGAATCTCTTGAACCTGGGAGGCAGAGGTTACAGTGAACTGAGATTGCCCCACTGAACTCCAGCCTGGGCAACAGAGTGAGACTCCGTCTCAAAATAATAATAATAATAATATTTGTAAATAAATAAATGGGTAAACTTATTTTTTCTTTATATATTTTGGAATTACTTTATTTGTTGCAACAAGTATGCATTATTTCTCAACTAAAAAACATAAAGAAAATGCAAAGGATAAAAAAAGAAGTATAGGAAATATTCCAAGACCTGGTTATGAGACCTTTAAAAAAAAATCAGTGAAATTAGAGAAAAAAAGGTGAGTTGGCCTTAAATCTTGACACACTTTCTCCACATTTCCTACTTTTCTGTCATTTTCTGCACCTATTAATAACCATCTATTAATTTCTTCAGTAGTCAGACATGATAATTTGGGATGGCTCAAAACAAAAGGAATATGGTGAGAGTGGCGCACTGGATTTTATAACTAGGCAGGTATACTGTATTTGAATCGTCTCTTGTTCTCATCGCATATTTAAGCAAGAAACATGTTAATTCAGCCATTGTCTGGGTGTGAAGAAAGTTTTCTCTCTCTTTCATAATTCTTGAGGGACATTCCAGTCCTCATAGCTATCTTTGATGTGGTATCAATTTATACAACCAATTTCTCCTCACTCCCAAAGTTTTATATGCTATAAACAGAGAGGCAAAAAAACAAAGTCCTTCTTATTAGGGAGTTTATATCCCAGGGGAGAGACAGACAAATAAACATAGGATATAATGTCAGGAGACAGTGAGTGCAGTGACAGGAAATAAACCAAAGTAGTGGGATAGAGAATGATCCAGGTGTGGTCTTTCATAGGCTGCTCAGAGAGGATCTCCCTCCCAGGAATCACCATTTTGGAAGAGCTCTAGAGTAAAAACTGTAGCAATTCATAGCAGTATCTATGGGAATAGCTTTTGGAGAAAAGGTAACATCAAGTACAAAGACCCTAATCAAACAGATGAACCACCCAAATCATATGGAAAATCCAGTCTTCACAGGCATGGAGAGATGGCAGAAATTAGCATGCCAAAGATTGCACAGCCAACCACAGCAAAGTGGTGACCAGAACAAGGCATGAGGCAAAGTCAGGGCTGGGCCAGGAATATTGACACAAAGTATTAGTTTGGCACAAAAGTCATTGCCGTTTTTTGCATTAAAGTAATGGCAAAACCACAATGACTTTTGCACCAACCTAATAGTTGTCCTCAGGTTTAGCGCCAGCTCAGGGGTCAACACAGGTTTGAATTATAATCCAATAGCACCACAATTCTAGGAAATGTATTTACACATTCCCACTTGCAAAACAGAAATAATATTACCAGTTCTCTGATTCCTTCATAGACATGTTTAAAGATTAGAAACAAAGCACTCGGAAGTTCATAGGAAACAAGAGAGAGACAGAGTAAAAAGTAAAAGTAAAAGAGAGATTCATTGTGTGTTGTGGGAAGCCAGGGACCCCAAATGGAGGGACGTGCTGAAGCCGTAACAGAAGAACATAAATTGTGAAGATTTCATGGACATTTGTTAGTTCTCCAAATTAATACTTTTATAATTTCTTTCACCTGTCTTTACTGTAATCTCTGAACATAAATTGTGAAGATTTCATGGACATTTATTTTTCCCCAGTCAATACTCTTATAATTTCCTATGCCTGTCTTTAATCTCTTAATCCCATCATCTTTGTAAGCTGAGGATGTATGTCACCTCAGGACCATGTGATGATTGCGTTAACTGCACAAATTGTTCGTAAAGCATGTGTGTTTAAACAATATGAAATCTGCGCACCTTGAAAAAAGAACAGGATAACAGTGATGTTCAGGGAACAAGGGAGATAACCATTAGGTCTGACTGCCTGGGAGCTGGGCAGGACAGAGCCATATTTCTCTTATTGCTGAAAACATGTAAGAGAAATATCGCTGAATTCTTTCCCCAGTAAGGAATATTAATAATTAACAGCCCTGGGAAAAGAATGCATTCCCAGTTGGGGGACCTCTCAAATGGCTGCTCTGGGAGTGTCTGCCTTATGTAGTTGTAGATAGGGATGAAACACACCCTGGTCTCCTGCAGCACCCCAAGGCTTGCTAGGATTAGGAAATTCCAGCCTGGTGAATGCTAGTCAGATTTGTTCTCTGCTCTTGAACACTGTTAAGATGTTTATCAACGACAACGCATGCACAGTGGGACATGAAACTTCATCAGCAATTCTAGTTTCACCCTGGCCTTGTGACCTTGCCCTACCCATTTGCCATGTGATATTTTATTGCCCTTGAAGCATGTGATCTCTGTGACCCACACCCCATTCGCACACTCCCTCCCCTTTGAAAATTGCTAATAAAGACTTGCTGGTTTTGTGGCTCAGGGGGCATCACAGAACCTGCCGACATGTGATGTCTCCCCCATACAGCCAGCTTTAAAATTTCTCTCTTTTGTACTCTTTCCCTTTATTTCTCAGACCAGCTGACACTTAGGGAAAATAGAAAAGAACCTATGTTGAATTATTGGGGGCTGGTTCCCCTGATAGTTGTGTATTTCATTTTGTGTTTAATATGTCCTAAATTCCTGTTTCATGTTTAGTGGAGGATAATGGATTTGGTACCATCCTACTTCTAGGTACTGCTCCATTTTCTCAAGCATCTTCGAGAATTTTACTAAGTGAAACATGAATCCATTGTATCCTTGGAAATTCAAAGATAATATTTATTTGGAGTTAAAAAAAAACCTGCAGGGTTTTTCTAAAAGGTATATATCTTATAGTCCCTATTGGTGAAATTAATTTAATTCACTTCTTTTCTTAAGTTTTTATGTTGACAATAATCTCCCCAGTATTGCTCCCTACTTGCTCCCATTCCAAAGGGAAGCACTGTTAACACTAAAACACCCTACTTTGTAACCGCTGGATTTGTTGCTCCATATTCATAAGTATATGGGGAGGTTTGAATAATTGAAAAAGTATAGTTTCAAGTATGCTCAACTAGAATGTCCTTGCCAAAATATAAAACTACTGTAACTCTATCTGAGATATTTTCAGAAAGCTGGAAAGTCAGAAATAGCTGATATTGCATCCTTTCTGCTTTTACTCACACAGGTACACAGAGACATTGAGACAAAAAATAAATTATGTAGTTTGTTCAAAATGACAAGGTGAGCTAACAGTAAATTTAAAAATATGAGCAGAAAAACATTTATGTTGTAGGGCTATTTGCTTTGGAACAAGGAGAGCTTTTGACTCTAATTTCAAAGAATCATAAGGTTTCATAATGGGTAATAGATTTCCAATATTTAACAAGCTGCAAGAACAGTTCACAAGGTAGAATCAGTAACAACTTCAATTATTTTGCTACTTCCACCAGCAAACACAGTGCTTTTTCTTTCTACCAGGCACAAATTCTTTTATGCCTTTCCAGGATCTGAATTCCAGTAATTCCTCTCAACCTTAGAGGAAAAGTTTTGGCACACAAATTGGCTTATAAATTTCAGAGGTAGTTCCTCAATTTGCAACAATTTTCAATGCTATCCATTGTTCTTTTGAAAAGTTCTCCTCTTCCTCTTATCTAAATAGTATTGATGGGGCTGCCAATCACAGTAACTCACCTGTCTCCAAAGAGATGGGGATATGACACATGATGGAGCAAATCATAGTATCCCTTTGGCATTTTTCCAAACTGGAAAAAAGAGAAAGAGTTCTTTTCTTCCAGCTTCCGAGTTTGCAATTACATGAGCTCAGAAGCTTCCTTAGTCATAGTTTTAGCTTTATGGAGATAGCTGGTTTGAGAACCTGAAGTTGAGACATACAGGAGAGAGGAGAGAGAGGAGAGGGGAGGGGAGGGGAGAACCTTGAAATTGGTGGGGTTTTTCTTTTTCTTTATCCCAGGTTTCTTACTTTGGTTACAAGAGTTACTAAATTGCCTTTTTAACTTAGACTATCTCAAATGTAACTTTCTTTTAAGCAATAAAACATGGCAATATTTTAGAATATCATTCCCATGATTGCATTATATTATGTGACAAAGTTAAAAGGATTTTGCAGATGTAATTAAGGTCTCTAATCAGCTAAAGTTAAATAATCTTAAGAGGCAATTACACTGGGTGGGCTGGACCTAATCAGATGAGCCCTTTAAAGAGGGTCTGGAGGTCAGAGATGAATACAATTTAAAAATTCCCTCTCCTGTTATCTTTGAAGAAGAAAGACACCATGAGTTCTACAGTTGCAATGACTGAATTCTCTCAACAACCACATGAATTTGGAAGAGAACCCTGAGCTGCAGTAGGAAATTCAGACTCAGTGACACCTTGGATGCACCCTTGTGAGTCATGAGCAGAGGACTCAGTTAAGCTGTGCCAGTATTCCTGACCCTTAGAAACTCCAAGATAATAAATAATCAAAATTAGTTATTCATAGGTGATTAGAGCCCTAGGCTGTAACATATAATAATATAGCTTAATTAATATTAGGAAAACAAGTATTTACCAAGTGTTCAACATGTACCATTCTCTATGCTATTTTCCTTGCAAACTCATTCTTCCTCACAAAAATTTGGAAGAAAAATATTACTAGCTTCATTTTAGAGACCCCCCAGAAAATTAATTTTTCCTCAGGTCACATAACTGTTACATGATAAGACAAAGACTGAAAGCCAAACTTGTTTAATATTTGCCTTTGGCCTCTACAGTACACAGGATGCAAGCATGTTATAAGTGCTGCAAGCATGTTATAACCATGCTGACAAAACTATGAAACTGAAGCCAGCTTGTCTTAAGTAAGTGCTCAGTCAAAATTCCTTCTCAAAAGACCCTATTCCAAAGTTGCAGAAATCATACTCCATTTATTTCCATCACAATAATCACCCAGGTGAAGTTGTTGGAGGCTATATTGCAAAGACATGACATAGTCACCTTAAACAAATGTACACTCCTACTCTAAAGAGGAAGAAGTGGTAGCCTCTAGAGAAAAAAAAAATGCTTCACAATATTAGAAATCATTGTCAAGGCATTCACATCAAATAAAGTGTGCATTAAAAGTTTCTGTCCACTCATATGTTTTCTGTCAAGTTCTCCCAGAGTGTCAGTGTATCTACCTGGATAATTTAGATGGAGTCTCCAGAATTATTTGCCCTTCAATGAAGGAGATTTTTTTTAAAAAGACTTTGCCCCACTCTCCAATTAGAAACTGAGGGTAGTCTTAGTCCATCAATTGCTAATTTATTTGGTTTGTCAATCTAGATTGGATTAGGCAGACTTTTTAGACTAAGTCATTGTATGTAGGTAGGGGACTTTTAATTTGTACCTTCAATTCCAATCTTTCTCTAAGGTTTAGTACAATGTACTTAACAGTTTTCTGAGCATTGTCTCCTAGGTGAGCCATTAGCTTCATAAAATTATCCATCTAATCAAAGCATCTCGTCTATCTCTAATGCCTTTCTTCAGAATGTGTTTCCATTGGATTTTATAAATCCAGCTTGAAAACTAAGAATATTTTACTCCCCCATATCAATCATCTATAATTTCATTATTTATAACCTCCCTTATTTTATCTGTTTCCCAGTTTCCACTGTCAATTTTTTTTGTGTGTGTACAAACCCTTATTAATAGATAGCCTTGAGTAGCTTCCAAGTAGGTATCCTGGTTTCAGGCATTCCTTCATGTATATCATCCTGTACATTACTCCCAGACTAATTTCCTAAACAACACTTTGATCATAACACTTACGATGTTCTAGGGCTTAAAACTTTTTTGCTGGCTCATGATCGCCCTTTCAAAATAAAAAAGCCTTTTTCCCAATTACAAACCAGCCTGAAACTATCTCTTAGTTTTCTGTCAGTTTCTTGCTCATATGCTATGCTTCATGCAAATTAGACTGTCGCTATCCTATAAACATGTATTTTATATAACAAATGCCCCCAGGATCTTTCTCTGATGTGGTTAGTAATGCACTGACAGGAATTGAAGTTGTGTCTTCTTCCAGCATAAGAGATGGCACTCAAAGGCCAATTTCCAAAATGCCACTTACCTTCTCCCACCAGCACGAGGGACTGCAACATTCCACAGTCCCCCAGCTCGTCAAAGCTTGCACAGATCACTTTCATAATGTTAAAAAAAATTGCTGGGATCTAAACTCATACTCTTTGATAGCTGAGATCTAAATATTTATTTTTCTACTTATAAGGTTGTTCTCATGCTTGTACTAAAAGTATGAACAGACGGGGCAAGGACCCTTCTTTGGAGCACAATCATGGTACACCCAGCAATGTTTAATATAAGTCTCCTTTTCACTATTATGCCAAGAGATTAAGGGGGCACATGCATTCTTCTAGGATGCTTACTCCCACCAATAACTTGTTTCTCAATACACATATTGTGACTTTATGAACGTGTACTCACCACCTCTCCATACATGCCTACTTTGTTCCTGTAATGTTCCCAAGCTTGAATATTGCTCCCCATAATAGCATATTAAAGTTCTGCCTTGTCTTACTGCAAACTGAAAAGTTACTTTATCCATGCCTTATATCTTGTGTTCTCTAATCAGAAGAAAAAGATTTCATCATTGAATTCCAAGAGCTCTAATCAGAAGAAAAAGCTTTCATCATTGAATTCCAGTACATTTCTTCTTATCAAAAGCACTTACCCCATACTGCCTACTATTATTATGGTGGCAGTATTGTGTCTTACCAGATTCAGAAACACTGATAAGAATTTACTGTTTTTTTCTAAATTTGTACATATTGTCTATCACAGAGGCTTAAGTACAGTTTATTCACAATATTACAAAGGATAACTAAAGCAAATTTCAGGAATAACTTCCTTCCTGAAAGAATAAAATTACATCAATTGGTCCAAAATGACTGGAGTAGCATGGCTTTTTCCATGAAACATTGACTGGTAGCTTTTTACAACCTCACTCAATCCAGATGCTTCAGTTCTGCCTGGGTTGATCAAGAACATAAAACTATCATTTAATAGGAATGCTGCTTTTACACTTGTGGAAACAGAAGCCCATTTTATCAAAGGCTCAATTTTTTATAATATTATTCTTACTATCTTAAATCCTTAGGGTATTTAAGATGGAATTTTACAACTCAGAAGTCTAAACACATAAGAAAATACTAAGATTTAGAAATATAATAAAGAAAATATTCCCATATGATTTTTATGATTCTGTTCACTTAAATAAAAACATCAATAGGCTTCTAAAGTCATTGATTATTTAAAGAGAATATGATGAATGCTATCCCAATTGTTTTTACACATGAAAGAATCAGCACAAAACCCAAGAGCTGACCAATTTTACAGTGAGAAGCACATAAAAAGTAGTTTCTTATGATCTTTCAGGAGGAAATGCACTTGAAATACTGTAAGAAAGGCAGTCTTGTGATATTTCTCATTATAAAAGGTCACTGCTCCACTCATTTATCACTATTTTATGGAGAAAGCAGAGTGGGTTGTGTCTAGTTGGGAGCAATGTTGCTGAGAAGAGTTTTAAAAATTACCTGGTGTTAAGAGGGACAGAGAAATTACTAGGTGTCTTGCAAAGCACAGTTTGGAAACATATCGCTAGTGCAAAATATCAGAGATCTTGTAAGACATGAGAGGAGAAAGAGAAATCTACACTGAAGGGACTATTTTCTTCTCTTATAAATAAATCTTCTCATCTTAAATAGGAATTATTTATGAGTTTAAAGACAAGGATACTATATCCCTCATTGCATTTAGATTTCATTTCTCTATTAGGGGGATGCGTTGGAATTCTCTATCACTGGGGGATGATCACATACCGTAATAGACAATCATATAGCAAAAACCATACATGGAAGTATTTCATATTTTCAACAAAGGAAAAGGGAATTTTTTACTCTACATAAATGCTAACATATCTAACGGTTATGTAATGTCGTGTTGTTGCATCAGCGTGAAAATTCATAATACATAGAATCAGTGCATAATACTACTGCTGTGTGGGAGATGCCAGTCTGAGAGTTCTACACAGAATATTTCACTTAATTATTTAATCTTCCTAAGAAACCCATTTGGTAAGTACTAATATTAGCTCCATTTAATAGAAGAGAAAAGTGAGGTAGTTGCTAATGATTGCACAATCAATGGTGGAACTGGAATGCAAGCTTAGGCATTAATATGCAACCATACTCTACTTTCATATTTAGAAGGTCTCCTTTAATCAAATAAATGACAGAATTCTTTGATTAAACAATAACAATTACCAGAAAAGCCACTTTAGGCAGGATGTGTATTGGAAAGCAGGAATCCTTAAGGAAAAATCAAAAGAAAATTCTTGGAGTTAAAAACCATGCATTACTAAGCCTGCTATTTTATAATTTTCTCTGATGTTCATTATTATAGAATTTGTAACTGCACAGACTAAGAACTGAAATAAATTTAACATCAGTTTTTAGATCAAAATATAAAAAGCTGTTCTCACATGCTCCTCCAAAAAGTGTACGCGTGCAATCTACTCAGCCTCCCTGCCACACACTTCCAATGATATAAAATAGAAAGAACACTGTAATGTAGGTCTGTATGTGGTTGTTTTGGTAAAAAGAGATATAACATTATGATAACAATTAATTTTGCAAAATCTAAAGCACAATACAAATGATAAATGTTAATAATATTTCAAAAAGCATTATACATAATAATGAGCAAGCACAAAACATTCCATTTTACAAAATAAAGAGAATTTCCCATTATTAACTGACATTGATTAATTTGACAGGAAAAGAAAGCAACAAATATCATCTGATTTTTTATTTTAGTATGTAAGCAACAATATTGCCTGAATTCAATTTTAACAAAAACTGAATTCCATGTAAGCATTTAAAAAGTTATAGCATTTTTCATCTTATAAAAATTAATTTGGTAAAATTATAACATGAATACTTGGCAAAGGGTGAGTTGAGTTGGTCTTTTCTCCACTTAAATGAGAATTCCAAATTAAAACAAGTATTTTAGAAGAATACACTTTTATTAATAAAAGCTAAATTCTGCTATAAAAGGAAGGAAAACAAAACAAAACAAAAAAAAATCTGTCCTGACAATGTCCACACTGAGTACACCTGGCAAAAAAAAAAAAAAAAAAAAAAGCCACATATTTAACTTCTGAGTTTTCTAAAGCAATGCTATTCATGAACAAGACTTTTTTTTAGATAACAAAAATAGGTAGAATGAACAGACAATTATAAATTTTTCTTCTTTCATAGCCAGGAAGTAGAATAGAGAAAACATGCAATAAAATGATATTGTTTTTTTTCAGATATATTTCCAGATGTGTAGTTCTACTATCCTTATAGTTTAAAATTTCTACCATAATGCAGATATGTATTCTATATATTAGTGGTCCACATTATTGAGAAACATAAAAAGTGAAAATGGGTTTATTATAATTCTTTGAAGTCTCAAATTTTCTTATTGAAGTAGGGATTTTAAAATTCTAGCATATCTTTCTATTTTCACTGGTTTACTCTTCTTGGTATGTTTCATTTTCTGTTAATTCTAAACTCAAATTAGTAAATTTACTATATTATGCCTTGTCTGGGAAGTAAAATTTGATGATTTCCCAATATATTCCAAAAATAAGTACTTTTTTCTTTAAAATTGTGTCATCTTAATGTTTCTGTTTTTACCAGTGTCCTCTTAGACCAATAGACCACATAAAGTAACTACACATTCTGGTCAAAATAGAAAAGAAACAATTACCTGAAGACACAAGAGAGTGATTAAAAAGAGGGGATTCTGCCTTAGAATAAGAGAATAGCAGGGGGTCAATTTTTAATTTTAACTTTAAATAATTTTAGCCTGAATTTTACCCTGTCAGCACCATGTGAAGCAGCTAAGATTTTGATAGAAAACCTACGGTCTTACTGCTTTATAGAACCAGACAAGAAAAATTCAAGAAAGGAGCAAGTCATTGAGGTGGAGTCCCAATTCTGCACATAAACTCTGCCCACGTGGCTGCTCCCTGAATCATACTACATGCGTAAGGTAGGCTCCAAGCTACAATATAAGACTGAAAAATAAATGAGAATTAAGGATGCTATTATCTTAGTTCATTTAAGCTGCTATAACAAAATGACTTACACTGTCTTATAAACAACAGAAATTTCTCAGCGTCCTGGAGGCAGACAAGTCCAAGATCAAGGTGTGGGCTATATATAGTATGTAGTCAGGGCCCTCTTTATGATAGACAGTTGTCTTCTCATTGTAACTTCACATGATGAAAGGGGCCAGAGAGCTCTCTGGGTCTCTTTTAAAAAGGCACTAATCGCATTCATGAGGATTTTGCTCTATGACCTAATCACCTTCCAAAAGTCCCACTTTCCAAGAGCATCACCTTGAGAGTTAGAATTTCAACACATGCATTTTAGGAAGATACAAACACTCAGATCATAGTAGTTGCATAAACTAAGAAATATAGAGTTTGTAATTTGAGTGTAAACAAACTAAATTATAGTGTAAACATCAGGGGTCGGTAAGTGGGGGCAATGCAAAAAGGAACTTAATTCTTAAAGAAGCACAACAGAATCCAAATTATCTACAATATGTCACTCACAATTTCCAGGACACAATTTAAAGCAGGCTGACATTTAAAAATTACAGGAAAATATGATCCTTTCTCAAAAGAAGAAAGTCAACCGAGACTGTGGCTGACTGCCACGGTTACTACTTGAGACCATCATTACAAGACTGAACAAAGGGACGAAAGTAGAAATGAAAACTTAAGACAAAAGAAACTGTTTTAAAGGAAGGGAAACCGGGGAAGAAGAAGAGAGCTCCCTGCTTCTAGTGAGCAAAGGCAGCTCCTGACCTTCTACAGCCCTTCATATTTATTGGGTAGCAAGAGCAGGGAGGAGGAGGTAACGATTGGTCAGCTGCTTAATTGATCATAGGTTCATATTATTACTAACAGGCTTCAGATATATCTAATCACAAGAAACACTGCGCTTGGGGGGTGACTGCCCTCAGCATCCCTTCTGGGTGGCAGTTTGTCTGTCTGCCAACATTCTGCATTTATGAGAAACAGCTTGCTGCTTACTCATGTAGCCTCCAGTGGTATACTGAGTTGATCACGACCCTCAGTCCTTCAGCCTCCAACACGAGACAAACCTCAAGATGATGCAAATATTGGTTGTAGTAAACAAAAATTTTAAAGCAGCCATAACTATGTTCAAGGAAATTAAAAAAAGAAAAATATATTTTAAATGAATGAACAAACATAGAGTCTCAGTAGAGAAGAAAAAAACATAAAAAGTAAACTAGTTGGAAGTCTGGATTGAGAAAATTCCCTATATAGTCTGACCAGATCTCTGAGAGGTAAACAGGTTTAACAGTGAAACAGAAAGGTCAGAAGAGTCAGAATACATGAAGATAGAGGGAAACAAAGGACCCAATGTGAATCACACAGTGGGGAAAAAAATGACAAATATGAACAGCAGCCAGTGCTCAAATACTATTCTCCAATAAAAGAAACCAGATATTTTCAGAGAAATGGCTGATTGTAGGGCCAGAACAGGGAAAATATAAGATGACCCTAGAGCACCTTATACTACCAAAAAGTAATATAGTGCTTACAAAACAGGTTGGGAAATGTCAAAGTGACACAGAAACCAACCTGAAAGTACTCCCAGTAGTCAATTCTAGAACAATTTGAGGAACAAAATAATGTGGTATTAAATTATAACCGAAAGTATACAATAAATATATATAAGTTCATACTGATATATATATATAACTGACTGAATACAGAAATGAGAAAGAAGAATGAAATCAGACCCTTATCTCACACCATATACAAAAGTAAACTCAAAGTGTATTAAAACCTTAAATTTCAGACCCAACATTATAAACCTAGTAGAAGAAAACAGAGGGGAAAGCTCCACAACATTGGTCTGGGCAATGCTTCTTTGGATACGACCCCAAAAGCACAGGCAACATAAGCAAAAATAGACAAATGAGATTACGTCAAACTGAAAGCTTCTGCCCAATAAAGGAAACAATCAACTGACTGAAGACACAACCTATGGAATGTGAGAATATATTTGCAACCATACATCTGATAAGGGGATAATATCTAAAATATACAAGGAACTCAAATAATTCAATAGCATGAAAACAAATAACCTGATTTTAAAATGGGCAAAGGACCATTTGAATAGATATTTCTCAAAAGACATATAAATGGCCAACAAGTATGTGAAAAAACGCTCAACCAAGCACCACGAAAATGCAAATCAGAACCACAATGAAACATCACCTTACACCTGTTGGAATAGCTATTATCAAAAAGATGAAGGATAAGGAGTATATAAAAAAGAAAACCCTGGCATATTGTTGGTTCAAACATAAATCAGCACAGCCATTATGGAAAACAGTATGGAATTTCCTCAAAAAATTTAAAAAAAAAAACAAACTTATTTAATAGAAAATTTCCAAGTAATATATGTAGCTACTTTCCCCTTTAGGAATTGAAGGTTAATCTCTCTGCTCTTGAGGGTGGGTTGGGCTTACTAATTTATTTCCAAACATTAGGGAAAAAATCATAACTTCGCTGCGGATAAATCTGGCAAACAAAATCTTGTATAATTGATGAAGTTAACGTAACTACAGATAGCACGTGGACATCATGTACCTCCTGATTTGATGTGATGAGAAGGGCACTTTACCTCTGTACTTCTCATTTCAAAAGCCAATAACCCCAGTTCAATTATGAGAAAAGTATCAGACAAAACCAAATTGAAGAAGATTCCATATGTATTTATCGTAATTCTCACAACCGTCATGCAACACTAAGAAATTATCACAGACCAAAGAAGACTTGGGAGACTTGACAACTAAATGCATTGTGGTAACCCGCATTGGATCCTGGAAGAGAAAGGGGATATTAGTATTTTATTTTATTTATTTATCGTTATTATTTTTTTTTTTTGAGACGGAGTCTCGCTCTGTCGCCCAGGCTTGAGTGCAGTGGAGCGATCTCCGCTAACTGCAAGCTCCTCTTCCCGGGTTCACGCCATTCTCCTGCCTCAGCCTCCCGAGTAGCTGGGACTACAGGCGGCCGCAACCGTGCCCGGCTAATTTTTTGTATTTTAAGTGTAGAGATGGGGTTTCGCCGTGTTAGCCAGGATGGTCTTGATCTCCTGACCTCGTGATCCGTCCGCCTCAGCCTCCCAAAGTGCTGGGATTACAGGCGTGAGCCACCGCGCCCGGCCGGATAGTAGTATTTTAAAACAACTGGTGAAATACAAATAAAACCTGCAGTTTTTTTAAGAGTAATGTGCCAATGTTGTCCTCTTAGTTTTAGTAAATATATAATGGTAATGAAAGATGTTTGCCATGGAGCAAATTGGGTGAGAAGTATACAGGAACTCTGAGTACTGCCTTGCAACTTTCTAAAATATAAAATTTATTTTTAAAATACAGAGCCTCGAGCACCTTGGACAAATATTATAAAGTATAACATACATGTAATTAGATTTGTGAAAGAAAAGAAGAAAGAAGGCAGAAAAATAAGGAATAGCAGCTAAATGTTTTCCCCAAATTTCTAGAGGAATCTAAATTTAGAAATTCAAGAAACTCAGCCAAATATAAACAGAATAAATCCATAAAAAATTAAACCTAGACATATTACACTTACTAGTGAAAATTAAAGAGCAATTGAAAAATCTCAAAAGCAGCCAGAGAAAACTCATTCAGTATATTTTGAGAACAACAGTCTTAATTATTGCTGAGTTCTCATTAGAAACACTGTGGACTGGAAAACAGTGGGACATCCTTAAATTGCTGGGAAAAAAATAAAGTGAAATTTCAACCAAGAATTCTATATTCACCAAAAATATTATTTAAAATGAGGAGAAAATAAGGACATTTTCAGGGTAAGACAACTAGATGAATTCATTGCCAGCAGTCCTTCACTACAGGAAATTCTAAAGTTTTTCAAGCTGAGGGGAAATAATACCAGATGGTAATTTGCATCTACCAGAAAGAATGAAGAGCTTTGAAACTGTAAATATATGGGCACATATAAAGTATTATGTTTTTCCTCTTAATTAAAAAATATATGACTGTTTAAAGCAAATATTCTAACATATTGCATGGCTTCTATAATTTGCAGATGTATTGTATATGATGATAACAAAAATTATAGAAATAAAGGTAGAAGCCCATCTCTACTAGAAATACAAAAATTAGCTGGGAGTGGTGGTGGGCACCTGTAATCCTAGCTATTTGGGAGGCTGAGGCAGGAGAACTGCTTGAATCTGGGAGGCAGAGGTTGCAGTGACCTGAGATCATGCCATTGCACTCCAACCTGGGTGATAGAGCGAGACTTCACCTCAAAAAAAAAAAAAAAAAAAAAAAGTAGATGCACATATGTAGTTGCTAAGCTCTTACATTTTATGTAAATTGGTAAAATATCAATTCTAAATAGACTATGAAGAGTAAGGACTGTATATTATTTTCTCTGGGGCAAAGTAAAAAATAATACAATAGCTCAAACAGATATATTTAAATAGCTAACAAAATAAACTATATTTCTAAAATATTTTAATCCAAAATTAATTTTAAACTAATAAGAAAAAGAGAAACAAAAACCAAAAAGGACAAATGAAAATAAATAATAAAAAGGTAAATATAAATTCAATCATATCAATAATTATAATAAACATTAGTGGATTAAAACTCCCATTAAAAGACAGAGATTGTCCCTTTCTGTGTCCATTTCTCTCTCTCTCTCTCTCATTTACAAGATGTCTGCCTTCACTATATTTCCCTGTCTTGACTTCTCAAAGGCACTCAATCTCTAATTCTTTCCAGTAGACTCATATCCTCACCACTGTACAGGAATTGATATTTTAAAACACAGCAGCTCCATTTTATCCAATTGTCAATTTTCAAAACTCAATTTAACTACATAGTATGTGTCATTATTGATTATTCCATTCTTGATTCAGCTATTTCTCTTTCTCTACCTCCCTCCCTCCATTTCCTCATTTTTCCTAAATGCCTGTGCTGATGGATTTTCCTACCTCTTAGTTCTTCTTTTGTATTTCCTATAGCTTATTCTAACCCCTAAATATTAATGTTTCCAACATTTCTTTCCTCAGTTGATTTTTTTTCACTTTTATTTTTTACTTTCCTCTTACTTGTCCATCTCTTTGTCTGCCCATACTCAATTATTTCTTAAATGCAGTGACAAGAAAATCAAAATCTCTAACTGGTTCTTCATGAAGGATATTTTTTCTAGGATATTTTTAAATGTCAAAGATGTCACATATTCATTTGACATCTGAAAACTATATGACTTATATTAGTCAGAGACATGAAATAAATTATTAAACATTATTTTTTATCTACCAGATTAGTATTCCCAAAGCCCAGTCTTTAATGTGGTCCTCTTTTACTTAAAAACTCTGATGGTTTTCCAGTGGGCACCAAGCAAAGTCCAGTATATTTAGCCTTGCCACTTAAACTCTCTTTAAGATATATGCATATTGATTAACACAATGCTTCTCTCACTACTTTTCATGCAGCTTTTTGTCAGGGACTGGAAAAGAAAGAGTACATGCCTCAAATTTTCTTGCAGCTGTCTCTGCATATTAGTTAGCTTCAAGAAAGGGATGCCCTTTTAGTATTTGGAAGGAAGTGAGAACATCAGATGGTAGGCATGTGGTTCTTCAGTAAATAATGTGACAGTAGCATGCTGCAACTGTAGGAGAATCCCTACGGTAAAGTCAATTCCCATTTGTGGATACTCAGCTGCAGTGACAGGTCATTTTACCTGAGTCTCTTTCTTAATTATGTTAGAGTGAGCAAGGTGGCTTCCTGTAATGACTACTGTGGCAGTTGTTTTCTTGCTAAGCCCATTTTGTAATGAGATTCTGGGGCTGTGAAATAACTCTGGAATCAGAGCCGAGAACACCTTCCCTGGGCTTTCCCAATTATGCTATAAAATATTTAATCATCTCTTTAATCCCCTTTCTGTTTGAGCTAGCTAGAGTAGAATTTGCTTTCTGCAACTGAATCCTACCTAAAAAATTTATCACTAACCTATGTGCAGGATAATGTGCATTTTTTTTACGACCCCCATATACAACTTATACTCCAGGAAAATTTAGCAACTTGCTACTCCCCTTTTTAGTCCTTTTTTCTACTCCCATATCTCTGTTCAAACTATTCCTTCTATATGTCATGGCTTAATGCCTTCCCCCTCCGATATTCATACATTCAATTATTCTCCATGCTACAAAGCTTAAATGTTACATAGCTCATAAAGCTTTACTAATATCATCAACCAAAGCAATGTCCTCCTTCCTACTTTCCATAACATTTTACTTATATTTTATCCTCTCTTTTAGGCTGTTTCATCTGCACTTATCTCTGAATATTTAAAGGCAGATGCAATTTAATTTCTGTTTGTGTTATATTTTTGTCACCCAGCAAACAGTTCACTTGTTTTACCAAGCAGTGCTCCAAATGGCATCAGTCCATCCAAGCCTTACGCTACTCACTGAAGCCCAAATAATAGAGAAATTCATCCTCCCTTCTTTGCTTAATAGCAAGTGGAAGAGCCATTGTAGCACATATTTGGACCATCTAATGAATAATTAGCTTGCATAATTTTGGAAACAGTCTTTCAACTCTGTGTAAACTAGAAAGTTGACCTAATCAAAGAAATAATATCACATCCTTGCTGGGAGGTTAAGGATACCTCAGTTTACTATTCATTTTTGTCTCTTTCTGATTATTAGCTGTCACCCTATTTGATAATCATATAGCAAACATCACAAAACTGGGACTTTAATTGGAAAACTGACAATCTGTAAAAAAAAAAAAATGGAACTCATTTCTTCTGACAGGAACAGTATTTCTAGTGTAATAAATATCGTTTTGCTTAAGCAATGTCTCCTAAATGTAGATGACTGTGTTTGTTACTTATGCTTCCAATCAGAGCATCAGAGAAAAAAATGAACTTAGTGCATAGGGTCAAGTACTAAGGTTTAGACTCTGACTGGAATTGCAGTGAATTGTGCTAAATTAGACCTCAATAAATATCTGAAGATTAAATCCATGGACAAGAAAAAGAAAGAGAGAGAGAAAAATTAATTATTTATTTCATTCATTCTGGGGATGAAGCAGGCCAGAGAGATTTTAGAAACCAAATATATCTACAAAGCACAACACTGAAGAGACTATTTGATCTACCTGCACATTGAGTTGACCATGTATCAGGATCAATTAAGGCAACAAAGTACATTTTAATGATTTTTATTCTAAACTAGTTTTGACATGGTGGGAAAAAAAGCAGATCGAATGAGAAACCTGAAGCAGATAAAGCTTGTGAAAGTAGATTGAACATTATTGAATGTAATATAAACACAAAGAAGTCTATAACTGATATAAAAGTAGATATACCAGTGAAGCAATTCCCAATTAGTTGTACTTTGTCAAAAGCCAATATGATTCAGCATTAGGTAAGATTATGTGGCAAGTCTCACCTCCTTTGGGAGTCTAGATTTGGTCTAACAATTTGAAGAAGTTTTTTAACATGCATCTTGGTAGCATTTATTTGTACATTTAAGAAACTGTCCTTATGTAAAACCAAACTTTTTTGTTCATTTGAAAATTCCTGTTTTGAAGAACCATGGTTTAGACGGCAAAAGTACCAACACTTTCTGTTTACAGAAATAGTATTTGTACCTGGGGCAGTATATGTTATGCAAAGTATTCGCTTTACCAGTGAAAATGAGAATCCTCATTTTAATATAATTTCCAGAGGCTTAGATCATGCTTTGAACTGTAATCACCTGCAGGGGAAACTTAGAGATCAAAAATATCCATTTGCTTCCAGAACCCAAATATAGCATTTTCTCTGCAAGAAACTGGCTTTGATTTCTCCCCCAAAATTTAAGTTTCAGCATACTGCTAAGTAATGCAGTGGAGTAAGGAAAGTAAGATAGTATAAAATTTTAGAAACCATGTAATTACAGCTAAACAATAGTTTATATATAAACATGCTTACAGTTCTTATGAATTAATGAATAGTTGTAACATATTTTATTTGGACTTCTTAAAATGTCTCATTGGAAAACATGATTTCTAGAGATATTTTAAAAAATTTATACAATATATGAGGCTGAGAAACTCTAGGTTTTATTAACTTTAATGTACCTCAATAAGCTTTTATACTTGCTTGTTTTAGGAGTATCCCTGTGAACCCAAATAATTGAATTTATACAAAGATCACCTAATACATAGCTTGATAAAATTTTCACATTTGAGCATATGGTGTTATTGTATGTATAACCTGGGTGACTATAAGCCATTTGACAGAAAAGTAACTTCCTCTAAACCTGATTCTTATTCCACCACCACAGAATAAATTCCATCTCTGACCAAACTGTGATAGGGGTAATAGGATGTTAGAAATTAAATAAATCCTTTTTGAAAAACATTACTTTCCTAGATTAAACATGTCTTGCTTCTCCATTTATCTTGGCCTTCTTGGTCTTTGCTGGGTTAATCTTTTTCTTTTTGTAAATTCTTCAGTTATCTTTCTAACCTAATATTAAAAAGTCCAGATTTAAGATACTAGGAGCAACATAGCATTAATATTTATATGTTCCATTTACAACTTTTTTGTTCTAAGTCCTTGCAAAGTCTTTTAATTCTAAAATAATTGTTTCATTATTAACAAAATAATTACATTATTAAAGTTTGGTTTTAGATCTATAAGTCATTTAATTATAAAAAATGCTTTGGTATATATACCTTATAATAATATATGGAATTGTAATAAACTATATAGCCATTTGTAGGTAGTATAGTCAGTAAATTATTAGAAAGTGTTGAATAATGATGAATTAGACTGGTAATAAAAATAAAGAAAAATTTACTGGTTGAAATTGTGGTTTAGTAATAGAAGACAATAATCTGAGGAAAAAACAAATTAATACTGAAAAAGAAGAATAAATTACCACTGGTGAAAAAAATGTAGATTAATTTTACAGTTACTAACATCCACATGATAGAATAAAAAGTAGGATATTATTTACATGAATACATACAATGTTCTGCACACATTAAGTTGGGGTCAGGAAAGACTGTGGATACTAAAGTGATATTATAAGACTTCAAAATATTTGCCATAATATGATAATCAAAAGATTTATAAGCAAAGGCTTAAAATGGTCTCAAATAGTTGGCACTACAAGGCCACCTAAAAAAAAGAGGAACTCAAATGAAGACAATAGAGAAAATTTTAAAAAGGGTCTTTAGATTTTGTGTATATTTGTAAATTCAAGGAGGTATGTTTCGAACATCTGAGGTGGAACAGTGTATGGTTTTCCCTGCTGACCCAAACAGTGTGGTGACAAATCAAAAAGCTGTGGATCCAGTTCCCTCTCTGGTTCCCCTTGCTAGTCTATGTCTCTGCTTAGAGTAAACCATGCATCAGGAAAAGGCTGAGGCCTGGGCTCAAACCCATTGAAGTATTGTGCTATTTAGATGGTCCTCTTTGCCTTTACTCTTGCCAAGGAGGTTAGGGTTACTACGGAAGGTTAAAAGCAGGAAGTCAGTTAGCAACTCAACCTAAATTTCATACTCTAAAAAACGAACAGATATCCTAAAAGACCATCCCTTTCTACCTATTACAGTATCAGGCAGAATAATCTAAAAATGAATAAATTAGAAAACCACCTCTAACATTAGGAAATAAAAATTTTAAAAGCACCTTTTTCTACTAGTAAATATTTTAAAGTCAAAAGCATTTGATAATTGTCTGCAATGAAAGAACTAGGTGATTTCAAATACAGTATCTGATATGGTTTGGCTGTGTGCCCATCCAAATCTCATCTTAAATTGTAGTTCCTATAATCCCCATGATTCATGGAAGGGACCAGGTGACAGGTAATTGAATCATGGGGGTGAGTACCTCCATGCTGTTCTCCTGATAGTAAGTGAGTTCTCGAGATCTGATGGTTGTATAAGGGGCTTTTCCCCCACTTCGCTCTGCACTTCTCCTTGCTGTCACCATACGAAGAAGGACTTGTTTGCTTCCCCTTCCACCAGAATTGTAAGTTTCTTGAGGCTTCCCCAGCCATGTGGAACTGCAAATCAATTAAACCTCTTTTCTTTATAAATTACCCAGCCTTGGGTATGTCTTTATTAGTAGCCTGAGAATGAACTAATACAGCATGTATGACTCAAAGTTCATCTTAAAGAAAGAGAGAAAAATACCAACAAAGTTGGGGATAGAGTTGTGAAGTTATAGTATCCCTGACAAATTAACTACAAGATTATCATACTCATGTGTTAGCTTTACTAGCATTAGTAATCTCTAGCATACTAAACAAAATGATTGGAGAGGAGAGACTAGAATCAGGAAAATCTATTAGGAGGTTAGGCCAAAGAAGTAGTAGAAGTTAGAGCAGAAATGTGATAGTAGAGTAGGACTCAAGCAATTCCACAAGTAGAATGATGAGAATTGGTGGCCATCAGGATGTGGTGAGTAAGCAGAATGGATATAGAAAGATTCTGAAAGCTGCTAGTTTAATGAGCAGAGTCAGTAATCCTATCGACTACTACAGGAAAACCTCGAGGATGAGTAATGTTTTGGTTTGGAAAGAAGATAAAAAATTTAATTTCATGCCAATTCATTTAAGGAATCTAATTTTCAGGAGTGAAAGACATGTAAATCAATATCAGGATAAAGACATTGAAGGGACTGGAATCACTAAGCAGAGATTATTGGAAGTGCCAAGAAGAAGGAAAACACCAGGAAAGATTAATGGGTGTAATATAAGTAAGAGAAAACCATTCAGGAAAAAAAGGATGTTTGATAATACCACATGACACTAAGAAACTACATGAGATGAGATTTGAGAGGAAATCATTAGATTTTCCAGTTTGGCAGTTGTTGGTAACTTTTCAAAAAATATGCTCAATCAGTTGTAGGGATTATTAGATTATTGCAAATCAAGAAGTAAAATGGTGTCTGGAAAGTTAAGACAAATACGTAGATTGTTCCTTGAAGACAATAGAAGGACATGGAAAAGATAAAAGTGAAGCCTTTGGTGTGGTCAGAATCAAAGGAAGTAGGCTTTAGTGTGTGTGTGTGTGTGTGTGTGTGTGTGTGTGTGTGTGTGTGTGTGTGTGCGTGCGTGTGTTTCTGCTTTTCTTGCCTAGAAGTGGCTTGAGTAAACCGATAAGAAACCAGCAAAGAGAAAAATTGAAGACTTAGCAAAGCAAGGGTATCATAATGGTAACAATGACTGGAGATAGAAGAAAAGAAATTGGGGAAAAAAAGAACAAAAAGGTGCCTGATTCAAATACAGATATATATCTGATGCCTATGTCCCTCCATTATAGAGGAGGGCAGTGGAGAGAGGGCAGAAAAGATCCACGGGGTCTTAGGGAAGAAGAGGAAAAGATCCCAAAGTGTGACATAAAATTACATATATACATAAAACTCTTTCTTTTCTTAAGGAAAATAAAGGCCAGGTGAATAATACATTTTAAGATGGTGTTTTAGTTTAATCTCCTCCCAAAGCAGGCCCTGCAGAAGAATTTGGCTACAGAAAACACAAAGACAATAAAACATGTGTTTATGACCATACTAAAGGGGGTTCAACACTCTTGAGACACTTGAAGAAATCACGTAAACCACCCTTTAGAATTGTTACACAAAGGTGAAAGATGAGGCGTTTAGCCACCAAGTTCTGTCTTATGTTGGCTGAAGGTTGTTCTCAGAAGCATTAAATACAACCTTTCCCACCTTTCTTTTTGCCAGAATTTGGGTTGAAGAAATTCCTGTGGCCCCTGAGAAGGCCTTCAGGCAGAGGGTGCTAGTTAGTGAAAGCTGTCAACTCCTTCATAATGGTCTGCTGCAGCTGCAGGTGAACTCAGAGCTGATGGAGAGGATTTGGGGCAGGACATCAAAGGTTAAAAGCTCTGAAGATGAAAAAGTGGATGCTCTCCTTACTGGCAACTTGAGTACATTACTACTATATGTAGACTCCAGCAGAATGAGTGTGCCATTCACTAAACCGAACCAAGTGCTACAAATCCCTTTCTCTGCATATCCCATTCTCTCTACCAAGAATCCCTTCCCTTCCACTGTGTCAAGAGATTCTCTACCACTGTTCATTCATGCTGGTAGATTAGGAAAGGCCATCTTGCCCCACCTTCACCCCCTTGCCACAGAAAGGCCCTCAAGGCCTTTTTCTCCCCTCTTCCATCCCAGGGGGAGATCTTACTAACACAATAGAAAATAATGAAAAAGACTTTATTCCTGTAATAGCACATCTGAGTAATGCTTTGAAAGGCAGTCAGTAATAGGCAAGAAAGCATTTTATTTACCTTTTAGGATGTTTCATGGTGAAAAATTTAAAAGATAGAAAACTTCCTTAGGAAATATAAGACCCTGTCCCTCCATGATAAAGGAGGGCAGTGGAGAGAGGGCAGAAAATATCAAGGAAATCTTAAGGAACAAGAGGAAGAGATCAAAGAGTGTGAAGAGAACTTGTGGATATTTATCCAAGATGAACTTTACGTGACTACTGGGGACTTGATAAGGGAAGAAAGGATATATTTTGCACCTTACTCTGGACTCAGTGTGCATGAATAATCGGCTAAGGGATTGGGCCTCCTCACTTTCCTGGACATTATGGCATGCATAATGGGTTATCTATGCATTCAATTAATTTTACATAGTGAATATGCTATGTGCCAGGCATTGAACTGTATGTCAGGGCATAATCATTAATCAGCAGACACGGTCCCAGCCCTCATGGCATTTATAGTCAAAAAATATTAAAGGACATTCTGTTTTATGATACTTTCTTCTGCTTCTCATATTTCCCATCAGTCTTATTTTGCCTCTTGAGTTTTCTTTCACATTCTGCCTTATAAGTATTTGTGTGCATGCCTGGCCTCACCTAAGAGATTAAGAGCTCCCTGAAGGCAAAGACTGTTTCTTCTCTCACACAATTACTGACTGACTCTGACTTACTGACTGAATGCAGGAGAGGTGATTGAGTGGGGGTAGCATTTGAAGTCTAGAAATGAGCATTTCAAGCCAATAGCATGTTTGACCCAATCTGCTCAGCTATATTCATAATGGTAGGAGAAGCTTCTTTGCCTGAAGGAGGCATGCCTCCTCTTACTTTATATCTTCAAAGAAACATATTTAATGATCAAGGCCATATCTGTTCCACTCATTTTGGGAACAACATTACATTGAAGTTTGAGCTTCAAAAATGAGGGGAAAAAAAGTTAATCTTTAGGTCACTCTTTCTAAGTTTGTGGGAATGAATATTCAAAGGGAACTCTTCAGTAAAGCATGTCAGACTTTCTAAAACGGTATGATTCCACAAGTAGATATAATAAAAGGCAGTAACTTAGGGACTGAAGCTGAGTTGAATGTCAAAAAGGACAAGGGCTTTGGACTCAGACAAAATGAACATGCTCACTTATTAATTGCATGAATTTGAACAAGTAACTTAATCTCTCTGGGCCTCAGTTTCATCTTTAAAATGGGGATGTTGATATCTCTTTCAGAGATTCATACGAATTCACTGAGAACTCTTAAGAAGAATGCCTCAAATATGTAACGCATAGTTGTCATAAATCACTCTAGAATTTATTTATTTCAATGGCAGATGTGACAAATATTTTAATACTTGTTTAAATGCATGACCAATTAGGTAATGAGATTTCTCTGGTAAGGTAATCGTTTAAAGGCGTTGCAAAACTAAATAATAATAGACAGCAAAGAATCACATATGATAATGGAGAAAATGCAAAATACAGTTAAAATATTGTTTTACCTAAAAGAGGAGTGCCAATATGTTTATGGGAGAATATCAAAAGGTATTATTATACTTAATTAAATTTAATGAAAAAAACTTAAAAATCTTAAACTTTCAAAATTTTTTGAGGAAGAAGAGTTAATCACAATTGACTGTCTCTGTAGGGAAGCTAACACATCAAGAATTCCCATAAAGCACTAGTCATATAACTTCTTCCAAGCCCCACTTGAAAGAAGCGATAAAATGTTGCATACTAATTTTTATTCCCTCTAACTCACCATAAAATCAATCAAACTATGTTCCTTGCTAGATTCATGATTTTCAGAGCAAGCAGAGACAAATTCATTCCAGTGTAGTGTATGGGAATTATCAACGCATACCTTAGAAAAGATACAGGATCGATATCTGTAAGTCCAGACATGCATCTGCTCAACATTTGCAAAATGAATATGCCAAGATGATACAAAATGGAAACAAACACATTCATACACAAATATGTGTACTTACATATCCACTTTCATGGGACTTTTTAAAGCCCTCCTGGCACTTTGTTTGTACCCCAGATGATATGCGCCATAGAATACTTTATATTACAATTAATCATGCAATTTTTAATCTCTTTTTAGACCACAAACTACAAAAAAATAAAGACTATGCCTTGCTTATCTTTTCACTGTTCAATTTTCTGTTATGCCAACATCAGGAACTAATCCTTAGCATAGCTTAAGAAAAAGAAGAAAATTAATGTTTTGAGTTTTTAATATATGCCAAACACTAAACTTGGAGTCTATTATAAAATATCTCATTAAATACATTATTGAATTTAATTTTTTAAAAGTGATGTGAGTCTCTTTGGCCTCTTGCAAAAGCTAAGATGACATCTCCTCTACTCCACCCAGGCCCCAGAAAAAGCTTCTTCATAGGGTACAAGTTATTGCACAGTAATGCAGTAGTTTTAACAAACAGCCACTAATGGCATAATTCCATCTTCCCAAAAACAAACTCGTGAATGAAAGTATTCATACTAATTTGTAAAAGTTTCGGTTTTAAGTCACAAATTAGAACACTTAGCATAAAGGAAATGTCTAAGAAATACATCTCATTAAAATAATGAGTCTATAAGTGTCATCATGTGTCAGCTTCAAAATTCTATTTTCCTGGCTAACTCATAAGTTATAGGTGATTGTGAAAAAGAAACTGGTGCAATCCTTTGAAATAATATGGAAATAAAATTAGAATTAGAGCCTTACATACGTGCAAAAGTATAATACAACCTACAAATAAAATGCAAACTCCACTTCCCTTCTCTTTGTTCTTTCCTCCCCAAAGATAAATAATTAATCAAAAGACTATTCCCCCTTTGAATACAATCATCTAAAGTAGTTGCCTCATATGTCTGTAAATGTGTGAGAAACAATTTTTATAGGAGTGAAAACAATCTCCTTTGTTATCTAACCTATGGTTTCAGGAGTGAAAAAGTAATTTCACTTAAACTCAGCAGTTGACTTGTATATGATAAACTGAGATTGGAAGGACAAAATTGACGCTGGGAAAGGAAAAGTTAAATTCAGGATTCTGAGTTCTGTTCAAATTGGAGAACACCAATGGGGAGACTGAAGCGCCTCTCCTTACTGAAGCAGCAGTTTGAAGTACTCTTGTGTAGTATAATAGAATAATTGACCCAATTAGGGCCCTATTCATCAGAAATTAGATTTCTGCAGGTGCCAAGTACAAAGGCTTTTGAGGGCCTTCTCAGCTTCTCACTAGCAACATTGGGAAATTGCAGGCACAACAAAACTGTACAATCTGCAATTTAATATCTTTTCTCAAGGTATCCACTGAACCTCACTTTAATTTTAAAGACAGATGAAAGAGACACAGATTAGGGTCTTTTTCCTTGCCTTTTTCCTTTTCTCGTGAGCCTATGGCAGGCCATCCTCTTTAACCCAGCTTTAAAGAAACACGTTCAAAAACAAAAACCAAAGACTGGGATTGAGTATTCACCTTTCATAGAGTATTCATTCCAAAGTCTGTCCAATTCAGGTGATGTATTTTAAGATTAATATTGTATTCATCATGTAAGGTCATAAAACTCAGAACGGCCTCAACCAAGTCCTTTAGATGCTTCTTCAGGGGCAATTCATATTGCACAGTTAAATATTTTTTTAAAGTTGGGTCTGAGGTTCTAAAAGAGAAACACTGATGTTCCTTCAAATTTTCCTGGGAGTATGGGTTAGGAAAGAGGTAAGGGAAGGTCCCTTTCCTCAAGATCAAGGGAAGTGAATTTAAACCCTTTAGTTTTCTGATAAAATGTTCCCTTTCACTGACAGGATGTGAAGCAATTCTCTCTCTCCTGACCTCCCCGTCTTTTCTTCCTTGACTATACATACAATCATGTTAATTTTTTTATTCTTCCTTATTTTCTTTATGGAATTTATTATACTCTGAATTATGTTTTGTACGTGTTCATGTGTCTTTACTTACATTGATTTCTGTATCTCCCATTAAAATGTATGTCCCAGGGAAATAAAGGCATTGTCTCACTTACTGCTATGGTCTCTATCCTTACTGTCTGGAAATGTGCAGGGCACATGGTAGATTCTTAGCGTATGTTGCTTGAATGAATGAAAAAAATAAATTTATTGTCCTCAGAGAAGTCTAAAATCAGCACATTAAAGGCATGCTTTTTTTTTTTTTTTTTTTTTTTTGATAGAGTCTCACTCTGTCGCCCAGGCTGGAGTGCAGTGGCACAATCTCGACTCACTGCCACCTCCCCACCCCAGGTTCAGGCGATTCTCCTGCCTTAGCCTCCTAAGTAGCTGGGACTCCAGGTGTGTGCCATGCCTGGTTAATTTTTGTAATTTTAGTAGAGACAGAGTTTCACCATGTTAGCCAGGCTGGTCTTGAACTCCTGACCTCAAGTTTTCCAACCGCCTTGGCCTCCCAAAGTGCTGTAATTACCAGCATGAGCCACCGCACTCAGGCAAGGTATACTTATTCTAAGAGAACCAACACCCCTGCCTTCCTTCAAGGGTTCAAAAGGAATATATCAGATCCTGTAACTAAACGGTACGGCTGAGCTTAGCTTCAAGCTAGAGTGTGTCTTCCTTCCATTTCCCAAATAAGATTCTTCAGCATTGGCTTCATTACCAGGGTAAACATGGTCACGATATGGCACAATCAGCTCCAGTTCCCACATGTACTCTGCACGTCACCAGAAACAGAAATTTTCTTATAGTTTAAGAAATATTATCTTATTGGCCTTGATTAGCCTAACTTGTGTTATGTGCCTTCCCTGAACCAATCCTTACACTATTATCAGGAAGCTCGTACATGGTGTTTAATCAGGTTAAGCCATGTGCCTTACCCGTGGATCCTGGGGTAGAGTCAACTTTACCCGATGCACATAAACAAGGAATGGGAAAAGTTAAGTTTCTCCAAACAATGCTGCAAAGGAGAGTGGTGGCTGGAAGTAAATATAAAAATGCCATAACACACAAATCAGTGGACACCCTTTAGTCCTTAGCTTAATCAAACTCTCTGCAGCATATGCTAAAGTTTACCTTTTCTTCAATTTTGAAATTTTCTCTTGTTCAACTTGAACTTACAACTCCACCATGTTTCTGACGGCTGCTTCTGGTTTACATATTCAGCTGCTTTTATGCTGTCTTCCCTTTAAATGTTGGTTTTCTCCAGGGTTGGTTGCTCATGCCCTTTCTCTCATTCTGTATGCTCTCTCAGAATGATTTAATCCATGCCCATTGGATCAGCTAAATCCTCAAGTCCTAAATTTTGGTCTTCAGATCAGACTCTTCTCCAATGCCACAGGTCCTATAAATCAAACTGTCTACTAGACCTTGCCACAACTGAAATAAAACATATTATCAGCTAAAAGTTATATCCCTTTTCTTCCTCCAGCCATCCCCTGATTACAATCCAGTTTCTCCCACTGCGTTGGTGATACTCAATTGAACTCAGCAAGGCCAAAAACTTACCTCAACTTCACACTTTCCAAACAATATACAAACACCAAATCCCACCAATTTTACTTCTTAAATATTCTCCAATACATGTATCATCTTCTCTTCATCATTATTGCCACTGTCTTGAGTTAGACCATCTTTTTTTGTTGTTTTGGTTTTTTGCCTAGACTATTGGGAGAGCCTTTTAATTTGTCTCCTTACTACAGTCTTCCTTTTTTCCTTCCAATCATCTTTTACATTGTTATTCAGAATATTTTTTAAAGAGTAAATCTGGGCCCAGCGTGGTGGCTCACACCTGTAATCTCAGCACTTTGGGAAGCCGAAGTGAGCAGAACACCTGAGGTCGGGAGTTCAAGAGCACCCTGGTCAACATGGTGAAACCCCGTCTCTACTAAAAATACAAAAATTAGCTGGGTGTGGTGGCAGGTGCCTGCAATCCCAGCTACTTGGGAGGCTGAGGCAGGAGAATCACTTCAACTCAGGAGGTGGAGGATGCAGTGGGCCAAGATCATGCCACTGCACTCCAGCCTGGGCAACAGAGCAAGACTCCATCTCAAAATAAATAAATAAATAAATAAATAAAATAATAAATCTGATCACATTCATTCAATAGTTCCTGTTGAGTATATTGGAGTTTAACATTCTTAGTAGGACATAAAACTCTATTGGTTTTATGGCCTTGCCGGCTTCCAGGCTCATCTCTTGCTGCTTCATATGGATCTTCTGTTACTCCCACGTTCTCCTCTGCTCTTCAGCTGTTATTTCCCCCCGCTCTGTATCCCTTAGGAAATTCCTACTCATCATCAGAGCTCAGCTCAAGTGCCAACAGAATTCTCCTGGGACAGACTCTGTTACCTGGGGAGAACTGAGCAGTCCATTTGCTTTGGTCTAATATCATCTTCTGTAAACTTCACTAATGCCATTTATTCTACTATTTCCAAGTGTTTGTGTTTTGTTTTTCATCTCGCACTAGTATGAGATCTCTTTAAAGGCAAGTATTGTACAGTGCCTTCTTCATCTTTGCATCCTACAACATGAGAGAGGGCATTGTATGGAAAATAAACATGCTTGTGGAATGAATATTACAATGACCAAGATGCTGTGAAATGTGTAGGTAACATATCATTTTTTTCATATATGGTGATATGCTCTGACTGTGTCTCTACCCAAATCTCATCTTGAATTGTAGTTCCCATAATCCCCATATGTTGTGAAAGGGATCTGATGGGAGGTAATTGAATCCTAGGGGCAGTTACCCTCATGGTGTTCTCATGATAGTGAGTGAGTTCTCACGAGATCTGATGGTTTTATAGGGGACTTTTCTTCCTTTGCTCAGCACTTCCCCTTCCTGATGCCACGTGAAGAAGGACATGTTTGCTTCCCCTTCCACCATAATTGTAAGTTTCCTGTTGCCTCCCCATCCCTGCGAAACTGTGGGTCGATTAAACCTTTTCTCTTTATAAATTACCCAGTCTCAGGCAGTTTTATATAGCAATGTGAGAACGAACTAACACATATGGAAACACTAGGATGTTTTTAAGTTCATAGTTTAAACTCACTGAGCAATGATCAATGGATAAATTAAGATAAAATTTATAGCTATGATTTTGACAATTTGCAGTGAATACCATTTCTCTTGGACCAGTAATTCTAAGCCTGAAACAATGAATAGTTGACAAGGTCCTCCTGAAATTGTGTGCAGAAACTTTATGTATATGTCTATTTTTCTGACAGAAGAGTCTATATGTTTCATTGATCTCAAAAAGAATTCATACTCTATGAAGCTTGAGAACTATGGTCCTAGATCTTATTTTCCCTATAAAACTATAGAATATAGATACAATAGTCATTAACACGTGTTGTATCACTTATATTAATCCATGGTATATTTGTTTTCCTTTTGAAGTCTCTTTTCTTTTTTATGTTATCAGAAATAGCAATATTTTGAAAGGAAACTAATGCAAACTAATTACCATGAAATTTAATATTTTAAATGATACACATACTTTTTTGCATTATAGATATAACAACCAAAATTATAGCAGGCATGCACTTTACATAAAGAAGATAGAGGTGCTATTACAATCACTCATAATTTGCATATATTTTGTAATATTTTTGAATTAAGTAGATGCAGTCAGTAAAATGGCAAGGAGACTCCAGCTTCAAGAGCCACAGACGTGGTCCAAACCCCAGCTTTAAAATCACAAAACTGAGCTGGAATTTCATATTCTTTTGTGTGAATTTGGGCAACTTAATGTACTTCATATCTTAATATCCAACTTGTGTAACATGTGGCAAATAATAGTACTGATCTTATATTGTTATTATGAGAATGAAATGACCTATTCATGATAACATACATGGCCTAGTGCCCTGGAATTTGTAAGGCCTCTATACTTGTTAACTATTACAACTCTTATTATCATGTATTGTCTTTAAAGTATTTTATTAAGAGAAAATCAGGAATCTATATAACATTTCCAGAAGCAACTAAAATGTCCTAGTATACCATTAATTGTTATACCCAAGGAAAGAGCCAGCCAATTGCCATTCACAGCCCTTAGCATTGCAAGACTTTAAAGGGATCTTTACCCCCCTTATGAATAAAACTGAGGTTGTATTAAATTACTCTTTTCCAGAGCTTTCTAAATAGGGATAGCTACTATACAAAGTAACCATTCAATAAATGTTCACTGCCTGGTTAGCTGATTGACTCTGGTATATTTGTTTTCTATTGCTGTACAACAAATTACTATTCAGTAGCTTAGAACAAAATGTATTTTCTACTTCTCAGTTTCTGTGAGTGAAGAGTCCAGGTATGGCTTAGCTGAAGCCTCTGCTCTAGGTCTCACAAGGCTGTCATCAAGGTATCAGTCGTGTTACAGTCCTTTCTGGAACTCTGAGTCTTTTTCTAAGATCCTGTGGTTTTGGTAGAATTCAGTTCCTTGCAGTTGTATAAATGATGTTCCCATTTTCTTTCTAACTGTGAGCCAGTGATCACCCTCAACTGCGAAAGGCCACCCTCAAGTCCTTGCCAGGTGACCTCCTCTCACATGTCGGTTCATTTTTCAAGACCAGCAAAAGAATCTTTCTCAATTCAAAAAGAGCTCCAGTTCCTCTTTTAAAGGACTTACCTGATTAGGTCAGACCCATCCAAGACACCCTCCCTTTTGATTAACTCAGTCTACTTATTATGGATCTTAATTATATCTGCAAAATCTCTTCTGCTTTGCCATATAACTAACATGGTTAACATTATGGAAGAGATACCTCACTGTATTCACGGGTCCCATGCACACTCAAGGTGGAAGATTATACCAAGTCATGGCTCCTTAGGGGTCATTTCCATAGTCTGTCTACCACATCTGGGCACCTCCAGACTAAATGTTTTGCTCAGTTCTCAACTCATATCACTTTGGGGATCTCAGAAATTGCATTTGAGGGGGTGAGCCAAATGAACCCAGGAGTCTGGAAGTATCTCCAGGTTTATTATCTAGCAAATAGCTTATTGTGTTAATTATTTTTTAAAGTCCATATACGGATGGTCAGGTAAATTATACATTTGCAGGTACATTCTCTTTTTTTAAATAAGTAGCATTTTTTAAGTTCAGCATTGTGTTTATCTTTGTATCTTTGTTCATAGGTAGAATGTAAACTTAGTGGGGGGCAATGAGAGTGCCAAATTCACTTTTATATTCCAACTGCCTTGATTTCAATAGTTAATTAAGGCCCACCCAACTAAACAGTTCGTATCTCTAATTCTCTTTAATTTAGGTCATTTACTTTGTTTGACCTTTGGATCTCCTATGTCCCTTAAGAGGAGGAGATTTCATATTTGTTTAAAATATTGTACAAAAGTCTATATAATTTGGTCCCTAGTCATTTCTAACAAGAATATTCTAGTTCTTTGTCAGAAAAAAAAAAAGAGAGAGAAATATATGTAGGCTTCAACCTGGTAACTCAAAAATGCCTTGGAAGCTACAGTTTCTTCAAAACCAGTTGAGGTCAGCGACATCACAGTGCTCTTTCTGAGGACGTCTGCTTCTTCAGCAACATCAGGCAGACAAATGTCTGTGAAATGACACTCCCCTTCTACCAGCAGAAGAAAACTGGACTCAGCCCTGTGTGTGTTGGGGCTTTGCATTTCTCTGGGAAGCAGAGGTGGCCTAACTTTCAAACTTACCACAGAACATTCTCCCTCAGAATGCCTGTAGCACAGGTTCCACATCAAAGGGAGCAGAATGGTAACAGCAGAGAATTGACATGACAGGAAAGACACGCTTAGTGCTCAAGTCTGTATAGGCAGTGGCTTCATACTGAACTTGTTCAATCTTCAGTGAAGCATGAGAGAAAAACAGAGACACACAAAAGAAAACTCACAGAAATCCCTGGATTCCTCTACACTGGAGAGACTGCTGGTGATTGATTAAGGTCACACTTTCATTATTTGAAGCCAGCTTAGTATTAGAGAAACATCTTTGCAGATCAAGACTTTAGCCCAAGCTATGTGGATATGTTTCAGAGAGTTCAAGAAGTCCCTGAAATAACAGGGAAACAATTTTTCCAATATGCCAGTTTGTGCATGTGACAAAAATGTCACTTGAGACATTCTCTGGCTTTAGAGCCTTAGATAAATTTCAACCAAACTTTTGGTTCAGGGCCTGGGGCACTAAAAAGCCCCACCCATAATGTGTGTGCCTAACTTGTGCCATTTTCTGTTTTGATACAGAATCAGGGCAGCCTGCTTTGTGCTGCAACACCTTCGACCAAAAGTGAAGCTCTGTCTGCTCCCATTTGCCTCCACAGGGAAATTCAATCACAGCAAATGCGTCATGAGTTTTATGGATGTAATAAAATTTGTGAGGTCATAGAGAAGCAGCTCATACAATTTCGCTGGATTTATTTCACTTCCTTCTTGTTAATATTCATACATTTTATTCTCTTGACATCTCTGTGTTCACCACATAGGGCTCTCCCTGTCTTATAAAGAGCACTGGGAAATATTGTCCAGTCCCTACATTCCTATATGACCCTTCTAAAATCATATGCCTTCTCCAGGTCTCCTACAACGTTGGAGAATAAACATTGTCCATCTGTATTTATGCCTCTGAGTTTTCTTCCTAGAGAGATGCAAAGCTTTCACCATATCCTCAACAAGGATGTGTAAGAACCCTTGCTTTGAGCCTATGCCCATAGTGGAAGGTTCGAAGGCATATTCCATTACCAAAAAGATGAATGACACAAAACACAAGAGCTCCTGGTAGGAACAGTGTTCATCTTTTCTCTATACCCTCAAAGGAGTTGAGATCCTCTCCAGGGCAAGGTGACTCGGCATCTCACATCCCTAATCACAGTCTTACTGGTCTGAGCCTCCTTCTTACCTATTTCCATTGTTCTTCTTCACCTTTGACCCTTTCCAGTGTGCACTCTGAAATTTTCTATATCTTATTAACAAATACACTTTCTTCACAGTCTTTTCTCTGACCATTCTGTCACCAGGGCACATATAGCTTAAGAATGCATGTTCTGAAATTAGTCTTCCTGTTTTCAAGTCTGTGTTCTATTATTTACTAACTCCATGAGTTTGGGCAACTTAATCTTTCATGTATATATTGGGATAATAATAGTATTCACCTCACAAGGTATTGTGAGGATTAAATGGGTAAATATGTGCAGAGAAATTAGGACGGAGCCTAATACACGGTAAGTCTACAGAAAATGTTTTATCTTTATTATTATTATAATCATCATCCATCGCCACCTCCTTGCTCCACCTAACATGGACTCCACCATGAAGATGCCACTTCTGATGCAGCCCCCGCAATGGAGGCTCTCATTTACCACACCTACCAAACGAAAAGCCTAGACAGAAAAGTTTGTCAGAATGTCGACTCAGCAACATGTTATTTCAACATCCACATGCCTTTTAGTTATTTGACCTCCTCAGATCTGGTTGTCTTCATTTACATTCCCGAACACTCCTCGATTGTTCATTATTCAGAATGCATGCAGGTCAAATATCTTAAACCTCAATATGCTACTCTCTGGGCACAACCATCTAATCATCCACATCCCTCAAGCCACTATGTTGGTACTATGATCTCACTGAGACCTGGGATTCTATGGTCTTCCATTTTCTTGCAGCGTAGCAGACTGCTACTGGCCTCCTGGCCTCCCTTCTCCACCTTGCCTGAATGCTGCAGTTCATCTGTGGCACTACCCCATCTCCAATCCTCTCAACTCTCTGGTACCTCTACCCTTCTTCGATTTTCTTTAAGCATAAACTCATCCTAAATTAGTGATACAAACTCTTCTCTCTTTTCCTATAACAGAATGGTAAGAATCCAGAAAAGATATTATTTTGTGACCTTAGGCCATTAAAGATTAGTTTTTTAATTTCAGTGGGGTTGGCAATACCACTAGAAGTAGTATTTTCAGATCACTTTATTCTTTGTCCAGAGAGAGGACTGTGGTGAGCTGTGAATATATTTAACTGCAGATTTCAAAGGCTGGGGTAAAAGTGACAGAATGGAAGTACAAGCTATATGTTCCTATAATGTAGACTGTCTAAAGTCCATTTTCTGTAATAAAGAGTACTAATATTGTGATTAGTTTCAATTAATTTTTTGTTACTAGTGCTTATCACAGACATATATGATTGCTGAATGTATAAATTATATAACTAATAAGATAAAAAGCAAGGGGCATGGAAAGTAGAAAAAGTAGGAATGAGAGATAGGCTTTCTGAAGATAAAAAGAGGTAAGACGTGTAAAACATTTAGTACATTGCTTATTACACGGTAGCCCTCTAAGTTCTAGAATTTTATCTCATATTTCTTCTCATTTTCTTCCTTGTATTTCTTCTTATTCTCCTCCTCTCCTCTTTGTTTTGCATTGTAAATAGTATCATTATCAATACTATGAAATTATGAATCTAAGAGAATCAACCTCAGCAAGCCAATACATATGGACAAAAGTTAAGAAGTCAAAACGAAGAGAAATCCTTTGTCTGATTAAGTTTGCAGAGGCTTTTCACAGTCTTTATAACTGAAGGCCACTTGACCAAGATGAGAGATATTGGTAAATTTTGTAGCCCTAAGTGCTTTAGGTAGAAGGTATATTTATATAGAGTTTCTGTTATCCATGATGTTCCCATTAGTTCAATAATTGCATGAGTACCTCTCCTGAATTACGTAATGATCTATTACACACATACCTATTGATGTAAGATAGGAGAAACACCAATGTGGATATGCCTTAAGTGTTGGAGGACACATCTAGCTTTTATTTTACCCCCTTATCATATATACTGTCACAGGTAAGTAATTTATTCTACAAGCACGTATATATTTATTCATTCAGCAATCATATATGTGCTGTGCTAAGCACTAGTACCAAAAATTAATTTTAAATAATCATAGTATTGGTATTCTTTATTATAGAAAATGGAATTTAGACCCAGTCTGCCTGTTTGAAAAATAAAAATTATAGTAACTGCTTATCTACATTAAAGAAGTATTGGGAGAACGGTTGTAACAAATAAGTCAAAATTATTCACATAATTGTGATATACCAAAAATATTATTTCTTCTTTTAAAGTTAACTAGATTAACAGTTCAGGGCTATACAGTACACTCTGTGTGTTCTAATTTCAGCCATGACATGTATGAAGTATTTTAAAATATGATAATGAAAAAGATGATGTCTTACAGGACACCCAAAAGTACAATTTGGTTAATTCATAAAGTTTAGAAAATGAATGAATAGTAGTGGTTTTATTCCTACATAGTGTGTATGTGTGTGCGTGTGTGCCTGTGTGTGTGTGTGTGTGTGTGTTTGTGTGTGTGTGTGTAGGTTTTACTCTTAACATAGTGGTGCTTTTCAATGTTTATCTACAACTTGTATAAAAAATAAAGTCAAGCTTACCAAATTTGAAGGTGAATTAAAAATATAAACACAGTACACATAATAAATGTCATGGCTGTATTTCAAAAAATAGGTATAACATGGCACACAAACTGAAACAAATAAGATTAAATTTATTAAAAAGAGCTAAGAACTTCTATATTTAGGTTATAAAAGCAGCTAGACAAACATAGGTTGACAGGCAGCAAAATGTTTAACACTTCACATGAAAAGAAAAAAGACTTTGTAGTAAGAGTTTAACATTTGTGTAACTGCCTACATCCCCATTCTCACTGCTAAGTATTCCCTCATGACAGTCCTAGCCTGCAGTCTTGAATATATATTGCACAGAAAACAGAAAGAAACAATCTCATATATTCTTTCCTGGTCAGACAACCTAATGAATAGTTGGAAGAATAAGGAATTTTCAACTTGGAGAAGAAAATTATATAGGGAGAGTCTACGTTCAAACAGCCAACAGCTACTAGGTGGAAAATGGTTTGAATTTATTATTATGTTAAAGAGAAAAGTGAGGTCTGATAGGTTGATGTTCTAGGAACAAGGGTTTAACTAGCAACATTTCTAATATTGTGAACCCTCCAGGCTTCCTGTCCTGGACACATTAAAGTAAGTGTTCATTACCCTTTTATCTGATGTAAGAATTATCCATCCCTGCCTGAAGAGAGGCGTTGGACTTGATTTCAAAAATTTTCTTCAAGCTAAAATCCTGTGAATCCTGAGTCTCCATGTAATTTGTTCATATTTCAAGGAAAAACACATGGAAAAAATCAGTAGTTTTATATGTATAATGTGGTTTTAGTTAACTGGGGGAGGGGGTATTGGTTACCAGACCTGCATTATATGCTTGGCTTTGCAACTCACTTGAGTGACCTTGAAAAGATTACTTAATCTTCTACCAGTGAAGGAGAGGTAAGAGGCTCCATTGTCACACATTTAACCTGTAAAATTATTTCTACTAATGAAAGCCCATGGAGAAGCTCAATATGCAAACAGAAATAAATTCCCAGCTGGTGTGATTTCAGTAGGAATGGTCATGGCCTACCCAATTCCTTGTCCTGCCTCCCTGCAACGATATGTCTCCACAGTCAGCCCAGGATGGGGCTTCATAGACATCCAGAGCCTGCTCACAGTCAAGTTTCAACACAAACCAACCAACCTGAGATAAATGGCTTCTAGAATCTTATCACCTCTATCTGAATTTACATTGTTTAGATATATAATGTGTCTTGAAAATCAATCATGTTTTATCTCTGTCCCAAATGTTTTTTATTTGATATTAACATTCAGCTTATATCAAAGAATTTTAGCATTGAAAATGCATTGTTTTATGGCTTATTTTAATACTATTCAAAAAGGTATGATACAATAAATTGCTCTATTTTTTGTTTCCCTATTTATACTTTAAGTGAACATAAAACATTTTTCTTATACTATTAATATGTAGTTACATGTTGTTTGCCACACATTCTTCACATATACATTTCATATGTATTTCATACATGATTGATAGCATATAGTATATATAAATACATAATGCATTTATATATGGACCACATTTAAAATCCTTTTTTTCAATGGGTAAAAACCCCAAGGAAATATTTTAGCTCCTTTCAACCTATTTTAAAAACATCACCAGTTTCTAAGTAGCAATGTAAAATGAATGTGCAATTAATAGTTCTAAGAAATGGGAATAGCATAATATTTTCACTGTGATGAACTTCTGGCATTTAAAAGGACTTTAATACGGATAGCAAATATCTCAAGATACAATTGAGTTGTGAATAGTTAGGTTTGTGAGCAAGGATGAAATCTCCAGCTGGAATATTCAAAGATAATCATTTAAAGATTTTCTAGTTTTCATGATTGGCCAAAAATAAAATTGTTAAACTTAACTTGTAACCCAGTAAAAGAAAAATTAAACTAAAATAGTCACTAATATAGGTAGAAATAATAAGAGGCAGATGAAAACAAGCAACAACAAGAAATAATAAGATATTGATGAAAACAAGTAATTACGGGACACTCATCATTTCCCACGATAGAACTGATATTTCTTAAATGTTATCATCACAGTGTACTTAGCAGTAGTCAAGACTTTATTAAAATACTCAATCTTGTTTAGGGCGAACAAATTAAGTTACCTGTGGGACTACAAAGAAAGCCCTGAAGAAAGTTACAAATATCTTTCACTAACAAACTAGCATATGTCTTAAGTCATAACATGTAAATTATGAATATTTTGACCACAGTTTCCTCACTGAACTATTGCATAAATATCTGTAATTCAATACTGTTAAATCCTTGAAGCATAGATCCTAAGAGGGAAGCACAAATAGGCAATATCATTGATCTTGATATTGAGGCATGTGCCACTTATCAGAAAACAGTAAACACAGGCTTCTGCAGTTACCCGAAACTCTCCTGAAAAATGACTTAACACAAGAAGAAAGCTAACTCCTCTCCTATTCCTGTGTTCTCCTTCATTGTTTTTATTAACCAAAGTCCTGAAAGAGTGGTTTGCACTCTGTCTGCACTTCCTCTACTGTTAATGATTTAGCCTTATGAAATCTGGTGTTTTCTTTCATCATTCAACTAAAATGTCTTCACTTCAGATCACAAATGGCCTTCCAGTGGCAAATTGAATGGACACTTTTAAATTATATAACCTGATCTTACTCTAGCATTTGAACAGATTTTGATTGCATGTAATTATTGTGATTCCGTTCTCTTCTGGTTCAATTATTACTCCTCTGAGTATAATTTTCACTCACTGACTGATTTCCTTTTTGCCACTTGGCTCTAAATGTTAGTGTTCCTCAAGGTTCCATGCAACGCCCTCATTTTCTCTGTGTACTTAGTCTCACCAGGCAAACTCCTCCACCCTGGGGTGTTTTCAGCAATCATCTATATCACAATGCCACAGATAGTGAGATGTCCGGCTTTGCTGTTCGTCTACTTTCCAATGCCACTTTTTCAACTAAATAAATGATTTTTCCTCTAGTGTATTCCATAGGCAGCCAAAATTAAGGATGTTTAAAGTAGCACTTCTTAATTCAAACTTCAAATTCTTCCCAGTTAATTTTATCATGATTTCATTGGGTAGCCATATTAGAAACTTTAGATCCTTCTTAAATCTTCCATCTATTTCACCTTCTACTCCCAACACCAGTAGATTATTAATACTAAGCACTGCTGATCTTCCCAGGTTAATATTTTTACAATTATTACCGCTGTCCATTCTCCTCTGCCTTACTTTACTTTATTCTTCTTGCCTCAAATCTTACTTTCTCTAATTCATTCTCCTTACTGTTAACTAAAATGATCTTTTAAAAACATAAAGAAAATATACTTGATATCTTAATTAAAAATACTTAATATTGTCCCATTGGATAAAGGACATAATTCAACTTCTTAACCATGACATACAAGTGCACATAAAATTATTGATGCAGCCCTTCTCCACCCTACCCACAATACATAGCACACATGGCCTCTATTACCTCTTCAAGAATCCTCCATTATTCCCATTTCTTTTGCATTTTCAATATCTCCCCATTAGCTCCACTTTTCAGCATAGATACATGCATATTATAAGTTTAAATGTAAACTGTTTGTATTTCCTTCATCTGTTTCTCTATAGCTATTAGTCCTACATTTACTCCCCTATTACTGCTATAATTTCGCTTTTTCTGTCACCTTATTGCCTGTGCCACCAGCTATGTTAAGCAATGTTCCTCTAATGAACAAATTCAGTAGGCATTATTTAGAACTTACCTTTTATAAGTACTCAACAGGATTTGATATTTTTAGTCTCTTTCTTTTTAAATAAATCCACCCCTTGGCTTTTATTATATGACTCTCCCCGCTCTCTACCTACGCATCTGCCTATGAGATGATGGAGTTTCTCGGGATCCCTAACAAGTGCACTTCTTGTCTCTTTCTGAATCTATACACTATCTCTGGAAAAATCCATCTACATCTATGGATTCATCTATAGCATTTTTTTTGCTCTGCTTTTCAAATTGAGATATATAGCTTAGTTCTTGGTTTTCGTTTTTGTTTTTTCTAAACTACCAACTTAAATCCACATAACTATTTACTGGACATCTTTATCAGATGACCCTGCAAATACTTTAAACTGAAGATGTCTACAGATTGAACCAATAATCTAAATTGACCCAAAGCTAGGCAAAGTAGCGTCAAGGCCTTCCACCATCAGGCAAAACAGTAATCTGGGAAATATACTAAATTATTCCTGTGCTCTCTCTACCATCATCACCACAGAAAATATGTTACCAAGAACTTTCAATGCTGTCTCTTAAATATCATTCACATTCACCATCTGTCATTCCCTCTGTCTTTATTCAAATCTCATCCTTCTCTCACCAAGATCAATGTAGTCTCATTACTGAGTTCTCAACCACTATTCACATGAACTACATAAAACAGAAAATGAGAACAAACATAGTATAAATTAACAAAAATTACATTTGTAAATTAAAATAATATGGCTACTTATTTATATGTATTATAATTTAAAAGTTGAAAAGAAATTTAGTTATAACCAAAGATTATCTGAAATGGAAAAAGAATGAAAAAATTCTCATAATGAGAAAAATCAATAAATAAAGGCAAAAGAATATTCTTTGCTTTTTGCTTACAAATTCTTGTTTTGTACTGACAAAGAAATTTTGAGTTAGAAGAAGTCTCATTACTCACACAGCTCAGATTGAAAAGAGAGGAGAAAAAGTGGCATGATGAGTCATTATTAATCTCAGGCCTCTGGTGAACACACAGTAAATTGGATTTCTTTCTTTCTTTGTTTCTTTTTTTGGCTCACTGTAAGCTCCGCCTCCCGGGTTCATGCCATTCTCCTGCCTCAGCCTCCCAAGTAGCTGGGACTATGGCGCCCGCCACCACACCTGGCTAATTTTTTTGTATTTTTTTAGTAGAGACAGGGTTTCACCGTGTTAGCCAGGATGGTCTCGATCTCCTGACCTCATGATCCGCCCGCCTTGGCCTCCCAAAGTGCTGGGATTACAGGCATGAGCCACTGGTATTTCTTTCTTTCTAAGATGGCTCAACTAACAACCCCTGTTAAGGCTTTGTGTTTTAGAAGGCTGGTGCTGTGGACTGACTGTGTCCTCCCGAAATTAATATATGAATCCTTAATCCCCGCTGTGATGGCACTTGGATATGGAGCCTTTGGGAGGTAAGCAGGTTTAGATGAGGTCATGAGAGTGGAGCTCCCACAAGGGGATTAGTGTCCTTATAAGAAGAGGAAGATACTTCTTCTTTCTCCCTCTCCCATGGGAGGATGTAGCAAGAAACTGGACATCTATAAGCCAGAAAAAGTGGCCTCACTAGAACAGAATTACCTAGCACATTGATCTTAGACTTCTCAGGCTCCAGAACTGTGAGGAAATAAATTCTTGCAGTTCAAGCCACTCAGTCTAGAGTATTTTGTTATGGCAACTGGAACAGACTAAGGCAATTAGTTTGTTTAGTCTTAGACAGCTAAGAGCTGATAACATGCTATGAAGAAAATCCAGTTTTTGTTATCTTCTCATGCTCACGTTGACTCTACATGAAAATCCTGCCAAACAAAATAATCATTTAGTAGTGGGCCATATTTGTAATTCTTTTGTGGCGATCTAAATTTGATATATAACATTTATTTTCCAGGTCCAAAAAGCTTACAAAGAAATTTTTATATCACTATCCTAAGCCAATACATTCAAGTTTTTGTTCATTTTTGAAATAAATCAATGCAGTGGTTGTTGTGCACCCTGTTGAAAAGCAATGGCTAATTATATTTGTTACAAATCACCTTGAGTAAAGTAAAATACAACATAATTAAGAGTAGATAAAGAAAATAAGAAATCTGAAAGTAGGCATTGTTTTAGCCACTCAATGACATCAAGGGCAGTATTTCCCTGAATATCTGTGGTTGCAAATGGCTGTGATAATCCTAATTTGGGGTCTAAATCCAGGCAACAAGAAGGAAGGAAGATGCCTGCTGCATCTGTTCTTTTTAACAGGAAAGCAAAAGATTTCCTAGAAACATTCCCATGAGACTACTTTTAATATATCTTTGACCAGAACTGTACCACCTGGGCACCCACAGTGTGAATGGAGACTGTAAGAGCAAGTCTCAAGCTGTTTCAACCCTTACAGTAGAGGCAGGGAAGGAGAAGAGGATTGGGAATGGGTTTTTGGTTAATTGACCAATAGCATCTGCTACTCCAATTATCCATCAACTGATCCAGAATTATTATTATTTATTACAAAAGTTAACCAGAACGCCTCAACTCTTAGAAACATAGGATTTAAAATATCACTTCATGGAAACAGGTTCTTTCTATCTTTGAATACCTTTCATAGTATTAGGTCGAGTCAGGGTGACTTATCTCCTTAATAAAATGAAGAAAAAGTAAAGTAAGAAGATTCAAAGGTCTTTACAAACAGCTCAGGTCTGTGAATTTTTTTTAAGGTTATTATATTTGTATATCAGGCAAGGTTTCTTGTATGTCTTTAAGAAGGGTTGTTTTGTCTTGGAATTCAGTGCTGGTTTCCTGAAAGAAAGCCAACAAGAGAACATCAGCTCAAAAGCAGTGAGTTATAGTGCTGGAGAGCTCAGCAACTGTGTCAAGTAGAGATAAGTTCAATTCCTCAATCCAGTCCCTACCAACCATATTACTGCAAGAAAGTTATTAAACCCATCTAATACTCTGTTTCCTTACCTGTAAATGAGAATTATAATATTTACCTCATAGGGAGGATCCTTGTGAAATATGAATAGAAAAATTTATGTAGACTTAACCTTGAGAAACATACTTAGTGTTATTGGGCAAACTGCTAGTTGCCTATCCAGTAACCATTTACCACTCTACATAGGCATGTGTATAATTAAAGACCACAACTCCTTTGCGGATAAGGGTCACCATGTGACTAGATTCTTATCAGTGAGATGGAAGCATTAAAGTTTCTCAGGCATCTTTAAAAACGGTGCCGAAGAGCTGGCACATTTTGCCCTTTGCCTTTTCTTTTCTCCCAACTGATGACTGGTGTCCCAGCCATCATCTCATGACCAGCAGAGTATAAAACCAAACAAGTCTTAAGCTTCTTGAAACTTCTTTTAAGTTATTTTTACAATAGTATGCTGCTTTATTTTGGGGTAGTATAAAGTATTATCTACTCATTTTTGGGGGTTACAACTTTAGTTTCACACAAATTGTCAGCAAAGGCATACATTCAATATGGGGGACCATAGAAAATCTTAAAAAGGAGCTTACTGTGTTTATTATCCTCAGGGTAGAAAAAAAAAGCCCTCACTATCCATGGAAATGATATAAAAAAAGAAGGAAGGTTTCTTTTATTTCTTCTGTTCTCATGAGAATCTGTCTTATAACTATGTAATAAATTATGAAAGGCCTGAAGAATATCATATTCTCTTCTCACACTTGCTACATAATTTTTTTCAATGAAAATTATATGACTCATAATCTTAAGACATATTACCAACTACAAAATGAATGATATTAGAGGAAGTCAGCTTAGCTCAAAGCTTTCCAGGCAACCCAATAATAATTTGTTGTCCTTCTCCTTAAAAAGGCATAAAGTGAACCCTGTGCTAAGAACTATTTATAATAAACAAGTAAAGCCCGAAGAGGTTGATTAAAATACCTTCAAATTGCATATTTTGACATTAAATGAAAAACCTCTTCAGAAATCTATTCGTGATTAACATTTTAAGTGATCTTTAGGAGATTATTACAAGACCTATAAAGAATGGAGAAAAGCAAAGTTGAGCTACAAATAGAAAATATTAACATACTAACTCCATTTAAATTTATTTCTTTTGCTTCTTCACTTGCTTCAATAATTTGATATTAATCTATTTACAATTGTTATGAAAAACTTTAAAAAGGCAAAAGGTTTTTTTTTTTTTAATAAAAAGCTCCAGAAAACAAAACAAAAAAAAGAAAACAAACCTAAACATAAAACAATGGAATGACTATTTAGGTGGTGTGGAATGAAAGGACACAACAAATCAATTACTAGGGTTGGAAAAATGTCATTGTATCTAGCAACAATCTGCATATCTTGACCTCAGCAAAACAAATTTCAATGGATCACTGAGATGGTATGAGGGTAGGTGGCTGATATATCAGTAAAGATATTAATAAGAGAGAGAGAAACAAAATACAAGCAAAAATACCAAATAGGGTGAGAAAGAAAGGGTGACTATGTTTTTTACAACATGGCACAGTCCTCTGTTCTTTAATAATACTTTTGTCTTGCTTCACACTCAGCTATCTCTTCTTGGTGTTGCTGACATACCTGTCTCTAAGAATATCTTCTCCATAGACACCTTCTAAAGATTTACTAAGAACATTCAAAACTTGGTACACTACATATTCAAGCTGACTAGAATTGTTTATAAACATTAAGTAACTTGTGATTAATAGACAAGTAGCTCTGGCCTGACAATAAAGTACTTGTAGAATTTAACATTTTAAAATAATTCTCTGCTTATTTCTTGGCTGTGTTCTTAATCTTCAATGTTATCAGATGAGTAATGTGTGAATGACTGAATTATTCCTCTGCATAAGACTTCTGATCATTCTTGGAGGATCTATGATATAGGTCCTTGAGATAAATGCTGGAAAGTGAAAGTCACTGAGGATTTCTCCTGAAAACATATCACTGTGGCCCACTGAGAAGCTCTGAGATCATTCCCAAGAGTCTTCTTTTTAGCCCCTTGGCTAGAAACAATTATTTTGAGAATCTTTTCATCAGAAATTTGAGAGTACATAATTTCTTATTACTTAATCAAAGCTATAGGTGGAATGGTATGTGGCATTTTAAAACAAATTTAAATCCTGACTCAAGATTCAAGTTAAGTTGTAGTCTAAAAATCCTGAATACCAATTGCTGAAATATATTCATATTTCAAAATGTACACTTTGATACCAAAAAGCCTAGCAATTTTCTTGTAAGATGCACCTATTTCATCAATCATATTTTTTAATACTGCTGCTGTAATTGGCATATGCTCTATCAGTAACTTTAACAGTACATCTACTCATTTGAAATATGCATCTGGAGCCTTTAAAAGCATCATAAGAGAGTAATACTTGTTATATCAATTTGGCAGCATCTGTTGTATCATTTTCTATATAAAAATTAAATAGTTAAACACTGGTTCATTCCTTAATCCAACAAAAAAGAATTTATCTATGACTTTGGCTTTGCAAAGAGATAAATCTATTCATTATAATTGCTTTAAATTCTATTCTGAGTTTAACAGATAGAATGCCAAAAGAAAAGAATGCCATTTCTGATATGCTTATTAACATTTTCTAAGGATTAGAAAGTAATGATCTATAATAATGACAGTCAAAAGCTATTTACCTGTGTATTTTAGTATAACTCATTGTTATTATAATGATACCACTTAAACCTCTAGAGTCTTTGTTTATATAAACCTTATGGGGTTGGAAGTTTTATCTGAAGCTTCTCTAAATCAATTTACATGAGTAAATCTGACTAACCATTTCTCAAACTTGGTTCTTTTGTTTTCTATGTGATTTGTTTCACGTTGCATTAAAATAAGGTTTTTGTCCTATGACATACAAAGATTTATTTATTTTTTTTCACTTTTATTTTAGGTTCAGCGGTACACGTGCAGATTTGTTATATGGGTAAGTTGCATGTGACGGGGGTTTGCTGTACAGATTATTTCATCACCCAGCTAATAAGCATAGCATGTGATAGGTAGTATTTTGATCCTTGCCCTCTTCGCACCCTCCACCCTCAAGCAGGCCCCTGGGTTGTTGTTCTCTTCTTTGTGTACCTACGTGCTCAGTGTTTAGCTTGCATGTGTAAGTGAGAACATGCAGTATTTGGTTTTACATTTCTGTGTTAGTTTACTTAGGAAAATGGCCTCTGGCTCCATCCATGTTGCTGCAAAGGACATGATACTGTTTTTTTTATGGCTGTGTAGTATTCCATGGTGTATATATACCACACTTTCTTTATCCAGGCTTCTGTTGAGGGCATTTACATTGATTCCATGTCTTTGTTATTGTGAGTAGTGCTGTCATGAACATACACATGCATGTTTCTTTGTGGTAGAATGATTTATATTCCTTTGGGTGTATACTGAATAATGGATTTTCTGGGTCAAATGGTAATTCTGTTTTAAGTTCTTTGAGAAACCACCAAACTGCTTTCCACAATAGCTGAATTAACTTACATTCTCACCAGTATCCTTTTCTCTGCAACCTCACTAGCATCTGTTACTTTTTTACTTTTTAATAATAGCCATTTGAACTGGTGTGAGATGGTATCTCATTGTGGTTTTGATTTGCATTTCTCTAATAATTAGTGATGTTGAACATTTTTTCATATGCTTGTTGGCTGTGTGCAAGTCTTTGAAAGGTGTCTGTTCATGTCCTTTGTCCACTTTTTAATGAAGTTGTTTGTTTTGTGCTTGTTGATTGGTTTAAGTTCCTTACAGATTTTGGATATTTGGCTTTTGTCAGATGCATAGTTTGCAAATATGTTTACCCACATTGTATGATGTCTGTTTACTCTGTTGATATTTCATTTTGCTGTGCAGAAGTTGTGCATGTGACAGGGGTTTGCTGTACAGATTTTTTCGTCACCCACCTAATAAGCATAGAATGTGATAGGTAGTTCTTTGATCCTCATCCTCAGGATTAATGAGGTCCCATTTGTCAATTTTTGTTTTTGTTGCAATTGCTTTCAGTATCTTTGTCATAAAATCTTTGCCAGGTCTTATGTCCAGAATAGTATATCTTAGGCTATCTTCCAAAGCTTTATAGTTTTAGGTTTTATATTTAACTCTTTAATTCATCTTGAGTTGTTTTTTGCAAATAATGTAAGGAAGGGGTCCAGTTTTAATCTTCTGCATATGGCTAGCCAGTTATCCCATCACCATTTATTAAATAGGAAATCTGTTCCCCATTGCTTGTTTTTATCTACTTTGTTAAAAATCACATGGATTTAGGTGTGTGGCATTATTTCTGGGCCCTCTATTCTGTTCCATTGGTCTATATGTCTGTTTTTGTACCAGTAACATACAGTTTTGGTTATTGTATCATTCTAGTATTCTAGTGTAGTTTGAAGTTGGGTAATGTGATGCCTCCTGCTTTGTTCATTTGTGTAAGATTGCCTTGCCTATTCAGGCTCTTTTTTGGTTCCATGTGAATTTTAAAATAGCTTTTTCTAGTTCTGTGAAGAATGTCATTGGTAGTTTTATAAGAATAGCATTGAATCTGTAAATTACTTTGGTCAGTATGGCCATTTTAACAATATTGATTCTTCCTATCCATGAGCATGGAATGTTTTTCCATTTGTTTGTGTCATCTCTGATTTCTTTAAGTGGTCTTTTGCAATTTTCAGTGTAGAGATCTTTCACATCGCTGGTTAACTGTTATTTCTAGGCATTTTATTCCTTCAGTGGTTATTTTGAGTACGATTGCTTTATTGATTTGGCTCTCAGCTTGGATGTTGTTGGTGTACACGACTGCTACTTATTTTGTACATTGATTTTGTATACTGAAACTTTGCTGAAGTATTTTAACAGATTAAGGAGCTTTTGGGCAAAGACTATAGGGTTTTCTAGGTATAGAATCGTACTGTCTGCAAACAGAGATAGTTTGGCTTTCTCTCTTCCTATTTAGATGTCTTTTATTTCTTTCTTTTGTCTGATTGCTCTGTCTAGGACTTCCAGTACTATGTTGAAAAGGAGTGGTGAGAGAGGACATCCTTGTCTTGTGCAGATTTTCAAGGGGAATGCTTTCAGCCTTTGCCCATTCAGTATGATGTTGGCTGTGAGTTAGACATCTCTTACTATTGTGAAGTATGTTCCTTCAATTCCCGGTTTGTTGTGGGTTTATAACATGCAGAATGTTTAATATTATCAATAGACTTTTCTGCATCTACTGAAATGATCATGTGCTTTTTGCCTTTTAGCTCTATGTGATGAATCACATTTATCGATTTGCATTTGCTGAAGAAAGCTTCTATCCCAGGGATAAAGCATATTCGATTGTGGCAGATTAGCTTTTTGATGCATGCTGGATTCACTTTCTTTGTTAGTATTTTTTCTGAAGATTTTTGCCTTTATGTTCATCAAGGCCTAAAGTTTTCCTTTTTTGTTGTGTCTCTGCCAGCATCTAGATGATGCTGGCCTCATCAAATGAATTAGGGAGGAGTCCCTCCTCATCGTTTTTTGGAATAATTTTAGTAGGAATGGTACCTGCTCTTCCTTATACATCTGGTAGAATTTGGCTGTGAATTCATGTAATCCTGGAATTTTTCTAGTTGGTAGGCTTTTTATTACTGATTCATTTGGGAACTCATTATTTGTCTGTTAAGGGATTCAATTTCTACTATTTAAACCTTGAGAGAGTCTATGTTCACAGCAAATTATCCATTTCATCTAGGTTTCTGGTTTGTGTGCATAGAGGTATTCATAGTCATCTCTGAGAGCTTTTTGTATTTCTGTGGGGTCAGTGATAACATCCCCTTTGTCATTTTTATTCTATTTGAATTTTCTCTTTTTTTATTAGTCAAGTTAGCAGATAATCAATCTTATTTATTCTTTCAAAAAACAAACTCTTGGAGCCATTGATCTTTTGTATAATTTTACACAATTCAATTTCCTTCAGTTCAGGTTTGATTTTGGTTATTTATTGTCTTCTGCTAGCTTTGGGATTCATTTGCTCTTGGTTCTCTGGTTCCTCTAGTTATGATGTTAGGTTGTAAATGTGAGATCTTTCTAACTTTTTGATGTGGACATTTAGAAATATAACTTGCCTCTTAACATGCTTTATCTGTGTCCCAAGCATTCGGGAATGTTGTATCTTTGTTTTCGTTCATTTCAAAGAATTCCTTGATTATATTGTTTACCCAAAAGTCATTCAGAAGCAGGTTGTTTAGGCTAGGTGGGGTGGCTCACGCTTGTAATCCCAGCACTTTGGGAGGCTGAGGCGGGTGGATCACTTGAGGTCAGGAGTTCGAGACCAGACTGACCAACATGGTCAAAACCCTTACTACTAAAAATGCAAAAATTAGCCAGGCGTGGTGGCATATGCCTGTAGTCCCAGCTACTTGGGAAGCTGAGACAAGAGAATTGCTTAAACCTGAGAGGCAGAGGTTGCAGTGAGCTGAGATTGCACCACTGGACTCCAGCCTGGGCAACAGAGCAAGACTCCATTTCAAAAAAAAAAAAAGACAAGAAAAAAAAAAGGAAGAAGCAAGTTGTTTAATTTTCACGTAATTCTGTTATTTTGAGGGATTAGCATTGATTTCTATTTTTATTATAATTTTTTAATTCTAATTTTTGTCAATACAGAGTAGGTGTATATATTTATAGGATATATGCAATATTTTGGTATAGGCATGCAATGACTAATAATCACATCAAGGAATATTAGGGAACCATCCCCTCTAGCATTTATCTTTGTGTTACAAACAATCCAGTTAGACTCTGTTATTTTTAAATGTACAACTATATTATTAACTATAGTCACCCTGTTGTGCTAGAAAACACTAGATCTTATTATTTAATGATTTTTTGTACCCATTAACTATACCCACCTTCCTACCACTCCCCCATTACAATTCCCAGCCTCTGGTAACCATTCTAATATTTGCCATCTCTATGAGTTCAATTGTTATAATTTTTAGATTCCATGAATAAGTGAGAATATGCAATGTGTGTCTTTCTGTGCCTGGCTTATTTCACTTAACATGATGACCTCCAGTTTTATCCATGTTGTTGCAAATGACAGAATCTCATTATTTTCTATGTTGAACAGTACTTCATTGTGTGTTACTGCCAGATTTTCTTTATCCATTCATCTGTTGATGAACATTTAGGTTGCTTTCAAATCTTGGCTATTGTGAACAATGAACTGAAAAGTCTGCTGCAGACATACGAGAGTTCAATTGTATACTATTTGTTTCTTTTCTCTTGCTGCTTTTAGAATCGTTTCTTTATCCTTGATCTTTGGGAGCTTGATTATTACATACCTTGAGGTAGGGTTCTTTGGTTTAACTCTGCACAGTGTTAAACTTAAACTTCTTGTACTTAAATATTGACATCTTTATCTAGGTTTGGGAAGTTCTTGGACATTATCCCTTTGAATAAACTGTCCACCACATCTCTTTCTGTACCTGATATTTAAGGCTATTAACTCTTAAACTTGCCCTTTTGAGGCTCTTTTCTAGATTTTGTATGCATGCTTCAGTGTTTTTTATTCTTTTTCCTTTTGTCTCCTCTGATTGTATATTTTCAAACAGCCTGTCTTCAGGCTCACTACTTGTTTCTACTTCTTGAAAAATTGTGCTGTTAAGAGAATCTGATGGATTCCTCAGAATGTCAATTGCATTTTCCAACTCTAGAATTTCTGCTTGGTTCTTTTTAATTATTTCAATTTCTTTATTAAATTTATTGGATAGATTCTGAATTCCTTCTTTGTGTTTCCTCAAAACTACTCTGAAGTCTCTGTCTGAAATGTCATATATCTCTGTTTCTCCAGGACTTGTCCCTGGTGCCTTATTCAGTTTATGTGGTAAGGTCATGTTTTCCTGGATAGTGTTAATGCTTGTAGATGCTCATCAGCATCTGAGAATTGAAGACTTAGATATTTATTGTAGTCTTCATAGTCTGGGCTTGTTTGTCCTCGTTCTTCTCAGGAAGGTTTTCCAGGTATTCAGAGGGACTTAGGCCACAAGCCCAATAATGCTGTGGTTTTTGCAGACTTGTAGAGGTATTATTTTGGTGGTCTTGGAAAAGATCTGGAAGAGACTCATGTTCTTTTCTCTTACTTTTTCCAAAATAACAATAAAAATAACAATAATAATAATACAGAGTTTTCTTTCTGTGCTGAGCTGCCTGGAACTGGGGATGTGATGATGCAAGCAACCCTGTTTCCCCCACCAGTGGGACTATGCTTAGTCAGATGTGAGGCCAGCACAGCACTAGGCCTTGCCCAGAGCCCTTCCCCCTTCAGGGTGGCAAGTTTCCCCAGGTCACAGGCATATCTAGAGATGCTGTGTGGGACCCAGAATTTGGAGTCAAAAATGTTAGAAATTCGATACAACTGGGTAAGCTGGCACTCAAACCACATTACAAAGTTTTTCTCACTTTTTCTTCCCCTTTCTACAGGCAGAGGAGCCTCTTCCTGTGGCCAGAACCACTACTGGTTTATGGGGGGTTCTGCCAGGCCACTGCCAATGTTAGCTTAAAGCCCAGGGGCTCTTCTCTCAGCTTGTGAATGCTGCCAGGCCTAGGACTCACCATTCCGGGCAATGGGCTCCCTTCTAGCCTAGGATAGGTCTAGAAATGCCACCCAAGAGCCTATTCCTGAACTTGGGACTCCAAGAGCTGCTTGTTACTCTACCCCATTGTAGCCAAACTGTTACCTAGGGTGCAAGACTTTTCCCTCTGCTTTCCTCAAACAGAAACAGTCTTTCACCATAGCTAGGTGGGAATGTGCTGAGTCTCTCCTGAAACCAGTATGTCTCAGAACCCAAGTTTCCACAGTGTGCTTCTTGGGTATTACTGGTGGATTTCAGGGCCCAAGAGCTCTTTAGTCAGAAGATAATTAATCTCGCCAGGACTTGGTCTTTCTCTTCAAGGCAGTGGGGTACCTTTTGGCCCATGATGCGTCTAGAAGTGTCTCCTGGGAGCTGGACCTGGAATGGGGACCTCCTGACTCTGCCCAGTGCCCTGTTCTACTATAGCTGAGCTGGTATCCAAGATGCAAGACAAAGTCCTCTTTACTCTTTGCTCTCCTCTCCTTAAGCAGAAAGAAGAGGTCACTTTTGTTGCTACATGCTGCACTAGCTGAAGTCAAGGGAGGGTGCAAGCATTCCCTTAGTCATGCCAGCTGGTATCTCCCTAGGTCACATGCCACCTTAGTTCACTGGTTGTAATCCCAGTCTAGCACTAGGAGTTACCTAGGAATTACAATTCTTGTGTCCTGGACTCCCTTTGAAGTGTACCTAGGACCCCAGAGGATGTCAGTTCATGGTGGCAAGGCTTGCCAAGAAACTAAAGTTCTGATTTGAATGGGTGAATCCTCTATGGCCAAGGCTATTCCAAATGCTCCCTCCATGCACTGGTACCAGCTGAACCCAGCAGGGCTTTATTCTCAACTATGACAGGACAGCACTGAGTTGTGACAGGCAGTACCTAGTCACTATACTTTCCTCTCAAAAGTGTACAGATTCTCTCTCCATTCTGCATGGCCACTGCCAGGAGATGAGGGAGGAGCAATGTTAATGATTCACCAGTGCCTCTCCTGTCATCCTCAATGCCTTTTTAAATATGAACTTAAAGCCAGGTACTGTGATTGCACATCTGATTTTTGGTCCTTGTGAGAGTGTTCCTGGACCAAACTGAGGGTTGGGCTGCTATTTCTCGAGGCCCAGTAATGAGATGCAGATGAACCAGGAAGGAAGAGAGTTTTTATTTATGCAACCAGTTACAGGGAGAAGACCTGGGAATTATCACCAGACCAACTCAAAATTACAAAGTTTGCCAGAGCTTATACAACTTTTAAGCTATATGTCTGTGGGTAAGTGTGCATTCATCTGAAGACATAAGTGATTAACTTCTTTTAATCTATAACTAAGGTCTGAGACCTGAAGACCTTCCTTGGGACCTTAGTAAATTTACTTTATCTAAATGGGTCCAGGTGCTGGGGTCCTATCTTGTCTCCTGCTAAATTACAAAGGTTTGAGGAGTTCCTTCAAACCCCCAATAAACTTGTTTATGGAGGCCTGGGGAGTTTCTTCATACCCACAATAAAACTTGTTTAATCCTAAATGGGTCCTATGAAGAACTCTTTCATTATTCTGTCATGTTTTAAGGCCCAGGAAAGGCCTAGACAAAATTCTTGATAGGCTTTTGTTACATCCCAGTCTTTGCATAAGGGCACGGGCTTTTAATATTTAACTTAACCCCTCAGTCAGTACAGAAACAGTTGTTATGGAGGCCTGAATTAGTGAGACCTGGCCTGCCACAACAGTGCTTTTCTATGTGCAGATAGTTGTTAAAATTTGTTGTTGTAGTGGGGGAGATAAACAGGGTAAGATTCTATTCTATAATCTTGCTCTGCCCTCTGCCTGATTTCTATTTTTATTGTGCTATAGTCTGAAAATGTGTTTGGTATCATTGGTATGTGCCATGAGCAGATGAGAAGAATTGACATTCTGTTGGTTTTGGGTGAAGAGTTCTTTAGATGTCTACTAGGTCCATTTGTTCAAGTGTCAAATTCAGATCTTGAATATCTTTGTTAGCTTTCTTCCCCAGTGATCTAATACTATCAGTGGGGTGTTGAAATCTCTCACTATTACTATGCAGTTATCTAAGTGTTTTCACAGGTCTCTAAGAACTTGCTTTATGAATCTGAGTGGTTCTGAGTTTGGTGCATATATAATTAGGATAGTTAGGTTTTCTTGTCGAATTGAACCCTTTACCATTTTGTAATACCCTTCTTTGTCCTTTTTGATCTTTGTTGGTTTAAAGTCTGTTTGGTCTGAAATTAGAATAGCAACCTCTGCTTTCTGTTTTTCATTTGCTTGGTAGGGGTCTCTCCATCCCTTTACTTTGAGGCTAGTAGCGGCATTGCATGTGAGATGGGTCTCTTGAAGACAGCATACTATTGAGTCTTGCTTCTTTATCCAACTTGCCATTCTGTGCTTTTTAATTGGAAAATTTTGACTGTTTATATTCAAGTTTAATATTGATAAGTGCAGATTTGATCCCGTTATTATATTGTTAGCTGGTTATTATTCAAAGTTGTTTGTGTGATTGCTTTATAATGACAATGGTCTATGTAATTATGTGTATTTTTGTAGTGGCCAGTAATGATCTTCCTTTCCATATTTAGCACTCCCTTTAGGACCTTTTGTAAGGCAGATCTGGTAAGGCAGCAAATTCTCTCAACATTTACTTGTCCGAAAAGGATATTATTTCTCCTTTGCTTATGAAGCTTAGTTTGGCTGGATATGAAATTTTTGGTTGGAATTTCTTTTATTTAAGCATGCCAAAACATGGGCCCCGACCTTTTATGGCTTGAAGGGTTTCTGCTAAAACGTCTGCTGTCAGCATGACGGGTTTCCTTTGGTAGATGACCTGCATGTTCTCTCTAGCTGTCTTTAGCCTTTTTTCTTTTATTGTAACCATGGAGAATGTGTCTTGGGAATTTTTGTGTGTGTAGTATCTCACAAGTTTCTCTGTATTTCCTGAATTTGAATGTGTGCCTTTCTAGCAAGGTTGGAAAATTTTTCATGTACAATATACTGAAATATGTTTTTCAAATTGCTTACTTTCTCTCCCTTTCTTTCAGGGATGCCAATGAGTCATAGGTTTGGTCTCTTTACATAATCCCATATTTTTCAAAGGTTTTGTTCATTCTTCTTTAATATTTGTTCTTGTTTTTGTCTGGCTGAGTTATTTCACAAAATTGGTCTTTGAGCTTGTACAGTCTTTCCTCAGCTTGGTTGATTTTGCTGTTAATACTTGATATTGGATTCTGAAATTCTTAAAGTGAGGTTTTCAGTTTTTCAGCTCCATCAGATCAGCTTGGTTGTTTCTTAAAATGGCCATTTTATCTTTCATCTCCTGTATCCTTGGATTGGGTTTTGACTTTCTTCTAAATCTCAATGATCTTCCTTCCTATTTACATTCTGCATTTTATTTTTGTTATTTCAGCATAAGAACCATTGCTAAGGAACAAGTGCATTTGTTTGGAAGTAAAAAGACACTCTGGCTTTTTGAGTCACCAGCGTTCTTGGGCTGGTTTTTTCTCATCTGTGTGGACTGCTGTTCCTTCAACTTTGAAGCTGTCATCCTGTGAATTTTTTTTTTTTTTTTGCTTTTATCTTCTTCCATGTCCTTGAGGATTTGATTTGGTATAATGTTGGTTCAATCAACTGGCTTCATTTCTGAAAGATTTTAGGGGGCCAAGGTTCAGCTCAGGAGTTCTGTGTTGCATGCTCTAACTCTGGAGGGCTGGTATCAGGCCCCTGGCTTTGTTCTTTGGCCTCTCAAGGTTAGGATCCTGCTGCACTGAAGGTGCTGAAGTGTTTCTGGACCACTGGCCACAAAACAGGCAGTGACAGTGGAATCTGGGGTCATTCACACATGCCAGAAGCAGCAGTAGCATGGCGGTGTTCAGGCATTTGCAGCAGCAATGGCAGAGCTGCCAGGGATTTGTGCTCATGCCAGCAGCAGTAGTGCAGTGGAATGCACATGCTCTGGTAGGGGAGGGGAGAGGAGGTCTACCCACGTGTGTGCACACCAGCAAAGTGGCTGAGGGGTGGCCATGGGTGAGTACATGCTAGAAAAGTGGCTCAGAGGGGACTGTGGTGGGGGGAAGGTGTGGGTGGCCTGGTGCACTTCAGTGGGGGCTGCTCTGCTGGAGTTCTCCAGTGGCCAGGTGCAGGTTGCCAGTGAAGGTGTTATGATGTGGGCTCACAAGAAGCACCTTGATTGGGCATCGAAGGCTGCATTGCAAGAGGGCATGCCCGTGCTGGAGCCTTAGAAGAGGCCAGCAAACAAGAGGATGCTCAGATCTGACTGACCATTTCTCATGGGCAAGATTGCCCTGCTCTGTTCAGTTCCAACAGTTCCCCTAAAGTTAAAGTCTCCTAAGGGAACATAATGAGCCTTAGGTGATGGGGCATCCCTGGGTGTACTTCACTGCAGATATTCCCATCCCAAACTTTCTGGGCTCCACAAAGGCTGGAGTCATTCCCCTTCATATGGTTAGGCTTTGTGTCCCCACCCAAATCTCATCTTGAATTGTAATCCCTGTAATCCCCACATGTCAAGGGAGAGGCCGGGTGGAGGTAACTGAATCATGGGAGCAGTTTATCCCATACTGTTCTCATGATAGTGAGTTCTCACAAGATATGATGGTTTTATAAGGCACTCTTCCCCCTTCATTCAGCACTTCTCTTTCCCACAAACTTGATGGCCTTGCTTCCCCTTTGCCTTCAGCCATGACTGTAAGTTTCCTGAGGTCTTCCAAGCCATGCTGAACTTTGAGTCAATTAAAATTCTTTCCTTTATAAACTACCCAGTCTCAGGCAGTTCTTTATACCATTATGAAAACAGACTAATACAGTTAATTGGTACCAGTAGAGTGGGGTGCTGCTGCAAAGATACCCAAAAATGTGGAAGCAACTTTGGAACTGCTTAACAGGCAAAGTTTGGAACAATTTGGAGGGCTCAGAAGAAGAAAGGAAGATGTGAGAAAGTTTGGAACTTCCTAGAGACTTTTTAAATGGCTTTCACCAAAATGCTGATAGTGATATGGACAATAAACTCCAGGCTGAGGTGGTCTCAGATGGAGATGAGGAACTTGTTGGGAACTAGAATAAAGGTGACTCTTGCTAGTCACCTTTATTCCTTTATGTGGCACATATACATTATGAAATACTATGCAGCCAAAAAAGGAATTAATTCATGTCCTTTGCAGGGACATGGATGAAGCTGGAAACCATCATTCTCACCAAACTAACACAAGAACAGAAAACCAAACACCACATGTTCTCACTCATAGGTGGGAGTTAAACAATGAGAACACATGGACACAGGGAGGGGAACATCACACACTGGGGCCTGTAGGGGTTGTGGGGTAAGGGGAGGGAGAGCATTAGGAGAAATAACTTATGCATGCGGGGCTTAAAACCTAGATGATGGGTTGACGGGTGCAGCAAATAACCATGGCACATGTATACCTACACGTCCTGCATATATATCCCATAACTGAAAGTATTATAAATAAATTTTTAAAATTCTTTTTTCTTTGTTTTTGTCAGATTGGGTTAATTCTAAAGTCTTGTCTTTGAGTACTCAAGTTCTTTCTTCTACTTGTTTAATTATATTGTTGAAACTTTCCAGTATAATTTGCATTTCTCTAAGTGTGTCTTTCATTTCCAGACATTGTGATTGTCTTTTCTTTATAATATATATTTCTATGGAGACTTTTACAAACCATATTCTGTATTGTTTTTCAAAATTTATTTGTTGGTTTTCACCTTTCTCTGGTATCTCTTTGAGTAGCTTAACAATCAACCTTTTGAATTTTTTTATCTGGCATTTCAGAAATTTCTTATTGGTTTCGATCCATTGCTGGAGAGCTAGTGTGATCTTTTGGGGGTGTTATAGAACCTTGTTTTGTCATATTACCAGAATTACTTTTCTGGTTCCTTCTCATTTGGGTAGACTGTTTCAATGGAAATATCTGGAACTAAAGGGCTGCTGTTCAGATTACTTTGTCAGACTCTTGCTATGCTTTAGAATTTTGACCCTGCCCTAGAGATCTGTGGAACTTTTAACTTGAGGGAGATAATCTAGGGTATCTGATGGAAGAAATTTCTAAGAAGCAAAGCATTTAAGGTGTGACCTGGGTGCTGTGCTCATCAAAGCACTCTGTTTTATGCGTTCACAAAGAGATGGTTTGGAATTGGAACATATGTTTAAAGAGGAAGCAGAGCATAAAGGGTTAGAAAATATGCAGCCTGATGATGTGATAGAAAAGAAAAACCCATTATCAGAGGAGAAATTCAAGCTGGCTGCAGAAATTTGCATAAGTAACGAGGAACCATATGTTATCCAAGATAATGGGGAAAATGCCTCTAGGGCATGTCAGAGGTCTTCATGTGACCCCTCCCAGCAAAGACCCAGATGCCTAGAAGAAAAAAATGGTTTCGTGGGCCAGGCCCAGGGCCCTGCTGCTTTGTGCAGTCTTGGGTATTGGTGCCCTATGTGCCAGCTGTGGCTAAAAGGGGCCAACGTACAACTCAGGCTGTTGCTTCAGAGGGCACAATCCTCAAGCCTTGGTGACTTACATGTGGTGTTAGGCCTATGGGTGCACAGAGGTCAAGATTTGAGGTTTGAAAACCTCCACCTAAATTTCAGAGGATGTATGGAAATTCCTGGATGCCCAGAAAGAAGTTTGCTGTGGGAGTGGAACCCTCATGGAGAACTTCTGCTACAGCAGTGTGAAAGGGAAATGTGGGGTCAGAGCCCCCACACACAGTCCTCACTAGGGCACGACCTAGTGGAGCTGTGAGAAGAGGGCAAATGTCCTCCAGATCTCAGAATGGTAGATTCACTGACAGTTTGCACTCTGCTTGCACCATGCACTTCGAAAAGCTGCAGACACTCAATGTCAGCCCATAGAAGCAACCAGGATGGGGGATGTACCCTGAAAAGCCACAGGGGTGGAGTTGTCCAAGGCTGTGGGAACCCACCACTTGCATCAGTATAAACTGGATGTGAGACATGGAGTCAAAGCAGATCATTTCAAAGCTTTAACATTTGACTGCCTTGCTGGATTTAGGACTTGCATGGGCCTGTAGCCCCTTCATTTTGGCCAATTTCTCCCATTTAAAGAGGGTGTATTTACCCAATGCCTGTATCTCCATTGTATCTGGAAGTAACTAATTTGCTTTTGGTTTTACAGGCTCACAGGCAGAAGGGACTTGCCTTGTGTCAGGTGAGACTTTGGACTTGGACTTTGGGTTAATGCAGGAATGAATTAAGGCACTGGAGAATTGTTGGGAAGCCATGGTTGGTTTTGAAATATGAAAGGGGCATGAGATTAGGGAGGGTCCAGGGGCAGAATGATATGGTTAGGCTTTGTGTCTCCACCCAAATCTCATCTTGAATTGTAATTCCCACAATCCCCACATGTCAAGGGAGAGACCAGGTGGAGGTAATTGAATCATGGGGGTGGTTTCTCTTATTCTGTTCTTATAACAGTGAATGAGTTCTCACAAGATCTGATGGTTTTATAAGGCACTCTTCCCTCTTCTATTGGCACTTCTCTTTCCTGCCACCTTGAGAAGAAGGTGCCTCGCTTCCCCTTCACCTTCTGCTATGATTGTAAGTTTCCTGAGGTTTCCCCAGTCAGGCTGAGCTGTGAGTCAATTAAAATTTTTTCCTTTATAAACTACCCAGTCTCTGGGCAATTCTTCACAGCTGTGCTGGTTTTCAAAGGGAATGCTTCCAGCTTTTGCCCATTCAGTATGATGTTGGCTGTGGGTGTGTCATAAATAACTCTTATTGTTTTGAGATACGGTCCATCAATACCTAGTTTATTGAGTGTTTTTAGCATGAAGTGGTGTTGAATTGTATTGAAGGCCTTTTTGCATCTACTGATATAATCATGTGATTTTTGTTATTGGTTCTGTTTATGTGATGGATTATATTTATTGATTTGCATGTGTTGAACAAGCCTTGCATCCCAGGTATGAAGCTGACTTGATTGTGGTGGATAAGCTTTTTGATGTGCTGCTGGATTTAGTTTTCCAGTATTTTATTGAGAATTTTTGCATCAATGTTCATCAGGGATATTGGCCTGAAATTTTCTTTTTTTGTTGTGTCTCTGCCAGGCTTGGGTATCAGGATGATGCTAGCCTCATAAAATGGGTTAGGGAGGAATCCCTCTTTTTCTATTGTTTGGAATAGTTTCAGAAGCAATGGTACCATCTCCTCTTTATTCCACTGGTAGAATTCGGCTGTGAATTTGTCGGTTTGGGGCTTTTTTTTTTGGTTGGTAGGCTATTAATTACTGCCTCAATTTCACAACTTGTTATTGGTCAATTCAGGGACTCTAGTTCTTCCTGGTTTAGTCTTGGGAGGGTCCATGAATTTATGAATTTGTTCTCAATTTTCTAGTTTATTTGCATAGAGGTGTTTATAACATTCTCTGATGGTAGTTTGTATTTCTTTGGAATCAGTGGTATATCCCCTTTGTCATGTTTTATTGTGTCTTGATTCTTCTCTCTTTTCTTCATTCATCTGTCTAGTGGTCTATCCATTTTGTTAATCTTTCTAAAAAACCAGCTCCTGGATTCGTTGATTTTTTGAAGGGCTTTTCATGTCTCTATCTCCTTCAGTTCTGCTCTGATCTTAGTTATTTGTTGTCTTCTGCTAGCTTTTGTATTTGTTTGCTCTTGCTTCTCTAGTTCTTTCAATTGTGATTTAGGGTGACAATTTTAGATCTTTCCCGCTTTCTGATGTGGGCATTTAGTGCTATAAATTTCCCTCTTAACACTACTTTAGCTGTGTCCCAGAGATTCTGGTACATTGTATCTTTGTTCTCATTGGTTTCAAAGAACGTATTTATTTCTGCCTTAATTTCATCATTTACCCAGTAGTCATTCAGGAGCATGTTGTTCAGTTTCCATGTATGTGTGGTTTTGAGGGAGTTTTTAATCCTGAGTTTTAATTTGATTGTACTGTGGTCTGAGAGACTGTTATGATTTTCATTCTTTTGCATTTGCCGAGGAGTGGTTTACTTCCAATTATGTGGTCGATTTTAGAATAAGTATTATGTAGTGCTGAGAAGAATGTGTATTCTGTTGATTTGGGGTGGAGAGTTCTGTAGATGTCCATTAGGTTTGCTTGGTCCAGAGCTGAGTTCAAGTCCTGGATATACTTGTTAATTTTCTGACTTGATGATCTGTCTAATATTGACAATGAGTTGTTAATGTCTCCCACTATTGTTGTGGGGGAATCTAAGTCTCTATGTGGGAATCTAAAAACTTGTTTTATGAATCTGGATGCATATACTGGGTGCATATATACTTAGGATATTTAGCTCTTCTCTTTGCATTGATTTCTTTACCATTATGTAATGCCCTTCTTTGTCTTTTTTGATCTTTGTTGGTTTAAAGTCTGTTTTATCAGAGACTAGGATTGCAACCCCTGCTTTTTTTTTGCTTTCCATTTACTTGGTAAATTTTCCTTCACACCTTTATTTTGAGCCTATGCGTGTCTTTGCACTTCAGATGGGTCTCCTGAATAAAACACATTGATGAGTCTTGTCACTTTATCCAGTTTGCCAGTCGGTGTCTTTTAATTGGGGCATTTAGTACATTTAGATTTAAGGTTAATGTTGTTATGTGTGAATTTGATCCTGTCTTCATGATGCTAGCTGGTTATTTTGCACATTAGTCGATGCAGTTTCTTCATAGTGTCATTGGTCTTTATATTTTGGTATGTTTTTGCAGTGCCTGGAACCAGTTTTTCCTTTCCATATTTAGTGCTTCTTTCAGGAGCTCTTATAAAAAAGGCCTGGTGGTGACAAAATCTTTCAGCATTTGCTTGTCTGTAAAGAATTTTATTTCTTCTAGCTTATGAAGCTTAGTTTGGCTTGATATGGAATTCTGGGTTGAAAATTCTTTTCTTTAAGAATGTTGAATATTAGTCCCCACTCTCTTCTGTTTTGTAGTGTTTCTGCAGAGAGATCTGCTATTAGTCTGATGGGCTTCCCTTTGTAGGTAACGTGTCCTTTCTCTCTGGCTGCCCTTAACATTTTTTCCTTCATTTCAACCTTGGAGAATACGACAATTATGTGTCTTGGGGTTGCTCTTCTCAAGGAGCATCTCAGTGGTGTTCTCTGTATTTCCTGAATTTGAATGTTGGCCTGTCTTGCTAGGTTGGGGAAGTTCTCCTGGATAATATCCTGAAGTGTTTTCCAACTTGGTTCCATTCTCCCCATCATTTTCAGGTACACCAATCAATTGTAGGTTTGGTCTTTTCAAATTGTCCCATATTTCATGGAAGCTTTATTCATTCCTTTTCATTCTTTTTTCTCGAATCTTGTCTTCACGCTTTATTTCATTAAGTCGATCTTCAATCTCTGCTATCCTTTCTTCTGCTTGATTGATTCAGCTATTGATACTTGTGTATGCTTCACAAAGTTCTCTTGCTGTGTTTTTCAGCTCCATCAGGTCATTTGTGTTCTTCTCTAAACTGGCTTTTCTAGTTAGCAGTTCCTGTAACCTTTTATCAAGGTTGTTAGCTTCCTTGCATTGGGTTAGAACATTCTCCTTTAGCTCCGAGGAGTTTGTTATTATGCACCTTCTGAAGCCCACTTCTGTCAATTCATCAAACTCACTCTCCATTCAGTTTTGTGCTCTTGCTGGAGAGGAGTTGTGATCATTTGGAGGAGAAGAGGCATTCTGATTTTTGGAATTTTCAGCATTTTTGCACTGGTTTTTCCTAATCTTCACAGATTTATATGCCTTTGATCTTTGATGCTGATGGCCTTTGGATGGGGTTTTTGTGTAGGTGTCTCTCGTGTTGATGTTGATGTTATTGCTTTCTGTTTGTTAGTTTTCTTTCTATCAGTCAAGTACCTCTTCTGCAGTCTGTTGGAGTTTGCTGGAGGTCTGCTCCAAACCCTGTTTTCCTGGGTATCACCAGCAGAGGCTGCAGAACAGCAAAGATTGCTGCCTGCTCCTTCCTCTGGAAGCCTCATCGCAGAGGGGCACCAGCCTGATGCCAGCTGTGGCTCTCCTGTATGAGGTGTCTGTCCACCCCTGCTCAGAGATGTCTCCCAGTCAGGACGCATGGGGGTCTGGGACCCACTTGAGAAGACAGTCTTTCCCTTAGCAGAGCTCAAGTGCTATGCTGGGAGATCCACTGCTGTCTTCAGAGCTGGCAGGCAGGAACATTTAAGTCTGCTGAAGCTGCACCCACAGCATCCCTTTCCCCCATGTGCTCTGTCCCAGGGAGATGGGAGATTTATCTATAAGCCCCTGACTGGACCTGCTGCCTTTCTTTCAGAGATGCCCTGCACAGTGAGGAGGAATCTAGAGAAGCAATCTGACCCCAACCACTCTGCTGCACTGTGGTGAGTTCCATACAGTCCGAACTTCCTGGCGGCTTCCTTAACACTGTGAGAGGAAAACCGCTTACTCAAGCCTCGGTAATGATGGATGCCCCTCGCCCGACCAAGCTCGCTTGTCCCAGGTTGACTTCAGACTGTTGCACTGGCAGAGAGAATTTCAAGCCAGTGGTTCTTAGCTCGCTGGGCTCTGTGGGAGTGGGACCTGCTGAGTGAGACCACTTTGCTCCCTGGCTTCAGTCCCCTTTCCAGGGAAGTGAACAGTTCTGTCTCACTGAGGCTCCAGGTACCACTGGAATATGAAAAAAAAAAAAAAAAAACTCCTGCAGATAGCTTAGTGTGAAGACACTGCCGCCGAATTTTATGCTTGAAACCCAGGGCCCTGGTGGTATAGGCACATGAGAGAATCTCCTGGTCTGTGGATTGCAAAAACCATGGGGAAAGTGTAGTATCTGGGTCAGATAGCACAGTCCCTCACAGCTTCCCTTAGCTAGGGGAGGTAATTCCCCAGCCCCTTGCACTTCTTGTGTGAGCCAACGCCCCACCCTGCATCTGCTCACCCTCTGTGGGTTGCACCCACTGTCTAACCAGTCCCAGTGAGATGAACTGGGTACCTCAGTGGAAATGCAGAAATAAGCTGCCTTCAGCATTGGTCTCAATGGGAGCTGCAGACCAGAGCTGTTCCTATTCAGCCATCTTGCCCGCTCTCCCCAGGAAAAAAGAATTTTAAAAAATGAGCAAAGCCTCCAAGAAGTTTGGGATTGTGTTAAACAGCCAAACCAAAGAATAATTTGTTTTCCTGAGGAAGAAGAGAAATCTAAAAGTTTGGAAAAATAACTTGATGGAATAATTGAGGAAAATTTTCCTGGCCTTGCTAGAGATCTAGACATCCAAATATAAGAAACTCAAAGAACATCCAGGAAATTTATCACAAAAATATCATTACCTAGGCACATAGTCATCCAGTTATCTAAAATCAAGATGAAGGGAAGAATCTGAAGAGCTGTGTGGCAAAAGCATCAAGTAACCCTTAAAGGAAAATCTATCAGATTAGCAGCAGATTCTCAGAAGAAACCCCACAATCCAGCAGGGATTAGGGTCTTATCTTTAGCCTCCTGAAACAAAATAATTATTAGCCTGGAACTTTGTGTCCAGCTAAATGAAGATTCATAAATGAAGAAAAGATAAAGTATTTTTTAGGCAAACAAATGCTGAGAGAATTCACCACCACCAAGCCAGCACTACAGGAGTTCTGAATCTTGAAACAAAACCTCAAAATACACCAAAATAGAACCTCCCTAAAGCATAAATCTCATAAGGCCTATAAAACAATGAAAAGGAAAAAAAAATAAAAACAAAAACAAAAACAAATCCAAGGCATTCAGGCAACACCTAGCATGATGAAAAGAATAGTACCTCACATCTCAACACTAACATTGAATATAAATGGCCTAAATGCTCCACTTAAAAGATGAAGAATGGCAGATGAATAAAAATTCAACAACCAACTATTTGCTGTCTTCAAGAGACTCATCTAACACATAAGGACTCACATAAGATAAAGGGGTGGGAAAAGATACTCCATGAAAGTAGGAACCAAAAGCAAGCAGGAGTAGCTGTATTTATATGCAGATAAAAATACTTTAAAGCAACAACAGTTACAAAACAGAGGGACATTACATAATTATAAAAACAATTAGTCCAACAGGAAAATATCATAATTATATATATATATATATGCACCTAACACTGGAGCTCCCAAATTTATAAAACAATTAATACTAGACCTAAGAAATGAGACAGATGGCAACACAATAATAGTGGGGGAATTCGATACTCTACTGACAGCACTAGACAGTTCATCAAGACAGAAAGTCAACAAAGAAACAAAGGACTTAAATTATACCCTAGAACAAATGGATTTAAAAGATATTTACAGAACATTCTACCCAACAAATGCAGAAATTACATTCTTTTCATCAGCACATGGAACATTCTCAGATATAGACTTCATGATGGGCCACAAAACAAGTATCAATAAATTTTTAAAAATCAAAAATATATCAAGTACTTCCTCAGATCACAATGGAATAAAACTGGAAATTAACTCCAAAAGGAACCCTCAGAACTATACAAATACATGGAAATTAAATAACCTGCTCCTGAATAATCTTTGGGTCAACAATGAAATCAAGATGGAAATTTAAAAATTCTTTGTACTGAACAATAATAGTAACACAACCTATCAAAACCTCTGGTATGCAGCAAAAAAAGTGCTAAGAGGGAAGTTCATAGCATTAAATGACTACATCAAAAAGTCTGAAAGAGCACAAGTAGACAATCTAAGGTCACATCTTAAAAAACTAGAGACATAAGAACAAACCAAACCCAAACCCAACAGAATAAAAGAAATAAAGATCAGAGCAGAACTAAATGAAATTGAAACAAACAAAAAAAGACAATTAAAACAAAAATCTGGTTTTCTAAAAGATAAGATCTATAGACCATTAGTGAGATTAACCTAGAAAAGCAGAGAGAAAATCCAAATAAGCTCAATTAGAAATGAAACGGGAGACAGTACAACTGCTACCACAAAAATATGACAGATTATTCAAGGCCACTATGAACACCTTTACAAGCATAAACTAGAAATCCTAAAGGAGATGGATGAATTCCTGGAAATATACAACCTCCTAGCTTAAACCAGGAAGATATAGAGTCACTGAACAGACCAGTAACAAGCAGCAAGATTAAAATGGTAATGGAAAAATTGTAAAAAAACAAAAAACAATCCAGAACCAAAGGGATTCATAGCTGAATTCTATCAGACATTCATTGTAGAGTTGGTACCAATCTTATTGACACTATTCCAAAAGATAAACAGTATATCTTTCTCTAAACCCCTAAATTGTTCTATAAAGCCAGTATTACCCTAATACCAAAATAAAGGAAGGATATAACAACAACAACAACTAAAAAAAACTACAGACCAATATCCCTGATGAACATAGATGCAAAAAATACTCCACAAAATGCTAGCTAACCAAATCCAACAGTATATCAAAAAGATCATACATCATGATCCAGTGAGTTTCATACCAGGGATGCAGGGATGGTTTAACATAGGCAAGTCAATAATTGTGATAAACCATGTAAACATAATTGAAAATAAAAATCACATGATCATCTCAATAGATGCAGAAACAGCTTTTGACAAAATTCCGCACCCTTTATGACAAAAAAAATCTCAGCAAAATTGGCATAGAAGGGAAATACGTCAAAGTTATCAAAGCCATCTGTGACAAACCCACAACTATCATACTAAACAGGCAAAAGTTGAAAGCATGTCCCCTGAGAACTGGAATAAGACAAGGATACCCACCTTCACCACTTCTATTCAACACAGTACTGGAAGTCTTAACCAAAGCAATCAGACTAGAGAAAGAAATAAAGGCATCCAAATCAGTAAAGAGGGGGCCAAACTGTCACTGTTTGCTGATGATATGATTGTACACCTAGAAAATCCTGAAGATTCATCCAAAAAGCTCCTAGAACTGGTAAGTTAATACAGCAATGTTTCAGAATACAAATTTGATGGACACAAATCAGTAGTTCTGCTATACACCAACAGCAACCAAGCTGAAAATCAAATCAAGAACTCAACCCCTTTCACAACAGCTGCAAAAGAAAAAACCCCACACTTAGGAATATACTTAATGAAGGAGGTGAAAGACCTCTACAAGGAAAAGTACAAAACACTGCTGAAAGAAATCATAGACAACACAAACAAATGGAAACACATTCCATGCTAAGGAATGGGTAGAATCAATCTTGTGAAAATGACCCCACTGCCAAAAGCAATCTACAAATTCAATGGAATTCCCATCAAAATGCCATCATTCTTCACTGAACTAGAAAAAAAAAAAAAATCCTAAAATTCATATAAAACAAACAAACAAAAAAGAGTCCGCATAGCAAAAACAAGACTAAGTAAAAAGAACAACCCTGGAAGCATCACATTACCCAACTTCCAACTATACTACAAGGCTGTTGTTACCAAAACAGCATGGTACTGCTATAAATACAGGCACGTAGATCAATGGAACAGGATAGAGAACCCATAAATGAAGTCAAATACTTACAGCCAACTGATCTTAGACAAAGGAAACAAAAACCTCAAGTGGGGAAAAGACACCCTATTCAACAAATGGTGCTGGGATAATTGGCAAACCATATGTAGAAGAATTAAACTGGATCCTCATCTCAAACTTTATACAAAAATCAACTCAACATGGACCAAAGACTCAAATCTAAGACCTAAAACCATAAAAATTCTAGAAGATAATATTGAAAAAAACCCTTGTAGACATTGGTTTAGGCAAAGAGTTCATGATCAAGAACCCCAAAACAAAGGCAACAAAAAAAAGCTAAATAGATGGGACTTAAACTAAAAAGCTTCTGCACACCAAGAAAAATAATCAGAAGAGTAAACGGACAACCCCCAGAGTGGGAGAAAATCTTCTCAAACTATGCATCTGACAAAGGACTAATATTCAGAATCTACAAGAAACTCAAACAAATAAGCAGGAAAAAAATCTCACCAAAAAGTGGGCTAAGGACATGAATAAACAATCTCAAAAGAAGATATGCAAATGGCCAAAAACATATGAAAAACATTCTACATCACTAATTATTAGGGAAATCCAAATAAAAACCACAATGTGTGATACCATCTCACTCTTGCAAGAATCACCATAACTAAAAAATGAAAAAATAATAGATTTTGGCATGGATATGGCAAAAATGAGACACTTTTACACTGTTGGTGGGACTATAAGCTAGTAAAACTACTATGGAAAACAGTATGAAGATTTCTTAAAGAAGTAAAAGTAGAACTACCATTTGATTCAGCAATCCCACCACTGGGTATCTACCCAGAGGAAAAGAAGTCATTATAGGAAAAGACACTTGCACATGCACATTTATAGCAGCACAACTTGCAATTGAAAAAATATGGAACTAGCCTAAATGCCCATCAATTGAGGGGATAAAGAAAATGTGGTATATACAGGGAACATCCAAGATGGCCGAATAGGAAGAGCTCCAGTCTGCAGCTCCCAGCATGATTGACGCAGAAGATGGGTGATGTCTGCATTTCCAACTGAGGTACCTGGTTCATCTCATTGGGACTGGTTGGACAGTGGGTGAAGCCCAAGGAGGGCAAGCTGAAGTAGGGAGGGGCGTCGCTTCACCTGGGAAGTGCAAGGGGTCGAGGGATTTCCCTTTCCTAGCCAAGGGAAGCTGTGACAGACTACCTGGAAAAATGGGATACTCCCTGCTCAAATACTGTGCTTTTCCAAAGGTCTCAGCAACCAGCAGACAAGGTGATTCTCTCCCATGCCTGGCTCGGTGGGTCCCATGCCCACAGAGCTTTGCTCACTGCTAAAGCAGCAGTCTGAGATCAATCTGCGAGGTGGCAGCCTGGCTGGAGAAGGGGCATCTGCCATTGTTGAGATTTGAGTAGGTAAACAAAGCAGCCAGGGAAGCTCAAACTGGGTGGAGCCCACTGCAGCTCAACAAGGCCTACTACCTCTAGACTCCACCTCTGAGGGCAGGGCATAGCTGAACAAAAGGCAGCAGACAACTTCTGCAGGCTTAAACATCCCTGTCTGACGGCTCTGAAGAGAGAAGTGGTTCTCCCAGCATGACGTTTGAGCTCTGAGAACGAAGAGACTGCCTCCTCAAGTGGGTCCCTGACCCCCATGTAGCCTAACTGAGAGAACCCTCCCAGTAGTGGCCGACAGACACCTCATATAGGCAGCTACCCCTCCGGGACAAACTTCCAGAGGAAAGATCAGACAGCAATATTTGCTGTTCTGCAGCCTCCACTGGTGATACCCAGGCAAACAGGGTCTAGAGTGGAACTCCAGCAAAATCCAACAGACCTGCAGCCGAGGGACCTGACTGATAGAAGGAAAACTAACAAACGGAAAGAAATAGCATCAACATCAACAAAAAGGTCATCTACACCAAAACCCCATCTGTAGGTCACCAACGTCTAAGACCAAAGGCAGATAAAACAACAAAGATGGGGAGAAACCAGAGCAGAAAAGCTGAAAATTCTAAAAATCAGAGTGCCTCTTCTCCTCCAAAGGATCACAGCACCTCGCCAGCAATGGAACAAAGCTGGACAGAGAATGACTTTGATGAGCTGACAGAAGTAGGCTTCAGAATGTCAGTAATAACAAACTTCTCCAAGATAAAGGAGGATATTAAAACCCATCACAAGGAAGCTAAAAACCTTTAAAAAAAGATTAAATGAATGGCTAACTAGAATAAACAGTGTAGAGAAGACCTTAAATGACCTGATGGAGCTGAAAACCACAGCACAAGAACTTCATGACGCATGCACAAGCTTCAGTAGCCGATTTGATCAAGTGGAAGAAGGTATCAGTGATTGAAGATCAAATTAATGAAATAAAACAAGAAGAGAAGTATAGAGAAAAAAGAGTAAAAAGAAATGAACAAAGCCTCCAAGAAATATGGGACTATGTGAAAAGACCAAATCTATGCTTGATTGGTGTACCTGAAAGTGATGGGGAGAATGGAACCAAGTTGGAAAACACTTTGCAGGATATTACCAAGGAGAACTTCCCCAACTTAGCAAGGCATGCCAACATTCAAATTCAGAAAATACAGAGAACACCACAAAGATACTCCTGGAGAAGAGCAACCTCAAGACACATAATTGTCAGATTCACCAAGGTTGAAATGAAGGAAAAAATGTTAAGGGCAGCCAGCAAGAAATGTCAAGTTACCCACAAAGGGAAGCCCATCAGACTAACAGCGGATCTCTTGGCAGAAACCCTACAAGCCAGAAGAGAGTGTGGCCCAATATTCAACATTCTTAAAGAAAAGAATTTTTAACCCAGAATTTCATATCCAGCCAAACTAAGCTTCATAAGTGAAGGAGAAATAAAATCCTGTACAGATAAGCAAAAGCTGAGAGATTTTGTCATCACCAGGCCTGCCTTACAAGAGCTCCTGAAGGAAGCACTAAACATGGAAAGAAACAACCGGTACCAACCACTGCAAAAACATGCCAAATTGTAAAGACCATAGATGCTAGGAAGAAACTGCATCAATTAACGGGCAAAACAACCAGCGAATATCATAATGACAGGATCACATTCACAAATAACAATATTAACCTTAAACGGAAATGGGCTAAAATGCCCCAATTAAAAGACACAGACTGGCAAATTGGATAAAGAGTCAAGACCCATCAGTGTGCTGTATTCAGGAGACCCAGCGCACTTGCAAAGACGCACATAGGCTTAAAATAAAGGGATGGAGGAAGATCTACCAAGCAAATGGAAAGCAAAAAAAAGCAGGGATTGCCATCCTAGTCTCTGATAAAACAGACTTTAAACCAACAGAGATCAAAAGAGACAAAGAAGGCCATTACATACTGGTAAAGGGATCAATTCAGCAAGAAGAACTAACTATCCTAAATATATATGCACCCAATACAGGAGCACCCAGATTCATAAAGCAAGTTCTTAGAGACTTACAAAGAGACTTAGACTCCCACACAATAATTATGGGAGACTTTAACACCCCACTGTCAATATTAGACAGATCAACGAGATAGAAGGTTAACAAAGATATCCAGGACCTGAATTCAGCTCTGCACCAAGCAGACCTAATAGACATCTACAGAACTCTCCACCCTAAATCAACAGAATATACATTCTTCTCAGCACCACATCACGCTAATTGTAAAATTGACCACATAATTGGAAGTAAAGCACCTCTCAGCAAATGTAAAAGAACAGAAATCACAACAAATTGTCTCTCAGACCACAGTACAATCAAATTAGAACTGAGGATTAAGAAACTCACTCAAAACTGCACAACTACATGGAAACTGAACAACTTGCTCCCAAATGGCTACTGGGTAAATAACAAAATGAAGGCAGAAATAGAGATGTTCTTTGAAACCAATGAGAACAAAGACACAACATACCAGAATCTCTGGGACACATTTAAAGCAGTGTGTAGTGGGAAATTAATAGCACTGAATACCCACAAGAGAAAACAGGAAAGATCTAAAATTGACACCCTAACATCACAATTAAAAGAACTAGAGAAGAAGGAGCAAACAAATTCAAAAGCTAGCAGAAGGCAAGAAATAACTAAGATCAGAGCAGAACTGAAAGAGATAGAGAAACAAAAAACCCTTCAAAAAATCGAAGAATCCAGGAGCTGGTTTTTTGAAAAGATCAACAAAATTGATAGACTGCTAGCAAGACTAATAAAGAAGAAAAGAGAGAAGAATCAAATAGATGCAATAAAAAATGATATAGGGGATATCACCACTGATCTCACAGAAATACACACTATCATTAGAATATACTATAAACATCTCTACACAAATAAACTAGAAAATTCTAGAAGAAATGGATAAATTCCTGGACACTTACACTCTCCCAGGACTAAACCAGGAAGAAGTTTAATCTCTGAATAGACCAATAACAGTCTCTAAAATTGAGGCAACAATAGCCTACCAACCAAAAAAAGTCCAGGACCAGATGGATTCATAGCCGAATTCTACCAGAGGTACAAAGAGGAGCTGGTACCATTCCTTCTGAAACTATTCCAATCCATAGAAAAAGAGGGAATCCTCCCTAACTCATTTTATGAGGCCAACATCATCCTGATACCAAAGACTGGCAGAGAAATAACAAACAAAGAGAAAGAGAATTTTAGACCAATATCCCTGATGAACATCGATGCAAAAATCCTAAAGAAAATACTGGCAAACCAAATCCAGCAGCACATCAAAAACCTTATCCACCACGATCAAGTTGGCTTCATCCCTGGGATGCAAAGCTGGTTCAACATGCACAAATCAATAAACATAATCCATCACATAAACAGAACCAATGATAAAAACCACATGATTATCTCAATAGATGCAGAAAAGGCCTTCAAAAAAAATCAACACCCCTTCATGCTAAAAACTCTCAATAAACTAGGTATTGATGGAACATATCTCAAAATAATAAGAGCTATTTACGACAAACCCACAGCCACTATCATACTGAATGGGCAATAACGGGAAGCATTCCCTTTGCAAACTGGCAAAAGACAAGGATGTCCTCTCTCACCACTCCTATTCAAGATAGTGTTGGAAGTTCTGGCCAGGGCAATCAGGCAAGAGAAAGAAATAAAAGGTATTCAATTAGGAAATGAGGAAGTCAAATTGTCCCTGTTTGCAAATGACATGATTATATATTTAGAAAACCCCATCGTCTCAGCCCCAAATCTCCTTAAGCTGATAAGCAACTTCAGCAAAGTCTCAAGATACAAAATCAATGTGCAAAAATCACAAGGATTCCTATACCCCATTAACAGACAAACAGAGAGCCAAATCATGAGTGAACTCCCATTCACAATTGCTACTAAGAGAATAAGATACCTAGGAATCCAACTTACAAGGGATGTGAAGGACGTCTTCAAGGAGAACAACAAACCACTGCTCAATGAAATAAAAGAGGCCCCAAACAAATGGAAGAATATTCCATGCTCATAGATAGGAAGAATCAATATTGGAAAATGGCCATACTGCCCAAAGTAATTTATAGATTCAATGCCATCCCCATCAAGCTACCAATGACTTTCTTCACAGAATTGGAAAAAACTAATGTTTATATGGAATCAAAAAGGAGCCCTCATTGCCAAGACAATCCTAAGCAAAAAGAACAAAGCTGGAGGCATAATGCTACCTGACTTCAAAATATACTACAAGGCTACAGTAACCAAAACAGCATGGTACTGGTACCAAAACAAATATACAGACCAATGGAACAGACCAGAGGCCTCAGAAATAATGCCACACATCTACAACCATCTGATTTTTGACAAACCTGACAAAAACAAGAAATGGAGAAAGGATTCCCTATTTAATGAATGGTGCTGGGACAACTGGCGAGCCATATGTAGAAAGCTGAAACTGGATCCCTTCCTTACACCTTATACAAAAATTAATTCAAGATTGATTAAAGACTTAAATGTTAGACTAAAACCATAAAAACCCTGGAAGAAAACCTAGGCAATACCATTCAGGACATAGGCATGGACAAAGAGTTTGTGACTAAAACACCAAAAGCAATGGCAACAAAAGCCAAAATAGACAAATGGGATCTAATTAAACTAAACAGCTTCTGCACAGCAAAAGAAACTACCATCAGGGTGAATAGTCAACCTATAGAATGGGAGAAAATTGTTGCAATCTACCCATCTGACAAAGGGCTAATATCCAGAATCTACAAGGAACTCAAACAAATTTACAAGAAAAAAACAAACAACCCCATCAAACAGTGGGAAAAGGATTTGAACAGACACTTCTCAAAAGAAGACATCTATGCAGCCAAAAGACACATGAAAAAATGTTCATCATCACTGGTCATCAGAGAAATGCAAATCAAAACCACAATGAGACACCATCTTACACCTGTTAGAATGGCAATCATTAAAAAGTCAGGAAACAACAGATGCTGCTGCAGAGGAAGTGGAGGAAAAGGAACACTTTTATACTGTTGGTGGGAGTGTAAATTGGTTCAACCATTGTGGAAGACAGTGTGGTGATTCCTCAAGCATCTAGAACTAGAATTACCATTTGACCCAGCAATCCTATTACTGGGTATATATCCAAAGGATTATAAATCCTACTACGATAAAGACACATGCATACGTATGTTTATTGTGACACTATTCACAATAGCAAAGACTTGGAACCAACCCGAATGTCCATCAATGATAGACTGGATTAAGAAAATGTGGCACATATACACCATGGAATACTATGCAGCCATAAAAAAGGATGAGTTCATGTCCTTTACAGGGACATGGATGAAGCTGGAAATCATCATTCTCAGCAAACTATCACAAGGATAGAAAACAAAACACTGCATGTTCTCACTCATAGGTGGGAATTGAACAATGAGATCGCTTGGACACAGGGCGTGGAATATCACACACTGGGGCCTGTCGGGGGGTGGGGGCTGGGGGAGGGATAGCATTAGGAGAAATACCTAATGTAAATGATGAGTAGATGGGTGCAGCAAACCAACATGGCACGTGTATACCTATGTATCAAACCTGCATGTTGTGCACATGTACCCTAGAACTTAAAGTATAATAATAAAAAAGGCAAAAAAAGGAAAAAAGAAAATGTTATATATGTGTGTGTGTGTGTGTGTGTGTGTGTGTGTGTGTGTGTGTACACACATACATACATACGTACCATGGAATACTACTCAGCCATAAAAAGTATTGAAACAATGGCATTCACAGCAACCCGGCTGGAGTAGGAGATAATTATTCCAAGTGAAGTAACTCAGGAATGGTAAACCAAACATCGTATGTTCTGACTTATAAGTGGGAGCTATGATACGAGGACGCAAAGGCATAAGAAGGATATAATGAGCTCTGGAGACTCGCAGGGAAGGGTGGGAGGTGGGTGAGGGAATAAAAGACTACATACTGGGTACAGTGTACACTGCTCATGTGGTGGGAGCACCAAAATCACCAAAATCTCAGAATTACCACTAAAGAACTTATCCATGTAACCAACTACCTGTTCCACCAAAACTATTGAAATAATAATAATAATATTAATAAAAACACTTGAGCTTTTGGGAAAGGGCAGATTGATAGTAACTAGCATTGGTACTGCCCACTCATGATTAGTCCAAGAAGTGATCATTGCCCAGAAGAAAGAAACTGTCTACGAAGCATTTCTTTCCCCAGCCATGGTCACTTCTGGCAGTGCTGCTATATCACTTCTATTCATCTTTCCCCCAAAAAACCCCACATGCATTCCTGTGCCTTCTGTTTTTGTAGTACAAGTTCTCTTAACTAACCATGTTACTGCCTTACCAGGTAAACTATGGCTCTCTATCTCTTCTTTAACTGTTCTGATTGAAAACCATGGGATATGGAATTCTTGCAGCTAAGAAGCTACTGTTGTTTGTATGTAGGCTTTCACTCTCACTAATTGAGTTATTTTTACTCATTATTAGTTATTGCTTACCAAGAATTAGGTCTACTTAATCCTAAACTGTTCATTCCAATTGTATTTATTGTTACTAGGTAATTCAATACAATATTATGCAAATTGATGAAATATAAAATAAAGCCTATTTCCACAACACACAGAAAATATATGCACCCCATACTGGATCACCAAGATATATAAAGCAAATATCAGAACTAAAGAGACAGATAGACCCAGTACAAAAATAGCTGGAGACGTCAACACTCCATTTTATTCACTGGACAGATTAGGTTTAGACAGATAAAAAATCAACAAAGAAAGTCGGACATAATCTTCTGTATAGACCAAATGGGCCAAATAGATATTTACAGAACATTTCACACATTGCTTCAGAATACACATTCTTCTCCTCAGTACATGAATCATTCTAAAGGATAGACTATATGTTAGTTTATAAAACAAGGCTTAAAAAACTCAAAAAATTGAAATAATATCAAGTATCTTCTCTGAGTACTATGGAATAAAACTACAAATCAACAGGTAAAATAATTTTGGGAACTGTACAAACACATGGAAATTAAATAATATGCTTCTGAATGATCAGTGGGTCAATGACAAAGTTAATATGGAAATTCAAGAATTTCTTGAACCAAATGATAATTGAAATACAACATACAAAATCTATGGGATACTGCAAAAGCTGTACCAAGAGGGAAATTTACAACTGTAAGCGCCTACATCAAAAAAGAGGAAAAAAATCTTCAAATAAACAACCTAATGATGGATCTTAAAGAACTATAAAAGCAAGAGTGAACCAAACCCAAAATGACTAGAAGATGTTAGAAGAAATGATAGAAATCAGAGCAGAAATAAACGAATTTGAAATGAAGAAAACAACACAAAAATCAATAAAAGAAAAAGTCGGCTTTTTGAAAAGATAAACAAAATTGACAAAATTTAGCCAGACTAAGATCAAAGGAGAGAACATCTAAATAAACAAAATTGGAGGTAAAAAAAAAGAAGCTTTACAACTGATACCACAGAAATTCAAAGGATTATTAGCAGCTACTATGAGCAACTATCTGATAACTAATTGGAAAATCTAGAAGACATGGATAAACTCCTAGACACATAGAAACTGCCAAGATTGAACCAGAAAGAAATGTAAAACTTGAACATGCCAATAGCAAGTAATGAAATTGAAGCCATAATAAAAAGTGTCCCATGAAAGAAAAGCCTGGGACCTGGTGGCATCACGACTGAATTTTACCAAACATTTTTAGAAGCACTAATATTGATTGTATTCAAACTAGTCCAAATAATAGAAGAGGAGAGAACTCCTCCAGGCTCATTCTATGAGGCCAGTATTGTACTGATACTGACACCAGACAGACACATTAAAAAAAGAAAACTGCACTCCAATATCCCTGATAAACCTTGATGCAAAAATCCTCAACAAAACACTAGAAAATGGAATGTAACAACATACTAAAAAGATCAATCATCATGACCAACTGGGATTTATCCCAGTAATGCAAGGATGGTTCAACATATGCAAATCAATTAATGTGATACATCATCTCAACAGAATGAAGGATAAAAACCATACGATCATTTCAATTAGTGCTCAAAAAGCATTTAATAAAATTCAACATCTCTTCATGATAAAAATCCTCAACACACTTGATATGGAAGAAACACAATAAAATACAATACAATAAAAGTTATAAAAGCAGATCCACAGTTGGTATCATAATGAATAGGAAAACCTGAAAGGCTTTCCTCTAAGATCTAGAACAAGACAAGAATGCCCACTTTCTCCAGTGTTTTCTACATGGTACTGGAAGTCCCAGCTAAAGCATTAGACAAAAGAAATAAATAAAGGGCACCCACATTTGAAAGGAAGAAATCAAAATATTCTTGTTTGTAGATTATAGGATCTTTTATTTAAAAAACCTAAAGACTCAATGTAAAGACTATTAGAACTGATAAATTCAGTAAAGTTACAGGATACAAAATCAACACACAAAAATCTGTAGCATTTCTATATGCCAACAGTGAACAACCTGAAAAAGACATTTAAAAAGTAATCCCATCTACAATAACCACAAAGAAAATTAAACTCAAAGAGCTTTTAAGCTCTCTACAATGAAAACTATAAAACATTGATGAAAAAAATTGAAAAGGTCCCCCCAAAATGGGAATATACTTCACGTTCATGGATTGAAAGAATCTATATTGTTAAAATGCCCATACTACCCAAAGCAATCTACAGATTCAATGCAGTTCCTACTAAAATAACAATGACACTCTTCACAGAAATAGAAAAAGAAAACCTAAAATTTACATGGAACCACAAAAGATGCAGAATACCCAAAGCCAGACTGAGCAAAAAGAAGAAAACTGGAGGAATCACATTACCTGATTTCAAATTATGCTACAGAGCTATACTAACTAAAACAGCATGGCAATGGCATAAAAATAGACACATAGATCAATGGAACAGAAAGGAGAACCCAGAAATAAATCCATACAGCTACAGTGAACTCATTTTTGACAAAGGTGCTAAGAACATACACTGGGGTAAGGACAGTCTCTTCAGTAAAAGGGTCTGGAAAAACTGATGATGCACATGCAGAAGAATGAGATTAGACCCTTATCTCATACCACATAAGAAAAATCTCAAAATGGATTAAAGAGTTAAGTTTAAGATTCAAAACTTATACTACTAGAATACAATATGGGGGGAAAGCTCTGTGACATTAGTCTAGGCAAATACGTTTTGATAGAAGCCCAAAAGCTTAGGGACCAAAAGCAAAAATGAACAAAGGAGATTACACAAAACTAAAAACTCTGCACAGCCAAAGAAACCATCAACAGAGTGTAGAGACAACCTATAACATTAGAGAATATAATTGCAAACCATATATATGATAAGGGGCTAATATCCAAAATACATAAGGAACTCAAACAACCCAATAGTAAGAAAATAAATAATTAAAAAATGGGCAATGGACCTCATTAGACATTTCTCAAAAATAAATACATCCAAATGGCCAACAGGCATATGCAACTATGCTCAACATCACTAAACACCAAGAAAATGCAAATTAAAACTACAATAAAATAGCATCACACAGCTGTTAGCATGGCTATAATAAAAAAGACAAGAATTTTATTATTAAAAAGATGAGAACAGGAATTAGTAAGGGTGTGAAGAAAAGGGAATCTTTATAAACTGTTGATGGGAAGGTAAATTAGCTTAAACATTGTGGAAAAACAGTATGAAAGTTTCTCAAAAAATTAAAAATAGAACTAGTGTATGATCCAGCAATCTCTCTACTGAATATACATCCAAAGGAAATAAAATCAGTATGTTGAGGAGGTGTCTGCATTCTCGTGTTCACTGCAGCACTATTCACAACAGCTAAGATATGGAAACAAGCTAAATGTTCATCGACAGATAATTAGACAAAGAAAATGTGGTACATACACACAGTAAAGTACTATTCAGCCTTTAAAAAGGAAATTCTGTCGTTTGCGACAATATGAAAGAACCTGAAGGACATTAGTTAAGCGTAGTAAGCCAGGCACAGAAAAAAATACTGCATGACCACTTTCATATGTCGACTGTACAAAAGTTGAGCTCATAGAAACAGAGGCTGGAGGTTGGGTGAATTAAGCAGATGCTGGTCAAAGGACACAAAATTTCACTTAGAATCAGTGAATCTCTTGAATAAGTTCAAGAGATTTATTGTACATCATGGTGACTACATTGAATAATAATATACCGTATTCTTGAAAATTCCTAAGACAGTAGATTTTAAGTGCTCTTACCACAAAAATTTAAAAGTACATAAGGTAATATGTACGTAAAATAGCTTCATTTAGCTATCCATATAGCAGGGAAATCACTCTGAGAGAACCAGGCAACTTTCTCCACTCCAAGGTCTAGAATAATGGAGCAGAGACTGTGCCCTGAGAAAATGGCAGTCAATTAGACAGGAAACTTTAAAGTTTCCCCCAAAGAACTAACTTTATTTGAAGTAGTGTGTGGAGAAGTTCAAGTATTAAGAAACTGTAAAAAATGATGATGATTTGGTGGTACACAATTAGGAGAAGGCAGGTAGTGCCATGAAAGAGAAGTTTGATCACAAACCAACTAGTTTGTCAGAGAGAAACAGGGAGAGGGCTGGGCAGAGCCCACCTTGGGTCAAAATACCCACAAAGACTGGCAGCAACACCACCCCTGCAAAAGGGTCCAAATTTAACTGGATGAGATATTGGAGAAAGTATGCCCCATGACATTGTCAAAAAATACAGCAATCAGCTGATAATATGTGGAGTCTAAAATCTGGGTGTGACACCAACAGAGGCAGAGAAAGAGACAAAGAGAGGTCTGCTAAAACTACTACCATCCCAGGGTGACTGTGAACATGCCCAAAGCTACAACCTCTGAGGAGTCACCTCAGAGGCTTCACATTGTAGGGGAAATAGCCAAATAACTAAAAAAATAAACAAGCAAACAACAGTAAAGATAAGGTATAGACAGGGAAAAAAGAGATCCATAACCAGAGTTTTACTTATTTGGTATTTTGAGAACCATTATTGTTCTCGGCATTAGTCTTTCTATCTAATCATTCTAATCTAATCAAATGAAAACATTTATTGAGTGTTTACTGTATGCCAGATAGTGTGTTAAATGCTAAGGATACAATAATAATAAACAAGAGAGGGCAGGTAAGCAACTTTGCTACCCTCTATGCCTCTACACAGTCATGAACATAATTTTGAAAGTATTTAATTATATTTAGTCTCACAAAAATCAGGAAGAGTACTTAAAGTAATATTCAGATTCACATATGATCTCAATTTTATTTACATGGTTTTGAGTGTGTAAGTGTGGTCACGGGGGAAAATCTCTAGCAAGAAATAAGAGAAGGATATCTGAGTGGGGAAATTACAGTTATATTTAGTGGGTGTTTTTTCTCAAAATGCTTTTCTGGGTTTAACTTAGATTATATCTCATAAAATTGCAGTTTTTGTAGGTTCACAATGAATGAAAACAAGTGATTTCATATAGTTTAGCAATACGAGTAGTGTAGTTAAGTAGCATACTTCCTTATAGAATTATTTATTTAAAGAAAATCCTTACTTCTATTATGTAATCCAACCATAGGTCTTTCAGATTGTATTTATAATGAAAACTTCATAGTAATGATGAGAAGTATCATTATTCTGCTGAATGTCTCTGCAGATTCAATTAAATTAAGCTAAATGGTTGAGTTAGATAAGTTTGCAGACTAGGATTGGCAATAAAGTTCATTTCTGGAGAAAGGATTGCTAGATATGGTCATTTGAAGTATCTTGAACAGAACAACATAAATAATAGAGTTAAATAATAGATTTTGGTTGATTCTGAGATGGATTCCTATTTGAATTCAGGGGTAAAAGTGGTTCATTGTTTGGGAGGCTGAAGCGGGCGGATCAAGAGATCAAGACCATCCTGGCTAACACGGTGAAACCCCGTCTCTACTAAAAATACAAAAAATTAGCCGGGCGAGGTGGCGGGCGCCTGTAGTCCCAGCTACTCGGGAGGCTGAGGCAGGAGAATGGCGTGAACCCCAGGGGGCGGAGCCTGCAGTGAGCCGAGATTGCGCCACTGCACTCCAGCCTGGGCGACAGCGAGACTTCGTCTCAAAAAAAAAAAAAAAAAAATTAGCTGGGTGTGATGGCGTGCACCTGTAGTCCCAGCTACTCAGGAGACTGAGGCAGGAGAATCGCTTGAATCTGGGAGGTGGAGGTTGTAGTGAGCTGAGATTGTGCCATTGCACTCCAGCCTGACGACCGAGTGAAACTCCGTGTCAAAAAATAAAAAAAGAGTGGTTCATTGTAATAACAAATGGATCATTAAAGAGGGACACACACAAAAAAATTTAAGCTTGACTTTAGTCAAATAAAATTGCAACTGATGAAAATATGGAATGATAGAATTCATAAATACTAAGAGAAAGATCAGGTGAATTAACATGTATTTGAAACTATTGCAACGAATGTCAAGGTATGGGATAATAATATGCAGAAGAGAATCATATCGTTTACCAAAAAGGTTATATTTTTATCTAACTGTCAAATAATTATATATATTTTTATTTCATTATCTTTATTTTACTTAAGCACCAAAAAACAGAAGGAGTCAGTGTATTTTGCAAATGTGGAAAGATTATTGGGAATTGTACTGATCAATACTCACAAAAACATCTCCTCTCAAGGTCAAATGATAACCTCCAGATTCAGAATATACAAAGTAAATAACAGGCAGTAGTTGCTGTTTCCAGAATTGATTTTTGTTTTAACATGACTCTGGCATTGTTTCATTTTTTAATGGTGACATTGCAATTTTAGCTTACAATAATCACCTAGCAATGACAGATTCTTGTATGAGCCTAATCTTCTTCAAATGACTTATTTAAAACCTTGAAATGTGTATACAGATGCACACTGTACAAGTACTGTCACTATCTTACCTGCTTTCAAAAAAATCATGGGAAGAAACGACATGTTAATTTATGCCGTAAGTGAATGAAGGAAAACATTTCAAATACTCTGAGAAAGGCAATAATCTATTAAAATCAAGTAGAAGAAAAAATTAAAAGGTTCTATCAACTCAGCTATTTATTTATTCAAAGACAGTGTCTAAATGAGCCAGAACTGACACCAGGGGCATTCAGCTACGTATTTTAGTGTCATATCAAATGTACTGGTGTTCTAAGTATATAAACAATATATTTGCATCATATTAGTGACAAATGTCATGCTAACACTGTAGCAAAAGGACTACAAGGGGATTTCATAGCTTATTTACACAATGTGTTTCAAGGTACAAGAACTTATTTAGAATTTTCAAACAATCAGAGAATTATAGGAACTTTAAACCTTTGGTCAGAGAATTTTTATTTCGTAGCATATATACTATTTATATTATTTAGTATAATTAATTCTTAATATTCTTGTGTTTTACAGAGTCAACCATTTTCATTAGGTTCCCTTCAGCATTTCTAGATAAGAACTGTTGACTCTGAATCTATTTTTCTGATACTAACGCCTCAAAACTGCCCCTAATTAGTTAATGGTTTCTTCTTACTAAAATCTCCTTTTGAGAAAAGGCAGGAGGTTACCAGAAATACTTAAATTCTTCCCCTTCTGTACTCTTGGGCACGGTTATCTCTCCTACTTAAGGATAAATCTGTTTGCTCTTCTGTTTTGACAAATTTTCCTTTATCTTACCTAGGCCATTTAAATCTGAGAAGCATCAGGCAGTCTTGCACTGTGAAACTACATGTTCTTGTTCCATGAGAAATGGTTTTGTAATAAATGTCTCCTGTACCAAACTATTTCTCAAATCTTTAAAAGGAACATGTCCTTTGAACTAACACAAGCACATACAGGATGAATCTATTTAAAAATTATATTGTATGGTGATATTTAAAAATATTAAACTGTTTCAAGAAAAATAGGTTTAAAACAAGTTTCTGTTGTTATAGACAATTATGCAATCACTGGTCATCCGATTTCATTCACAGCAATAGAAGTCTAGTACTGTCTGAAAGAACAATCTATGTAGAAATACATTTATTAAACTCATGTTAAGTGCCTCTCCTAATTTACAAAATTAAAAATAATTTTGTAAATATGAGCCTGAGGGATCACCATGTGCTTCTCTTGACATTTACATTAAAGTTAAATTCGACAATAGAAAAATTCTCTATCCTTAACTTTGTAAAAATATCATTAACAATACATGTGGAAAAAATAGACTCTGTTACTCTTTTTCTTCTATCTTTTTTTATGAGACATTTGCATTTCTGACAACTCTATCATTCAACTGTAAACTTGTTCACTGACTTCCACCAAACCTGTCAGTGGAGTTTAAGGACAGATGAGGATGCCACAGTAAACCTGAGTTTTCAAATACTACCAAAAAAAAGAAAAACCAGAAGTTTTTCCATTCAAAAACACTGCCACTTTCTGAGAGCAGGGTGAGAGCAGGTTATGGCATCTGCCCTCTTTGCCTCTTAACCAAGTGCTAGCCCCTTGCTAATTTTTGATCAGAGATCACATGACCCTTCTCTGCCCCTGGGTATTGACAAAGGTCATTTAATATCCCTAAATACAAATATTAGGGAGCTCTGGCTGGGGTATCGTCAAGACCCCTAACTGTAAACAAATTAGAGCTCTGAAAACCACAAGAAGGGTTTGGTTTTGTTAACTCAAAGAAAATGTCCCATTACATTATTTTTTCCTTAGGACTAAGACCTTCCTAATATATTTTTGCATCATAAAGTAGAGCAACAAGAATTCTTTCCAGGTGTTTCCCTGTCTCCGCTTATGTGGAAGGCAGCTAGCGACTTCTTTCTCTGAGCTAGGAAAAAGGGAAATGTAATTCCTCTTGGAGTATCCTTTTATCGCCGTAGTTTTGCCCATTACAAAAGAGATTTGCCAAAATAAGTCTCTAAGATCCTTGAGACTAACAGCTTAGGGAAACTTTCATTCATCAAATCATCGCCACCTAAAAAAATCCAGCAATAACAGGACTGAGCTACTGTGTTCTCCAGGTACAGCCAAATTCAAAATGTCATCTTTTCCAATATAAAAAGAGAATTCAGACTTCTCTACAAGTATAGGGGTAATATAGATTTTCAAGATTTTTTCCCCTTAAAGACATAGAAGGGGGATTACATCATACAATATAGGATAACTTCCTACAAATACTGATTAAACATCTCTTTTTCCCCAAATTTCCTTTCTCTAGTGCAGCTGCCACATCTCCCGCTTTTCTGACCCTTTCTCCTTGACAAACCGGTTGTATGAACTGTCTCTTCTCCTTCACTCTTGGTCTGTTCTGAAAGTAAAGGCTTCTGTCCACATTCCATTTCTGTTAGAATTCAGGGCAATGGGATTGTAAAAATTTATGATTTGGTATTTTTTTGCTTTCACCATCAAAAAAGAAAACAGAGACATCTAATAAAAACTAATGTAATTGTCGGGAGTGTCAAACTCTGTACATGGAAACTAGTATTCAAGAAAAAAATAGCACTTTTGCATTTGACTGTTAGAAATGTAATGGGGACATATAACACAAAGCTACATAGAGTCTTGAGTGACCAGTAACTAAGCATAGTAAAGGTTACCCAAATATCTTATACCATTGATCTCGTTAAATAACTTTTTTCTGAGTACATAATATAGACAAAATTGTATTAAAATATGCTAAGAGATTGTATACTAATTCATAAAAATCTATTAAATGATGTCTTCCCCTTTCCAAAGTCTTGACAAATCACAGTGGGATAAATTTACTTCACCAAAGAAATTTATAATCACTCAATATTAGGAAAAGAAATCCCAAGTTTTAAAAATAAAAAAGTTTCTTCAAAACAAAATCCAGCACAAGAATAGGTCATTTTTCTTTTGTATTCTTTTTTTTTATAGCTTTTGTCCTCTGTCACAGTGTTAACCAACTACATGTTATGAGTTTAATCCAGCCACCACCTATTTTTGTAAATGAAGTTTTATTGGCATACTGCAATACCTATCTATTTACATAATATCAATAGCTGCTTCACAGCTAAGTAGTTGCAACAGGGACTGTAAGATCTGCAAAGCCTAAAATATTTAGTATCTGTCCTTTTACAGAAAAAATTTGCCAAACACTGCTCCATTATACCTCATTAATAATACAAAACTAATTTCAAATCTATTTACTACTAGAATTTTCACTTTTTCTTACAGGTAAATTTAATTTTTTATCTACTGCACAAGATAGTACACTGAAATCCTTCAAAATTCAATAGATGAATCTCATGTGTATTAAAATGCCAGTTGAAACTAAGTGACAGCACTTTACTCATTTAAGACAGTTCTCTTTTATTAATACAGTGTAAATTACAACACCAAGGAGAGGTGTTGTAATTTACAGGATTTTGAGGATCTCAAACCTCTTATAGTTCAAAGATCAACTAATGAGAGCTGTGTGTGGATTTTTTTTTTTTTTTAAATGGAATCTGGCTCTGTCTCCCAGGCTGGAGTGCAGTGGCGTGATCTTGGGTCACTGCAACCTCCACGTCCCAGGCTCCAGCAATTTTGCCTCAGTCTCCCGAGTAGCTGGAATTACAGGTGCACACCACCACGCTGCTAATTTTTGTATTTTTAGTAGATACACAGTTTTACCACATTGGCCAGGCTGGTCTTGAACTGCTGACCTCAAGTGATCCACCCGCCTCAGCTTCCCAAAGTGCTGGGATTACAGGCGTGAGCCACCGTGCATGGAGGTTTTTTAAGTTGTTAAGATGAATTTAGGTGTATCAAGAATGTTCTTAATATCACAATTAATTAGTTTCTTTGGTTAAATGTTAATCCCTTTGGCTTAGACTTTCCGACTATTATGAGAGAGGATATAATATTTCTAAAAAGTCATTTCACATCTGTATAACTTATCTTTTTCAATATTAAATCCCCACTTAGTTGTTTGTCTCTTACATTGTAGCTGATTTCAACAGGAACATTGTATTAGTTTGCTAGGGCTACCATAACAATGTACCATACCTGTGTCCAAATTTCCTTTTCTTACAAGGACACCAGACATATTGGATGAGGGCCCACCCTCGTTACCTCATTTTAATTTAATTACCTCTTTAAAGACATTATCTCCATCTACAGTTACACTTTGAAGCCCTGTGGGTTAGGACATCAACATTATGAATTTTGGCGGTGGTTAGGGTTGGGGGACACAATTCAGTCTACGTCAAGCATAAAAGCTAAACATTAGGGGATAATGAGTTCATGTAAAATCAACTAATCTTTATTATAAGCCCAATAATAAAATGTTTAAATTTTAGAACTGCATAAATGCTACAAAACTTGTCTTACTATTAACTCATAGTATCATCATCTTCTGATTACTTTATTCAACCCTTTTAAAAAATTGTTATTTTTGACAAATTCTAGAATTTCAAACTCTCACATAATCTTTATTTATGAGGACTAAGCTCTGATTTTTTTTTATCTTGCCCAAATTCCTTTTTAAGGGGTCTGGGGAGTCATGCCCTACAAACCATAAATTCTCATCAGATGGGTTTTATTTAACCCTGTATATTGTGACTTACTTTCCAATATGACTCTGACATAGCAAGCGAAAAAATCAAAGTGTTTTACCCCAAAATATATTTCCTTGCCATAGCTTGGAGTTGCCCTGCAAAGTCTGTTGTGAGATAATCAACTAAGAGCCAGGCACCCTTTTAAGTCCAATAAGAAACATTTTACAACCTGCTCTCTGAAGTCTGCTATCTAAGAGCCTCCTCTGAACAATAAAACTTGGTCTCCACAATCCTTTTTCTTATCCTGAACATTTCCTTTGATCCAAGGTCTTCATATAAACTCAACCAATTGTCAACCAGAAAATATTTAAATTTACCTATAGCTTGGAAGTACCCCACCCTTGAGTTGTCACGCCTTTCTGAATGAAACTAAAGTATTTCTTAAATGTATTTGATTGATGTCTCATGCCTTCCTAGAGTATATTAAACTAAGCTGTACCCCGACCACCTTGGGCACATGTTCTCACCACCTCCTGAGGGCGGTGTCATGGGTCATGGTCACTCATATTTGGCTCAGAATAAATCTCTCAAAATATTTCACAGAGTTTGACTCTTTTCATCAACACTTAATTAAAGTACAGCCACTAAACAAAAAAAAAATTACCCAATTAGCTAACCTTAAAGAAAGATTGTAAGTCATTTAGACTTAAAAAAAAATTAGAGATAAAATTGATTAATTTTGGACTTAATTAAATCATTGGACTTTTTTGTAAGTTTCTATTTTCCAGGAATAACATTCAATATAAAGTTCCTATTTGAAGATTATATCAAATTAGGAATGTTAGATGCATGTTTGATGAATCGGTGTACATTTTCTACTATATTGCCCTGATGCTGAGCTGGATTACATCAGGGGTTCTTACATTATAAAGAATATCCAAAACTGACATTTTTGTTATGTTCTTGATGAATTATTTAAGAAAAATAGCAAGTCTCAACATGTGAACATATAACCTAAAAATGTCAATATTTAAATACCTTCTTGAGAGTTTTGGTGTATCAAGGGCCCTAGCTACAATTAACACTACTGTCATTCTTCCGTTTTTGTTATTTGTTTAGTTTCAATTGCTTTTAATCATTCTCTCCATGTCTCAGCTTCCTTAGGGCTTCAAGGAGGAGACTTTCACAAATTACTTAGGGTAATTAAGATTTCTTGGGAGGATATATATGCCAAACCCATACAGGAAGTCATCTCATCAGTTAACACTAGCTCCTAGTTTTTCCAACATGGGTATGTGCAGCTAGCTTCATTGAGAAGCGGAGAAGTAATTCACTAAGTGAAGCAAGAACTTGATTTCAGGTTGCTTGTTTTTTCCCATTCACTGGTAAATAACTGGTTCTGAGGCAGTAGGGTGCTGTCTGGTAGGCAGCACCCCTATTATTGGGCAGATTTGATGCTAAGCTGTACTGAGATACCAAATCTCCCTCACAATCAGCCTGTTGGTAACTTCTCCCCACTTGTGAACCAATTCTCTGTTTCAATCAGCTATGGTTAAAGTTGCAGGATTCTTTTCAATTTCTCTATGAGTTACAGTAGTTTATAAAGGAAAGAAATTGTTAATGCCACTTCCTTAAAGAGTGATTCTGTGTATGGCAACTTGGGCTTTGTGTGCTTTTCTTTTGGCTTCTTGAATATATTCAGGAATAGCGGACATCCAGCAGTGTAGCAAAGCACATGAAACAAGAGTAGTATGTTTCAGAAGTAAGAAAACAGGCCCTCAGTATAATTTTCTAGTAAGCTCACTATCACTTCTTCGTAAAATCCAGTAGCACGTGTTTTTTACGATAGTGGAGGAAAAAATGATTATACAAAACATACATAAATTATGTTCTTATATAAAAAAGTAGACTATTCAATTTGCTTGCTTTTAATATATTCATAAAATTAAAGAAAATGAGTACAACAAATGCTGAGTTGTTAGCTTCCATTTAAAAGACTTAATTCAGAGCTTCAGGAAATTTACTTGTAAAATTAAATTGGATGAGTAATGTAAATGAACTGAAAATTCCAGTAAAGATCATAAATAAAATAGTATAGCTGCAGTTTATCAACTTGAATGGAGTCAGAAATTGGAGTCCACAAAGTGTGACAATTTGAAATAGCCTTATTTAACACTTATATTTAAAGATGTGAATTATAATATCATAATTGTACCTAAATTTATGTATCTATTTGTAATTCTTATACATTTTTGCTAAATTTTTATGTATTTTAACAGCTGAAGAGGCATAAATAAGTAAATAAAATAAATAAAATTTGGAAAATAGTTCACATATATATATATATTTTATCTTTGGAAGTTGCCAGGAATCTTTAGAGCCAAAGCCTATGAAAAGTAATGAATGACAGGGATTCAAACTTCAATAATTATGATAAGCCCTAGCAAGCAAAAGAACTCTATTGTCAGTATCATATTTATTTCTAATTATTTTAACTTATCTGGAACTTATAGCCTCATTTCTAAGGATAACCAGTACAGTTATAAGCTTGTTATCCATGTCCCTCCATATAAACTGCTGAAAGGCATTTACAGTCATAGGTCAATGCATGGCCACCAATTTCAGCACTTAACAGAGTGGAATAATCATTAACCTCTCTACAACTGCTAATTTGACTAAATTAACTTAATAGTAATTAGCTCTAACCATTCAGTTTAGTCAAATTGGGTGATGATTCATCCCAAAAATGTGAACATTATACATCCTTGACCTTTCATCTTTTTATTTTAAATATTCTCCCCCATGTGATGCATGTTCACCTTCATCATCTATAAGCTGATGACTCACAGATCAAAATCTTCAGTTTGGATGTCTCTCCTACATTCAGTTTCATAATAAACAATTTCCCAAGCATGTCTGACAAACACCTCAAACTCAACTAGTCCAAAGGAAAGCTCAGGTTTCTTCGAAGGAGGGGTCAGCTTTATTCAGGTATTATTTTTTATATATATATATATATATATATATATATATATATAATATATATATGTTATACGTAATATATTATTACATAATAATATATTATAATATATAACAGATATATATTATATGTTATATTATACATAATTATATATAATAAAATATACCAATTTTAAGTGTGTAACTTGATGAGCTTAGAAAAATATAGATTATGATAATATAGAACATTCTCAAGACACCAAAATGTTCCTTCTTGTCCCAATCCCCTGGCAACTGTGGATCTGCTTACTATCATTAGAGGTTACCTCTTCCAGAATTTCATATGAATGGAATTATACAGGAGGTAGTCTTTATTGTATGACTTCTTACATGTAACATAATGCTTTTGAGATTCATAATGTTGTGTTTAGTTGCAGTTCGTTCCTTTGTATTGAAAAGCAGTATTCCACTGCATGGATGAATTACAGTTTGTTTATCCATTCAGCAACTGACAAGTTTTTTTTTTTTCAGATTTTGACTATTATGAATATAGTTTCTAGAAATGTTTACATGCAGGTCTTTTTATGTATCTTGGGTAAATAACCAGGAGTAAAATTACTGGGTAATATGGTAAGTATTATGTTAAACTTCAAAAGACACTGTCCACATGTTTTCCAAGACGACTGCATCTTGCATTCCCAATAGCAATGCATGAAAGTTCCAGTTGCCGCATATCCTTGTTAACACTTGAAATAGTCAGATTTTTTCATGTTAGCCATTTCAGTTAATGTGTTTTGGTATCACATTATGGGTTTAATTTGCATTTCCCTAGTGACAAGTGTATTTATTTGCCAAACATATGCCCTCTTCAAGTATTTCACCCAAGCTTATTGTCTTGTCTTCCTATTTTTGAGCTATAAATGTTCTTTACATATGTTGGATGTAGACATTGCAAATATTTTCACCCAGTCTATGGTTTGACATTTCATTTTTTAAGTGCTTTTGAAGAAAAAAATATTTCAATTTCTATAAATTTCAATGTATTATTTTTTATTGTATAGATTTTGCGTTTATATGATTGTTCTATTAGAAACAAAATGCCTAACTCAAGGTCACAGAGATTTTCTTCTATGTTTGCTTCTAGAAGATTTTTAGTTCTTTTGCTCTCATTTTAGATTAATGACTTAGGTTAATTTTTGTACATGATGTGAAGCAAGAATCAAAGGGGTGTGTGGGTGTGTTTATGTGTGTATCCAATTGTTTCAACACCATTATTTGCAAAGATCACTTCCATATTGAATGCCCTTGGAAATGTTGTCAGTAATTAATTGGCCACAAATTTGCAGGTGTATTTCTTTCTTTTCTTCCATTTTTTTTTTTTTTCCAGAGTCTCGCTGTGTCACCCAGGCTGGAGTGCAGTGGCACGATCTCAGTTCACTGCAACGTCCGCCTCCCGGGTTCAAGTGGTTCTCATGTCTCAGGCTACTGAGTAGATGGGACTACAGGTGAGGGCTCCCGCACCTGGCTAATTTTCTTTCTTTTTTTTTTTTTTTTTTGTATTTTTAGTAGAGACAGGGTTCACCATGTTACCCAGGCTGGTCTTGAACTCCTGAGCTCAGGCAATCCGCCCACCTCGGCCTCCCAAAGTGCTAGGATTACAGGCGTGAGCCACTATGCCCAGGCTGCAGGTCTATTTCTAAATGTTGTATTTCATTATCTATATATGTGTACTTATAGCAAATGCACTGTCTTGAGTACTGTAACTTTATACAAGTCTTGAAGTCCGATAAAATGATTCTTTAAATTTTATTCCTCTTTTGCAAATTGGTTTTGTCTATTTCAAGACCTTTGCATCTCCATATAAATTTTAGAATTAGCTTGCCAAATTGTATTAAAAACAAAAACATTCTGGAATTTTTATTGAGATTGCTGTTGATCCACAGATTAATTTAGGAAAATTTATATCTTAACAATATTAAATCCTCTAATTTAGGAACACTTGATATTTCCCAATTTATTAAGATTTTACTTAATGTTGCTCTATGATTAGTTTTTAGTATAGAGAAATTTGGTAAATTTTTCGTAAATATTTCATTTTTTTTCGCTTTTGAAATGGTATTTTATAAATTTTAATCTCCAGTTACTTACAGCATATAGGAATACAATCAATTTTTGTATATTTACCTTGTATCTTGCAAACTTGCTAAACTCCTTTATTAGCCCTAGAAGCTTTTCTGTAGATTTCTTAGGATTTTCTACATAGATAATCATGGTATCTATGGATGCAGTTTAATTCTTTCAAATCTGGGTGTTTTGAATTTCTTTTTCTTGGCTAAGTGCAAATGATAGGAAATCTAGTACAATGTTGAATAGAAGTGGTTAGAGTGGGTATCTTTGTCTTGTTCCAGATACTAAGGAGAAAGCATTTAGACTTTCATTAAGTATCAGTGATGAAGGCTGTAGGTTTTTCAGAGATGCCAATATCAGATTGAGGAAGTTTATCTGTATTCCTAGGAACAGAAATAGGTGCTGAGAGATTGTATCATAAATGGTATTGAGTCTAGTTCACTGTTTTTTCTATATTTATTGGATAATCATATGATATTACACTGGTGACTTTACTTGATGCCCCTGTGTATGAAGAGCTGTTTACTTTGGCTGCTTAGAACACAAATTCTCTTAAACCAAGGATTGCTTTGCTTACCTCTTTCCTGTGCCCCAAACCCCACCAGCCTTGGTAGTTGTCTCATGTGTATGCACTGATCAATCTTCAGCTCAAGGTTTGACGCCACCCCTTGGGAGATCTCCAGAGCTGTCTTTCTCTGTGAAGCTCTCTCATCTTCAGTATACTGCCCTGAACATGCTAGTCAGCTTGGCCCTCTGAACTCCAAATTGTGTTCTTCTCAACTAAGTGAAACCATCAGGCTGTATTTGTATTTTTTGTCTCTGTGCTGCCATCTAGAAAAACCCTAGACTATAACTTAAAGCACTTTTTAGGCTCACTTTTCCCACCTTCTCTCAGCGATTACTGTCCTGTGTTTCCTCTTGTCAAATGTCAGAAAATCATTGTTTCACATTTTTTCCTAGTAAATGTAATCCTTGTAGTTCTAATGTCCCTGGTATTTTAGTTCATGTACCTTTTCCCAGACCTTCTTATCTTCCTGGGTTTCCTGACTTAGCAAATGTTCAACATCTATCCAGTTGTACAGACTGGAATTATCTTAATTTCATTCTTGACTTCAATCTTCTCCACCTCATATTGCCACATTCTTTCAATTTTATCTTTTTAAGAACATTTTCATTCCCTAAATTTCTATTTCCATAAGCTACAATTGGGATCAGGCCAAAATCATCTGCTACCTGTATTGCATCAACTGCCTCCTACGTGATCTCTCTGCTTCCCGTGTTGTCCATCAATCATTGATGCCTCCTTACACATATACTCTAGCCACTACCTCCACAAAATTCATTCTCAACAGTACAAACATCTGACCATGGTCTTTGTAACTGTTCAAAAGTATACCATTTGCCTAAATACAAAGTTGAAATTGTTTAATAAGGTACAGCAAATGTAGTTAATTGTTTACAAAGGCCTTTCATTATCTTGCCACAGCTTGCCTCTCCAAATTTATCTCTCTCCTCTCTCTCCACCGCTAGCCACAGTTTCAAAGCCCTAGCCAGACCTAATATTGACACTTGGTTTCTTAATGTGTTGAAACTTTTGACCAAGTCTCTATTTTGAATTTTCTTTTTTAGCCCCAACCTTCAATGTGTTGCCATTATATCCAACGTTTTACTTCCATCTCATCATCTAGAACCTTGTATTATACTTTCTGTGTGTTTTACTGGCCATGCTCCCTTTAGACTAGACATTTTTTAAGGTCAAAGGCTACATCTTATTGGCTGCTCTGTGTTTAGTATCTGACAACATGATAGGAGATCAATAAATCATTTATTTGCTTCATAAATAAATGAATGCTTAATAAATAAATGAATTATCTTCTGAGTTTGTGCTTATAAGAGATGAAACTATTAAATATATAATATGCTGCAGGTATTCCGCCTTTAATAGGTCTATGATGTGTTCAGACTATACATATCTTTAGCAGGAGAAAATGGCAAAAATTATAGTAACAGCTATTGACAACACCCAAGAGATGGTAATTCAGAGCCAAAAATGTTCCCAGCCCATTTCTGTAAATATAAAAAATATTTCAGCTTTTATCTGCTAAATTTTAGGCTTTTTCACTGAAGGAACCATAACTTACTGGTCTTTCTAAATCTATGAATTCCCTGCACCAGTAGATTTCTTGGAAGGTAGTAAATCAGTGTTTGTTGAATATGTAAATTATTCAAATTGCTTATTAGATAGAAATACAGATACCTTAGGGAGAGGTTATATCCTAAACCTTACCAACTAACAATTTAGTTACGTAGGATCAGGAGAAATAGCATGGAGAATATTTGTTCAGAAAAGCTGTATAAAATCTGAGGGAGAGAAGAATAGTTGTGGTAAGATATTAAAAAGAAAGAGTGCCAACTTCACAGCCCTACGTAGAAGAAGCCTTCCACCAAGTGTTTCTTTCTCCTTAGGCCACTGCATTATTTAGTCATTCATTGTTTTGTCTTCATAACTAATGCTCTGAGCTTAATATATCCAGACACAAATAAATTATCAAATAAATTTACAGGATCCCAAGTGTATATTATCCCTATTTACAGAAGAGGAAACTAAAACTCAGAGAGTTAACCAACCATATGCTTAGTAAGTCCCACAGCTAGGGCTAGAATTAAGGTAGGGCAGCTTTAAAGCCCATGACCCTAGCCACTATACTATCCTATCTCTTAACATTAAGAAAATAAAAATAGAAATATATAAGGGGAAAGACAGAGCACCATATATGGATGTTGGCATCCCAGAGTAAAGACCTTTTTGTATTTGAGTTTCTTCAGCCTGCCTCTTCCTCATGCATCTTGAAGATAAGCCTGCTGGTTATTAACACATCCCCATATACCTCAATTTCCAAATAGGTCACTTTATTTTTGGGAGAGTCTGTTGGTAAAATAGACCTACATCACTGGGCAGAAAATTACTCTATAATCTATTCTTACATTATTAACTTACAGCCTTATAAGATCAGAAATCTGAGTGAAAAAGAAAACTCAACCCTCAAAAGTCAAAGACCAAATGAATTAAAAAACGAAACTGGAACAAACTCAATTAAAATTTAAAAAATCACAAGGACTTAAAATATTCATAAGTATTCATTGTTTAATAAGGATAGTATTGTAATAGCTACTATTTATCACATACTATCAACAGCTACATTTCTAAATATTTACTAAGTCATTCGGTCCCAATTAAAGTCCTATAAAGTAAGTATGTCAATTATCTACATTTTTACTACAGAAATTGAGGCATAAAGCAGTTAAATAATTTGCCCAAAGTTACACAGAAAATAAGCAGCAGAAAAAATGTTGAATACATAAACAAGAAAACGATATAATTTCCAAAGATCAATCAAATAATGAAATATTCCTGGGATTTAAATTACAATTGATGAAATAACTAACTGGAGGAGTGGAACATATTTTAGGAAATCTAGAAATTTAAAACAAATCAAGGTAAAGATGAATAAAAAGAGAAAACTTAGAACACGCTGAGGTTTAATTCTCGTTATCCCATCAGTTTAATATGTGTCTCAGACAGAGAGTACAGAAAAAAATGGAGAAGAAATATAATAAAATAATTTTTTCAGGAGATATCTTTATTCTGAGAGATTTAATGAAGGGCTACTTCCCAGACATAAGTTTTCATGTAAAAGTCTTCACAAGTGCGTAGCAGAAGGAATGACAGAGGACCCATACCTAGACATAGCCTCAAAAAATTTGAGAATATGAAAAAAAGTCCAGGGTTCAGAAACAAGTGACCCAAAAAAGAGTATGAAACAGACTGATCTCAGACTTCTCATCAGCTACACTGAATGTAAGACCCAAATGGAGCAATATTTCCTAAGCTATGAGGTAAAGTGATTTTGAAAATATATTTTAACAATAAACTATGAATACATAGATGGAAAATAAAGTTAGTTTCAGCAATGAAGAGACTCAATGACAGTTATTTTCTCAAATATGTTTTTGGAAAAAAATAAAAGAAGATCTATTCCAGCAAAAACAAAAGAACAATAAAAACAAAAAAGCACACACACATTTGCAGCAAAGAACAGAGATACTGAATCAGAAGTTTAATGAAAATAAGTATTGCAAAGATAGCCGAGCAAAAGTGTACAAAGCAGTTGACCTCAATGAGAAGACTCAGACAGCAGAACATCTTTAAGAATAAAATAGATTCCATTCAAAAAGTAGTAGTGATAAAGTTGGTGTGATCCTCTCATATACTTTTTAAAAGGCAATTTGAAGCTCTAGGAGTAACAAAAATTCATAAAAGAAAGTCATGGCTCACATACGCAATCTCCTAAAATACAACTTAACTTTGAGCCCTGAATAGGATTTAAGAAATGAAAGTCTATTTGACGGTACAGAGTGAAGCAGTATGTGTTGAGTGGCAGAGGCTCTCTGACATAGTGTATTAGTCCATTCTCATGCTGCTATGAAGAAATACCCAAGACTGGGTATTTCTTTATATTCTTTATATATATCTTTATATTCTTTATAAATATAAAGAAAAGAGGTTTAATTAACTCACAGTTCCACGTGGCTGGGAAGGCCTCAGAATACTTACAATCATGGAAGAAGGCAGCTCTTCACAGGGTGGCAGGAGAGAGAATGAGTGCAAGCAGGGGAGGTGTCAGATGCTTATAAAACCATAAGATATCATGAGACTCACTATCATGAGAACAACATGGGGGAAACCACCCCCATTATTTAATTACCTTTACCTGGTCCCACCCTTGACTCATGGGGATTATTACAATTTAAGGTGAGATTTGGTAGGGAACACAGAGCCAAACCATATTATTCCACCCCAGCCCCTCCCAAATGTCATGTCCTTGCATTTCATAACACATTCTTGCCCTTCCCACAGTCCCCCAACGTCTTAACTCATTCCAACATTAATTAAAAAGTCTACGTCCAAAGTCTCAGAAACAAGGCAAGTCCCTTCCACCTATGAGCCTGTAAAATCAAAAGTAAGCTAGTTACTTCCTAGATACAATGGGGATACATGCATTGGGTAAGTACACCCATTACAAATGGGAGAAATTGGCCAAAACAAAGGGGCTACACTTTCCATGCAAGTCCAAAATCCAATAGGGCATTCATTAAATCTTAAAGTTCCAAAATGATCTGCTTTGACTCCAAGCCTCACATCCAGGTCAGGCTGATGCAAGAGGTGGGCTCCCATGACTCTGGGCAGCTCCACCCCCATGGCTTTGCAGGGTATTGCCCCACTCCTGGCTGCTTTCATGGGCTGGCACTGAGTGTCTGTTACTTTTCCAGGTGCATGGTGCAAGCTGTCAGTGGATCTACCATTTTGGGGTCTGGAGAAGAGTGGCTCACAGCACCACTAGGCAGTGCCCCAGTGGGGACTCCGTGTGGCGGCTCCAACCCCACATTTGCCTTCCATATTGCCTTAGCAGAGGTTCTCCATGAGGTCTCCACTCCTGCAGCAAACTTCTGCCTGGACATCCAGGTATTTCCATACATTTCATGAAATCTAGGTGGAGGTTCCCAAACCTAAATTCTTGACTTCTGTGCACCCATAAGCCCAACATCAATATAAGCTGTCAAGGCTTGGGGCTTGCACCCTCTGAAGCAATGGCCCGAGCTGTACCTTGGCCCCATTTAGCCATGGCTGGAGTTAAAGCAGCTGCTGGGACACACTGCACCATGTCTCAAGGCTGCATAGCACAGGGGGCCCATGGGCCTGGCCCAGGAAACCATTTTTTCCTCATAGGCCTCCAGGCCCGTGATGGGAGGGGCTGCCATAAAGGTCTCTGACATGCCCTAGAGACATTTTCCCCATAGTCTTGGTGATTAACCTTTGGCTCCTTATTACTTATGCAAATTTCTGTAGCCAGCTTGTATTTCCCCCCAGATACCCTAATTCATCTCTCTTAGGTTTAAAATTCCACACATCTCTAGAGCAGGGGAAAAATGCTGCCAGTTTCTTTGCATAGCAAGACTGACCATACTCCAGTTTCCAACACATTCCTCATTTCCATCTGAGACCACCTCAGCCTGGATTTCATTGACCATATCACTAACAGTATTTTTGTCAAAGCCATCCAACAAGCCCCTAGGAAGTTTCAAACTTTCTCACATCTTCCTGTCTTCTTCTGAGACCTCCAAACTGTTCCAACCTCTATCTGTTACCCAATTCCAAAGTTGCTTCCACATTTTCAGGTATCTTTACATCAGCACCCCACTCCTGGTACCAATTTTCTATATTAATCCATTCTCACACTGCCATGAAGAAATACCCAAGACTAGGTAATTTATAAAGAAAAGATTCACAGTTCCACATGGCTGGGAAGGCCTCAGGAAACTTATAATTATGGCAGAAGGCACTTCTTCACAGAGTGGCAGGAGAGAGAATAAGTTCAAGCAGGGGAAATACCAGACACTTATAAAATCATCATACATCATATTTTTTGAGACTCACTCATTTTCACAAGAACAGCATGGAAGAAACCACCCCCCCATGATTCAATTACCTCCACTTGGTCTGCCCTTGACACATGAGGATTATTACAATTCAAAGTAAGATTTGGTTGGGGACACAAAGCCAGAACAAATCACATAGGAGATTACATCTCCTCCTTGAAAGATTCAGTTACAGTAATTGGTTCTGCAATGAACATTTCCATAGATTTAACACTGTTTATTATTTTCAAATCTCCAGAATGAACCTATAAACAATATATAAAAGAAGCTGTTATCAATTCTGACACTGTAAAAGCACTAAGACAGCTGGAAGCAGTTGGGATATAGGGGTGTAGGAGAGAAGGGGTGTCAAGGGATCAGTTCTCATAGTCAATTATCAAGAGATACTTGAAGTTTTGGAAAAAGTTTGAGTAAATGATTTCAAGCTATAATGACAGCCAAGAAAAGAACGAAAACTAATGCACATTACAAATTTTTTCGCCAATGAAATAAGAGTAAAGGGGAAATGGCATAAATAAGCTCAATTTATCTTTCATGGTTGGAGTTAATATTATTTTAATTTGATAAATAAGAAAATGGAGCTAAGGTATTCTATTTACCATGGTGGTAGCCACCAGTGAACTAAAATTTGAAATAACTTGTTAAAATTTCAAATGCTTCCTTTAGAGGTTGTGAACTTGAACATCCTCAGAGACTGGCAGGTATTGTAAATGAAAGAAGTCACCTGTGAGAAGATGCTGTAGCAAAGGGACTGAGGCTGCCATTTTAACTTCCAGCAATTTTTGTCAACCAAGAAGCAATTCATGTTGTCAGATGTTCTCACTGTGCAAGAGATTTTTGAGTGCTCTTCAGATTTTGCTCATCAGGGACTACTTTAAGAAATGCTTCAAGAATCAACATTTTATGAGACAAACAAGATGTGCCTCTAGGCCGCAGCTTGCTTATGGACAACCAGTTTTCCACCCAGGTAGCATAAACAATCTTGTTCTATAACCAAGACCTGAAAGTCTCAAAGTAGGTCATAGTCCCCCATTTACTCAGAATTTGAAACATGTCGCAGCCATAAACGTAGAGGTTTAACATAACGAGATCAGGAAGGATACTTATCATATGCTGATCAAGGAAGAAGGTAACTTTTCAAGTGTCTCTCTGCACCTCAATTTTCTGATTCTTAAAGTGAATGATAGCTGATTTGTTTATTTCTAGAGTTTTTTGAAGTGCAAGTCAGAAAATATATATTTAAATTACCAAAAGCTATAAGAATATAAGACTGTATCTTTGTGATAACTTACTCCCTCCCCCCTCCACCAGAGAAGAATGTAAGTTCCTAGGTGGTGGATAATATTTCTTAAGTTTTTGCCTCCAAAATGGAATGAAATGCCTTGAGAATAACAGATGGTTAATAATGAAATGGTGACTTGTTGCTTTTACCACAAAAAGTTTTGTTATTTTATTCTACACTTTTAAAAAACAGAACACATTGCTCAGCTGTTTTCTATCTTATGATCATACCTCTTTGGCACAAAACAACAAAACTACTGCATCAATTAAAATATTTTAGAAAGGGCAATGAATGCCTAGTGGTTGGTGTTTCCTCGGGTGTAGTATAGAGGTAAAAACACCAGTGACAATACATCATATTGTCCTTGAGAAGAGAAAAGAGAATGCTTGGTCTGGGATTTCTAAAAGGCTATGGTCTGCAGTGGAAAGGGGCCTCCACTGGGACTCAGAAAAGCACTCTTCCAAGGCCAGTTCTTTCCCCTGCCAGTTGTGAGACCTGGAGCAGGTCACTCTCCACTCTAAGCTTGACTTCTACATCTCTAAGGTTAGACTAGGTGATTCAGTTCTGAAATTCTTTTTAAAATTTTTTTAATCTTTTTTTGTGAGAATCAGTCTCACTCTATCGTCCAGGCTGGAGTGCAGTGGTGCGATGTCGGCTCACTTCGGATTCTGCCTCCCTGGTTCAAGGAATTCTCCTGCCTCAGCCTCCTGAGTAGCTGGGATTACAGGCAACTGCCACCATGCCCTACTAATTTTTGTATTTTTACTAGACGCAGGGTTTCACCAAGTTGGCCAGGCTGGTCTCAAACTCCTGACTTCAAGTGACCCACCCCCGCTTCAGCCTCCCAAAGTGCTGGGATTACAGGCGTGAGCCACCGCGCCTGGCCTGAAATTCTATTACTGACTTTCAAATGTAACTATATTGAAATGAAGCAAGCTGAAAAGAAAAATGAAAGCATGGATTTAGAAAAAGGAAAAGAAAAAGAAAGAAGGAAGGAAGGAAGGGAGGGGAAGAGAGGGAGGGAGGAGGAGGGAGGAAATAATTTTCACTGTGTTCCAAAATGAAGAGGGTCTAAGCCATGATTGCAAGAAAATAAAATTAAAATGAATTATCTCTTTTCATATTCCTTTAGATTCAAGAGAGCATAGGAGTTCCAATAGATAGGCACATGAAAAAAATACAATTTACTTTCTGGATATTTTTAGATTAGGAAAGGCATTTTATTTCTCAAGGAAAATGGACATTAAACATTACATTGCCCTAATTTCAAAACTATGTGCCAAGAAGGTTAGAGCTGCAAAGGGCAGGGGTTGGGGATGGCTAACACTGGCATGGCAACAGAAACAATCCAGACCGAGGAGGGAAGCAGTCATCTTTATGTAACTTGATAACCCTTGATTCCTCAGGTACCTAATCTAACCAAGGAGACCAAGTATTAAAGAATGGTAAGATGTTAAGTATTTACCAAGTTCCACAATTCTACCATCACTATCAAAAGCATTTACGTTCGAAAGTACTGTTTCTGTGTTAACTCTTTACATTATCGTTATTTCCTAAGAAGATAAAGCTGTGTTTTAAATTCTCACACTTGATCTTGATTTCAAGAAGCAACGTGGAAAGCAATGCATTTAAAGTGGAATTTCTAGCAAGAGAATGCTGGGACTACAACTCTATCTCTATCTCTTTCAAAATTACACTTGAAGTTGGACAAAGTGATTTTTTTTTCTAGAGCACAGAGGTGAATTCCATAGAGCATCCCATATCCAAGAATAATGTACGGATAATAAACTGGGGTAGTGGGGAGTGGTGGAAGATTACAAAATCTGTAGATACAGGGAGGAAAAGTGTGAAGGAAAGTGCAGGAAGAGACAGAGTAGATTACAATGGCTGCTCTGTAGAACCATCTTTAAGGAAGAATTAAATTTTTCACCCCATCTTTATTTTGTTGGAAATTCATTCACTCTTCAGTCTATACTGAAATTGATCACTTGCCTAGCAATATGTTGAGAAAGGCTATATTGGTCTTGAACAGACCTAAATGTATATATGAGAAAAAAAATATATTAGCTATGACTTTCTTGTTAAGCTGCCAAGAACTCACCAGGGCTTTTAAAATGTCATTGCCTGGTTTTCTACTTACCTCCTGAGACTCTTTAGTGTGGTGAGGAAGGAATATGCTGTCTCACGTTTATCTTACCTGACTCTATTCAACCACAGTGAGGTCTAAAACATCTGAAAAGAAATGGCGAGTCCCAGTTGAACATTCTAGTAACTTAAGTGGCACTGGAGAAGGCAAAAGAATCATAGAAAATAGAGAGGTGGCATTCCTTTTTTCCAGTGGATACAGTGAACTTCAATAGTTTCAATAAATAGTATTTAAACATTTTTCATCTGGATAATATTTACATACAGACTTGGCATCCTATAAAATAACATTTAATTAAAATATCTTTATTGGACACAATCCATACATTTTAAATCAAACAAAATATAAATCATTGCTGCTACACGTGTATGGTTCTGGGTACATGTAATAGCAATGAGCTGGGATAAAAGGTATCAGTTGCAAGAACATTGAGATAATAAATTTATTAACAAAAAGAAAAAAGATATTGGAATGTGTCATATGGTATAACAAATAGAAAGAGTAAATAAATATTTTACTACACACTGACCATCAAACCTATTATTAAGCTGTATTTAACCACATCCTCTTATGTTGTTATTTTTCAGGCACAGCAATTCTTTGGAATCCTATTTGATGTGCTTGCCTATAACATTTGACCACACTTACGGCACAAGTGTAAAATCAATTTTCTGTTCTCCCATTTATCTCTGTACTGATGTTAGTTGGCTCTCTAATGGAATGACTCTTCTGGAGAGGTAGTTATTTTACTCAGAGTGGCATTTCAGAAGGCTTAAATGGGCTGAAGAGATGGCATGTGACCTTTAGGAATATTTTTGTTCTACATTTCTTTGAAAAATAACTGTTTAACCCTGTGTATGTTATTACATCGCTGACGCCTCTTTTGTTCCTCTTCCTATTCACTGTAAGAAAGTTTGGCTTTCCTTACGTCAGAACAATGCTGGACACTTTAGTGCCTGTAAAATTTAATACTTGTGTCATTTTTGAAAGGAATTAAACAATGTGTATCATCCAACTTCCTGATAAAACTTTAAGTACAATATCATGTCCTTACTTTATGATAACCTTTTACATTGAATATACTAATATTAAATAAGCTACATAAAATGAACATCATTTTTAAATGTCTTATTTCAGCTCATCTACTTTTGAGGACTTGTCCATTTATTATGTTATTTTAAAAAATAAGACTTTTAGTTTTCTCTGTAGTTTAAAAGTTCATGTATTTTCACCTCTTTAAGAATTTATATTTTCTTTATCATATACATATCTATTTCATTTTATTTTCGATTGAATATTATTTATAAAATCTGAAGGCATAGTGTGTTACTCTGATTTACTTGTTTAGTTTTTTAAATTTTGAGATATTAAATATTAAATTTAGTAGTATTTTTCAGTTGGGTTTCTTTATAACACATTAACTTTTTTAAAAAAAAATCACTGTATACATTGACAAAAATTCTCTTCTAGCAGATGTAATCACTGAAGATTTTTATTTTCAGTACAAGCAACTACTCTTTCTAAATCCCACTTTATTACCCCAAAAGACAACTTTGAAAAAAAAAAAACTTCTTCATGTGGGGGAGGGAGTCTTAGTATCAAATGTTAAAATCAGGCAGCATAGATTTCAGTGTGTTCATTAGGAATAACAATAGCTTACTTCCATCTTTAAATGTGAATAACTCCTGATGACAGACGGCATGGGAAACGTTCTTGACAATGGAAAAGCAAATGTATTTGTCAAATCTTTCTTTTGTGCTCTTTTAGGAAGGCTTCATATGTACTTTAAGGTCATGCTGCTTCTTTAGTAATAATGGCAAAATAGCCACATTATTATTTACTAAGCATACACTTTGTTCATTGAATACCCTTGTTTGTATTCTATATTTATTGATCACAAACCTACTTTACTAATCAATGGGAAGAGGTAACTCCTTTCCCTGGGGAGTTATTGGGACTCAGTATACCACAATATGGATGCTCTGCCTCTATCACCGTCTCATCCCTGAGTCGAGACATTTCATACAGATGAAAGTTTACCAAAACCCTCAAGACTTCCCTGCATGAGAAAAAAAAATGAACCATGTGGGGAAACCTACTTCAGACGATGGAAAGGCAAGAGGTTGTTAACATAGGGACAGGCAGATAAACTTGTAGTCCTGTGTCCTGAATTTCTCCTTTCCCTTTGCCTACTTCTGATAAGATCAAACTCACTATCTTAAAACTTAGAGAATTTTACTTTGCTTTTAAGGGAGTCTTTTCAAGTGGTGACCAGTAGTGGGATCAATCCACTAAGACTAGCCACTAGTGGGAGATCATCCTAATGGTGGTAGTCATATTCAACAGATCGTCAAGGGTGGTAAACCCTAGGAACCCAGATTTGGGAATTGATGTTGGTCAAATATAGTGGTATATTTTATTATAGCAACATTCAACATGAAAGATATATGTGAGAAAAAAAAAACATGCCTTGCATTACTGAGATATTCTACTAATGGTTTGGGGTTTTTTGTTGTTGTTGGGTTTTGTTTTGTTTTGTTTGTATATACATTGTGAAACTGATTTTCTTTCTTTTCCTTTTTTTTTTGTTTTGTTTTGTTTTGTTTGTTTGTTTTTAGCAAATGGCATTTATCCTTTGCTTCCCTTCTCACCTTTATCCTGGCTCCTAAAGCAAAGCAGATTTCCATAGTCCCATTTCCTAAATGTGTGACCTAAAGTAATTTTTCATACTGTGTTGAAGCAAGAAATGACTATCTATACTGCAGCTTTTAGTTAAATTAAGACAATGGATTTGAAAATAACTCACTGATGCCTCTAATTCACCACCTGCCCCTATTCTGAGTCATGTTTGCGTTATTTGAGTATCAACTAAATTCTAAAGTCAATAGTTACTTAATGCTTTGAATGGCAAAACATGGACTCACTTCAAGTATCTAAGTTTTCATTTGTCTAGGTTATTTACAAATCAATACTATATAAAATAGTTTATAAAGTACTTGAGAAATTTCATTTATGAAATGCTACTTTGACTTATCCAGGTTTTTCTGTAATCTTCAGATTTCTAGATGTCAGAGTTCTACAAAAGTGTTTCTAAATAGTTTTGCCCAATCACTAAGCAGAATAGTGCTCATAACTGCATTTGGAAGAAAAGAAGTACTTTGAGAACTGTAATAATAATTAACGTGACTTTACTAAAAATCATCAGCATATTCATTCATGAAGGAACTGTAGTAACATTAAAATACAAATACTAAATATTAAACTTAAAGATTTTAAAATGTTCATGGCCAGGAAGCAAATATTTATAATACATTGCACTGCTGGTGTTAGAATATTATTAGGATTTAAAGAAGTTTTTTTGTTTGTTTGTTTTGATATATAGGGTCTTGCTCTGTCACCCAGGCTGAAGTGCAGTGGCACGATCTCAGCTCACTGCAACCTCCCCTCCTGGGCTCAAGTGATTCTTGTGCTTCAACCTCCTGAGTAGCTGGGATTACAGACGTGCACCACCACACCTGGCTAGTTTTTGTATTTGTAGTAGAGACGGGGTTTTGCCATGTTGCCAGGCCAGTCTCAAACTCCTGAGGTCAAGCCATCTGCTCACCTCGGCCTCCTAACGTGCTGGGATTACAGGCGTGAGCCACAGCACCTGGCCAAATAGATTCTTATGATAACAATTTCACTTTACTACTTCTAATTAACACAAGTGTTTTTTCAGGTTTTCAGCCATTTTACCTGTGGTCCATCTGAGTGAAAAGAGAATAGCACATGATGGGTTCCACCATTTTGATGGTATTATTAGAAGTGAGGACAGGGACACTGCCTGCTGCATTGAATGCTTCGTTCTCAGCTCTCAGAAGAGCACCTCACACACAGCAAAACACTCTATTTTATTACAGTCACTAAATAACTTAACAAGAAATCTGAAATGAGCCACTAAGCCATGCTTTCTCTTTGGTAATAATGGTAAAAGATATTGGACAAATTAGGCTGTCTCTGATTCAACCTGATAGAAAAATCGTGGCCTCATTTAAAGATTGCAGTTTTTTTCTTTATTCAAATTTTATTATATAAGACTTAGAATAAAGAACTGTTTTCAATTATAGAGCGTGCCTGCGGAGAAAAAAATAAACCTCTGAGGACCAGTATCTTCTCCTCAGAATTATTTTATATACTACCCAAAACATTCCTCAGAGACATGCAAATACTTGTTAACAACTTGTCACACACTTTTATTTTGGAGCAATGCTTTTAAATATAAAAGGATCACAGATATTATCTGACCTACCTTTCTTTTTTTCCTTCTTTTTATAGTATTCTAAAATATGTGAAAATGTCATTTGGCCAAAGTTGTATTTCCCGTCTCATTTTTGTTTTTTATATAACGTAGCTCTCATGAAGCAAATAAGCCCTGCACAGAAAATGGAAAAGTGCTTATCAGTTTAACCAAAGCACAATCCTTGATCTGTAAAGTCAGAGACACATCTCTTTTCATTATAATACAGAGGAAGTCAAGCCTTTACATCACGCGAAACTTGAGTTTCTGCTTGTGTAGTTGCTGGAAATCTAAGAAGCCGATGACAGAGCAATGCTCCCAGATATATTGAGCTTTGGATCGTTACACTAAACTTGTTTATTGTATCAGTATAACCTCTTCACTTCTCGTTTTGCTCTTTGTTTTCTTTTTACAAAGAGTATTCAATTGAATCAGAAAGGTACTTATTAGATACCACATTTAAACTGCTTAGGAATCAAAGCAGTAGTTTAATATTCAAATATTTACATTTAGATGCAATAATATGAGCATTTAAGCCAAGTCAAATTTTCAAGGCCCTGATATACAATACTTTTATTAAAAGGCTATTGTTTTAGATGCCTTACAGTAAACTTCAAATATGTGCTGTGATATTTTCTATTTATTGGACCAAAAAAGCTTTTTGTAGTAGACAGAGTTAATATTCTAAATATTCTTTAAGTGTCTATGTTGTCATAAACCTCAAAAAATGCTTTTTTACTAGAGCTTTCTAGTACAGGGAAAGACTCCAGTATTTGGAACGTCTCCATATGGAAGACACACACACACATACACACACACACAGTATAAGGACAAATCAGACTGAAAGTGCAAAAGTAACTCCATGAGATTTTCCTATATCCCCTTAATTCACAAGGTGAAAAATTTGTTTTTGTAAGTTTTGAAGCAAGATGGGTAGGGAAAGAATGGTTGTTTCTCTGCATTTAGTCTTTGGAGCAAACATCAAAAGTTCAAAGGCAGCTGTATACAGGGTAATACTTCGATGATTATATTCAGCACAAAATTTGTTTAGCGAACAAAGGTTTGATAGGCTGAGTTTTTCAATTTTGCTGGATGGTTAACAAAGTTCTCTGAAGGGATTTCTTTTTGTAAAAGGTTGAAAATATAAACTTGTCCCTTGGGGCTTCAGAAATAGATCACTTCACATTCATAGTTTTTAGGAAAGGGCACTTTTCACACTCTGATCTTTTGATGCATCAGAGGATGGTTAGAATTTTTTTCCTTAAAAAGGCTGCTATAATTATAATTTCACCTTTTAGCTTATGCACCTGGATTCTAATTTCTAAGTCTTCCTGTGTACACATTCTTAAGATAGAGATATAATTGATTTTTCTAGATGACTATCTAGTGTGGACCTGGGCTTTTCAGCCTTGTCGCTATTGACATTTTGGGTCAGATAATTCTTTTCATGGGGTGCTGGCCTGTGCATTGCAAAAATGTTTATCAGCATACCTGGCCTCTACCCATTAGATGCCAGTAGCAATACCCCCACCTCAATTGTGACAACCAAAAATATCACTAGACGGGGCCAAAATTTCTAATAAATCATGGATTGAAGCAGATATCAGAAGACTATTTTTAACACTGATTGGCTGTGTAACATCAGATGGAATTTGGAGACATGACTCTGTTGGATGATGAATTAGAGTACATCTTCAAATTACCCAGATTTGTTTTATAGCTTTGCTATTAAATATATTGATTTGTTTTTATTAATTGTATTAATGTGTTCTTTGATGAAAGATACATGAGAACAAAATCAACTAATCAATTAATATATGGTCATACATTTTCAAGAGCACAACAAAGTACACAAAAACAAAAGATTATCTTTAATAGAGAACACAAAGGAACCATCAGATGTGGTATTGTCAGTATATCTTATTCTGAATTTTACCAACTCCTGTAGTTTGCTGTGCCCTACTTCGACATAACAACAAAAATCCAGCCCTATATTGTAGCCAAATAGAAATCTGTAAAAAGTCAGCTGGGTGCAGTGGCTCACACCTGTAATCCCAGCACTTTGGGAGGCCAAGGCAGACGGATCACCTGGGGACAGGAGTTCAAGAGCAGCCTGCCCAACATGGCAAAATTCTGTCTCTACTAAAAATACAAAAAATTAGCTGGGCATGGTGGTGGGCGCCTGTAATCCCAGATACTTGGGAGGCTGAGGCAGGAGAATCACTTGAACCCGGGAGGCGGAGGTTGCAGTGAGCCGAGATTGTGCCACTGCACTCTAGCCTGGGCGACAAGAGCAACACTCCGTCTCAGGGGGGAAAAAAAAAAGAAATCTGTAAAAAGTCACAATCCTTTAAAACATCCCCAGGGATAAAGAGTTAGAACAGTTAATGTACGAAATGCATCATTACTTCTCAACTTCCTTCAACACAAAGGAAAGCAGTTATTGGTTTACTGTATATATTTCAGTGTAGTGTAATAAATAAATGTACGTTATACATATAATTTTAAACACAGTTGAATAAAGTAATTTTGTTTCTAAAGCAGCAAACAGAGATGTCTATCAATCAGTTTAAATACATTGTGTTTTAAACAACCCCGTTGAAGAATAAAGTATAAGAGAGTTAAACCGTTACTATGAATTTTACATGCTCTCCAGTGAGAACCTTCTGTGAACTGCTGCCACCTGTTGGTCATAGATTACAATACATCAGATCATGGCTCCAGCTGGTAGAGATTTTTCAGATACATTAAGAATATTTCTATTGTCATTGAACTTATCAATATTTATAAATATAATTTTTATCACTTGGAGTATAATCATACTTTCTGAATACAAATAATATTTATTTATTGCACAGTTTTTATAAGGTTTAACTTGTAAAAAGTTGCTTCAAAAACTATTGATATTAAAATGGAGTCAAATCTTGCTTGCAGTTAGCTAGTTTCAAAAATCAGACAGCTAAGTGGTATAGTGGGTCACAAAATATTTTTACAAGTGACATTTGAAATTCGTTAGTGTTTACTACACATCAGATCTTGTTAACTGGCACAACAATGATAATACTGTTTGACTGAAGGAAATTGTCAAAACTAACAGCTTAGCTATGGAAAAAGATATAAGGATGTAAACAAATTAGAAATTCCAAAGCCAACTGTATCTATAAACAAGACTGAGGATCTATATGTTACCAGAAGAAAAGATCTTTCATATGAAAATAATAGAATAAACATTTTAGTGGGTTCCTTAAAAAGCTGACAAGATGTCAGGATAACATCATTTGTAAGGAGAGCCCAAAGAAAGATGCTAAATGTCAAATGTCCCTTTGGATCTGTTTCCATCTCAGAACTAAAATATCTACCATAAAACTGTGAAATAATGTCAACCATTATAACAATACTGCTTTTAAAGTTATACAGTTATTTATTCTATATGTACTTTCTAATTTTTTAAATTGACAGAAAAATTATGTGTATTATTTTAATATATAACATGATGTTTATATAGACATATATATATATATCTATACACACACACATACACAAAAAAACACACCACATTGGGAAATGATGAAATCAAGCTAGTGAACATATTCATCACCTCACCTTTTTTGTGTATGATGAGAATACTTAAAATCTATTCTGTTAGCAATTTTCAAGTACTGTATACAACATATTATTATTTACTATAACATTAACTATGGCAAAAAGCACAATTACTTTTGCACACACCTAATATAATCATCATTTCATACAACAGATCTCCAGAACTTACCCCTCCTACCTAACTATAACTTTGTACCATCTGACCAACATCTCCCAATACTCCCTCCTACCCCCAAACCTCTGATAATCACTATTCTACTTTCTGCTTCTATGAATTTAACATTTTAGATTCTACATATAAGTGAGTCATATAATATTTGTCTTACTGTGTCCGGCTTATTTCACTTAGCGTAATGTCCTCTAAATTCATCCATATCATCACAAATGATAGGATTTCATTCTTTTTAGAGGCTGAGTAGTATTCTATTGTATATATATACCAATTTTCTGTATTTATTCATTACTTGATGGACACTTAAGTTGTTTTCCTATCTTGGCTATTGTGAATAATGCTTCACTAAATATGGGAGTGCGGATGTGTCTCTGACACACTGATTTCAATTCCTTTGGATATATACCCAGAGATGGAATTGCTACCCAAAACAATCTACAGATTCAATGCAAGCCCTATGAAAATATCAGTGACATGTTTCATAGAAACAGAAAAATAACTCTAAAATTCAAATGGAGCCACAAAAAACTCTGAAAGAAATCTTGAGCAAAACGAGCAAGGCTGGAGGCATTCTACTTACCTGATCTCAAAATCTACAGAGCTATAATCAAACAACATGATAATGACATAAAAACAGATATATAGAGCAATGTCACAAAATTGAGCCCAGAAATAAATCCATGCACTTATAGCCAACTGATTTTTGACAAAGGTGCCAAGAACATACAATGGAGAAAGGACAGCCTCTTCAGCAAATGGTGTCAGAAAAACTGGATATTCACATGCAGGAGAATAAAATTACACTTGTATCTCACGTGATAGATGAAAATCAACTCAAAATGGATTAAACACTTGAATTTAAGACTTGAAGCTATAAAACAACTAGAAAGAAACATGGGGAAATCGCCACAACATTGATATGGCCAGTAATTTCTTATATAAAACTCAAAAACCACAGGCAACAAAAGCAAAAATAGATAAATGTGGTTACATCAAACTAAAAGGCTTTTGCAAAACAATGGAAACAATAAATAGAATGAAAACACAACCTAAAGAATGGGGGAAAATATTTACAAATTATAATCTGATAAGGGGTTAACATTCAAAATATATAAGGAACTCAAATAACTCTATAGAAAAAAAATGGACAAGGGACCTGAACAGACATTTTTCAAAAAATATACAAATGGGCAACAGGTATATGAAAAAATGCTCAACATATTATCTGACAACTGTTAGAATGGTTATTACCAAAAAGATGAAATATAACAAATGTAGAGGATATGTGGAAAAGGGAACCCTAATATACTGTTGGTGGGAATGTAAATTAGTACAGCCATTATAGAAAACAGTATGGAGGTTTCTAAAAAATTGAAAATAGAACTACCATGAAATCCACTATAAATACATATTTTTAAGCAAACGCTTTGCATTCTAGGTAGGTACTCTGTTAGGTACTAGGGTCTTTCTTAAGGTAACAAATACCAAAAAGGCACTTCTCTTGTTTAAAAAAGGTACTTATCCAAATGCCTTTTCATTTCAATTGCTGATGATTCTCATGAAAGCAATTTCCCTTTCTCAATAAAATAAGTGACAATTGGAAGAATTGTGAAAAAACTGGAACCCTGTGACTTACCTTGCTATGGTTAAGGGATGCAGATAGAAATGGATAGAGTATCAAAAATTAGCACCATCCAGAGAGGTAGAGTGGTGAAAAGTGTGAAAATTCATGAGAAACCTAGCTCTTAATGATTTAACCACTCATAAGCTGGAAACTTGCTCAAGTCTCTTAACATTTTAGGCACTGTTTTCTCTTTGTTACATATCAAGAGGATTACACAAGGGGAGACTAGATGCACACATACTTAAGTTTCTTTTAAACTATAATATTCCACTAGTCTAATCAATTATTAATCATAACTTCATTTTTTAAGAAGTAGTATGATCCATTGTGACTTTCCTGGTAGAGCTTGACAGGGGAAACATAAAGCATCCTGATTTTCTATCAGCCCTCAGATCCCCACGGGATCTGCTGAGTTATGAGTGTTCAGTGCTCCTACCCTCACTTTCCAGCCTGAATCAGTTGTAAAGATATTTCTTTCTCTGGGACCACCCAAGGCCTTATGGTCAGAGTAGGAGGTCCAAATGTAGTATATGTCATCAAACATAATGCTTCCTTGTTAGAAAAGGGAGATGCAAGATATAGCAACTAATAGTCACTAACTTTATGGGGACTGTCTAAACTTGTTCCTGACAACTAGATCTTTAGAAGCTACCTGACCTTGTCACATGTATCACGTCTGTCTTCTGACATCAAATGTTGCTATGAGAGAATCTGAGTTCAGTCCAAGTTTTGTCTTCCATGTGAGTGATTTATATTTACGGTATGAATGTCCACAGTATTTTTCTTTATTATTGAAGCCCACTAATTTTAACACTGAATGTCTTGATACTAATCGCTGTGTATCAATTTTTCCTGGGTTGTTCTAACATGAAGATTTGAAACTTTGTTTCAGGAACATATATTATACATTTGAGTATTTATTTACCTTCTATTTATTTTAGTTTCTTATCAAAATGCTAATTATAAAATCAATATCTACAATCTTTCAGTTATTTTTATGTTGCTCAAAAGCACATAATTACCATACGTTGTTTTGTGTAATTTTTTTTAAACTCTTTCCTGTCCTTAACTGTGTTTAGAACATGTTAACATGTCCCATGTTAGAACCAAGGCTAAGATATGCTCATCGAGATTATGGGTCTTCACTTCTGCTACCAGCTGCAGCATGAAGAGAGAGAAAATAATGGAACTCTTACAATACAGCTTCCCTAGGACAGTTTCCAAAAGGAATCTACTTCTTAGCCTTAAAACCTCCAACAATTTATTTGATTCTTTGATCTTGTTTTGTCTCAGTTCTCTAGACATTTCCTCAATATGTGTAGTTATCTGACATAAAAAATTAAAGTGAAAGATTAACAAATTTGAGAAAAAATGATAAACAAATATGGACAGGAGCTGGGGTCTTTAAACAATTATGTCTTTTTCTATTGATGACTCGCTCAACCGCAAGGTATACAAGACTGACTTTAGAACATTAATCTCAAAAGGTCAATGTCTTAAATGTAGATCTTTCTTTCAAAGAAGACTCTCTAGTCAGTTTCAGGCCTAGAACTGCAGCAGAGACAAAAAATAAAAATAAAAAAGTCCAAGAATGTCCAAGTCATTAAATAAGCTCACATTCTAACAAACAATAGTCAAGGAAGAAAACAAATACAGTGTGTTAGTCACTTAACCTCTGGTAATTTAAAAAAAAAAAGTCATAAAGAAAATAAAATGGGAAAATATGATTGGAGAATGAAATGAAGGACACTAAGATTAAAATGTTGAGAAGCAGGCATTTGAAAATGTGAGGAAGCAGCCCCCAAGCACAGAATATAGTAAATGCAAACAGTCTTGGATAGGAAGAGGCTGAGGACGCAGAGAGTCAGTGCAGGTATGGCACTAGAGAAGGGCAAGTGTATAGAAGATGCGATCACAGAACATGAAAGTCAGATCATGTAGAGGAGAGGGGAGGGGTGGCAGAGACTGACTTGTGTTCTAATTGCAATGAAGCCATGGAAGTGTTTCAACCAGGGAATGATTATGATCTAACTTACGCTTTAAAAGATCACTGTGGCTGCTAAGGGGAGAATGAGAAGGAAGAAGAGGATTACAGAGATTACTTAGACAATAGAACTAATGATGACTAAAGAATGAAGTTGCAGAGATGCAGATGGTAAGGAGTAATCGGATCCAAAATACATTTTCGAGGTAGAGCCAATGGCACTCTCTAATGACGTTGATTTGCAGTGATTTTGGAAATGAATGATATTTTCCTACATTCCTCACATGCAAAATAGTGCTAATATTTTTGTCAATTTATCATGATTGAGACTATAATATCTATGGGAAACTGGAATTTCATAAGTAGAAATCTTTAACTATAAAGTGTGATCTTTAAGATAAGATTAGCTTCAAGTTTTCAGAATACGATTCTAATCACTTAACACTACTAGCATGAGTTCCAATTAAAATCTGCAAATGCCTTTTGAAATACACAATACTTTAGATTTAGCCTCCATACAACAATCTATTACAATTCACTACTGATGCTAGGAAATCATTTATTTCTACAGAAATGTTTATAAAATTACCCAACACAAGAAGCAATCACCCTTTCATACTGATGTTTGTAAATGCTTCACCCTTAGGGTTATGTTTTTATTTTTGCTTTTTTTTGTTCATTCATTTCTGTATCAAATATTTATTGATTACCTCCAATGTGGCAGGCAAGGTGATAGTACCTCAGGATAAAAATGAAATAAGGTAGTTCCGTCAGCAATAAAAGACATTGTCCCTGCATCAGGACGCTTATGATCTAGTGAAAGAAAGGTATTCACACACATGCACATGAGTATACAGACATACATAGACTCTTGATAATTACGAAGCCCTAGGGACTTTTGTTTCAACAACTTTCAAAAGTTATTTGTTAAAAATATTCAGTACTAGCATATCGAAAAATGAAAAGGCTTTTGAATCATGTAATGTGTAGAACATTAAACTGTTATTATATACCACAGATATACCATTTAATAATATGTACATATATTTTATTACTGATTTTAAAATAAATAATTTCATTAGCCAAATCCCACTAGAAAAACTTTTGGTAATTTTCTTGCAGGGTCAAAATAATTTTTTATATGCTAATCCACCTAGGTGACAGAGAAAATGTTTATGATGAAACATAAATCTAAAATGCTTTAAGATGAAAAATGTATCCCTTGAGCACTTAAAATACACAATTTTTTAAAACTAGTTAGGCTTCAAAACTGATTCGATTTTTTTCACATTTTGTGATCTTTCCAAAATAAGCTCCTTTATTTCCAATGGAAAGAAGAAAAACATGTAAATGTTAAAAAACTATTAAAAGCAAAAGACATGTTTCTCTTAAAGTTGACTTTAATTTTAGCATGTTACCTGCTGTACTGTACATTTCATTGAACATAAAAGCTTAGCAAAGACAGGTTTCAAAGCTCCTAACTCAAACTGTCATGAGAAATTAAATATTAGAGGAAAAATAAATGAAAATTAAAGCAATTACATGCCCCATGGTAAAAAAAAAAAAAAAATAGGAGAGATATGTAGAAACAGTTTTACATATGCATCCACTGACCTTCTAGTACTTCAACACTTAGGATTTGAGTTTACAGTGAGTCAGGAGGGTAAAAATGTTTATGGGGATAACTGCTTCACCCATAAAGTAATTTAGATAGAGTATATATTTGCATATACAGTCTCAATCCTTCCAAAAAGCAGTATCATTTCCTAATACAAAGGACAGTAGTACATGTCAGGGTACAACTGGGAAAGAATTTCACCCAGGACCTTGAGAGCACAAGTGTAGACAAAATAACTAAATCTGTCAGTGTCAGCAAATTACTCACAAAACCTATCCTCAGGAGCAGTGTTTGCACTCTCACTCAGTCACGCTGATACCATGGAATCTGTTCACCATCGACAGAGAAGAGGCAGACCCTGCCAGAATAGCACAAGTATTGACTGAGTGCATATCCTCAGACACCCATCTTCACAGAAATGTTTCACCTGGGGTCTGCCTCCCAGGTCCTATCCTCCCTCCCTGTGACACCTTGCTCCTCACATCCTCCCTGAGGGCACTTTTTGTTGATAGAATCCTGACAAATACCTGTCTGAAATATCATAAAGCCATTGAAAGCTCAATTGATTTCACTTACAATAGAAATAATATCTAGATGTCATTCAAATCCAGTTTGATAGGTGCATGACATGGAATCAATAAAAAGCCTGTGGAATGCTTTTAGTAGCGTTTCACTCACATGAGATGCTCAACTTCAAAGATGGCTTATGTAAGTTGAAAAATGCAGCCCCCTTTCTCAATTCCTACATCCATAAGAAAAACACTTGCTTTTCTCCTAATTTTCTCCATGTTCTATTTTTTCTTAATATCCTCTAAATTGTCCAACAATTTTCAAAATACACCATACAGTATAGTGTATTAGAGTTGCCTCCTTCCTAGTCTATAGTGGATCCTGGAAAGGGACAAGAGAATGCACAGAGATTCGTCGTTTGGTGGTAATACATTCTTACAGAGTCTCCAATATTATGTCATTATATCAGTAAAGTTACTTTTTCTCTAGACTAAAGATGGATTAAACCAGTTATAACTCAATTGCTATGTACCTACTGGGTGAAGAGGTCTGCTATTTCTCAGAGAGAGTTTATAGAGGCGAAGAAGAAAGTTTTCCACTTCCCTTTTACCTATTTTGTCACTGTTTTATTTTTTCCAACCCTACCCTCTCTAACATCTGAAATATGCTCTCTGAATCATAGGATATGAAGACAAGTGCATAAAACATTTTTGATGGCACCAGATCTTTTTACTGGACACTCCTGAGAAAATAACAAAAAAAAGCAGAATTAATAAAACTACTTGTATATAAAAATTATGATATATTATCCAGGTCATTAAATAGGAAAAATTCTCTTTCACTATGTCTTCAAGTTGGTTTGGGCAAACTCCTTCATCGATACAGAGGGCTACACCACAGGATCTCTGTCAATTCTTCTCAGTTCCATAATTCTCTTTCTGGGAGAGATGAAAATGCAAACACACAAAGATAGTAGTTATACATTTAAGGAAAATAAAATGACCTAATTTGTTAAAAATATGTTCATTGCAGTAGGTTCTTGAGAGTGTTGTTGAAAATATTATACAGAAATAATTTTTCTTATTATGTGTTGACTCCAAATTATATATGCCATTAAGACAAATGGTGCTCATTGCATTCAAAACGGCTATAATGCTCATTTTCATCTCTAACAGAATCTTGTACACTGTGTAATTTTATATTTTCTATATACTAGGAAATAAAAAGCCAGGTTCTGCCCAATTCCAAACTAACTCTCTGGTTGTAAATTGGGAGTTTAAGTGGCCCCTCAATCTTTCTAAATAGTAATATAACATTTTACATAATTTGAAGAGTGAAAAAGCAATGAGAAGAATAAACTGTGACATCTGACTTGTAAGGTCCTGTAGAAACTTTATTTTATGAAAGAATAATTTATTTGGTGTGCATTCCGTGCAAGGCAATGTGCTAACCAGTAATGATACAAAGATAAACTTACAGGTTGCCAGAAGATGAATTGTAAGAGGTACTTAATATTTACAGAGTACCTTTGAGTGGCAGGCAGTTTATAAACATCTTCTCATTTAATCAGCACAGCAATCTATGAGCTGGTTTTATAGGACACAGAGAAAAAGCATCAGAGAGATCTCTGTTTTGATTCTCTATTTACTACACAATTATGGTAAGTAGTTCACAATGATTTAATGGTTAGAAATTATCAGAATTTTCCTTGCTTATTTGCCCCATTATCATATTTAGATTCACAGGAATGAATACAGCCAACTATACTTAGAATCATGGAACTAGGAAGAAATTTCCTTGTTCAAGTTAAATTAAGTTCAACTGAAAATAAGAGAACATCTTATAATAATAGTGGCTTGAAGTTAGAAATTTATTCCTCTTTCAAGCAAAGAAAATCTGCAGGAAGACAACTTAGCATCAATATGAATGTTGCATGAAGTTTTCAGGGTCATGACTCCTTTCATCTCACTAGTTTGCCATTCTTAGGTGTAGTGGTTCTACACTGGATTCTTCTTTGTAATTCTACACTACTCCCAGTGCTCCTGCCATCACATCTACATTCAAGGAAGCATGGTGAAAGAAGCAGTGAAGAAGGGCTCAGTCTCTGTCTTTAAAAACTTCCTGGAATTTACTCCTAAAACTACTGCTGATATCTCATTTGCCAAATGAAAACATGTCCAAATCTTGCTACAAAGCTGAGAAACGTAATCGTTGGCTGTGGCAATGTGCTCAGCTAATAGCCTTATTCAGGAAGAAAAGGAGAATAGGTATGAGGAGGCAACAAAAAGTGCTACATTTAAGAAATAAACCGATGTATCAACCAGCGCTCAGAAGGAAAAAAAAAAAAAACACCTATATTCTGTCTTTCATAGACAGTAGAAAAAGTTCTATCTTTTTAATAGACGAGGACACGCAAATCTCACAATCCAAGCACTTGACATTAATTTTCATTGTATCTAAGGGTTGAAAGTCAAAATATTATGAACTATTGTGAATATGCCCAACCAAACAGATCAAATCTTCTGACATATCACAATGAATGCCAGCTATAAACAACCAGCATGGCTGTACTGGTACACACCAGGACAACAGAAACTCTGGATGCTTCCTTTTTAATCTAATGCCAGAGGTTTATATTTAAATTAAAAAGAGGAAGTTGTGATGGTGTTCCAGTGTGTTAGCCCAAGTTGTGTGACTCAGCCTAGCCACACAATTTGGGAAAGCTAGAGATTGCTAGAGGGTTTGGTAGGGCCAGGGGTCTTTTGTGTAAAGAAATTGGGTGGTTTCTTGGATGAAAAAATTATGTCATCTAGTAGCTGACAGCTAGCTCTCTATACTAAGAGGAACAAAGGCCCCTCTTTTGCCCCTACTCCTTACTCCGAGATACTACACAGAGGGAAGTTTATATCAATGGGAGGAAGTATCAAGGCATTAAATCTGACATGGATGGGACTTATGTATTTTGGGAGGGAGCTATCTGGCCCATTGAGATGCTTTGATATTGTTTCCGCAGGAAGAATTTATCATAAGCCTTGAGAGAGGAAATAAAATAAAAGCTTTGCCACTAGACTTTCTTTCAAAACTAGGGCACATAAGGCAGTAATACTTTGTAGCAAAATGCAGATGAAGAGGCAGCATTTTGCACTGGCCTATGAATTCTCTAGCTTCTGGAGAAGCTCATGCAGCATTACTGCCTTTTGGGGCAACCAAAGGAAAAGACGAATTAGTTTGAAAAAAATAACTCATGTCGAAGGCTATTGTCTGAGTTAGAAGCTGAAGCCACCAGCCTTCCCAGAGCAGATAAGCTGAGCTTCCTGAGCAATGGGTAGGCCTCATTCACCAATCTCATTCCAAATTCTGAAAAACTTTCATTATTAGGATTGTCAGACAAGTTCCTGTTTCTGTTGACTTATTTTTGTGTAAATAAATCTCAGTTTCCAAATGAAAAAAAAAATGGCAGTGTACTGGCTGCATGGGCTGTAGGTAGATTTTCCAGATGACTGTGACAGCAGAGATCCATTAGAATGGGGCAATACTTCTCCTTTCAGGACCAGGAATCCAAGAATCACATGGATGAAAATAAAGGAAAACAGCAATGTTAAAGACAATATCCAGGGATCCCACTTACAGCCAGGGATAGTTTTCTTTGGGGCTCCCTAAGACAACCCTTGGATTCAATGATTTGTTAGAAAGACACTGAATTTTTATTATATTTGTGGGTACATAACAGGTGTATATATTAATGGGGTACATGAGACGTTTTGATACAGGCATGCAATTGGAAATAATAACATTATGGACAATGGAGTATCCATCTCTTCAATCATTTATCCTTTGAGTTACAAACAATCCAATTACGCTCTTTATTTTAAAATGTACACGTAAGTTATTATTGACTATAGTCACTCTATTGTTCTATCAAATAGTAGCTCTTATTTATTTTTTCTGCTTTTTTTGGTACCCATTAACCGTCCCCACCTCCCTTCAAGCTTCCCACTACCCTTCCCAGCCTCTGGTAACCATTCTTCTACTTTCTATGTCCATGAGTTCAATTGTTTTGACTTTTAGATCCCACAAATCAGTGAGAACATGCAATGTTTGTCTTTCTGTGACTTATTTCACTTCACATAGTGATCTCCAGTGCCAACCATGTTGTTGCAAATAACTGGATCTCATTCTTTTTATGGCTGAATAGTACTCTGTTGTTTATATGTATCACGTTTTCTTTATCCATTCATCTGTTGACAGACACATGGGTTGCTTCCAAATCTTAACTATTGTATTTTTCTATTTCTGTGAAGAATGTCATTGATACTTTGACATGGATTGCACTAACTCTATAGCTTGCTTTGGGTAGCACAGGCATTGAAGCAATATTGATTCTTCCAATCCATGAACATGGAATATTTTTCCATTTTTTTGGTGTCCTCTTTAATTTTTTTTCATTAATGTTTTATAGTTTTCATTATAGAGATTTTGGTTAATTCCTAGATATTTAATTTTACTTGTGGCTATTGTAAATGGGATTACTTTTTTATTATTTTTCAGATGGTTCACCGTTGGCATATAGAAATGCTACTGATTTTTGTATGTTGATTTTATATCCTGCAACTTTACTGAATTTGTTTATCAGTTTTTTGGTGAAGTCTTTAGATTTTCCAAATATAAGATTATATCATTTGCAAACAAGGGTAACTTTACTTCTTCCTTTCCAATTTGGATGCCCTTTATAACCGTCTCTTGTCTAACGGCTCTAGCTAGGATTTTCAGTACTTATGGTGAATAATACTGGTGGGAGTGGGCATCCTTTTCCTGTTCCAAATCTTAAAGGAAAGGCTTTCAGGTTTTCCCCATTCAGTATGATACTAGCTGTGGATCTGTCATAAATGACTTTTATTATGTTGAAGTATATTCCTCCTATCCCCAGTTTTTTAAGGGTTTTTATTATGAAGGAATATTTAATTTTATTATGAAGGGATATTTAAACTTATCAAATGCTTTTTCAGCATCAATTGAAATGATCATATGTATTTTATCCTTCATTCTGATGAATGATGAATTACATTGATTAACAGACTTCGGTATGTTGAATCATCCTCACATCCCCGGGATGAGTCCCACTTAGTCATGATGAATGATTGTTCTAATGTATTGTTGAATTCAGTTTTCTAGTATTTTGCTGAGGATATTTGCATCAATATTCATCAGAGATAATGACCTGTAGCTTTCTTTTATTGATGTTACTGCTTTTTCTTGTTTCTATTTGCATGGAATACATTTTTTCATCCCTCTATTTTCAGTTTATGTGTGTCTTCACGGTTAAATGTGTTTCGTGTAGGAAACAGATCAATGAATCTTGTTTAGTCATCCATTTAGCCAGTCTATGTCTTTTGATTGGAGCGTTTAGTCCATTTACATTCAATGCTATTGTTAAGTAAGGACTTACTGCTGCCATTTTGTTATTTGTTTTATGGTTGTTTCATGATCTTCTCTTCTTTCTTTCCTTCCTGCCTTCCTTTAGTGAAAGTGATTTAGTTTCTTGCTTTTTGTTTTTTGTGTATCCTTTGTATGTTCTTTGATGTGAGGTTAACATAAGGCTTGCAAATAACCCATTATTTTAACCTGATAACAACTTACCACTATTTGCATAAACTAACATCAAGAAGAAAACTAATAAAAACTCTAAACCTTAACTTTGTCCCCTTGCTTTTTAACTCTGTCATTTCTATCTTATGGTACTGACTATAAAAAGCTGTTGTAGTTATTATTTTTGATTGGTTCATTGTTTAGTCTTTCTACTTTAAGAATAGGTTACATACCACAGTTACAATGATATAATATTCTGTGTTTTTCTCTGTAGTTGCTATTACCAGTGAGTTTTGTATCTTCAGGTGATTGTTTATTGCTTCTTAACATCCTTTTCTCTGATTAAAGTACTTCCTTTAGCATTTCTTAAAGGACAAGTCTAATATTGATGAAATCCCTCAGCTTTTATTTGTCTGGGAAAGTCTTTATGTCTCCTTCATGTTTAAATGATATTTTCACTGGATATACTATTCTAGAGTAAGAGTTTTTTTTTTTTTTCCTTCAGCACTTTGAATATATCATGCCACTCTCTCCTGGCCTGTAAGGTTTCCACTGAGAAGTCTGCTGCCAGATGTATTGGAGCTCCATTGTATGTTTTTTCTTTTATTTTGCCCCTTTTAGGATCCTTTCTTTATCTTGACCTTTGGGAGTTTGATTATTAAATGCTTTGATATAGTCTTCTTTGGGTTAAATCTGCTTGGTGTCCTATAATCTTCTTGTACTTGGATATTAATATTTTTCTCTAGGTTTGGGAAGTTTTCTGATATTATCTCTTTGAATAAACTTTCTACCCCTATCTCTTTCTCTACCTCCTCTTTAAGACCAGTAACTCTTAGATTTTCACTTTTCAGGCTATTTTCTAGATCCTATAGCCATGCTTCATTGCTTTTTATTCCTTTTCTTTGGTCTCCTCTTTGTATTTTCAAATAGCCTATCTTCAGGTTCACTAAGTGATTTCTTCCGCTTAATCAGTTCTGCTACTGAGAGGCTCTGATGCATTCTTCAGTATGCCAATTGCATTTTCAGCTCCAGAATTTCTGCTTGATTCTTTTTAATTATTTCAATCTCTTTGTTAAATTTGCCTGATAGAATTCTGAATTCCTTCTCTGTGTTACCTTGAATTTCTCTGAGTTTCCTCAACACAGCTTGTTGTGAATGCTGCCTAGCCTTGGACTCATCCTTCAGGATTATGAGCTTCCTTTCTGGCCCAGGGAAGGTCCAGAAATGCCATCCAAGAGCCAAGTCCTGGAATCAGAGACCTCAAGAGCCCACTTGGTGCTCTATCCCACTGTGACTGTACTGGTACCTAACGTGCAAGACAAACTCCCGTTTACTTTTTCCTCTGCTTTTCTCAAGCAGAAGACGTTTTGCCCCATAGCCATTACAGCTGGTAATGTGCTGAGTCCCACCTGAAGCCAGCAAGTCTCAGAGGTTTACCCAAGGCACTCAGTATAGTACCTGGGTATCACTACTTGTTATTCAGAGCCCAAGGGCTCTTTAGTTAGTAGGTGATGAATGCTGCAAGGATGGAGTCCTTTCCTTCAAGGCAGGAAATTACCTTCTGGACAAGGATGTGTCTAGAAATCTCATCTGGGAGCTAGAGCCTGGAAGAGAACCTTACAACTCTGACCAGTACCTGATCCTGCTGTGGCTGAGCTGGTATCCTGGATGTAAGACAAAGTCCTCTCCACAATTCCCTCTACTGTCCTCAGGCAGGAAGAGTCTCTTTCAGAATCACAAGCTGTGCAGCATGGGATTAAGGGAGGGATGATACCAGCACTCCCTTGGCTGCTCCAGCTGGTGTCTCAGTAGGTCACATGCTCCCTACCAAACCCCCCCCAGTCCACTGTCTCTGGGCCTAGTTTAGCCCTAGAACTTGCCTAAAAGTTGCAGACCTTAAGGCCTAGACTGCCTTTTAAACTTATTTGAGACACAGAGTGCTGTAGCCCTCAGCGGTGAGCTTTGCACGCACTCAAGTTTCGACCACTGGGACTGTCAATGCCCCTCTGGCTAGGGCTGGTTCAAATGCTCTCTCCATGGGTGAGCCTCAGCTGAGTTTGGTCCAGTTTTCCTTTCTGCTCTAACAGGAAAGCACTGAGTTTAATGCCTCACAACTGCTGTGTTCTCACCCCAGCACCCAGAGACACTCTTCACACCATGCCCATCAGTGGGATTGGGGGGGGTGGGGGGGTAGCATAGGTGATTTACAACTGTTTTTTCCATCCCTTCAGTGCCTCTTTCAGCAACGTGAAGTTAAAGCCACGTACTATGAGTGCTCACCTAATTTTTTGTTCTATGAAAGTGTTTTTTTCCGTGTAGATAGCTGTTATTAACTTGGTGTCCTTGCCGGACGGGAGATGGGTACAAGGTGGAGCTTCCTATTCTGCCATCTTGACACATAGAATTTTAAAAAGAGCTTATAGTGACAGATATGGCTTATTATAGTGGAAATATACAAATTAAAATCACCCCAAAAGCATATCAGGCAAAGTCCAGGAGAAACTAGGTGCAAGCTCCCAGTTATCTTCTGTCAGTGGAGTCACGCCTACACCATTCAACTCTTCTTTAAGAAATGTTATAGCACACATAAAGTATTACTAATCAGGGAGGCTCCCCTGAGCCTTGGTGTCCAGGATCTTTAATGGGACTTGGTCACATAGCCATAGCTGACCACTCTCATGGGTCTTCGGACCCACCTGGAGGTCAAAAAGTCAAGCTCATCTATACGATCCAAGGCCCCCACAATCACATTTTAGTAATAGAGTATCTGGCATGGGCCAAGGCCTCAGGTAAGCAAATACACTCCTATCAGGCAGAAGGTCAACTTGCTGAGTTAATCCTTTATTGCCACCGGTGGAAAATGAATTAGTTTGTTGTTTATGAGATTCTAAAGAAATTTTTACTTGCTTTAATTACTTCATTTTACTAGGGACTGAAATGCTGAAAAATTCCTATGTACACAATCTAGAATTTTATTTGAAAAAAAATTATAAATTATATAGTTTGATCCGTTACTTTAAAAATGAGAAAATTAAAATTCAGAAATAGCGATTTGTTTATGCACTCTAACTTCAAGCCTGCTGGCATTTAACCTGTTGCTCTTTAAACATATTAATTTAAAAATCAGCTCTAATGATTTTTCCTTATTTTACATGGAAATAGAGAATACTCATTTAATGCAAGTGTACACATAAGAGAAAATCCAGATTCATAAAGCCTTTGATTGAATTTATATTTATCTAACTTTGTTAATTTTTTTAAGTAAACCTCAATTTTTTAATTATTCTATTGGAAACCCTTTAACAATAATAACCAAAATTCTAATCTAGGCTGTATGTGTCCCTGAACAACCATGATGTATTTTGGCATTTAAATGTTCTCACTGCTTTCTCCTTCTGGTGCCCAAATTTGTATCAAAGCTGACCATCTCATTAGACCTGAAGATTTAGGTGTTTTTTTAATTGTTATTTTTTAAGTTCTGCGATTCATCTGGGGAAGGAAGCAGAAAGAATACAAGGGTCTCTCACCTGCTCCCTCCCTGGTGTCCTTGGTCTGCCTTAGACAGGCTTCCACCTGAGGATATATGCGTTGTGCTCTGCACAAAAGTGCTCAGAAGAGAATATGGTCTGGCTGACATCCAGACCATATTCTGTTTGCCCAGCCAGTGGCTGCCCAGGAATATATCCAATGAGAGGGCTGCCTCTTTTCAGTTCTCACCAAGGTCCTACATGGCCAGCTGCAGCCTTGGCCTTAGAAGCTGTTTGTCATCATCAAGGTGGCATTCGGGTTTCTGCTCCCATATTGGATATTTTAATAGATTTATAGGAGTCTCTAAATTTTTTTGAAGCTGCCCCCTTCTCAGTAAAATCAAAAAGTTGTCAGCACTCTAGACATATACAGTAGCTTTTTAATGTTATATTCATGTTTTAACAAATGAATCTATTATATATTGTAAAACATGATAATATAACATAATATCAATACAATAATACAAATGATAAACTTAAAAAAGAGTGGTAGTTCTTATCTATTTTTCCTGGCCCCCAGTGGAAACTCGTGTCTAATCATTGAAAAATACATCCCCACTTCAGATACTACTGTTCTAGAAAACGAATCTTGGTTCTAAAAATTATTTAAACATATACCCACACTCCTCTGAACTATTTATCCCCCTGGGATGACAGTCTGCCCAGCTGAATCATCTCCACTGAATGCACCCAGACAGCTGCAGCTCTCAACAGAAGCTCTCTAACAGCATTTTAAAAGGAAGGCCTGTTTCTTAAAACATTATAACATATTTTAAACATACATAAAGAGTTTTTAAAAATCACACTGATTTCCTCACATTGACCTAAATTCCTAAGTTTAAGTCTTCTGTATCCTGATCTGTCAATGGTGGGAGTGGAAAACATCTGCTCTCATTCTGTGTGTGTGATTTCTTCAAATAATAGTGACAATAATATCACTATTATATAAAATGGCCACTTGTCTAATTTTAAGTCACATATTAATTGGCTATTGGTGTCCTAGTGCATTTTGCTGAGCAGAATGATAGAGTCATTAGGACACAAATCTATCAAGGATATATAACCATTTAAGGAAATGAATGCTCTTTGATTGTTTTGGCAATTCAAACAAAGCCTGTGAATTCAGCCCAAGCACCCAGTGGACTCTGCAAAGCTGCAATTCTAGGCAGGCACAAGGGCCCATTTGACTTCACTACAATCACAAAAATGCAGGCACACTAGAGATTCCAGGGGACTGAAGAAGAATTAACAATGTGAGCTGCCATTTGACTCTGCCAACATTATTTAGATCATCCTTGTAATCACAGGATCGTGCATCCTCCAGACAAGGCTTTGGACAGAGAAAATGACCCCCTGAAGGATTAGCAGGCTTGGCTCTGTACCCCAGCCTCTGAGACTGATCCAGGGCAAGACCACAATCTTTTCTTACCTCCGTCCCTTTAAAGTGTGCCCTCAGTGGGACAATGATGCTTTCTGTCATTAGATTTGGCACACTTAGAAACACATAAAATGTTAAAATTGCTAAGGCAAATTTGTATGAATGTAGGCAAACTTTCAGAGAGCTCAAATTTCTGAAAAGTATAATCCACCACAGTTTACTCTGAGGAACAGACAAGGAATTCTGCCAAATTATGCATTATTTTTCTGCATATACTTAAAAGATAAAAACATGACGCTAACTGATGTCAGCATCCTACACACTCAAAAATGAAAATCCAGTATCTGCTTTTAGAGATTCACTGAGCAAGATTATGTCCACACTTATTAAACTGAAGGTTGAACTGCAGCTACTGTGGCGAGGTTGGGGGTAGAGGAGCTATTTAGGAAAGTAGTTGAGGTGAAAATAAAAGCCCCAAAGCTATGGTTCCCCAAGACCAAGGGGGTTTATTTTGATGGGTCCTTCAAATGGTAGAGAGCTCCACCTTGTTCCCTCAAGATGCCCCTGGGAATTTGTAGGATACAAAGAAAGAAATAGTGTATGGTAAGTCTGAGAAGCCAGACACCATGTCCTCAGCTCACAGCTTAGACTAAATCTCTCATAACCAAGTTGATTTGAAAGCAGTAAAGCTAACCACTGGGCTTGGACAATGAGCAAACAGAAGTGATTAATATGGGAGAAAAAAGGGGACTACCCCAAGTATCAGATGACCTTAGAAAGGAGAGCTGCTGCTAATATGACAGAATGACAGAAACTGATTTTTTTTCCCAAATTAGTGGGTGGGTCTGGAGTAGATATCACTCAATCTTTTAAAAATTCAAGTACAGCAATTCATATACTCACAAAGATGGGTAAAAATTATACTGTACTACTAATATCTCACATCCATTGGAATTGATTGATTTATAGTCTGCCTCATTTGAAATTTGATGTAAGAAAATGGTTGTCATTCTGGTAAGGATCATCTCTTTTTCTAACCCTCAAGTTATAATAAAAAGTATTTGCGAAAAAAAGTATTTGTGAAAATGAGAATATAATTCCAGTATAACAACATTATTTTTGTTAATCATAACAAAGGTTGGCATCTACTATGCAACCTGTTGGTTTTTCTAAACTAAAATTGTATAAATATATAATTGTTTATCATGTACATTATGGTATTAATTTTCTAATATCGTTTGGGAAGAAGGTATTCACCAGAAGTAAGCAAGTATACATGTGTTTTGTCTTTATTTTAAAAAAATAAATATTTTAGCCATATTAGAAAGTATGTAGAGTAAGAAACATCCATATACTCATTATAGGTAGAATTGAAAGCTTTCTGTTCAATTTCCAAACTCTGTTAGATGTCATCGAAATTCTGATCTTGGCATTTAGATTCCCATAGACGTTTCTTATAGTTGTACCAATAATTATGTATTTGAAAACTATATAAAAATTTTCTACATTTGAAAATGTACATAAGTAATATTATATATGTGTGTATACTGAATATATGTGTGTATATATGTGTATACACACACGTGCACACACACATACCTTCTGAAACTTGCTTTTTTGACTCAAAATTACATATTTGCAATTTACCAGGGCTGATATAAGTAGTTGTAGTCCATTCATCTGCTATACACTATTCCATCAGATTTATCCATTCTCTAACTGATGAAAATTTATATTGATTCCAAATTTTCATACTACAACAGCTCTCTCAAGCAATCCTTGTTTGTGTCTCTTTGTCCACAAGTGTAATAATTTTTCTAAAATAAACCTAGAAATAAAATTGCTGATGCTGAGGGTATAAACATTTTCGACACTGTGGAATTGCCCTCTGAAGAAGATGTATTGATTTATCACCTGTCACCAGCATTGTATGAGACTTTCCATTTTATCATATTCTTAACATATGGCATTGTCAGACTTTTAAATGATTGCCATCCTGGTGACTTTTAAATATTTGTCATGGTATTTCATTTGTGCTTATATTAGTTTTTTTATTTTGCCATAACAAATGACCACAGCACAGCACAAATCAATAACAGCATAACTTTATTATTTCCCACTTATGGAAGCCAGAAGTCCAAAATGGGTCTAAAGTCAAGAGGCTACAGGGCTGCATTCCTTCCAGGGCTTCCAGAAGAGCAGCTGCCTCATTCCCTGGCTCATGGTCCCTTTTTCTATCTTTAAAACCAGTGCTGTGACATCTTAAAATTTAATGACTCGGATTTTTTTTTTTTTTTTTTTCCTTGAGACAGATTTTCACTCTTGTTACCCAGGCTGGAGTGCAGTGGTGCGATCTCGACTCACTGCAACCTCCACCTCCTGGGTTCAAGTGATTCTCCTGCCTCAGCCTCCCGAATAGCTGGGATTACAGGCATGCGCCACCAAGCCCGGTTAATTTTGCATTTTTAGTAGAGACAGCGTTTCTCTAAGTTAGTTAGGTTGGTCTCGAACTCCTGACCTCAGGTGATCCACCCACCTCGGCCTCCTTCCATGAGCCACTGCACCCGGCCCAGTAGGTCGATGACCGTACCATACGCTATATAATCTCCCCATCTCAAAGCCAATTAATTAGCAATCTAATTCTATTTGCAACTTTAATTCACAGTTTCTGGGGACATCTTTGGGGGTGATAATTTTGATGGCCATAATGTTTAACATTGTACTATCCTGCCTACAATTGAAGATATTTTTATAATATTTATTGACTTGATCTGGATTTCATGTCTGTTAATTCCCATTTTTTTCATTGAATTTTTGCTTTTTTATAAAATTTGCCAAAATTCTTTGTATTTTTAAGCTTTCAACCCTTGGTAAATTATATGTATTTAAAATAACATCTCCAAGGCTGTGACTTGTCTTTTTCTTTTAGTGCCTTTAATTCAGAAGTGATGTTGTTTGTAAAGCTGTTTTTGTTTTAATATAGTCAAATTTATCACTTTCTAGTTTGTAGTTTTGGTGGTTCAAGGAATTCTTCCCTACCTTGAAGTTATCTTTATTGTTTTAAGATGTTATATAGAATGCAAATACTTTTTTCTACTAATTCTATTTACAATAATATTTACTGTGACATTTGAAGATGTTACAGTACTGGTTTTGATGGAAATTCAAATGGGAATTCAGAGACATGAAATCCAAATAAAGTCAATATTCTAAATTTTCTTGAATTTTCTAGGTGGGTAATTATATGATCTGCAGGTAAAGAGAGTTTTTGTTTCTTCCTTTCCAATTCTTGTATTTATTTTGCTTTCTTACTGTGCTGGATGAAATTTCAAATACAATATGAAATAAAAGTAGTAGTAGCAGGCATTTAAAATTGCATCTTGACTTTGAAATAATTATTCTAAAATTTTATTATTAAGTATACTACTTCCTATAAGTTTTTGGAAGAGACCTTTTACAAATTTAAATAAACTTCCTCCAATTCTATTTTGATAAAAGTTTATCATTAAAAGGTGTTTTACTTTATTAAATTATATTTCTCTATTTAGTGATCAACTGGTTTTTCTATTGCAAAGTAATTTTAAAGGTAATGTAGATTAATGATTTTTTCACTATATCAGTATAATTATATTTTAGCTCACATCTAGTACACTTTTAAGCACGAAATAGTAAAGAAACATATACATATATAGCTATTGAACAAAATCCTTCTAAAACATATTCTACATTCCTCTGCCTTGTAAAATAAAATATGCTAAAAGATATGAAAGTGTTTCATAATTATTCAGGGTAATTAGAAAATATATAATAAGCAATTCTAGAAACAGCCAATATTTTTCTTTCTTCCTCTTTCCCCATGTTTGAATCTCATATCATCAGTCTACAACACCTTCTAACTGCCTCTTGAAGTCCTCTACCAACCCCCAGGTCACTCCATCTCATTCCTTGAAGATTTTAGTTTCCTAGTTTATTGTCACTCCCTTCAACATAACAGCTATCATAGCTCCTGGAGTAGTAATCACATATGTGATGCTTTTCCTACCAAGCACCCTTAGTTCCTTGACCTCTCCTTACTTACTTCAGCAAAGCCCTTGATCTTGTTATTAGCGAATGCTGGAGCCTTGTCCTACTCTCCATTTTGTAAGTTCTCCACTCTCCATCAATAATCTTTCGCTATTCCAACTGTCCTCTTCTTGTACTGTAACTTCTACAATTTTTGAATCCAAATTAAGACGCAATCAATTCATCCCATAACCATTATATTGTTCTTCTCACCCTCATGTCTTACTTGCCTTCCTTGAATTCTCTCAGGAATTACCATTTGCTTGCACACACTCTCAATTCCCCTACTCGTTTTGTTTATTTTCTTTCTTTTTTGAGACAGAGTCTGGCTCTGTCGCCCAGCCTGGAGTGCAGTGGCGCAATCTCGGCTCACTGCAAGCTCCGCCTGCCGGGTTCACGCCATTCTTCTGCCTCAGCCTCACGAGTAGCTGGGACTACAGGCGCCCGCCACCGCGCCCGGCTAATTTTTTTATATTTTTAGTAGAGACGGGATTTCACTGTGTTAGCCGGGATGGTCTCGATCTCCTGACCTCGTGATCCGCCTGCCTCGGCCTCCCAAAGTGCTGGGATTACAGGCGTGAGCCACCACACCCAGACTCGTTTTGTTTACTTTCTTCTTCTTGCTTCAATCATGATGGAATCCCTCTCTTTGCCCATTTCATACATGTCCCGGCAGATAAAAATTTCAGGAAATACACATACACACACTCACTCACTCTCTCAGGCTGGTCTAACATTAAATTCATAAGCACTAACCTCAAGTGAGACTTTAATACTACCCAGTTCTCATCTCTACTACATTTCTCCTGTCTAGCCATTCCTCTACTTTGATAAACAACTATTTTATGTTATCTAAACTTTTCTCAAACTTCCAATATTTTCTTTTTCACTCTTGCTCTTCAACTGATGACCTTGCTTTGTATTTATTTTTCTGAAAAAGAAAATAAAGCTTCCAAAATTCCTACTATCCCATTAGCCAACCAATTGCATCTGTCTCATATTCCCTGCCTTTTCGCCTGCTCCCATTAATGGAATATCATTGCTCTTCCTAAGAACAATACACCTACTCCTCCATTAGATCTTATTACCTCCCACTTGATCAAAAATACAACCCAAAAAACTCTCTATTCCCTCTGCCTAATCATTTTTTTCCTTTTTACTGAATTTTCTCCCTCAGTATAAAATATAACACTTCTTTCATTAATGAGATAAACAACCCTTCTTTTCCCTACAGGTACTGCCCCATTACTTTCCATTCCTCTAAAACAGGGGTGTCCAATCTTTTGGCTTCTCTGGGTTATATTGGAAGAAGAATTGTCTTGGGCCACACATAAAATACACTAACACCAACAATAGCTGATGAGTTAAAAAAATACAAAAAAAAAAAATCTCATAATGTTTTAAGAAAGTTTACAAGTTTGTGTTGGGCCACATTCAAAGCCATCCTGGATTGCCTCCAGCCTGTGGGCCGTGGGTTAGACAAGCTTACTCAAGAGCCAACCATTTGAAAAGTGTTTTCAATTTTGTCCCTGCCATTTTTATTTAAATGCACTATAATCAGGCTCATGTCTAGGTTATCAGTAAACTTCACATTTCCAAACCCGATAGGTTTCATTATACTTGTTTTGCTGGAGAAATTGACACCTTAAGTCATTATCTGTTAATGAAGCATAGGCACCAAGATGGCAGTAATTTTGTGCGTTTTTTTTTTTTTTTTCTACATCCATATCTCTGTGACCAAAACCAGTTTTTGGCGCATAGTACCCAGCAAATATTTGCTGAATGAATAATTTCTATCTCTGTCAGTCTTTAGCCATCATTTGTTTCCACTTTCTGTGTGGCTGCCTCTAGCATGCTGACTCCATTCCTTTCTAATATGTTACTTCTGATACTATGAAATGGGTCAAAAGATAATGGTGTTAAAACCTTGCTACAGAAGACACATATAGTCACTATGTTAATGACTGGAGAACTCTACAGTAACTAGAATGTATGAACCTGAATAAATTTTGTTTTTGATTTTAGCTAACAAAATTTTTTTTTTTCTTTTTGATTTTGGTTTCTCAATATTTTTTATTGTGGTAGAAACATTTAACATGAGCTCTAATCTCTTAGCAAATTTTTAAGTGTAAAACACAGCGCTGTTAAATATAGGTATAGTGTTGTGCAGTAGATCTCTAGAACTTACTCATCTTGCTCCACCAAAACTTTATGCCTGTTGATTAGTAATTCCTCATTTCCCTTCCTCCAGCCCTTAGCAATCACTATTTCACTATGATTTTATGAATTTGACTGTTTTTGATAACTCATATAATTGGAATCATAAAGTATTTATCTTTCAGACTGGCTTATTTTACTTAGCATAATGTCCTCAGGGTTCATCCATGCTGTTACATATTGCAGAATTTCTTGATATTGTTTAAATGTAGTTAATTTAACTAGATAAAAGAATTTGGGATAAGTGACGTATGACAATGATTAGTACTAATGATTTTCAAGAATAATACATAAGGCCCTTGAGTGACTTTTCAATAGGAAGATGATGTCATTGATGGGGAGATGCCAATAGGCCCATTGTTTTGATGTACAGTTTTATTAATGGCAAAGAACACAGGAGATTTGCTGAGAAGCTAATGCAGTGTAATCTTCAGAACCGCACAATTGCATAGACCCCTTCCAAGTCCCTGAGAGATGCTAGCAATGCATTCCTGTGGTCATATTTTTGTATACAATGAAAAAGCAAGCTGTTTTACCTCAAGTGGTTCATATCCCTGTTATTTCTCTCCAATAAGATTCACTTCTAATATTTGTGGGACTTGTGAAAAAATATAGATGAAGGTCTCCATCCTGCAGCCCACCTCCCTTAATACTACAGACTCCATCTTACTAGGTAAAGGTCTTGGACATGTATGTCACTCTAACTACCTCCATCTTCACTCCATCTATACTCTACCCACCTCCATTCCTGCAAACACCCCACCCCAGACTTCTACAGGTCTAAGGAGTTGTATAGCAGGAGTGAAGAATGACAGGATATGGCTGGGAGAGATGCTCAGTGATTCCTTGGAAATAGGCTTGAGGCTATGCAGGGCAGGAAGTTCTAGGTTCCCAGATATCTGGATCATGGTGGTAAGGAGTGCAGGGGGTAAGAGTGGGGTTAGGCACTGGCTCTAAGTGGACATATCCCATGGCCCTTCAGACTCCTTAACCTGTGGGGAGTGGCATGGATGGGGAAGGACTCAAGAGAGACTCTCTAAAACCCAGGGCCTACAGTAGAGGCCCTAGTTTTCCAGTTCTAAGAGCAACGCTGATTTCCACTTCCTCTCTGTCACAACTCCCCTTATAAGATGCTGTTGCAGTAGCCATGAGAATGTAGGAATAGGAGGCAGTTGATTTAAAGATAGAAGTTTTTAGTGGAATATATATTTATATGGTTTGCCATTACTTCCAAGTATAGTTTAATTAGTGCCAACAATTCTGGTATAGAAATAGTTTTCAGGAATCCTCCCTCTAATGTCTATACTGACTTACTCTTTAGATGACACAAAAGGGCATGGTCAGGGGCACATCATGAAATGACACTCTGATACCTGGAGCTAGATTATGTAGGGTGAGCAAGGTTTGAGGATAGCAACAAAACCTAGTAGAGAAGAAAGAAAGTTTGAAATGATGTATCCAGAAGATGATCTGCAGGTAATTCTAGATCTTAAAATGTGTATATGAAAGACTCTTGATAGAGGTTTTCCCAAATTTGACAAAAATCCCAAGAAGGTACATGGTATCACCAATAACAAGTAATAACAACAATATACACTTTTAAAAATTATCAATAATTAAAAATAATTAAATTGACCATATTACAGAAAAGATTGACTTTTTATTCTCTCAGAAAAATAACTACATGAATCATTGCTACATAAAGAGGTGGTCAGAGACCATGAGGCCACAGAAGTAGGAAAAACAAAGACTGTAAATGTGTAATTTTTCTGAGATTTGTGATACTTGTAGTATTTATCAGCTTTTAAAATTTATAGTGTATTTAACTACTTTATACGATTAGGTATTTTTGTATTCACAATTTTACTTTCTTTTTCTATAAGAAGGGCTCCCAAAATTGCATAAGCTTCAGGCACCACACAACCTGGACTTCCCTGGCAAAGAAAAAGAAAATATCTGTTTGGAGATGACAATTCAAAGAAGGAGAATTGGGTGCAATATGCCCCCAGACTAGTAAGGCCCATCACAACACTCCAAAGTTCCCCTGGAAGAAATATCACTGCTCCGGAGGCCACCTGCACAGAGAGAGGATTCCACCAGACATAAGAGGCTCATCTTGACCCTTCGTGAAAGGAAGGTTACATGCCCTATTCCTCCACACACACACACAAACACACACACACACACACACACATTATTTTTACTGCAAACTTGGTGAATCCAAGAATAGTTTTGAAGAGTACTTCTCAGCAAGCCAGGCTTTAGGTCACGCCTCTGTTCTTCCTCCAAAGAATTCTATTTAAATAGTGAAAAGGATTCCTTTCACAGAATGAGACTTTAAAAATATTAGATATATTTGGGACTCTTCAAATATTCTCTAAAATCTATTTTCAACCCACCTACAACACCAAAATATAACAAACAAAAATGAGATTTGTATCATCTCTAGGTATTAGGTTAAACCAGAAGGCAGATACCTTCAAAGCTCATTGCTGCCTGAAGACCACACAGGATAGAACAGCACTGTGGCAACCCGTATTTTTATTGGATGTTAACATGTCAAGGTTTCTGGAATGGGTGCCTAATGTATGCTAATGTACCTTGTACATCTGTTTCATGGATGAATGAATGAGTCACACACTGGAACCATCAGAAGAGTTAAGTTGAGAGACATAGAGAGAGAGAGACCTCTTTTACTTTTCTTTACAGACACAGGCCCTTAAACAGTAGGCAGCACTCTCAACCTGAAAACAAAGGCCTAAAGAGATCTGAAATCTTTGCCACCTTCTCAAGCTTTTTTTTATCCCAAATCAGACAAGGCTTGCAGCCATTATTAAACATAGTATGAAACTTCTACTTAGAAGTCATAGAGGTGTTCCGCCCTACTTTTCTCAGCGTCTGCTATTGGAGTTATCACTGTTACTGACAAGGACCTTGTATTCTCTTGCCAGGAGGCAAAACTACTCAGAGAGAAGCACTCAGAGTGATTGCACATTCTTTCCTTAGAGCTATGACAAGAGATGATCAGTGCTGCCAAGGCGACTTATGCAGGCCATCACTGCTCCCTTGTTCCTCAGAGAATGCTGCAAGCCCTGACTTCTTAAGAGAGTGCTGAAATAAATCTCCTCTGTTAAATAAGAATGAGCATAGGTTTATACATTTTATTCTAAGAGCCTAGTCAAGTCATATCTTATCCTGTGTCTAATAAATAATTATTTATGGAATGAATAAATTCTTCTCCTGGAAAAAAATACAGGGCAGTGATGTCAAACTAATTAACTTAAAACAATTATGTAAGTAAAATAACTTTTACTTTGTTTTAATCTAGTATTTCAAGTCACTGCAAAAAGACACTAACTAGCCCATGATTTCACTTCCTTTTTCCCCTTTTTAACAAGCCTATACTCGTGAAGCTAAATTAGCAAATGTTCTTACTTGATTCATCTAAGGCTATCAAAAGAGTCAAGTGAGGAAAGCTAGCTGTGCATTGGAGGATTGGTTATCTCACCTTTAATGTTAAAATGTCTCTTGCCAATAATGACAGGAGCAAAAGGTACAGAATAAGGCAGTAATTACTCACCTTTTATGTCTCACCTAATAAGAAAAGGGTACTATACAAACTTAGAACATTCTGTAGAAGCCAATTTTATTGCATTTCTAATATAAATAAATAATTTCTATTTAAATTATCACAGGTCTTTTTTTCTATCATAGTTATTTTGATGTTTTATAGATAATTATTTTAGTCAGCATGAGTTGCTACAACAAGTGCCATATAGAGTGGGTAGCTTACCACAACAGGCATTTATTTCTCACAGTTCTAGGAGCTTGGAAGTCCAACATCAAGGTGCCAACCGATTCGGTTCTTGGTGAGGGCCCTCTTCCTGGCCTACAGAGGGTAACCATCTTGCTGTATCCTCACATTGTAGAAAGAGAGAAAGATTGTGTCTCTCCTGTATACTCTTTTTTTTTTTTTTAGACGGAGTCTCACTCTGTCGTCTGTCACCCAAGCTGGAGTCAAGTGGTGCGATCTCAGCTCACTGCAAGCTCCGCCCCCAGGTTCACCCCATTCTCCTGCCTCAGCCTCCCGAGTAGCTGGGATTACAGGCACCCACCACCATGCCCGGCTAATTTTTTTTGTATTTTTAGTAGAGACGGGGTTTCACCGTGTTAGCCAGGATGGTCTCCATCTCCTGACCTCATGATCCTCCCACCTCGGCCTCCCAAAGTGCTGGGATTACAGGCATGAGCCACCGTGCCCGGCTCTCCTGTATATTCTTTTAAGAGTACTAATCCCATTCATAAGGGTCCTACCCTCATGACCTAATTACCTCCCAAAAGCCTCAACTCAAAATACCATCATGTTGGGGACTAGGACTTCAACATATAAATCTGGGGAGACACAAACGTTCAGACTGTAGCTATAATATTATATGGAACAATGTGTCATTATAGTTTAATATTAAATAGAAACAAAGCAATTCAACCAATATTTATTTTCACATGGTTCACTTCCCAGTCCTAAAAAGTTGTCTTGCATCATATACAAGACCTATAGTCTTTTAAGTAGTTAGATATATTTGGCCCAATGTAACAGTGTGCAGAATATGGTAGCATGAATCTGTATAATTTTAAGCAGAGTGTCTTTTTAGATATGGTTGCCTTTTTCAGATGAGGAAACTGGGGTTGAATACATTTCAGTGACTTACCCAAGGTCAAACAATTCTGTAACCACAAGTCAAAGCTAGGATCAATCCCTCAGTTCTTGATCCAGTGCTCCTCCTCCACGAAAATTTACCCCACGACAAGTACAGCAAAACCTCATCAGAGAACTTGAGGAAAAAACAATGGTTGATTTCAAAATATAAAAAAGTTTAGGTTTGAAAAAATTTTAAAACAAAAGGCTGTTTAGCTATTTAGCATTAGGTTAAAATATGAATGAAGTAACTAAACAAAATTGCATTAATACATTTGATGGAGCAATTGAATTGTTTATTCCAAGGTAAATTCAAGAAAAATCAATTTATGTAAAAACTGGCACAGTAAAATGGGCCATGCAAAATGTTTAGTTTGTCTTCTTTAAATGACTGATTAAATGTAAGGTTGATGTTAATAAGATAACAGAATAGAAGATACTAGCCCAGATACTACACACAAAAAATTAGACAGTCATGCACCAATAAAAATAGCCCAGAGAGGGATCAAGAGTCTAATTAATAACCTGCCATAACACAGGGGAGCAAAAAATGGAGAGTAACTGCATAAAAAGATTTGCTGGAAGATCAGTAATTAGCATACTTGAGATATCTGGAGATGTCTAAGAACGAAGAAAAAAGATGGTGCCTGTCATAATCCTCCATATGAACATGCAGCATGTGCCACCACAGTCCCCAGCGGCCTACTATGTGGAAGGCCCTAGAAGACTTTGCCACTGAGGACCTCAACAACCCATTTCAGCCATGCACTCCTCATAGCTTTCACAGTAAAGATCCCCTTAGTGTTCAGCAACAAAGATGCTAGCAGCCTCCTCCTCAGAGGACATCAAGAGCTTTCATCACTGAGATAACCAGCAGCCATCACTGTCACAGAACCCCAAAAGTGGGAGATGCTTCTGTGCTCCCTGCCACCTAGAAGGAGCTGCTGCTGTGCCATCCTAGAAAAAGGGCCTCCACCTCCACCAACCCTGCACATACCTCAGACCCTGGAAACATGGATGCTCCACAGATTCCCATGCTCCAGTCCCAGCTCTGTGGCCACACTACAAGCACCCACACCTTGGAAATTAAAGCCACCAGCACAACACATGAGCCCATACCCTAGACTCTAGAGCCGCTGTCACTCCACATGTATCTGCAAGCTAGACTCCAGCTCCACAACCACTCTGTGAAAACCTGCACCACAAACAACATAGATGCCACTCCAGCAGGCACATATACACTGCAGACCTAAAAAAGTAGTCTGCACATGCCTGTGCTCCAGACCCTGTCTCTATGACTGTGCCATAAGTACCTGTGTCTTGGACATTAGTGTTAACGAAGTGCTGCACATTGCCTGCACCCTGAACCCCAGATTTCCAGCTGTTACACAAGCACCTGTGCCTTGCACACCATTACCGACACTGCAGCAGGTGTACTTGTACCCCAGGGACTGGTGCAACTACCACCTCGGATCCTGAAGTCCCTTTATGTGTACTTATAATCCAGACCTCAGCTCCAAGGCTGCTCCATGGGTGCTATACATCAGATACTGGCACTACTGCCACTTAAAGTGCACCCAGGAGCGAGCTTGAGCCATGCTAAGAGAGAAACTCTTGGCCACAATTTCCTCTGTGGGAGAAAAGGATATCAAGAGGATCCCAGCAGGCTTTGCCACCAAATATTCCAACAACACTCTCTGCTGCATACATCCACAGCCTGGGACCTGTAACCTTTGACAATGCTGATCTCAGTGAATGAAACTTCATGCAGACTATGTCTCTGCACCCCTACTAGAGCCAGGATTGCTACACCTTATCCAGCCAGCATCCTCACACCCACCTATAGGTAAAGGTCTTTCTCCAATGAAACCGATCTATAAATTCTTGAAGAGGTGACTGCTCTATCAAATGTTCAGACATCTACACAAAGCAATAAGAAACATGAAATGCCAAGAAAACATGACATCATCAACAGAACACAATAATTTTCCAGTAACTAGCCCCAAACAGAGATATACAAATTACCTGACAAAGGATGCAAAATAAATGTTTTAAAGAAACTCAGCAAGATACAAGAAAACAGACCGACAAGTCAATGATATTAGAAACACGAACAAAACTTAAACAAAATAAATAGGTCAAGAAATAAATAGAAATAATAATAATAATAAACAGAAGTCCTACAGATGAAGAATACAGTGAATAAAGTAAAAAATGCAATTGAGAGCATCAATAGAATTTATGAAGCAGAAGAATCTGTAGACTCAAAAATGGTCAAGTAAAATATCTAGTTAGAGGAGATAAAAGAAAAAAAAAGAAGGAAAAAGACTAAAAAAAGCTACAGGAGTTACGGGGAATCATCCAGAGAGCTAATGTCTGCATTATAGGAGTCTCAATTACCAAAGAGAGAAAAGGAGGCACAAAGATTATCCAAAGAAATAATGGCTGAACACTTCCCAAATCTGAGGAGATATATTGATATTCAGGTACTTCTGAAGCTCATAGGTCCAGTATAGATTCAACCCCCTCAAAAATTCATGGAGATATATTAATCAAACTATCAAAAATCAAAGACAATGTTCAAAGCAGAAGAGAAAAGAAAATTATGTTATATAAGAGAAATTCCACAAGGGTAGAGTAGATTTCTCAGGAGAAATTTTGCAGGTCCAGAAACAGTAGGATGATACAGTCAAAGTGCTGAATGAAAAAAAAAAAAAAAAAAAAACTGCCAACCAAGAATACCTTTCCTGGAAAATCTGTCCTTCAAAATGAAGAAAAGATAAACACATTCCCAGAAAAACAAAACAGAAACAAAAGAGGACGTTTATTACCATTAGAACTGCCTTACAAGAATTGCTAATGAAATTCAGCTTCAAGCCGAAAATAAAGGGCATTAATTAGTAACAACAACAAAAAAAAAACAGGATTATAAAACTAACGAGTAGGCCGGACATGGTGGCTCACGCCTGTAATCCCAGCACTTTGGGAGGCTGAGGCAGGCGGATCACGAGGTCCAGAGATCGAGACCATCCTGGCTAACACGGTGAAACCCTGTCTCCACTAAAAATACAAAAAATTAGCCGGGCGTGGTGGCGGGCACCTGTAGTCCCAGCTACTTGAGAGGCTGAGGCAGGAGAATGGTGTGAACCCGGCAGGCGGAGCTTGCAGTGAACCGAGATCAAGCCACTGCACTCCAGCCTGGCCGACAGTGAGACTCCGTCTCAAAGAAAAAAAAAGAAAAAACTAATGAGTAAAAGTAAATAATACTTTGGCAAATTCAGAATAACATTGTAAATGATAGTTTGAAAATCACTTATAATTCTAGTAAAAAAGTTAAAAGACAAAAGGGCTAAAAGTAACTATAATAATTTGTTAATGGATATATAGTATAAAATATGTAAATTATGGCATCAAAGACATAAATGCAGGAGGAGATGAGTAAGAGGGCAGAGGTTGCGTATATGATTAAAGTTAAGTTGTTATTAGCTTAAAATAAACGTTTATAACCTGTCTTATATAAGACTCATCATAACAAAGAAAAAAATACAGTAAATATACAAAAAATAAAGAGAAAAAAATGAAAACAGGCCTCTAAAAATAAATCAAGCCACAAAAGATACAGCAAGAGAGAAAGAAAGAAACCAAGAATCTAGAAAATAGGCAGAAAATAATTAACAAAATGGCAACACTAAGTTTTCACCTATCAATAGTTACCTTGAATGTAAAATAATTAAATCCTCCAATCAAAAGACAAAGAGTGACTTGAATGGATAATTTTTTTAAAGAAAAAGGCCAAACTACATGCCGACTACGAGGACTCACTACAGCTTTAAAAACACACATACACTAAAAGCAAAGAGATGGAAAAAGATAGTCTATACAAATGGAAACCAAAAAAAAGCAGGGTTAGCTATGCTTATAACAGACAAAAAAGACCTTATGTTGAAAACTTTAACCAGAGACAAAGAAAATAATTATATAATGATAAAGAAGTTAATTCATTAAGAAGATACAGTGATGATAAATATACATGCATTCAATGTTGGAGCACCTAAATATATAAAGCAAATATTATCAGAACTTGAAGGAGAAATTGACAGCAGTACAATAATAATAAATGATTTCAATACCTCATTTTCAATAATGTATAGATATCATACAAAAACAAGGATATATTGGACTTGGACAACAGTTTAGACCAAATGAACGTAACAGACATATATGCATGCAACATTTTATCCAAGAGCAGCAGAATACACATTTCTCACAGGAGTACATGGAACATTCCCCAGGATAATAATATGTTAGGCCACAAAATAAGTCTTAAAATTTTTAAGAAGATTGGAATAATATCAAGTATCTTTTTCAAACATAATGGCATGAAACTATAAATCAATAATAGAAGGAAACTGGAAAACTTACAAATATATGCAAATCAAACAATACTCTCTTGAACAACCAATAGGTTAAAGGAGAAATATAAACACCTTCAGACATACCAAAATGGAAACATACATACCAAAACTTATGAGATGTAGCAAAAGCAGTATGAAGAGGAAATTTCATCATAGAAAACACATTAAAAAAAAGAAAGGTCTTAAATAAACAATAAAATATTATATCTTAAGGAACTACAAAAAGAAGGACAAACTAAACTCATAATCAGTAAAAGGAAGGAAACCACAAAATATGAAACAGAAGTGAGAAAATCCAATGGAAAGGTCAACAAAACTAACTTTTTTTTGAAAAGATATACCATATAGATAAATCTAACTAGACTAAAAAAAAATTTAATTAAGTGACATTAGAAATGAAAGAGGAGACATTACAACTGATATCAGAGAAATACAAGAGATCTTAAGAGACTATCATGAATGATTATATACCAACAAATTGGATAATCTAAAAGACTTAATGGATTAAATCTTAGAAACATACAGACTACCAAAATGGAATCATGAAGAAACAGAAAATCTGAATAGATCAATGAGTAAGAAGATTAAATCAGTAATTTAAAAAAAATCTATTATTAAGGAAAAGTCCAGGACTTGATAGCTTCACTGGTAAATTCTACCAAACATTAAAAAAAAAACAAAACTAATACCAATACTTCTCAAACTCTTCCAAAAAATTGAAGAGGAGAAAAATTTTCAAAATCATCTTATGAGGCCAGCATTACCTTGATACCAAAGCCAGGCAAGAACACTACAAGAAAACAAAATTCAAGCCAATATCCCTGATCAACACAAATGCAAATATCTCCTCCCCAAATACTAGCAAATCTAAAGTAAAAGAATATTAAAAGAATCATACACCATGATCAAGTGGGATTTATCCTTGTGATGTAGGGATGGTTCAACATATGCATTCAATTAATGTGATACAACACATTAACAAAATGAAAGACAAAAATAATATGATCATCTCAATAGATGCAGAAAAAGCATTTCATAATATTCAACATCCTTTAATAATAAAAACTCTCCACAAATTAGGTATAAAAGGAACGTTCCTCAACATACTAAAGGGCATATACCACAAGCCCACTATAAGCTTTTCCATTAAGATCAGAAACAAGATAAGAATGCCCACTCTTTCCACTGCTATTCAACATAATTCTGGAAGTCCTAGCCAGAGCAATTCAGCAAGAAAAAGAAACAAAAGGCATGCAATTAAAGAGTCAGAGGGATAAATAAAAGAAGGAAAGAAGTAAAGTTACTTCTCTTTGAGAGTACATTATATGCACAAAGACTCCACAAAAAACTGTTAAAACTAATAAATGAATTCAGTTACAGCATGAAAAATCAACATAAAAGTCAGAATTTTAATACTCTAACAACTACTCAAAACAGAAATTAAGAAAACAATCCTATTTCCAAAGGCATCAAAAAGAATAAATATCTAAGAATAAATTTAGCCAAGGAAGTGAAAGATCTGTTACACTGAAAATTATAAAAGTCTGATAAAATAATTAAACAAAACATAAATAAATGGAATCAATATTGCCAAATTATCCATTCTGCCTGAAGTGACCTACAAATTCAGTGCAAATCTCATCAAAATTACAATGAATTTTTCACAAAAATAAAAAAAGACTACCCTAAAATTTATATAGAACTACAAAAGACCCTAAATAGCTAATGTAGTCTTGAGTAAGAAGAATGAAACTGCAGGCATCTCCTGATTTCAAATTATATTAAAAGGCTAGAATAATCAAAACATTCCATGCTTATGGATAGGAAGAATCAATATCATGAAAATGGCCATACTGCCCAAAGTAATTTATAGACTCAATGCTATTCCCATCAAGCTACCATTGACTTTCTTCACGGAATTAGCAAAAACTACTTTAAATTTCATATGGAACCAAAAAAGAGCCCATGTACCCAAGACAATCCTAAGCAAAAGAAACAAAGCTGGAGGCATCACGCTACCTGCCTTCAAACTATACTACAAGGCTAAAATAACCAAAACAACATGGTACTGCTACCAAAACAGATATATAAACCAATGGAACAGACCAGAGACCTCAGAAATAACACCACACATCTACAATTATCTGATCTTTCACAAACCTGACAAAACAAGCAGTGGGGAAATGATTCCCTACTTAATAAATGGTGTTGGGAAAACTGCCTAGCTGTATGCAGAAAACTGAAACTGGACCCCTTCCTTACACCTTATACAAAAATTAACTCAAGATGGATTAAAGACTTAAAACATAAGATCTAAAACCATAAAAACCCTAGAAGAAAACCTAGGCAATACAATTCAGGACCTAGGCATGGGCAAAGACTTCATGACTAAAACACCAAAAGCAATGGCAACAAAAGCCAAAATTGACAAATGGGGTCTAATTAAATGAAAGAGCTTCTGCACAGCAAAAGAAACTACCAGCAGAGTGAACAGGCAACCTACAGAATGGGAGAAAATTGTTGCAATCTACCCATCTGACAAAGGGCTAATATCCAGAATCTACAAGGAACTTAAACAAATTTACAAGAAAAAAAAAAAAAACCCCATCAAAAAGTGGGCGAAGGATATGAACAGACACTTCTCAAAAGAAGACATTTATGCAGCCAACAAACATATGAAAAAAAGCTCATCATCACTGGTCATTAGAGAAAAACAAATCAAAACAGCAATGAGATACCATCTCATGGCAGTTAGAATGGTGATCATTAAAAACTCAGGAAACAACAGATGCTGGAGAGGATGTGGAGAAGTAGGAATGCTTTTATACTGTTGGTGGGAATGTAAATTAGTGCAACCACTGCGGAAGACAGTATGGCAATTCCTCAAGGATCGAGAACCAGAAATACCATGTGACCCAGCAATCCCATTACTGAGTATACACCCAAAGGATTATAAATCATTCTGCTATAAAGACACATGCACATGTATGTTTACTGCAGCACTATTCACAATTGCAAAGACTTGGAACCAACCCAAAATCCCATCAATGATAGACTGGATAGAGAAAATGTGGCACATATATACCATGGAATACTATGCAGCCATAAAAAAAGGATGAGTTCATGTCCTTTTCAGGGACATGGATGAAGCTGGAAACCATCAATCTCACCAAACTAACACAGGAACAGAAAACCAAAGACTGCATGTTCTCACTCATAAGTGGGAGCTGAACAGTGAGAACACATAGACACAGGGAGAGGAACATCACATACCAGGACCTGTCAGGGGGTGGGATGCTAGGGGAGGGATAGCGTTAGGAGAAATATCTAATGTAGGTGATGGCTGATGGGTGCAGCAAACACATGTATACCTATGTAACAAACCTGCATGTTCTGCACATGTACCCCAGAAATAAACCCACACAGGTATGGTCAACTAATTTGTGACAAAAGACTAAGAATACAAGATGAGGAAAAGGCAGTCTCTTTAGTAAATGGTTTTTCCAAACACTGGATATCAACATGCAAAAACAAAATAAATGAAACTGAACCTTTCTCTTAAACCACACACAAAAATCAACTTAAAATCAATCGAAGACTTAAATGCAATACCTAAAACTGAGAAGCTCCTAAAAAAAAAGAGAAAAGTTCTTTGATATTCATTGGTCTCTACAATAATTTTTCAGAGCACAAGCAGCAAAAGCAAAAATAAACAATTGCACCGCATGAAACAAAAATGTTTCTTCATAGCAGAGGAAATAATCAGCAAAATCAAAAGGCAAACTATGGAATGAGAGAAAATATTTGTAAGCCATGTATCCATAAGGAGTTAATATCCGAAATACAAAAAGAACTCATACAACTCAATAATGAAAAATAAAACAAGGCACAGATTGAAAAATCTGTGAGAAAAGGATCTGAATAAACATTTTTCTAAAAAGGACATACGAATGGCAAACAGATATTTTTAAAAGTGTTCAGCATCACTAATCATAAGGGTAACGTCAATCAAAACCACAATGAGCTATCACCTCACACCTGTTAGGATGGCTATTACCAAGAAGTCAAAAGATAACAGATGTTGACAAAGATGAGGAGTAAAGGAAACCCATGTACATTGTCAGTGGACATGTAAATTATACAGTAATAATGGAACACAGTATACGAATCCCTCAAAAAATTAAAAATAAAACTCATATGATCCAGCAATCTCACTTCTGGCTTCTGAACATATATCCAAAGGAAACAAAACCATCTCAAAGATGCATCTGGATTCTCATTTCACTGCAACACAATTGCCAAGATTTGGAAACAACCTAAGTGTAAGTCATCAGATGAAATTCAGATGAAATACATATATATATATATATATATATATATATATATATATATATATATATATACATACACACACACACACACACATATGTATGGAATATATATACAATGGAATATTATTAAGCCTTAAAAAAGGAAATCCATTTATGACAACATGAATGAACTTGGAAGACTTTATGCTAAGTGAAATAAGCCAGACACAGAAACACAAGCACTGCATGATCTCACTTATATGTGGAATCTGAAAAAAGGTGAACTCATATAAACAGTTTAGAAGGGTGGTTTCCAGGTGCAGGGGACTGAGGAAAATGGGAAGATATGGGAAGATGTTCATCAAAAGGTACAAACTTGCAAAAGGCACAAACTTTTATCGTGACTTTTATAACTTGAAGTTATGAAATGAATAAGTTCTGGAGCCCTAATGTATAGCATGGCAACTATGGTTAATAATAATGTATTATATACCTGAAATTTTCTAAGAGAGTAGATCTTAAGTATTCTCACCACAACAAGAAAAAGAATTATGTGTGATAATAAATATATTAATTAGCTTGATTGTGGTAATTATTTTACTATGTATAGTATAATTAGCTTAACTGTGGTAATTATTTTACTATGTATACATGTATCAAAACCTCACATAACACAACTTGAATATATACAATTTTTGTTAATTATATCTTAAGAAAGCTGAAAAAATATTAAATGCAAAAAAATTTAATGATTTTTTAAATGATTTTCAACAATGTGTTTATAATGGCTATTCTTTGTCTTCATGAGTTGCACTGAAAATTGGTTCTTAAGTCTGGGTGGATTTATGAGAGACATGTGACTGTGCTGAGTATTGTCAACAATTCAAAAATCTCTTAAAACTTGCATGGCAGAACATTTTTTATAAATGTAAATCTTTGGGCATGAGCAAATTAACTGTTGGTACAAAAAATTAAAGCTAAAATAACAGAACTGCTATTGTTAAACTGTTGTTTTAAAAACGTAGAGAAAAATTTACAAATGTTTTTATTTTAAAAAATAAGTATAACCTGTTTGACTCATCACTAATGAATATGATTATTGTCTCAGTTATTGATAGTTTACTATTGTTCTTTCCTCCATAATGAAGCTAAGTGCAGTAAATATGGTGTGGTAAATAGTATGCAAGACTACAGAACTTCTTTTTGAAAGTGTTACCTGTAATGAATTTTAAGTTAAAAGACTCTGCATGAACGTGACACTGACTGCATAATTTGTTTACAAGAAATTATGTCCAACAAGGTGATCTAAGAAATTCAACCACTTGATAAAGTTTGCTTCCTCATTTGAAGAATTCATCTTTATATCTTGCTGCAGTATCTGGCAACTTTCCACTCTCCTCCCTTCATGATAGTAATTATGAAAAGTTATTTTCATCCCAAGTAGTCTACATGGTAAAAGGAAATTTTTGTTAGTAGCATAGACTTGGTGCTTTTTTAAAAGAACAAAAGTTTTAAATGAAAGACAATTTAAGACTACTCAAGTCATTATAAAAGTCAATTATCAAAGTTAAAACATTATCACATATATATTAAGAAATCCTAGCTCATTGAACTCGCCTGCAGCTCTCGGGTTCCTGTGGCTTTCTTCTTTATCGGAGCCAGGGCTACATGCCAGCAACCATGTCCAAGGGACCTGCAGTTGGTATTGATCTTAGCACCACCTACTCTTACGTGGGTGTTTTCCAGCACGGAAAAGTAGAGATAATTGCCAATGATCAGGGAAACTGAACCACTCCAAGCTATGTCGCCTTTATGGACACTAAACAGTTGATTGGTGATGCCGCAAAGCATCAAGTTGCAATGAACCCCACCAACACAGTTTTTGATGCCAAACGTCTGATTGGACGCAGATTTGATGATGCTGTTGTCCAGTCTGATATGAAGCATTGGCCCTTCATGGTAGTGAATGATGCTGACAGGCCCCAGGTCCAAGTAGAATACAAGGGAGAGACCAAAAGCTTCTATCCAGAGGAGGTATCCTCTATTGTTCTGACAAAGATGAAGGAAATTGCAGAAGCCTACCTTGGGAAGACTGTTACCAGTGCTGTGGTCACAGTGCCAGCTTACTTTAATGACTCTCAGTTTCAGGTTACCAAAGATGCTGGAACTATTGCTGGTCTCAATGTACTTAGAATTATTAATGAGCCAACTGTTGCTGCTATTGTTTACAAAAGTTCAGACAAAAAGGTTGGAGCACAAAGAAACGTGCTTATCTTTGACCTGGGGGGTGGCACTTTCGGTGTGTCAATCCTCACTATTGAGGATGGAATCTTTGAGGTCAAGTCTACAGCCAGAGACAACCACTTGGGTGGAGAAGATTTTGACAACCGAATGGTCAACCATTTTATTGCTGAGCTCAAGCGCAAGCATAAGAAGGACATCAGTGAGAGCAAGAGAGCTGTAAGATGCCTCCGTACTGCTTGTGAACATGCTAAGCGTACTCTCTCTTCCAGCACCCAAGTCAGTATTGAGATCGATTCTCTCTATGTAGGAATTGACTTCTATACCTCCATTACCTGTGCCCAGTTTGAAGAATTGAATGCTGACCTGTTCTGTGGCACCCTGGACCCAGTAGAGAAAGCCCTTCGAGATGCCAAACCAGACAAGTCACAAATTCATGATATTGTCCTGGTTGGTGGTTCTATTAGTATCCCCAAGATTCAGAAGCTTCTCCAAGACTTCTTCAATGGAAAAGAACTGAATAAGAGCATCAGCCATGATGAAGCTGTTGCTTATGGCTGTCCAGGCAGCCATCCTGTCTGGAGACAAGTCTGAAAATGTTCAAGATTTGCTGCTCTTGGACGTCACTCCTCTTTCCCTTGGTATTGAAACTGCTAGTGGAGTCATGACCATCCTCATCAACTGTAATACCACCATTCCTACCAAGCAGACACAGACCTTCATTACCTATTCTGACAACCAGCCTGGTGTGCTTATTCAGGTTTATGAAGGTGAGCGTGCCATGTCCAAGGATAACAACCTGCTTGGCAAGTTTGAATTCACGGGCATACCTCCTGAACCCCAAGGTGTTCCTCAGATTGAAGTCACTTTTGACATTGATGCCAATGGTATCCTCAGTGTCTCTGCTGTGGACAAAAGTACAGGAAAAGAGAATAAAATTACTATCACTAATAATAAGGGCCATTTGAGCAAGGAAGACATTGAACGTATGGTCCAGGAAGCTGAGAATTAAAAAGCTGAAGATGAGAAGCAGAGGGACAAGGCGTCATCCAAGAATTCACTTGAGTCCTATGCATTCAACATGAAAGCAACTGTCGAAGATGAGAAACTTCAAGACAAGATTAATGATGAGGACAAACAGAAGATTCTGGACAGGTGTAATGAAATTATCAACTGGCACAATAAGAATCGGACTGCCAAGAAGGAAGAATTTGAACATCAGCAGAAAGAGCTGGAGGAACTTTGCAACCCAATCATCACCAAGCTGTACCAGAGTGCAGAAGGCATGCCAGGAAGAATGCCTGGGGGATTCCCTGTTGGTGGAGCTCCTCCTTCTGGTGGTGCTTCCTTAGGGCCCACCATCGAAGAGGTTGATTAAGCCAACCCAAGTATAGATGTAGCATTGTTCCACACATTTAAAACATTTGAAGGACCTAAATTTGTAGCAAATTCTGTGGCAGTTTTAAAAAGTTAAGCTGCTATAGTAAGTTACTGGGCATTCTCAATACTTGAATATGGAACATATGCACAGGGGAAGGAAATAACATTGCACTTTATAAACACTGTATTGTAAGTGGAAAATGCAATGTCTTAAATAAAACTATTTAAAATTGGCACCATAAAAAAAGAAACCTTAAAAATGATTTCATTCGATTATCAATAACTTTGATTATACCAAAGTTATCAAAAACGATTCAACTTTCAAACTAAAATGATAAAATGAAGATTACAATTGGACAAATTTTGGCTCAAAACTAAGCCCCTGATTTTCTGCCCTGTTACTTCAAACCTCCTCTGTCCCAAAGATTTTCCATATCCCTAAACACAGTCACAATGCATCCAAGTACTTACAGCTAGAAATCACTATGGATTTACCTGTTTCCCATAATCCACCAATACATGTTATCAGTTATCTAAAATAGACATGAAATTATAATCTATCTCCCTTGTTTTTATTTGAGACAGAGTCTCACTCTGTAGCCCAGGCTGGAGTGGAGTGCTGTGATCATAGCTTACTGGAGCCTGGAATTCCTGGGTTTAAGCGATCCTCCTGCCTCTGTCTCCCAAGTAGCTGAGACTACAGGTATGTGCCACCATGCTCACTATCTATCTATATGCTATTTATTTATCGATTTATTTATTGTAGAGACAGGGTCTCACTATGTTGCCCATGCTGGTCTCCACCCCCTGGCTTCAAGCCATTCTCTCTCCTTGGCCTCCCAAAGTGCTGGGTTTATAAGCATGAGCCATTGTGCCCAGCCCCTATCAATTTTTAAATAGCTTCAAAATACTCTTTTCTATTTTTTCTGTTCTGACTTTTCTGTAGCTTGCTTTCCACATAGTGGCAGAAGTAATTCTTTAAAATGTTAATAAATCCTGCATGCATCTGATTAAAACCCTTCTAAGTTTCTTTAGTGTTAATTTGAAAAATATTTTTAAAATTGACATAACATAATTTGATCTGAAATTATAGATTTCGCCAATCCTATTGACTTCTTCCTTACTCCTGTTAAGCATATTTTCTCATATGTGCCAAACATTTCTCTCTTCCTCACATTTGGACATGCTGTTTTCTCTATCAAGAGTGTTCTTCACCCTTTTCTCTGCAGGACAAGTTCCTTTTCATTGTTCCTATCTCAGTTGAAATTTCTCCTTTGTTAGAAAGACCTTCACTTTCATCTCTATCTAAAATATGTTCTCAGAATCTAATCATCCCCATCCCATTCCACCCCCTTTTTCTCCATCTCCGTATCCAGATATGTAGGTCATTAACTTATTGCTATCTGTCATTCTTTGAATTAATTGTTTACTGCTTCTATCTTAGCCCCTCTCCTCACTTTAACTCGTATATATAAATTAGCCTATGTTAAAATTGGTATCATTATACACTGTTTTGCTTACAGTTGCACTTTCTATGAATCTATTGACAGTAAGTAAATATTTACTGTATTGCATTGGGAGAAAGACCTTATGGTCTGCAACTGATTTTTTTTCAAAAACATTTTAGCTTGATTTTCAGCTTTAATCATAACAGAGCAACTGAGATCATGACCTTCTTGCCATATACAAATGTAAAGCTGCACAAAACATATAAGGCAATTGTTTTTAGTTTTGGTACAACAGATAGCACAGGATGTTGATCTTTGCAAAAGAGAAACAAGTGAGCCCAGTGACTACTCCATTCAGTTGAGAATATTTCCTAAATCATCATCCAAAGAGATAAAGCCCAAGCAGAGTATGGAAATTTCAGTGAAATGAAGAGGCAGAGAGTTGAGGATGAGACTACTTAGGCAGCTGACTATTGTAGGGCATGGTGCCAGAGATAAGAAAATTATGCAGAGAAGCAGTTCTAAAATTCTTCTTAGGGATCTCTATAAGTCTTTTGTTAAATATTAGGTTTTGCATGCATACAGCAAGAATCCACAAGGCCTGGCAGAAAATAATTTGAGGTCTGTAAGCTAAACATATATTTAAGAGGCTGAGCAACGTTAAGATACATAGGAGCTCTTACAAGCCAGAGTTGAGAGACCTCACCTAGTATCCTGGATAGTCTATTGAAAGCCACACAGGTTATACCTTAGAAGTAAAAACTACTCCAGACCCATCCTAACAAAGTTGAAAAACAAGAGTGAAAAGTTAAAGCTGATGTACCAGTAATTAACTGTCATGATAAAATTTAACACTTTTTAAATTAAGATTACAAAACTCAGATTCTCAACAATGTAGCAACCACAATGTTCAGCAATAACAAAAAGTTACTACACATGTAGAGAGGGAAGAAAATTATTGATTATATCACCAGCAAAATTACATTACAGGTAAAATTGATGGAAGGTTTTTGGCTAAAAAAAAAACAGAGAAGTTAATGCATAAATAGGGAAGAATATATAGAAAATACTTTTTTATTAAAAGTTAATTGACTAAGCAAAGTAAAAACAAAATGTTACATTATTTATATCATATGTAGAAGTAAAATGTATAAAAACAATGAAACCATACTGTCACATATTTATGGTAGACTAAAATAAATTAAGAATACATATAATAGTGCTAAAAGCAGCTACTGAGATGATACAATAAAGGAATTTAGCATATTTAGCCAATAAAGTAAATAGATACAATTGAGTATTTTTAAAATACTCAGCTAATACAAAACAAGGCAGTATAAGAGGAGGAAAGAGAACAAAACCAAAATTGAAGAACTAGAAATGAAATAGCAAGTTAAACCTAGCCAGATTAACAATTACATTAAACATAAATGGACTAAACATACTAATTAAAAGACAGAGATTGTCAGACTAGATAAAATAAAATAACATTATTTGCATACTGTTTACAAGAGATACATATAAGTATAAAAGCACAAATAGTAAAAATGAAATAATGGACAAAATATAACATGCAAACACTTAAATCAAGTCTTGAGTGCCTATGTTAGTATCAGACAAAGACTTCAAGATAAGAAATATTACCAAAGATAATGAGGGACATTTTATAGTAATAAAAGGTCATTTTATTAAGAAGACATAAATATGCTTGCACCAAATGACAGATTTTCAAAATACATAAAAGAGAAGCTGACTGATCCTAAGAAAATATATAAAATTCCCAAAAATTGCAGGAAATTTTAACTTTTCTATTGATAATTCTCTCAATATTAACTGATTTAGGAGTAGAAAGAAAATAAGCAAGGATAGAGAAAATGTAAACACTATCAACCAATATAACCAAATTGATACATATAGATATATAGCTATGGTAAATTATACTTAAAAACTACAATCTCCATGGAATTCTTTTCAAGTGCACATGGAATGTTTACCAGGAAAAACTAGATGCCAGGCCATTAAAAAGTCTAAATTCATTTTAACGATCTGAGATCATAAAGAATATATTCCTTAAAACAGGAACAAATTAAAAATCAACAACAAAGTAAAACTTGAGCAATCCCCAATTTAATAGAAATATGTGAGAAATTCCCAAATAGTTTTAAGTTAAAGAGCACACTTAAAAATAATCCATGAATCAAAGAATTAATTATGGCAAAATTAGAAAATATTTTGAACTAAATAATAATAACACCATATATCAAAATTTGTGGGATATAATTACAGGAAAATTTATAGCTTTTGATGCATATATTAGCAAGGAAGAAGGATTTAAAATAAGGGACCAAAAAACATTTATCTTAAGAATGTAGAAAAGTAGAGTAAATTGATCTCAAAGTAAGTAGAAGAAAAGAAGTATAGGAGATAGTATTGGAAATCAATAAAATTTTAAAACAGTTCAGAAAAAAATTAATAAAATCTAAAGTTGGTGTTCTGACAGCCACAATATAATTAATATGCACCTAGATAGACTTATCAAGAAAAAAAATAGGAAAAAAAATACAGACTGCTCATGTCAACAATGGAAGAAAGAGAGACAGGACAAAGCTACAGATACAGGAGACCTCAAAGGAAATATAAGAGAATATTATAAACAACTTTATGCCAATACATTTTAGAATTTTAATGAAGTGGACAAATTCCTTATAAGACACTAATTTATCAATACTTAGGCAAAATAAATGGAAAATCTGAATAGCCCTATATAGTTCTATATCTGTTAAAAATTTTAATTTGTAGTTAAAATATACTTCTCATAAAGAAAATTCAGTCAAATAAATGACTACACTGTTAAATTCTAGCAAAACTTAAGGAAAATATCCTGCTAATATTGTGCAAAATGTTTCGTGATATAAAGGAGATGGGGACATTTCCCAAATCATTTTATGAAGTAACCTAACCCATACCTAAGCCAGGAAAAGCACAAGGCAAGAAAATAAATACTCCTTATGAACATAGCCAAAAACCCTTAACAAAATATTAGCAAATTGAATCCAGCAATAAACCAAAAGAATCATGATTGCCTAGATTGTATCCCAATATGCAAAATTAGGCAATCATTTTGAAAATTAATTTAATCTAGTGTTTCACATTAAAAAGGCAAAATTATATGTTCATCATATAATCAAAAAATATTTAATATAATTCAATTCTTATTTATGACAGCTTCAGCAACCAAGGAATAGAATACTTCCTTAAACTGATACACAGCATTTATTTAGAAAGCTACAAATATTACACTTATTGGTGAGAAACTGAATGTTTCTTCTTTAAAATTGGAACCAAGTCAAGAATATTTGACTGACTCTACTTCAGTCAAAATTATCGGGGGAACCCGCCCCTGATAATTCACGTAGGTTCTTTTCTATTTTCCCTAAGTGTCAGCCAGTCTGAGAAATAAAGGGAAAGGGTAAAAAAGAGAGAAATTTTAAAGCTGGATGTCCGGGGGAGACATCACATGTCGGCAGGTTCTGTGATGCCCCCAAAGCCGCAAAACCAGCAACTTTTTATTAGTGATTTTCAAAAGGGGAGGGAGTGTACGAATAGGGTGTGGGTCACAGAGATCACATGCTTTTCAAGGTAATAAGACATTACAAGGCAAATGGAGGCAGAGTGAGATCACAGGACCAGGGCGAAATTAAAATTGCTAATGAAGTTTCAGGCATGCATTGTCACTGATAACATCTTATCAGGAGACAGGGTTTGAGAGCAGACAACTGGTCTGACCAAAATTTATTAGGTGGGAATTTCCTTGTCCTAATAAGCCTGGGAGCGCTATGGGAGACTGGGGCTTATTTCATCCCTTATCCACAACCATTAAAGACAGACGTCCCCAGAGCAGCCATTTTAGAGGCCTACCACTAGGCACGCATTCTCTTTCTCAGGGCTTTTCCTTGCTGAGAAAAAGAATTCAGCGTTATTTCTCCTATTTGCTTTTGAAAGAAGAGAAATATGGCTCTGTTCCGCCCAGCCCACAGGCAGCCAGACTTTAAGGTTATCTCTCTTGTTCCCTGAACATCGCTGTTATCCTGTTCTTAAGGTGCCCAGATTTGATATTGTTCAAACACACATGCTCTACAAACAATTTGTGCAGTTAACACAATCATCACAGGGTCTTGAGGTGACATACATCCTCCTTACCTGCGAAGATGATGGGATTAAGAGATTAAAGTAAAGACAGGCATAGGAAATCACAAGAATATTGACTGGGGAAGTGATAAATGTCCATGAAATCTTCACAATTTATGTTCAGAGACTGCAGTAAAGACAGGCGCAAGAAATTATAAAAGTATTAATTTGGGGAGCTAATAAATGTCCATGAAATCTTCACAATTTATGTTCTTCTGCCACAGTTTCAGCCAGTCCCTCCGTTCAGAGTACGTGACTTCCCGCAACACAAAATTGTACTGGAGGTCCAAGCCAATGTGAATAGAAAGAAAACAAAGTAAAATCATCTGGAGGCACAAGGAAAATATAAAACTGTCTTTATTCACAGATAACATGATAATGTACATGGAATACTAAGAAATCTTAAAAATTAAGAAAACTACTAGAACTAATGAGTAAATTTAACAAGATTGTATAATAAAAGGTCAATAAACAAAAATAAGTCATGTTTCTATGTATGAGAAAAATAGATAAACTAAAAATCAGAATAATCAAAATCTAATAATAATAAATTTAATTAAAATTAGTAAAAGTACTAACCTGACAGCAACAAAACATTGCTGAGAAAAATTAAACACCTTAGTTAAATGATGTGCCATGTATCTAAAACAGAAAACTCAATATTATTAAGATATCAATTACCAAATTGACATATAGGTTCAATGCTGTCTATTAAGTCTTTAATTCATTTTGAGTTAATTTTTGTATATAGTGTGAGATAAGGGTCCACTTCCATTCCTTTGCATATGGATTTCCAGGTTTTCCAACACCATTTATTGACAATATTGTCCTTTTTCCATTGTGTGTTCTTGGCAGCTTTTTTGTAGAAACTGACAAGTTGATTTTAAAGTTTATATGGTAATGCAGAAGATTCACAATAGCCAAACTTATCTTGAGAAAGAACAAAATTAAAAGATTTACAATACCTGACTTTAAGGCTTACGATAAGCTACAGCAGTTTTAGCAGTACAATATTAATATAAGAATAAGTGAAGAGCTCAGGAGAACAAAAATAAGCAAATGCTTATATGGCCTTTTCAACAAATATACCAAAGTAGCTTAACAGAGAAAGAAAAATCTTTTCAACAAATAGAAATCTTAATATATAAACTGGAAAAAAAAGCTAGACCTATATCTCATAAACCCTGCACAAAAATTATTTCATATGGGCTATCAAACTAAATGTGAAAGCTAAAAGTATAATGCTCCTAAATCACACACACACAAACACACACACACAGAGAGAGAGAGAATATCTTCACAACCTCTTAGATGATATAAAGAAAAGTAATAAGAATAAAGGAAAACATTTGTAAACTATATTTCATGAAATTCAAAAGTTTATCAAAAACACCATTTAAAAACTAAATTTTTAAGCCATAGGTTGGATGAATATATTTGTGATACACACATTTGACAAGGGATTTGTATCTAGAATGTATAAAGACTTTATATAACTCGAGAATAAATAGACAATTTGAATGAATGTTCATACGACCAGAAGCAATCTACAGGTTCAATGCAATTCGTATTAAAATTTGAATGTCATTTTTCACAGAAATAAAAAAAAAAAATCTAAAATTCATATGGAACCACCAAAAAAACCCAAACAGGTAAGTAAAAAAGAACAAAGCTGGGGACATCACACTAACTGTCTTCAACATAAACATACTATCATAAACAGATAGTAATTAAAACAGCATGGTGGTGGCATAAAAATAGACCCATTGACCAATGGAACAGAGTCGAGAGTCCAAAGATGAGCCCATGCTTGCCTAGTCAATTGATTTTTGCCAAAGTGCCAAGAAAACACAATGAAAAAAGGACAGTTTCTTCAGTAAATGTTGTTTGAAAACTGAATATCCACATGCAGAAGAATTAAATTGGACTCTTATCTCACACCATATACAAAAATCAACTCAAAATGGATTAGACTTAAACGTAAGACCTGAAACTGTGAGACTACTAAAAGAACATAAGGAAAAACAAATAAGTTATGACTTTCTTAGATTTGACCCCCAAAGCGCAGACAAAAAAAAAAAAAGTAAAAATAGACAAATGGGATTACATAAAAATAAAATCTCAAATAAAAAGTTTCTGCACAACAGGGAAAACAACAGAGTGAAGAGACAGCCTATGGATTGGGAGAAAATATTTGCAAGCCAGATGTTTGTTGAGGGGTTAATATTCAAAATATATTTAAAAACTCAAATTACTCTGTAGAAAGAAAATAATTATTCTAATTTAAAAATGAGAAAAGGATATGAATAGACTTTTCAAAAGAAGATATGGCCAACAGATATATGAAAAAATGTTCAAAATTGTTAATCATTAGGGAAATGCAAATGAAAAGCACAGTAAGATATCACCTCACACCCGTCAGAATGGCTGTTATCAAAAAGACAGATAAGTATAAGTGAGGACATGGAGAAAAGTGAACCCTTTTACACTGTTGGGAACATAAATTAGCACAGTCGTGCACTGCATGCCGACGTTTCAGTCAACTACAGAGAGCATATGTGGTAAGGTTCCTGTATGATTATAATGAAGCTGAAAAATTCCAATCGCCTAGTGACATCTTAATAATCCTAACCATGTGGAGGATTAACCTAATGTGTGTGTGTTTATGTCTTAGTTTTTAACAAAAACATTTAGAAAGTAAATTTTTAAAAATACAATAAATTTAAAATAGATAAAAGCTTGCAGAATAAGATTATGAAGATAGAAATATTTTTGTACAGCTGTACGATTTGTGTTTTGAACCATGTCATTACAAAGCAGTCAAAAGGATGATCAAAATTAAAAGTTTATACAGTAAAAATTTATAGCAAGCTGTTAAGGTATTATTGAAGAAAGAAAATTTTAATATAAATTTAGATTTGCATAAGTGAGTGTGTATAAAGTGTACAGCAGTGGACAGTAATGTTCTAAACCTTCACACTCTCTCATCACTCACTGACATCCAGAGCAACTTTCAGTCCTGCAAACTAAATTTATGGTAAGTGCCCTATGTAGATGTATCCTGTTTTTTATCTTATATACCATATGTTTACTGTATCATTGCTGTTTAGATTATTTAGATACACAAACACTTTCCACTGTGTTACAATTGTCCACAGTATTCAGTACAGTAATATTCTGTATTGGTTTATAGCTAGGAACAATAGGCTGTACCACATAGCCAAGTGTGAAGTCGGCTGTACTATCGAGGTTTTTGTAAGTACACTCTGTGATGTCTACACAATGACAGAATCATCTACCAATACATTTGTCATAACATATCCCCATCACTAAACAATGTAGACTGGACAGCCATTATGGAAAATTATAAGGAAGCTCCACAAAAACACTAAAAATAGAATGACCATATAATCTAGCACTTTCATTTCTGAGTATTTATGCAAAAGACTTAAAATTAGTATGTTGAAGAGATATTTGCACACCCATATTTATTGCAGCACTATTTACAACAGCTAAGTTGTGGGATCAACCTAAGTATTCATCAACAAATGAATGGAAAAAGAAAATGTCATATATATACATGCAATGGAATACCATTTAGCCTTAGAAAAGAAAAAAATTTTGTCATTTGTGACAATACGGTTAGAATTGGAGAACATTATGCGAAGTGACATAGGCCAGGCACGGAAATACAAACACTATACTGCATGTTCTCACTTACATGTAGAATCTGAAACAATTGAACTCAAAGAAGCAGAGCAAATTTTTTGTTATCAGAGACTACGGAGTGAGGGGGATGAGAGGGATAAGGAGATGACGGTGAAAGGGTAGAAAAACTTCATTAGACAGAAAAATAAGTATTTTTTTTTACTTTGAGATATATTACACAGCGTGATATCATAACTAATAATATATTCCACATTTCAAAATTGCTGAGAGTAAATTTCAAATATTATCACCACAAAAAAGATAAATATTTTAAGTGAATGTGTTAATTAGCTTGATTTAATTTTTCTACATTGTATTCATAAATTATGACATTGCTTTGTACCCTGTAAATATACACAACTATAATTTGACAATTTCCAATTAAAAAACTAAAATTTAAAACAAATAATACCTATTGCAAGTAAATAAAACCTAGTAAATATTTTAGTAATAATAAAGAAAATGAGTAAAAGACATGACCAGACACTTCACAAAATAATATGTACAAACAGCCAATGAACACATTAAAATGTGTTCAGCATCATCAGATATCAATAAAATATAAATAGAAACTCTCATAAGGTACCACTACACATTCACCAGAATTAGTAAAATTAAATACTGACACTACCATCACATTTTAGAAAAAATGTGGAGCTTTCATGTATTGTTGATAAAAGTGTAAAATGGTAAAGCCACTTTGTAAAATGACTTAGAAATTTCTCATAAAGTTACACATCTACTTATCCTATAATGCAGCAATTCCATTCCTGGGTATTTACTGAAATAATGAAAACATATGTCCACAAAATCATTTTATACAAGAATGCTCACAGTAGGGTTATTTATGATAGTAAAAATGGTGAAGCAATGCAAATATCAATTGACAAAGAATAATATACTCATATAATGGAACACTATTCAGCAATAAAAAGAAACTAATTAGTGATATAAGGAACAACATTAATGAGTCTCAAAACATGCTTAGTGAAACAAAGCCTCATCTTTGCACTTAAAATCCATCAGAAACTTCCAGTTGCCTTTAGGATAAAGTGAAAAATGCTAGCAGGCAAGGACCATAATCAGGTTCAAGTTGTATCTGCCAGTACTTCTCTCAGCACTCTTGTGTTTTAGTCATTATAGGGATTTGGAAACTTTTCTGTAAAGACACAGATAATAAATAAATACTTTAAACTTTGCAGACCAATGATCTCTGTCTCACATACTTAACTCTCCTGTTGAAATGTACAAGAAACCACAGAAAATATATCAAGGAATGAGTTTGGCTGTTTTTCAATAAAACTTATTTACAAAAGAAGGCAAATGACAGAATTTGGCCTACAACCTGTGTGTAGTTCATGACTCCTGTTATAGTACTTACTGATTCTTCAACATAACACCAAGACATTAAATACACAAAAGAGTGCCTGCTGTGTGACTCCATGTTAGAACAGACAAAACTAATCCACAGTAATTGACATCAGGATGTGATTACTTCTGGAGGATGTGTAGGGGATTGCCTGGGAATAGGCACAAAGGAACCTACTTGGATGATGGAATTCATATGCAAGTGGTTGCATGCATGTTTACATTTTTAAAACTCAGATTATGCCTCAATGAAAATAACTCAAAAGTGAACCCCATCACATAAAATAATTGATACTGATACTAATTTTTAGAGTTCACAATTTCTGTTTTGCCTATTATCTAAATATGGTCTGTGATACGATTTGGAACTGTGTCCCCTCCAAATGTCATGTCGAATTGTAATCCTCAGTGTTGGAGGTGGGGCCTGGTGGAAAGTGATTGAATTGTGGGGCGGGGCGGGGCGGGGGCAGTTCTCATGAATGGTTTGGCACCATCCCCTTAGTGCTGTTCACACAATATAAGTTCTCAAAAGATCTGATTGTTTAAAAGTGTGTGGCACCTCCACCCTCTCTTCCTCCTGCTCCAGCCATGTGAAGTACCTGCTCCCCTTTGCCTTCCGCCATGATTGGAAGCTTCCTGAGGCCCCCCAGAAGCCAAGCACATGCCAGCATTGTGCTTCCTGTATAGCCTATGTAACCATGAACCAATTAAACCTCTTTTCTTTTTTTTTTTTTTTTTTTGGTTGTTTTTTTTTTTTTTTTTTAAATTTATTTTTTTATTGATAATTCTTGGGTGTTTCTCACAGAGGGGGATTTCGCAGGGTCATGGGACAATAGTGGAGGGAAGGTCAGCAGATAAACAAGTGAACAAAGGTCTCTGGTTTTCCTAGGCAGAGGACCCTGCGGCCTTCCGCAGTGTTTGTGTCCCTGATTACTTGAGATTAGGGATTGGTGATGACTCTTAACGAGCATGCTGCCTTCAAGCATCTGTTTAACAAAGCACATCTTGCACCGCCCTTAATCCATTTAACCCTGAGTGGACACAGCACATGTTTCAGAGAGCACAGGGTTGGGGGTAAGGTCACAGATCAACAGGATCCCAAGGCAGAGGAATTTTTCTTAGTGCAGAACAAAATGAAAAGTCTCCCATGTCTACTTCTTTCTACACAGACACGGCAACCACCCGATTTCTCAATCTTTTCCCCACCTTTCCCGCCTTTCTATTCCACAAAGCCGCCATTGTCATCCTGGCCCGTTCTCAATGAGCTGTTGGGCACACCTCCCAGACGGGGTGGTGGCCAGGCAGAGGGGCTCCTCACTTCCCAGTAGGGGCGGCCGGGCAGAGGCGCCCCTCACCTCCCAGACGGGGCGGCTGGCCGGGCGGAGGGCTGACCCCCCCACCTCCCTCCCGGACAGGGCGGCTGGCCGGGCAGAGGGGCTCCTCACTTCCCAGTAGGGGCGGCCGGGCAGAGGCGCCCCTCACCTCCCAGACGGGGCGGCTGGCCGGGCGGAGGGCTGACCCCCCCACCTCCCTCCCGGACGGGGCGGCTGGCCGGGCAGAGGGGCTCCTCACTTCCCAGTAGGGGCGGCTGGGCAGAGGCGCCCCTCACCTCCCAGACGGGGCGGCTGGCCGGGCGGAGGGCTGACCCCCCCACCTCCCTCCCAGACGGGGCGGCTGGCCAGGCGGGGGGCTGACCCCCCTACCTCCCTACCCGACGGGGCGGCTGGCCGGGTGGGGGGGCTGACCCCCCCATCTCCCTCCCGGACGGGGTGGCTGGCCGGGCTGAGGGGCTCCTCACTTCCCAGTAGGGGCGGCCGGGCAGAGGCGCCCCTCACCTCCCGGACGGAGGGGCTGGCCGGGCGGGGGGCTGACCCCCCCACCTCCCTCCCGGATGGCACGGCTGGCCAGGCGGGGGGCTGACCCCCCCACCTCCCTCCCGGATGGCACGGCTGGCCGGGCGGGGGGGCTGACCCCCCACCTCCCTCCCGGATGGGGCGGCTGGCCGGGCGGGGGGCTGACCCCCCCCCCACCTCCCTCCCGGACGGGGTGGCTGCCGGGCGGAGACGCTCCTCACTTCCCAGATGGGGTGGCTGCCGGGCGGAGAGGCTCCTCACTTCTCAGACGGGGTCTCGGCCGGGCAGAGGCGCTCCTCACATCCCAGATGGGGCGGCGGGGCAGAGGCGCTCCCCACATCTCAGACGATGGGCGGCCGGGCAGAGACGCTCCTCACTTCCTAGATGTGATGGCGGCTGGGAAGAGGCGCTCCTCACTTCCTAGATGGGATGGCGGCCGGGCAGAGACGCTCCTCACTTTCCAGACTGGGCAGCCAGGCAGAGGGGCTCCTCACATCCCAGACGATGGGCGGCCAGGCAGAGACACTCCTCACCTCCCAGACGGGGTGGCAGCCGGGCAGAGGCTGCAATCTCGGCACTTTGGGAGGCCAAGGCAGGCGGCTGCTCCTTGCCCTCGGGCCCCGCGGGGCCCGTCCGCTCCTCCAGCCGCTGCCTCCCGGGCGGCGCTCGCTGGCGCGGCGGCAAAGACTTAAACCTCTTTTCTTTATAAATTACCCAGTCTCGGGTATTTCTTTACAGCTATGTAAGAATGGAATAATACTGTCTAGTATAAGGATTTTAATTAAATATCTTTACAAAGAATTTTTCCCCAGGTTAATATAATAATGAAAATGTACAAGGTTAGAAATTTATTTTAAGCAAATTCCAGTATTAAAAATAGTAGGTTAGGCAACATATTTATATCCTTATTGTGTACGTCAAGCAGAGTTCCATGACAGTAAATCATTACACAGCATTTCTAGGGACATGCAACTTTCAACTACTAGCAAGGAGGAATTAAACAGCTGAATGAAACTGTGTAGTATAAAATTGCCATTAGTTTTAAATATATGCTTTTAAAACGAGCGTGGCACATGTATACATATGTAACTAACCTGCACAATGAGCACATGTACCCTAAAACTTAAAGTATAATAATAAAAGAAAAAAAAACAAAGATGGAATTATAAAAAAATAAATAAATAAATAAAATAAAACGTTCTACTGCCCCTATGTATATTTACTTGTGAATACATAGAAACAAAGCATGTTCCTTATGGCTTGGGCTTTGAAGCTTGAGTTTGAATGTGGCTCCATCACTTGACAAGCTGCGTGACTGCGGTAGATCACTTAATCTTTTTCTGAGTTCCTCATGTGTAAAATGTAATAATAATATATAAGAAATAGTTTTGTGAGGACTCTATGAGAAAATACACAGAGAGATTTGAGAATAATACTTTAGACATATTGTGGGCTCAATAACATTTGTGTCATTCTTCTTATTTTACCGGACATGGCCACAAGAATAAAATATGAATATTGGCATGGAACTGGATATGTGCATTAATAGAGGAAAGTACTAAATATTTTAATAATGGTTTTCTCTGGGTGGTAGGATTATAGGTAGTTTTTAAATACTTGCTTTGTTTTGCACATTTCCTCAAAGATTTTAATAATCAAAACAACTTAAATTTTGAAAAAAAATTTTTAAATGGCTACTACCCCAAATCTCAAACATCCCAATGTCCCCCAAGACAGTCTTATTGTCCTTGAGATATGAAAAAACATCCTCCTAAGGATTCTGTGCTGTAACCTTGTGAAAATATCACCTCAATAATTAAAGCATTAGCCAGTTGGCCTTTGCCATAAAATCATAACAGAAATGGCTGATCACCACATTATGTAGGAAATTTTGTATCCCAGGGCTGGAGATTAATAGAATGGCATATTCCATTGACATTGTCATACTAAGCAACAGTGTTCTCTCCATGCAGCCACAGAAGTGGGTACGCTGTTCTGAGCCAATCTAAGGTGATTACCACGGAAACAGCACTCATTTTACTAACAGCAAGACATATTATCCTTCATGCATGGTCTAGCATCCAAGTTTAATAAGATTCTTAAAGTGAAATTGAGGACATTTGAGATAAGGACCTTAAATCCTGTGAGAAATATTTTATCATCTCTTATTGTTTATCACTTGCATGTCAAATAACCATCTCAGTTATGCTAACAAATCAATTTATTAGAAGGGCAAGTAGATATACCACAACAGAAAGAAGGCAAAGATGATATTACACACTGAAAGTTTAAGTAGTAGAAAAGCAGCTCTCCTATGCTGTTGTCATTTGTGGAAGAAAAAAACAGAAGACAATTTAGTATTGGAAGGCATAGATACATGAAATAGTAGAGTATAGATTATAATTTTGGGGAAGGCTAAGAGGGTACCAAACATCCAGACTGCCTTCAAAGTTTAAAACCCATCAGAAGCTCCCCCATCACCTGCAGTAAAGTGAAAACTGCTTTGCTTAACAGGAAAGAGCCTTCATAATTTGGCTCCAGCTTTATCTACTTTCACTCCTATCAGCACTCCTGAGGCTTCAGCAATACTATGATACTTGCTGATCGCTTAACACTTTGCTCTTCAGTACAGCAATGCCTCAGCAAGTGTTGCTTTCCACACATAAAATGTTTCTTTCTCCTTTGTTTACCTGGCTTAGTCATCCTCATCCTTTACAATCAAGTATTTTAAATTTCCAAATGTAGGACAGGGTTAATAATCCCTCCTTTGTCCTGCCCGTACCTTCCACATGCATATCACGTCAACAGAGGGAGTATTGACAACTGGTTGTCTTCCTAGTAGACTGTGTGTTTCATGAGAGAGGACAGAGGCTGTGTCTTGATTATTATTGTATCTCTTTGCAAGGTACATAGGAGGTGTTTTATAAATATGTATTAAATGTTGACTGATAAATAAACATGCTAAACTAGCAATAAGAATCAATAATATTTGTTAAAGTATCACAGGATTTAACTCAGAGGAAAACTATAGATTAATAAAGGGGGAGGAGAAAAACCAAATCACTCAGTAGTTACGAGCTTTATTTTCCTAATGCTTCATCAAATTTTTCCCTGTGAGCTAAAATTTATTTCTGTCTATAATCTTTCAACTTATTTGAGTATGACTTACAGCCGTATTGCTTCTTTGACCTGATAACCACCAGCCTAAGAGAATCATAATAACAGCTGAAGTGGAACACCAAGGGTACACAGGCCTGTTTCTCACCTGAATGGCTGGAGGCCGTCGACTGGTCGGTGCACTCTACTTGCAACTATGCGGGTTTCTATGTACATCCTGTAAGTGCTCTAGGATGGAAGTATCAAACCAAGATTTCCCAGAATCAATTTAATCTCCAGTAAATTTAATTTTTCAATTATCATTCTGTTTGGCTGAAATGGAATCCACGTGGTCTTTTTAAATTTTGAAAATTATAACAGTAAGCATTGAGTAGCATTATGAGTAATTTTATTGATGTACAACTCACAGCCTTTTTCCTACACTTGTGCCAGTCAAGTAGAAGAACCTAGAGACTAGTTAAGTTTTCCAGCTTAATCCAATTAATATAAAGTTTCTAGAATAGCATTTATCTTATCAAAATATGCTATATGCAACCTCAGTTCTACAGGATAACGCTTATCATATGAAAAGAGAATTCTGTGACCAAATAAGTATACTGAACAGTGAAGATATTTCATTCATCAGGACTTCTCAGAGCCTTTAAAATATTAAAGTTATCTGGGAATCTCTAAGAAGACTGTGGATATATTATACAAGAATTTCTGAATATATCGCCATGACACATCTTCCCTCAGGCACCTCTACTAGTGATCTATGAAATGTACTTTAAGGAATTCTGCTTTCTCCCTCAAAATAAGGGTATAAGGAATGTGACATATTTCAACAGAATCACGGCAGTCTACTCTCGGTAAGACGAACGAGACAAGAGGACTGGTCACAGTGGCACTGGACCCTGTCACCAGAGTAATATATGTTCCCTAAATAAGAAACACGTATATATGTGAGTAGTCAAGTATTCAGTAATTGTTCTTTATCACATGTAAATGGTTTTTCCAAATATAAAATTGAGACAATTGTAGATAAATATCTATATTAGTTAAAATAAAAATGGAACATTATAATAAAGACTTTTGGAGTCAAAATAGGATGGTGGTATGCACTATCTCATCTAAAATTCTGTCTTAGAATTTCTTATGAAAGGATAACTTGTGTACAAAAAAGATTATACTTGATGTGCTCTGAATTAGAATATAATGTCACATGTGCATCCATGGGTTTTCATTCAGAATGCTAAATAAATTGTATTACACAAATGACATATTTGTTGGCTCTCACCTGTGTGTGACCATAGATACGGAAATGTGACTTTGAGGGAAATCGATTGGGGTAGGAGCTAACACTGATGATCAAAGAAGGCAAAGCATGGAGTAGCACAGATTAACATAGACTTGAGGTGTAAGAAGGCATGATGGGAGCTCAAGACATGGGTAGGCAATGGTTAATACTCAAAATTCCAGGGAAATAGTCACTCCAGATCCCTTCATGGCTAGAAAATATTTATCTAATCAACATAGGCTCAGCAGCAAGACTTCAGTCTGACATAAGAGATACTGATTAAAATTAAAATACACTTCACATCTTAGGAACACTAGGGCTTGTGGTCTAAATAAAAAGTTCATGAAGACATTCACGACATTAATTCCATATTCTGCCAATTACTGTCTCTTGAGACCTTTAGAAAAGTTCCTTGTAGGAAACTCACAAGATAATTGAGACAATGAAATAAAACAATGCATATAAATGATCTAGAGCTATCCTTGTCATTCAAAACGTGTTCTGTAAATATTAGCCATTATCATTGACAAGTTTCCAAATAGCAATTCAGGATTGAGATGAAGGTGGAGAGCTACTTAAATAAAATACCCAAGGTGGATATGAATGGGGAGCTTGCATTATAGGAATCCCCATTATAGGAATGGGGACCAAGAAAAAAACTAAGATGCAGTTTAAACATCCAGGGGAAAACACTGAATCTTGTCCTACACCTTATTCATAGTCAGGCATCATTTCAGGTATAAGGCCAGGTCTTGATGCCCCTTACAGAGCCACCATTACCCTGGTCAACTGGCTGAGTGCAGCCAGCAATGCTGTATTCTCTGCCTCTCCATCTCTCTGCCTCTTTCTTTTTCTCTTTCTTACACACACACACACACACACACACACACACACACACACACACTCTTTGTTGGCCAAAGAGTGCATATGTGTCACTGGAAATCTTCATAAATTAATAATGTTCCCATTAATATTGCTTCCATAACTACTGATAGGATCAGCAGTATGTGCTCCTGGATTCTGGGCAAGCCAGTGTCAATGTAGAAAGTGACCCAAGTAATTCTGAAACACAGACAGAGATACAGTTATCTTTGAAAACATTATTCTCACTTCAGTCTTTTAGTTAGATTTAAAAAAAAAAAAAAAAAGAACACAATGACTCAGAGCAGGATTTGGGTATATACACATATATCTGTACTCAACCACCTTTATGTCATCTTGTCACCACTAATCCATGTTTTATATTCTGTTCCTGTAAAAATCAGCTCAAAATGGGGTAAATAGTAACTGTAACACTGAGTTTTAGAAAATAGACAAAATCTGGATATGTGATAAGCAATTATCTCCCTTAGCATACACGATGTAAATGGAGGCAAAATATTTGCCTTTTGAACACTTCCAATGCAAGTTGTTACAGCCATTGAATCATCTGTGAAGCTAATACTAATTCTCAAAATCATTCTCTGAATTGTTCTTTCTTTGGTTAGAGTCATCCTTTTGACTGACAAACCCCATAAAAGCTTTCCAAGTAATGCAAAGAGGTTGCTAAGTGGAAAATATTTCAAGAGCTCTGAAAATATAAGCTTGACAGAATTCTAGCCTTGAAATCCTCAGTTTACAAGAAAATTTATTGTACACACATGTTGTAGCAGTGGAATGCAGCGTGTGGCATTAAATCTAAAAAAGAGACAGCCAAACACATACAGTTCTATGCTGGAAGTAAAAAACTGTCACCCAGAGAAGGAAAAAAATTAAGTACCAAGGAAGAAAAAGACTCTTAAAAAGCACCATGGGAATGTTATAAACTATTATTTTCCAAGCTCTGAGTTTGAGCTAGTAAGAGACCATCGGCTTTTTCAAATGGCTTCAACAGATGGAAAATAAAAATTACCAATGGATACACTGGAACCTTGTTTTACAGCTCTATACAGTCGAGACACATTACAAAGCAAAAAGTAAAACTGAATACCCTACATAAATACAGATTTTAACGGTTTTAGAGGTGACAGGTATGTAGTTGGCTAGACAGGGAAGACATTATAATTTTGTGTGACACAGTATGTCAGTTTGTGCAACTAGGAAGCCATCATTTCCAGAGGAAATCACAGCAGTTGTGACAGTCAACTGTAGTACCTCATTCTGCTCTGCACACAGCGGCTCACCTGGCTTTCCCTGGCAGTGAGTATAAGGTTCATTCCAAGTGTTATAAAAGTGTGCAAGGGCCATCATTAGGAAACACTGGAAAAACACAGTCTATTAGATAAAATTTAGTAATATTGCAAGTGGGGATATCTTCATTAATACTGTTTCTTTGTGGCTCAGGGATTTAACAGCTCTCAACCCTTTGTCTTGGCCCTGAAACTATAATTTTCAATAGTGGCATCATTATAACCTCAAAATACTTGTTACAATGTCAGGTGTGAGAGACATAATAAAAACAAATAATTAGAGGCTATTCTCAGCAACATGAACTCAGTCAGAATTTTACTTTAGTGCCCAGAAACACTGTGAAAGAGAAGAAGAACCAGCAGAAAATGCTCAACACTTAAAGCAGCAAATCGCAATCACTTGACTTTGTTCACACTCTTTTTTAAGTTAGAAACATATACGGGGGCTAAGTCATATATTTGATCTGTTACATAACAAATAGCAACAGAACAAGAATGGTATTAGTAAATATAGTCAAGGGAATAGAAAATGTCTTTAATTCCTTAGCATCATCCTGGTTATTAATTATGTGTTTGTTGGTGTTGTGAATAGGGCTTTCTATTACTGAGTAAACACTAGTACTTGAGTCTTTTCTTCAAAGCATATATATATATATCCCAACAACGGAGCTCATTCGAGAATGCGTGCAGCAAAATAATATTGCAGCTTCATTTAGGAAACATGATAGGAAAGGTAATCACCTAACTCAGAACTTATAAAAAGCCTGATGTTTTCTCTTATTTGTCCTTTATCATATATATATCATATATATCATATATATATCACATATATCATATATATATCATATATATCATATATATCTATATATCATATATATCATATATATCACATATATATATATGAAACATCAACAAACACATAATTAATACAACTAAGTCCAAATTGTGCCAACTAGATTGTTATGCTGACCCTGCAGGACAATTTATTATATTTCAAAACAACTATTAGTAGCATACGCAAACAAAATGTGTGATGGCTTCAATTTTAATTTGGAGTGTGCAGCTGGGTGTGTTGTTTACCTACCATCTGTTAACCCTTCCTCCTTCTTACCAAAACCTGAATTTTTTTAGGTACTCACACCTCCCACAAATAGCTCAAATGACTTATAGGACACAGTATTTCTAACTGCCAGTATTTGTTCCTGAAATGCTCATTCATCCATTATGACATTCAATGGGAGATATTGCAAAAGCAGAGAGTTGAATATTTTTCCACACTATTTTCTAGTCATCTGGGTAATGTTCAAATTTAAGCAGCAAATGAGCCTTTTTAATCAAATTCTAATAGTGCAATTTGTTCTGATGTCCACCCAGACATTCCAAGTGAGTCAAGGCCAGGTCCTGTTATCGGACCTTGTTATAAACAAGATATTTTTATAGTTCAGCCCACGCTTCTTAGCCTCATCTAATATTAATCTTCCCAAACCCTTGGAATATTGGCAATGTTTACATTGATGACTATGAGCTTAGGAACAACACTGCCCCAGTATTACCATCTACTGAATGGGGCTGCTATCGTAAGATTGACATTTGATGACATTCATTCGATGATGATAACACCATAAGATAGATATTAATTTTGTTGTTTTAAACAAATGTCCAAATACCCTGGAAAGTGGTCAGCTTTTAAGATGATGTCACATGCTGCTTCTAATGAGACTTCCACTATTCAAACATTTTTGGAACAACTCTGTAGAAGCTCTGTAGAAGGTCAACTGGAAGCTGCAGAAAAAGAGCTTGCTTTATTATACACTATGTACAAAATGATAGTGACTAAAGCCAAGGTTATCCACACAAATACTTAAGATATTTCACTTGTGACCAGTCCTAAACCACGCCTTCTGGATACAAATTAGAATCGCGTCATGTTTCAACATGTTGACAGTGGTAGAATTTTGACATGAAAATATTTGTTTTACATGAGGATTTTCAAACATTTTATCATTAAATAACTTTTTGAGGCAAGTCTCTTATATGGCTATGTTTACTGGTTTGGCAACACTAACCTGGACACCTTTGCTAACATCCTGGTTATTTTACTTGCTAACTTTTAGTCACTCATACTAGAATATAAGCTCCATAAAGCTATGGATTTTTTTTTTTATGTATCCCCAGTTCAGAAAACTGTGCCTAGTATATAGTAGGCACCCAAGAGCTATTTGTTAAATGAACGAGTGAGCGAATGAACCTAGAACACAGAGCTAGGACATATACTCTACAAAGGAATACCTAGGATACACCCTGCCAAGTAGCCAGTAGGCATAGCACTGAGAACAAAGACAAAGAGCAGATGATCACAGCACATCTCTGGCTCAGTAACTTGACAAGGATTTCTGCATCTTCAAACTTAACCACAAGAAGCATCTTTATGTGCTGTGACATTAGTATGAATATTAAAAGTTAATTCATTCTGAGAAATTGATAATCACTTGTCTTCTTTGATTTTTGGGTAAGAGTTTCTAGATGTCCTAAAGGAGGATTCATGAATGATTACTGAGCATGACATCATGGTCATCAAATTATTTCATTCATGACACCCAGGGAGACCCTGAAACTAAATTATGTCAAGTGCATCACTCAAAAATAAAAGTCAAAGTGGCTCCTTCACGTCCTCCTTAGTGGCCAATTCATAAGGGCACATCACATAGCACCAATCACATTTACTTCATGAAGTTGCCCTTTCTCACAGTAAGGTGCTGACCCTTAAAGTCTCCAGCTAATGTCATCCTAGAGGATACTGTTTCTATATCACTACATTGAAACAAAACAAAACAAAAATGTATTCAGCAAATTTATACTTTATTATAGGGCTAGATCCTTTGGCATAAGTTATTTTATTTTAGTCTTCACTACTTTATGAGATAGAGATTAATAGCACTGATTTATGAATTATGAAGTTTAGTGGCTGTGACTTGCTGAAGGTTAGACAGTTGGACCCTCAGCTTGGCTGTATTGATCCCATATCTTTAAGTCCACAGTTTTTTATACTTTCCCCAGCACCCTTCTTACTGAACTTCTCAAAGTTGTTCTGTTCTCAATAATACACTTTCACATTCTGTATCATTGTAGTGATTGTTCAATGAACATTCTGGAATAAGTTTTCCCAAGAGTCAAAATTAAGTTAAAGACCTAATTCACAAATGACAACATCCATAGTATGAAAAATAAAATAGCCTGGCCACAAGTGTGAAAGACCATTTCTTCTGAAAAACGACAGTCAGCACACACAGACAAATGATTTGTCCTCCCTGATTTGTATGCAGCTAGTAGCTTGTCTGAACCCTTCAGGTTATGACCATGACACTGGGATACTTTTGATTTGCTTCTTAATTGAAAATCACATGGTAATGATGGCCAAGTTCCGTATAGCACAATCTCATCATCTCGCAGGGGCAATCAATGACTTCAAAGCTGTCTGGCACTAATAGAAGCGCACTCAAATAGCTTTCAGGAGAACACAATCACTGTCTTTCTCTTTTCTAATTTTTTAGCACATTAGTTTAGAACAATGTCGGGGAAAGCATATGACTGGAAGAGATGGAGTTTTTTTTTTAATTTTAGCTCTATCATGTTCTAACGGGGTTACCTTGGGCAAGTCACTTAATCTCTCTGGGTCTATATTATCTCATGTGTAAGAACTGGAGATAATGATTCTTGACCTACCAACCTCACAGGGCGGTTAGGACAATCGATTGACAGAAGGTGGCATGCAAGTGTTGTGCAAATGTAAAAGGTCGGGCAAGGAAACCTGGAGATTTTCAATCAAGAACCTGACTTTTACTGTCCCATTCTATTTTTTATTCTACCTTAATATTCTAGTGAGGAAAATCACCCATGTCAAATTCCACAGATAACATTGTAACTTATTGATTTCATCCCCTTTCTCTATACATATATTTTTTAAAAGATGTATATTGTTAATATAAAATTGGATTCCTTGTTTAGATATGTGATTTTTCGCCACCGGCTCCAGCACCCCTGGGCCGTGCAACCCGGTCCCTACAGGTGAGGATCCAGCTCCACCCCTGCTCGCCTGCCAGGCGGTGGAGACCTCGAAATGAAGACAGCATGAGTTCTGCAATACTGGGCCTGCCGCCTACCCTCCCTGAGCCTCAGTTTGCTGGCCCGTGAAGTGGGCATAGTCACGAAGCGTCTCATCTCCGTCGGGCTCAGTGTCAGGTGCCGTTGCCCCTTTCAGACCGCTGTTTAACAACTTTGGACAGCCTTCCATGGGCTATGTGCAGGCGATGAAGCCACCGGCGCCCAGGGCTCCCAGAGCACCTACAACGACCTGCTGTCGGTCATAGAGGAGAAGGGCAAAGAGATCCGGCCTGCCTATGCTGGCAGCAAGAGCACCATGGAGCGCCTGAAGAGAGGTATCATCCATGCCCGGGCCCTAGTCAGAGAGTGCCTGGCAGAGACAGAGTGCAATGCCCGCACGAAACAGGAAGCCCCTCGGCCTCAGGGGCTGGACCTTTCCTGGCCACTGCAGAGCACCCGCTTCTCCCTGGCCTTCATCCCGAGCTGCGCTAGCCATCCTGGGCTTCCAGTCCTGTGTCCCTTGGTGGGTTCCCTCCAGGAACCAAGGGGCGGCTCTCACTCCAGGTGGCAGCAGGTAGCAGGTAGGTCCGGCTACCCTAAAAACAAGAGTTAGCAGGTAGGTCCCGGTGAGTCCCACCCATGACCTGCCAACATTGTTGCCCACTGGATCTTTCTGTGGTCTCACCACGCAGCTCTTCCCAGCACTTCTCCCACTTTGTCCCGAGCCTCCTTCTCTCCCAGCAGGGGCTCAGGCCTGGCACCTCTCTGCCCTATGTCCTGAGCCACAGTGACTGTTTTCTCAGTGTGTCTTTTGCTAAATATGCCCTTTTCATATTAATAAAAGATTATTTGGAGTTGTGCTCTCAAAAAAAATGTGATTTTTCACTTATCAAGAACATTTTGCAGATTATTAGTCTGTGAAACCAAATATTCCATTGAATAAATATAACATTTAATTTCTGAACATTGAGGTTTCAACTTTTAACCATTATCAATAATTATATGACTATCCTTGTATGTAAATTTTTGCCTGTATGAGTATTGCTTTATGATTAATTCTAAGTGGGATTTGTGTGTTAAAAATTTTAATATTTGTAAGTCTTTTGTTACAGATTTAAAAATTGCTTTCGTAAAATTGTATAAACATAAACTCCCAAAGGCTGTGAATGAAGCTCTCCATCTTACGTCACCCCCACCAAAGTGAAACATCTTATCACACACAGCATAATGCAAAACAACACATGGCATCTGTAGAGATGGGGAATACAACAATGGTTTGTAGTCAAATCTCAGGTTAGTAGTAAACACTTTCATGTGGCTATCGGATGTGTTCCAGTAGGCTGTGGTGATAATACTTAAGGGACTGAGAATTTGCATCTTGTCTCTGATCATTTACTTATGATAGACTCCTAAATATAAATTCACTGGAATAAAAAATGTATGAACAAGTTTTTTGAAACCCTCTTTATATACATACATAAACATTCTCACATTGCTTTCCACAAGTTCATGTTGGTTTAGGTTTCCACAAATGATATTTTTCATTCATCCAGTCAATCAACAAATGCATAATGATCACTTCCTTTGTGTCATGCATTGTTCTAGGCACCAGGGATAAAACAATGAACAAAACAGACAGAAATTACAGCCCTCGTGGAGCTCATGCTCTGGTTGGGAGGAGAAAGAAAATAACTAGGACTGATATGTAAAACCTGTAGCATATTAAATGCACATAACAGCTAAGAAGAAGAGGCAAAGAAGTGGGAAGAGAAGTAATAAGGCAGTGACTTAGAATTCTAGATCAAGTGGCTGAGAAAGGCCTCAAAGAGATGACATTTGAGTAAAAATTTCACTGTGTCATGTGTTACTGATAGGTTAACATAAGAGTCAAGTATGGGTCAATGACTTATCAATATATTAATAGTAGTCCTTATTGACCTTGATAAGATCCATTTGAGTGGGCTGGTAGTAGTCAGAGCACAGACCTAAGGAATAAGAGTGAAAGAGCTCACTAGATATGTACCTATGTAAGTTCTTAAGATAGTGGGGAAAAAGACATCTAATCAAGATGAGGAGACTAGAGAGTAGTCTATCAATCAAAAGCCCTAACTTGCAACAAACTTTGTTCTTTTGGCTGAATGTCTTTTATAAGTCATTTACTCAAATGTAATATTGTCAGTCTTATACTTTAAAATATTTATATATTATAATTACACTGGCCATGGTGGTGCTGAAGAGTTACTTATTTTTGAAAGTATCTTTATTCAAAATCTGTGCTCAGGGTAGCTATACAAGTGATTCAAACTTATCCAAATAGATCCCCAGAACATCTATTAATTAGCATAAAATAATGATTTTCATTGATGAAATGAATGTGTTCAAGATATGTAATTAGCTAGAAAAAAAAATTGCAATACCCCCTTGACTCAATAAATGTATTAGAATCCTGGTTAGCCTATTATTATATTTGAAATAGCACTTTCGGTTAGGAGCTCCATTTCTGTCTGTCCATCCTTAGCTAGTAGAAGGCTCTAATTCTAAATCTAGAGTAGAAAGTTGATTGTGTTTGTCTTCAGAATATTGTTAGATAATCCTGGAAGTGGAACTCTGACCAGAATATTGTTAGATATACCTGAGAGTGAAACTCATGTAATGTGCTTGCCTGAAAAGGAAGAGAGGGCCTCCTATATTTCTTCCCTAAGCTTTTATTTCAACATCATGCCTGGAGGTCTAGGGACAGTTGTTAGCTGGCAAAAGCAAAGTCAGAGTGTTTCCCGAAGCTCCAAAGCATGCAGGGCAGCTGTACCATCTTCCAAGCAGCTCATAGGCCATCACTGATGGAAGAATAACCTGGATGCCAAAAAGGCTTCCATGGTATGAGAAGAACCTGAATCAAACCTTGCTGTGCCTGAATAAGCTCTTCTGTGTGAATTCCTCGGAAGTCACTTCCTGGACATATGAAGATATGGCGGTCTTCAAGACACTGGGTGATTCTCTGACCAGCCTGCACAGGCTGGAAGCCGCAAGACTTCCCCCAGGGGAGTACCTCAGGAGAGAGTCCTCCTCAAGAATAGCAAGGAGACTCTAATATGGGTCTTCTCAGTGCACTTGCTTCAGCCCCCTAGTCTAGAGGCTTCTGCCTGATGTTCTTCCAGCCCCAGGGAAGCTTCTCAGTCATTCTCCAAGCCTTTTCCAACCATGAACCAAATGGAAAGAGTACAGCTTCTCTGCATTTTTCCAAAGAGCTCAGGTTCAATATTTTTCTTTAATGTTTAAGGATATTTTCAAAGCATTTATGTTCATTTATTTTTTTTTTGCTTTATATTTACTTATTTTTTAAAAAGCAGCTGCATATTCAGACATTGACACATTTTCTTATGAGAAGATATTAAAGCATGCAGTTATTAAGACTCTGAATTTAAAATGATCTGTAAGTTCATTGAGCATGCTTTAATGTCTGCTCATAAAGTGCATCAGATATAATAAATATATTTTAAATTATAAAGGCAATGTAGAAATGCTATATCAACACATACTATTCAAATGTTAATCATTTTAAAAAGAATTAACAAAAATTCATGTGAACTCAATGAACTCAACTTATTACTAAATTACCTAACAGAAAATTTTGAAAGAACACTTAAAGGTCACTTTGATAACATAATTCTAGTATCACCTCTGCCTCACCAGATTGCACCATTTTTACCGATACATCTCAGATTGTTCATTCACACAGCATCTTAAGAGAAAGCATTAAAGCAATTAGACTGAGACAACAACACAGTAAGTACCTGCAAAGTACTGAGGGAAGAGAGGCCTAAAACATTTTAATCCCATGTTGCTCCCAAAAGCCTGTAAGATTTCTCAGGAAAGAGCTCTTCAAGTAAATGAGTTAACAACTAACATATCTTCCCCAAGAAACTGAACAGAGCCCGTGCAGAACAGTTCAACACACATCACTGAGCAGACTACACAGGAACACACTCTACAGTGGAATAAAACTCAGTCAATAAATATCAAAGCTTTGCAAATCATTTTATTTCATTACTCCTTCAACACGCATGTATTGAGAACCCATATTACAAGGCCTTTCAGGGGTACAAAAAGTTAAGAGACCTGGCCCAGGCTTTCAAAAGTCTAATCCATGACCTGAGAAGATATTAAAAATACTCTTAGAGAAGGACACAAAGCAAAAAATATTGACTATGCTGCCGCATAAATGTGTGACACAGACATGGAGTTCAATGAAGGAATATGGAAGAGAGATATTCCCATTGGTTGACGGATAAGGGAAGGCGTCATAGAGAACTTGAGGAACATCATGAAGACAGGCAAATTCCAAAATGGTGATGCAAAAGTTGACAGGTATGCCGTGACACATATGGTCTTTTTGTGAATATATTCTGCTTAGACAAATGTTAATATATTTTAGGAGCAGGTGCCTTGTCTCCTATTTTTTAAGTCTTATACTTCTTTTGATTTATTAACCTAATATTTCTAGTATTAGTGCCTCTGGGTTATGAGAAAGGTCACTTTATATACTCTGCTGAAAAATATGTGTTATTAAAAACTAGCACATCCTGTCTATCTACCAAATGAATTAAAGAATCAAAATATGCATCTTTTTCTACCCTAACCATATATGGGTTTTTAAAATAAGCATTCTTTACATGTTATCACTCAACTTCTTTACTCTAAAGGATGCAGCCAACTTTAACTGGTAGTATGTAAATTTAATTTGTAATTACTTTGGGGAATAATTATAACACCACTTGGCGAATTTTCTTCTAAGATGACATTACTCTGAGTATTCAGCCTTATGGGGCTTTTAATATAGGGTAGTCATCTCAAGTTGCTATGACAGCTGCAGAACTTTTATTTAAACAGATTAGACCTTAATGTAAATAGGTTGAAATATCATAAATTTCTGGACTCGGCATTGATTGAATAAATATAAAGCAACATAAAGATCAATTATAAAATCATGGCATGTTGACTTTATTACTATTGAAGTTTAGGGGGCATATTAAATAAACTTGTTTTTCTTTGACCCAGATAACAGCTATTGCATAATAAACACAGAAATTCAGTAGCTGTAAACTAAAATATTTTTATTTAAAAAATTATTTTAAAAAATTTCAAGCAAACACAAAATTAAAAGGAATAATAGAATTAATCCTCAACATCCAGCTTCAATGTTCTTCAGTTTTTGGCCCTATTTGTTTGATTTATACCCCCATCTACTTTGCCACTTCCTATTGTATTATTTTGAAACAAATGTTTAATATTACTTCATCCATAAATATTTTAGTATTTATCAATAAAAGATAAAAAATATCTTAACCACATTATTATCATACCTAAGGAAAAATTTAACAATAATTCTTTAATGTATCTCACAGGTAACCCTCTAAGATGGTCCCCAGTGATCCTCACCTCCTGGTATCGAAGACTTTTTGTTGTTGTTCTTCCCCTTGAGTGTTACCTGAACCTCTAAATGAATAAGATATGGCTAATGCAATGGGATATCACTCTGAGATTAGGTTACAAAGACTGAAAATTTCATCTTGAGAATTTTTTCTCTCTCACCTTCTCTTGTTCTCTCAATTTCTCATTTTCCACATCTTTCCATGGGCCATAGTTGATCATTCTCATTCATATTTTCTCTCTCTCTCTCTCTGTCTCTCTCTCTCTCACACACACACACACACATTTTTTCTATCTCTTTCTGAGCCCTAACTCTGGGAGAAGCAACCCGTCTTATTGTGAGAAGCCCTATGGAGAGGCCTGTGTAGCAGGCTAATGACTCTGTCCCTGAGCCAGATTATAGCTGAAGCCTGACAAGCCACATAAGCGAGCTTGGAAGCAGATCCTCAGCCAGGATATCTCAGTCAAGTCTTCAGATATCTGCAGTCCTAGAGGATACCTTGATTGCAGTCTTACGAGAGACCTTGAGATGGAGGCACCTAGATAAGCCATGCCTAGATGCCTGGCCCACAGACACTGTGAGATAGTGTGTTTGTTATTTTAAGCTATGTTTTGGAGTAATTTGTTATATGACCATATATGCATAATACAGTATCATTAAATATTCAGTCAATGCTCAAATTCTGTGATCGTCTTGTACATGATTTTTTACAGTTGGGTTGCTTGAATCAGAATCCAAACAAGTTTCTTATGTTGCATTTGGTTATATGTCATCGAAACATTTATCCTTAGATTCCTCCTACCCCATTTTTCTTTGTCATTCTTCACTTTTGTTGTTGATAAAGCTGATATTGGAGACCATGACATGGTGTGGAGACAGTGGATTTGCCAGCAATTTCGGCTACTCTGATTCAGACCTGAAAATTTTCTAGGAGGAAAGTTTAGATTTCCTGAACAAGTATACTTCTTCAGAATTGTATCTCAAATTTTTCTGGCACAGACATATCAGATAAAATCATGGGGAATGGGGAATAAATGAACAGCCATAGAAAGAACTATTTTTAAACTGAAATGAAACATGAGGGCTATACAACCCCATGTTTAAGTTCTTTATATCAAAATTACAATAGAGACCATTTTAAAATGATCTCTTGTTCTTAATAACCTTGAATAGATGAAGTGTCAACTAAAGAACATTGCTCATGCCGGGCATGGTGAGCACCTTGAGAGGTCGAGGCTGGAGGATCACTTGAGGTCAGGAGTTTGAGAACAGCTTGGCCAACATGGTGAAACCCTGTCTCTACTAAAAATATGAAAAAATTAGCCAGGCATGGTGGTGCACAGCTGTAGTCCCAGTTACTTGGGAGGCTGAGGCTGGAGAATCGCTTGAACCCGGCAGGTAGAGGTTGCAGTGAGATGAGATCACGCTACTTCACTCCAGCCTGGGCAATAAAGAGAGACTCCATCTCAAAAAAAAAAAAAAAGTTTCTCATCATAGCTTCAAATTATTATTTTCTAATAGATGTGAATTTTGATGGATTTAAAAATATTATATTACTTATAGCAATGTGAGAATTGATAATTGAAGTTTTCATAACAAGGGAGTAAAAAAATATTGTCAGAGAGAAATTCTTACTTTTTCAACATTAAGCAGACTGACAAGGTCCCTACTCTCAATGAGTTTACAATTCATTGGAAAAGTTAAGCAATCACATACATGCACACACATATGCAGAGCAAGAAAGAGATACATGAATTTAAAAATGTATGCAATGTTGTGAAAGCATAACATAAAAAGTCTGATATAATCCACTGGATTACGGACAAATTCCTTAAAGGCACAGCATTTGAACCAACATGATAAAAATGAGGATAATTTTACTAAGTGTAGACAATGGTGGCAGGCATAAAGAGGTGTGCCAAGCAGAAAGTACGCAAGCACAAAGCCCCCGAGGAAGTGGGGAGCATGACTCATGCCTGGAACTGAAGGAAAGTCAGTGTTGCTGAAACACCGAGCCTGGGGGAAAGTAACACAGAGAGAAGAGGCAGAGGCCAGATTATGCATAGCTCTCTGGACCATATTACAGATTTTGGCTTTTATCCTAAGATTAATGAGAAGATACGGAAAAGTTTCTTTCAAGCAAGGGAAAAGGATAATAGAAGGTGAACTTCAAAGAGAATGGAGAATGGTTTGGAGAAAGGCAAACATGGATGTACTTGGCTCAGTATCTCTGTCTTTGATACTATCCCTCCAAATTTATCACCTACATAGGTAACACTTCTAATAGCTTGGTCACACAGTTCCTTCATCTCTTCTCAGTGCTCTTCTCATTCACCCTACTTGAAACACTACTGGTCTGAAAGTGGGCCTTGTCATTACCAACCATGGCACTCCCACCATAATCTCAGTCTCAAGAACCTCATTCTCACTCTCTGGCCATCAATTCCTACCTTTTCAGCTCATTTCCTCTAGTAACTCTATTAGTTTCCTGTTGCTGCCATAACAAATTACCACAAACTTGGGGGCTTAAAACAACACAAGTTATCTTACAGTTCTGAAGACCAGAAATGTGCAAGACTCACTGGCCAAAATCAGTTTAATCAGAGCCTTCTCCATACCTAACATAGCAGCAGAATTTGGGGTAGTTGCTCACTTCCTTATGTTGAAACACTTTCTTCACTTGGTTTCTAGACACAAGTTTATCTTAAGAGTCCCCTCCTACCTGTGGTCATCCTTTCTCAACCCCCATTATGAGGTCCTCTTCATCTCTTTACACTACAACATTGGTGTATTCTAGGGTCTGGTTCATAGGTATCTTCTCTATTTATTCTCACTCCTCAAACAATCTACTTTTGCTCAGGATTTTAATTATCTTATAAGATATGCTTTCAAATGTCACTATACTTCCACTAGAATGTATGTCATTTTAGATGTGGTACAGTGTAGTGGAAAAAAATCTCAAGCTCTGGAAGAGAGTGTCTTGTACTCTACTCTGCCAGTTACTAGCAAAGTGGTCCTGAGCAAATTAGTATTCTTGCCTCAGTGTTCTCATCCATAAAATGGGGCTAACAATAGTGAATTTACAAAGATACTTTGAGGACTAAATGAGTGAATAAATATGCAAAGTGCCTAAAACAGTGCCCAGCATATTGTAACACTCAGTAAATGATGTGCATTATTATTATGAGGCATCCACTTGACTTTTTAAAATCTGAAATCTTGATTTCCTTCCAAAAACAATATGCTTCTACAGTCTTCTCTATTTCACTAAATATCAATTCTATCCTTAAACATGTTTGGGAGAAAACTGGAAGTTATTCTTTCTTTTATACCTACGGCCAACCCCATCAACAAATTTTTAGTTCTGCTTTCAAAATACATCGGGACTTTCATAGTTTCTCATCATTTCCATTAATAAAACCTGAATCTAAGTCTTAGTATAAGGTTGATATCTCTCATCCTAATTATTTCTTCAGGTTGACAACTGATTTCACTGATTCTACTCTTAACCCCTTAAAATCAGTTTTCAATACAGCAGCCAGAGTGACCATATTAAAATTATATTCCTTATCTGCCCAAAACCCTCCTGTAGTTTTACATTCACTTAGAATATAGGTCAAGGCCCTTACCATGGCCTCAAGGCTACAAGTGACCTGGCTCAATCTTTGAGGAGCCAATAAGATTTAAAAAAAAAATCCTACTATTCATACTATTGATTACTGTAATCATGCTGACCTCCTTGATGTTCCTCAGATTCTCCACCTAAGAGCCAAACTTCGAACTGACCGAAAAGTCTTACACTTGCAAAGCTCCATACTTCCTTTACCCTATGTTCTTCTCAGCATTTACTGCTATTTGGCATACTATGTATTTGTTTATTAGTTCTTGCTTCCACCAAATCAACTGTCAACTTCCTAAGAACAAATAGTTTGTTTTATCTACGGTTGTGTCTCCAAAGCCTAGAACTGTGTCTGGCATATGGTAGTGAATGAACAAATAAATATATAAGTGTATGTTTTATACAATCAGTTGTATTATAATGACATTCAAGGAGCTCAGGAAGACTCCAAAAACAATATGTTTCGATTAAAAATTATTGACTTGGTGCTGGAGATTGAGTTGGAATGTTAAGAGCACTAGATGCATGATCTGTAGCTCAGAAGAAAAACTGAGATGTGGATATAAGTTTGAGGTTCACTTGTGTAGAGATATAATTGAAACTACAAAAGATGGATGAGATCCCCAAGGGAGACAGTACACATTGAGAACAGAGAGGAGCATCACGTGGAAACTTGAAGGACTCCAACACAGACATGAAGCCAGGAAAGGAGAATTCCCCAGTGAAGGGAAGGGAAATAAAGGACAACAGATAAGAGGCAGCACAGGTGAGCAGGCAACTCTAACCTGTTTGAAGTTTACTGGGAAACAAGTATTGTTGTATTGAGGGATAGAGTCAATGCTGAAGAGGGCCAGGATCCACAGGTTTTGTGTGACTTATTAGGGATACTAAAGTATAGATCGGGGACCCTGAAGACTCCAGGATGAAAAATAGAGTCAAATGGGCTAAATGGATTAAGTGCCAAGTTTTAGAGAAACAGTATTTCTAATGACATTAAATAGTGAAGGCTGCTATTTTGGTTTTCAGTATTTTTTGTATTTGAATACCCAACAAAAATTTTCTTGGCAAAGAACTTCTATGTGTCTAGCCTCATTAAAATCCTTCAGAAATATTGGGAGAAATTACTCTTAAAGAAAAGGACATGTTTTGGTTGAATTACACAGCTTAAAGAGTTTACTCTCAAGACTTCTCAATATTTCCATAGGACTGAAACTTCTTTGTATTAAATCATCTAAAAGAAAGTTATTTCACAATAAATGAACCAAATGAATGGCTAAACATATTCTGTTTGGTTTTTTTCCTTCCAATTATCCTTGATGGCTCTGGAAACAAATGTTATGATTTCCTGGGCTTTCAGAAATAAAGTGGATTTTTAAGCACTTCATATCACACAAGAAATTTACATAGGAATCATCCAGAAAAATTAATTGGAAGAGAGGGTCACCTATCACCTATGAGGAATTAAAGAAGGCTTGAAAATGAAAAAGCAAGCGGGGGTATTGTTTACAATCAAAACAGCACCAGAATATAAAGTGGTATGTACAATTGGTATAGCCTTAAACCACTTATACCATTAATTCAATCCACAAATATTTTATTCAACAATGATTGCTCAATCAGTGTAGCATTATTTAAACATAAATGTCATGGCCTGTTAAGTTTAGTCTTTGTTCAAGGAGCACATAGAACGTTTTCCCACTGATACCTGAACAGCTCTCACTCACTTCTTTGAGAAGTAACCCTTTAAGATGGCCTTTCTCTGACAATCCCATAAAAATTTGCAATCATTCTGTCAATTTTCCACTTTAACTGTCATTTATTTGTTTGCTGTCTGCTCCCCACCCTACCCCAAATAAAGTGAGACATCTTTGAAAGCAGAAATTTTGTTTTATCACTGATGTACTCCCGATGCCTGCTGTGTAACAGAGACTCAAGAAGTATTTTGTTTGAATTAAGGAATAAATGAATGAAACATACTTATAAGAAAAAGAGGCTATGGGAAAATTAATCTTATACTACTATTTACAGCTATCTGATGTTTATACTGTTCCAGAGAAATTACATAATACAGAGGAAAAATGGAGAAAAGTCTTTGTGGATAACGATTTCAGAGTCTGGCTATTAAACCCAGCTCTGCCATTTTCTAACTATGCAGTGTGGGGTCCATTCTTAATCCTTTATGCATCAAATTTTTCACTTATAAGTACCAACCACCAATTCCACCACACTTAACTGCAGTAGGAGAGAACATGGCAGGATCTTTGCAGTATCTCAGATCTGAGAAGTCAGAAAACGACATTAGTATTGTTTTAGGACCTGCCTAGTTTTAGAACAGGTCTTTCAAGAATTAAGATGGGGAAGGATTTATAATGTAATACTTTTGGATTGGTTGCCCCAGTGAGGTGAAGTTCTTTTTTATTTTTTTAAGAGACAATGTCTCACTTTGTCACCCAGGCTGGAATCCAGTGGCACAATCATAGCCCACTGCAGCCTCAAACACCCGGGCTAAAAAAATCCTCCCATCTCTGACTTCCAAGTAAATAGGACTACAGGCACATACTACAGAGCTGGGCTAATTTTTAAAAATTTTTTGTGGAGCTAGCATAACACTTCCTTTCCCAAGCTGGTCTGCAATTCCTGAATTCAAGCAATTCTCTTGCTTTGTCCTCCCAAAGTGCTGGGATTGCTGGCATAAGCCACCATGCTCAGCCTGAGGTGAAGGTCTTGAAGAAAGTCTTGCTGAGTAAACTGTTAGTCTTGATTTTTTAAAAAAAAATACTGTTTTAGTTGGTTCACAGTATTATCCTCTTCAATTTGGTGTACCCTGGAGTAGGTAGCTAAGTTATTCTCAATATTGGGAAAGGAAAGTATGTTTGTGTTCAGTATCTTTTTAACATGGGACGATAAATTGCATTGGTTTCAGTTCTCTAATATGACAGTGTGATAATCTCTGCCCAGTCCCAGAGTAATAAGGATCAAAGAAGATTGACATTTATAGAAAGAGATACTGTTATTATTATAACGTTCAATACAATAAATATATTGAACTCTTACCATGTACAAGAAACAACGTTAGTCTCTAGAAATGATACTGAGAGAAATAAACACATTATCTTTAGGAGTTTACAACTTTGATAAGATAGTTAAAACCAAAAATACTAATAACTGAACAAAAGTCACAGTAAGGCAGGTATCATAAGAAAGTTACTCAAGAATTATGACAAAGTTTTCATCAAGGAGACCTGTGTTTGATAGTGATTCAACATGATATTTGTAAAAGAGGGAGCATTTGAGATAAGTTTTCAAGAAGAGATAGATGCTGTCAATTACACAGGGAAGCAGAGGCAACAAGTTTAAGCCAGGCAGAAGGAACACCCTGAACAGAAGCATGCATCATATTAAGGAATTGTTTGCACTAAAACGAATTGTATGGTCCAATGAGTTTGGAAAATCTGGTCAAAACTAAACAAATTTCTTTATTGCAGGCCATTGTGGGCTTTCATATGTGATGATCCATTGTTTTCGAAGAAGGATACACGCTGTATACACTTCCTGAACTTACATAATCATGGAACAATGCCCTCCCCTGTTTAGAGTATCTCATTGGACTTTTTGCTACCAAACACATTTCAGTTAAAATTGAAATGGCGACAGGTAAGAAAATTAGGTAGTGTGTGGCAGGAAATCATCAATAGAGTAAGCAGAAATTATGATTGTTCAATGCTTTACATGGATCAGTTTGTCAGCCTTATGTGCAACACACTGGAACAAGGAGAAAAAGGGAATCAGAAGGGGAGGCTGCATTTTTCCCTCAGTACCCCAAATAAAAACCATGTAGTGATGCAGCATGAGGTGGAAGCAAGGACAGCAATGGGATTCAAAATGTAATGAAGTAAACTCTGCAGAATATGACAAATGATAAGATATCAGAGGTGGAATATAAGACAAAGTAGATAATGAGATGTTGAGCGTGGTTCCTGGTAGACTCCTGATGCCAATGACAGCCAGGAAACGAAGGAAATATCTGGGGTTTTTAACACAGTGAATTTCTTATTCTACTTCTTTTTAAAAGAAAGCTTTGTGTATATAAATGTTAACACTTCTATAGCTGCATCCTTGTAAAGAAAATGCTTTAAGATATTTTATTTTTCTGAAGTAGAAAAGTTTCATGATTTTTAACTTTCCATGAGAAATCTAATGCTGTTAAAACATACTTTATTCAATCATTTATTAATTAATTAATTTGTTTACTTATTTTATTTTTTTAAGACAGGCTTACTCTGTCACCCAGGCTGGAGTACAGTGGTGCTATCTGGGCTCACTGCAACCTCCGCCTCTGGGGTTCAAGTCATTCTCGTGTCTCAGCCTCCAGAGTAGCTGAGATTACAGACATGCACCACGACCCCTGGTTAATTTTTGTGTTTTTAGTAGAGATGGGGTTTCTCCATACTGGCCAGGTTGGTCTTGAACTCCTGGCCTCATGTAATCTGTCTGCCTTGGGCTCCCAAAGTGCTGGGATTACAGGCATGAGCCCACCATGCCCAGCCCATGTTTTGTAAGTTAATAAAATATTTATTGTTTCTTTATTATGCAGAACGTATCTCATAGGTATACCTACTATGTGTTAGAAATACCTTTAAAGCATGTCAAAGCTAATGCTTATCCTAATTTATCCAAAGTAATTCTTTGTCTTTGCATTAAAAGTTTCAAATAAACAGACCCACACTTTGCTCAGGTAATTAGTACGTGTAAATAACTAAGTATTAGACTTATTAAGAAAGAGCAAGACTGTAAGCTGAGAAAAAATAGCTTCTCACGTGGGTGCTAGAGTCAATATTGTAAAGGAAGTTTTAAATTCTACCCAAATTACTTAGACATTCTCTCCTGAATTGTCTTGCCTTAAAAAAAAATCTGTTAATTCAGCCTAAAATGTCTTCATTTCATTTACATAACACAAGACTTGTCACAGTATGAAGCTACCTAAAATAGTTATTATGTCTTTGGGCAAAAATAGGCAGACAGCATTGGGGAGAAAAGCATGTGTGTGCTTAGATCCCCTACAGAGACAGAGATTATATGTCTGGTTTCCTAAATACCAGAAGCTAGATTGGATTAAAATTGTGCCATTGAAAGACTCCCAAATGTATCTGGGTGCTATCCAAGTTTCTTGCTTCCCAAAAATACCTGGTTCCCAGGGGAGAGAAAGGAGGAACATGGGGAAATATGATTTTGTTTTTATCACTCATTATTGTAAGAGACAACCTTGTCTGAGCAAATGGCACGAGGAAATGACATACTCTTTCCATGGACATGATTTGGGCAGTTTTCAATGACCTTGGAAAAGGTTTTTCTCTGTCAACATAATCATCGATAAAAATCTCATTCACTCAGGTTTGGAAGTTTGTTTAATTGATAAAGTGCTCTGAGGTACCAAATAAGAAGTGCTAAACAAGGGTGATATGTTTTCCATTATTAATTCCATATTGAAACCACAGGAAGATGAGCTACCTATAGGCCAATTTAAGGCACAGAGTATAGAAAAGGATTAAAGATACATGCCTTTGAAAAGCACTTGGGAACTGAGGGTAAGGGAACATGAAGATAAAAAGTCTAGGGGTGTCATGACCAGTTTCTAAAAGGTATAGGTAAAGTACAGGGGATTTTTCAAGCAGTAAAATTATTTCAAATGGAATATTAATGATGAATACAAGACATTATTTTACAGCACAAAGAATAAACCTTAATTAAGATTTTTTAAATAACTCATGAGATGAGGAGGATCTCAGGAAGGAATGCAGACTGTGACAAAAGAATCTAGCTGTATTACAAATGCAGAAAACAACCGCACTGAAGAGGATGGGGAAATGGTGCTGATCTAAGTATCTTTGGAAAGGAGTGGAGTCTGTAAGACTAAAGGCAAAAGGAACACATAAGCAATGTAGTCAGTTAATAATGTTATTTCCAACGGGGTTGTGGGTTAACAATTCTGATGCTACTATACATTTAAACTGGAATGATGTGCTCTGAATGGAGAAGCTATAAAATTTAAACAAACTGGAATGGAACAATTCGTAAAGTTTCTCACTGTTGGAGTATGAGTTTACAGCAAAACAAGTATAAGAGTGGTCATGGATTAGACTTGGAGATGTAAGTATTAACTCATGTTTGTCTTAATACAGATACAAATGAATACATATAGAAATATCCACAGGTACGTGTATATACATGGGTTGGTATAAACATATATATTTGCTCTACTGTCTGAGAGGAACTAAAAGAAATGACCAGTAGCAATAAACACACCAGGCTGGCCAGATCTTGGTTTCTAGTACCACCCTTCAATAAAGGAATCAAGATCTTTGCAAAAATGGCTGATTCTAGGATTGGGGAAAAAAATACACGGGATGAACCTGGAGCATCTTGTAGCACCAGAAAGTATGGAAATGCTCAAACACACATACAAGTGTACACATACCCAAACACACATCCCACATTGATAGGGTATGTCAAAGGAGGGCAGTAGCTAAGAGCTCCCAATTGCCAAATCTGAAACAATTGAATCAACAAAACAAATTAAGTAGTATTTTTACAACTCAAAATATATAATAAATGTCAATATTGATAAAAATAAATATAATATTTATTTATTTATAAATAAATGACAGAGACAAGATAAGCACTCTTATCTTGTCAAAGAACCTCCACCTCCCGGGTTCTTATAGAAGAATTTCAAATAATCAATGCAGTTACTTTGTCCTCAAGCAGCCTAACTCCCACTCCTTAGATGTGGTCTCTACATAATCACTTATTTTTAAAGAGTACTAGAAAGAATGGGGAAACGTAACTTTGCAGTAGAGAAACCTGACAAGCATTACCTCAGCCAAGTGATCAAGGTCAACATCAACAGTGATAAGTCATGTTGATAGTATATACCCTCCATATGATGTGGTGATGGCACTTTTGCACTATGGTCTACTTCCTAGTAACCCCAACCCCAGTCATATCATAAGAAAGCATCACAAACTGCAACAGTGGAGTATACTGTGAGATACTGAATTGGTAACGCTTCAAAGCTATGAAAGTCATGAAAAACAAGGAATGTCTCAGAGACTGCCAAAGTCAAGAAGAACCTAAAGAGACATAACTATATATAATATTCTATATAGAATTGTAGAACCAGCAAAGAATATTAGGTGAAAACAAAAGGTATATGATACTTTATTGATTTTATTTAATAATAATTTATTAATATTGGTACATTAATTATATCTAATGTTTCATATTAATATAAGATGTTAATAATAGGGGAAACTAGGTTTAGGGTATATGGAAACTACTACACTAATTTTTCTGTAAATCTAAAAATAAACCTTGTTAATAACAGATTATTTATATATAAAGTATGTGGGATGTGAGAGTAAAGGGTAAAAAAAAAAAAAAAAAAAGATAACTATGATCATAAGGTTAAGTCCTGAAATGGAGAAGAATTAAATAGAGCAGGAGGAGGATGAACTAAAAAGAAGGTAGAAAATGAGATTCTTTTCCATTCAGTCTTGATAGAAATTCAATTATACTTTGACATCACTTGGAGTCATTCTTTTTATATTACTAAAGTTCTAAATGTAGTATATTAATATGAATAGCCACAAATTCTACATATTTTCACATGTTTGATATTTTATAGACTGAGACTCCGGGAGTACTAGAACATCGTTTCATCTCCATCTCTAAGGATAGTTATATAGCCTTTCCTAAAGTCAGTTTCCTCATCAATAAAATGAAAATAAAACAATATATACTCATTAAATGAATGAATAATTATATAATTACTGATTTAGTTATTTCAATTTGCAAGTAAAAGTTTTATATATTTATTATATACAAATGATGTTTCAACATTTGTATACATTCTGGAATGAATAAATTAAGCTATTTAACATATATATTACCTTACATGTGTATTTTTTGTGGTGAGAATGCTTAAACTCTACTCTCAACAATTTTCAAATACACAATATATTGTTATTAACTGTAGTCATTATAATGTACAATAGGACTTTAAGCCTATTCTTCCTAACCGAAATTTTGTGTCTTTTGTCCAATATCTCCCCAATCTCTTCACCCTCCAGCTTCTAGTAATCACAATTTTGCTCTGTTTCCATGAGGTCAACTTTTTTACAGTCTACATATACCTGAGATTGTGCCATATTTTTCTTTTTGTGCCTGGTTTATTACACTTAACAAATGTCCTCCAGTTTCATCCATGTTTTTGCAAATGAAAAGATTATGTTGTTTTTTGAGTCTGAACAGTATTCCATTTGTATATATGCTACATTTTCTTTATTTATTCATCCACTGATGAACACTTAGGTTGAATGCATATCTTGGCTACTGTGAAAAATGCTGCAATTAACATGGGAATGCAGATATCTCTTCAAGATAGTAGTTTTATTTTCACTGGATATACACCCAGAAGTTAGATTGCTGGATCATATGGTAGTTCTACTTTACTTTCTTAGGACCCTCCATATTGGTTTTCCACAACGGCTGTACTGATTTACATTCCCATCAACAGGGTACAAGGGTCTTCTTTTCTTTACCATCCTTACCAACACTTGTTATTTGTGATGGTTAATAGTAAATGTCAACATGATTGGATTGAAGGATGCAATATTGATCCTGGGAGTGTCTGTGAGGGTGATGCCAAAAGAGATTAACATTTGAATCAGTGGGCTAGGAAAGGCAGACCTACCCTTAATCAGGTGGGCAACATCTAATCAGCTGCCAGTGAATATAAAGCAGGCAGAAAAACATGAAGAGGCGAGACTGGCCTAGACTCCCATCCTACATCTTTTGCCCGTGCTGGATGCTTCCTGCCCTCAAACATCAGACACCAATTTCTTCAGTTTTGAGAGACTCGAATTGGCTCTCCTTGCTCCTCAAGCTTGCAGACAGCCTATTGTGGGACCTTGTGATTAATAAACTCCCCTTTACATATATGTGTGTGTGTGTGTGTGTGTGTGTATCTAATATATGTATAATTTATATATAAAATATATAATATATATAATATATACATAATATATAATATATATCCTGTTAGTTCTGTCCCTCTAGAGACCCCTGACTAATACATTATATATTGTCTTTTTTATAATAGCCATCCTAAGAGGTATGAGGTGATATCCCATTGTGGTTTTCATGTACGATTCCCTGATGATTTCTGATATTGGGCATTTTTTCATACACCTGTGGCCATTTGTATGTCTTCTTTGGTGCAACATCTATTCAGGTCCATTTCTTTTTAAGCAGCTTATTTGTTTTCTCACTCTTTAATTGTTTTAATTCCTTACATACCTTGGAATTTAACCACTTATCAGCTATATGATTTGCAAATATATTTTGTCATTCCTTGGGTTGTCTCAAACTCTGTAGATTGTTTCCTTTGCTGTGCAAAATTTTTTTATTTTATCTAATCCCATTGCCCAGACAAATGCTATGGAGCTTTTCCCCTGTGTTTTTATCTAGTTTTTTACAGTTTCAGGAACGACCTTTATAGGTCTTCAATCCATTTTAAGTTGATTCTTGTATATGGTGTGAAATGAGAGTTCAATTTGTTCTTCTGCATGTGAATATCCAGTTCCCAGTTAATGTGTCTATTTTTATTCCAGTACCATACTGTTTTAATTACTATAGTTTAGTAGTAGATTTTGAAATCAGGTAGTGTGACGCTTCCAACTTTGTTCTTTTCTGCTTAAGATTGCTTTGGCCATTTTTTAAAATTTCAGCTTTTAGATTAATGGGATACATATGCAAGTTTTTTACCTGGGTAAATTGAGTGATGCTGGGTTTGGGGTACAAATGGTTCTGTCACTCAGGTAGTGAGTATAGTATCCAATAGGTAATTTTTCAGCCCTCACAATCTCTATCCCTCCCTCCCCACTCTAGTAGTCCTCAATGTCTTTTGTTCCCATCTTTATATCCATGTACTCAATGTTTAGTTCCCACCTATAACTGAGAATATGTGGTATTGGGTATATGGAGCCAAAAATGGGCCCAAATAGCCAAAGCAATCCTTAACAAAAAGAGCAAAGCTAGATGCATCACATTACCTGATTTCAAAAAATATTATAAGGCTACGGTAATCAAAACAGTATGGTACTGATATAGAAACAGACACATGGTACCGATATAGAAACAGACACATAGACCAGTGGAACAGGATAGAGAACCTAGAAATACAGCCACAACCATCTGATCTTCAACTAAATCAACAAAAACAAGCAATGAGAAATGCAATCCCTATTAAATAAATGGTGTGGGAGGAGCCAAGATGGCTAATTAGAAGCAGCCTGCAGTCCACAGCTCTCACCAAGAAAAACGAAAACTGGTGAGTGAATTCTGCACCTTCAATGGAGGTATCCATATTCTCATATTGGGACTGACTAGGTAGTTGGCATGACCCATGGAAAGCAAAGAAAAGCAGCATGTGGTGACAGCCCACCCTGAAGTGGCACAGAACAAGAGGAGCTCCCCCTGCCAGACAAGGGAGGTAGTGAGTGCTACCCCTCCCAGGAAACTACCACTTTTCTCACGGATCTTTGCAACACATGGATCGGGCAGCCCTCCTGAGCCCATGCCACCAGGGCCTTGGGTCCCAAACACAAAGCTATGCAGAATTTTTTTTTTTTTTTTTTTTTTTGGAGACGGAGTCTCATTTTGTCACCCAAGATACAGTGAAGTGGCGAGATCTCAGCTCACTACAATCTCTGCTTCCTGGGTTCAAGCAATTTTCCTGCCTCAGCCTCCCGAGTAGCTAGGATTACAGGCACCCACTACCACGCCTGGCTACTTTTTTATTTTTAGTAGGCAAGGTTTCACCATGTTGGCCAGGCTGGTCTCAAACTCCATACCTCAAGTGACCTGCTCATCTCAGCCTCCCAAAGTGCTAGGATTACAGGCATGAGCCACTGCACCCAGCCTGCTATGCAGACTCAGTGGCTGCTGAGGTCTGCAGCCACTTGGGCAGGTTCAGAGATGCAGGAGTTTTTGCATACTCCAGCCTGGGGAATTCCAGTAAGGCAGGACATCTGTTCATTCCCATAGGAAGGGGGTTGAAGCCAGGGAGCCAAGTGGCATTGTTCAGCAGGCCCCATTCCCATGGAACCTCACAAGCTAAGACCCACTGGCTTGGAATCTCCACCAGCCAGCAGCAGCAGTTGCCTGAGACAACTGAGTTCCCGGAGGGAATTGGCGGCCAACATCTCTGTGGCTCCAGTCTGCCATTTTGCCCTGCCATGCTGGGGAAACTTGGCGTTTTGAACCAGGAGGAATTCCCCACAGTGCAGCACAGCATCTACAGCAGATTGTGGCCAGACTGCTTATTTAAGTAGTACCCTAACCCATTCCTCTTCACCAGGCAGGGCCTCCCTGTGGGAATTTCAGCAACTTCAGGCAGGATTTTACAAAAGAACTCTGATTTCCCTGGGAGGAAGCCCCTGGCGAGAGGGGCCAATAGCCTTTTCCGCCTGCAGGCTCTGGAGAGTTCCGGCAGTCTAAATGAGGGGGGTTCCCTCTAGTACAGCACCCCCACTCTGCCAAGAGGCAGCCAGGCTGCTTTTTCACATGGGTCCCCAAACTGGGTCCTCCTGATTGGATGAAATGTCCCAACAGGGATCTTCAGACACCTCATACAGAAGCATTGGGGCTAGCATCAGGTTGGTGACCCTCTGCGACAAAGCTCCCAGAAGAAGGAGCAGGCTGCCATCTTTGTTGTTTTGCCACCTCCACTTGTGATACCTCCAGGTGCAGGAGGGATGCAGGTGAATAGGGTCTGGAGTGGAACCCCAGCAAACCACAGCAACCCTGTGAAAGAGGGGTCTGACTGTTAAAAACAAATAGAAAGCAACAACAACATCACCAATAAAAGACCCCACAAAAATTCCATTCAAAGGTCTGCATCCTCAAAGATCAAAGGTAGATAAGCCCACAAAGATAAGAAAAAAAATCAATGCAAAACACCAAACACTCAAAAAGCCAGAGTGCCTCTTCTCCTCCAAATGATTGCAACACCTCTCCACCAAGGGCACAGAACTGAGCGGAGGCTTAGATGGATGAATTGACAGAAGTAGGCTTCAGAAGGTGGGTAATAATGAACTTTGCTGAACTAAAGGAGCATGTTCTAACCCAATGCAAAGAAGCTAAAAACCATGATAAAAACATTACAGGAGCTGATAACCAGAATAACCAGTTTAGAGAGGAACATAAATGACCTGATAAATCTAAAAAACACAACACGAGAAATTCACAATGCAATCACAAGTATCAATAGCAGAATAGACCAAGTGGAGGAAAGAATCTCAGAGCTTTAAGACTGTCTTGCTGAAATAAGAAAGGCAGACAAGACTAAAGAAAAAAAATGAAAAGGAAAAAAACAAAACCTCTGAGAAATATGGAATTATACAAAAAGACTGAACCTATGACTTACTGAAGTACCAGAAAGAGACAGAAAGAACAAAACCAAGTTGAAAAACATACTCCAGAATATCATCCCAGAGAACTTCCCCAACCTAGCAAAACAGGCACATTCAAATCCAGGAAATGCAGAAAACTCCAGTAAGATACTCCATGAAAAGATCAACCCTAAGACACATAATCATCAGATTCCTCAAGATAGACACGAAAGAAAAAATATTAAGAAAAACAAGAGAGAAAGGCCAGGTCACCTACAAAGGGAAGCCCATAAGACTAACAGTGGAACTCTCAGTGGAAACCCAGCAAGTCAGAAGAGATTGGGGACTAATATTCAACATTCTTAAGGAAAATAATTTCTAGCCCAGAATTTTGTATCTGGCCAAACTAAGCTTCCATAATTGAAAGAGAAATAAGTTCCTTTTCAAGCAAGCAAATGCTGAAGGAATTTGTCACCACCAGGCCTGCCTTGCAAGAGCTCCTGAAGGAAAGACTAAATATGGAAAGGAAAAATCATTACCACCCACTACAAAAACACATTGAAGTAGAGAGACTAGTGACACCATGAAGCAACTCCATAAACAAGTCTTCAAAATAACCAGCTGGCATTATGATGACAGGATCAAATTCACACATAACAATATTAGCCTTAAATGTCAATGGGCTAAATGCTCCAATTAAAAGACACAGAGCCCGGCGCTGGCTCATGCCTGTAATCCCAGCACTTTGGGAGGCTGAGGCAGGTGGATCACGAGGTCAGCAGTTCGAGACCAGCCTGACCAACATGGTGAAACCCTGTCTATACTAAAAATACAAAAATTAGCCAGGCCTGGTGGCAGGCACCTGTAATCCCAGCTACACAGGGGTCTGAGGCAGGAGAATCACTTGAACCTGGGAGGTGGAGGTTGCAGTGAGCCAAGATCGTGCCAGCCTGGGTGGCAGAGCGAGACTTCATCTCCAAAAAAAAAAAAAAAAGACACAGAATGGCAAGCTGGATAAAGAGTCAAGACCCATTAGTGTGCTGTATTCAAGAGAACCATCTCACGTGAAAAGACATACATAGGGTCAAAAGAAAGGATAGAGGAAATTTTACCAAGCAAATGGAAAACAGAAAAAACACGGGTTGCAATCAAACTTTCTGAAAAAACAGACTTTAAACCAACAGACATCAAAAAAGACAAAGAAGGGTATTACATAATGGTAAAGGGTTCAATTCAACAAGAAGAGCTAACTATCCTAAATATACATGCACCCAATACAGGAGCACACAGGCTAGTAAAGCAAGTTCTTAGAGACCTTCAAAGAGACTTAGACTGCCACACAATAATAATGATAGGCTTTAACACTTCACTGTCAATATCAGACAGATTAATGAGACAGAAAATTAACAAAGCTATTCAGGACCTGAACTCAGCTCTGGATCAAGTGGACCTGATTGATACCTACAGAACTCTTCACCCAAAAACAACAGACTATACATTCTTCTCATCACCACATGGCACTTACTCTAAAATTGATCACAAAATTGGAAGTAAAATACTCCTCACTAAATGCAAAAGAATTGAAATTATAACAGTCTCTCAGGCCACACACAATCAAATTAGAACTCAAGAATAAGAAACTCACTAAAAACCACTAAACATACATGGAAATTGAACAACCTGCTCCTGAGTGACACTTGGGTAAATAATAAAATTAAGGCAGAAATTGAGAAGTTCTTTAAAACTAATGAGAACCAAGAGACAATGTACCAGAATCTCTGGGATGCAGCTAAAGCAGTGTTAAGAGGGAAATTTATAGCACTAAATGTCCACATCAAAAAACTATAAAGAGCTCAAACTAACAACCTAACATCACAACTAAAAGCACTAGAGAACCAAGATCAAACCCCAAAGCTAGCAGAAGATAAATAACCAAGATCAGAGTGAAACTGAAAGAGATGGAGACATAAAAAACCTTTCAAAAGGTTAATTCATTTAGTAGCTGGTTTTTTGAGAAAATTAATGAAATAGACCACGAGCTAGACTAATAAAGAAAAAAAGATAGAAGATTCAAATAAACACAATCAGAAATGATAAAGGGGATATCACCGCTGACCACACAGAAACGCAAACAACCATTAGAGAATACTGTAAACACCTCTATGCACATAAACTAGAAAATCTAGAATAAATTGATACATTCCTGGACACATACACCCTCCTAAGACTGAACCATGAAGAAGCTGAAGCCTTGAATAGACTAATAACATGTTCTGAAATTGAGGCAGTAATACATAGCCTACCAACCAAAACTAGCCAAGGACCACATGGATTTACAGCTGAATTTTACCAGAGGTATGAAGCGAAGCTGGTATCACTTCTTCTGAAACTATTCTAAACAACTGAAAAGAGGGGACTCCTCCCTAACTCATTTTATGACAACAGCATCATCCTGAGACCAAAACCTGCAAGAGACACAAAACAAACAGAAAGGCAAACAAACAAAACTTCAGGCCAATATCCCTGATGATCATCAATGCAAAAATCCTCAATAAAATACAGGTAAACCAAAACCAGCAGCACATCAAAAAGCTTATCCACCATGATCAAGTTGGCTCCATCTCTGTGAAGCAAAGTTAGTTGAACATACACAAATCAATAGATGTAATTCATCACAAAACAGAACTAAACACAAAAAAACACATGATTATCTCAATAGAAGCAAAAAGGCCTTCAATAAAATTCAACATCCCTTCATGTAAAAACTCTCAGTAAACTAAGTGTTGAAGGAACATATCTCAAAATAATAACAGCCATATATGACAAACCCACAGAAAATATCATACTGAAGGGGCAAGGCTGGAAGAAATCCCCTTGAAAACCAGCACAAGAAAAGGATGCCCTCTTTCACCACTCCTATATAACAGAGTATTGGAAGTTCTGGCCAGCACAATCAGGCGACAGAAAGAAATAAAGGTATTCAAATAGGTGGGCCAAATAGGAACAAATCCAGTCTACAGCTCCCAGCATGAGCAACACAGAAGACGGGTGGTTTCTGCATTTCCAACTGAGGTACCGGGTTCCTCTCACTGGGGATTGTCGGACAGTGGGTGCAGGACAGTGGGTGCAGCACACCAAGCATGAGCTGAAGCAAGGCGAGGCATCACCTCACCCAGGAAGTGCAAGGGATCAGGGAATTCCCTTTCCTAGCCATGGGAAGGGGGGACAAACGGCACCTGGAAAATCGGGTCACTCCCACTCTAATACTGCGCTTTTCCAATGTTCTTAGCAAATGGCACACCAGAAGATTATATCCCACGCCTGGCTCGGAGGGTCATACACCCAAGGAGCCTCGCTCATTGCTAGCACAGGAGTCTGAGATCGAACTGCAACACGGCAGCGAGGCTGGGGGAGGGGCGCCTGCCATTGCTGAGGCTTGAGTAGGTAAACAAAGCAGCCTGGAAGCTTGAACCGGGTGGAGCCCAGCACAGCTCAAGGAGGCCTGCCTGCCTCTGTAGACTCCACCTCTGAGGGCAGGGCATAGCTGAACAAAAGGCAGCAGAAACCTTTGCAGAATTACATGTCCCTGTTTGACAGCTTGGAAGAGAGTACTGTTACTTCCAACACGCAGCCGGAGATCTGAGAACGGACAGACTGCCTCCTCAAGTGGGTCCTTGACCTCCGAGTAGCCTAACTGGGAGGCACCCCCCAGGAGGGGAGGACTGACACCTCACATGGCTGGGTACCCCTCTGAGACAAAACTTCCAGAGGAGCGATCAGGCAGCAACATTTGCTGTTCACCAATATTCGCTGTTCTGCAGCCTCTGCTGCTGACACCCAGGCAAACGGTCTGGAGTGGACCTCCAGCAAACTCCAAGAGACCTGCAGCTGAGGGTCCTCACTGTTAGAAGGAAAACTAACAAACAGAAAGGACATCCACACCAAAACCCCATCTGTACGTCACCATCATCAAAGACCAAAGGTAGATAAAACCACAAAGACGGGGAAAAAACAGAGCAGAAAAACTGAAAATTCTTAAAATCAGAGTGCCTCTCCAACTCCAAAGGAACGCAGCTCCTCACAAGCAACAGAACAAAGCTGGATGCAGAATGACTTTGATGAGTTGAGAGAAGAAGGCTACAGATGATCAAACTTCTCCGGGCTAAAGGAGGAAGTTTGAACCCATGGCAAAGAAGTTAAAACCCTTGGAAAAAGATTAGACGAATGGCTAACTAGAATAACCAATGCAGAGAAGTCCTTAATGGACTTGATGGAGCTGAAAACCATGGCAGGAGAACGACGTGATGAATGCACAAGCCTCAGTAGCAGACTCAATCAAGTGGAAGAAAGGGTATCAGTGATTGAAGATCAAATGAATGAAATGAAGCAAGAACAGAAGTTTACAGAAAAAAGAATAAAAACAAATAAACAAAGCCTCGAAGAAATATGGGACTATGTGAAAAGACCAAATCTACGTCTGACTGGTGTACCTGAAAGTGATGGGGAGAATGGAACCAAGTTGGAAAACACTCTGCGAGATATTATCCAGGAGAAATGCCCCAACCTAGCAAGGCAGGCCAACATTCTGATTCAGGAAATACAGAGAATGCCACAAACATACTCCACAAGAAGAGCAACTCCAAGACACATAATTGTCACATTCACCAAAGTTGAAATGAAGGAAAAATTATTAAGGGCAGCCAGAGATAAAGGTTGGGTCACCCACAAAGGGAAGCCCATCAGACTAACAGTGGATCTCTCAGCAGAAACTCTACAAGCCAGAAGAGAGTGGGGGCCAATATTCAACATTCTTAAAGAAAAGAATTTTCAATCCAGAATTTCATATCCAGCCAAACTAAGCTTCATAAGTGAAGGAGAAATAAAATCCTTTACAGACAAGCAAATGCTGAGAGATTTTGTCACCATCATGCCTGCCCTACAAGAGCTCCTGAAGAAAGCACTAAACAAGGAAAGGAACAACTGGTACCAGCCACTGCAAAAACATGCCAAATTGTAAAGACCATCAATGCAAGGAAGAAACTGCATCAACTAATGAGCAAAATAACCAGCTAACATCATAATGACAGGATCAAATTCACACATAACAATATTAACCTTAAATGTAAATGGGCTGAAAGCTCCAATTAAAAGACACAGACTGGCAAATTGGATAAAGAGTCAAGACCCATCAGTGTGCTGTATTCAGGAGACCCAACTCATGTGCAGAGACGCACATAGGCTCAAAATAAAGGGATGGAGGAAGATCTACCAAGCAAATGGAAAACAAAAAAAGGCAGGGGTTGCAATCCCAGTCTCAGATAAAACAGACTTTAAACCAACAAAGATCAAAAGAGACAAAGAAGGCCATTACATAATGGTAAAGGGATCAATTCAACAAGAAGAGCCAACTATCTTAAATATACATGCACCCAATACAGGAGCACCCAGATTCATAAAGCAAGTCCTTAGAGGCCTACAAACAGACTTAGATTCCCACACAATAATAATGGGAGACCTTAACACCCCACTGTCAACATTGGACAGATCAACGAGACAGAAAGTTAACGAGGATATCCAGGAATTGATTTCAGCTCTGCACCAAGTGGACCTAATAGACATCTACAGAACTCTCCACCCCAAATCAACAGAATATACATTCTTCTCAGCACCACACCGCACTTACTCCAAAATTGACCACACAGTTGGAAGTAAAGCACTCCTCAGCAAATGTAAAAGAACAGAAATTATAACAAACTGTCTCTCCGACCACAGTGCAATCAAATTAGAACTCAGGATTAAGAAACTCACTCAAAACTGCTCAACTACATGGAAACTGAACAACCTGCTCCTGAATGACTACTGGGTACATAATGAAATGAAGGCAGAAATAAAGATGTTCTTTGAAACCAACAAGAACAAAGACACAACATACCAAAATATCTGGGTCACATTTAAAGCAATGTGTAGAGGGAAATTTACAGCATTGAATGCCCACAAGAGAAAACAGGAAAGATCTAAAATTGACACCCTAACATCACAATTAAAAGAACTAGAGAAGCAAGAGCAAATACATTCAAAAGCTGGCAGAAGGCAAGAAATAACTAAGATCAGAGCAGAACTGGAGGAGATAGAGAAACACAAAACCCTTCAAAAAATCAATGAATCCAGGAGCTGGTTTTTTGAAACGATCAACAAAATTGATAGACCGCTAGCAAGACTAATAAAGAAGAAAAGAGAGAAGAATCAAATAGATGCAACAAAAAATGATACAGGGGATATCACCACCGATCCCACAGAAATACAAACTACCATCAGAGAATACTATAAACACCTCTATGCAAATAAACTAGAAAATCTAGAAGAAATGGATAAATTCCTCAACACATACACTCTCCCAAGACTAAACCAGGAAGAAGTTGAATCTCTGAATAGACCAATAACAGGCTCTGAAATTGAGGCAATAATTAACAGCTTACCAACCAAAAAAAGGCCAAGACCAGATGGATTCACAGCCGAATTCTACCAGAGGTACAAGGAGGAGCTGGTACCATTCCTTCTGAAACTATTCCAATCAATAGAAAAAGAGGGAATCCTCCCTAACTCATTTTATGAGGCCAGCATCATCATGATACCAAAGCCTGGCAGAGAAACAACCAAAAAAGAGAATTTTAGACCAATATCCGTGATGAACATTTATGCAAAAATCCTCAATAAAATACTGGCAAACCGAATCCAGCAGCACATCAAAAAGCTTCTCCACCATGATCAAGTGGGCTTCATCCCTGGGATGCAAGGCCAGTTCAACATACGCAAATCAATAAATGTAAACCAGCATATAAACAGAACCAACGACAAAAACCACATGATTATCTCAATAGATGCAGAAAAGCCCTTTGACAAAATTCAACAGCCCTTCATGCTAAAAATTCTCAATAAATTAGGTATTGATGGGACGTATCTCAAAATAATAACAGCTATCCATGACAAACCCACAGCAAATATCATACTGAATGGGCAAAAACTGGAAGCATTCCCTTTGAAACTGGCACAAGACAGGGATGCCCTCTCTCACCACTCCTATTCAACATAGTGCTGGAAGTTCTGGCCAGGGCAATCAGGCAGGAGAAAGAAATAAAGGGTATTCAATTAGGAAAAGAGGAAGTCAAATTGTCCCTGTTTGCAGATGACATGATTGTATATTTAGAAAACCTCATCATCTCAGCCCCAAATCTCCTTAAGCTGATAAGCAACTTCAGCAAAGTCTCAGGATACAAAATCAATGTGCAAAAATCACAAGCATTCTTATACACCAATAACAGACAAACAGAGATCCAAATCATGTGTGAACTCCCATTCACAATTGCTTCAAAGAGAATAAAATACCTAGGAATCCAACATACAAGGGATGTAAAGGATCTCTTCAAGGAGAACTACAAATCATTGCTCAATAAAATAAAAGAGGACACAAACAAATTGAAGAACACTCCATGCTCATGGATATGAAGAATAAATATCGTGAAAATGGCCATACTGCCCAAGGTAATTTATAGATTCAATACCATCCCCATGAAGCTACCAATGACTTTCTTCACAGAATTGGAAAAAACTACTTTAAAGTTCATATGGAACCAAAAAAGAGCCCGCATTGCCAAGTCAATCCTAAGCCAAAAGAACAAAGCTGGAGGCATCACACTTCCTAACTTCAAACTATACTACAAGGCTACAGTAACCAAAACAGCATGATACTGGTACCAAAACAAATATATAGACCAATGGAACAGAACAGAGCCCTCAGAAATAATGCCACACGTCTACAACTATCTGATCTTTGACAAACCTGACAAAAACAAGAAATGGGGAAAGGATTCCCTATTTAACAAATGGTGCTGGGAAAGCTGGCTAGCCATATGTAGAAAGCTGAAACTGGATCCCTTCCTTACACCTTATACAAAAATTAATTCAAGATGGATTAAAGACTTAAACGTTAGACCTAAAACCATAAAAACCCTAGAAGAAAACCTAAGCAATACCATTCAGGGCATAGGTATGGGCAAGGACTTCATGTCTAAAACACCAAAAGCAATGGCAACAGAAGTCAAAATTGACAAATGGGATCTAATTAAACTAAAGAGCTTCTGCACAGCAAAAGAAACTACCATCAGAGTGAACAGGCAACCTACAAAATGGGAGAAAATTTTTGCAATCTACTCATCTGACAAAGGGCTAATACCCAGAATCTACAAAGAACTCAAACAAATTTACAAGAAAAAAACAAACAACCCCATCAACAAGCAGGCAAAGGATATGAACAGACACTTCTCAAAAGAAGACATTTATGCAGCCAATAGACACATGAAAAAATGCTCATCATGACTGGCCATCAGAGAAATGCAAATCGAAACCACAATGAGATAGCATCTCACACCAGTTAGAATGGCGATCATTAAAAAGTCAGGAAACAACAGGTGCTGGAGAGGATGTGGAGAAATAGGAACACTTTTACACTGTTGGTGGGACTGTAAACTGGTTCAACCATTGTGGAAGACAGTGTGCCGATTCCTCAGGGATCTAGAACTAGAAATACCATTTGACCCAGCCATCCCATTACTGGGTATATACCCAAAGGATTATAAATCATGCTGCTATGAAGACACATGCACACTTACGTTTACTGCGGCACTATTCACAATAGCAAAGACTTGGAACCAACATAAATGTCCAACAATGTATAGACCGGATTAAGAAAATGGCAGATATACACCATGGAATACTATCTAGCCATAAAAAATGATGAGTTCATGTCCTTTGTAGGGACATGGATGAAGCTGGAAACCATCATTCTCAGTAAACCATCGCAAGGGCAAAAAACTAAACATCTCATGTTCTCATTCCTAGGTGGGAATTGAACAATGAGAACACATGGACACAGGAAGGGGGACATCACACACTGGGGCCTGCTGTGGGGTGGGGGGAGGGGGGAGGGAGAGCATTAGGAGATATACCTAATGTAAATGACGAGTTAATGGGTGCAGCACACCAACATGGCACATGTATACGTATGTGACAAACCTGCAAGTTGTGCACATGTACCCTAGAACTTAAAGTATAATGAAAAATAATAATAATAATAATAAAATGAAAAAAGGTAAAAAAAATAAAAAATAAAAAATAAAAGTTATCTCAATGTTAAAAAAAAAAACATATCCAAATAGAAAGAGGAAAAAGTCAAGTTATCTATGCAGATGACATCATCGTATATCTAGAAAATCCTATTGTCTCAGTTCTAAAGCTTCTTAAGCTGATAAGAAACTTCAGTAAAGTCTCAGGATACAAAATCAATGTGCAAAAATCACAAGCATTCCTATACATCAACAACAGACAAGCAAAAAGCCAAATAATGAATGAACTCCCATTCACAATTGCTGCACAGAGAATAAAATACCTAGGAATACAGCCTATAAGGGAAGTGAATGACTTCTTCAATTAGAACTACAAACCACTGTTCAAGGAAATAAGAGAAGACACAAACAAATGAAATAACATTCCATGCTCACGGATGGGAAGAATCAATATCATGAAAATGGCCATACTGCCCAAAGTAATTTACAGGTTCAATGCTATTCCCATTAAACAAACATTGACATTCTTCACAGAATTTTAAAAAAAAACAATTTCTAAACTGACATAAAACCAAAAAGGAGCTAAGACAATCCTAAGCAAAAAAAAAAAAAAAAAAGCCAGAGTCATCACACTACCTGACTTCAAACTATACTGCAAGGCTATAGTAACCAAAACACCATGGTACAGGTACAGAAAGAGACACATAGACCAATGGAACAAAATAGAGAACTCACAAATAAGACCACACTCCTACAACCACCTGATCTTTGTCAAACCCGACAAAAACAAACAATGGGGAAAGAATTCCCTATTTAATAAATGGTGCTAGGAAAACTGGCTAGCCATATGCAGAAAATTGAAACTGGACCCCTTCCTTAAACCTTATACAAAAATTAACTCAAGATGGATTACAGACTTATATGTAAAACCCAAAACTATAAAAACCCTAGTAGAAAATCTAGGCATTACCATTTAGGACACAGGCACAGGCAAAGATTTCATCATGAAATCCAATTTGTCAATTTTTGCAGTTACAACAAAAGCAAAAATTGACAAATTGGATCTGATTAAACCATAGAGCTTCTACACAGCAAAACAAACTATCATCAGAGTGAACAGACAACCTACAGAATGGAAGAATATTTTTGCAATCTATCCATCTGACAAAGGTCTAATATCCAAAGTCTACAAGGAACTCAAACAAATTTACAAAAAAAAAAAAAAAAAAAAAACCAACCCCATTAAAAGGTCGAGCAAAGAACATGAACAGTCACTTCTCAAAAGAAGATATTTATGTGGCCAACAGACATGAAAAAATGCTTAACATCACTGATTATCAGAGAAATGCAAATCAAAACCACAATGAGATACCATCTCACACCAGTCAGAATGGCGATTATTACAAAATCAAGAAATAACAGATGCTGGGGGTTGTGGAAAAAAAGGAACGGTTTTACACTGTTGGTGGGAATATAAATTAATTAGGAACGGTTTTACACTGTTGGTGAGAATGTACATTAATTCAACCATTGTGGAAGACAGTGTGGTGATTCCTCAAAGATCTAGAAGCAGAAATAACATTTGACCCAGCAATCTTATTACTGGGTATATACCAAAAGAAATATAAATCATTCTATTATAAAGATACATGCACACATATGTTCATTGCAGTACTATTCACAATAGCAAAGGCATGGATTAATCCAAATGCCTATCAATGGTATACTGGATAAAGAAAATGTGGTACATATACACCATGGAATTCTATGCAGCCATAAAAAGGAACGCGATCATGTCCTTTGCAGGGACACAGATGGAGCTGGAAGCCATTATCCTCAGCAAACACAGAAACAAAACCAAACACTACGTGTTCTCACTTATAAGTGGCAGCTGAACAATGAGAACACATGAACACAGAGAATGGGGGACAACACACACTGGGACTTCTCAGGGGTACTCAGGGAAGGAGAGCCTCAGGAAAAATAGCTAATGCATGCTGGGCTTAATACCTAGGTGATAGGTTGATCTGTGCGGCAAACCACTATAGCATACATTTATCTATGTAACAAACCTGCACACTCTGCACGTGTACCCTGGAACTTAAAATAAAAGTTGAAGGAAAAAAAATGGTGCTGGGATAACTGACTAGCCAGAATGAAACTGGACACTTACATTTTACCATATGCAAAAATTAACTCAAGATAGATTAAAGATTTAAATGTAAGACATCAAACTATAAAAATCTTAGGATAAAACCTAGGAAATATAATTGTGAACATAGCTTTCAGAAAGAATTTCTGACTAAGTCCTAAAAATTGCAAAGAAACAAAAAATCACAAGTGGGAAATAATTAAACTAAAGTGCTTCCGCACAGCAAAAGAAACTTGATAGTAAATAACAAAGTAAATAAACAATCTACAGAATGGGAGAAAATATTCACAAATAATGCAATACAAAGGTCTAATATCCAGAATCTTTAAGGAACTTAAACAATTCAACAAACATAAAATAAAATAACCCATTAAAAATTGGGCAATAGACATGAACAGACAATTCTCAAAGGAAGACATACAAGTGGCCAACAAACTAACAAAAAATACTCCAAATCACTAATCATTAGAGAAATGCACATCAAAACCCCAATTAGATAATGCCTCAAACCAATCAGTAGGGCTAGTATTAAAAAGTCAAAAATAACAGATGTTGGCAAGGCTGTGGAAAAAAAGGGAATGTTTATATATTGTTGGTGGAAATGTAAATTAGTTCAGTCACTGTGGAAAGCAGTTTGGAGATTTCTCAAAGAGCTTTGGCCATTTTGGATCTTTTGTTGTTTTATGCAAAATTTAGAATTTCTTTATATTTCTGTGAAAAAATATTATTGAAATTTTGGTAGGGATTATATTAAATCTGTAGATCACATTGGGTAATATGAAAATTTAAACATTAACTCTCCCAATCCACTAACATGAGATTTGCATTTTCTTCAATCTCTGTCATCAATGTTTTATAATTTTCAGTGAATAAATTTTTCTTCTCCTTGGTTAAACTCATTCCTAATATTTTATATTTATACAGCTATTGTAAATGAGATTTTAAAAAATTATGTAGTTTATTGTTAGTATATAGAATCACTACTGATTTTTGTGTGTTGATTTTGTATCCTGCAATATTACTAAATTTGTTTATGGTTCTGACAGATTTCCAGTGGAGTTTTTAGGATTTTCTATAAATAAGATCATGTTGTCTGCAAACAGTGACAACTGCACTTCTTCCTTTACAATTTGGATGCCTTATTTCATTCCCTTGCCTAACTGCTCTTTCTAGGACATCTAGTACTATGTGGAACAGAATTGATGGGAGTTGGCATCTTTGCTCTGTTTCTAATCTTAGGTGAAAACCTGTTAAATTTTCACCGTTCAGTATGATGTTAGCTACGGGCTGTCATACATAGCCTTTGAGACATGCTTCTTCTCTACCTAGTTCGTTGAGAGTTTTTATAATGAAAGGATGTTAAATTTTGTCATATCCCCTTTCAGCATCTGTTGAGATAATGATATGTTTTCTGTTCTTCATTTCATTAGTGTGGTGCATCACACTTATTGATTTAGATATGTTGAACCATCCATGCATCCCAGTGATAAGTCCCTCTTAATCATGACGAATAATCTTTTTAATGTGCTATTAAATTTGGTTTACTAGTATTCTGTTGAGAATTTTTGCACCTACATTCATCAGATATATGAGCTTGTAATTTCTTATAGTGTCCTTATCGGGCTTTGGTATTAGGGTAATGCTGGCCTTGGTAAATGAGTTTCATCATTTTTCTTCCTCTTCAGTTTTTTGGAAGAGTTTGAGAAAAATTGGTATTAATTATTTGAATATTTGGCAGAATTTCACAGTGAAGCTATAAGGTCTTGGGCTTTTCATGGTTGGGAGACTTTTTATTACTGATTCAATCTCCTTACTCATTATTTTTCTGTTCATGTTGTTTACTTATTCAGTTTGGGTAGGCTGTACATTCAAGGAATTCATCCATTTCTTCTAGGTTATTCAGTGTGTTTGTGTACAATTGTTCATAGTATTGTCTTGGGATACTTTGTATTTCTGTTATCAGTTTTAATGTTTCCTCCTTCTTTTCTGAGTCTTCTCTTTTTTACTTAATCTAGCTAAAGCTTCGTTGATTTTATCTTTACAGAAAACCAACTCTTAGTTTCATTTATCTTTTCTATTGTTTTTCCATTTTCTACTTAATTTATTTATGTTCTGATTTTTATTACTTCCTTCCTTCTACTAACTTTGAGCTTAGTTTTCTTTCTCTATTTCCTTGAGGTGTAATTTTTGATTGTTTGAAATCTTTCTTTTTTGATGTAGGCATTGCTATAAACATATCTTTTATAACTGATTTTGCTGTATCCTAAAAAGTTTTGGTATGTTGTATTCCCATATTGATTTGTCTCAAAATATTTTTTAATTTCTCTTCTAATTTTTTCTCTGATTCATTGATCATTTAGGGGCTTATTGCTTTATTTTTACATGTTTTTACATATTTGTGAGTATTATGAAATTCCTATTTGTATTTTCACAAAATTATGGTTGGAGAAGATAATTGATACAATTTCAATCTTCTTAAATTTGTTAAGACTTGTTTTGTGGTGTAACATATAATCTATTCTGGAGAAATTTTCATGAGCACTTGAAAAGTATATGTGTTCTGCTGCTGTTGGATGGAATATTCTATAATATGTCTGTTAGGTCAACTTGGTCTAACGTGTAGTTCACCTTCAATGTTTCCTTATTTATTTCCATTCTGGATGATCTGTATATTGTTAAAAGTGTGTTACTGAGTTCCTCTACTACTATTGTATTATTGTCTATCTCTTTCTTCAGATATATTATTATTTGCTTCATATATTCAGGTATTCTGATGTTGGGTACATATATGTTTACAGTTGTTGTATCTTTTGATAAATTAATCCCTTCATTGTTATATAATGACTTTCCTGCTTTTGTTATACAGTTTTTGACTTAGTCTATTTTATCTGATATCAATATAGTGTATTCTGTTCTTTTCTGTTTTCCATTAGCATACAATAGCTTTTTTCCATCTTTTCACTTTCAATCTATGTGTCCTCAAAGCTGAATTGAGTCTCTTGTAGAAAGCATATAGTTGAGCCTTGTTTCATTATCCTTTCAATTACTATATGTTTTCTGATGGAGAATACAATCCATTTATATGCCAAGTAAATATTGGTAGCTAAGGATTTACTGTTGCCATTTTGTTAATTGTTTTCTGGTTGCTTTGTAGATCCTTCATTCCTTTTTTCTTCTCTGGCTATCTTCCTTTCAGAATAGATGATTTTGTCCAGTGATATGCTTTGATTTCTTACTTCTTATGTTTTGTGTACTTATTACAGGTTTATGCTTTGTGGATACTATGAGGATTACCTAAAAGAATTTATAGTTATAATAGGCTATTTTAATCTGATGACAACTTAACTTTGATCACATAAAACAACTCTACATTTTACTCCACCCCACTCCCCATTTTAAGTTCTTGATTCACAACTCATATATTTTTATATTGTATATCCTTTAACAAATTATGGTAGTTATGATTTTTAATAGTTTTATCTTTTAATCTTAATACTATACTGGAGATATAAATTATTTACACACACCTTTACAGTTTTAGAGTATTTTAAATTTGACTGTGTACTTTCTTTTTCAGGTAGTTTAATACTTTCATATGTTTTCATGTTAAAAATTCACATTTTAATTTTAGCTTGAAGAACTCCGTTTAGCATTTCTCATAAGAGAGGTCTAGTAGTGAAGAAGTCTATCAGATTGTGCATGTCTGGAACAGTCTTTAACTCTCCTTCAAATCTGAAAAATAGCTTTGCTCAGTATAGTGTTCTTGATTGGTAGGAATTTTTTTTTCCTTCAGAACTTTGAACATACAGTCAGCCCTCCATATTTGTGAGTTCCCCATCTGTGCATTCAACCAACCACAGATCAAAAACATTCCCCTGCAAAACTGCATCTGTACTGAAAACCTACAAATGTTTTTCTTGTCATTGTTACTAAACAGTACAGTGTAATATCTATTTAGACAGTATTTACACTGTATTAGTTACTATAAATAATCCAGAGATTATTTAAAGTATACGGTAGTATATGCATAGGTTATATGCAAATACTATGCCAGTTTATATTGGTACTTGAGCATCTATGGATTTTGGTATCCATGGGAGGGCCTTGAACCAACCCCACATGGATGCTGAGTGACGACTCTATCATCCTTTTATTTCCTGGACTGTAGAATTTCTGCTGATAAATCTGCTGCTAGCCTTATTGAAACTCTCTTACCTGTCATTTGCTTCTTTCTCTTGCTGCTTTCAAAATCTTCTTTATGTTTTTTATTTTTGACAGTTTGAATATAATGTTTTGGTGTCATCTTATTTGGATTTTATCTGGAGACTTGACTTTCCTGTGCCAGGATATTTTATATCTTTCCTCATATTTGGAAAGTATATTGATGTTATCTCTTTAAGCTTTCTGCCATTGGTCTCTCCCCTCCTCTTTTTAACTCCTATAAATTGAATGTTTGCTCTTTTGATGCTGTCCCATAAATCCTGAAATCTTTATTCATTTTCATTTTTTTCTTTTTCTCCGATTGCATATTTTTATATAAACTGTCTTCATAGATTCTTTCTTCTGCTTGAAAAATTCTGCTGTCCATGCTCTGTATTGCATTTTACATTTATTGTATACTTCAGCTCCAAAATTTGTTTGATTTCTTAAATAATTTCAACTTTTCTTGTCAGGTTTCTACTATTGGGTGTTCATTTTCCTGATTTCATTGAATTGTTTCTCTGTTTTTTATTAAAGCTCAATAAGATTTCCTAAAACAAATATTTTAAATTCTTTATCAGATCATTTATATATCTCATTTTCTTTAGGATCAGCTACCAGAAGATTACTATGTTCTTTTGGTGGTATATCCCATTGTTTTTTATATACTTCTTATTGTATTATATTGATGTCTGCATATTTGATGGAACAGTCACCTCTTGCAGACTTTATGGGTTAGTTTCATTGTAGAAATATCTTTTCCTACGAGGAGGAGGAGTGTGAGGGTTCTTCCTGTGTGTGGTCCAGCAGTTCCAGCATCAGTGAGGGTGCTAGCTATAGAGTCTGCATGCAGTTCAGTCAGTTGAGAACAGTGTTAACAAATAATGCAGAGGTCCTCAACAGCCAAAGCTGTAGATGTCCATAATGGTCCTGAGGGTTGTTGGGGGTCTTTGGTGGTGATGGCTACTAAGGTCCCCCTCATCTCTTTGTCTCCCAAGAGGAATGTTGTGGCTAAGAGAATCCCTCTTAGCATTGGATCTGCCTTTTAGGTTCACTTGCAGTGTTGATCACACCAATGTCTGATGAGTAGCACCTGTGGAGTAGCTATGGAGCTAACACCTGAAGCATAAGCATGCATGAAGGGACTATGGCTCTGGAATCTGGGGCAATAATGACACTGCTGCCCAAGATGCAGACTCTCTTGCTTCCACATTAACAACAGAATGTGAGGCATGGATGCTTGCAAAGTGGCTGGGGAGCCACTGATGGGAACACAGGTGTGCACAAATTTACAGCAGCTGCTGGATTGGGGTGGAGTCTAGATTTCTACGGTAACTATGCCAGTGCCTAAAACCTGAGTATCCATAATGAGGGCTTGGCTTGGGGCCCAAAGTACAAACTAGTTTTCCATGGTGATAGTTCCAATGTCTGCAACAAGGTAGGCCCGACACAGACACAGAGCCTGGGTCTGAGTGTAGGTACTCATGGAGTGGTTGCAGATATAGGGTCAGGGCATGTGAGAGGTTGGGAGACATGGCTGCTTCCTTCCCAAAGCTACTCGACATTGGCCACTTCTTGCAGGTGGGGCTGGGTGTGCAGCCGAGTCTTTCTCTGTGGGTTTCCTCAGAGAAACCAACAACCAATGGTCATTGGTTACCTCAGTGGCAAGAGATGCTGTTGTTCTCTGAAGAGCAGACTACTGGGGTCCACAGTTATTTCCAACATCTGGCTCATACCAATAGCCTCTGCCTTTTTTCCTTGCTCCTAGCTATCTCCTGGCATCTCAGGTATATCAGTCTCACTAGCAATCCTTTCTACACAGATGTTGTCTGGTTTTCTTGCTCTACTATATTGCTATAGAGTCTTTAATGGGCTGTTAATCCCTATCTGGGCTATTTTGGCTTGTGAGTGGCTTTCTATACTTAAATTTTTGTGGAGAGATGAGGGGTGTTATCTCCTACTCTGCCATCTTAGTGGTATTGCTCTCAATACACACATAATATCCAATATCCTACTATGCATTAACATTAGGAGAGATTCTATACACAAGAGAAAAAAGTATATGTTATGTATATATACTTCATTTCAATACAATTCTGACATAATTTTTAAGGGTACTTTGCTTGCCTGTCTTTCTCTATCCCACACTTTAGGAACTACGTTAAAGTAGAACACCACTTAATAGCACTGAATCAATTGTCTCTACTTATTTTGTCTAGTTTGTCATGATGTAGCCTAGCTCTTGGTTGTTCTAGCTTGACATCATAGTTAAGTAGTCTACTTTCTTTCTCTCTTCCCTTCTATGAGGTATAGCAATAAGCACTGACCTCAGATATACATTTGGCTCCCATTTCACATTTTTGCTCACCAAGTCTGACTTGGCCTTAGGCTTCCCTCAACTTAATATTGTTCCCCAACTTAAGATTGATCCTTCCAACAGATTTATACCAGCCCATGGAGTTGGATCCACATAATATTAAATGTCAGAGGGCATAAGTCAAGGTAATTTATGATAGAGTTTTCTGAATAGAAAGTTGTTTGAAATTGTCTACCTCATATAAGCCAACCCCATCTATAGCTACTGCTTCTCAAGAGATGGCATGTGACCTGTTTTCTACCAGCTGTTTTTAGTGGAAAGCAGGTAAACATCCTGAAACTTTCTTCTCCAAGGTGGCTGTAGCTTTAATACAAATATGTTGAGGGTGAAGGGCCATGGCTTTCTGTCTATTTGTGGGATATGTGTAAGAATGATCTCCAATGCAAATGGCACACCCAAAGCTGGAAAACGTTTTAACATCATGTGCCATTACTCAATATGGCCAAATTCATTTGCTCTGAATTTCTTTCCTTTTAATTATTCACTGTATAAAATACAGGTTTATAATGGTCAATTTCCAAGTAGTCAGTCTGATTTTCTTCCTATTGTACCTAACCTTTGCCAACCATATTCTCCAATCATATTGAACTGCTTACAATTCACATTAATATTATATTCATGTATTTATTCAATGAATAATCATCAGACATCTACTATGTTTCTGGTACTTTATTATGTGCTTAAAAAAAGCAAAGATAAATTCTAAAAAACCCATAATTACCTTGAGAAAGAAATTACTATCGTCTAGGGAGAATCACATTATATAAAACAAATATGTGTAATAAAGTGTCATAAGCTTGATAACTGATACAAAGAAGAAAATGGCTGTTTATTTATTCATCCAAAAAAACATTTATTAGGTGCCTACTATGAGCAAAAGATCATACTGACATCTTGCACTATAATGCTGAACAAGACAGAAATGATTCCTGCCTTCATGGAGCCTATGGACTAAGAGGTAAGTAGTGAAGTAAAGAGTAGAGTTGAGCAAATAAACACAGACACACAGATACACACATGCACGCCCTCACAACACTAAAGCTTGATAAGTGCCACAAAGAAATGTAAAGGAGTACTATGGAAAAGAATAACAAAAAAGACTTAATTTAGATAGAAGCTGTCACGGAAAATTCTCTGAGAAAATGACATCTGAACTGAGATCTGAAACATGAGTTGGAATTGGTCAGATAGAGAGTAGAAAACAATGTGTGGATTATCTGAGACAAGAGTGAGCACCGCTCTTTCAGAGAACTAAAAGAATGTCTATGAGTTTAGAGCACAGCAGTACTTGTTGAGCCCAGATGAGTGGGTTTCCCCCAGCAAAACACACCCTCTCCACCAAAGGACAAAGTGCTTCATTAAATGGGTACTGTTCCTCATGCCACCCAACTGGGTAAGACCCTCCAACATGGGTAGTCACACACCCTATACAGGAGCAATCCTATGGCATCAGGTTGGTGGCCCTTGAGGTCAGATGTCACAGAAGAAGGAGCAGGCATCCATCTTTGCTGCTCTCCAGCCTCCTTGAGTGACATCTCCAGGCATGGGAGCGAATCAGATGAATAGGGCCTGAAGTGAAACAGCAAACTGTAACAGTCCTACAGAAGAAGGACCTGACTATTGAAAGAAAACCAAACATGCACAAAGTGACAACAACAGCATCAACAATAAGAAAAAAAAAGGCCCCCACAAAAACCCCATCCAGTGTCAGCAGCCTCAAAGACTGAAACTAGACAAACTCACTAAGATGAGAAAGAATCAACAAAAAAATGCTGAAAACCCAAAGGCCAGAGTCCCTCTTCTCTCCAAATGATCGCAACATCTCTCTATTTGGCTCACAGAATGGGGCCAAATGCTTTAAGACTATGTTACAGAGCTTAGATATAATCCGTGAAATGCGAAGCAATTGAATCATAAGTGATGTGGTACACTCTTTAAAAACTCACTTTGACCATCATGTAAAAAATGGGTAGTGGTGGAGGGACAGGCATGGTTAAGACTAGAAAGAAGACTTCTACTTCCTGTTGCTAATATCGTAATGATTTGGACTTAGAGCCAAAGCAATGATGTTGGGTGGAGGTAAGATTTGTTATTACAGTAGAATTGACCAGTTCTTGGTGATAGAATATTTTTTAAAATGGGTTAGGAGGTTGTAAGAGAATCACTAGAAGCTCATTTGATTCTTAAACTGAATCTTAAATTTTATGTAACTGTGTTTCAGTAAACAAGAAATTTGTGCAAAACCAGAGGGTTGTTAAACCACGTGGCTTAAAGTTTGGGGAGGGTGCATGTTACAAGCAATTATTTTTATTTATTCTGCTGAAGTCAGTAACATCAACTGAAGATTTATTACATGCTAAGTACTCTGCTAGGTACTGAAGGTTTTATTGTGAGTGAATCAGACCACCACTATCCTTATGGAGCTTACAGTTCAGTGAGGGACAGAGATATCAATCAAATAATCAAAACAAATGGTATAAACTTTTTAGACATAGAGCCGCAAGAATCAATATAAAGAGAACTGACCTTTAATAAAGAAAGGAAGGGAAATCATTCTAAGCATTTCTTAAAAAAAAAAAAAAGTAAAATTTGAGCTGAGATCTTAAAATAGATGGGACTTCAGGTTAAAGTAGTACGAAGGTGAAGGTGGTGTTTTAAACAGCCTTGGGGTTAGACAGAATATAGCATATTGAAATAACTGAAGACTAGAAAAGGAGAGGAGAAGAGTAGAAAAGGAGAGAAGTACAAAGAGAGGAGTGGGGTTATTCAGGTCTTTACAGGCAGTTTTTTTAAGTCTTTGGTTTTGTCCTAAGAGCAGTGGAAACCATTTAAGGGTTTTAAGCAAATGAGGGACCTGATTATATAAGGCTATAAAAGAATACAGGTATCAGATCATGGAGGGACTTGCAATGCCATGTTAAGGGGTGAGAAATCAAGGTGATATGTTTGTATATAAGCTACAGACTATAGACTTTTTCCAGATTTCTAAATTTGGATCTCTGGTAGAGTTTGCCACACAGATTTATAATCTTGGAAACCTATATTTTTAATCCAAAAGACATGTCTTTGTATACAAATTACATATACCCTTGTTTTAAAGAGATAAAACAGAAAATTTTACAAAAATATCAAGACATATAACAGAAACATATAAAAACACATACATTAATGTCTTTTAAGATATGGTCTCATTGATTCTTTTGCTTTCTAGGAGTTTAATTGCAAACACAATCTTTGACTTTTATCATGGGACCTGAATTTTATGCTGTGTTCAAATGAATCAGAAAACCTAGGTAGAGTTCTTGACGGTGTTCTGTTTTTAAGCATGAAGCACCCTAGGAGCATGTGCAATATGCAAACGTGTGTGAAGGGAAACAGACTTGCATGTTTTGTTTTCCTCAGCCATTACAGCTGATAGAGAGTTGTAACTGAGTCTTAAAAGGAATACAGGTGCAGATTAATTCATTCATTCAGTAGACATGAATTAAGAGCCTACTGCGGATTAGGCACTGTGCTAGATTCTGAGAGAAAACCAGAAAAGAAGATGGCCCCTTCCTCCACAGAGCTTACAATCTTAGGCAGTGCTTTCCTAAGGATGCTCTAAAGACTCCATCAGGATACTCTTGCATCCTTGTTAAAAATAAAAATTATTGGGCCTTACCCCAGAACCAACAAACCAGAATCTCTGAGAATTAGATTCTAGAATTTGTACCTCAACAAGTTCTAAATATATTATTTTTGAAAACCATTTGTGTGATAATAAGGGCCTTTTATATTAGCTTAAGATGTTTTATTTTTAATCCTAAAAGTAATGGGGAAGGCACTGAAAAATTTTAGGGAAGATTGCATCAGCTAGGAAAATCCTATAAAAAGTCAAGTGAGGATGACTTTTAGTGGGAAACAAGTTAAGAGACATTTGCAAGAGTCCATTTACATAGTTCAAGGAAGATAATTACAGAGCTGGTCTAAGGAAGTAGCAGTGAATAGATATGAGAATAAAATTATGAAAGCTATTCAGGCAATAAAATTGACAGACTTCAGTGATATATGTGGAAAGAAAAGGTGTAAGGTTGGGGGTGTGGGTGTGGGGAGAAGTAGTTCAATTTTGCATTTGAGGCACCTGTAAGACATCCAACCAGAGAAGATTATATACGTCTGTCACTCAGGTGACAGATCAGGGCTGAAAATGTAGATTCATATATTGGTATCAACTAGATATTTGAAAACAAAGAGGCAAAATAAATACAAAAATTAAAGGTCAAATAAGCTAAATTTCAAAAGAGATAACTGTTTGGCAATGACAGGGCACCAAAGACAAGCCATCCTAATTGCCTAATCCAATCATCTCTCTTGGGCCAAAACTATTTCAGTGGTCAGGAACATCACGGGCATTGGTATATATGCCTTATTTCTCATATTACAGTAGAAGTTCTTCATAGTCATTTTTATTTTTCCCTTTTAGTAATATACACAGAGAAGAAATCCAATATGCATTTGTTGCCTAAGTTAATGAATTTTTTTAATGGTCCCAACTTTGGATCCAGAAGTGCCAGAGATGGCAGTTTGGAGGGAAATGTTTGCTAAATGGAGGTATTCTGTTTGTCACTTATGAAAATGGTTCTCATTAACCACATAACCATACCATGTATGTAACTCAACTATTTATTTGCTTTATGCTGAAATAAGATTTAAGTATGCTAACAGACAAGTTCTTCATTCCCAGTTAAAATCTGCCTTTGAAGTCAAGGCATTCCAAGCTTTTTTTCTCAGCAAAGGGCCTGTATAGCCAAAACTTGAGAGCAGAAACCAATTTGTTAGCTTTTGAGTTTCTAAGTAGACTTTATAAAATTTATGGAAGAAATAATATTTAGGAAGCCAAAGATTTTTAATCTTAAAAGCTACATTTTTAGAGAAAGAATAGGACTTGTGTTCCAAAACTTCGATTTGGGGTGTCAAATATAAATCTAAAGGAAGGCAGGTATAAAGTTTAGTATATAAATAAAGGATTGGAAAAAGACTGTATGAAAGATTATGCTAACTGATAACTGACTTCCAGAGTTTGATCAGGTCTGAGGCAGAAGAAAAATCTGAAAGAAGTAAAACGAGTAGCTAGAAAAAAGAAGTCCTCTTCCCTAGCCCCTAATTTTAATTGTGTGTTGGAAGGACAGAAGGAGTGAGGGGAAATCAGGGGAGATTGTACTTGATAAAACCCACTGGGGACTTTCCTATTCAGATGAAACTAAGGCAGATCCTCAAGTCTTTGCAAGCCATGGAGAATTGGGGGAGCATCAAGAGGTGTATAAAGATACAGAAAGAAGAAAAGCCTTCAGGCATTTAAACACACACACACACACACACACACACACACACACACGTACTCCAAGTGAATCATTTTAGAAAAGAAATGGGAAAGTGGTTTGAAGAAATAAGGAGCAAACCAAAAAAGTTATCTTCGGAATTATATTGTGAGTTCTTTATGAACAGAGACAAAATCTTAAAACTCAGCATAGTGCTATATGCTAGATGAATATTGATAAATCAATTATCAGGAAATAATTACAACCTACATAAAGTATATGTTTAATCTTTAAAGAGTGTTACTGCTATAAGACTGCTATTGCTTAGAATTTCTGTGAAAATCACATGACAACCACGGAATGAATGGCCCCCTGTCTGACAGAGAATACAACAAACACCCTTATTCTGTACTCCAGCTGTTGCTTGAACGCACTGAACATGTTTCTATTTTAGGGAATACATACCTGCTAATTCCTTAGCCTGGAGCATTCTGCATATCTTTAAATCTCTTTTCCTTTCTTCTTTCAGAATTAGGTCTAATCCAATGTCACTTTATTAGAAAATTTTTAGGAGACAAGTGTATCTAAAACTTCCCACACACACGCACTCACATACTTCCAAACGATCCTTCTTTTATTATTCTGCTTCATTTTCCTCCATAGTAGTTATTACTAACTAATATAGCATGTGTTTATTTGTTTACTATGTCTCATTACAATGTACCTCTGAAAGGGGAAATTTTTTCTGATCCACACAAAGTTATATTCCTGAATTCTATAACAGGGCCTCACACATAAGAATTCAATAAGTATTTGACAAATAAAGAAAAAATTTTTCAAAAGACAGCTAAAACATTTTTATATTAGCATTTAATTGTATACATTATTTATTGAAATAAGTCATATCAACTAGAGCTTACTACATTTTTCACTATACAGATTTTTATTGTTAATGCTTTTGTTTTAATGTAGTATGACTTGCTGAAGAACAATCTTTTATACTAATTTTTCAACAGACCTGGAAATTGGTCACTGGCTTGTGTCTAGGTTAATTGCATTACTTACTGCATATAGTCTTCTCATCAAATCCAAGTTGTATAATAATTATTGTATCAAAAAAAGTATCTTTCATATTGGGGCTGCAAATAAAAACAGGTAGAGGCCCAACATTGTTGGAGCTGAAAGGGGAAAATTTAACTACAAACCCTATTGGTTCTTAACCAATTGCTACCACATGGAAATTTCTCAGCTCCCATTTTAGGAAGCCCTTGCCCTATTCCAGAGAAGCAGCCTATTTTTCCTCATTTGCATTGAACAACAATTTGTCCATCAGTGCACACAACCTCAGATCCCGTCTAAGTCTGCTCATCATTCTCATGACTAATTCCCTTGATTGCCTTTGGCAGCACACCATCTGCACACCTGGAAATGGTCTTTTATCAGGGTCTGCTGTCCTTGATTAAACTCTATTTAAATTGGACATTTACAAGCAGGGGAATTGCTCAACTAGTTCAGGAAGCTCCTAGTTGACTTTTCAGATATTCTCTGAAGGACTGGCTGGTATATTTTCCTAGAGAAGCCAAAGTCTCTCAAACTAATGGTCTCAGGAAATGGATTCTCAGTTTCTAAGCCCTGCCATAAATAGCAGAAGGCAGTAGATGTAACTTCTTTGAAATAAATGGGTATAAAAAGGGTGAACTTGCAAGCTGTTACACCCAAGGAAAAATTTAATGTTTTTGTATCATAGGGTTCTTGTTTCTGATAAAAAAAAAAATGGAAGATGTTTCTTCACTTGGAGCTCATATAATAAGGCCCCAAGACTGCATATCAACTAGATCCTGGGGTAGGGTGAAGAGAATATACACTTTAATATAACAATATAACACCTACAAATAACTTGACATATATCCCATGGATATGTGAATTCTATGTCACATCCTCTTGAATCTGGGAGTGGTTGTAACTGCTTTGACCAGTAGAATACAATGGAAATAACACTATGTGACTTTCAAGGCTAACTTACAAAGTAGCATGCCAGTTCTGCTTATCTGCTTTTAGATTCCCGAGCCTCAAGATGAGAAGTCTACCCACCCTCAGTTCACCAAGTTGAAGAAGAAGGACTCAGTCCCAACTGAGTCCAGTCTTCTAATCATCCTTGTCAAACCACCAGACATATGAGTGAAGCCATCCAGACCAGCCCATCCACTGATGCCAATGGAAGAAAACAATCACACGGATGAATCCTATCTAAAATTCTGACTCACTAAATAATGAGATATTAAAACAGTTTTTATATCTCAGTAGGTAGCAGCAAGTCTTAATGAATTTTGAAAAATGAGAATTACATAAATCGCATTCTCTAATCTCAGAGCCATCAAGTTTGAAGTAACAGGTAACTTTAATTAATTAAAATTCTGCATATAAATCTTGTGGGATAAACTGAAAGTGATTATTTGAAGAAAATGCATAGCCTTAAGTATTTACATTAGGAAAAAATAAATTTAAGAATTAGCATAAAATAACATATTGTACTAGATGAATATATACAATTTTTATTTGCCAAGTGAAGTAACAAAATGAAAACAACATTATGGAGAAGGATAGGGATATGGAGGTTCCTCAAAAAACTAAAAATATAACTACCATATGATCCAGCAATTCCACTATTGCATATATGCAAGAGAAACAAAATTAATATATCAAAGACACATCTACACCCCCTTGTTAATTGCAGAAGCATTTATAATAGCCGAAATATGGAATCAACCTAAGTGCCCAACAATAGATGAATGAATAAAGAAAATGTAGTACATATACACAATGGAATACTATTCGGCCATAGAAAGAATGAAATCCTGTCATTTGCAACAACATGGATGGAACTGGAGGCTATTACGTTAAGTGAAATAAGTCAAGCACATAGAGAAAAGCATCACCTGTTCTCACTCACATGTGGGAGCTTAAAAAAATAGATGTCATGAATATAGAGAGGAGATTGGTGGTTACCAGAGGCCAGGAAGGAGAGGGAGGAGGAGACCTGATGGGGGGAAAAATAATATAAATGTATTTATTACCACTGAACTGTACACTTAAAAATAATAAAGATGATAACTTATATATGTATATTTTATTCTCAATATAAAAACTACTTTAAAAAAGGAATTAGCAAAGAAATCTTAAAATATACCCAAAGACATCCTATGCTTAGCTCGAAACCGAAAATGTGTAGGTATTCAGGTTAATCATATAAGCTATACAATTCTTCTTCCACAATAAAGGGTTATCATCTTCAAATAATTCTTTTATTATCTTTATAAAGCCTTGAATTAATGATTGGCTTTCAGTTACAAATGAGAATTAACTGGGCCAGCTGGGCCACATTAATGATTGAGTTGAAGTTCAGTCCAGGTTGAGTCTCCTTGTAGAATATAACGATCATGTAGCATACTGCTGTCTGGATAATGTTTACCTCAGTGACATTACTATTTGGGTTTTTTGTTTATTTGTTTCTTTGTTTGTTTTACCATTTCCCTCTCAATTTTCTTATTGCTTCAGTTATCATCTGATATTTTAGATCTCTCCAAGAACCTGTGAGGTTCATTTTAAAGCTACCATGATATTCTAATATATGACATTAATACTTACCTAGTAACTTCTTGCAGATTCATACATAAGATAAAAATGTAAAGGATGATATTATTCTCTTGATATTTTTATGGATTCTCTTATATTTTTATACACTATCTCTTACACACTATCTCCAAGAAACTTGAATAAATCAATAAATACTACAGTGCAGTCCAGTATGCTTTACCACAGTCTCCATTAATCTGGAGTATTTTTGGAGTACAGATTCATTTTTGTACCACAGCAGAACACCTCTCTGTGCTGAGCAGTGTTTCATCTCAAGCAAACAACTCAGCACGGCTTGTCCCTTTGCTATTGTCCAATAACAATACCGTGCCTTCTTAAAGTCTTCATTCTTCCCAGGTCAAACTTTATTTCCCTCAATTACATAATAAGTTGGAGATAAGACCTTAATCTGATAGCAACCTCCACATAATCAATGGCAATAGTGGATGGAGAGAAAAATGGATCAGTGATGCAGCAGAATAACTGTCAAGTACTTCCTTTGGTAAATGTTTGTTAAAAATCATTTTCTCTTTTTTAATTTTGGTTTTAGAGACAGGGTCTCGTTCTATCAGCCAGGCTGTATCATATCTCACTGCAGCCGTGAACTCCTGGCCTCAAGTGACCCTCCTTCTTCCACCCACCAAAGCCCTGGGATTACAGGCATGAGCCACCAAGTATGGCCTAAAAAGTAATTTTCATTATTATTATTGTTTATAAAGCTTAAAGATGACCAGCAACTGATAATTTTAAGATTAAACTTTGCCTCTCATTGACAAGGCAGGAATGAAAGTCAGAAATTTGTTCAGTGATTATTTTACTCTTATCCCACATAATACCTATTTTCCCCATCAGTTAGGATGACCTATGGTTGTCATCTTGATCAGTCCTTATATCCTTCTCCTTTACCAACTCATAATGATATTGATGATTACTAATCACTTACTACATTGTATTACCCAGCAATGCTCTAAGAGTTTTACATATACAAACTCATTTACTCATCGTGATATCACTATACAGTAGAAGCTATCGTCATGCCGTTTTGATACGGGGAATCAGAGGCATTGAAATTTTAAGTAATTTCTACAATGCTACCATTAGTAAGTGATGGGGCCTGGATTAAAATAAAGAATTGGGACAGGGCCAAGATGGCCGACTAGAAGCAACCGCATTTGGAGGCTTCCATTGAAAAAAAACCATAATAAGCATATGAATCCTTCACTATCAACCAAGGTATCCAGGTTCTATCATCAAAACTGACTTAAAGGCTAATTAGATCCCATTTGTCAATTTTGCCTTTTGCTGCCATTGCTTTTGGTGTTTTAGACATGAAGTCCTTGCCCATGCCTATGTCCTGAATGGTATTGCCTAGGTTTTCTTCTAGGGTTTTTATGGTTTTAGGTCTAACATTTAAGTCTCTAATCCACCTTGAACTAGTTTTTGTATAAGGTGTAAGGAAGGGATCCAGCTTCAGCTTTCTACATACGGCTAGCCAGTTTTCCCAGCACCATTTATTAAATAGGGAATCCTTTCCCCATTGCTTGTTTTTGTCAGGTTTGTCAAAGATCAGATAGTTGTAGATATGTGGCATTATTTCTGAGGGCTCTGTACTGTTCCATTGGTCTATATCTCTGTTTTGGTACCCCTACCATGCTGTTTTGGTTAGTGCAGCTAATTAAACTAAAGAGCTTCTGCACAGCAAAAGAAACTACCATCAGAGTGAACAGGCAACCTACAAAATGGGAGAAAATTTTTGCAATCTACTTATCTGACAAAGGGCTAATATCCAGAAGCTACAATGAACTCACACAAATTTACAAGAAAAAAACAAACAACCCTATCAAAAAGTGGGCAAAGGATATGAACAGACACTTCTCAAAAGAAGACATTTATGCAGCCAACAGACACATGAAAAAATGCTCATCATCACTGGCCATCAGAGAAATGCAAATCAAAACCACAATGAGATACCATCTCACACCAGTTAGAATGGCGATCATTAAAAAGTCAGGAAACAACAGGTGCTGGAGAGGATGTGGAGAAATAGGAACACTTTTACACTGTTGGTGGGACTGTAAACTAGTTCAACCATTGTGGAAGTCAGCGTGGCGATTCCTCAGGGATCCAGAACTAGAAATACCATTTCACCCAGCCATCCCATTACTGGGTATATACCCAAAGGATTATAAATCATGCTGCTATAAAGACACATGCACACGTATGTTTATAGCAGCACTATTCACAATAGCAAAGACTTGGAACCAACCTAAATGTCCAACAATGATAGACTGGATTAAGAAAATGTGGCACATATATACCATGGAATACTATGCAGCCATAAAAAATGAAGAGTTCATGTCCTTTGTAGGAACATGGATGAAACTGGAAACCATCATTCTCAACAAACTATGGCAAGGACAAAAAACCAAACACCGCATGTTCTCACTCCTAGGTGGGAATTGAACAATGAGAACACATGGACACAGGAAGGGGAACATCACACACCAGGGACTGTTGTGGGGTGAGGGGAGGGGGGAGAAATAGCATTAGGAGATATACCTAATGCTAAATGACGAGTTAATGGATGCAGCACACCAACATGGCACATGTATACATATGTAACAAACCTGCACGTTGTGCACATGTATCCTAAAACTTAAAGTATAATAATAATAAAATTAAAAAAAAAAAAACAAAAAAACTGACTTAAAGGCTGGCGTGAACCAGAGAAAAGGAAGAGCATTGTGGTGCGGCAGCCCACCTGAGAGCCACACGGGGAAGGGAAACTCCCTCCCGGCAGCCAAAGGAGTCGGTGAGCAAGTGCACTACCCATCCAGGGAAAAAGCTTTTCCCATGGAACTGTGCAACCCATGGATCAGATAATCCACGCCACCAGGGCCTAGCATCCCGCCAGAATGCACAAGTTCTTACAGCCTCTCAGCTGAAATCTGCTTAAGCCTACCGAACTTCTAGGGAAGGGGCAACCAGTACCAATTGTGGCTGCCTGTTAAGCCATTTGAGCTCTTTGGGGGAGGGGCAGCAGCCAGCACTGGGACTCACAACTGCCTAACAGGCTAAGCTCCCTGGGCGGAGGAAGGGCAGCACCCATTTCTATAGCTCTAGGCTGTGCTTTTCCCCTGCTGGAGCCAGGGAGACTGGATGGCTTGGTCCCAAGACTTGTCCCCACAGCCCAACACACCAGCTATGGCAGTCTGTGGCCAGAGTGCCTCTTCAGGTCTAACCCTTGTCCATCACCCATCAGTGGGTGGGGCTTCCCTGCAGGATCTCTACAGGGAAGAGGCTAACGACAGCCAGAGGCTCAGGGACAGAATTCAGATCTCCCTGGTCCTGAGCCCCTAGGGGGAAGGGTGGCTGCAGTCTCTGTGGACCAGCAGACTTGGCCTCTCCTCCTGGTAGTTATGGGGAATCCAGGTAGCCCAGATGAGTGGGTTTCCCCCCAGCAAAACACACCCTCTCCACCTACGGACAAAGTGCTTCATTAAACAGGTCCTGTTCGTCATGCCACCCAACTGGGTAAGACCCTCCAACATGGGTAGTCACACACCCTATACAGGAGCAATCCTATGGCATCAGGTTGGTGGCCCTTGAGGTCAGATGTCACAGAAGAAGGAGCAGGCATCCATCTTTGCTGCTCTCCAGCCTCCTTGAGTGACATCTCCAGGCATGGGAGCGAATCAGATGAATAGGGCCTGAAGTGAAACAGCAAACTGTAACAGTCCTACAGAAGAGGGACCTGACTACTGAAAAAAACCAAACATGCACAAAGTGACAACAACAGCATCAACAGTAAGAAAAAAAAAGGCCCCCACAAAAACCCCATCCAGTGTCAGCAGCCTCAAAGACTAAAACTAGACAAACTCACTAAGATGAGAAAGAATCAATGAAAAAATGCTGAAAACCCAAAGGCCAGAGTCCCTTTTCTTCTCCAAATGATCGCAACATCTCTCCATCAAGGGCGCAGAACTGGTCAGAGGATCAGTTGGATGAATTGACAGAAGTAGGCTTCACAAGATGGGTAATAAAAAACTATAATGAGCTAAAGGAACATGTCATAACCCAATGCAAAGAAAATAAGAATCTTGATAAAAGATTAGAGGAATAGCTCCCTAGAATAACCAGTTTAGAGAGGAACATAAACAACCTGGTGGAGCTGAAATACACAGCACGAGAACTTTGTGAAGCATACACAAGTATCAACAGCCGAATCGACCAAGTCTAAGAAAGGATATCAGAGTTTGAGGACCACCTTACTGAAATAAGACATGCAGACATGAATAGAGAAAAAAGAATGAAAAAGGATAAACCAACCCTCCAAGAAATATAGGACTTCATAAAAAGACCAAACCTACGATTGATTGGAGTACCAGAAGGAGACAGGGAGAATGGAAACAAGCTGCAAAACATGTTTCAGGATATTATCCAGGAGAACTTCCCCAGCCTAGCAAGGCAGGCCACATGCAAATTCGGGAAATACAGAGAACACCATTCAGATACTCCACAAGAAGATGAACCCCAAGATATATAATCATCAGATTCTCCAAGGTCAAAATGAAGGAAAAACTGTTAAGGGCAGTCAGAGATAAAGGCCAGGTCACCTACAAAGGGAAGCCCATCAGACTAACAGCAGAACTCTCAGCAGAAACTCTATAAGCCAGAAGAGACTGGGGGCCAATATTCAACATTCTTAAAGAAAATAATTTTCAACCCACAATCCGTATCCAGCCAAATTCAGCTTCATAAGCGAAGGAGAAATAAAATCCTTTACAGACAAGCAAATGCCAAGGGATTTCATTACCACCAGGCCTGCCCTGAAAGAGCTCTTGAAAGAAGCACTAAATGTGGAAAGGAAAAACCAGTACCAGCCACTGCAAAAACACACCAAAATATGAAGACCAATGACACTATGAAGAAACTGCATCAACTAGTGTGCAAAATAACCAAATAGCATCATGATAACAGGATCAAATTCACACGTAACAATACTAACCTTAAATGTAAATGGGCTAAATGCCCTAACTAAAAGACACAGACTGACAAATTGGATAAGGAATCAAGACCCATTGGTGTACTGTATTCAGGAGACCCATCTTACGTGCAAAGACACACACAGGCTAAAAATAAACGGATAGAGAAAAATGTACCAAACCAATGGAAAGCAAAAAAAAAAGCAAGGGTTGCAATACTAGTCGCTGACAAAACAAACTTTAAACAAACAAAGATCAAAAAACAGAAAGAAGGGCATTACATGATGATAAAGGGAACAATTTGACAAGAAGAGCTAACTATTGTGAATATATATGCACCCAATACAGGAGCACCCAGATTCATAAAACAAGTTTCTTAGAGACCTACAAAGAGACTTAGACTCCCACATAATAATAGTGATAGACCTTAACACCCCACTGTCAGTATTAGACAGATCAATGAGACAGAAAATTCAGACAGTATTAGACAGATCAATGAGACAGAAAATATTCAGGACTTAAAGTCAGCTCTTCATCAAGTGGACCGAGTAGATGTCTACAGAACTCTCTATCCCAAACCAACAGAGAATATACATTCTTTTCATGGCCACCTGGCACTTATTTTAAAATTAAACACATAATTGGAAGTAAAGCAATGTTCAGCAAATGTAAAAGAGCTAAAATCATAGCAAACAGTCTGTCAGACCACTGTGTAATCAAATTAGAATTCAGGATTAAGAAACTCACTGAACACCACACGATTTCATGGAAATTCAACAACCTGCTCTTCAATGATTCCTGGCTAAATAATGAAATTAAGGCAGAAATCAAGAAGTTCTTTGAAACCAGTGAGAACAAAGAGACAACATACAAGAATCTCTGGGATGCAGCTAAAGCAGTGTTAAGAGAGAAATTTACAGCACTAAATGCCCATATCGGAAAGCTAGAAAGATCTCAAATAAACACCCTAACATCAGAATTAAAAGAGCTAGATAAGCAAGAGCAAAGTAATCCAAAAGCTAGCAGAAGACAAGAAATAGCTAAGGTCAGAGAAGAACTGAAGGAGATAGGGACATAAAAAACCCTCCAAAAAATCAACGAATCCAGGAGGTGGTTTTTTGAAAAAATTAACAAAATAGACCACTAGCTAGACTAATAAAGGAGAGAGAAAAGAATTAAATAGACACCATAAAAAATGATAAAAGGACTGTCACCACTGACCCCACAGAAATACAAACTACCATCAGAGAATATTGTAATTACCTCTACGAAAATAAACTAGAATATCTAGAAGAAATGAATAAATTCCTGGACACATACACCCTACCAAGACTAAACCAAGAAGTTGAATCCTTGAATAGACCAATAACAACTTCTGAAATTGAGGCTGTAATTAATAGCCTACCAACCAAAAAAGCCCAGGACCAGACAGATTCACAGGTAAATTGTACCAGAAATACAGAGAGGAGCTGGTACCATTCATTCTGAAACTACTCCAAACAACTGAAAGGAGGGACCCTTCCCTAACTCATTTTATGAAGCCAGCACCATCCTGATACCAAAACCGGGAGGAGGTACAACAAAAAAAGAAAACTTCAGGCCAGGCACGGTAGCCAATCAGATGATATTCCTGATGAACACCGATGTGAAAATCCTCAATAAAATACTGGCAAACCGAATCCAGCAACACATCAAAAAACTTATCCACCACAATCAAGTCAGCTTCCTCCCTGGGATGCAAGGCTGGTTCAACATACATAAATCAATAAATGTAATCCATCACATGAACAGAACCAATGACAAAAACCACATGATTATCTCAATAGATGGAGAAAAGGCCTTTGATAAAATTGAACAACTTCATGTTAAAAACTCTCAATAAACCATGTATTAATGGAACATATCTCAAAATAATAAGAGCTATTTATGACAAACCCATAGCCAATAACATATTGAATGGGCAAAAGCTGGAAGCATTCCCATTGAAAACCAGCACAAGACAAGGATGGCCTCTCTTACCACTCCTATTCAACATAGTATTGGAAGTTCTGGCCAGGGCAATCAGGCAAGAGAAAGAAATAAAGGATATTTAAATAGAAAGAGAGTAAGTCAAGTTGTCTCTGTTTGCAGAAGACATGATTTTATATTTAGAAAACCCCATCATCTCAGCCCAGAAACTTCTCAAACTGATAAGCAACTTCAGCAAAGTCTCAAGATACAAAATCAATGTGCAAAAATCACAAGCATTCCTTTATGCCAACAAAAGGCAAGCAGAGAGCCAAATCATGAATAAACTCCCATTCACAATCACTACAAAGAGAATAAAATACCTAGGAATACAGCTAACAAGAGATGTGAATGACCTCTTCAAGGAAAACTACAAACTACTCCTCAAGGAAATAAGAGAGGACACAAACAAATGGAAAAACATTCCATCCTCATGGATAGGAAGAATCAATATTGTGCAAATGGTCATACCACACAAAGCAATTTATAGATTCAATGCTATTCCCATCAGACTACCATTGACATTCTTCACATATTAGAAAAAACTATTTTAAATTTCATATGGAATCTAAGAAGATCCCGTATAGCCAAGACAATCCTAAGCAAAAAGAACAAAGTTGGAGGCATCATGCTACCTGACTTCAAACTATACTACAAGGCTACAGTAACCAAAACAGCATGTTACTGGTACCAAAACGGATATATAGACCAATGGAACAGAACAGAGGCCTCAAAAATAACACCACACATCTACAACCATCTGATCTTTGATGAATCTGACAAAAACAAGCAATGCGGCAAGGATCTCCTATTCAGTAAATCATGCTGGGAAAATTGGCTAGCCCTATGCAGAAAACTGAAACTGGACCCCTTCCTCATACCTTATACAAAAATTAACTCAAGATGGATTAAAGACTTAAATGTAAAACACAAAACCATAAAAACCCTGGAAGAAAAGCTAGGCAACACCATTCAGGACATAGGCATGAGCAAAGACTTCATGACAAAAATGCCAAAAGCAATTGCAACAAAAGCCAAAACTGACAAAAGGAATCTAATTAAACAGAGTGAACAGGCAACCTACAGAATGGGAGAAAATTTTTGCAATCTACCCATCTGACAAAGGTCCGATATCAAGAATTTACAAGGAACTTAAACATATTTACAAGAAAAAAAAAGCAATCCCATCAAAAAGTAGACAAAGGATATGAACAGACACTTCTCAAAACAAAACATTTATGCAGCCAACAGACACATGAAAAAATGCTCATCATCACTAGCCATCACAGAAATGCAAATCAAAACCACAATGAGATACCATCTCATGCCAGTCAGAATGGCAATTATTAAAAAGTCAGGAAACAATAGATGCTAGTGAGGCTGTGGAGAAATAGGAACACTTTTACACTGTTGGTGGGACTGTAAAGTAGTTCAGCCACTGTGGAAGACAGTATGGCTATTCCTCAAGGATGTAGAACCGATGGCCAAAGAGGAACAGCTCCAGTCTACAGCTCCCAGTGTGAGTGACACAGAAGACAGGTGATTTCTGCATTTCCAGCTGAGGTACTGGGTTCATCTCACTGGGGCTCCTCGGACAGTGGGGGCAGGACAGTGGATGCAGCCCACCGAGCATGAGCCAAAGCAGGGCGAGGCATCGCCTCACCTGGGAAGCACAAGGGGTCAGGGAATTCCCTTTCCTAGCCAAGGAAAGGGGTGACAGATTGCACCTGGAAAATCGGGTCACTCCCACCCTAATACTGCACTTTTCCAAAAGTCTTAGCAAACGACACACCAGGAGATTATATCCCGCGCCTGGCTCAGAGGGTCCCACGCCCACGGAGCCTCGCTCATTGCTAGCACAGCAGTCTAAGATCGAACTGGAAGGTGGCAGCGAGGCTGGGGGAGGGGTGCCCGCCATTGCTAAGGCTTGAGCAGGTAAACAAAATGGCCGGGAAGCTCAAACTGGGTGGAGCCCACCACAGCTCAAGGAGGCCTGCCTGCCTCTGTAGACTCCACCTCTCGGGGCAGGGCGTAGCTGAACAAAAGGCAGTCAAAATCTCTCCAGACTTAAATAACCCTGTCTGACAGCTTTGAAGAGAGTAGTGGTTCTCCCAGCACAGAGTTTGAGATCTAAGAACGGACAGACTGCCTCCTCAGGTGGGTCCCTGACCCCCGAGTAGGCTGAGAGGCACTCCCCAGTAGGGGCAGACTAAAACCTCACACGGCTGGGTACCCCTCTGAGATGAAGCTTCCAGAGGAACGATCAGGCAGCAACATTTGCTGTTCACCAATATTCGCTGTTCTGTAGCCTCCACTGCTGATACCCAGGCAAACAGGTCTGGAGGGGAAACTCCAACAGACTGGCAGCTGAGGGTCCTGATTGCAAGAAGGAAAACTAACAAACAGAAAGGACATCCACACCAAAACCCCATCTGTATGTCACCATCATCAAAGACCAAAGGTAGATAAAACCACAAAGATGGGGAAAAAAAACAGAAGAAAAGCTGAAAATTCTGAAGATCAGAGCACTGCTCCCCCTCCAAAGGAACGCAGCTCCTCACCAGCAATGGAACAAAGCTGGATGGAGAATGACTTTGACAAGTTGAGAGAAGAAGGCTTCAGACAATCAAACTTCTCCGAGCTAAAGGAGGAAATTCAAACCCATGGCAAAGAAGCTAAAAACCTTTAAAAAAGATTAGACGAATGGCTAACTAGAATAACTAGTGTAGAGAAGTCCTTAAATGACCTGATGGAGCTGAAAACCATGACAAGAGAACTACCTGACAAATGCACAAGCTTCAGTAGCTGATTCGATCAACTGGAAGAAAGTGTATCAGTGATTGAAGATCAAATGAATGAAATGAAACAAGAACAGAAGTTTAGAGAAAAAAGAGTAAAAAGAAATGAACAAAGCCTCCAAGAAATATGGTACTATGTGAAAAGACCAAATCTATGTCTGATTGGTGTACCTGAAAGTGACGGAGAGAATGGAACCAAGTTGGAAAACACTCTGCAAGATATTATCCAGGAGAACTTCCCCAACCTAGCAAGGCAGGCCAACATTCTGATTGAGGAAATACAGAGAATGCCACAAAGATACTCCTTGAGAAGAGCAACTCCAAGACACATAATTGTCACATTCACCAAAGTTGAAATGAAGGAAAAAATGTTAAGGGTAGCCAGAGAGAAAGGCTGGGTCACCCACAAAGGGAAGCCCATCAGACTAACAGTGGATCTCTTGGCAGAAACTCTACAAGCCAGAAGAGAGTGAGGGCCAATATTCAACATTCTTAAAGAAAAGAATTTTCAACTCAGAATTTCATATCCAGCCAAACAAAGCTTCAGGAGTGAAGGAGAAATAAAATCCTTTACAGACAAGCAAATGCTGAGAGATTTTGTCACCATCAGGCCTGCCCTAAAAGAGCTCCTGAAGAAGGCACTAAACATGGAAAGGAATAACTGGTACCTGCCACTGCAAAAACATGCCAAATTGTAAAGACCATAAATGCTAGGAAGAAACTGCATCAACTAATGAGCAAAATAACCAGCTAACATCATAATGACAGGATCAAATTCACACATAACAATACTAACCTTAAATGTGAATGGGCCAAATGCTCCAATTAAAAGACACAGACTGGCAAATTGGATAAAAAGTCAAGACCCATCAGTGTGATGTATTCAGGAGACCTATCACATGTGCAGAGACACACATAGGCTCAAAATAAAGGGATGGAAGAAGATCTACGAAGCAAATGGAAAACAAAAAAAGGCAGGGGTTGCAATCCTAGTCTCTGACAAAACAAATGTTAAACCAGCAAAGATCAAAAGAGACAAAGAAGGCCATTACATAATGGTAAAGGGATCAATTCAACAAGAAGAGCTAACTATCCTAAATATATATGCACCCAATACAGGAGCACCCAGATTCATAAAGCAAGTCCTTAGAGAACTACAAAGAGACTTAGACTCCCACACAGTAATAATGGGAGACTTTAACACCCCACTGTCAACATTAGACAGATCAACGAGACAGAAAGTTAACAAGGATATCCAGGACTTGAACTCAGCTCTGCACCAAGCAGACCTAATAGACATCTACAGAACTCTCCACCCCAAATCAATGGAATACACATTCTTCTCAGCACCACACTGCACTTATTCCAAAATTGACCACATAGTTGGAAGTAAAGCACTCCTCAGCAAATGTAAAAGAACAGAAATTATAACAAACTGTCCTTCAGAAATACCATTTGACCTAGCAATCCCTATATGAGTATATACCTAAAGGAATATAAATCATTCTACTATAAAGACACATGCACATGTATGTTTATAGCAGCACTATTTACAATAGCAAAGACATGGAACCAACCCAAATGCTTATCAATGATAGAGTGATTAAGAAAATATGGTACATATACACCATGGAATACTATGAAGCCATAAGAAGGAATGAGATCATGTCCTTTGCAGTGACATGGATGAAGCTAGAAGCCATCATCCTCAGCAAACTAACATGGAACAGAAAACCAAACACCGCATGTTCTCACTCATAAGTGGGAGTTGAACATTGAGGACACATGGACACACAGAGGGGAACAAAACATACCAGGGCCTGTCGGAGGGTGGAGTGGAAGGGAGGAAACTTAGAGGATGGGTCAATAGGTGCAGCCAACCACCACAGCACATGTATACTTATGTAACAAACCTGCGTATTCTGCACACGTATCCCTTTTTTTCAGGATAAAGAAAAAAATAAAAATAAAGAGGCTATTTCTTGTCATACCTTATTGTATCAGAATAAAAAGAGAAAGAAGGGCTTCAGAGTTGTGTACCAATGGCATTGCAAAAAGTGGTGCAAACATGGAAAGAGGCTGATTAGGAACACTTTCCTCCTTCTCTCCCCACATTCTCCCTACTCTCGTTTCCTTATATAGTACAAATGCTGAAAGAGAAGTCAATGCCTCCTTTTGAAAGGGAATCTGTAACATTCAGACAATATGGACGACATATGAACTCATTATGAGAGCCTGCAAACAAAGGCTCCCTTGTCATTTTTCATGAGATTGAATATTTCTGCTTATCACTTAATCATCAACTTTGTGGTGCTGGGCACTGTCTACAGATATCAGGAGGGAGACAAAACAAATTAAAGGCATGCTTTCTCTCTGTAGAAAGGTACAAAACAATTGGTTACCCACAGCATATATACAGGAAAGAAATAAAAATGAAAAATGTGAAAAGTTCTCAAAGCAATGTGTAAATGGATACAAATGATCATGCTGTCAAGAAAGCACAACCACAAGAAAGAAATGTGAGATTAATTTTTTTCATAATAAAGGAGCATTATAAATGGAAGATGTCCTGGAAAGTGGAATTTAGAATTGGGTTTTAAAGGCATGGCAGGGAAGAGTATGGATGGTCAGGTCTCTGCATCTGTCATTTGTTTCAAGTTCTAGCCAGCAACAGGACACCCATCTTCCCCTGACACCCCTTTCCACCCCCTACAACTCTGTCAATTGTAGTGACAGGATTATCTCAGGTACATGATGCACAACGGGCTCTTTAAAGTGCAATGTTTCACAATCCCATCATTGTATACTGTTTTATTTTCTGTGCCACACTGCCTGAGTACTTCATCTGTTACACGTTTTCCATAGGATCCAAAGCAGAGCTCTGCTTTCTGAAAGACAATAGTTACCAACATGTTCTATCCCTAAAATGCATAAAATTTGGAGGATTCCTTCAGAGCAAGACAGAAAAATACAAGTGTGATTCATTTTCTGTCCCTATTCTCCAAACTCTCTCAAAGAAAATTATTTCATTTTGGACTCCCTCAGGGAGAAACTAAAATTCTAAGATTCTAAGAGCCTTAAGGGCTAGTAGTGGTTACCCAGAGCTGAAGAGTTCAGCAAGAAGAGAATATGAGAATGAGAGAAGAATTTACAATGAAAAGAAAGAGAAAAGAGGGTAAAAAAGGACTTACATCAAACGTTCAAGGCAGAATCCTACATGCCAAAATTTTTAAGCTTTAAGAATTTTATAAACTTTATTTCCTCCAGAGATCCTTTATATTTAAACGTGTCACAGAAGGCACAGTTCTCCTCCAGCCTCCCCAGTTCTGCTCATCTTGCCACTGGACTTTTTGCAAAGTCGAAAGCAAGTTCTGTGTTAAAAGCTGATGGTCAGAATAAGTGGTTTCAGCTGCTGCTGCTGCTCCAGGCTTTGATTTGGGGAGGAGGAACTGATACCTGGTCTTTGGCCTGAGAGATTGGGCTATATGCACTAGTTCCATCTTTCCACTTTGTAGCAGTAGAAGGACACATTTTCTCTCCTCCCTTTCCTGGTCAGTTTTTGTCTGAGTGTTCTGACATGTCAAGAGGAAGCCCACGGGACAATCTCAGTAACTAGTAGATCTACTAAAATCTGGGGGGAAAAAATGGCCCCATCTTTGCAGAACACAGATCCACACTGACCCTGATTTCTCATTTGTTCTCTCTCTTCCCCACTCCTCCCTTCTCCCCTTGTCTAAATAAACTGCGCTATTCCCATAAACCACTGAGAAGCCACAAGATTTCTCAAGTCTGCTTCCTGGAAATGTATAAGGAAAATTATGTTCTCTCATTTTCATACATTTGCAGGGAGAGACAAGAAATCCTTATTACACCAAGGGATTCACCCAAGCAAAACTGCCAATGCCAGTTATGCCTGCTTTTCTATATTCCTCCCATTTCTACCCTATCTGCTCTCTTGATCACTAAGCTTAGAGAACATAAATAGCCATCCAGAGCAAACACCTCAGTGTTTCCCTACACACAATTGCTACCCTGAATATTTTATTTGATTCAGGAGTTGAAACAAGGATATCACTTCTTCAAGAATTGTCTCTATTTCCTGTTTCAGGAAAGCAGAGAAATACAAGTGTCATTCATGTTCTGCCCCTATTCTCCAAACCATCTCAAAGAAAATTATTTCATTTTAGGATCTCTCTGGAAGAAACTAAAATTCTAAGATTCTAGGAGCCTAAGGAGCTAGTAGATAGCCTAAGAGGTAGATGTGTTATAATTCTAAAATTTGGTAAGGAAGCAGAAATTGGGACTTTCTTTAACATTCTATTAAGCTTGAAATTAGAACTTGATTTTTGTCAAGCCCAACTTTCACTGGGCTTGACATTTTGAAATAGAGGAACAGAACTCAGAATTATAGCAGTGCTTGTCTCTTCCTCAAGGATGTACCTCAGCTCTCAGAATAGTTTGGATATCAATAAATCATCATTTAATGAGAGAATAAATGGTAGCCTTAGAGGTTGAAGATGACAATTCTGGGTGATCAGTAATCTCTGTTTAAGTTGGCAGTCAAAGGGTGAGTTGAAACAGCCTTCATCATAATGAAGGGTGAATCAGGAACAATGGCTTCTGCTTTGGTTTAATCTGGCTTTATATTTATTGCTTTATATTTATATTTACTAATTAAAAACTGTATACATATATATACATCTACTAAATATAAACAATATTTATATATATATATATATATGCATACACACATACAAATATATTCTTTCCATCGAATCATGGAGTTGAAAACTACCTTAGTGATTATCTACTATCATTTTTCTTATAGGGCCACAATGCAAAAGACTCTCCATCTACATTATCTGCTGCTTTACTCAACGTTGTAGAAAAACTCCTAGTTTTCTACTAAATTACTTCTTCCTGTAAGATATCAGAAAGACAATTTTAAAATAGATGTAAATTTTCTCTAAATCAATTTCTGTGAGTAGGAAGAAGGAAATTTGTCACTTTCAAAGTTTTATAAGTTTTTTATCACAGTGGATGGTACTAGTACAACTCTATGTCAATGTCTCGACATGCTCCCCACAAAGATAGCCAATTCTATTTATTCTTCCAGTTGTGCAACTTTAGAGAGGAAGAGAAACTAGCACATATTAAGTGCTTGCTACAATAATATACCAGGTATCCTACAAATAAGCTCTTTCTATCTTCACAACAACTCAATGATTTTAAGTATTTCACCCAATTCCTAGGTAACGAAATGCAACCTTAAAGAGACCAGTCATGAGCTAAAAAGTGGTAGAGCTAGAATGTCACATCAGTTTTGTCTGAATCCAAAATCTATACTCTTTTTCTTTTTGTATATGAAAAGTTACCAAAAAGAAACCGCTCCCAACAAAACTGTATTGTCTATGGTAAACACAATATCTTCCCAAATGAAGGAAAGAATATCTAAAGAGATAGACAATGGAAATCAATACCCCTGGGATTATGCAGTGTCTTTACACAAGATCTGTGAATTTCCATGGATTGAGGGAATTATTTAGCTTACATATTTCTAGGAAGCCTTCTAGCGCACATTAGCAAATATTTGTTGCATGCATATTTGTGAGAAACTAGAAGTACCATGCTTAGCCTTTCTTTCATAAGTAATCAAGACTTAACAAGAGAAATACTGAGCTAAAGATAGCATAATAGATTTATTTTTGACAATTACTCACTTCCTCCTTCACTGTAAAACAACTGTATATCCCTGCCCTATTGAACTGGGCTTATTATAGCACTTGCTGTGACATTTGGGATATGAGTATATATGACATACGCCATGTTCAGGCAGATATTTTTAAGTGCAGATTCATATTTTGACTTGAACTAATTCACCAAGTGATTACAACTAATATATCTAGAATGGTAATACTTCTTGTTTTTCCTGGTCAAGCCAACACATAGGAATTACATACCTATCAAGAGCAGTAGGTCAGTAATACCCAGATTCTCCACATACTGGCATGGGGGCATGTTCACCTTGTGGAGCATATCAGATTCCAGTAGATGACTTAACTATTGAAAAATATATCCTCTTCTTCTCAAGAGATATGCCCCCAAAGGGGAGTATAGGAAATTATGTTGCCCTTTACAAAATATTCTGATTTTTCTTCATGCAGTAACCATCTCTTGGGAAGGATTAAATATCCCCACAGTATAGAATTCAAAAATGCCCAGGTGACCTGCTTTGGCCAACAAAAGGTGAACAGAAGTGATATGTGATATTTGGGGACATGAGCTTTAACAGCCATTTTGTTGTTCTCCATATCTCTCATCTATACCATGATAACCGAAATGCTCAACATAGAGGTTGCTCTGTTTTACCAGGTCACAGAGTGAAAAAAAAATGTGGAAGCAAATTCATAGATGACCCATGGCAGACTTGTATTTCTTGCATACATGAGAAATTTGAAACTCTAAGCACTGAGAATTGTGGTCCTTTGTTATTACAGCAAATATATACTTATTCTGAAGAATACAAGGAATATATATTTCCCTCTTGATAATTACTGATTTAGTGGACTTTAGGGCATTTAAGCAATCTTCTCTCTATTGTTTCTCTCAATTGACTTTTAGAAAGGCACTAAATAGTTCAAGATTATATTCTGACAAGTACCTATAGCGTGTCTACTCTAAATGTTGATTTTAATGTAGATTTTAGATTTAACAATTAATAAATGTGAGGCTAGATGTTATACCCGTTTAAAACAATTAAGGAGTTTAACAAAGATGTTTGCCTGAACGGAAGAGATAAACCAAGCAACTGCCTGTATCCAACATTTACTTAAAAACTAATTGTGGTGGTTCCTGACCAAAGAGGTAGCATACAGATAAACAGATAGATGACAGGGAGACAGACAGACAAACAGATGTATATCCAAAATCCTGCTCGTATAGCAAGGTCAATCTCATTTTAACATGGAGAGAGATTTGGATATTTAGTATAATTGAGTATACTTCTCAACCAATATTTGTTTTGTTTTTACTGAAACATCCATAGCTTCAAGTAAAATAGCTTCCTATTAAACACCCCATATAAATTTATTTCAAAACACATTTCTATACAGCTAAATATTAGATTATTATTCATAAACCAGTTAAAATTAGAGAACCCTCACTGATGAAAACTTTGATTTTAAAGTAGTTGATCTATAAGCCTTCTGTCTTCTAGGATTAGAGAGCGGAATTACTCTTTTATTCAAGCCACTCCTAGATTTTGATGCTAACATTTCACCCTCTTCATTATGACAGAATGCATGGCTAACTTCACTCCTGAAGACAAGCATGTTTCTAGAATATCTGAACATGAAATCAAATTACTGAGGAACAGATTAAAGAGATGGGAAGGGGAACTTAAATACATATTATTTTTAATCATTTCTGAAATTATTGTTTAAAGTATCAACACAGCATTTTTACCAACATTCTCTTGGCTCAGTGCAGCCTAGGGTCTGTAGTAACAGTAAAATATAACAAATATCTGCCCACAGAGTGAAAAAACAAAGAAAGGCTATTAAAATTTGTAATATTTTATTATTGTTGTATTATTTCTGTATTATTTCTGGTATTTCATTCAAAAGAGTACAGGTTTACTGGTGGAAGTGATAGGCCTCCCTGATCTTACTGGACCTCTACATTGAACACTGAGCTAAGAAGTATAATTTATAACTTATAAAGTATAAAAATGGCATATGTTTTAGATTGAACGACTTAAAAATGTATGTATTTATAATTTAGAGAAAATAAAGGATTGTCCTGGGCCCAATGAGGCAGCATCATGTCCATAGGACTAGGAAAGGTAAACAAGCTAAGATTATTGGAACTCAGTGGTTGTTGTGTGTGTGTGTGTGTGTGTGTGTGTGTGTGTGTGTGTGTGTGTTTTGTGTGGGTGGGGGGTTGTCTTTAAATACTCATGGTGCAGAAGTCTTTCCTGGGTGGCATTTAGTTATTGATGACTGAACTTCACCATCATGCTGCTTATTTCTAAACATATTAATTTCAGCTTGACATTTGCTTTATGAACATTTGATTTCAGAGTTAAGAAAACAGCTTAACTAGAACAGATATTCAAAATTAAAGGTTATTTATATAATCACTAACACAGTGATGTTTAAGACTTTTGGAACTGCTATGAAATTTTAAGTTTATGATATCATGCCATATACTTTGAAAAATTAATTCAAATTAGTTTGGAAACAAGCACTTTTATATCCACTGAAAATTTCATTAGCAATAGAAATATAAGGTTATAAGCAAAGAAATGGTAGAACAATAGAAAGATGTCTACAGAGGTTAAAATTGGGTTTTTTTCACATCTTCATTAAAGATCTAAAAGTGATAATGAGCAGATTATTCAAATGTACAAATATTAGGAAAGAATAATAAAGTCATTAGAAAAAAATAGTGGGTACTTACATATCAAAATTAGATTAATTTTAAATGGCAAAGATCTGGAAAATAGACATAGATATTAGAAAAAGAGAGAGGGAAAAGAACCTGGAAAGCAATAATGGAAATAAATTTATCTACTATATTATGTGAAAATCTCAATGTTATCTGAAAAGATGCTGTTACTGCAGGAAGTTTGAAGTTTTCTATATCTCCTAAGGCCTAAGCTCTTTGTAGTGCTGGATATTGCCCTATAGAAAGCACTGATTCTTCAACAATTATAACGTGGATGGAGAATAATACAAGGCAACTATGCACCATAACTTTTTCTTTTGATACTATCATATCAAAACTGGTACACAGAATTTTTGAAGTCTGGTGGAAACAGAACAAAATATTCAATACATCTGGTCAGGTACGTTATTCATAATGAGTCTTCTATTCCATAGGTTACCCTCAACCCACAATTAATTCCCTCCAGTTAAAGTTACCTACTGTGTGCTGATTCTCAGGGCATCCATGGGAAGCAGGACAATAAAATGATCTCTTCCTCATCTCTCAGCTAATAATTGTGGCTTTATCAGAGCCAAAGCCACAATAATATATTCCCTCAAAATGGTTATAGTGTATTAGTTTTCCATATTTTCCAGAGTCATCATGTACCACAGTAAAGACAAAGGAATCATTGGGAACTCTGGTTTTGAATATATCTCTAGAGAAGCAGCTGGGGCCTTGACCACAAGGCTCGGGAGCCTGTTCTTGGCCAAGTATTCTAATGTGTTGACCAGCAGCTAACCATAGTGTTGAGTTAATCAAGGCTGTTTAGCATGGAGTAAGAATCCACAGAATTGATACGGCCATCAAGTGTCTCTTGGAGAGCCCTGAAGAAGTGTCACTGGAATGGCATTTTTGGAAACTAGGAAGTGAAGGTAACACATTCAAAATAGGCTAATGAGTGGTCTTTTCTTGCAGGCTAAAATAGGAGCAATTAAAAAATTGCAACTAGGCCAATGACTGCCTGATCTTTAAACTCAGGGGACATCAACTAGGCCAATGACTGCCTGATGTTTAAACTCAGGGGACAGTGAGAGGAGCAATGCTTATTTCAGGTTGAGAGATGTCTGTCTAAAAGATGATCAGGTCATATCTCCACCATTAATATCGGTAAGAGTCAAGGGTGATAAGGGCAAAAGAGCAAAACTGTAATTCTGCCTGGATAAACCTTTTTTCTAGCTTTTGCAAATACCAGAGACAGACAGTCTAAAAAGGTTAATGCTAATGACACTGATCATTGAAAAATGAATTTAGGTGCCCCCTCTGCCCATACTTTTTCCTTTGGGATAATCATAATAAATAGCTGTTCCCTGTGGTCAAAGAATTGAGAAATCACTAAAATAATTTGGAATAAATAGACACGTATAATACGGAAGCACAAGAAAAGAAATGAACTGTCATTTCAAAGGCATTCTGCGGAGGAATCTTGCAGTTTTCAAGTTGAAAGCTGTTTTTTTGGCACAACAAACTAGAACTGCAAAAGCAGTCCAATCTAAGATGCTTGTTATCTTTCCTCAAAAATCTTCGCAGAATGATGTTCCATTTTGTTGTTTTCATTAGCACATTTTTAATTAATATTTTAATATCTAATATTTTCAATGTCCTGGGGCCAAGCAAATCATCAATTAGTTACTTCTAATAAAATACCAGGAAAAGTAAGGTGGCAAATAGCCGTATTCCAAAGATCCACAAGAAAGCCAAAATGGTTGGTTCTATTGTCAATCATAAAGTTATCAGTTTTTCTTAGGGCTTCATATAACTTCCATAACTTATTTCTGCACATATTTTTTCTTTAATTGTATATCTCTTCTCCTAGATTATAATCATTTCTGAGTAACAGATTTTCTTTGTGCTTTCAGTGTCCATTCCAGTACCTGTCTAATTGCAGATGTTAAAAAAATGTTTTCAGAACGAACAAACTGGAAGACACGCCTGTCCCATCTTCTCAGGGGCCTTTGTTTCTACATTAACCTATCTTGCCTTTCTGTATTATCAATTTCTTTCTCCATATTAGATGAACTTCTTTTGTCTCCAACTTTTCGAAATTCTCCATTGACCCTACATATCATTCTAGCTATTGCGTTACATTTTTTGTCCTTGTTACATCAAAACATCTCAAAGAAAATGTATTACTAGTTCATTAATCACACTGTTACCTCCTATATATTCTTCCATCCATTCCAATCTGACTTCCTACCCTGCATTAAAAAGACACTCTTCATCAATCTTTAATAGTTTCCATGTTACAAATCCAATGAATGCTTCTCTGTTTTTGTTTTTACCCAAATTCTTATATAATTTGTACACAATCGTTCAATTTTTTATTCAAATTTCTCTTTCAGAATTCAGTTCTCAGTCCTCTCGTCTTCTTTACTAATATTCTTTAAATAATCTCATTCATTCCCAAGGCTACAAATATTATTCACATACAGATAACATTCAAATTTATATCTCCAGCCCTAAGTTTTCTGAGATCCTTACTCATGTAGGCAATGGCCTACATGACATTGCTATTTGCATGACTAAAGCCATCTCACATTTAACATATTCAAAGGGATCTCTTTATTCCTTCAACTTGGTTTTCCAATTAGTCTTTTCTATATCAGCAAATGATATCCCTATCTACCGAACTGTTCAAGTCAAAAACTACAGGTCTTAACCTTCACCCCCCTTTTTCCAAATCTCCATAAACCTAACATTTTTCCCAATTTTACCTCCATAAAATCCATAAGCAAATTATCAGTGCTACTTACAAAGTAAGCCAAGTCTAGCCACTTTATCTTCATTGCCAACACTCTAGTCCAAGTCACTACCTTTGGTGAGATCATTTTCTACAAAGGCCTCCTAAATTCAGCAGCCTTTCTACTTCGACTGTTATTCTTTCCACCCCCTATTTATTTTCCACCCATCAGCAAGCATGATCTCTTTAAAAGGCAAATCAAAGCATAGTATTTCTCTACTTAACCCCCTCAAAGCTTCCCCAAAGTAGTTTGAAAAAGTAATCAAACACCTTATGAAGGTTTATAAGGTCCAACCATGATCAGGCCCTTCCCTGCCTTGCCAATTTCATCTTCCACTCTCCAACCACTCATGCCTCATTTCTTTTCATGAAAATAGTGACAGTGACCTCTTTCCAAGAAAAGAGCTTTTGAACATGTTCCTCTGCATAACATGATTTTCCTAAAGAACTTTGCATGGCTAGCTTCTTATTCTTCAAGACTCACTGCAAATAGCACCACCTCAGAGAGGTTTTCCAGGAGCACCTTACCTAAAGCTGTCTTCCCCACCCTCCAAACCCAGTTATTAACCTTTATACCATTCTGTTTATTTCTTCAACACATTTATCACAATCTGAAATAACTTTGTTTACTGTTTTATGACTAAATTATAAACTCAAATCCTCTATTTCTGAAGCCCAGAATAGTGTCTAGCGTATAATAAATATCTGATTAATGTGTTAGGGAATGAATAAATAAATAAATAAATAAATGATAAGTAGAGTAATTTGAAAGTTACATGACCTTAAAAAATGTCACTATTACCTAAAATCCTAACCACTATTATAGATTATTTTCTTTGGTAGGAATCAACCAGAAAAATGTAAAGCACATAAATTAGTTCATCAAATTATTTTACTGGAAGTTTCTTTTTTAGATCATAAAGAAGGAAACGATTTCTCTAGAACCCCTGCTGTCCCATCTCTGTTTAAGCCAGATTTGGTATATCTGTTAGACTAAAGAGCTGTAGAATCTCATTGGCTTCACTCTACTACTAACTCAAATTTTTTTCACTGTCTTTGACTTCCACCCTGTCTCTGTCCACATCAAACACTTAAAAATCTCTCTCTTTTAAAAACTGATGGTCTGTGGCCTTAACACTTAGACTATCTCTAAATATTCTTGAATTACTCTTGCTCTATTGGCCCTGTTCCATCCACTCCATCTTAAGTAGGACGCATGACGTTATGATGACTTGTAACTCTACCTTGACAAGGGAGCTTCAGGGTAAGGGTCAGCCCAGTGTTCTTTCTCTCTTACCCAAGAGGGATGGTTGACAGATTTAACAAATAAAAGTATAGGATTCCTTATGAAATTTGAATTTTGATAAACAATAAATAATTGTTTATAAATATAGCTCGAATATTGCATGGAACACATTTGCAATATTTGAGAAATACTTGTGAAAGATTATTCATCGTTTATCTGAAATTCAAATTTAAGTAGGTGTTCTGGGTTTCATCTGGCAACCCTATCAAGGGAGCAGATAGGTTTTTTCAGACCTTGGTCTCAATGAGGAGAGAGGCTCTCTCTGGGTCTGAGTAATCTGAAAGAGTAAAAATTAAGCAAAATCATTCTTAAATTCAGCAAACATTTATTGAGCATATATGTTCAGCACTGTGGGAATTACTAGATATTCAGTGGTGAACCAAATAGACATTAGCCTGATTCATGTATATAATCCAGCAGAAGAGAAAGGTAATAAACATTTAAATAAACAAGTAAGTCCAGTTCTACTAGCCTGCTTTCTGAAAATTTTTCCTCAGATTACCCTTCTCTCTCCCTCTCTCTCTCACACCCAAACATACATACAACACACATTCTGAAAGCAAATAGCAGTTTTAATAATGTATAGTGACATAGTTCTGTTTTACTTGTCTTGTAATTAAGCAATGTTCTTTTTTAGGGAAGACACAAGCCAGTCCTATTACTATTCTACCAGTAATATCACAAAAAAATAAAATGGTATTGATATTATCATGTGCCTAGTATAACTTGAAATCTTGATTTGAACTTTAGATTTTAAAGCAGAATAAAAACTCAGTTTTCAACTAAGTAACACTGTGTTTGTTATTAACAGACTGTTTGAAGATAAGACAATCCTTAAGAACATTTACCATCCAAATTAGGCTTATTATTTGTTCTATTAATATTCTCTGCAGTTATCTTCCTATTATATTGATTCAAAAAGCTTTGACTCCAAGAATGAATTGGTTAGTGGTAATATGAAGTTAACTACTTATATATGCCATGGCTTGGAAAAGTCAAGGAACTGTATTCTAAGGTCCTTTATTGACCTGATATCATGAAGGTTAAAGAAATTTGTGTTGAAGAAATGTTTAATGATATGTTTTTAGATAATATGGAAGTAGAACAAAGATATTCCAAAGATACAGAAGAACTTTTTCTGGTACCGTCCTCTGTGGTGCACAGGACTTGAATAAAGAATAATTTGTCTAAAACTGTTATCCACCTCTGACTTACAGAAGCAAGCAACAGAATACAAAACCCCCTTCCAACAGCAAAAACTGATACAACTGGTGTGGTTGGCAGGTCTTCTTCTGAAACCTTCAGAGTCTTAAATGATTTCAGTTTTTCTCCACTGCTTTATTCCTGCCTCTCTCATTCGCTCACATTTATGGGGCCCCAAAACCGTCCAGACTGTAAAGATCAGGCTGAGCAGAAACCCTTTACCCTCATTGACTCTTTCTGCAGCAGGAGGATTTCTGAATTTCAAGTATCCTGTCTTTAGTACTCAGCAGTAGAGGAGAGAAAGAACAACACCCTCTCCTACTCTGATCATTGAGTCCATATTTGTGCAATTCAGTTTCATAAGTCTAGATAGCAAAAAGTCTTCATTCAATAAACCCCATGTCGGCTACATTAAAAACCCTACTGAAAATTGTTAAGTTTTCATCACTGCTCAAACCAAGCCTAAGGCCATTTGAAAATACAAGTTTAAATTATGACTTATTATTAAAATGTAGTTTCACTAATTTTCTGCATGCTAATATCTGAAATCAGACCAACTCAATGCTTCCTTGTAACTACCTTATTAGAAAAAAAAACATTAATTGTGTTTATTTGCTCAATAAAAATTAGTAGCTAATAAATTATAGTAGTTTAGTGACTGCCATAATTTTGGACACTGTAAAAGGCCCTAAAAGTTACAATTTTTTTTAAAAAAGATACCTTTGTTAACAATCTAATGGCTAATCTTTGGTTATTTGTAAATGATGCTTTCAAAGTAGTTGATATACCTGGAAAATATTATAAATTACACAATGACATTTTGGTCAATGATATTTTGGTCAACAACTGAAAAGATATAGAATGGTGATTTCATAAGATTATAATCGAGCAGAAAAATTTCTGTTGCCTAGTGACATCGTAGCCATTGTAATGCTGTAGCACAATGCATTATCTTTTCTGCTTAGTTGTGTTTACACAGACAAATACTTATCATTGTGTTATAATTGCCTAAAGTATTCAATACAGTGACATGCTGTACAGGTTAGTAGCCTAGGAAAAATGGGAAATACCATATTGTCTAGGTATGTAGTAGGTTATACCATCTAGGTTTACATAAGTATGCTCTACAATGTACAATGATGAAATTCCCTAAAGATGTATTTCTCAAAATGTATCCCTATGATTAAACAACACACAACTGTATTTAAAGCACTTGAAGATATTCAAACACTAACCAATTAGGAAAACATCTGTTATTTTACCTCTAGATGAGTAGCTAAAATATGTGGAGTTTTCAAATTGTTTATCATTTGATAAGAGATAAAAACATAAGCAAATTACAAATGCAGTAAACCTGGGTAATGGGGTTATGGAGTATAGTTACCGAATGTGCAGCTAGTCAAGGCTCTAGAAAGTATAGTAGCTAGTCAAAGTTTCAGATAGAATATAATGATATCCTCCATTGTCCTTCACTGAGCTCCACTGCACTGCAAAAATTTGCACAAAATTTTAAATAAACAGATTATTTATTGTTTACTATTGAGAATTCACATGTGAACAAGATGGTCAGGTGCCTGTCCCTCTGTAACTTCCATTCCAGTGCATTTATGTGTTGCCCTTATTAGTATCCAACAGAAGCTACATATTTATTTTGACAAAAATTGGATTGCAACCCACCTAAATGGTACAATGTTTTCTTTTCCAGCTACTGCAATAGCTCCTACAACCTTACTGCTTAAAAAATATTTCCTCAATAAAGAAATTACCTCATTTCAGCAATAAAACTGCCCTGAAAGATAATTGTATTATTAAATATTATGTTTAAACAGAAAATCTAATTCTAAAATGAAGTCCCAAGATGCTAGAAAACTTGCCCAAGGTTACAAACTTAGTACAAACTTTAGCTAGGAGTTTTGTTGAAAGAATAAAGAGAGAATGAAAATGCTCTGTAAATTCAAACACTAATGTGTCAACCTATACAGTGTTCACAAGAAACAGCAGTAGCAGCTTTCTGGTTTGTGCTTATAGCTGTAATTTGTTTTTCAAACAAACTCTGCAAGATGTTATCTTAGATTTCTATCATTATAAATTTATATACTGCTTTTATAATTAAATGATGTTTAAATAAATTATCCTTAAAATAATAACTGATATATGCATATACAAATCTTAAGGTTCATGAGAATGGCTTAATTCCTGTAGTAAATAAAGAAGTACTTTTATAAGTTTTTAAACCTATAAAAATTTGAAGATGCACTATGTATTTAATTAATAATGCCACTGACCAACATGGTCCTAATATTTGCCTCAGTTTGACTAAACTTTACATAGGCTTATTCTTCACCGTAGGTTCTTACCTCCCTTTTCTCAGAGTGTTTCTTTTAGAAAACTTTAAATTGTAAATTATTTCTCTGACCCTTTGAGATATAGATCTTTTTAAAAGCTTCCTGACAGTTTTATAACCCAGAAATTTTTTTTCAAGGACCTGAGAGTCATGTCTTCGACATGTCATCATCAAAGAAGATAGCACTCAGTCTCCTATTTTCTGTGAGAGGGAAGGAGTCTAATTTCAATGGGTGTCTGGCTATGTCATAAAACTACATTTTGTCATAAAGATATAAGAGTTTCATTTTACCTTCACATAAAGCCAATGAGAAAACACAGATGGTGTGATAGTTAATATTGAGTGTCAACTTGATTGGATTAAAGGATGCAAAGTATTGTTCTTGGGTGTATCTGTGAGGGTGTTGCCAAAGGAAACTAATATTTGTGTCAGTGTACTGGGAGAGGTAGACCCACCCTCAATCTGGGCGGGCACCATCTAATCAGCTGCCAGTGCAGCTAGAATAAAGCAAGAAAACATGGAAGGACTAGACATGCTGAGTCTTCCAGCCTTCATCTTTCTCCCATGCTGGATGTTTTCCTGCCCTGGAACACCAGACTCCAAGTTCTTCAGCTTTTGGACTCTTGGACTTACACCAGTGGTTTGCCAGGAGTGCTCAGCCTTCAGCCACTGACTGAAAGCTGCACTGTCGGCTTCCCTACTTTTGAGGTTTTGGGACTCAGACTGGCTTCCTTGCTCCTCAGCTTGCAGACAGCCTGTTGTGGGATTTCACCTTGTGATCATGAGTCAATACTCCTTAATAAACTCCCCTTCATATATACATCTATCCTATTAGTCCTGTCCCTCTAGAGAACCCTGACTAATACAGATGGCTTATGACTTTCCCCTAATGTCCTACAGGACTTTTGCACTAGCTCACCCCAGCACTCATAAAACCCTATCCTCTCTGCTTTAGTGACGTTGAGGTCAAACTTAGCTCTGGCCTTTCTCCCCTGTTGCGGTAGTCTTAAATAAAGCATTCCTTACCTGTTTCACTTTGTATGGTATAACTTTTATTTTGATGCCATACTTACAAAAAAAAAAAATTGCATGGAGTATTGAGAAATAATATGTGTAAACAAAACAGAGTTATCATAAAAATACCAACTCTGGGGCAAAATATAAATTTAGCATGGTCAAGTTTACAAATTATTGTCTGAGATAAGTGTCTAACAAAAGTAAGTTTTCCTCATTCAAAGGAATATATTCATAGACAAGAAAGACATTGAAGCTACCTATATAAAATCCATTAGTCTAATGGTATTTTCAGAAACTGAAGAAAATTAAAAACTTTTAAAAAATGGCATTGAGTTTAGAAGCATAGACAGATATTTTGTAATTACCAATTTCACAAAAAGAACCTGTATGAGGAAGTTCAGTAGCCAAACCTAATCAACAATAGACTCAATGTATTTACAATAAAAATGCTACATCCTCTTCTTTTTCCACCCTGGCAATTAAAAGAACAATAGAAAGAAGTCAAGCTATCTGTTGTAGAAAAATATAAATGAAAAAAATATCAAGAGGATTGACTACAGTAAGCACCAGAACATTCAGAAGATAAAGGAGAAATATCAATCTGAATGTCTAAAACCAAGATTCAAATTAACATCAAGCTTGAAAAATACTTCTTTAAATTGACATAATTTGAATATAAAGAATTTAAACACAAACTAAAGGTATTCGCATCAAATTATCTCTGTTCTCATAGCTTAAACATAGCAAAACCCAATTTTAGATACTTAATATGAAATTTTTGAAAGAGACATACCAACAAATTAAAATAGAATCTAACTTTTCATAAACTTAGAAGATAGTAGAAAATTAGGTAAGATACCACTTGCCCTAGGAAAAGAATCATAATTAGCTTTCAGTGTTGGTATAGGAGATATAGAACACTTTTGAAGCTGTTCTCTATTGAGTTGAGAGAACTATTCTTTCCTAAGAAACACAATACTAATATTTTCCCCAAACAAGCCAATACTCTTAAATAATGAAAGTATTTACTAATTGTTGTAAAACTTAGATGTACCAGGAAATAATTTAACAAAGAAAACATTGTCACAGGAATAAATTTTATATTTGGAAACACTGTTTGGCCTTAAAAATTCTCAAGTAAGAGTTAATAGCTACAAATTAGAATTATCTCTAGTAAAAGGCTACTACTGTTTCAATTACTTTTTACAAGTTTTGACTGTCAAGAAACAGAAACAAGAACTATGAAACAGAAAACATATCTGATACATTAACTTTCTATGTGATTTATACAGCACAGCAGAGCTCAGATAAATATAATGAAATTCAGTTATACAGTTAATTCAGTTCAGTGTTTATTTATCAAACTAATTATATGAAACTAAAAGTAGATATATGCTAAAATAATTTTTAAATCACAGAACCATTTATTCAACAGGTGTTAAATTGGATCTAAATCTCTCTATATAAATTCTATTTACATGTCAAATTATTATAAAGAATTTACAACCCAGAAATTGCAAAATGTACTTCTAATGAACCCTAGATACTAATAGAGTGCTCTCAAAGGCTTATTAATTCAACAAATAAACACAATCAAACAAAATAGCATTATAAGCATTGTCATTAAGATATTCATTATATAGTCTCCATCACAACATGATTTAAATTCAATGATAGTTTTGTGTCAGAAATAAAAAGCTAATTTTTCATTTGCTTTTTTCCTTGCCTAGGGTAATATATGCCATTAGTTTCAATATTTAGTATCTTATCCATGCTTTGACTTTTTCTAGTAGCATGTAGTGTATCACCAGAAATCTTCATGCTGTTAACAAAGACCTATTCATTCAATAGGTATGCTTTCCACTAAAGAGTCAATATAACACTCACAGTGAATAATGAAAACTCCACATTAGAAATTTGGAAATCTTGACTACAGAAAAACAAATAAAATTGTAAATTTTTTAAGGAATATTTCTACCAGAATAAATTTTAGGCTTTGAGGAAGCAGGAATAAAATCAAAAATTTTATTATATTTACATTGCCATCTAGATCCAGTAAAATCACTTATTCAATGGAAGTCAACATATTATATCATAGTCAGTACTTTTATTCCCTTACTAAAACTTCAGAATTACTATTAACATTTTAATAAAGTGCTAACCCATATAAGCCCACACTTTATTTTTACCAATTTATAATTTTCTTTTCATTTGTATATACTGGCTGTTGATTATGAGATTGTAAAAAAAAAAAACCCTACCTTTTGAAGTTTTAATGTTTAAATTTCTAGAACTTAGAAGCTATCTTTTTGTTCAGAATATAAGCAGATATGAATAAAATTTGAATGTAGAAACATATCAGCCCTATGCTGTATTTCATTTAAAACATGTAGCTTAGTTTGAAAATTGGCATGGACAATCACACAATTTTAAAGGAAAGCCCAGAAGTCATATTACCCAAACCATACAGTGAAAGACTCTTCCTCCATAAAATCCTGAAAGATCTTCTCTATTGTTTCTAAAACTTCCCATTGAGAGAAACCACTGCAATAAATTCTAGTTCACACCGCTGCAATCAATTTCAGTTTCTGATTGAACAGTTCTAATTATTAGGAAGCTTTTATTTATAGCAAGTCAAATAATATATGCTTCTGTATAAAATTAGCCAGCCTTTTTCCTGGAACAATTTTTTTAACTATTTGAAGATATTTGTGATATTTTCTTCATTCTACCTTTTCCATTCTGTAATTGGGCAAATTTGGTTTTTTAAAAATTAACATATAATTTGATGTTTATCCTTAAAGAAGTACATTATATTTCAAACTGTGAACAGTGACTGTTCTTGATAGGTCATTAATAGAGGCAGACCTAAGTCAGGAGAAGTCACTTGAGGTAACACTATAGTGAGCAAGACAGAAACACTGATTAGTCCAAAATATAAAACTTACACCCTTGGTCAAAAGTCACTCCCTTAAACTGCTGAACATAAAACAAGACTATGACTGGAAAGGTTATAGATTTTGAAATCAATTTTGGTATCCCTAGGTTAAAGGTGTCAAAACTCAGTCACAAATATTTCTGCTTATAGTCAGAATTTTTTGAAAATCAAGCACCAACTCCCATTCTTTGGTTAAAGTATTCTTATTTTACTTGAGAGGAGCAGTCAACTCTATTTTCTTTATTTCTTTCTATGTGCTTTAAAAACAGCTGAGTCTCAGGGAGAGCATGTGAGTGATGAATGGACAACTGGAGGATCCCAGTTTCCCTGGGCACAGTAATAGTTTTAGCATTGGGCATGAGAACCAAACATGGAGAGAATCTGCGGATATTTGCTAATATTATACAGAGATATCATGCTTTTTTCCCCTTGACTTTAAACAAGAAAGATATAACTTGGGCTACTGTTTTAAATGACAAAAACATTTTGAAGAAATTATAAATCTATGATATTGTGTAAAAATTATATAAAAATGTAATTTGTGACATCAATTACATAAAGTGAGGGTATGGTGCTGTAGAGGAGTAGAGTTTTTGTATGTAATTGAAGTTAAGTTGTTATCAGTTTAAAATAGACTGTTATAACTTGAAGATGTTTTATGTAAATGCAATGGTTACAACAAAGAAAATATGTTTAAAATATACATGAGAGAAAATGAAAAGAAAATCAAAGCATATTGCCACAAAAAAATCAATGAAACACAAAGAAAGGTAGTGAGAAAGGAAAAGACAAAATCTACGAGACAGACAATAAACAATTAAAAATGGAAATAGTAACTCCTTCCCTATCAGTAATTAATTTAAATCTAAATGGATAAAACTCCCCAATCAAAAGCTACAGATTGATAAATGTAAAACCAGGATTCAACTATATATTTTCTACAAGAGACTTATTTTAGATCCAAGGACACACATAGGCTGAAAGTGAAAGGATAAAAAAAGGTATTCTGTGAAAATGGTACATTACAATCAAATTGTCTGAAGTGACCAAATACCTTGAAAGACGGTAGGAATAACTATAATAATATCAGATAAAATCAGATTTTAATTTGAAAACTATTATAAGACATGAACAAGGATATTATATAATGATAAAAGGGTCAATTCACCAAGAAGATCTAACAATTATAAATATTTATGTACTAAACCAGAGCTCCTAAATATATAAAACAAACTTTGACAGAATTGAAGGAGAAATAGACAGCAACCCAATACTAATAGGAGACTTCAGTACACCACTTTCAACAATAGAAAGAACAACAACTGGAAAATCAACAAGGAAATAGGGACCTGAACAACATTATATACCAATAGAACCCAACAGATATGTACAGAATAATCCACCCAATAACAGCAAAGTATACATTCTTTTATAGTATACACAGAATATTTTCTAGGATAGACCACATGTAAGGACACAAAACAGGTCTTAACAAATACAAAAAGATTGAAATCACACAAGTATCTTTTCCAATGACAATGAAATGAAACTAGAAATCAATAGTACAAGGAAACTGGAAAATCCGCAAATACATAAGAAAATTAACACACTCTTAAACAACCAGTGAGTCAAATAAGTAACAAGAAAATTTTAAAAATACCTTGAGACAAATGAAAATAAAAACACACCAAAATTAATGGGATCCAGTAAAGAGTACTAAGGAGAAGTTTATAGTTGGAAATGTAAATGTACATGTTTAAAAAAAAATTACAGTCAATACCAATGATAAACATAGATGCAAAAATCCTCAACGAAATACTAGCAAACCATGTGTCTGCACATTAAAAGGATCATTCACCATGATCAAGAGGACTCTATTTCTAAAATGCAAGACTAGTGCAACACACATAAATTGATACATTTGATATATCGCATTAACAGAACAAAAAGGACAGAAACCATATCATCATCTCAATATATTTAGAAAAGGCATATGACAAAATTCAACGTTATTTCATGGTAAAAACTCTCAACAAAGTAGGTGCAAAAGGAACGGTCCTCAACACAATAAAGGCCATATATGACAAGCACACAGTTAAAATCTTAATGGTGAAGAGTTAAAGGCCATTCCTATGACATTGGGAACACGACAAAGATCAAGTTTAACATACTGAAATTCTTGGCCAGAACAGTTAAGCAAAAGAAAACTGAAAGGCATTCAAATAGAAAAGAAAGAAGTGAGATTGTCACAATTTGTTGATGACATAATCTTATATATAGAAAAACCTAAAGACTCCACCAACAATTGTAAGAACTAATAAACAAATTGAGGAGGCAGAGCAAGATGACTGAATAGAAGCCTACACTGTTTGTCCCCGCTGCAGGAACACCAGATTTTTTTTTTGGTTTTTTTTTTTTTTTTTGAGACGGAGTCTTACTCTGTCGCCCAGGCTGGAGTGCAATGGCGCGATCTCAGCTCACTGCAACCTCTGACTCCAGGGTTCATGCAATTCTCCTGCCCCAAACTCCCGAGTAGCTTGGATTACAGACGCACACCACCACGCCCAGCTAATTTTTTTGTATTTTTAGTAGAGACAGGGTTTCACTATGTTGGCCAGACTGGTCTAGAAATCCTGACCTTGTGATCCGCCTGCCTCGGCCTCCCAAAGTACTGGGATTACAGGCGTGAGCCACCGCACCCGGCCAGGAACACCAAATTTTAACAACTACAAACAAAAAGCACCATCACAAGAACCAAAAATCACTTGAGCAATCACAGTACCTGGTTTTAACTTCACATCACTGAAAGAGACATTGAATCACCAACTCTATCCTTCCCCAATCCCCAGGGTGAGACTGGGCACCTCAAAGAATCTGGGCACTTGGGAGAGGAAGAGCACAGCAATTGTGAGGCTTTGCATTGAACTCAGTGCTGCCCTGACATAGCAGAAAGCAGGACCAGGCTGTATTGAGCTGACGTCCGCCCACCGCGGGAGCATTTGGACTGGCCCTAGCCAGAGGGGAATCATCCACCCCAATTGCTGGAGCTTGATTTCCAGGAAGCCTTGCCACCAAGGGCTGGATTATTCTCGGGCCCTAAGTAAACTTGAAGGGCAGTCTAGGCTACAAGGACTGTAATTCCTAAACAAGTTCTAATTCTGGGCTGGGAACATAGACAGTAGACTGGGTGGTGGTAGGGGGCAGGGGAATGCATCCTAATGAGGTACCAGTCAGGATGGTTAAGGGAGTGCTTGTGCCATCCCTTCCCCATCACCCAGCAGGCACCACACAAAGTGGAGAAATCTGTTCACTTGGAAAAGGGAAAGCACAGCAACTGGGGGACTTCACATTGAACGCAATGCTGCCCTGTCGCAATAGAGACCTGACAGGATTCATTACCTGCTGACTAAAGAGCCTCTGGGCCCTGAATAGCCAACAATGATACCCAAGCAGTACACCATGGGCGATGGGCTCTGAGATGTGCTAGCTCCATATGTACCCCAACACAGCTGCAATGGCTACAGTGAAAGACTCCTTCTGTTTGAGAAAAGCGGTGGAAAAGTAAAGAAAACTCTGTCATGTACCTTAGGTACCAGTTCAGCCACAGTACGATAGAGCATCAAGCAGGCTCTTGGGTACCTGAGTCCAGGCCTAGGCTTTTGGTCACCATTTCTGGACCTGCCCTTGGCCAAAAGGGAGCCCACTGCCCTGAAGGGTGAGTCCCAGGCCTGCCAACATTCACCCTAAGATGACTGAAGAGCTCTTGGTTTTAAGTGAACACTGGCAGTGGCTTGGCAGAACCACCCATGGGTTAGTGGTGGTGGTAGCCACAAAGAGAGGCTCCGCTGGCTGTGGAAAGGGAAAGGAAGAGAGGGAAGGACTTTGTCTTGTAGTTTGAATGCCAGCTTAGCTGCAATAGAATAGAGGCCAGGTAAATTTCTACGGTTCTTGACTTCAATCCCTGGCACCCAGACAGCATCTCTGGACCCAAGCAGGACCTAGGGGAATTCACAGCCCTAAAGGGAGGGACATAAACCTGGCTGTTTGCCACCTGCTGATTGTAGAGCCCTAGGGTCTTGAGTGAACTTAAGTGGTAGCCAGGTAGTGATTTCAGCAGGCCTTGGATGAGACCCATGCTGTGCTGGCTTCAGGTCTTAACCAGTGCAGTTCCAATGTTGGTGGCCACAGGGGTGCTTGTGTCCCCCTATCCCCAGTTCCAGGAAGTTGAACATAGAGACAGAGACTCTGTTTGGGAGAAAGTAAGGGAAAAGAAGAACAGTCTCTGCCTCATAGTCCAGAGAATTCTTCCAGATCTTATCAGAGACCACCAAGGTGGTACCTCTATGAGTCTGCAAGAACCACAGTGATATTAGGGTATTGGGGCTCAAGTCCCTTTGAACACCTGGAAACCCTTTTTAGGAAAGGCAGGCACAAACAAGCCCAGACTATGAAGACTACAGTAAATGCCTAACTCTTCAATGCCCAGATGCAGACAAACAACCCTCCAGGAAAACATGACCTCAGCAATTGAACTAAATAAGGCACCAGGGACAAATCCTGGAGAAACAAAGATACATGACCTTTTAGACAGAGAATTCAAAATAGCTGTATTGAGGAAACTCAAAGAAATTCAAGATACCATAGAGAAGGAATTCAGGATTCTATCAGATAAATTTGACGAAGAGATAGAATTAATAAAAAGGAATAAAGCAGAAACTCTGGTATTGAAAAATGCAACCATCACACTGAAGAATGCATCAGAGTCTCTTAATAGCAGAATTGATCAAGCAGAATAAAGAATTAATGAGCTTGAAGACAGGCTATTTGAAAATACACAGTCAGAGGAAACAAAATGAAAAAATAATAAAAAACAATAAAACATGCCTACAAGATCTAGATAATAGCCTCAAAAAGGGCAAATCTAAGAGTTATTGGCCTTAAACAGGAGGTAGAGAGAGATGGGGTAGAAAGTTTACTCAATGGGATATCAGAAAACCTCCCAAACCTTGAGAAAGATACCAATATTCAATTACGAAAAGATTATAGAACACCAAGCAGATTTAACCCAACAAAGACCACCTCAAGGCATTTAATAATCAGACTGCTAAAGGTCAAATATAAAGAAAGGATACTAAAAGCAGAAAGAGAAGAGAAACAAATAACATACAATGGAGCTCCAATATGTCTGGCAGCAGACTATTCAGTGGAAATCTTACAGGCCAGGAAAGAGTGGCATGACATATTCAATATGCTGAAGGAAAAAAACTTTTACCCTAGAGTAGTGTATCTGATGAAAATATTCTTTAAGCATGAAGAAGAAATCAAGACCTTCTCAGAAAAACAAAAGCTGAGGGATTTCATCAACACCAAACCTGTTTTACAAGAAACGCTAAAGGGAGTTCTTCAGTCTGAAAGAAAAGGATGTTAGTGAACAATAAGAAATCATCTGAAGTTACAAAACACACTAGTAACAGCACACAGAAAAAACACAGGATATAATAAAACTGTAATTGTGGAATATTTTCATATGAATTATGCTTCTCTTACTGTACTTTTTTCTGCTTTTGTTAGATTTAGAGCTTTCTTTCTTTATTAGTCAGGGTTCTCCAGAGAAATAGAACAAATAAAGTATATATGTATGTGTGTATGTATGTGTGAGTGTATGTGTGTATAGATATATTGTATATACATATACAACATGTATATAATACATACGTGTATCTATATAATAGGATATATATACAGGATCCCCAATAGGATATGGATATATAAATATACACACATATATTTATATATACACACACACACACAAACACATAGACACATATATATGAAGATATTTACTATACAAAATTAGCTCACACAATTATGGAGGCTGAGAATCCCACAATCTGCAAGCTGGAGACCCAGGAAAGCTAGTGGTATAATTCCAGGTTGGGTCCAAAGGCCTGAGAACCAAGAAGCCTATGGTGTAAATTTCAATCCAAGTGAGGAAGTGAAGACTAATGTCCCAACTCTACAGGAAGGCAGGAGGCAAAAAGGAGAGAATTCTTCTCCTTCTCAACAAATTCAATGAAGTCCACCCACATTGGGGAGGACAATCTACTTTGCTGAGTCAACCAATTCTAATGCTAATCCCATCCAGAAACACCCTCACAGAAATACCTAGAATTAGTGTTTAATCTGGGCCCCACTAGCCCAGTCAAGCTGATATATAGAATTAACTACTTACACTTCCTTCTGAGATTGTTGACAATTGTACTTGTTGGAGTCTTCCATTCTTTTTGAGCTGAATTTCCTTAAACAAACTGTCATCTTAGTAACTGTATTTGTTTGAGAGGGTTGTCATATGAATTATCACAGACTGGGTAGCTCAGACAACTGAAATTTATTTTCTCACCATTCTGGAGGATTCAAGTTCAAGATCAAGGTATCAGCAGGTTTGGTTTTTTCCATGGCTTGCAGAGGGCTACCTTCTCATTGTGCCCTTAAATGGTCATCCCTTTGTCTGTGTGTCCTTTTCTAATGAGGATATCAGTCGTATTGGATTAGGACCCATCCTAATGACCCTGTTTTAACTTAATTTCCTTTAAAAGATTTATCACCAAATACAGTCAGTTTTTGAGGTACTAGAAGTTAGACCCTCAACATATAGGTTTGGGGGGAACATTATTCATCCCATAAAAGTAACATAGTTACATTTTCTCTTAAATTATGAAATCTGATTTGTCAAAGTCTTCATGATCATATATCTGACTAAATCTTCTCTTTATAATATGTTGTATTTCCTTACCATTATATATTGAAATGATTATTTTCCACCAAAACTTACATATATCTTGCCATGTAGCACACCAATTTCTTAAAGCAAAAATGCATTTATCTATACATTCACATACCTGCACACAGGTCAGAGGTCCTGGTACAGGCAGGTTTGTGTCCTGATGAAGCAGCCTTGTTGTCTGGGGTGGTACTTGAGGTTCATCATCTCATGTCTAGGAAATCAAGGATGTGGACACACAGAGAGTGAGGTTAGGAGTGGAAGTTTAATAGGTGAAATAAAGAGAAGAGCTCTCTGCAGCAGAGAGGGGTCCCAGAGAAATGGGTTGCCAGTTCTGTGGTGAAATACAGGAGGTTTTATAGATGAGCTTGAGAAGGCAGTGTCTAATTTATATAGGGCACAAAAGATTGGTTAGACCAGGTATACCATTTGCATAAGGCTCAAAAAACTGGTTAGGACTAGGCATGCTATTTGTACAGGGTGTGAATTTCTGGCCACCCCCACCCTAGTCTTTTATTATGCAGATGGATTATCTGCCTGGCCAGCAACATGTTGCCATTCATTTACTGTACATGTGGTAACAAAAAAAGGGAAGATGGACCCTCCACACTGGATATGCCTGGCCCCCAGGTAGCCCTTTTCTGTTGGCACAGCTGGCAGCATTTGCCCATCCAAGCTCCCAGCTTGTTTCTCTATGTTTGCAGTTCAACTTTTCAGGCTGCTCTTTGCTAGGAAAAAAATAATCTCTTGTGCTGCTTTTTGTGAGAAGAGAAGCTTTGCTGAGGACTCTTACCCTCACTATCTGCCTAAATAATTTCTGTCTACCTCCTGTATCACTGAGTCTAGAAAAGAATCTTTATCCTCCCTTTACTGAACTATCTCTAAGCCTATGTGTATCTGTGTATATGTGTGACTTCATATATATATTAATCTTATTTACTCACAGTATCTCAAAATTAGGTATAGTAAGGACTGATTCTTAATGTTACTATAGAATTAACATGTTTGAATGAAATTTTCTATTGGACAATTGTCTATTGACTAACAAAAATGTTTACTGGAATTGGTCAGTTGAGTTGGAAATCTCAGTTTGCAAGAGGTAGATAAAGAAAAAATAAGTAGAAAATGGGTACAAAATTTTAGCCTAGAGCCTATGTGGAACCCAGAGACTCACATGAAAATACAACTTAAATATTTCAATATGTTTTTAATATTAGACCATGGTATCTTAGCTCTGGGTTATAGAAATACTGCTCTTTCTTAAGTGTATATCCTCTCCTATGTGAGTTTTACCAAATTATAAATATTTTATAAAAATTAATTATATAAAAAAGGCCTAAGGTGCTTTGAGCTCCTCAGAAGAAATGCATAAAAGAAAACCAAGTAATTGTCATTATTATCATTATAATGTATTAAACATGTCAGATTACTTCAGAAAGGCCACTCAAGGGATTGGAAGGATCAGTATTAGAGTTGGCAATATATTAAATCAATTAATATTAAAAAGAGGATATAAGAATCATTGCCCCTCAGGATATTGCCTTTCATTAATAAAATTACTAAATATAAGTATTAAAGCAGTACTCCATGCATACCAACAAACTCAGAGTTCTCAGATAACAAATAAAAGACTAAATTTGCCTTCAGGCACATGTAGATTTGTCTTCACATACAATACTCCACAACACAATAGAAAGTATTCACAGCTCTAGACTTTCCATTTGACTTCTTAAATAATCCTATCAGTACCAACTGAATAATTACTAGAAATGATATAATACTACCTGAAATCAAATATATAAATTTGATAAGTATATAACTTTTTAATGTGTCTTTTTTGGTCTGAAAAAATATATAAACTGTCAAAGTCAGAAATCTAACCTTTAGCAAAATAAAACAAGTGTTTTAAATGCTTTTGGGTATACTTTTGATGCTACCCACTTCTGCACAGTCATCAGAGACACAAACTCTATGTAAAAAGATCTGTGTATTAATTTCAATGAGGCATTTTTTTTTTTTAAATAAAAGTACAGAGTTTATTTGGGCCAAGCTTGAAGATTGTAACCCAGGGGCATAGATTCAAGTTTCTCTGAATATACATTTCTATTAACAGTAGTCACCAGCAGATTTTTAAACAAAAAGAAGCAGTTTCTGAGTTGTTTACAAAGAATTTACATTAAATAACATATACTATTGATTGGCTATACATTGTTAAGCTATAGGGTTTGGGTTATAGTGCCCAGTACAGCATTATTAGGTTAATTTACAGCTACTTGTGGAAATAGCAGTTTCAAGGGATGAATACATAGTACATAGCTCAAAAGGTGTGGGGTCTGGGGGAGTAGGACTTGATTGCTATCTCATCATAAGGCCTCTCTGGGCCTGAAAATTTTAAAGGATTCACATTTCACGGATAAAGGTTTTTTTTTTTAAATGGAGTTTCGCTCACGTTGCCCAGGCTGGAGTGTGGCACAATCTCAGCTCACTGCAAATTCTGCCTCCCGGGTTCAAGCAATTCTCCTGCCTCAGCCTCCCAAGTAGCTGAGATTACAGGTACCCAACACCACATCCAGCTAATTTTTGTATTTTTAGTAGAGACAGGGTTACACCATGTTGGCCAGGTTGGTCTCAAACTCCTGACCTCAGGTGATCCACCCGCCTCAGCCTCTCAAATTGCTGGGATTACAGGCATGAGCCACCGCACCCAGCCTTAAAAGTTGTTTTTTGTTTGTTTGTTTTTTCTCACATCGGACTTGGTGTTAATTCCATCATCCAGCTTTAACACATTTCTATCAAAATCAAATGAGAAATTGAGACTTATTTTTAAATGGAGCCCTCTCTACAAGATTCATTTCTCTTTCCTTTCCTTGCCAGTGAGACATTTCTGTGGCCTAAAGAAGTAGGATGAATCAGGATCCAAATATGTTTACCGGCCCAATGTATGCAAAAACTTCAGCCAATTAAAATGTACTTGTAAATTCAAATATCTGAATTACTATAAATCTTGGACATGGCTAGATTATTATGTGTCAATAAAAATTTCAATTTGTTGTGGAGACTTCTAAATTATTACTCTTATGAAATGTGTGCATAAATGTTACAGTTCACTTTAAATATTACAACCAAACAAAAGCAATTCATTGCAGGTAGATTTACCTTAAAAGAAATACTAAAGGAAGTTCTTCAGGCTGAAAGCAAGTTACCCCAGCTAGTAATTTAAATCCATAAGACCAAAGAAAACTACTGGTAAAAGTAATTAGGAACAAAAATAAAAGTATACATGCTTAAGTTTCTTTCTTCTTATCACTGATTTAAAAAGCAATGGTATAAAATAACTACGTATACAACATAATGTCGGACTTATAACTTAAAGAATTGTAATATATGTGTAATATATTTACCAACATCAGCACAAAGGAGATGTGTGGTAGCGAAGGTATATTAAGCTATGGAACTAATTAAATATAACAAAATAATAATGATAATGTGTCATTTGGTTTGCAATATTAATTGGTATAAATGTATAGCAGTTATGCCACAAAAAAGGGGGATAAGAGAATATAGCCTTATAGGGGTAATATTTCTATATCTATATACCACTGGAATTAAGCTAGTACATACCAAAAGATGATTCTGATAAATTAAGATGTATATGGCAAGCCCGAGAATAACCGCTAAAATAAAAATATCAAAAAATATAGTGAAAAAAATCATTAAAGAAATTAAAATGCCAGATAAAAAACATTTACTTAATGAAAAAGAAGAGCAGATCAACAAAAAAGGCATGAGACATATAGAAATGAAAAGTAAAAGGGTAGATGTAAATACAACTACAATAATAATAAACAACATTAAGTATGAATACATTACACAACTCAATAAAAACGCAGGGGTTGTAAGACTACAAAAAAAAAAAATGACCCAACTATATTCTGTCTATAGGAAACACATTCTAGATTTAATGACATAAGTAAATTAAAAGAATGAATAAAGAAATATCATGCAAATTCAACCACAAGCAAGCTGGAAATGAATTGTGATACTAATATCAGACAAAATAGAGTTGAGAACAATAAGTGGTACTAGAGATAAACAGGGACATTTTATAATCAAAAGTTTCAGTCCTTCAGGAAGATATAGCCATTATAAGTATATACGCATCAAATAATGAAGCATCAAAATACATGAAGCAAAAACTTACAGAAATAAAAGGAGAAATGAAACTCAACAACAATAGTTGGAGACCTCACTACCTGACTTTCAAGAACAGACGGAATAACTAGACAGAAAATCAACAAGGAAATTAAAGACTTACTACTATAAATCAACTAGACCTAACAAGCATCTAGAGAACACCCCATCCGACAACAATAATATATACACTCATCTCAAAAGCACATGGACAATTCTCTAGGATAGGCCATATGATAAGCCATAAAACAAATCTCAACAAATAGAAAAGGATAGATATAATACAAAGTATATGTCTTGACCACCAAAGAATGAAATTAGAAAAAATGGAGGAAACTTACAAATATGTGAACAGCACACTCCTAAATAACCAATAGGTCAAAGAAGAAACCAAAAGAAAGTTCAGAAAATACTTTCAGATGAATAAAAATGAAGACATAATATACCAAAATTTATGGATTGCAGGTAAAGCAACATTTAGAGGAAAATTTAAAGCTATTAAGATGAAAGAGTGATCTCAAATCAATAACCCAACCTACCACCTTAGGATACTAAAAAAAAGGCGGGTGGGGGAGTAGGGACTGAACCTAAAGCAAGCAGAAGCAAAAAATAACAAAAATTAGAGCAGAAATTAATGAAATAGAAAATAGAAAAACATATCAATGAAACTGAAAGCTGTTTCTCTGAATAGATCAAGAAAATTGACATTTAGCTAGATTGACCAAAATGTTTTTAAAAAGAGAGATGACTTTGGAAAATAGTCTGTCAGTTTCTAAAACACACATATAGTAACCAGACGATCCAGCAATTCCACTCTAGGAATATACCCAAGAGAAATAAAAATATGTCCTACACAAAAATTGTACATTGAATCTATAAATTATCTCGGACATAGATTCAATGCCATCCCCATCAAGCTACCAATGACTTTCTTCACAGAATTGGAAAAAACTACTTTAAAGTTCATATGGAATCAAAAAAGAGCACGCATCGCCAAGTCAATCCTAAGCCAAAAGAACAAAGCTGGAGGCATCATGCCACCTGATTTCAAACTATACTACAAGGCTACAGTAACCAAAACAGCATGCTACTGGTACCAAAACAGAGATATAGATGAATGGAACAGAACAGAGCCCTCAGAAATAACGCCGCATGTCTACAACTATCTGCTCTTTGACAAACCTGAGAAAAACAAGCAATGGGGAAAGGATTCCCTATTTAATAAATGGTGCTGGGAAAATTGGCTAGCCATATGTAGAAAGCTGAAACTGGATCCCTTCCTTACACTGTATACAAAAATTAATTCAAGATGGATTAAAGTCTTAAACGTTAGACCTAAAACCATAAAAACCCTAGAAGAAAACCTAGGCATTACCATTCAGGACATAGGCATGGGCAAGGACTTCATGTCTAAAACACCAAAAGCAATGGCAACAGAAGCCAAAATTGACAAATGGGATCTAATTAAACTAAAGAGCTTCTGCACAGCAAAAGAAACTACCATCAGAGTGAACAGGCAACCTACAGAATGGGAGAAAATTTTCGCAACCTACTCATCTGACAAAGGGCTAATATCCAGAATCTACAATGAACTCAAACAAATTTACAAGAAAAAAACAAACAACCCCATCAAAAAGTGGGCGAAGGACATGAACAGACACTTCTCAAAAGAAGACATTTATGCAGCCAAAAAACACATGAAAAAATGCTCACCATCACTGGCCATTAGAGAAATGCAAATGAAAACCACAATGAGATACCATCTCACACCAGTTAGAATGGCGATCATTAAAAAGTCAGGAAACAACAGGTGCTGGAGAGGATGTGGAGAAATAGGAACACTTTTACACTGTTGGTGGGACTGTAAACTAGTTCAACCATTGCAGAAGTCAGTGTGGCGATTCCTCAGGGATCCAGAACTAGAAATACCATTCTACCCAGCCATCCCATTACTGGGTATATACCCAAAGGATTATAAATCATGCTGCTATAAAGACACATGCACACGTATGTTTATTGCGGCACTATTCACAATAGCAAAGACTTGGAACCAAGCCAAATGTCCAACAATGATAGACTGGATTAAGAAAATGTGGCACATATACACCATGGAATACTATGCAGCCATAAAAAATGAAGAGTTCATGTCCTTTGTAGGGACATGGATGAAATTGGAAACCATCATTCTCAGTAAACTATCGCAAGGACAAAAAACCAAACACTGCATGTTCTCACTCCTAGGTGGGAATTGAACAATGAGAACACATGGACACAGGAAGGGGAACATCACACTCTGGGGACTGTTGTGGGGTGGGGGGAGGGGGGGAGGGATAGCATTGGAAGATATACCAATGACGAGTTAATGGGTGCAGCACACCAGCATGGCACATGTATACATATGTAATAACCTGCACATTGTGCACATGTACCCTAAAACTTAAAGTATAATAATAATAAAATAAAATAAAATAATTGTACATAAATTCTCATAGCAGAATTATTCATAATAACTAAAAGATGGAAACAATCCAAATGCTCGTCAACAGAGAAATAATGAACAAAACATGGCATATTCATACAATGGAATATTATTCAGCTATAAAAAATAAAGTACTGATAACATGGCACAATATGAACAGACTTTCAAATCATTAGGCTAAGTAAAGAAGCAAGTCACGGCCGCGCACGGTGGCTCACGCCTGTAATCCCAGCACTTTGGGAGGCCGAGGCGGGCGGATCACGAGGTCAGGAGATTGACACCATCCTGGCTAACACGGTGAAACCCTGTCTCTACTAAAAATACAAAAAAATTAGCCAGGCACGGTGGCGGGCACCTGTAGTCCCAGCTACCCGGGAGGCTGAGGCAGGAGAATGGCGTGAATCCGGGAGGCGGCGCTTGCAGTGAGCTAAGATAGCGCCACTGCACTCCAGCCTGGGCGAAAAGAGCGAGACTCCGTCTCAAAAAAAAAAAAGAAGCAAGTCACAAAATGTCACATATTATGTGATTCCATTTATATAAAATTCAGAATAAAGAAATCTATAGAGGCAGAAAGTAGATTAGTGGTTGCTTGCAACTAGGGGCTGGGGTAGAGTGTGGAGGAATAGAAGGGTGATAAGTAAAGAATACAGGACTTCATTCTGAGGTGATGAAAGTGTTCTAAAATTGTAGCGATGATTGCACATATTTGTGAATATACTAAAAACAACTGAACTATATACTTTAAACAGGCAAATTTTTTGGCATGTGAATTATATCTCAATAAAGTTGTTTTCAAAAAACTACAAGTATATGAAGGACTTGGATCTACCTGACAAAGCAAAGATATGCTTTACGGTATTTGTAGTTTGCTACAAGATCCTGTTTCAGAATAAACCTTTAGAATTTCTCTTTCACAAATATGTTGCTGCCAATCACCCATTCTGTTTCTCCTGAAATGTGTATCATTAGTGAAATGTTCAACAAATATTTATTCCATTTTTATCAGGTGCCAACTGCTATCCTAGGCCCCAGCAAAACAGCAGTGAATACACAGACAAGGTCATTGCCCTTTTGACATTTACATTCTAGTGGAAGGAGACAGATAAAACATAGTAAACACAAAACAAGGTCATTTCAGATTGTCATGATTACTATAAATGAAATAACAAGGGCCATGTGATAAAGAGTGATTAAAGAGGGGAAAAGTACTTTAATGGATGGTTGGGGAAAGATTCTCCAAGGTGATATTTTTAAAGAGTGATTAAAGAGGGGAAAATACTTTAATGGATGGCTGGGGAAAGATTCTCCAAGGTGATATTTTAGAGGCAGCAGCCATATGAAGAACTTGGCGGGCACCAGACTTCTAGGTTTAGAGAAGAGTGGCTGCAAAGGCCTAAAGACCAAGCAAATGCTCTGCACGCTCAAGAAACAAACTGGAGGTCTGTGTGACAGCAATGGGGAGAGCAGAAAAAAGTGAGTTTAGAGAACTGGGGCAGAGACCAGATTTACGGGGCTACAGGGGCATGACTAAGAGTTGGGAGAGCGATAAGAACCATTGAATGGTTGTAGACAATAAGGTGACTCTAATGTATATTTCTATAGAGAATGAGTGGTCGGAGGTAAGACAATTTTGGAAACAGTGCCCCAGGAGGCCCGCTCTGAAACACATGACTGCATTAAAAATACCACATGTCAGGCATCATTCTAGGCATTTTATTCATGTGTTCTCATTTAAGTCTTCAACAAATCCACAAAGTTGGCAGCATTACTTCATTTTATGGATTAGAAAATTAAAGTTCAGAAAAGTTGCCCAGATTACACAGGTAATTAGCAGCATTTTGTTAACCAAACCAAAATGCACTATTATGGTTATGATCCAACACTGATTTTTCATATGGCTTTGTAAATAAGTATCAGAGATAAATTATAAAATACATTCATATTTCAGGGATGCAAATTTCCAATATCACTTTAATAATTAAATATTAGATAGAAGACTTTTCCTTAATCTTAAAAAAGTTTTGATACAAACTAGCATGCACAGATATGCCATTCCTCCTTAACTACTCACCCAAAGTTGGAGACAGAATATCAAGGAACTGTACCCTGCAGGTACACAGCTGCACTCCTGTCTAGCTCAGACACACTCACGAACACATTGTTCAGAAAGCCTGTACTTCCACTACTACAAATTTGTTTATTTAGTCTTATTTCTATCTCTTTCGCTCTCTCCTCACTCTCAACTTAAGTTACCCTAGAACAGAACTTGAAAATTGCATTTATTTCCAACTTTTGCCTGGATCTTCAGCTGAAAAATAGCCACAGGAAAGTTAAGCCCTGGACATTTATTCTCTATATGCTTCTGCAGTTTATGCATGTGGATTTTCTATGGTCTCAATGCTTTCAAGCTGTATTTTATAATCACAAGCTACAAATTTCACCCTTGTCAGTGCTACACCTGCAGGAAACACCCTGGTAGAACACAGTAGTCCTCCTTTACATGAGGGAGACACTTTCCAAGACCCCCAGTGGATGCCTAAAACTCTAAATGTACTGCTTTCTCCTGTACATACATACCTATAGTGAAGTTTAATTCATAAATAAGGCATAGTAAGAGATAAACAACAATAACTAATGAAAGAATAGAACAAGTAAAACAATATGCCAGCATCACCACTCTTGTATTTTGGGGATATTATTAAATAAAATAAAGGCTACTTAAGACAAGCATTGCAATCCCATGACAGTGAATCTGGTAAGGGAGACAACTGCTAAGTTACTAATAGTACAGTTTGGGTAGACAGCGTGGATATGCTGGGCAAAGGGAGGATCCATATCCAGGGCAGTACAGAGGAAGACAGATAAGATTTCATTATGGTACTCAGAATGGCAAGCAATTTAAAGTTGATGAATTGCTTATTTCAGAAATTTTATATTTAATATTTTTAGGCCATGGTTGACCACAGATAACTGAAACCACAGAAAGTGAAATTGCATATAAGGGGACACTACTACTGTTCATCACTCTTCTCTCAGGATAGAGCAAGCCAACGATGCTTTTGGAAAATCTACATAGTGTAGGGCATTTGAAATTCTTGTTTCTCATGAGGGAACAGCTAACAAGTAAATTGACAGTTTTTAGTTTATTTGGATAAATGATTCTACCATAAATACTGTTTTAAGTAACCTTTTTGGCTTTTGTCTTACATGTCCATAGGTGGTATTTGGTATTTGAGTTCCACAAGATATAAAAACAAGGCAAGATTATTACATAATAGAGTTGCTTTGCAATGTTCATATTAAGACCAAGACTAGTATCATTCTATAAACAAACTGTGACCAAAGGAAGATTTTTCACTGCCCCTCAGACATGACTTTTTTCATATATAATAATGCCCACTGCCATGATATTATGAAACTTTTTTATTGCAGAATAAAATATGGAATCAAATGCTAATGCACAGGTATAGGTAATAGGTAACAGACATGAGTAACAGACAAGACTTTCACTTGTCAGTAATGACATAACTTTTCTAAAATTATTAGATTTGTATATTTATTTTATAGGTTCAAAGTGGTTTTGCATGTGGCATTTTGACCCTCACAATGTGAAATAAAATCAAGAATAAAGCAAAATAAAGTATCCCTTTACCAATAATATTTTCATTTTTATGGTGAAACAGAGCTAAAAGTCATCTGTGTCATGCATTAGATGAAGAAAAATAATGGCTTTTCTTCCAATATTCAAGAGGGTCATCAAGATCATATGCTTAACATTTAGGTAGTATAGATTTATGCCTGACCTAGGCTATTATAAATGTATGAACTTTTTTAAAAAAAAAGCAATTTCTATTTGCAGTTAATCAAATGAGTTATTTCTTTAAGATAGTATCCTAGCAACTTCAGACAAAAGAGGAAGTCCCTGCTGATGTTGGAAAGCGATTTGTTTATCACATATCCAGATCTAACTTCTGAATGTGCTTCAAAGTGTTGCTTTGATAAAATAAAATAAAAAAACTATCAAAACTTTTCTTATAGAACTAGCAAGGTTGTAAGAATCTTCATTTCACAATTTCTGATTTTGAGGTTCTCACAGAGAACAGTGACTGTCATTGAAATAAACAGGTTTCTTGAAGGAATATTTTAATAAAACTGCATCTCTCTAATAAATCTAAGAAGGTTACCAGTAACCAAATCGTTAATTTAAAATTTTCAAATCTTGGCCAAGCACGGTGGCTCATGCATGTAATCCCAGCACTTTGAGTGGCCGAGGTAGGCAGATCACTTGAAGTCAGGAGTTCAAGACCAGTCTGGCCAACATGGTGAAACCCCGTCACTACTAAAAATATAAAATTAATAAAAATACAGGCAGTTACCTGTAATCTCAGCTACTTGGCAGGAGAAAAGCTTAAACCTAGAAGGTGGAGGTTGCAGTGAGTAAGATGGCAGCACTGCATTCCAGACTGGGCGACAGAGGGAGACTCCATCTCAAAAAAAAAAAAAAATTCAAATCGTATTGGGTTGACAATTGAATAACTAGAATTAAAACATGTTTTAATTCTTAAAACAAACCTTACCTACCAGTTATATATCTCAGTCAGTTATATATCTCAGTTATATACCATCCAGTTATATATCTCAGTCAGTGACAGATGAAAGCAGTTTGAGACACTACTGTCACTTTCAATCCTATGGGAGCCCATGTTCATTGTTTCTAACCTCGACTCTGATTTGAAGCCAGAAATTTAAAATAATAATAATAATAATAATAATAATAATAATAATAGCAACACTAACTCCAGCTAACAAATATTGAATCCAGTTCATTCAGGATATTCCATGACTCCACAACTTTTAATGTGGAGGTGCAAGGGCCCTATTCACTGGTCAGGTTAGGTCAGAGGAAGGGGCAAGAAATCTAATGATCAAACCCAAATTTGAGTATCAATATCTCAGGAAATTATCTAACTTAGGCCATAAAATAACTCAATAAAGACTGATTTATATAAAACTTTAAATCTGGCCTTAAGGAGAATGCATCAACAAGATGCGCAAAAGAAAAAAAAAGTTTCTTCAAGTTTTATGACTTGCAAAAACATAAAATTTTATATTTTTACAATAAAGGTAGGTATTTCACATCTTGAATCTTATAACTCATAACTAATTCCTAGCAACTGAGAAAAAAACAAGAACACAAGTCTTTAATAATTTTAAAGTTTTAAGTATATATTTTCTCCCTGAATTTGACAGAAAGAAAAATCTCAAAACTATTAAATACCACTTATTGATTTTCTGACTAAAAAGAAGTAGGTTAGAACAGAAGCAATGCTGAATATCATAGATACTTGATACATAGATAATAATGTTAAGAAAGAAGATGTAAAACAATTAAATCAGGAAGAAAAATGAATCATCCACCTTTAGCTGATACCAAAAACAACAGCAATGATAATAACATCTAACCTCTATCTAATAAGTGCTGGGCACTTTACTAAATTGTTTACACACATTAGCTTACACACATTAGTTGTTCATAACAAACCTAAAAGGTAGAAATTATTATGCCCAATTTATAGATGAATAAAATGAGGCTAAGAGAGGTTATGCAACTTTCCCAGTTATCCAAAAGTGACAAAGATGGAATTCAACCACAGCCTCAATCCTGAGCCTGTGGGCTTCCGCATGACACTGCACAGCCTTCTATCAACTTTCAACCTCGCAATGTCAAATATCTCTGAATAATGTGGCATATCTCGTTCTAGGAGCCAGAAATTCTTACCTAACATTTAAAAAACAAAAGCAATGCCTTGACTCCCATGTGCCATTTCCTCATGTCAATAATTTTGATTTGGGGTGTGTTAGGTAGAATTAGTTTAGTCTCCCCATTACAGAATCCCTTGTCCCAAAATAATAATGGTTTCAGCAAGATAGATGTTTATTTTTCTTAAAGTAGAAGTTGTTCAGATGTCTAGAATTCAGAGCTGATATGGTAATTCCGAAGGAATCAGGGATGCAAGCTTAGTCTATGCTTTTTAATCTTTAGAAAATGTTTCCATTGTCAATATTGCTTCACGGTATGAGATGGCTGCTTAAGTGCTGGCCATCTAGTTTGAGTCAGGAAAAAGGAAGAGGAAGAAAAGCAAGAGGAATAACCTTTCCCAAGAGAGTCCACATGCTTTAAATAAAAAAAAAAAAAAAACTCTTCAAGATGTGGTAAGTGCAGCACATCTTTCACTCACATCTTATCTTACACTCACATCCCATAACCTCAAGGAAGGCTGAAAAATGTAGTCGTTCAGCTGGGCAGACTTCTATTAGTAAAGTATAAGGGTAAAGTATTAGATGCTATACCAACAACTAGCGGTTTCTACCACTGAAAATTAGACAATTACCAGTAAGGCTTCTTAATACCTTCTTAAGAAAGTATCTCTTAGCTAAAGCCACTAAACAAAAGATGGCATCTTTAGATTAGAAGGAACACTTATTGACTCCATAAGAAACATATAAAGGGGCATAAATCTCATAAACAGGATTCTATTGCTGATTTAATAAACGGTCTTCTAATCACTTAAAATTTAAAATTTCCTACTTCATTATGAAATGTAAATTTGATACATGTAGTAAAAAACTAATAAGAAAAATTCTAAACTACTAGGTATCACATCTGTCTAATTTATTCAATTTTATTTGGCTCTGTTCCCTGAAAGGATTTCATGAAATTATGGTAAACTCTGGTTTGATGCGCAATGCCCATAATTAACATTCCCAATCTTGGTCTCTGTATTTTCTTTATTTTCTTCTTTAGCATATGTTATCTCAGTGGCAGAACCCTCTCCTCTACCTTCATTAGCCTAAATACTTCAGAAATATATCCTCTGGAAGTGTATTTAAACTAGCTCAAGATCAATATTCCTTCTTCTCTGACACTTCATTGGGAGAAAATCATACAGTTTCTGCCTTTGCTTCCTGTTCCAAAACTTTACTACACTCTCTTTATTTTCTTTCAAGTAACCACCCATGTATTTGTCTTCCCTCCTTTATACTATCATGAATAATTGTCATATGTAATAAAATATGATAAAACAAACATTTTATGTGGCTTCAAGGTATAGAATGTGATAAAACATTTGATGTGGCTTCATGGTATAGAATGAAAGCTTAATTAACAGAAAGCAGTGATAGAGAGGCAGATTTAGCTTATGACTTTTCTAACTATGAGAGTTGCCCATAATGGGAAAGCCCACGTTGAGGGAAAGGCAATAAACACCATAAATAGTCAAGCAAAGGCTAGATGTCAACTAGCAAGGATGCTGAAAAATGAATGATTGTATTGAGTGCAGGGTCAATTGGTTCCCTTACATCCTTCCCCACTAAAATATTTTATAAAAATTTGAAGGAAATTGAGTTACACTACAACCCTTCAAATAATAGCTAATAAAATCTCATATTTTATTGGATTTTAGCCTAGCTGGTGAAATTACACTTTGCTCTCTTGCGGGAGTGCCTGTGTAAAAGATTTAATACTAATTAGACAGTAAATTTTAGATCTAGCATTAACGGAGGGAGGAGAAGCAAAGAGGATTATTAAATAGAAGTGATAATTGCACTGATTTGTACTGCTTTTAAGACAACTTAAAACTTAATGAGCTCTTCAAGTGTTTCACTATTTACATTGGTGACAAAGGATTAAATATTGAGAGAAAATGCTGAGATCTCTAAGGAAACCTCAGGAAAAAAAATCTAGCCATGACAAATCTAGTTAAGTAATACTAGAAAACAAGGTAAAGTCTTATGACTTCATTGTTCAAAACTACTGAGCAAATTAGCATAAAACTATTTTAAATTGTTCCAAGATTAAAAAAAAAAAAAAAAAAAAATTCTATTACCAATATGATCAAATAGCTTATGGTCACCCTGAGATAGGGCTTTCAAATTTCAGTATTTTTACCTTTCTACAGCCCTGGGTATAATGAAAGAATGTTTAAAACCCATTCAGAGTTAATTCAAAGTGGAATTTGAATTGAGAAAAGACGCAGAGGTCACAGCACGTGCCGCATCATACCTTTCTCTTTTGATTTCCATGTCAGTATTATGTGACTTTCATAAAAAGTAAGGCACTGTCTCATAAAATTACCTGTATTTTCATGGAGCAAGATAGAGGAGCTGAGGCTAAAGAAAATGCAGTTATGGCCCAGAACTCCTGAAAACACTGGAAAAAGACAACAACCAGCAAAGAAATTTGCTGAATTTAATTTATGAAGACAGCTGGGGGAACATGAGGTATAGGGTGATGACTCAATTTCACTTTTAAATTGGAAATAGCAATATTAACATAGTTATTAAGAGAAAAATGGCTTGCTTATATTATTGCAAAGCATTCTAGAAAATTGATATGATGTTTAATATTAAAACTGTCTATGCTTTTAAGTTTTTTGGTGATATTTTATATTCATTCATTTCTAAAATGGTTTTATCTTTACTGCATTAATTTGCTATAGAAATCTTTGAACTCATGTTTTGAAGGAAGTATGTTGCAATTATATGGGAAATAAACCAAACCAGTATAAAGTCAGTCTAGACTCACAGATAATGCAAAATGTGAAGACATCAATGAGTAGTGGGAAGACCAATAAGTTTTTAAGTTAAGGTGTGAATCCTTGTGTAACCTGTTAGTATATGAAATTACCAGGGTGGCTAATCTCTCAAAACTTCAGTTAACTGATATGGAAAGTTAAAATATAACACTAAGTCTGGCTATATATTCCCCACACCTTATATCCAACAAAATGCATAGAGCAGATACTCAATAACTGATAGTCATCTGCCCCCTTTCCTTCCACTACTGCCCTATGAAAGGATTTTAATCCTCAGCAAACACGAGACAATCAAGTGATCATTTTTGCCACAAGAAAATAATTGAAAAGCACCAAGTTTTTGTGGTTATAAGAAAAACTATGTAATAATTAATCTTTCCCAAGACACCATTAAATTACACCACTGAAGTTATTTTTCAAACAGCACAGCATATTTCTGATGGAAAAATACTGAGTAAGGAAGCAGCATGAAGAAAGCTACAATCTAGTATCTATGAGGAGAGAAGCAGCTGAACTACTGAGCAGAATCTTGAGAATCTCTGGGAGATGCTGTGAAGGAAAGAGTCAGAAGTAAAGCTAAAGACAGTGTTAGCTGAAGTGTTATATACTAAACCATTTACCACTCTGAAATCTTTCCTAATCAGAGAATAAGTGGTAGTCAGATATTAAAAAGGGGACTGGGAAATTTACTTTTTAAAGGAATCGAATTAACCGTCTAAGGGAAAGTGAAGGCAAGCAGTGTGAATGTCAATGCTCCACAGTAAACCCTACCACAATCTGGCATTTTGGCTAACCCCATGAAAATGACAAGCTCCCTTCCCAATCAATCACCCTAAAACTAAACTTGCCAGCTGACAAACTCACAAAGTTACACAGAACTCATGGATGCTTTTCTAATGGCTCATTTTAAAACACCGTTGGACAGCCGAGTGCCACCATTTACAAAAAGAAAAATTGATCCCAGAGCAAAGTAACAATTCAGGAAACAAAAGTAGTAGAAATGTGTTTACTCAGATAAACGTAAAAAGATGTTGCATCCATAAAACAAGAATTAGTAGCTATGAAAAAGGAACAAGTAGATAATTGTTCTTTGATAAGAAAATTTAAAATGTAATTACTGGGGAAGTCAAGCTAGAAGGATGCAGGGAAGGACACACAACTGGACCAGCTGCTGAGTTCAACTCTTCTCTGATACAGTCTCCACTTATCGTGGGAAGACAGACCGCTCTGTCTTTGAGTGGCCTAAGTCCTCACAGTTTCAAACTAAAATGGGGTTTCCCTAAATTCTATGAGCTCAAATCCAAAACTGCAGATTATAAGCCAGTTTGAGCCTCAACCCTCATCTTCTCCAACTTTTCTTCAATAAAACTGAAACCAATCACCACAGCTTCACAAAGCCCCATACTTATTCATATCTTCAAGATACAGATACCGATAAGAGGTACTTTAATGACAGTGGGACCAAGAAGATAACCCAAACCTTAGTAATAAGTGAATCCTAATGAGTAGTAGATGAAAGTGTGGAGTCAGGGTGGCTGCAGTTAGCCATGCTTGATGGCTACATGGTGACAGTGGCCTGTTAGTTTACTCAGCATCGCAAATCTAACACTAGGGGTGAATGTCATCCCATTGTACATAGTATACTAGTGGAATATGCGGGTCCCAGAATTAGGCTTTAAAGAAATTTAACTCTGAAAAAAAAATGTCAATAGAGGCTTACAAACAGAAGGGCACACTGATCCAGAAAGTAACAGGAGAAGCACAGGGAATGGATAACTCTGTATTTGGAAGTACATTAACTAAGCCTTCATTCATCTCATGTATAGAAAAATTTGTAACATTTTACATAGATACAGTGTTATTAACAGAGTAGCAATATCTAATATTGACTGAGAGGATCTGTCCCTATTTCCCCAGAAAATAAAAGCCTCCTGCCCCAAATTCCGGTCTTGTTTCTCGCTATCTCAAAGTAGAGTGATAGATCTTATAGGAGAGGTTGCATTTGTGACTTATTATGTGTGATTGTCTATGGGATAAAACATATGGTCTTGTTTACTGACATTAGCAAAATCAGTAGGTATTTCTATTTCCTTCCTGCCCCTATTCCCTGTACTTCTCAACGTCCGTCTTTACACAAATTTGACTCATTTTGTTGTTGTTGTTGTTGTTTCAAAGAACATGTTAATCTAAAAAAATGTGACTCCTGAAATAAAACATTTCAATGGAAAATCTAGAACATAAAATCAGGGATATCTCCTAAAGTATAGATCCAAGGATCAACCTAGATTCATTCAATTAACATGAGTTCCCAAAACAGAAAAAGTAGTGAAGAAATTCATTAAAAAAAAAATGCAAGGACATTTTCATAAGCGAAGGGATATGTGAAACATCATATTGAAAGGTTACAAGAGGGTGAAGCAAAATGAATTTTAATCTCTCTTCCCCAAGACATCACCGAGAAGTTTCAAAACACCAAGGATGAAAAGAAGCTTTTGAAAGATGGCAGATGAGAGGCAAAAACAATACAGGAGACCCACTGAACAACAAAAATTAAACAGTGGTCTCATGTTTAAAATGGGGGGAGCAAATCTAGGTTATATACAATGTAAAATGAAATGAGCAAATACCTACTTCAATTGTGTTTTAATTACTCTTCATATTATTGTGTGAAAAAGAGGTGATTCTTTCTAAATAATAAACATAAACAAAATGTAACAAATCTATCAAAGTGCATATTTATGTACAGTTAAACACACGTATATTTTCTAAAATTTCTGAATTTTAACTCAATTTATATATGCGTCCTTAGCTAAAATATTTATAATTAATGAAGATGATAAACACTTTAAATTTACTACTTCACTTACTTCATGCTCACTCTAGAAAGACTGGCTGCAAATACACAGCGAATTTTTGGACTTAGATGCTGCTCTTCAAATTACACTGTGGTTGTAGCACATTAGAAACAGCTGGGTAGTGCTGGGTTTTCAAGAGATCAACATTTTCCCCTTATCAAAGTTCTGAACCAACTTGAAAGAGAAAGGAGAAAAGTACCTTCAGGACAGATAAAGTCCAGATTGAAATAAGTGGCCTAATTGTGTATTAACAATGGGCTCCCTAACCACTCAGGCAGGAATGAGGCCTCCAGGGCTTTTTGCTATCAGGCACAGAGCTGACCACAGCAGAACAGAAGTCAAACTCTAAAGAGGAGGGGTGAGGTGGAGAAGAGATTGAGACTCTACTCAGCTCACCAGTGAAGTAACTCACTCCACTTCTCTTAGGAGAGGAAAGAGTACGTACGAGGTTAAAAGTATTTAGAGGGGGCGGGGCATGGTGGCTCACGCCTATAATCCCAGCACTTTGGGAGGCCGAGGCAGGCAGATCACGAGGTCAAGAGATTGAGACCATCCTGGCCAACATAGTGAAATCCCTTCTCTACTAAAAATACAAAATTTAGGCCAGGTGCAGTGGCTCATACCTGTAATCCCAGCACTTTGGGAGGCCGAGGCAGGCAGGTCATCTGAGGTCAGGAGTTCCAAACTAGCTTGGCCAACATGGTGAAACCCTGCCTCTACTAAAAATACAAAAAAAATTAGCCGGGCATGGTGGCACACGCCCGTAATCTCAGCTACTGGGGAGGCTGAGGCAGAGAATCACTTGAACCTGGGAGGCAGAGGTTGCAGTGAGCTGATATCATACCACTGCACTCCAGACTGGAGGACAGAGAGAGACTCCGTGTAAAAAAAAAAAAAAAATATATATATATATATATATACACAAAAATTAGCTGGGTGTGGTGGTGTGCACCTGTAGTCCCAGCTACTCAGGAGGCTGAGGCAGGAGAATCGCTTGAACCCGACAGATGGAGGGTGCAGTGAGCCAAGATCATGCCACTGCACTGCAGCCTGGCGAAACAGCAAAACTCCGTCTCAAAAAATAAAAAAAAAAAATATTTAGGGGGAATAACCTCTCTTCAGAAAAACCATAGTAATGGGTTTATATCTCCCACCAATATGGAAGGTTTTTGTTTATTGCTTGTTTTTATTTCCTTAGAAACCTGCTGGGGCCTAAGCTGAAACCATGAAATTAGAATCTCTCAAAACGGAGTATGTGGCATCAAAAAAGATTCCCAGCTCATTCTTATGTGCATCCTTACTGAGGCACCTTAGAAGGAAGTGAAAAATCATTCACAAATTGAGACCAATCATCTAATTCACCTGGTATATGTGTCTGATTTCTGAGGATGCTTAAGATGTAATAAATGTATTGATTCAACAAAGATTGGCTTTGTACTGTGTGCCAAACTCTGTTCTAGGCCCTTAGTGTGATCTAGAAAGAAACCAGAGAACCCTGCCTCATGAAGCTCATGCATTCCAATCATGGAAACAGGCATAAACAACTGACATGATAAAGAAATACATTGTTTAATTGGTTATAGGGTGATAAGTGAGTATTACAGAAAAGAAAAGAAAAATTGGGCAACACAGTGGGTATTGGGATTGAATGTCAGCAGAATCAGATCATGTAAGACCCTATAGCTTATTGTAGAACTTTAGCTTTTTCTTTGAGTAAATTGAGGGTCATTGCTGGAAACATAATTTTATTTAAATTTTAAATGAATCACTCTGGACTTCTGCTTTTAGCTCTGATATGCAAAGAGCTTAGAAACTGTCATTCTCCTGTTTACAACAAGAAAAAGCTGAACAAAATAAAATCAGAACTTTTCTTGAACCCATCAGAATAACAAGATTACAGGGTCAACTGCCACGCTGAATCCAGAGAGACTGGTGAATCCAGAGAGATTCTAAGCTGAGGTATTACCTGAAGCAGAAGCCACAGGAGCCATAAACTGAAACTAAGTCTACTTTTTATGGGCTCATCCATAGACTGGACAGAGCTGAACAAGGAGTCAGTGAGCTTGAAGATAGGTCAACAGAAACTTCCAAAAGTGAAATGCAAAGACAGAAAGGAATGGGGGAAAATGAATATCCAAGAACTTTGGTATCATTTCAAATGGTGTGGTGTAACATAACTGATTTTAAAAATCATTGGCTACAGTGCTAAGACTGTGACTGGGTAAGGGGGGAAGCTAGAAAATCACTTAGGAGTCAATTTCAGATACCTAGAAGAAGAGTATGGTGCTGTTAGCCAGGATACCAACAGTAGAGCTGGTGAGAAGTGGTCAGATTATGGGTATAGTTTGAAATCCTATTAGCCTTTCTTTCTAATATAATGAATAGTTCATTTTTATGTCATGAGTTACAACTCACATGCACTGTAAAATCTGAGCTTTATAAAATCCTTAAAATCATAAAGAATACTTTATAGTGAACAAAACTAAGGTTCATGGAGATGCCAAATCAGATTTTCTAATGCCAAGCCGATTTTGGCTACATAATTTTCAGGGATAACTTTGATCCTTTTGGAAGCTACCAGAGAAAGTACAACTATTTGGAAAGGAGGCTATACAGGCATACTTCATTTAAATGTGCTTCTTTTTACTGTACTGTGCAGATATTGTACTTTTTACAAATTGAAGGTTTGTGGCAACCATGCATTGGGCAAGTCTATCAAAACAATTTTTTCAACAGCATGTGCTAACTTAGTACGTCTGTATTACATTTTAGTAATACCTATATTTCAAATTTTTTCATTATTATATCTGTTATGATGATCTGTAATCAGTGATCTTTGATGTTACTGTTGTAATGGTTTTGGGGTGCCTCAAACTGTGTTCATATAAGATGACAAACTTAATTGATAAGTGTTGAGTGTGCTCTGACTATTCCACCAACCGGCTGTTCCCCATCTCTCTCCCTCTACTCAGTCTTCCCTATTCCCTGAGGCACAAGAATATTGAAATTAGGTCAGTTAATAACTCTATAATAGCTTCTAAGTGATCAAGTGAAAGAAGAGTCACATGTCTCTCACTTTAAGTCAAAAGGTAGAAATGATTAAGCTCAGTGAGAGATAGATGTCAAAAGCTGATGTAGGCTGAAAGCTAGGCCTCTTGCAACAAACAGCCAAGTGATTAATGCACAGGAAAAGTTAATAGAAATTAATAGTGCTACTCCAGTGAACACATGAATGATAAGAAGTCTAAATAGCCTTACTGCTGATACGAAGAAAGTTTCAAGGGTCTGGATAGAAGATCAAATCAGCCACAACATTTTCTTAAGCCAAAACCTAATTAATAGCAGGGCCCTAACTCTCTTCAACTCTATGAAGCCTGAGAGATGTAGGCAAGCTGCAAAAGAAAAGTGGGAAGCTAGCAGAGGATGGTTCATTAGGTTTAAGAAAAGAAGCCCTCTCTATAACATGAAAGTGCAAGATGAAACAGCAAGCGCTGATGCAGAAGCTATAACAAGTTATCCAGGAGATCTAGCTAGCTGATAAAAGTCGTTACACTGAAAACAGATTTCCATTGTAGACAAAACAGCCTCATGTTGGAAAAAAGATGACATGTAGGACTTTCATAACTAGAGAGAAGTCAACTCCTGGTTTCAAATCTTCAAAGGGCAGGCTGACTCTCTTGTTACTGGCTAATGCAGCTGGTGACTTAAATTGAAGTCAATGGTTATCTACCATTCTGTAAACAGTAAGGCCCTTAAGAATTGTGCTAAATCTACTCTGCCTGAGCTCTGTAAATGGAACAACAAAGCCTGGATGACAGAACATCTGTTTACACCATGGATGACAAGAAATTTTAAGCCCACTTGGTAAGACCCACTGCTTCAAAAGAAAGATGCCTTTACAAAGTATTACTGCTCATTGACAATGTACTTGGTCAGCCAAGAGCTCTGATGCAGATGTACAAGGAGATTCATGTTGTTTTCATGCCTATTAACAAAATATCTATTCTGCAGCCCATGGATCAAGGAGTAATTTCAAATTTCCAGTCTTATTTAAGAAACATATTTTGTAAGGCAATAGCTTTCATATAGTGATGCTTCTGATAGATCTTGGCAAAGTAAATTGAAAAGCTTCTGGAAATGCCACCTTCTAGGTGGCATTAAGAACATTCAGGATTCATGGGGGGAGGTCAAAATAACAACATTAACAGGAGTTTGGGAGAAGAATTTTTTGTGAAGAGTCAACTGACATGGCAAAATTTGAAGAAACTGCCACAGCCACTGCAAACTTTAGAAACTACCGCCCTGATCAGTCAGCAGCCATCCACATTAAGGCAAACAGATTATGACTCATTGAAGGCTCAGATTATCATTAGCATTTTTTAAGCAACAAAGTATTTTTAAATTAAGGTATCTACATTGTTTTTAGAGATAATGCTATTGCACATTAAATAGTCTACAATATAATGTAAACATTACTTTTATATGCACTGGGAAAACAAGAAAATTGTGTAATTCACTTTATTGTGATACTCACTTTATTGCAGTGGTATGGAACAAACCCTCAATTTTCCCACAGTATCCCTGTACATTTATAGCCATATCACAGTCTTACAGCCAAAAGAGTACACTAGTATTGACACGAAAGCATTCTAAACATGGTTTAAACTGACAGGCCAATTGTGTCTACGTGGAGCCACAAATTTCCAAACAGGAAATATTCTGATTATTTTACTCCATTAATAATTGTAATGCATTCATTCAGGAAAGAGTTACAGTAGAGAAAGACCATGTAATAACTTGGTTCCTTTGCACATAGACACAGCCAGTGGCAGCATTTATTATCTGTGAATTCATTAACATGAAAATGTTAAACATGCTAATCATGTTGAATAGCAGCCGAGTTACACCTATTATTAATAATGGAATAATACCTATTGTTGTCACATTAGTGTAATGCAAGGCAATATGCAGTCACCTCTTACAATAACAACTCCAGCTCCGCTGTTCATAACTCTTCTCATCCATGGCTCCTAGATAGTTTTACAAACATTAATTAAGACTTACATTACTTCTCTGAGACTGGGAACTGCCGTAGTCATCATCTTGATGTGAGACTAGAGATTAAGCCATGTTATTAAAAGCACAGAAACAATGCTAGGATTAAAGCTCATGACAACGACATTTGAAACCTGAACTTTCAAACAATGTAAGGAATACATGTACCATTATCTTTTAATTGTACACTCATCACAAGCATATATATTTTGTAACTGCTATTCATGACTTTGTGGAAACTGTGCACACTGATTGCAAAAGTTTTCAAAATAAAGTGTATTATTTTGCATATCAACATCTTAACATTTTCAAAAACTAAAATTATTTTAATAGGTCATCTTCATTGATATCGGAAGTTTATCTTTCATAGTCAGTTTGAGAAGGCAATCAGGTTTCCAGAATGTTATTCCCTACCCCCAAGATTATATTGCAATTTAGTTACAGGGTCTGGAATCGAACTTCTGATCCTTTAACTTTTCATCTGACTTGCTCTACTGAGCCGTGCTGCATTGCACTAAAACAAAGCATGCTAAGAATTTGAATTCACTTTAGAAGGTCAGCTTTGCTGGAAGATTGCCCTTTTTTCCTCACCATTAAAAAAATAAGTAAAAAATAAAAAGTTATGTTCTGAAAGGCCATTTTATATTGTGTCCTCCACACTTTTAAAGTAAAGCTGAGAAAGTTTCAATGCTGTTATCAGATTACATTGAAGAATCTTCCAATTTTCTCGTAAATTATCTTCTATTTCATTAAGTGTCCTGTTAAAACATCTAAAGGTATTCAGTCTCATTTTCTTTCTTAACTTTTTATTACTTAAGAAGTGTTACACTTAAAGTATCAACATTTAATCTAAGATCATTTTGATTGCTTTTAAGCATTAGCATAATCATGTGGCTTTATTAGGTTCAATTCTACACTGTCAGTCATTCTTTTAAAAGTCAGTATCTATATAAATGCCAAAAAATCACTTGTCGTCAGGGCTTTTTTTTTTTTCTTTTTTTTTTTTTGCTTTCCAGTGTCTTCTAGCATCTAGTATCTAAGCACTTCTGCACAGGCAAAATGACACAAGTGTCGACAATAGACAGACACTAAATATATCTTTTAACTACATCTTCTTTAAGAGGACAAGAGTAAAACAGATGAGATCTCTTACACATTAGAGTGCACAGAACCCACACTTTAAATACAATGTAGAGCTAATGCTAACCTACATGACCATTTTCAATATCAAATTACCATCAGCAACTGGGGGCTGCTAAGCATACCACCAAATACTGCAGCATCTTTACACAAAGGAAACGTTAGTGTTTTCTGGCTTTTAATATTGATATCAACATTTGCTTCGTTAGCAAAAGCTCCCTTCTTGGGAGAAATATTGAATTATTAAATAATGTAGGTTGCAGGTTTCTATATATATTATATCACCCCAGGTACTAATTTTTCAGGAAAATATGAAACAAGAGAGAGAGAAAAATTTGTTCATTACTTTAAAGTAGTTTTGAAATATAAAGTGAGATCTTCCATTACACTTTTTTAAAGAACTATTGCGTAGCCTCTGGCTAACTGAATAAAAAAAAGAAAAAATATTCACTGCTTTTAAAAGATGCATTCATTTTAATATATATGTGATAATTATATGGATATGAATATACCCTTTCACAAGATATTACATTTACTATAAGCTCTGTATTACTTAATATTTGTGTCATTATTGAACTTCCAAAACTGAAAATGTAATAAATTTTCAAGATATGGTAGAAAAGAGAAAGGTTACCTATGTCATTAAAAATCTGTTCTATTCAATTAGTTCAACCATTGTGGAAGACAGTGTGGCGATTCCTCAAGGATCTAGAACTAGAAATACCATTTGACCCAGCAATCCCAGTACTGGGTATATACCCAAAAGATTATAAATCATGCTACAATAAAGACACATGCACACGTATGTTTATTGTAGCACTATTCACAGTAGCAAAGACTTGGAACCAACCCAAATGTCCATCAATGATAGACTGGATTAAGAAAATGTGGCACATATACACCATGGAATACTGTGCAGCCATAAAAAAGGATGAGTTCATGTCCTTTTCAGGGACATGGATGAAGCTGGAAACCATCATTCTCAGCAAACTATCACAAAGGCAGAAAACCAAACACCGCATGTTCTCACTAATAGGTGGGATTTGAACAATGAGAACACTTGGACGCAGGGTGGGGAACATCACACACTGGAGCCTGTCGTGGGTTTGGGGGCTGGCGGGGGATAGCATTAGGAGAAATACCTAACGTAAATGACGAGTTGATGGGTGCAGCAAACGAACATGGCGCGTGTATACCTATGTAACAAACCTGCACGTTGTGCACATGTACCCTAGAACTTAAAGTATAATAATAAAAAAATCTATTAGTCTTTCATTAAGATTTGGGAAAATGTTCTTGAAATTTCTTAAAAAGCCATCAAGGCAAAGAGCTTGATATATTATTTGAACAAGTTATTTAATGTTTTTATTTATTTTAAGAGAACTTCTTATTCCGCTTGAAAAATTAATACATTAAAATAGGCTAAGTTCGCGTTAGTAATTTTGGAGCCATGTAAATATACAGAATCACTATTTCTGTATTAATAGAATCATTAATACTATAGAGACCAAATGTTCTGTTTGATTAAAAAGTTCCTGAACTAAATCTTGACTAAGATTTCATTTTAACACTACAGAGCACAGCAGAGATTATTTCACATGTAAAAATTTAGAGCAACTGTAAATAGTTTTCTCTTTGATAACAGAAGACTCTTCAGCATTATTCTTATTGCTCTGAATGCTTTAAACAGCATTGCTTTCCAAACTGCCTGCCTACAAAATTCATCTTACTATAATTAAACAAATTGATCTAAACTAATAATGGAATTATTTAATATTGTCTATTTGAATTTTGAAAATGTCCACCCTAGAGAGTTAGAATACTTCGGATTGACAGACTTGGTCTGTGGGAATGAATTATTGTGGGAATGAATACTGACTTATTCATTCCCACAATAATTAAACAATGGAAATGTTTTCTTCTCCTGGCCAATTCTAATTCATTAATGTAATCAATATGAGAAGAAGATCAGTCTCCCTACTTCCCATCTAGGTAGAGTATTCATCCATATCATCTGCTGTACATCATCAAGGCATCAGGATACAATTTAAGGAGAGATGGTCGAAGACACAATTTTGCACCAACTGAGAGTTATATTTGGTGAGTCAGGACAACAATCCCCTCCCACTGATTATAAGAAGGCTCTGCCAATCTATGCTGATCTTATGCAACTAGTTCTATAGGTGACTTCTGCTAAAGTGCAATGAGATAAAAGAACATCATAAATATGTTCTCTAAACATTTCCAACTACATACCTCAATACACCCATCCATAGACTACAAGTCTGAATTACCTGTAAAAGATAACATAAAACAAGCAATAATAAAAAGACTTCTACTTGTTTTAGTCTTTTATCTCTATTTCCCACCTTTAAAATGAAAATAGTAATGATCATGCTTCTCCTTCCCGAAGAAACAATGAAAGCTTAACTTGCATTGAGAATATCAGTCATCTATTATTTGTAAGAATTATTCATCTGAGCATATGACACATGTTTTTGTTTACTTCATGTAATAGTAGATGGTATCATCACAAGAGAATTAAAAATATTTCTTATTTCATAAAGTGTCAAATCCCTGGCCCAAGGCTACTGATGAAACCCTGCCAAGACACACATATGATCTATAACATCCTCATAAAACATTCTTCTATGGCCTCACCCTTTATGTAATGCAATCATCACTGAAATAAGTTAGATTTTCATGGCATAGCACCTACCAGCTAGCTAAAAGAACATCACTCTATCTGAAATATCAATAGCTACAAACAGCTGATTTTGACACACAAATCAGTCATTTAGAAATTAATGATTAAAACATTATGTACTCCATGCTTTTACAACTGAATTTTTAAGTTTTCTATAAAATAATCCTATAGATATAAAACATGGGGTGTTTTATATTTATATATATTAATAAAACATACTAACATATTAAAACAAACTTACTAACAAAACAAACATACTAACACTGAAATGTTAGGTGAGCTAACCAGTGAAAGTAAAGACTATTGTTTATTTCTTTCTAAATTATTGTTATGAACTATCTCTATTTAAACAAATAATGGTTCCTGATTAGAGATCAGAACTTCCACCTATTTGTTTATACATCAATTCAGTTTCTAATTGCTTATGTCCGCACTTGAAGCTTCAGTACCTAAGGCTTTCGAGATACTTTCCCTCTGAGAAAGATTTGATAACATTTTTCCTGTTTTTTTTTTCTCATCTTTGATTCAGTTTCTGATAAAGTAAGGTTTCTCAGCTTCAATATTACATATTAACATTTGGGGCCAGACAATTTTGTGACATTTCATTTTTTTTTGAGGCGGGGGGGTGGTTAGGAGAATATTTGGTGGGATGGGAGTGGAAAGAAAGGAGGTGGAGTGTCTTATGCTGTATAAAATGTTTGGCAGCATCCCTGGCCTCAACCTCCCTCCTTTTCATGACAACCAAAACTCCTCCAGACATTTCCACATGTCCCGGGACTGAGGCTGAGGGCACTGGGAGAGGGAAAAATCATTCCTGGTTGAAAACCACTGTGATAGAGCCTTCAATTGATTTTTAAATATAGCCCTATCAGTTATTTTTTTCGGATTTTAACCTGAAAAAAAAAATCCTTCAATTTGAAATCTCCCTTTCTACTTAGGTTAGGGAAAGTAAAAAAAATCCTTCAATTTGAGAACTCCCTTTCTACTTAGGTTAGGGAAAGTAAAAAAAAAAATCCTTCAATTTGAGATCTCCCTTTCTACTTAGGTTAGGGAAAGTTAAAAAAAAATCCTTCAATTTGAGATCTCCCTTTCTACTTAGGTTAGGGAAAGTTAAAAAAAAAAAATCCTTCAATTTGAGATCTCCCTTTCTACTTAGGTTAGGGAAAGTTAAAAAAAAAATCCTTCAATTTGAGATCTCCCTTTCTACTTAGGTTAGGGAAAGTAAAAAAAATCCTTCAATTTGAGATCTCCCTTTCTACTTAGGTTAGGGAAAGTAAAAAAAATCCTTCAATTTGAGATCTCCCTTTCTACTTAGGTTAGGGAAAGTAAAAAAAAAAATCCTTCAATTTGAGATCTCCCTTTCTACTTAGGTTAGGGAAAGTTAAAAAAAAATCCTTCAATTTGAGATCTCCCTTTCTACTTAGGTTAGGGAAAGTTAAAAAAATCCTTCAATTTGAGATCTCCCTTTCTACTTAGGTTAGGGAAAGTAAAAAAAAATCCTTCAATTTGAGATCTCCCTTTCTACTTAGGTTAGGGAAAGTAAAAAAAATCCTTCAATTTGAGATCTCCCTTTCTACTTAGGTTAGGGAAAGTAAAAAAAAATCCTTCAATTTGAGATCTCCCTTTCTACTTAGGTTAGGGAAAGTAAAAAAAAATCCTTCAATTTGAGATCTCCCTTTCTACTTAGGTTAGGGAAAGTAAAAAAAATCCTTCAATTTGAGATCTCCCTTTCTACTTAGGTTAGGGAAAGTAAAAAAAATCCTTCAATTTGAGATCTCCCTTTCTACTTAGGTTAGGGAAAGTAAAAAAAAATCCTTCAATTTGAGATCTCCCTTTCTACTTAGGTTAGGGAAAGTGTTTTTTCCCCCTCTCATCAAGCCCGTATTCACCGTCTTCCTTCAGAATTATAATAGTAAATATTTTTAATTAGAACAAATTTTCAAAGGAAGTATAAAATGCTTAACCACTGTGTGTACATGCTTTAGCCAAAATATTTTATTTCTTTAAATATATCATAAGAAAATAAACAGACACCAAGATGTGTGTGCAACCGGTACAGATTTTGATAGGAAAATATTAGAAACAATGCAATTCTCCAATAATAGGGAAGGGACTAGATAAACTATAATCCTGACATATTGGGAAATGTTATACAGCATTTTTTTATAGGTTGGTGCAAAAGTAATTGCAGCTTTAGCCATTAAAAGTAATGTTAAAGAGTAAAATTTATGTGCAAGAAAAGTAATCAAAATATTTTGTGAAAACACTACATAGAAGCAGCCAACAAACATTAAAAAAGCTCCACATCACTAATCATCAGAGAAACACAAATCAAAACCACAATGGATATTATTTCACACCAGTCAGAATGGCTATTAACAAGTTAAAAAAAAAAAAACAAATACCGGCAAGACTGTGGAGAAGAGGGAACGCTTATACACTATTGATGGAAATGTGAGTTAGTTCAGCCACTGTGGAAAGCAGTTTGGAGATTAATCAAAGAACTTAAAACAGAACTACTACTCAGCCCAGCAATCTCATTACTGGGTATATATCCAAAAGTAAACAAATCTACCAGAAAGATACACGCACTCACATGTTCACCACAGCACTATTCCCAATACTGGAGACATGGAATCAACCCAGGTGCCCATCAATGGTGGTTTGGATGAAGAAAATGCTGTACATATACACTTTGGAATACTATACAGCCATAAAAAAAAACAAAATTATGCCCTTTGCAGCAAAATGAATCCAACTGAAGGCTATTATCCTAAGCAACTTAATGCAAAAACAGAACACCAAACACATGTCCTCACTTATAAGTGGGAGCTAAACATTTGGTACTCATGGACATACACATGACAACAGTAGAAACTGGGAACTACTAGAAGCGGGAGGGAGAGAGGGGGGAAAGTGCTGAAGAACCACCTATTGAGTGCTATACTCAGTACATGGGTGATGGGATCATCCATAACCCAGACCTCAGCATCATGTGATATACCCTTATAACAAACCTATACATGTACCCCCTAAATATAAAAGTTGAAAAAAAAAAGCCTTTTGTGAAAACCCCACAGAACACCATGCACATTACAGTACCATTTGGTAGACTATAAAATGCACATTAAAAAAAATTGGAGGTACAGACACCAAATTATTAACAGTAGATATCTTGGGGAGATATATATATATCTTGGGGATATATATATATATATATATATATAGAGAGAGAGAGAGAGAGAGAGAGAGAGAGAGGGAAAGAGTTATCTTTTATATTTTCCTTGGAGTTTTCTATGATTTATGTGTTAGTCACATATTCCTTTTATAAGCATCAAAGAGGGTCAATTTATTCATTTTCAGCTATTATATTGACAATTAAAAATTCTTCATGGATATATGGCTGTCTCTCCAAACTTTCAGAACTACACTAAAATGGGTGAATTTTACTCTATATCAAATATTTGAATGCAATTATGAATTCTGTGGCACCACACCAATACATAGCCGCATCATAAGCTTCTAATTTATTAAGAAACACTGCATTTACCATGATGTTGTGTTCCAAACTTGGTATTTATAATTTTACTGCAAAAAAATTATTTAATCTTTAATGTATGTAGAACTTTTTTAACTGAATTTTAAGAGCATTCACAATAATATCAGATATTTTCCTTTAACAGTATTTCTAAATTCTTTACTTTGGCTCTATGAATTGAATAGGGAAAAGAAGGTTTCAGGCCAGGCGCGGTGGCTCACGCCTGTAAACCCAGCACTTTGGGAGGCCGAGGCGGGAGGATCACGAGGTCAGGAGATCGAGACCATCCTGGCTAACACGGTGAAACCCCGTCTCTACTAAAAATACAAAAAAAAAAAAAAAACTAGCCAGGCACAGTGGCGGGCGCCTGTAGTCCCAGCCACTCGGGAGGCTGAGGCAGGAGAATGGCGTGAACCCAGGAGGTGGAGCTTGCAGTGAGCCGAGATCGCACCACTGCACTTCAGCCTGGGCAACAGAGTGAGATTCCGTCTCAAAAAAAAAATAAAATAAAATAAATTTTAAAAAAAAGAAGGTTTCATTAGGGTAGTTGACTAATTTCTAATTTTCTAATTTCCAACTGAAGCATCTAATAGCACAGATATAAAATTGGCATCATTTAACTATGTCTGAAGTTCTGCTAACAGGACCAAAATAGTAACAGTTTTCACTTTAGTTTTCAAATATGCACAAGAAAACTTGAATTTGAAAAAGAGCAAAATTAATTTAAAAGAAGACTCATTAGGTCTAAATACAATGCATGCTTCAAAGAGTAACATGTAGATACAGTTTCCGCAGCTGCTTGCTTGGAGTTAAATCATCCCTTTTGGCAACTCCTAAAAGAAACCATTCACTTTGGAAGTAGATGCCAATGCTTCTTCAGCAGGTATTGGTCTTCCGGTTTTCATGTAATCAGTGATATCACCATAGCTCCAATGCCAGATGGTGAATACCCACCAACATTTTGTAAAACATTAATAGAAAATCAATATTTAATTTATCCTTAAATCTGTACTTTTATTTCTTAAGCTCATTGCTGAAAAAATTGTGGGTTTTTTTTTTTTTTTTACAAAATAAAAATGCAGTACAGAAAAATAAAACGAATAGTCTTAGATTCACATCATAAAATAAATAAAACCATCCTCAGAAGGGTGTGTAACAGGGCCTGGGTTAGAGTGAGGTGGATGAGGCATTCTTTCAGGGACAAAATTTAAGTGGGCAGCAAAAATGGCAGTAATCAAGATAAACAGTGTTTAAGTGCAATATTTGTAAAAGATTAAAACTAATCCATGATGAAAAAAATACAGATTTTCTAATAAGGACGCCGTTACTTGTTTTAGGACCCTGCATTATTACGCAATGGGAACGTTGTTTTTAATTTGACCATGATTTCTCCACCTGCCCCCTGGGGCTATGGCATCCTCTGTGGACAAGTTTATGAAGGTTGTCAGTGGCAGGAAAACAGATTGAGAGCAACACAGGGCTTTATATAAAGTCTTTTTAAAAATTATACAGTTTATATTACATACTAAAAGCACTCAAAATAACACTTTCAGAAATCTAAAAATAATGACTATATTCCACACTAGTAGGCTTTTACTGCATATCAATTTAGTTGTTCTTTCTACTGATAAGAAATTATTTTTGACAGAGTAATATACATATTCTTAAATGAATATAAAAATATTTCTGCTATAAACAAAAATAGCAGATCCTCATCCCATGGTCTTTAAGGAATGTAAAAAAGAACAATTATAAATGTTAAAAATGTTCTTAGTAATAAAATTCAGTGCTATTTTCGATGAACATTTCTTGTACTAAAATTGTATTTGTGAAACACTGTCCTTAAAGCTGCCACTTAATTATATGTGAAATCTAATCAGGTCACTTATTTAAGGAAAGAGACTGCAGGATTCCATTAAACACTAAGCCAAAAGCAATTGACTTCTGGAGTTTATTTATTCTTCTATTTGTATAGGAAGTTATCTAGAAATATTACTTCAATTAGAGTTCTTTGTATTAGCTTTTCTCATTCTTTCAATGTTAAAATAAATATTTTTACATCTGAATAATTTAAATAATTTTTCCATAAGGCTGAATTACTGTTATTTTCCTATGGTCTATTTTTCTTGAGTTAAAACTATTGTTAGGTCCATTATGAGTAAAATATCAATAAGGAGATAAGAATAGCATAAAGCCATCATGTTCCACAGACTGTACAGATTAGATGCAAATTGACTCAGGGAGAGGAAAAAAAGCAGGTCTCCCAATCTTCATGTTATCTCTTCACCACACTTCCAAAAAAAACACTTGCAAATAACCTTAAATAATCAGTGGTTTTAGTAGGCGAGAGTTGCCCTTAAGGAAGTCAATGAAACCCCTCCTTTCATAATTGTTTTATTTTTCATTCTTGCATGATTAAACCATATGAAAAGAATACTTCAAGCTTGTTTAAAGCAGTACCCTTCAAATCTTGTCCCATCAGTTCTCTGGCAGTTCAATCAATGTTAGATAGCATCAAAAATCTATTTCCTGTCCCTGACAAGAGAGTCTATACGATTATCTGTTTTGAATGACAAATGCAAACTCCGTACTATCTCAAGTTGCCAACTGCACTTTTTTTTTTTAACCTCCATGCATTATTGGAACTACAGTCAAAGCCAAGTTCTTTTAATTACATAAAGCTTTAATTTTTAATTATGATTGAAAGATAGTGAAAAGGTAAGCCACCAAATCACCTCAAAGTCACTGAAATGCTCAGATTGTTTTCTGCTGGGTGTTTCCTTCATATTAACCAGTTGCAGCCACAGTCCTTTAAAATTAATTTCCTTCAAATGATCATCAAAAATGAAACAGAAGATGCCAGTGAGATTCTGGGGATGGCGTATCCACAAAATTGCCAGACACAGTTTATCAGGAAAAAAAAACCATAAATCTCAACAATCTTCTATTTCTTTTCAAGAAAAAAATTAAAATACAGAAACTCATCACTATCTTTTATAGAAACATCTCAAGGCATAAATATCTAAAATCCACATGGTAAATCAGAATCTCTGCTGGTCATCTCACTTCACTTTTATAACACTTTTTTTTGAAAATAAAAATAATTATTGTTAAAAGTTTTGGGGAAAAGCAGAACAAAAATAGCAATAACTAACAAATACTTAACCCTAGTATCAAGTAATGAAGTAACTGTATTAACTCACTTAATACTTGACACAATTCTTCATGTTTGGTACTGTTATTATCACCATTTATATAATGTAAAAACTGATATAGAAAGTAGCATGTGTGGGACTCAAACTCAAACAACCTGGCTCCAGGATTCACACAGAATTAAAAGTTAAAATTTACCCACAATAGGCCAGGGTGCGATGGCTCACGCCTGTAATCCCAGCACTTCGGGAGGCCAAGGCGGGCAGATCATGAGGTCAGGAGATCAAGACCATCCTGGCTAACATGGTGAAACCCCATCTCTACTAAACATACAAAAAAAAATTAGCCGGGCGTGGTGGCGGATGCCTGAAGTCCTAGCTACTCAGGAGGCTGAGGCAGGAGAATGGCCTGAACCCGGGAGGTGGAGCTTGCAGTGAGCCAAGATTGCGCCACTGCACTCCAGCCTGAGCAACAGAGCGAGACTCCGTCTCAAAAAAAAAAAAAAAAGAAAAAAAAATTTACCCACAATAGCACACCTCAGAGACCAAACTTTATGTATTCTCTCTCCCCCATTTATTCTTCTCAGTGAATTTTCAAACAAATTTATGATGGTTCCAAAAAATGCACAATTGAAATGTCAATTTTATAGGGAAAATTAGGCAAAAAAACACACCAAACATGTTTTGTTCCTTCATGAACTGATGCATAGTTATTATTACAACCTTTTTTTGTATGAAAATACTGGGGTTGAAATTTGCACTCTAAACTCATACATAAAGATAAACGTAGCTTTTTTATTGTTCTATATTCCACAAATCTACTAAAAGAGAAAAAAGATGAACTGCCAGTTAAAGGTAACTACATCTCATTTTGTTTAAGAAACAATCTCTTTTTTTGTAAATATTCACTAAACTCTAAGTTCATACACTATGCATCTATTTCTCTCCATTTTGGTTTTCTTTCCAGACCTTTTTCCTTTCCCAAGTTAGCGATTTTGCAGAGAGAAGCTTCTGTATCCTCAACCTCAAGGAATTAGAAAAGGAAACCAGTACCAAGAACTATCTCCTTGTGCCCTTCTCTCCCCACGGCCTCCATCTCTGAGCTTATAGATTGACCCTAAATGTCTGAATAACTTTGGTCAGGTCTACAAAGTATTGTATGGTTCCGTGGGAGCTCAGCCACCCCAAGGAATAATGCACCTCTCTCTGTAGTAACAGTCCCAGCAGAAACTGAGTTTGGCTGCCACTCTGGTTATCATCTCAGTTTAGGAGGGCCACCTTTTTTCTACAAGGTCCCTTTTTTCCTCTCTGAAGCAACATTTTCTACCCGAAGTCAATAATTGTCTTTCGTGGCTCCCTTCATGACCTCCATGGGAAAGAAGAGGGACAGATACTGGTAGCTTCAGAATATTCCATGATATCTACATAGTCTACGGGAATTAAATCGTGTTAAGTCAGTCCCAACAATCCATAGACTTCCATCTACAAGCCTGCACTGTGTTGGGTTTCTCTGGAGGGGTTTAGAAATTCTCTAAGAAGCACAGGTGATAGATTTTCACTGAAAATTTTCTATCAAACCCATCTGGTATTCCTGTAAGCGTGCAATTACTTACCCACTCCCCTTCAGAGAGTCATTCCTTTTGACAGAAGTAAAATGCTTAGGTCTTACACACATACATGCACACAGACTCAGCCACAAAATGACTTTCTATTTTATCTTCATGTCTGGTAGGAGTTGCTCCAGGTCAGTGACTCTCCAGCCTCAGGGAACATCAGAATCATCTGGAGGGCTTCTTAAAGCACAGATCACTGGACCCCATTCCCAGAGTTTCTAATCCAGTATGGCTGGGGCAGAGCCGGAGAATCTGCAGACTAACAAGCACGCACATTGATATGGGTGCTGCTGTTCTGGGGACTGTGCTTAGAGAACCAGGGCACTGGGCCTTGCTGCTCAAGGTGTAGTTCATGGCCAAATAGATGAGCATCACTGAGGCATGGTTTAGAAATTCAGAGTCTCAGAACCCACACAGACCTACAGAGCCAGAGCCTGCATTTAAACAAGATTTTCAAGTGAAGGCACATTGAAGTTGGAGAAGCACTGCTCTAGGTGATATTTTCTTCTTTTTTATTTTATGATCTTTGATACTACTCTCCCATGTCTGGACAATAAACTTCATGCTTTAGCCTATATGCAGACATAGCCTATATGCAGACTTTAGCCTATATGCAGACTTTGCTCCTAGATGAGCAAAGAGAAAATACATTTCAGAAACATAATTCCCAATTCATAAAATAAACCAATTTTCAGATTTTTGTTATTACATTTTTTTCTCCACAATTGACTATGAAATCTTGCTTTCCTATTTTAAGTGAACTAAGTTTGGTACAAACATGGAACCTCTGATATATTTTCTAATCTACTAAAAGTCTTATTTTACATATTTAAGTAAAGTTATTTAGTTTTCACTATATTGGTCTAGACTATATAGTTCTTATTTTTAGTTTGTTTTTTAGTTTGCCTCTTGGCTGGATCTTTTTCCATTATCTTCCATACAATATTGTTAGTATATGGTTATTGCTCTTTACAGCCATTGTTTTTATTGTTTCAACGGTCATTTTGAAACAAGCACTTAGCGAACAATCTTATCCATTCCAATGTATTGCATTCCTTATTCATAACTCATGTGTACTATTCCTAACAGAATTTTGGTTGTTTGTTTAATCAGTGCAGAATTTTAGAAAAGTGGGAATTTTTTTCTTTCAAGGAACTACCTTCAAGATGGAACGTTTCTATTCTTGTTCCTATGTTTTAATGTTACTTTCTGATTTTATTTTTATTATTGCTCTTCTGCCTCTTTTCAGGTAATGTCTTTAATTTATCTGGTACTAATGATATAACCATATTTTTGTTTGACTTATCCTGTCTTGTTTTTAAACATACTATATCTTTTGTTTTAAATATGGTCAAAGCATTGTAAACACTAGGCAGTGGAGTTTTTATCTGATTAATCAAATTTGAGACTTTCTGAAACTTTTATGATGGGATTTTAGTCCATTCACATTTATTATCAATGCTGCTAAACTTGGCATAATACTGTCATCTTGGTTTTTTGCTTTTTAAAAAATGTTTACTTGACATTTATTTTCTCCTTTAAAATTTTTAGTTTATTTTCCTTTAGCTATTCAGAAATTGTGTTCATTTATTTGAAATAGTTATTACTTTCCCTTTTTAAAACCACTTGAATCTAAATGTCCCTAATTATCAGTGTTAATAATGTAATCACATCTGTTAATTTGCACCTATGTTACAGAAGAAAATTAGCTCTTTTATTTCAAATCACTTCCTCATTTTGTCATATAATTGGAATTTTAGAGAATGTTATTTGTTTTAACTTGTGTTCCTTTAATAATTAAAAATAGAAAAATAAATCTTAGATATTAAAAAATAAACATTGATAATATTTATTCTGTTAATATCTATCAACAGATCTAACCAAAATTATAACAAAACTGGAAAATGGAGGAAGAATTGCACATGCTTATTATGGGGACAGTGGGACTGTAGGGACAGAAAGCTAAATTCACTTCATTCTATGAAAAATCAGTAGATAACTTCTGAAAATGAAAAAGTAGAAATAGCAATGTCCAAATACTACTTAGAGATGTAGATGCAAAAGCCAGAAAATAAATCAACTTAAAAATGTAAGTTGGGAATATAATATGAGAAAAGAGAAAAAGAACTTCAATATTTTATGACAAAAACTTGTAGGACCATTTCACTATTTAAACAAAGTACATTCATAACTTTAAAAAATAAAAATTAAATTTAAAAAATAAATTGCACAGGTTATTGCAGTACAAAGATAGCAAACTGGCACTGACTTCACTATATTTTCTTTTAGAGCATCTATATGTGCAATCCATTATTAACTATACAAAACAAATGCTTTCTAAAGTTTCTTCATGCTTTTTGGTAATAAATTTTAACTTAAAGAATACTCTATCTCCACCTTGAGTACTATCCTCACTTTTACTGACAAGTATTTCATAGGCATAATATTGCTGTTTGACTTTCTGCTTCCTCAGAAGTGATGAACGGAAGTCTTCTCTCCAAACCAAGAATTAAACCAGAGGCAGCATTCTTTAAGATTTCCCTCCTTTTCCACCTTGTTGTTTCAGAATTCTCCCAATAGATGTTAAGCCAAAAGTTTGGCCAATATAAGTTTATATCATTATTTCATATATCATTATGATAGATGCAGGAGGCAGATAAAGGAGGGTCCCCAGAGAATCTCCGACCTGCCCCACAAGTGTTTACATTAGATGATTTTTTGCAGATGAGGGAACCTGCCCAGGGTTTTGTCTGGGCATGCCCACAATGAACTGGGGTCCACCTGCACACTGGGAGAATGGGGTGGGCACCAGAAATTCATGCTTTATGCAGCAGGGAGGAGCCTGGCCCCTTCAGCTCCTGAGTGGTGTCCTGGTATTCAATCTGTGAGGCGGGAGCCTATTGGCAAGACCCCCTCTTTCTTTGCTGAGAGTTTCCTTTTCACCTAATAAACCCACCTCCTCACCCTTTAAAGTGTCCATGTGCCTAATTTTTCCTGGCTGTGAGACAAGTACCTGGATTTTAGCTAACCTAAGGAGCAAAAAAATCCTGCATCAATTATTTCAATAATTTGGCAGTCTGTGAGAAGAGGTGAGAATGTAGGCTCTGGGAATTACCAGCACTGGAAACTGATTTCAATACTATTTCTTCTCTAGTGATGCTTCTGACTGGCACTTTTCCTGATGCTGTCACCTATATTGTCAGAAATAAACCTCCATCTGCTGCTGACTTTCTCCTTATAGTGTTCAGTGGGAAAAACTTGGGTTTATTATGAACACTTTATTAATCTTTGTTTATCTACAGAGAAAAAGAATCTCCAAATGTCCTTCCAGATAATCTTCATTTACATATAGAGAAAAAGAATATCCAAATGTCCTTCCAGATAATCTTCATTTACATATAGAGAAAATGATTCCCCAAATTTGTTAAGTCATGCCTGACTCCTGCATCATTTTCAAAGCAGAGATAGTAAAGAGGAGCTGCTAAATAATACACATAGAGTTCCGTCTTAGTTAGCTCAGGCTGCTGGAGTAAAAATACCAGAAACTGGGTAGTTTAGACAACAAACACTTAATTCTTATAGTTCTGGAAGCTGGAAAGTCCAAGATCAAGGCCTGGTTTCTTGTCAGGAGGACCTGCTTCCTGACTTGCAGATATCTACCTTCTTGCTGTATCCTCTCAAGGGAGGGGTGAGGGTAAGCCCTCTTCTGTATCTTCTTATAAGGACACTAATCTCACCATAAGGGCTCCACCCTTGTCACTTATCCACCTCCCGCTCCAAGGTAGTATCTACAAATACCATCACAATGGGGAACAGGATTTCAATATATGAATTTTGAGGGGACACAAACATTCAGTCTATAAGAATTTCTTTCATTAAGGGGGATCTGAGTCCTCTCTGGCAAAAGTCAGTTATTTAATAGTATGCAGGGCTCTGAAAACCACTATTAATGAGTTACAAAGTAAAAAAGTATTAAGATATTAACAACTTATATGCCCTCATCCCTTCTCTGGCTTCTCAGAGGCAAACATTCTTACATTTGGGGTCACCTTCTGAGTTAATTTTATCATGCAAAATCTGTGTAAGAGAGTGAAGAGAAAATAAAACAAGAACAACAAAAAAGGCCAAAGAAAACATTAGCTAGAGAATCAGAAAAGATTCTCATGAATTGGTATCAAGGAAGCTTCTAGAATTAGAATTTGAGAGTGTAAAAGAGAGTTTTGAGGAATGACTGGCATCATTGGATAGGGTATAAAGACTGGTAGTTACAGGTAGGAGGAATTTTACATTAATAATTGTAACGGGCTGAATTGTGTTCTCCAAAAGATATGTGCATGTCCTAATCCCTGCGACTGTTACCTGATTTTGAAAAAGAGTCTTTGTAGATATAATTAAGTTAAGGATCTTGAGATAAGAAGACTATCTTGGATTACCTGGGTGGACTCTAAATGCCATCACAAGTGTCCTTATAAGAGAAAGGGAGTAAGAAATTACACAACACGCAGAAGGCAATGTGAAGATGCAGGCAGAGACTGGAGTAATTCATCCACAAGCCAAAGAATACCCGAAGCCACCAGAAGCTAGAAGAGTCAAAAAAAAGAAAAAAAAAATTCTCTTCTAGACCCCTCAGATGGAGTGCTGCTCTACTGACACCTTAATTTCAGATGTTTAGCCTCTATAACTGAGAGAATCAATTGCTGTAAGCTACCGAGTTAGTGGAAATTTGGTAAGGCAGACCCCCAAAATGAACACAATAATGCATTCTCAAAATCAATACAATAATATATTTGTTGACAATTTTCAAGGGATGTGGTAAGAATTTGAGGTATTTTTAATTATACTTTAGCTACCAACCCCTATTTCTTTAAATACGGTTTAAGGTTGGAGCCAAGTAAAGGGATTGAGTCATTGTACAGAATAACAACTAATATTAACTGAATGTTTCCAATATGCAGACACTTTTCTGGGCACTGTACATACATTAATTCTCTTTTTCACCAAAGAAAAATTTGAGGCTTAGGGGTTTTAGCAACTTACCCAAGATCACAGAGAAAGTGGTCATTAGTAGAACTATAATTGAAACCAAGGTCTTCTGAATTTGAAACCCAGTCTCTTAGTGGCACTACATTGCTTCTCATTTCAATTTGCAGCCGAGGGAGGAATTAGATGCTATGTGCCTGTGCTTTTCTTATCTAAGTGTCTTCCTCCCTTTTATCAATTAAAATATTAAAATTATATTTTAGTTCATATGAAAATTTATCTAAAGTTATCCACTGATATTGTATCAACACAACTTTGGAAAAATACAAATGTCTCTGCTACCTGGGGTCTCCAATGTTGGTATTAGAGGTACCCAGTCTGCTGTTTCCAACACCATGCTGTTCCCTAACTCTGAGAACCTTCCCCTTCTCCTCTTGACCAGATTACTCTTAAGAGTTACCTCTAGGATCTCCCTGGGACCCTCACTCATTAACTCTGCTTTTTACCTTCATAACACTTATGAAATCATTTTTTAGGATGACTATTGTCTAAACCAGAACATTTTTTGAAACTAAAAGAGGTATCTGTAGGTTAATTATACAAGGAAGTATGGTCACTCTAGCTATTTATTTAATGGGCTGGGTATGTTGTCCCTGTCTTTCCTTTGGAACTATAAGTACTGGAGGAGAGAGATATGATTTATTTCTGCTCTTCATTTTATCCCCAATGCCTGGAAGAGTGGCTGGCACTCAGTGAATACTCAATAAATACCTGATGAATGAATTCATATCAACCTTGATAATGTGAGAGAATTTTTTATATGGCGGCGAGAGGCATGATTGATATTCTTACAGTATATGGTAAAAATTATTTAAGATTCTTAAGTACCTATCCTGGAAAAATACTGGAATTATGAAGTGATTTACATTACTGAAAATTACCTAGGCCAAGGTATAATGAACATGTCCAAATCGGATTAACACCAACTTACATAAGGCTATTGTAGCACAATGAGGCAGGTACTTCTTTGCTTGGGCACAGCACAACCACAAACACTTGCTATGGCAAGTCAGACTTTCATCTCATCCAATTTGATCTTGTTCCTAGAGCCACAGGCTGAGTCACCTCTAATATGTAATCCAATTTATTGTAGCACTCTACACTGAGAATTCTGTTGCTCAGAATTCTGTAAAACATTAAAACACGTTTCGCACTTTCAGAAAAAAATATTAAAATGTTTAGAAGGCCATGGAGATTATCTTTAATCTACAATCTTGCTAAAAGAGCTAAAGCTCTTGCATGACTCTTAGTAAATTGGTACATAAAATGTTAAGTTCCTTGTCTGTAAGCCAGTACTTCCATAGAGCCCCCTACTATGTTACTTTGTCACCTTCGGAAAGACTTACTTTAGGTTTTTAAAATAAAAACAAATGACATCCAAGTTTCATTCTTAAAAAGAATGACTCCAATAGCCCTTTCTAATAAACTATTACTCAGAAGCAGATATAGATCGAATGCGTATCTTATCAAATAACTTCCAAAATTTTGCCTTCTTTACTTGTCTGAGCTGCTTGAAAGCATGATGGGCACCACATAAATAGATGTACAGATCATCTTGACTGCAGGCTTGTAATTGGGCCATTAATAAGAACTAAGTGGCAGTGTGCACTCTTCCTGAGAAAATATGATAAGGGTGGCACAGAAAATCTGGCATCTTTACAGTCCCATTACCGGCTCCAGAAAAAAGTCTTGGCTGAATTGAAGCAGAAAAACAATTTACCACATCACCAGTTGAAGCAGGATGTTCCAGCTCATCCAGTCTACTTACTGTACATTTTACTCTCTCCTCCAAGAGGCTTAGAAATCGTTCACGGTCAGATAACTAGTTATCCAAAGATAGACCCACAAGCACAATGTAGGCGAGGTAGATGCTTGTACTGATTTAGCTCCAGCCTATCATGGTTGAGCTGCTCAACCTCTAAGGAAGTAAAAAGATAAGGAATAAGCTCTATAGACCAGAAACTTAGTTTATACTTTAGAAGAGAGGGAACCTGAGACATGAAAATTTGTAATTAAATAAAGGATGCTCTCTCCATGTATCTCTCTCGCTCTCAAAATCTCTTTTCTCCTAAAACATAAATAAGTAAAATATATTATCTCTGAAAATTCAACATAAAATATTTATGGCATACATCTTTGTACATTGTTCTTTAGAAATACCTGTCCATGATATTATGAATTTAAAAAGATTACACATCTGTGTTGGATAACATACTTAATCCTAATAAAATTGAACAATGTTAGAGGTTAAATGTTGAAACAAAAGGAAGTAGAATCAAAACACTCGGTCTTTACTTGAAAGGCTCTCTGAAGAGGTTGATCAATGGAAAGATATTCAAGTATGGAAATCAATCCAGCTGTCAGGAGAGTTTTACTCTTGTCCTTTAGAAAAGGTTAATAAGAATTTATTATTAATGGGCCTGAACTTATGGCTCTAAATGAAATGTGAGTAACAGTAGTAAGCCAGATACATCATTTAAGAAGTAAAGTAATTGCATGGGGTTATTTCTGGGGCAGTAAATGACTTACCTCATCCTAGTGCAACACAGAAGTGAGAAGCACTTTCCTCACCAGATGAAAGACAGTCAAGTCATACTTTCTTGATGGTAGCCCTGAAGCACTCAGCTTCTCTACCACATTAGTGACCATCTGCACTCTGAGAGCAACAGACTGTCCCATGATGTGACCACTTTGATGTGTCATGGCCAGATGATAGGACATATTTTATTCATAGCCTGATCTTTCTCTAAACAACTTGTCTTAGTTTTGCTCACAAATTATATTTTTCTGAATACTCTGTATTAACACTAACATGGATTTGTAGAGTAAAAACAGTACATTACATGCTAATATCTAATCTTCTATTACTTCATTTCTTTCCAAATCATACGCCTTTAAAACCACACCATCATAGTGTCATCATCTGTAAGATTCTGTACTATTTAAGTTATACACCAGTTATATTGCTATTCACTTTAAGTAATCAGTATGGTGATTTCAGACTAAGGATTTGCTGATGAATATGAATTTTGTCTCTTCTTTATTCCCCAACTACACTTTTATAGAGTTATTCATCACAATTTTAACAGAGGGTATAACATCCTAGGAGAGAGATAGTCTTTGGAAGTTACAAATCAAATAATAAGCTCCTACAAACTTTTAAGCACTCTATTTAAAGAATTAACATCTACTAATATTAAATTATATTCTTCCCCACTGAGCTTCATCACTACTAAGGGAAAATAAAATTTAGAAAATAGCTTTTCTTAAATTAAAGAAAAAAAACTTTCTCCTTAGGACAGAAAGCATATGTGATTAATCTATTTTAACTTGCTTCTTCAGAAAGTCAATAAAGGATGAAAGTATTGATGTAAAGAAAGATGGCTGTAAGTGGTAGGACAGATCTCCTTTGCATTTAAAACCCATAGCACTTTCTAAAAACAGATATGTACATTTTAAAATATTATTTTATCATTTTGTGTACAGAATTACAAAGCAAGATTTTCATTCTTGATTAGTCAAAAAGTCAAGAGAGTGTAAGGCAATCTAATTTCCCATGCTTACATCAAGTCATATGGTGTATCTGATGTTGACTTCCCAAGGTCTTTAACAACAGTATAACTGCCTGCTGCCATCTCTAAGTAGGGACACCAAATCTAAGTGGTCACACATGCTATTATAAGGCAGAGCTGCTCTAGATTGCATGGCGGCCCTACTCAGCACTAAATTGCCTAAAAAACAAATTCTTTTTTTCTCAGCTTTATTAAGGTAATTGACTAACAAAAATGTATATATTTATGGTGTACAACGTGATTTTAATATATGTATACATTATGGAATGATTAAATCAAGTTAATTAACATATACATTACCTCCTTCACACACTTAACATTTTTTGTGGTAAGAACATTTAAGATCTACTCTCTCATTTCAAGTGTGCAACACATTATGATTAACTGTGATCACTATGCTGCACATTTTATCTCCAGAACCTATTCATCCTTTCTAACTGAAACTTTGTTCCATTTTACAAACGGGTGCCCCCAACAACCCCTCTTCCCAGTCTTTGGTAAACACCATTCCACTCTCTGTTTCTATAAGTTCAACTTTTTTAGATTCTACATATAAGTAAGATCATGCAGTATTTGTCTTTCGGTGTCTGGCTTATTTCACTTAGTATAATGTTCTCCAGATTCATCCATGTTGCCATAAACGACAAGATTTCCTTCTTTTTAAGGCTGAATAATATTTCTTTGTGTGTCTGTTACATACTTTCTTCATGCATTCATTTGTCAATAAACACTTAGGCTGATTCCATATCTTGGCCATTGTGAATAATGCTGCAATGAGCATAGGAATGCAGATTATCTCTTCAAAATACTGATTGCATTTCCTTTGGATATATACCAAAACTGGGATTGCTGGATCATATGGAAATTCTATTTTTAATTTTTTTAGGAACCTCCATACTGTTTTCCATAATGGCTTAACTAACTTACATTCCCACTAACAACGTACATGAGTTCACTGCCTAAAAAACTAATCTTAAAGAATATAATTAGAATGCTTGCCCAACTTTTTCAAAAGGACTATCAAAGCTTGCATCTCATCAAGCCTTACTTCTTTATTTGATTCAGTCATGACAAGAAGTCCAAATCTTTCAGATCATCCTTCATTCACAATCATATCTGCACACTCTCTAAACTGACCCAATTTTTGCCTTTCCCTTCCTTTCAAACTCTACCACTGGGCTACACTGTATTCTAAATATCTTCTCTAAGCTTCTCCTCACACTCATAACTGAAACCTATCTATGAAAACTTTATTTGCCTTTTAGCCTTGCCCTGAATTGTGACTCTTTTTCTTCCTCCCATATTTCCATGCTATGCCACCCAGATGGGCCCTCCTGGAAGTGTACTGCTTGTTGCTTTCTTCCCAGTAATTGGTATTTTATTCATAAAAGTTTGGGCATCCTTGCAGGGCATTCCATCAACCCTGCACCCCACAAACACTCACACACACTACTAGTCTCCCTTGTTGTGCTTCTGTAATTACTCCTGGTCACAAACACTCATTTGTGACCATTTTAGCACCTAGATTACTATCTTACTCTGCTTGTCATCATCCATATAAAATTACGTATTCAACTATTCACTTCTAGCACTCAAATATTCTACCCCGTCTCAGCTAACATTTTTCACTAATAAACGTACCACCCACAAAATGTATATTTCTAGCATCCCATTTTCTCACCAAAACTTCCTAACTTTCCAGTTGTTTTACTTTAGTACCCTCACAGCCATCTTTATCCCCAATGGTACTTCCAATCATATGACAATTCTTATTTGTATTAGTTTCCTATTGCTGCTATAATAAATTACCACAAACTTTGGAGTTAAAATAACATCCATTTGTTATTTTATAGTTTCTGTAGGTCAGAAGTCCAGGCACAGTATGGCTCAACTGGTTCTCTGCTTAGAGTCTCACAAGACCCAAATCAAGGTACTTGCTTTCCTAAAGGCTGTGGGGATGCTTCAACTTCCAAGCTCATTTAGGTTGCTGGCAGAATTCAGTTCCAAAAATTCCAAATGTAGTTCTAAGACTTGGGTCTGAGTTTCCTGCTGGCTGTTATCAGAGGTTGCTCTCAGCTTTTGAAATCCACCCATATTCACTGGCTTATGGTCTACTTTCTAATCTTCAAAGCTAGTAATTACAGATCAAGTCCTTGTATGCTTCAAATCTCTCTAACCTCCCTTCTGCCTCATCTCTCCTCTGCTTCCATCTAGAGAAGGTTCTCCACTTCGAAAGACTCATATGATTAGATTGTACCCACCCAGGTAATTCAGGAAAATCTCCCCATCCCAAAGTCTGTAACCTTAATCATACCTGCAAGATGCCTTTGCTACATAACATAACATATTCACAGTTCTGGAGATTAGGAGTTGGGTGTCTTTGGGAGGGCATTATTATGCCCACCACATCACTTTTTACTGCCCATAATTCCCCTGGTCTCCTCTTCTTTCACTTCTTACCCAGTTTAGATTTCATGAAATATCACAACAGTTCACCCTTCATAAAATTCCTCTTTCACTTTATCCCTTTCCTTCTATCTTATTTGTCTAGAAAAATCCTAATTCTGGCTAACAGCAACTTTACTCCAATTCTACACCTGTATCTAACAAACTGAGCATAAGTGGAGAAAAACATACCAGAATTAATAGCATAAATTGCATTTTAGTCCATGTATGCCAGCAACCCACTATGTATTTGTTGTAAATTCAGTATTCTACTCTTCAAGACAACTATTTCACATATTCTCCACTCTCCACAAACCTCCAAACTCTCCTCCCTAATTCCTTCTCAGCAGATGATCTTGTTTCCAATTTCACTGAAAAAAATTGAGGCAACTAAAAGGGAATTATCATCATATTACCATCATCATATGTAACCTACAGCCTACATGTTTTACTTCCCTACAGTTGATGAATTTTCTCTTCTCCTTCCCTTTTCTTATTTGAGGATGGCCCCTCCAACAGTAGGCCTCTCCACTCATCTATATCACACCAGTCATAATACCAGCCTGGTGTATAATCACTCATCTTAATGATACTTTCCCTTAATCACCCAATTTTTATTCCCATTTACAGAAAATTTTCTCAAAAGATAATTTTTTTTATTTTTTTACTTTTTCTGAGATGGGATCTCACTCTGTAACCCAGGTTGGAGTACAGTGTCGCAGTCTCAGCTCACTGCAACCTCCACCTCCCAGGCTCATCAATCCTCCCACCTCAGCCTCCTGAGTAGCTGGGACCACAGGTGAATGCGAACATGCCTGGCTAATTGTTTGTATTTTTAGTAGAGACAGGGTTTTGCCATGTTGCCCTGGCTGGTCTCAAACTCCCGAGTTCAAGCAATCTGCCTGCCTCGGCCTCCCAAAGTGCTGGGATTACAGGCGTGAGCCACCATGCCTAGGCTCAAATGAAAATTTCTGTACTTACTATCTCTTCATCTTTCTCTCTCAACTCACTGTAATCATGTTGTCCCCTCAAAAGAAAATTTCTATACCTGCTATCTCATCTTTACCTCCCTTAACTCACTGTAATCATGTTGTTGTCCCTTTTCTTTCATTGAAATCACTCTCTTCTTGATGACCAGTGACCTCTACCTCATTAAATCCAATGTTCAATTATTTGTTTCCACCATATCTCACCTCTTGGCAGGAGCTGACACTACTGACCGTCTTTTCTTTCTTGAAACATCTTGTTCATATGACTTCTAGGATATCGCTTCCCACAGTTTTTCTTGCAAAGCACACTTACCAATCCTCTTCATTCTCATGGTGTGGATTCTTTTCTTCTCAACATCAATTATTAGAGTGTCCCACATCTCAACAGTTTTGGGTATTCTCTACTATCTATAAAATAATTCTCTAATTAATCTCATTCAATCTCATGGTTTCAAGTAAGATCTAAATAAGATGACTCTCTAATTTCCAGTCCCATATTTTCCCTAGTTGAATAGTCAATCACCTCTTTCCCTCTCTACTTAGATCAAACTTAACAAAACTAAAACCAAACTCTTCATTTTATCCCTTACGACAGAGGCTACTAGTAGTTCCCAAATAACCATTATTTTTTTTCCTTTAGTAAAAGATCCTCAAATTTTCAAGAGGGCATATGGCTAGTTGGAATAAAGACTACATTTCTTCCTTGCAGTTAGACGTGGTTATGTTACTAAGGTTGCACCAATAGGATGTAAGTAAAAATATCATGTAAAACTTATAGAAGGTTCTGTGGGCAACTTCTGACCACACTAACCCATAAAAGATAGCACATTTCTCCCCAGATAGGAACTTTGTGACTGAATTATACTGCGTTATACCTGGAGGGCAAGTTATGCTTTGAACATGGTCTCTTGACTTGAACAGTCAAATGTTCCTTGACATGGTGGGAAAGTTGACTAATTTTTCATTCAATTATACCCCTTACCTCTCTTCAACCAGCAATAACACATTAATCTGAATCAAATATAAAGCACGTTCTGTTAAAAAATGAGATTTTAAGCAAAAATATAACCATAATTCCATTTATCATTCAGTGTCCCACCCATTCACTGTCAGCCTTCCATTTTGTAAACACCTCAGAGATTACCAAATGCAGAGCACTAGTTTGCGCACAGCAGCCCCTTACCTGAGTAAGTATACTGGAATAGCTAAGTAAGGAATGAAACCCACCAGACTTAGGAGTTCCAAGGGCATATACATATCCTTTCCATCTGTGAACTTAACTGTGAGGTAAGAGGCTAAACAATTCCTAGATACTCAAACAAGGTGTCATATATATTACTTCCACACGTATCTATAAATTGAACATTCCACATAACTCTTCTACATCTCTGGGGCACTGCTATAAACTGGATATCTTTCTTTACAGAACATATGAAGATGTAACTTGTCATGTTGGCTTTTTGCAGTAACAACTTTAGCAGTAGTATGGAATTCCACCATGTGCATTTCTATGTGCTGATCTCATCCTTCCCCTCATTATTTTGCTATGTTCTTATAGTGCTCATTCTCTCCATTACTTATTATATCTTTTTATGTGACTGTATTTTTGTGGAACACCTAAAATTCTTTGTGGAATAGTGCTGAGATAACTACACAAATAAAATTAAAATCTAGTGGCTGGAATGGGTAAATATGATTGCCAAAATACTTAGCAAGAAGTAGGGGCTTGAATTCAAGGCTGACAATCTATCTATAGGTGACAACTTGGCACTTCTTCACCACACAGAAAGGCTCCACTTTTCTTAAATTTTTTTTTTTTTTTTTTCCCAGACGCAGTCTCGCTCTGTTGCCCAGACTGGAGCGCAGTGGCGCGATATCGGCTCACTGCAAGCTCTGCCTCCCGGGTTCACGCCATTCTCCCGCCTCAGCCTCGGGAGTAGCTGGGACTACAGGCGCCCGCCAACTATGCCCAGCTAATTTTTTTTTGTATTTTTAGTAGAGACGGGGTTTCACCGTGTTAGCCAGGATGGTCTCAATCTCCTGACCTCGTGATCCGCCCGTCTCGGCCTCCCAAAGTCCCAGGATTACAGGCATGAGCCACCGCACCCGGCCTCTTAAAATATAATTGATTATTCATTATTATTTAATATTAATCTTTACCTTTTAAATGTGTTTTAAGACAGCTGACTGATTTCACCATTGTGACAGAGACCTGCTATCTGGAATAGGAACTTCATAAACCAACCACTCCTAAACCTTTCAGGCCATTGATAGTCATTTTCTCATATAGAAAAGCAAACAACCCTTGCCAAAGCCTTTCAGAAGTAAAGGCTGAAATTATTCAGAGAAGATGAGGCTCAGTTGGAACAAAATTGTCATAGAAAGAAATCAGGGAGGAGATGGAGGGAATCAGCTGGGAGGATATGAGGTGACACTGTCCCATTAGTTGTTAGATAAATGACAAAACATTATCGAAAAGAAACAATGTAATAAATGTTAGCATTCTGTTTCCCTTATACGCTTAGCTGTTGATAAGAGTGGGCATTTTACATCTTCAAGGGTGATTCTTAAACACCATTTGAATGAAAAGAAACGTGAGCAACTGAAAGGATTACCTGTGTCTGGGTTTCCCTGAAACCTAATATTATGAAGGAGAAAAGAAAAAGCAGAACTGCCATCCATCATTCTTTCCTTTTCATCTTTATATCACATTATCTAGCCACAATTTCCACACATTTCAAAGATTATGTATTAGTATTTTTATTCTTTTCAGATATTAGAAAGTCAAGCATGGGGTCTACATTTTGTACACACAATGTTAACTGATATAGAAGAGCAGTACAATCATGACCTCACTCGTATGGTAATTTTTTTACACAATACAGAAACTTCCCAGGGCAGCTCAAAATCCAGTAACTCAAAATAATTATGCAATGAAAATATAGCTTTAGGTGCATCATTTATTTCAAAAACAGAAAGCAGGACCTCAATCAATTTAATGCCTTAGGTAAGTGATTTAAAAAGATTAAGTCTTTAAGTGAAATTTCTCTGCCTGCCATAAACAGCAATTTATATCATGTGGTGGTTTTATATTATGTCAACTTAGCTAAGCTAAACTACATTTCCCGGAGTTCCCCATTCTGTATGTTTCCTGTGACAGATTCACTTGGGATGGCCCAAGTAAAGAGCAACCATTTTGTAGCTCTTCTACATCTTTGCTTATTACCTGACTCACCTTGTAGATGTGAGGCAGCAGCTGAGCCTGTAACTTCTGTGCCTTTCTCTGGATGCTCCATTAGCCTCTTTACTTCCTGGGCCAGGTGTGTGAGTTTAGGGCCCCAGCTTCTGCAGGACCCCCCCCATACTACCAAAATTGGAGACAAGAACTCATGTTTCAATCCATCTTCATGGTCTCTAGCTCACGTTTGTAAGTTTTAGTTTGCTCTTCATCAACCTTTCTTTATATCCATATTCCCTCACAACTGCCCGCCTTGTGGACTTCATACTCCAGGGTTAGGAAGACAAAGACCTTACAGAAATTTCTTAACCAGCTCTAACAATTCTGAAGGGTCAAATCTCTATAACAAACCCAAATCCCTTAATATATGCATACATATCTCCTAATGGTCTACTTTTCCAATTGAGCCTCGACTGATAAATCAGAATCTCAACCATATACCTTAACCTATAGTCACTGAAAACAAAAACTGTCTCTAATATCACAGGACATTATATAATATTAATAATCATATATAGGTCAGCTAGCTTGGAATAACCTCATTTATTTTCAGAGGCAAAGCACAACAGCAGGTACTTGTGATTCTGGACTACTTAACTGCCATATTTCCTCATTTTAAATCTTATACAGTGTCCCAATCCTAATGGTTTGGTGACCATTAAACTCCAACTTCCTGCATAACTTTGGACTGTAAAATCTTCCTCAATTTTAGGTCTCCTTTTCTCCTGTCTTGGTCGCATGGTGATCTCACCAGTACAGCTTCATTGTTCCTCCAAATAAAAAAGGGAAATTTATGCAGACTATCCATATAATAAGAAACTTCATGCTTTGGGATGAATACATATATAAATATTAAGGTATAAAACTTAAGATTTGCCCAGTGCACTATATCTAAATTATATTTTTTAAAGAGAATACCCACATCTTATGCTCCAGTAATGCTCACATTCTGTACTTTAAAAGAATGCTCTGCAACAGTGTCAGGACAAAAGGGTTAAGAGCACAGTTTTTCTTAAATTAGGTCTATCATTATGTTTGCTCATTATATCTGATACAAAGAAAATAACCATATCATTATCTTTTCCAAAAATCATGACATTATTGACTTCTTATAACATCAATGTGTGCTGATTATAAAAAAATTAAATTCAAGAAATTGTTTAAAAAGAAGAAATACTACCACTCAGCAATAATCAACAATTTGTGAAACTTTATTCTAGTTATCTCTCAAGGATTTCTGACATATATACTATATCAAGAGAAAAACAGCTAGCTAAATAACTTGATAGTGAGATAGATAAAACAATGTGTAACAATGATATTTTACCAGAGCTATATAAAAAGCACTGGATTTGCTTGAGTTCAAATCCCCACATTGTCGAGTAAACTAAGAAAGTTAAAAATCTTTCTGTGTCTCAGTTTTCTCATAAGTAAAATTGAGATAAAAATAGGGCCTTTCTTATACAGTTGTTGTAAGATTTAAATTAATTATTAGGTGTAAAGCCCATATTCAATAAGTGTTAATTATGTTGTAGATAAAGGTATTTTATTCTTAAGGCTTTTATGAAGGAAAAAACCTGAAATAATGGCTTAATGTTTCTTTAATGCTACTCCCTAAAGATCTCTATAATCAAGAAGAAAGATGTTAAAAGATACCAATATTTTGGACTTACTTTTGGTTATGTTTCTTTTTAGACAGTATTACTGATAGCTTGTTAATAAGAAAAAAAAAAAGATGTAAAGATAAGCAGTGATATATTTGTTAGTTATTTTATTTCATTTTACTTTATTTTATTTGAGATGGAGTCTTGCTGTTGTGGGCCCAGGCTGGAGTGCAATGGCGCGATATTGGCTCACTGCAACCTCCGCCTCCCAGGTTCCAGCAATTTTCCTGCCTCAGCCTCCCAAGTAGCTGAGGTTACAGGTATCCACCACCACGCCCAGCAAATTTTTGTATTTTTAGTAGAGATGGAGTTGGTTTCACCATGTTGGCCAGACTGGTCTAGAACTCTTGACCTCAGGTGATCCACCTGCCTGAACCTCCCAAAGTGCTGGAATTACAGGCATGAGCCACTGCGTCCAGCCTATTTTTATTATTTTATCGAGATTTATAAGATTTTTTTATCTTTTATTAAAAATTTTCCCAGTTATATGTGGTCTGTATTTAAGTGGATTCAACAGTCATGACCAATCATTCTACTGCTACTTCCACATTTCTGAGTTCATTATTTAGATTTATCTCTTGATTAGTTGAATTTCAGTTTATTCATTTATTCTAGAATAATTTTGGGCTTCTATATCCCCTGAGTTCTTCCATGTTTGAGAATGCCTTTCTGTTGCCTTATTAATTCCAAAATAAATACTTAGCTGAACATAAAGGACACTCTTTGATCACAGTTTCTCTTTAGAAATTGTTAGACATTCTTCCATTATCATCTGACACTACTGTGGAGAAGACTGAAAGCAGCTATTATCAGGGAAATTTTCCTTTATAACTACACCTACTTTTTCTCACTCATTTGTTGTCGTGTCTACTTCAAGAATACAATTATCCTTATATTTATTCCTGTCTGTCCTTTATAACTGTTTCTGCACTTGCTTTGCTATGTTGCTTTTTTCCCCTCTTTTTTTATGACCATCTTTCCTGTATGTCAATAGTTGCATTTAAGCTATTTACTCTATTTTTGTATTTGTAGCATATTTGTGAAATCTGTAACAGAGTTTGCTGTTGTTGTACTCATGCTATTTCTCTTGTTCTTCAATCTCACATTCCTTCTCATTCTACTGTTTAACAGTTTTTTTTTAACAGAATTTATATTTGTATCTTTGGGAATTTTGTTTCTTGAGTTTTCTTATAGATTGACTTATTTGCCCTTTTATTGGAATGTCTTTTTTCAATTTTTGTGATAGTGTGTTTGCACATTCTTCCTATATCAATGCTATGATCAATGTGACTGCAGCTCCTCCCAAGAAGAGAGAAAATCTATCTCCTATCTCTTAACTTCATTCAAGCCTTGTGACTTTTTTAGCCAAAGAAATATGATGTATTTGTCCAAAGACTACCCCCAAGAAACACTGTGCACATCTTTCAGCCATGGACACCACTGTGAATCCCGAAACAGCCTTGTGACCCAGCTCCAGCTCTGCTCTACCACCAGTCCAGAGTCATTCCTTCCTGTACAGGGTCGTGATGAGAGCCCCTGGGTACAGGCCTGCTAATGATAACCTCAGGCCCAACTACGGATCCTGAAGTGGTCCTGTGGCCCATCTCACCCTATTCTTACTCCTGCCCACCTCAAGACCCAGCAATGACCATCTGTGTCCCTGGTAGCATACACACCTACCTCCTCTTGGCTGTGGACCCTGAGGTCAGTCTATGAATTGACTGTGGACCAACCTTGAAGTATCCCTGAGACTCTATTCCAGCCCTAGTCTGCAGCAGTTCAGGGGCAGTCCTTCCTGCCCAGAGAACCTGTGGGACACACACCTGTCCAAGCCCCCAGTGCCAGGCCTGCTGACTTAGGTCCTGACTGAAGACCCTGAAGCAGCCCTGTGACCTGGCTCCAGCCCCAGTCTACCATGGTCCCAAAGGCAGGCTTGTTCCCCTGGGAATCCAGTGGCAACCATGTGCAGTAACAAGTCTTCCAACTTCTGACTCACCTATAGCCAAAAACAGCTACATGATCTGGCTCCAGCCCCAGCTGACTGTGATCACAGAGGTAGTCCCATGAATGCAGGGATCTAGCAGGAGAAAGTCTTTACCTGCTAAAACTAGTCTGCAAAGACAGGAAGAGGTGTTTGCCCCTTCAGACATATAGATATCAACACAATAAACCTATGCATATACAGTCAACCAATCTTCAACAAAGTCACCAAAAGTGCACTATGGGGAAGGAATAATCTCTTCAATAAATAATACTGGGAAAACTGGATACCCACATGCAAAAGAATGAAACTGAACACTTATCTTACACCGAACACAAAAATCAACTCAAAATAGATTAAAGACTTAAATGTAAGACCTGAAACCATAAAACAGCAGAAAGAAAACAGGGGAAAATATCCTTAACATTGGTCTTGGCAATGATTTTTTGGATAGGAGATTAAAAGCACAGGCACCAAAAGCAAAAACAAAAAGTGAAACTACAGTCATGTGTAGCTTAAAGATGGGGTTACATTTTGAGAAATGCATTTTAGGTGATTTGTTCACTGTACAAACATCATAAAGTATACTTACACAAACCTAGATAGTATAGGCACTATACACCTAGGCTAGATGGTATGGCCTATTGCCCCTAGACCATAAACCTGTCTGTGACTGTACTGAATACTGTAGGCAACTGTAACACAATGGTATTTATGCACCTAAGCCTATCTAAACATAGAAAAGCTACAATAAAAACATTGTAAAAAAGATTAAAAATTGCATACCTGTATAGGGCAGCTCCATTATAATCTCATGGGACCACTATACTGTATATGTTCATCATTGACCAAAACATCATTATGTCACACATGCCTGCACATCAAACAAAAGTTTCTGCACAGCAAAGGAAATAACCAACAAAATGAAAAGGCAGTCTACAAAATGGGAGAAAACATTTCATTTCAACCCACATACATAAGGGGCTAAAAGGGAAATATTTAAGGAACTCATATAACTCAATAGCAAAAAATAAATAAATAACACAATTTTTCAAATGGAAAAAGGACTTGAATCAACATTTGTCAAAAAAAGGCATATATATGAGCAACCAGGGTGTGAAAAGATGATAAACATCACTAATCATATGGGAAAAGTTCATTAAAACCACAATGAGATATCAATTTGCACTTTTTAGGATGACTATTATAGAAAAAAACAAGCGATAACAAAAGTTGGTGAAGACGTGAAGGAAGGGAACCTATGTACCGTGCTGGTGAGAATGCAAACTGGTACAACCACTATGGAAAACAGTACAGAGGTCCCTCAAAAGATGAAAAACAGAACTATTATGTTATCCAGCAAACCCACTCTGGGTATACTCCTTCCAAAGGAAATAAAATTAGTATGTCAAAGAGATACTTACACTTCCATGTTTCCTGCAGCATTATTCACAATAGCCAAAATATGTAACCAACCTAAGTGCCTGCTGATGAATTAATGGATAAAGCAAATGTAGTGTATATATACAATGGAATATTATTCAGCCTAAAAAAAAAAGGAAAATTCTGCCATTTTCAACAACTTGGGTGGATCTGAAAGACATTACCTTAAGTGAAATAAGCTAGGCACAGAAAGGCAAATACTGCATAATCTCACTTATATGTAATTCTAAAAAATTTGAACTCACAGAAACAGAGAGTGGAAGAGTGGTTACCAGAACAGGGGCTATGGGGAGATGTTGGTCAAAGGGTACTAATCTTCAGTTATAGGATGAATAAGTTCCAGAGACCTGATGTACAGCATGACGACCACAGTTAATAATAACATATTGCATACTAAAAATTTGCTAAGAGAGTAGATCTTAAGTGTTCTCACCACACACACACAAAAAGGTAACTACAGTATTAGGTAATATGTTAATTATATTGTGGTAATCATTTCAAAACATGTGTATCGAAATCTCATGTTGAATGCTTTAAATATATACAATTGTTATTTGTCAGTCATACCTCAAAAACGCTATACAGAAAAAAGAAACTTTGTGCACTTCTGCCTCCTCTCTTGAACTCTGTCCAGCCCTAACATGAACAATCGTGGGCTAGACTGCTAGGGCATGAGAGACCACAAAGAGTTAATGGACAGTCCCAGTAAGTCAGCCTCCAAAGGATCTGGCAGCTGACTGCAGACTTATGACTGGGCCCAGCTGAAACCAGAACTGCCTAGCTGAGCACAGATCAATTGCAAACCTGCAGGACTGTGAATTAAATAAATACTCATTATTTTAAAACACTGAATCATGGTAGTTTGTTTTCCAACAAAATATAAGTGATCTAGTCTCCATGCCTTTCTTTTCATCCTGCTGAGAGACTTAACATTGGTGTCTTTATTCAGAATACCTACTGTCTTTAATAATATCAATATGAGTGAATTCTCTTGTATCCTGTCTTCATTGGTTTTTTTTTTTTTCTATGACCCATCTTTCTGCACACTTCAGTAGGAGTGCTGGCTACTACTTCTTGTCTATTTTGCCGAAGCCTAGAGGCATGGAGATGAGGTAGCATTTAGTTGAGAGGGCATTTAGCATTTGCTGGGTTTCTGAACTTGTTTCTTTCATCAGAGATGCCATAAATACTCACACTCAGGCCCACTTACATAGTGAGGGTCTTCTCTCACTCTCATGGGCTTCAGCTCATTCTCCAAGATTGTGAAGGGTCTGGTCTCTAAGACCTTTCAGCCCCACTAATGAATGTTTTTTCAGTGGTAGAAAAGGATGTCTACTTTCAAATGTTTGGGGTTTTTGGTTTTTTACTTTCAAGAGTTTTTCACCAGTCTGCCTACTCACCTTAAAAGGCTACTTCTCTCCAAATTGGGTCATTAGTAAAATTTTTTGGAATTTCATTATGTGTGCTTTATTCCATCATATGAAAAGCAGGTCTCAGGGGTTAGGGGATAGGTTCTGCCTTACCAGAATCTTCTTTATCTTTCCTCATCTGCCATTTTTTGAGGTTTATGGCTTGATGTTATACCTCTTTTCCTTAATTTTTGCCCCCTTGTAATTTGCAAGTTATTTTTCCTTACCAGTTTTGATTTATTTTTTATGTATAAGGGATTTTGCTTTATTTTATCCATAAGTTGGTCATATGTGTATCACATTACACAAAGTTATGCACAATAACATCACATTTCTCTATTATTCTCTAAAGAAGTAAAACCCAGAAGTATAAAACACTTCATATGTCTGAAAAGGTGACTCTGTCACTTCAATTGTGTAGTTACTCCTGCCCTAAAGATTGTTACCAATTGCAAGATTATTGAAAAGACTTGTGATTTCTAACTAGGTGACTGATAACACTTAAAACAGTGTTCACTGTTGGAGAGGTCTAAAATTCACACGAAATTAGGGTGAACTGCTCTAGCCTGCTTGAGGCATAAGGGATCCTTAAGCCTGCCTGGGCCTTTTTTCTTTTTTCTCCTAGCCAGAACCCTTCATGATGAATAACATGTTCTCTGAGGCCTAACGCTTCCTGAGCTTCCTTTGTCCTGCTTAAAAAGCCTTTATGTTGGAGAATCCCACACATTCTCCCTTTTTTTCCTCTCAAAGCAGGGATTCTGGAGACACTCACTTTCAGCTAGACGGCTTTGTATTTGCAGCTTATTTTGTGGTTAAGAATACAGTAAATCAGTGACCTCCTTTCCCCTATCTGCTATGTAGTTTATTTAATTTAGCCTTTTAATATAAAACTGGTGTGAACTAGGAGACAGTAGAGAAGGGTTAGAGTCCTGCCAGGCACCCGCAAGTTAGAATCTCCAAATGCTTGTGAAACTTTACAAATGATGATGAGAAAGACTTCAAATGGAAACCTGAAGAGGAGCATCAAAAGCTTCCTCTTTTTTTTTGTCTCACTTTCTATGATTTTTGACTATTATGTTTTATAGGTTTCTACAATAAAGGAATTAAATTGGGAAGAATTTTGGGAAACTAGTATAATATAGACATGAAAAACTACATAAATTATCTGTGAGGTTTTCCTTTTCAACAGACCTGAGTTGTCACTTGGCTTGTTCCTGTGTTGTCTCAGTTGCATAGTACACAAATTACTTTTGGGATCTTAGAGAAGCTTTTCTAAAAAATGATAGGGTAAGGTTAAGATTCAGAGGCTTAAGCCCTGTATTAGTCCGTTCTCACATTGCTATAAAGAAATACCTGAGACGAGGTAATTTATAAAGAAAAGAGGTTTAATTGGCTCACAGTTCTGCAGACTGTACAGGAAGTGTGATGCTGACATCTTCTTGGCTTCTAGGAAGTGGGGGGCGGTCTCAGGAAACTTTCATGGTGGAAAGTGAAGGGAGAACAGGTAAGTTACAATGGCCAGAGCAGAAGCAAGAGGGAAAGGGGGGAGGTGCTACACACTTTTAAAGGACCAGATCTCACGAGAACTCACTATCACAAAGACAGTACCACAGGGGACGGCGCTAAACAATTCATGAGAAATCCACTCCCGTGATCCAGTCACCTCCCACCAGGTCCCACCTCCAACACTGAGGTTTACATTTCAATATGAGACTTGAGCAGGAACACACATCCAAACTATATAATACCCTAATCCATGCATTATTTCTAAAAATTGATTCCAAGGTTTACTGTAACAATAATGATCATACTATATAAACAAATATATTCCCATTATAATAATTGAAGAGTTAGGAAAAATATTAATATGAAATCATCAATGAAAGAATTTTCCAATTATTCTTCTTTCTTGTTCAATATATTACTTAACTGCAAAAGTAGTTGTAGGGAAACATCGGTTGGTTTTATATACTCAGGCTCTACAACCCTTTGATTTGCTACAGGTGCTCATTTTTACTCTTTTAACATACAGTGTGGTAGACTGTAGTTTAGGATACCTCTCCTCTCCCAGCTAAGGAGTGATAGGTACGAAGCCCAAACTTGGACAGCCAGATTCTCCTCCAACAAATTCAGAATTTCAGTCTTAATTATAATGACATAAAGACTGAAATCAGCTGGCTTTCATCATCCCAAAGGTAAAATTATGAAGCACGTTTCACCTGAGGAGATTAAAAAACTATTGCTGCCTGTGTCCGCCCAAGGGATCCTGATTTAATTGGTCTGGGTGTGGCCTAAGCATCAGGGCTTTTAAAAGTTTCCCACCTTATTTTAAAGTTCAGCAAGAACTAAGGACCACTTCTGCAGTTCAAAAGAGACTCTCTATTAGTCTACTTTGATCTGTGAAGATGCCCTGTGTTCTAGTCTGTTCTCACACTGCTAATAAAGACATACCTGAGACTGGGTAATTTTATAAAGGAAAGAGGTTTAATTGACTCACAATTCCACTGGCTGGGGAGGCTGAACAATCACTGCAGAATGCAAATGAGGAGAAAAGTCACGTCTTACATGGTGGCAGGCAAGAGAGCGTGTGTATTACAAAACCATCAGATCTCGTGAGACTTATTCACTATCAAGAGAACAGCATGGGAAAGACCCACCCCTGTGATTCAATTATCTTCCTCTGGGTCCCTCCCATGACATATGGGAATTATGGGAGCTACAATTCAAGATGAGATTTGGTTTGGGACACAGCCAAACCATATCACCCTGCCTGATTCATATTTTTTTCAAAGGCTGGTTCTTCAGATTTTTCTTTAATATTGTGAAATACCCTATGTTATTCTGATAAATATTGTCTACATTAGTCAAAGTCAGTTTCTGTCACTTGCAACCAAAGAGCCTTAATTGTTACAGTGGTGAAAACTGAGCAAAAAATGTTAACTTTTAAAAAAATGTCCTCCCATTAACTCTTCCATCCTTCTCAACTGAAATGTTCCTCTTCCATCCACAGGACCACAATGAAAGGCTGAGCAGAGTACTGACTGCCCAGAGCCCTTAGCCAAGGAGGGAGTGGAGACTATAATTCAGCCTACACTCTTCCTGTTAAACAATGTAAAATAGCATGCGACTGATGTGCCCAGAGGAAGACACACTTAAAAAAAAAAAATTTCTGTAATCCCAGAACTCTGGGAGGCCAAGGCATGTATATCACCTGAGGTCAGGAGTTCAAGACCAGCCTGGCTAAATGGTGAAACCCTGTCTCTACTAAAAATACAAAAATCAGCTGGGTGTGGTGGTGTGCTCATGTAGTCCCAGCTACTTGGGAGGCTGAGGTAGGAGAATCGCTTGAGCCTGGGAGGCAGAGGTTGCAGCGAGCCAAGATCACACCGCTTGCTGCACTCCAGCCTGGGAGACAGAGGAAGACTCCATCTCCAAAAAAAAAAATAATAATAATAATAATAAATAGATAGATATATTTTTATATACACACACACACACACACACACACACACACACACACACACACACAAAGACACCATCTTTTTTTCAAGACTTAAGCCCATGGAACTATTATGCAAAAAAATGGGTGTCTTTTTCTAATCTGCACAAATAAAACATATGGGTAGTTGTCCTGACTGTTCACTTTCTAACATGATCAATCATTTATTTCCTTCTTTAAACTTCAACACTTAGAATATTTTATCTATCTAAAGACCTTTCTCTCTCACTTTCAAGATCTACCTCACAACTACTTTTCCTCAGATCACTCTGAATAGGTAATAAGAAGACAACTTTTTATATTACTCACATATGTATTTCAAGAATTGATTATTAAACATTTCCAATGTTTTTCTCAGTGTCTGTAGAGGATTTCAATTCATATGAGGAAGAAAAGTGTCTCTTCTGATTGTAGTACCAAGGTTGTGGAATCAGACAGTAAAGAGGTCAGCCAGGCGTGGTGGCTGAGGCCTGTAATCCCAGCACTTTGGGAGGCCAAGGTGGGTGGATCACCTGAGGTCAGGAGTTCTCGACCATCCTGGCCAACATGGCAAAACCCCATCTCTACTAAAAATACAAAATTTAGCTGGGTGTGGTGATGCATGCCTGTAATCCCAGCTACCCAGGAAGCTGAGGCAGGAGGATCACTTGAACCTGGGAGGCGGAGGTTGCAGTGAGCCGAGATCATGCCATTGCACTCCAGCCTGGGTGACAGAGCAAGACTCTTCAAAAAAAAAAAAGAAAAGAAAGAAAGAAAGAAAGAGAAAGAAAGAAAGGAAAAAAGGAAGAAAGGAAGAAAGAAAGAAAGAAAGAAAGGAAGAAAGGAAGAAAGAAAGAAAAAGAAAGAAAGAAAGAAAGAAAGGAAGGAAGGAAGGAAGGAAGGAAGGAAGGAAGGAAAGAAAGAAAGAAAGAAAGAAAGAAAGAAAGAAAGAAAGAAAGAAAGAAAAAGAAAGAAAGAGGCCAAAAATCATAACATCTATCTACTGACTGAAAGTGGTATTGGCATGTTGGGTGTTTCTTTTGCCCCATCCCAAGTAAAATGATTAATAAAGAAAAATAAGGTATTTATTTAGTTGTCTAAAAAATACTTTCCACTGAATTCAGTTCTTCAAAGAAATATATATAGTAAAACCAAAATTTTTGCTTTCAAATGATTTGGCATGATTGGGCAATTTTAACATATTTAATCTATTGGAAGCTATTTCTCACAGAAAATTCCTAAGCTGCCTCAAAGTGAAGATAAAAGATTCTCAACGTAATATCTATTGCCTACTCAGCCACCATCCAGAAGGTGCAACTTTTCTTAAGTATTTCAGAGACTGATGATTTATCAGCTTCGCCTTCATTAGATTTATATGGTACATAGGATTTGTTTGTCACTTCTACATGAAAGCAATTTTCCTTTTACAGTTTAACAAGGCCAACTAAGGTTTTATTTTAGTTTGGTTTATTTGGTTTGATTATACTTTATTAATCTCTCAGTATAAAACTTTAACAGATTATACTCATTTTTAAAGATGGCTGTAGATTACTAAACAATCAAAAAATTTTCCCACACGCAAAAGCATCCAATGGTGCTTGTTATTTAAGATCAGCATGAAATGAAAAGTCTAGTCCTTTCAGTTTAATGTTAATTAAGTCTTGCCCAGAGCTCATAGACATCTGAGAGAAGGATCATGTAAAGGAGTAGAAGGAGTAGTCTTTACATAAAATATACTGGAGATATAAGGTGAAAATAACTGAATTCATGGATTTAAGCTCAGACTAGCCCTGCAATTTTATGGAATACCATGGAAGAGTCACTAAAATACTATGCTGAATTAGAAGGATATGTGATTGTTAATAAAATGACATTCAAAATACATTGTTTAAATCGCTATAATAAAATATTGTCTCTGGAGCTATGGACTAGTGAGCCCTGATTCAAGTTCGTAAAATGTCCACTGAGGTCTCATCAAAGGGAGCTTAATTCCTATCAGAGACCAACTGAAGAGGTGTTTCGTTTTGTTTTGTTTTTATAGGACTTGTATTAGTCTGTTCTTGCACTGCTATAAAGAATTACCTGAGACTGGGTAGTTTATAAAGAAAAGAGGTTTAATTGGCTCATGATTCTGCAGGCTCTACAGGAAACATGGCTGGATAGGCCTCGGGAAAGTTACAATCATGGTGGAAAGTGAAGGAGAAGCAGGCATATCTTACATGGCCTGAGCAGGAGGAAGAGAGAGAGAGGGGAGGTGCCACACACTTTTAAACAACAAAATCTCATGAGCACTCACTCACTATCATGAGAGCAGCACTGAGGGGGAAATCTGCTCCCATGATCCAATCACCTCCCACCAGGCCCACCTCTAACATTGGGGATTGCAATTCGACACGAGATTTGGGCAGGAACACAGACTCAAACTATATCAGGACTGGTAGGATACTAGTTATGATCAGTGAGAAGAAATAAAAAATACCTCATAAAATAACCAATTCCTCACTCATGGTCTAAAACTGCTTATTTTCAAAAAATGACAGATGATGATGAAGTTGCAGAGCAAAGAGAATGCTTAAACACTGTTGGTGAGAATGTAAATTAGTTCAGCCATTGTAGAAAGCAGTGTGGTGATTTCTCAAAGAACTTAAAATAAGCCGGGCGCTGTGGCTCAAGCCTGTAATCTCAGCATGTTGGGAGGCCAAGGTGGGCAGATCATGAGGTCAGGAAATCGAGACCATTCTGGACAACGTGGTGAAACCCCATCTCTAGTAAAAATCAAAAATTAGCTGGGTGTGGTGGCACATGCCTATAATCCCAGCTATTCGGAACACTGAGGCAGGAGAATTGCTTGAACCAGGGAGTTGGAGGTTGCAGTGAGCCGACTTCACGCCACTGCACTCCAGCCTGGTGACAAAGTGAGACTCCATCTCAAAAAAAAAAAAAAAAACTTAGAATTACCATTTGATTCAGCAATTCCATTATTGGGTATAAACCCAAATAAATGTAAATCATTCTGCCATAAAGACACATGCATACCTATTTTCTTTGCAGCACTTTCACAAGAGCAAAGAGAATCAACCTAAATGCCCATCAAAATCAGATTAGATTAAGAAAATGTGGGGATGGAGCTCAAGATGGCCAAATAGGAACAACTCTCGTCTGCAGCTCCCAGCGAGACCAACACAGAAGGTGGGTTATTTCTGCATTTCCAACTGAGGTACCTGGTTCATCTCACTGGGACTGGTTAGGCAGTGGGTGCAGCCCACAGAGGGCGAGCAGAAGCAGAGGGGGGCATCGCCTCACCCAGGAAGTGCAAGGGGTCGGGGAACTCCCTCCCCTAGCCAAGGGAAGCCATGAGGGACTCTGCCTTGAGGGACGGTGCTATCTGGCCCAGATACTAGGCTTTCACCATGATCTTTGCAACCCACACACCAGGAGATTCCCTCAGGTGCCTACACCACCAGGGCCCTGGGTTTCAAGCACAAAACTGCACAGCTGTTTGGGCAGACACCGAGTTAGCTGCATTAGTTTTTTCGTACCCCAGTCGCACCTGGAATGCCAGTGAGACAGAATCATTCACTCTCCTGGAAAGGGAGCTGAAGCCAGGGAGCCTAGTACTATTACTAAGCAGATCCCACCCGCACAGAGCTCAACAAGCTAAGATCCACTGGCTTGAAATTCTCGCTGCCAGCATAGCAGTCTGAAGTCAATCTGGGATGCTCAAGTTTGGTGGGAGGAGGGATGTCTGCCATTACTGAGGCATGAATAGGCAGTTTTCCCCTCACGGTGTAAAGAAAGCTGCCAGGAAGTTCGAATTGGGTGCAGAACCCACCGCAGCATGGCAAAGCTGCTGTAGCCCGACTGCCTTTCTAGATTTCCTCCTCTCAGGGCAGGACATCTCTGAAAGAAAGGTGCAGCCCCAGTCAGGGTCTTATAGATAAAACTCCCATCTCCCTGAGACAGAGCACCTGGGGGAAGGGGCAGCTATGGGTGCAGCTTCAGCAGACTTAAACGATCTTGCCTGCTGGCTCTGAAGAGAGCAGTGGATCTCCCAGCACAGTGCTAGAGCTCTGCTAAGGATCAGACTACCTCCTCAAGTGGATCACTGACCCCTGTGCCTCCTGATTGGGAGATATCTCCCAGCAGGGATTGACAGACACCTCATACAGGAGAGCTCTGGCTGGCATCTGGTGAGTGCCCCTCTGGGACAAAGCTTCCAGAGGAAGGAGCAGGCAGCAATCTTTGCTGTTCTATAGCCACCTCTGGTAATACTCAGACAAACAGGGTCTGGAGTGGACCTCCAGCAAACTCCAGCAGACCTGCAGCAGAGGGGCCTGACTGTTAGAAGGCAGACTAACAAACAGAAAGCCATAGCATTAACATCAACAAAAAAAATGCCCCGACAAAAACCCCATCCAAAGATCACTGACATCAAAGACCAAATGTAGATAAAACCACGAAGATCAGGAAAAACCAGTGCAAATAGGCCAAAAATCCCAAAAACCAGTATGCCTCTTCTCCTCCAAAGGATCACAACTCCACACCACCAAGGGAACAAAACTGGACAGAGAATGAGTTTGACAAATTGACAGAAGTAGGCTTCAGAAGGTCGGTAATAGGGCTGTGAGCAGTGGCTCACGCCTGTAATCCCAACACTGGGAGGCCAAGGTGGGCAGATCATGAGGTCAAGAGATCGAGACCATCCTGGCCAACATGGTGAAACCCTGTATCTACTAAAAATACAAAAATTATCTGGGTGTAGTGGCACGCAACAGTACTCCCAGCTACTTGGGAGGCTGAGGCAGGAGAATCACTTGAACCTGGGAGGCGGAGGTTGCAGTGAGCCGAGATTGTGCCACTGCACTCCAGCCTGGTGACACAGTGAGACTCCGCCACCAAAACAAAAAAGAAAAAAGAAGGTGGGTTATAACAGACTCTTCCAAGCAACAGGAGCATGTTCTAACACAATGCAAGGAAGCCAAGTACCCTGATAAAAGCTTACAGGAACTGCTAACTAGAATAATCAGTTTAGAAAAGAACATAAATGACCTGATGGAGCTGAAAAACACAGCACGAGAACTTTGCGAAGCATACACAAGTATCAATAGCCGAATCAATCAAGTGGAAGAAAAAATGTCAGAGACTGAAGATCAAACGTGAAGACAAGATGAGAGAAAAAAGAATGAAAAGGCACGAACAAAGCCTCCAAGAAATATGGGACTATGTGAAAAGACCAAACCTATGCTTGATTGGTGTACCTAAAAGTGATGGGGAGAATGGAACCAAGATGGAAAACACACTTCAGGATATTATCCAGGAGAACTTCCCCAACCTAGCAAGACAGGCCAACATTCAAATTCAGGAAATACAGAAAACACCACAAAGATACTCCTGGAGAAGAGCAACACCAAGACACATAATTGTCAGATTCACCAAGGTTGAAATGAAGGAAAAAATGTTAAGGGTAGCCAGAGAGAAAGGTTGGGTTGTCCACAAAGGGAATCCCATCAGACTAACAGCAGATCTCTCTGCAGAAACCCTACAAGCCAGAAGAGAGTGGGGGCCAATATTCAACATTCTTAAAGAAAAGAATTTTCAACCCAGAATTTCATTTCCAGCCAAACTAAGCTTCATAAGTGAAGGAGAAATAAAATCCTTTACAGGCAAGCAAATGCTGAGGGATTTTGTCACCACCAAACTTGCCTTACAAGAGCTCCTGAAGGAAGCACTAAATATGGAAAGGAAAAACCGGTACCAGCCACTGCAAAAAACATGCCACAATGTAAAGACCATCAACACTATGAAGAAACTGCATCAACTAATGGGCAAAATAACCAGCTAGCATCAGATGACAGGGTCAAATACACACATAACAATATTAGCCTTAAATGTAAATGGGCTACATGCTCCATTAAAAGACACAGACTAGCAAATTTAATAAGGAGTCAAGACCCATGGTTGTGCTGTATTCAGGAGACCCATCTCACATGCAAAGACACACACAGGCTCAAAATAAAGGGATGAAGGAATATTTACCTAGCAAATGGAAAGCAAAAAAAAAAAAAAAAAAAAAGCAGGGGTTGCAATACTACTCTCTGACAAAACAGAACTTTAAATCAACAAAGATCAAAAAAGACAAAGAAGGGCATTACATAATGGTAAAGGGATCAATGCAGCAAGAAAAGCTAACTATCCTAAATATATATGCACCCAATACAGGAGGTCCCAGGTTCATAAAGCAAGTTCTTGGAGACCTACAAAGAGACTTAGACTCCCACACAATAGTAGTGGGAGATTTTAACACCCCACTGTCAATATTAGACAGATCAATGAGACAGAAAATTAACAAGGATATTCAAGACTTTAACTCAGCTCTGGACCAAGCAGACCTAATAGACATCAGCAGAACTCTCCACCCCAAATGAACAAAATATACATTCTTCTCAGTACCACATAGCACTTATTCTAAAACTGACCACATAATTGGAAGTCAATCACTCCTCAACAAATGCAAAAGAATGGAAATCACAACAAACAATCTCTCAGACCACACTGCAATCAAATTAGAACTCAGGGTTAAGAAAGTCACTCAAAACTGCACAACTACATGGGAACTGAACAACATGCTCCTGAATGACTATGGGGTAAATAACAAAATTAAGGCAGAAATAAATAAGCTATTTGAAACCAATGAGAAGAAAGACACAATGTACCAGAATCTCTGGGACACAGCTAAAACAGTGTTTAGAGGGAAATTTATAGCACTAACTGCTCATATGAGAAAGCGGGAAAGATCTAAAATCTACACCCTAACATCACAATTAAAACAACTAGAGAAGCAAGAGCAAACAAATTCAAAAGCTAGCAGAAGACATGAAATAATTAAGATCAGAGCAGAACTGAAGGAGATAGAGACAGAAAAAACCCTTCAAAAAAGCAATGAGTCCAGGAGCTGGTTTTTTGAAAAGATTAACAAAATAGACCACTAGCCAGACTTACAAAAAAGAAAAGAGAGAAGAATCAAATAGACACAATAAAAAATGATAAAGGGGATATCACCACTGATCCCACAGAAATAAAAACTACCATGAGGGATACTATAAATACCTCTACACAAATAAACTAGAAATTCTAGAAGAAATAGATACATTCCTCAACACATACACCCTCCCAAGACTAAACCAGAAAGAAGTTGAATCCCTGAATAGACCAATGAGAAGTTCTGAAAATCGCCTACCAACCAAAAAAGCCCAGGACCTGACAGATTCACAGGGGATTTCTACCAGAGGTACAAACAGGAGCTGGTATCATTCTTTCTGAAACTATTCCAAACAATAGAAAAAGAGGGACTCCTCCCTAATTCATTTTATGAGGCCAGCATCATCCTGATACCAAAACCTGGCAGAGACACAACAGAAAAAGAAAATTTCAGGACAATATCTGATAAACATTGATATGCAAATCCTGAAAATAATACTGGAAAACCAAATCCAGCAGCACATTAAAAAGCTTATCCAAAATGATCAAGTTGGCTTCATCCCTGGGATGCAAGGCTGGTTCAACATACGCAAATCAATAAACATAATCCATCACATAAACAGAACCAATAATAAAAACGACATGATTATCTCAATAGATGCAGAAAAGGCCTTCAACAAAATTCAACACTGCTTCATGCTAAAAACTCTCAATAAACTAGGTATTGATGAAACGCATCTCAAAATAATAAGAGCTATTTATGACAAACCCACAGCCAATATCATACTGAATGGGCAAAAGCTGGAAGCGTTCCCTTTGAAAAGCTGCACAAGACAAGGATGCCCTCTCTCACCACTCCTACTCAACATAGTATTGGAAGTTCTGGCCAGGGCAATAAGGCAAGAGAAAGAAATAAAGTGTATTCAAATAGGAAGAGAGGAAGTCAAATTGTCTCTGTTGCCAGAGGACATAATTGTATATTTAGAAAACCCCATTGATTCAGCCCTAAATCTCCTTAAGCTGATAAGCAACTTCAGCAAAGTCTCAGGATACAAAATCAGTGTGCCAAAATCACAAGCATTCCTATACACCAATAATAGACAAACAGAGAGCCAAATCAAGACTGAACTCCCATTCACAATTGCTACAAAGAGAACAAAATATCCAGGAATACAACTTAAAGGGACATGAAGGACCTCTTCAAGGAGAACTACAAACCACTGCTCAAGGAAATAAGAGAGGACACAAACAAACGGAAAAACATTCCATGCTCATGGATAGGAAGAATCAGTATCATGAAAATGGCCATACTGCCCAAAGTAATTTACAGATTCAATGCTATTCCTGTCAAGCTACCATTGACTTTCTTCACAGAATTAGCAAAAATTACTTTAAATTTCATATGGAACCAAAAAAAGAGCCCATATAGCCAAGACAATCCTAAGCAAAAAGAACAAAGATGGAGGCATCATGCTACCTGACTTCAAACTATGCTACAAGACTACAGTAACCAAAACAGCATGGCACTGCTACCAAAACAGATATATAGACCAATGGAACAGAACAGAGGCCTCAGAAATAATACCACACACCTACAAACATCTGATCTTTGACAAACCTGACAAAAACAAGCAATGGGGAAAGTATTCCCTATTTAATGAATGGTGTTGGGAAAACTGGCTAGCCATATGCAGAAAACTGAAACTGGACCCCTTCCTTATACCTTATACAAAAATTAACTCAAGATGGACTAAAGACTTAAATGTAGGACCTAAAACCATAAAAACCCCAGAAGAAAACCTAGGCAATACCATTTAGGACATAGGCATGGACAAAGACTTCGTGACTAAAACACCAAAAGCAATGGCAACAAAAGCCAAAAGTGACAAATGGGATCTAATCAAACTAAGGAGCTTCTGCACAGCAAAAGAAACTATCAACAGACTAAATAAGCAACTGACAGAATGGGAGACAATTTTTGCAACCTATCCAGCTGACAAAGGGATAATATCCAGGACCTACAAGGAATGTAAACAAATTTACAAGAAAAAAACAAACAAACCCAACAAAAAGTGGGCAAAGGATATGAACAGATATTTCTCAAAAGAAGACATTTATGCAGCCAATAAACACATTGAAAAAAAGCTCATCATCACTGGTCATTTGAAAAATGCAAATCGAAACCACAATGAGATATCATCTCACGCCAGTTAGAATGGCAACCATTAAAAATTCAGGAAACAATAGACGCTGGAGAGGGTGTGGAGAAACAGGAATGCTTTTACACTGTTGGTGGGAATATAAATTAGTTCAACCATTGTGGAAGACAGTGTGGTGATTCCTCAAGGATCTAGAACAGGAAATATCATTTGACCCAGCAATCCATTTACTGGGCATATACCCAAAGAATTATCAATCATTCTACTATAAAGACACATGCACACGTATGTTTATTGCGGCACTATTCACAATAGCAAAGACTTGGAACCAACCCAAATGCCCATCAATGATAGGCTGGATAAAGCAAATGTGGCACATATACACCATGGAATACTATGCAGCCATAAAAAAGAATGAGTTCATGTCCTTTGCAGGGACATAGATGAAGCTGGAAACCATCATTCTCAGCAAATTAACACAGGAACAGAAAACCAAACACTGCATGTTCTCATTCATAAGTGGGAGTTGAACAATGAGAACATACAGGCACAGGGAAGGGAACATCACACACTGGGGCCTGTTTGGGCATGGGGGGCAAGGGGAGGGATAGCATTAAGAGAAATACCTAATGTAGATGATGGGTTGATAGGTGCAGCAAACCACCATGGCTCATATATACCTATGTAACAAACCTGCACATTCTGCACATGTATCCCAGAACTTAAAGTATAATTAAAAAATTATTTTTAAATGAATTAAGAAACGAAAAAAAAAGAAAGAAAATGTGGTACATATACACTATGGAATACTAAGCAGCCATAAAAAAGAATGAAACCGTGTCCTTTGTAGCAACCTGCATAGAGCTGTCTAAGTGAACTAACACAGGAACAGAAAACCAAATATCACATGTTCTTATTTAAAAGGGGGAGTTAAATATTGAGAATACATGGACACAAAGAAGGGAAGAACAGACACTGGGGCCTTCCTCAGGGTGGAGGATGACAGGAAGGGGAGGATCTAAAAACTATCTATCGAGTACTATGCTTATCACCCAAGTGATGAAATAATCTGTACACCAAACCCCTGTGACACACAATTTACCTATATAACAAACATGCAAATGTACCTCAGGACCTAAAATAAAAGTTAAAAAAAAAGTAAAATAGAATAAAGTGACTTATTTTCACAAAACACACATTAGGTCATATCTTCTGGCACTTGGTGAATAATACCACTACAAGATTTCAATAAATCTATAATCTTCACCATGTTTTTTTTTGTTTTATATCACTAATATAGTTTAATGGAACTAGCAATCTAAATTATATGAATTATGCAAGTTTGTCATGAAAGTAATATTTACATCCATGTTAGTTTGCTAATATTTTTTAATGAAACTATGCATGGTAATTGATTAGAGAATTGCTTGTTCAGTTGCCAGAGTAATCCCCATAAATGTATTATTTGGAAATTTTGAAGGAAAAAATAATTTTTTAATTACTTTTGATTTATTCTTATTACTTGGCATTGTTTACTATATCCTTCTTGAAACTTCACTTTTCCTTAGATTTCACCTTAAATAGAGTATCCCTGTGGCTCAGTCATAATATATATGTATATATTCACATTATGAAGGCTTCAACTATCCCCTCAAGGCATATAATTTCAAGCCTATGAATACACTCAATCTCAAATTAACAGTATCATTTGAATAAACTCCTGCATTTGTTGTAAATTACAATAAAACCAGTTACCCCAAAACTTAGCAACTTAAAACAACAAACAGGCATTATCTTACAGTTATGCTGTATCAGGAATCTGGGTGTGGCTTAGCTGGGTGCCTCTGGCTCAAGATTTCTCATGAGATTGTATTCAAGCTAAGGCTGTCTTCTAAGCCTGTGATCTCCTGTAAAAGCTCAAATGGAAACCAAGCACTACATGCATGAGTGATAATTAAACGTGTATTGTTTAAGTGACTGGGTTGACTGTTAGACAGAAGTTTGAGCCAGTGGTTAAACAACTGCCAGATCCAAATGACCAAGATCTCAGAAAAGAGGTTTAGATTGTAAGCCATCCCATATCACTTCAGCTGAAACTGTTTTTCTCCCCCCAAATTCCTATACATCATGTGCCTAGACAGCTTATCTGCCAATGATCAAATTCAATATCATATTGTTAATTATCTTTTCAAGTTCACAGATTGTGTCCCACCTAGATCATAAAATTGTTAACTATGATCTTTTTGTGCTTTGTAGATGCAGGCATTCAAGAAAAAAATTTATTAGATTAATGATTGGATAATCCAAAGGAAATAGATTATTCTAGCCTAATTACATCATTAATTGAGACTGTTAAACTCTTGCCATTCTGTGTTTCTTTTTAATATATTTCACATTCATCATATCTGAGTGTTTCTACTAATAAATACTTGAGCATCTCTGTTCCCTGGAATGGACTGTCTGGCCTAGTTCCCCCATTAAAATAATTAAATGTCTCAAGAGCTTTATTCTTAAAACATATGTGTTTATTATAAAACATCATTTAGCACCTCTGTAAGGAAACAGAAATTTAACCACCTCAACCATTTATATTAATCAAAGGATATCATCAATATCTTATATACTTGCAGCCAAAGGAACAGTGTCAGAAGATCAAAGTTTTATCCATTTGAAAGATTATGGCAGACACTGTGGCTACCTAACCAGCCATCATCTTCCCCACACCCTCCTTTATTTCTTTCCAGCAGAACTCTGAATTTAATTGTGTTGCAATTAGACGACAGACTCAGAATTTAGAAGTAAGACTTTGCTGTTCATAAGAAACACATTTCAGAAAAGAAGAGGGAAAGAGTTCACCGGACAAGGACTGAGAACACCCACACCCCAGTTCCTGAAGGTATCCCAATTATAGCCTGTCTTTTATACTGACATATTCCCAAGGCACCTTTCATAAGTTTCATGTGGTCAGAAGGGAAGCAGTATCCTTGTGACAATCAGGTAGGGAAGATGAAACCTCAGGATGTTCAGCAGGTTGGGGAAAAGAAACCTTTAAGATATAAATAAAGAAACTTCAAAACAGCTATTTGAAAGGATACGTATAAAACAAATTTGAAAGTCATAGTATTTATCCACTCAAGCGTGCAGAAATTATCAAGGGGTTGCATTTGTCTAGAAGAGTAAAAATATTGTAGATTTACAAAGAGATGGCAGTATTCCTCCCAGGAAATAAAAATTATGAATGTCTTTGTTAAAAGAGTTCTTTATTTTTTAGCAAACATCATGTGAAGTTCTGTGTATGATGGATGGGCTGATTTTGTTAACATGAGCTAGGATACCAGGAGATTAAGGGAGGCCCCTCCTCAGGTCCCTGTGGTGAAATAATAGGTCTAAATTAATCATTGTGGACACATTACATTTGCAGTGACCGGTTAGGAATGAACTTGTAAATAAGTCCTTGCTGTTAAATACGAATTTCTTGGTGAGCATAAGGGCATTTTTGTGTCCAGAAAAGAAAATCTATTTGTACATTTACTTTTATTTAAAAAATTAAAATTCATTTTATTAAAATCACATATATAAAAAAACAGTTCTCTTTAAACTTTCAGGTTATAGAGTTTATGATAATTCTACTAATAACCTAGCATGTTTTAATAATTGGTTTTAAAGGTCCTTTGATTAATGCTTGGCATCACTTACAAACTTAAACAACTTTAAATACTTCAAACTGTATTTATAAATTAAGTGTATTCAAAATTTAAAATATTTAAATTATTTTACTTATAAAACTTGAGTTCTAAAACAGCTTTATATTTAATAAATTAAACTTATTAGCAGGATTAATCATACATTCTCATGAATGTTTCAACATTGTCTATAAACCTATTAAGATTTTATCATAAAACACAAGCCAAAATTGATAACTATTTTATATTTTAAGGGGAATAACAAAGCTGACTTGTAACTCTACAGAAACGAATTCCATAAGAATTATTATATAAACCATCAAATATGCTGTTAACATGATGGTTAGATTATCTTAAACTTTTTATCACTGTCTTAGCCAGCTTCATGTTGCTATAACAGAATATCACAGACTGGGTGATTTATAAAGAAAATAAATTTATATCTTATAGTTCCTGAGGCTGGAAAGTCCTATATCAAGGTACCAGTATCTTGTGTGGACCTTAATGCTATATCATCCCACAGGAGAAGACAGAAGGGCAAGAACATGTGAAGGCAAGAGATCAAACTCACAGCCTCAAGCCCTCTCATAATTGGCATTAATCCATTCATGAGGGTGGCACTATCATGATCTAAACACCTCCCATTAGGCCCCACATCCCAACACTGTTACATTGAAGATTAAGTTTCCAGCACATGCTTTTTGGGGGATACATTCAAACACTAGAAATCACTGAATTCTCAGTCTTCTCAAGGTTGAAAGGCACTTAACTATTAAGGTAATATTTATGTCATAACAGGCAATTTTAAGGAATAATTTCCCTCTCAGTTGCAATTGTTTAAATAACATAGATTTTAGCCTGGGTGTTGTGGCTAATGTCTGTAATCCCAACACTTTGGGAGGCTGACATGGGCAGCTCACTTGAAGCCAGGAGTTCGAGACCATCCTGGACAATATGGCAAAACCCCATCTCTACGAAAAATACAAAAATTAGCCAGGCATAGTGGCACACACCTGTAATCACAGCTACTCGGGAGGCTGAGGTATGAAAATCACTTGAACTTGGAAGGCAGGTTGCACCACTGCACTCCAGCCTGGGTGACAGAGTGAGACCCTCTCTCAATAAAAAAATTAAAATTAAATAAATAAAAATGTAAAACATAGAAGTTACCTGGATCACTAACTGGATTTTTTTTTCACAAGCCTTGCTAGAGTATTCTGAATTACCTTTATAATCTAAGAGAAGAATTTTAAAACTAAGGGAGTAGTAGGTCTCAGTGACTCAAAGTCTGCAGAATCTCTGTACACATTTATTACATAATTATATGTTGCATTTTTGCTCTTATACTGTGCAAATGTTTTCCCTAACACTAAAGATGACTAAATTTGATGCAATCTAATATTTTCTTCATAAGATCCCCAACTTTTCAGATACCATTTCTATGATATAAAATAGTATCTAATAGGATCCTGGAGATCTCTGGTGGCATTGCTTGATTATTCAAGGCACTTCCAAGATCATTTGACTCATGCTAACTAATGGCCCTTGAAGGCAAGCCTGCTGTGGGCCTCTGCAAAAATAAGAGGAGTGAACAGGAGGAAAGCCATTCTTCTTTAACTGGATGTTTTCCAGTCTAAATGTGGTTCCAAGAAGACCAAGAGACCTTTTGTGACCCTAAGGAGGCAAGCCTAAAATGTAGCAAACATGCCAAGGTTGACAGTGCTAAAATCTGCAGGCATGCTGCCCCTAAGCGTCTTATTACATGAGATATTACATGTCTTTTTGCTTAGCCACTTTCAGTTGTATTTTTGCTACTTGCAGCCCAAATCTCCCTAATTAATAAAATAATCCATCAAAGCTTCCACATAATCAATGAGACAAGAGGTTCAATCCACATAAACGGGATAAACTAGACATAAAGAAGCATAATGGATAACCCCATATATCAAAAAATGCCACTAGTTTCAACATAGACATAGCAGTGTATCCCATGCAAAAGATTTATATAGAGTAGATCCAACGCAAAGAGGTCCTCAAGGCATTTATTATCTAGTGGTTATATAAAGTTAATGAAAACAATAAAAACAGATAAAAGCTACAGAGCTTATATCAATAGTGCCTCAATCTAAATACATAAGCAAATGGTCAGTTGGGCTACTATGTGTTCTGGATGTCTATGGTTTCAAACCAGCCACTCCAAAGTAGCAAAATTTATTTACTTATGAAGTTGGAATAAGGGTAGTGCTCAGCAGGGATGGCTTGTCTCTGGTCTATCAGCAACAGCCAGGGCATCTGAAGGCAGGATGTTGTAATCATCTGTATTAGGCGGTTCTTGCATTGCTATAAAAAAAAAAAATACCTGGCTGGGCGTGGTGGGTCATGCCTGTAATCCCAACACTTTGGGAGGCAGAAGCAGGTGGATCACTTGAGGTCAGGAGTTTGAGACCAGCCTGACCAACATGGTGAAACCCGGTCTCTACTAAAAATACAAAAATTAGCCAGGAGGTGGTGCACTACAGGTGGTACACTCTTGTAGTCCCAGCTACTCAGAAGGCTGAGGCAGGAGAATCGTTTGAACCCAGGATGTGGAGGTTGCAGTGAATCAAGATTGCACCACTGTACTCCAGCCTGGGTGACAGAGTGAGACTCTGTCTCAAAAAAAATTTTTAAAAATACCTGAGGCTGAGCAATTTATAAAGAAAGGAGGTTTTAATTAGCTCATAGTTCTTCAGGCTATACAAGAAGCATGGTGCTGGCATCTGCTTCTGTTGAGGTCTCAGGAGGCTTACAATTATGGCAGAAGGTGAAGAGGAAGTAGGCATCTCACATGGCAAGACTGGGAGCAAGAGGGGAGGGGAGGTGCCACACACTCTTAAACAGTCAGATCATGAGGGAACTCACTGTTTTGTGAGGATAGCACCAAGACATGAGGGATCTGCCCCCATAACCCAAACACCTCCCACCAGGCCTCACCTCCAACAATGGAGATAACATTTCAACATGAGATTTGAAAGGGACAAACATCCAAACCATATCACCATCCAAAAACCCAGTGTTCAGGGAGAACTCAAATACCTGGGAACTGTCACAGCTGAGGCTCCTGAGACATCTATTCCTGTGAGCCCTCTCCACAGGGTCTCTCCAGCATGCTGAATTAAGGGTAGCTAGACTTCTTACAAGATGAATGTCCCAAGAGGAACAGAGGCAGGCAGGAGCTGTCTTATTTTATGACCTAACCTTGGAAATCATGTGTAGCCTCAATTTCACCTCATTCTGTTCATCAAGGCAGTCACAAAGGCCCTTCTCAGTTGAAGGAAATGGAAATTGACTCTATCTCTTGAAGGACGAGTAACAGAAAGAGCATGTGGGACCAGAAATATTAATGCACCATTGCTGATACAGTCTACCCAACTATGACATCATAGTTGTTTCTCAGTTACAGCCAAAGTGATGTCTTCAAGGAGACAGATTTTTAATCAAATCTTAAAGAATTTGAGAGACCTCGACTGTCATACGAAGTCTGTTTTTCAAGATAACACTTTTTTAAAGCAGTCATATATGTGTACAGTGTATATCCAGAAGCAAAGAAACAGATAGTTCTACTGAGAACTTCTCAGTGGCTTCACTATCTTAATTTATAAATACCCCAAAGCCAATCCTTGTTCCCTTTATGTACATCATCCAAATAATCTTAAGAGTAAACATTGTGGAAGCTTTTTGTGACACAGAATTTGACTAAATAAACACAAATACCTTCAACCTTTAAACCTTTCCTCAAGCTTAGATGAAGCTAAGTTATAAATAAACTCCAGTGGATTTAATACAGAGAAAGAAGTCAGCCTTAAAGTTCTGGCTTTGAAATAAAATGCAGCTCTTTTATGTCAGGGACTTCTGTCCCTTGTGTTCAGCACACTATTGTAGTCTCCACCCTGCTTACAGCACTGCTTTGCAAATAATGAAATGAATGCATAAATAAATAAAACTGGCATCTATACAATGCTTTACAATTTATAAGGCACTTTCATATATTTTGCTTCACAATAACTTGTGACATAAATATTATCATTATTGGATCCATTTAATAAAACAGGAAAGGTGAGAAATCAGTAACATAAGTAAATTTCCTGAAGTCACAGATATAGTGAAGTGTAAGAAATAAAAGTTGAAACACAAATTCCTATTTTATCAAACAACCCATGCCCTTTTCACTGATTATTAATAACTTTTATATATTTTTATGACTTTCACTAGGGTATTAATTTCTGGCATGGATTTTTGCTTTGCTGACCCTCCCAAAATATCCCTGAAGTATGTAAAACTATCATCCTTGGATGCCACACCTTCACTGTCATGATTATTGTTAAATTTTTAATTACTACATATATAATCTTTTAGCTATTCATCTTTCATCTTATTTACTTGTTAATGTTTCTAACATTTCTTCAATGAATATTTTCAACACTAACAGCTAGGATATAACTAAAACTTTTTTTCAACCAAACATGGCTAAAAGCAGATTATGTAGGCTTCCCACTGTTAAGTCTGGAAAAAAATTGTAAAAGAAAGGGTCAGTAATCTAGCATCACGTTAATTTATCAAAGTAATGATAAATACTTAATACATGGAAATATCTAATAACAGAAACCAATTCTGTTACAAGAAAGGGCATATTCATATGCAATGAATGGCCATAATTAGGGTAAATTTGCATATTTACCTTTGGGAAGTTTTCTCAAGGAATTTAATTGGCATTTTGACCCAGAATATCTTAAAAAAGAGATATATAAAGAAAAATTGAAGGTTTTTCCAAATCCATGTATGCCAGAGTTTAGAAACTCCCTGGCACTCAGTTTTTCCATACATTAAGGAAAGAGTTAAATGTGATAGTGTGCTCTTAACAAGAGCCAATCATCATTTGAAGTGAATGATATTCTCCTCCTCGTTATTCTCCAAGAACAGAATGCCTCCCAGATCCCAGGCTCAGAGAAAACTATTTCATTGCTTAGACTTCAGAGAAGGAAGGGGACGGAGAGAATAGAAAAACATACATTACCTTGAGAGTTAACTGTGAAACAAAGCTTCCAGATATTTTCTGTTTAGGAAACATGGAGACTAGAATGTATCTTCAAGATAATACGCTCTCTCTTTCTAGGAGGTCTGTCTGATGGTTACACGAACATAAAGCAGACCTGGTGGATTGTATTGGAATCAAGGCTCCAAAAACCACAGTCAGTTTAACACTGCCTAGAAGTCTTGGCAAGACTCCTCCCTTTGTCTGTCTTTGGGGTAAGTGTTCAGAAGCAGGACTTAGGGCCTAAAGGAAAGGCCTGAATCCACTTACTGGAACTCTCTGTGTCTTTGGAGCATGAGAGAAAGAAGTCTTCACCCTGCAAGAAGGGCAAAAGCAAGGTAGAACAGCAGCATTTCATTGGGGACAAACAGGAGCATTTCACTGGGGACAAGCATTCTCAACTTGAGAATGAGGAGCGGGTCAAGGAACTAGAACAAGGTGTCATCATCTATGTGCTAGGACAGGTAAGTGGGAAGGTAAGTGATGAAGTCACAAACAAAGCAAGATCCCAGTTCCTGATAACTGACACAAACACAAACTCTAGATAATTTTGGGCCACCCAAATACTGCCCTAGATTCCTTCACTTTCCCCTCCCTGGAACAGCCACGTTCCCAAAGACTGAAGCAGCACACAGCCTGGTGGCGGAGGGAGCTGTTAAGTGATCTTAACATGTAAGTACCACAGGAATATTAAGGAACATGCAAAAGGAATCACTCTCATTACCCTAAATTGTCTCACACATGAAAGATCAGAAACCTCTATCAGAGCAGAGCTGCTGGTTGAATTCACTCTTGCCAAATGAAAAAACTACTGGAAGCTGAAGCCACTGCTAAAAGGACTGTTTTCCACCAGGGTCACTACTGAAGGAACAGCTGCTAGTTGGTACTGGGAGTAGCTGCTGAGGGTGACACAATAAAAACCTTTGCTGCCGGGCACTGCTTGAAGCAGCAGGTAGTTTCACGCTGGGCACCACCTTCAGTTCAGAAATCTCCAGCTCATACGATTTTACTTTAAGTTTACGTTTGGGAGAAAAAGGAGTTATTCCCCCATCTAAGGGGAAGGTAGAAATTGTTATTCATTTTCTTTCTTACTACAGAAAAAAAAAAATTACTCATGCCAATAAAAAGACCTGAAAATCACCTAGCCCTCACATTTCTAGCCAGAAGAAAGAGGGACATGGAAAGACAGTCTCATACATGCAATTGTGTGAAGAACAAGTTCAAAATGAACAGGCTTTGGAATGCCTTTTTTTAAGCGTCATTATTTTTCTAAGCCTCTAGACTGAGGTAAGTTGTTCTTAATTCGAAAGAACATAAAAATGAATTCTCAACCTTTTCCACAGACGGTAATATTCCTGTAGTCATTGCTATTGTTAAAGGCCAATTAATCCTGTGCTAGTTCTATAAATAATTGACTTTTTTTCTTTCTTTAGGTTTTTAGAATATAGATCTTTGCTTTCTAGTTTTGATCAGTCCTGGTTTTATTTAAATTAATACACCTCAAAAAACTGCCTAAACCTGTTAGATGTTTTAAGTGTATTTCCAGTCTGTGCAGACTATGACCTCTGCTGGGAATTTTCACTGAATTTGCAGCGAACAGAGAGAGTTTTAGTTCCATCAGAACCTAAAAACAAGAAAATCTGACAGCAACACTCAAGTCCATCCACAAATGACCACAAATATTATAAATATTTGTTCCTATATTAAAATATAAATATATGAATTAAAATAGAAAATGTATTTTAATACTAAGATTGAGAGTAAGGATTTACTTGACATGAAAGCTTGCAGCATAATTCTAGGAAATTAGTTTAATCTATATTTTTAAGTATAAAAAAAGGAATGACTGTTCTTTGAAGCAAACATTACAGAGAGACACTTAAAGAAGATGAGAGCTATTGGATTAAAATATATTTTTTCTCTGCTCAGCTCAAAGCCTGATTCAGGTCAGGAGGTTATATAGCATTCTAGATACATCACTGGGGATATTTTTTCTTTTTCGCTAGGTATTCCTCCCCTCATTCCTACCTCAGGATTTAATAAAATTTCAGGAGGAAACAGTAGAGTTCTACCTCTTACATGGGTAGAGAAATTACGTATTCCTTAATATTTGTTGGTGATCACTAGTTGAAGATTTTATGCTTAAATCTTGCTATTGATCAACTTGGGTAGTCATTCTACTATGGTAATACACTCAATAAAAGTAAGACCGTCTAGGCATACTGGTTGCATTTAAAAGCCCTCTTTTATTAGCTTTAGAAGTTTGGGATGAGAATACATAAAGTAAGATCTGGCATGGGGTCTCTGTGTAATACTATTAAACACATGTAGTAAAATATTTTTGATAGGCCCATGTAACAATTTTAGCTATAACATAACTTAAGTGCTAAACCACACACTGAAGATTTGAAGTGATAAGAGTAAGTACATCATGAGAAACGCAAGCTTAACAACAACAAAAAAGAGTAAGTACAGCAAAGAATATCAAGCATCATTTTTAAAATGTAAAATTATAAATTTTTAAAAATTCCTTCATTTTTCATATTTTAAACAATGAACATGTATAATTTTATAATCAAACATTAGACATCTATCTAAAATATATAAATATAACATATTATCAATTGAAAACATTAAATAACCATTTAAGCAAAATTTTACACTTAAATCTAAAAGAAGGCCAAGGGTGGGAGGAAAGAGAAAATTCTGTTACTATCATTGTTTCTTGTTTCTTCATGATATGGTGATGCAGTTGTGCTCTGCCTAGACCCAAGTCTTCTTAGGAGGTGGAGTTGAAATAAGTCTTCTGGGCTCCTAATTAAAAGTTAACAACACATGCTGGTGGTCAGAATTACAAAGGTGTCTCAGGAACCAGCTGCTTTAATCAAGTCAACAAAAATTGAGTAATGTCTTCATCTCACAACCAAGGCTGCCTCCAGACAGTACCTTTGAGTAAGATATCATTCAAGCACTCTTACTTCAGTAAAAAGATCTATGCCCAGAAACTTGATGCCTACCTCTTAGATCTTGAAGAGACTGGCATTTTTGCTGTCCTCAAAGTGAACATCCTATTTAGCCTCAGTCTTAGAATAATTATATTATATTTACTCTCCAGTCACTTAGAAAATTAATGGCTTAAACTAGAACCAGGATCAAAACTCAGATGTCCGAAAGAAGTCCATTTCCCATTGGGAAATATTTTGGCTGATTCTCTCCCTCACTTCTAAGATGTCACCAAAAGATGAAGCACCTTCCCCACCCCCTCTACACACACACACACACACACACACACACACACACACACACACACACACACTCTATCATACCCCAAAAGAATATAGATGTATTTGACTTTCCTGAGAAAGTCTCAAGGCTAGTCACCATCAATCACCATCAATTGGAAAGCATCTTGAAGGTAAGTAGAGGAGCCTATCAATCTGTATAACTCTGATGAATTTTGCAAAGTGTGGATTGTCTTTTAAGTATATAATAGAGTAGGAAAAGTGAATAATCTATTTCATGTAAAGAAGTCTCAGCATGACAATTTTCCCATGGGATAAAATAATCAAGGAAGGGAAATATTTTCTAAACTGTATTAGATGACTTCGCAATTAGATCACATCTTCCTTCAGGCACCACTGAGTGCTTCCCCTACACAAAAGAATTTCGTATCTGTTTCTTGTAGGTAGTTACTTGAGAGGGGAATTTAAACATTTCTAAAAAGGAGAATCAAAGGGTAAGGGTTATAAGAATGGTAACGAAGAATGAAGAAAAGCTCCTAGAGAGCACTACAGCAGACATCAGAAAAGAGGGTGAAAAGTGATGCCCTGAACTTTACAGGGGAAGAAGAAAGCAAGATTGAGAGGAAAAAGTCACCAGAGTGGGCAGGAAGTGGTGTTGTCCGCTTCCTGGAAGGGAAAGAAGTTAAAAAAACTGAAAAAAAAAAAAAAGAAAGCCTGATACAGTTCACCTGCTAAAAATAAGGACTTGCCCAGGAAGAAGGCAACTGCTACTTAAATGAGTAAGAAAGGATTCTGCCAGAAGCCAGCATTGGAGCAGCATCCTCCTGAGAATTGAATCATAACAGCTAACATTTATTGAACACTTGCAGTGTGCCAGGCACAGTTCTAAACATTTTACATGTATTAACACACTTAATCCTCATAATAACTCTATGAGGAACTGAAGCCAAAGCAAATCTGGGAACAGAGTACAGGGTGGAAGGCAGAAAATCTCTCCTGGCCCCTCAAGGATTGTAACTACTCTGGTGTCATTCCCAACATTGAACTCCATGAACCTGGACATTGTGGGATTCTTGATCACTTTCTGTAGGCTGCAAGTCCAATGTTTTGTCTTCAAAACAAAAACAACTCCTTAATGAAGAAGTTAAGCAAGGAGTACTGTAATATCTACTGTATTTTCCAGGAGATAACCAAAGTCAAATACGATGCCAGGGATGATTCTAACAAAGACTAACACTGAAGTTCATTAAACACTGACTGCTTCAGCCTTATGTTTAAAAAGAAGAAAAAAGATTTTTAGCCAAAGTAACAACAAATAGGAAGACAGAGCCAAATCTCTGAGAATGTTGTCTAATGATGGTTTGCTTTGAGCTTTTTGGGGTGGGGGGAGGTGGAGGATTAAGTTTTAATGGAACTATTAAGTTTAAAAAAATAAGGGGGAAATTAAAAGATGTATTTTAAAATGACATTAGAAAATACAAACTAAAGAGACATTCATCATACTTGTTTTCACCATTTCTTGGTGATTTTTGAGTTTCCATTTAGACCAAGAAATACATAAAGAAAATGTGTTAAAACCTAATTTTTCTAGTAAAAGAAAAAAAAATTCATCCACTTCACAAAGGGTGCCTATACTCTTTATTTCAATTTCCTGCAAAAAAAATTTCTTTCTGCTCTCTCAGCAGTATTCTTTGCCCCTTTAAATTTCCAAACTCTGTTCTGAAGCTGTTTTATGATTGTTTTCAAAGGCTTCTGGTAAAGTACTGGAGAGTGTATTTGTGTGTGTGTGCACACACATACACAAGTGCATTCATGTGTGTTTTTAACAGTAAAAATAAGAAACTACCTTTCCATGTGGGTTAGAACTGAGATGAAATGAGGAATGGCCGCCACCAAGCAGAAAATGTGCTCACTTTATGTGTGCCAGTTAATTACAACACTTCAGAGGCGTTTCCGAAAGGATAAGGAAAGCTGCATAAATTTAGCTGTAATCCAGGCAGGCAAAACTAATTTGCAGGGGATGGCCTTATCTAGCCACTGCAGCTTTCTCAGAAAATTAACCTTGGATATTTGGGCCCAATTCAGAAAGTGTTTGATTTTTTTTTTTCCTTTCCCTGCTCAGCATAAGAGAATTTTTGAATTCAATATAATACCTGACTTTTAAGAAGCACGATGAATGCTGTAGGCAGTTCAGAGTTATTACTGGCAAGCAAAAATATATTTTTTATATACACATATAGATGATTGTCCTTCATGCCCATTATCCTGCCTTCTTACATGTGCATCAGAGGGTTTATCAGTGTAGGTATAAGGGGTTTCTCGGATTAAGAGAAGGGTGCCACTCATTTTTAATGTACTTAGAAAAATTCATCAAAGTTCATTGCAGAATAAGTCATGCATACTGACTTGTTCATTCCAGTGGAAATGAAGAAATCCCCATAAAAATAGAAGTTTAATGAAGTGTTGGAGCCAAGTCTTGCCTGTCATTACAGTTATCACTGATTTAGACCCTTCCTTGATCACCCACTATTAATTAATCTCACACAGCACAGTTAAAGCTTTACCTTATTATTTATCATGTAATCATTTATTCCATCAATATTTACTGAAGTCAGCATGATTTTCATGTGTTTTCTCATTTAATCCTCATGTTATCCCTGTTTGTATTTCACTAGTTTCACCAGCACAAGAGGTAAAGATTTTATATGTCAGTGTTTCCAATCCACTTCAAAATTTCTCAAAGCAATGACAGTATGTAAGCATCAATGGAGCTCTATCGTTTGGAGGTAAGATTTAAGGCTTTTTATCCAAAAGATAATTTTAACTTTCTTTGACCAATTTCTTTATAATACAAATATTAATGGTTTCCATCTTTTCAAATTTTAAATTGCAAGGTGAATTTATATCAACCAGCTTTAGTAACATATCCATAAAAAGCCCCACATGACTATTGATAGTGGCTGAGCTGAACTTTAAAGTTTTTTTAATATCCCATCTACAATATAATTACTGTTTCACTTATTTCAAACCATAGGAGTTACTTATTTTAAAGTGGCATGAACTCGATTGGCAATAATTGTTCTTGAGGATGTCACAATTAGGCAGAAAGGAACATATTTATAATAATAAAAGAGCCATTTTATAACATAGATTGCACACTGAATCATGAAATGTGAAGTAATGACTCCCATTTGGATCTAAATTTTCCTCACGCTTGTTCAATCGCCAGGGCTAAATGTTATGGCTATTTATAGTTACACCCTAGGGTGGAAGGGGGAGGGAATTAGATATCATAAAGAATCATACATAATACATAAAGACTGAAACTACATTTTATGAGAACTGAAAAATTTAAGAAACTCTGGCTGAAATACGGAAATGTCGTGCCAAGCAGAACTTCCTCTTACACAATAACATTAGTAAAGACGTAACAGACATAAACACAGTAAACCCTCAAACCATCATGGTGTTATCTGCACTTCTGCTAACATATAATTTATTTTAATGAATAATTTGAATAAACACACTGAGGCTAAGTTTGAAGGTCACTGGAAAAAAGACATCATCACAGATAACAATGCATTAAATATCAGCTATGTGGGTAATCAAAGTCACAAAGTAACTACACAGATGCATTACACAATACTCCAACCTACCAATAAACGGTTTTATAATTGACTTTTAAAAGATATCTTCTACTTCAACCAATTTCTAAAAAGTTAATTAGCCTGATTATAAAGAGTCCCAATTCACTTTAACAACACAAAACAGAAGAGAGCCCTGTAAATGCTCCCACCTGGCAGCAATTGTCCAAAATACTGTAGGTACTTCAAGGTCAGGGACACTATATAATCACTGTAATTCCCCGGGGTCAAATGCAGTGTCTGTAATATACACGACAAACAATAAAGTCTGGCCAAATGAATGTATGATTGAATAAATGCATGAATGGTGGATAGATGAATGAATTAATGAATGAGCATATAGACTGGCAAAAAACAATTAAATTATTTAATTTTCAAAGGGAGCTCTAAGCTTTATCATTTCAGTAACCCCAAGAAGCTCTGGGGTTTCCTTGCTGGTGTCTTAAGGGTAAAACACCTAAAACCACTGTCACCAGTTCCTCCTGCCCCTTTAATCCCCACCTCCACCCATTTCTTCCACCCCATACACACACTTCTCATCCAATTTCAGCAATTCTAATTTTAAAAGTGTAAAAATATGGTGATATATTGAAAGAACAATTCAAACAGTTCAATTAACAGTTTGATGCACTTGAAAATTTCAAGAAACACACCTAGTATATAAAATAAAGTGCATGTATTTTCTATTTGTTCAGCTTTTCTAAAAGGGTGCATTAATCTTATGTCACATTTGCTACACAGAATATGGTTTTCATTTTCATTTCTTTGATTTTAATGATTATATCTACTGTCTCATAATTGAAAAAATACTTTTGTCTTTTAGCCTACATTTTCTGAATTATTCTAAAGGCATCTCTTATAATTTACCAACATTTCCTAAACTAAAATTAAACTTACAGCTCTTCCCTAGACTACCATGGATTTTCAGGAATTTGCTAAACAAAATGGTCTTTCATTAAGACAATCTACTCTTTCTATTCCATCAGTATTCACAGGTTGTCTACTGGTGCCTTGCATGACACTGCCGATATAACTGCTCTCACAGACCGAGTGATATTCATTGACTTTCTGAATCCTGGAGAACTTGTATAAGTATCATTTTGGAATCCAAGTATATGCAGTGTATAGAAACCAAGTTCTTCAAATATATTTTAAAACTATAAAACTCCCCAAAGTTTCATTTTTGCTTCACTTGCAACATAAGTCACAATTTACTGCCAGTTTAATCGGTTATAACCAAACCAAGTATTTGAAGAGAAGCACACTAACAAAAGAAATTATACATCTTTTCAAAAGTAGGGTCTGAAACCCATGAATATAAACATAAATTTATACATTTTGAAGAAAATCATACACTTTAAAAACCTACCCCTTATTCCTGTGCCTTCTTTTGGAACAAATACATTGTTTTACTTCTTTCAAAACTTCAACAATTGCCAATAATTATATTGAGGAACATAGCTCCAATTTCTCTGATTCTCTGTAATACTGACTAGTAGTCTCCAAAGTTGGTACACATTCCTCAAGATGTGTCCAAAAGGATTAGGTTATTAGGGTGCAAGTAAGCCAATATTATTAATTCAATATGTGTTTATGTTTATCAAAACAACTAAAGTTCACAAACCTTTAAGATACTGATCGACACTGGTATCTTCCCTCAGTCCACATATCAAAAGGATAGTACTGCCATGTAGTGGTCGAGTGTATTAGTCTGTGTTCACTTTGCTGATAAAGACTTATCCGAGACTGGAAGGAAAAAGAGGTTTAATTGGACCTAAAGTTCCACATGGCTGGGGAGGCCTCAGAATCATGGTGGGAGGCGAAAGCCACTTCTTACATGGCAGAGGCGAGAGAAAAATGAGGAAGCAAAAGTAGAAACCCCTGATAAAGCCATCAGATCTCATGAGACTTATTTACCATCACCAGAACAGCAAGGGAAAGACCTACCCCCATAATTCAATTACCTCCTCCTGGGTCCCTCCCACAACACGTGGGAATTCTGGGAGATACAATTCAAGTTGAGATCTGGGTGGGGATACAGCTAAACCATATCATTCTGCCCCTGGCCCCTCCAAATCTCATGTCCTCACATTTCAAAACCAATCATGCCTTCCCAACAGTCCCCCAAAGTCTTATTTCAGCATTAACCGAAAAGTCCATAGTCCAAAGTTTCATCTGAGACAAGACAAGACCCTTCTGCCTATAAGCCTGTAAAATCAAAAGCAAGCTAGTTACTTCCTAGATACAAGGGGGGTAAATACACCTGTTCCAAATGAGAGAAATTAGCCCAAACAAAGGGATGGCAGGGCGCATGAAAGTCTGAAGTCCAGCGGGGCAGTCAAATTCTAAAGCTCCAAAATGATCTCCTTTGACTCCAGGTCTGACAACCAGGTCACACTGATTCAAAAGGTAGGTTCCCACGGTTTTGGTCAGCTCCTCCCCTGTGGCTTTACAGGGTACAGCCTCCCTCCCAGCTGCTTTCATGGGCTGGCGTTGGGTGTCTGTGGCTTTTCCAGGCACACAGTGCAAGCCGTCAGTGGATCTACCATTCTGGGGTCTGGAGGAAGGTGGCCCTCTTCTCACAGCTCCACTAGGTGGTGCCCCAGTAGGGACTCAGTGTGGGGCTCCGACCCCACATTTCACTTCCACATTGTCCTAGCAGAGGTTCTCAATTATGGCCCCGCCCCTGCAGCAAAATTTTGCCTGGGGATCCAGGTGTTTCATACGTCTTCTAAAAATCTAGGCGGAGGTTCCCAAACCTCAATTCTTGACTTCTGTGCACCCACAGGCTCAACACCATGTGTAAGATGCCAAGGCTTGGGGCTTCCACCCTCTGAAGCCACAGCCCAAGCTCTATGTTGGCCCCTTTCAGTCATGGCTACAGCAACTGGGACATAGGGCACCAAGTCCCTAGGCTGCACACAGCACGGGGACCCTGGGCCCAGCCCACAAAACTACTTTTTCCTCGTAGGCTTCTGGGTCTGTGGTGGGAGGCGCTGCCATGAAGACCCATGACATACCCTGGAGACATTTTCCCCATTGTCTTGGGAATTAACCTTTGGGTCCTTGTTACTAATGCATATTTCTTCAGCCAGCTTGAATTTCTCCTCAGAAAAATGGGTTTTTATTTTCTACTGCATTGTCAGGCTACAAATGTTCTGAACTTTTATGCTTCTCTGTTTCTCTTTTTAAATAGAATACTTTTAACAGCACCCAAGTCATCTTTTAAATGCTTTGCTGCTTAGAAATTTCTTCTACCCAATACCCTAAATCATCTCTACCAATTTCAAAGATCCACAAATCTCTAGGGCAGAGGCAAAATGCTGCCAGTCTCTTTGCTAAAACATAGCAAGAATCACCTTTGCTCCAGTTCCCAAGTTCCTCATCTCCATCTGAGACCACCTCAGCCTGGACTTTATTGTTCATATCACTGTCAGCATTTTGGTCAAAGCTATTTAACAAGTCTCTAAGAGGTTCTATACTTTCCTACATTCCTGTCTTCTTCTGAGCCCTCCAACATGTTCCAACCTCTGCCTGATACCCAGTTCCAAAGTTGCTTCCACATTTTCGGGCATCTTTTCAGCAATGCCCCACTCTACTGGTACCAATTTATTGTATTAGTGCATTTTCATGCTGCTGATAAAGACATACATCAGATTGGGAAGAAAAAGAGGTTTAGTTGGATTTAAAGTTCCACATGGCTGCGGAGGCCTCAGAATCATGGTGGGAAGCAAAAGCCACTTCTTACATGCAGCGGAAAGAGAAAAATGAGGAGGAAGCAAAAACAGAAACCCCTGATAAGCTCACCAGATCTCATGAGACTTATTTACTATCACGAGAATGGCACAGAAAAGACCAACCCCCATGATTCAATTACCTACCCCTGGGTCCCTCCCACATCAAGTGGGAATTCTGGGAGATACAATTCAAGTTGAGATTTGGGAGGGGACATAGCCAAACCATATCAGTGAGGTATCCTCAAGAAATCATAGGAGTTCTATCATGTGAAGGGGTGGTAGTATTACCTTCCCTTTTTCATTCCTTTTTAGCATACTATGACAAGTTGCAGTTTACATACTCTGTTACATTAATTGATTCTGTAGTATAAAATAGTCAACTATCATAATATGGACATATGGATTTTAAAAACTAATACAATCATCCTCAAATTAAGAATGCTACAATTCCAAGTGGACAGTAAGAGATGGGCCCACACCCCTACTCCCAGTGCAAGCTCTCCATCAGTCATGTTCAAGACCAAAAGTATGCCAATCACATCTGCCAAAATGTCAGCCTAAAACATCCAGTGTTATAAGGACTACTTGAGCGATGGGCTTATATCCACTCTATAATCAACTATATTCTGATTTTTTTTAAAAAAGTGACTTCTAAAAGATGGCTCAGTTCAATTTTATTATCTTTTTACTTTCTATTTTTACATACACTGCACATTCATGAAGTAGCTCAGCCATATAATTTATACATAAATAAATGAATAGCAGGAGCCATGCACAGAAATTTTTTACTGATAGACTCACACAATATCAACTTTGGAAACCTTCTACCCAGAGGACTGAACTTTACTCCTACCAGGGGTCCAGATTGAGGCTATAAATGTCCCTTCCTATCTTCATAGGAATCTTGAAACTCTCCTACTTCCACAGAGGAAGATGACTGAAAAAAATGCATAGCTTTACAGAGATGGACACTCCCAATTCTGTTATTCCTGGTAGCATGCCCCTCACTTAGCTTCCTATAACCATAAAATAAGTTCATGCAAAATGTCCTTTTATCATCACTCACCAAAAAACTAGAAAACAGATTCTAATTGGAATGCTACACAGAGGTAGAAAAGAGTGAAATCATGTCGTTTGGAGCAACATGGATGCAGCTGGAGGCCATTATCCTAAGTGAATGAATGCAGAGACAGAAAGTCAAATTTCAAATGTTCTCACTTATAAGTGGGAGCTAAACAACGGGTACACATGGACATAAAGATAAAGACAACAGGCACTGGGGACTCCAAAAGGTGGAGGGGGGTGATGGTTGAAAACTACCTATTGGTTACTGTGTTCACTATTTGGGTGATAGGTTCACTAGAAACCCAAACCCCAGCATTACCCAATATACCTATGTAACAAACCTGCACACATGTATCCCTTGAATCTAATATAAAATAATAATAATAATGATTATTACTAATTGTATGCTTTTTCTCCTATTTAAAAAAAGAAAACAAATTAAATAAAATAGATATTTATCCCCCGTATTTAGCCTTCTATCTGATAGAGAAGAAATTGGGGAAGAAGGCAGAGGTTTACTTAACCTTTTTGAAGGTTTATACAAATAAACCTTTACTGCCTAAACAGAGTGGTAGGTCAGCTTCTATTATTTAAAATGTTAATCTGATTTCTCTTGGGTTTTGGGTTTGAAGATCTGTGTCATTATGAGTTTGCACATTAGACAGATGGTCAGTGTGAGCCTTTATAGCCTAGCCACACATATTCTCTAGCCCTGGGGGACCTTGTGTCTTTGATTACCTCTGCAGGACTTAGGAAGACTAGGAGCTGGAATTAATCTCTACTGGAATTTGCAAAACTCTATTTAGGTCTAGAATTTCCCATGGTATCATCTTTTAATTCTGGTTTCATGTCTTTTATTCAAACTTTTCCTTGAACCTGTCATTTTGGTCTATGTCCTAATTTTCAGATCACAAGTCTGGACATTTTACTGTCTTCTAGATTCATTTCAGCACTCCCAGAGTATTGGAGGAAACAAAATTGTAAATAAACTGAAGAACCACTGTGGTAAGTAACATAGTAGACGTGTGAACAAGGTGACATGAAAGCACCAATGGCCCACTGACTTGGCCTAGATAACTTGGAAAAGCTTAGCGTCAGTTATATTTAAAAATATATCCTTGAAATGACTCACATGGACAGGGCTGAGGGCTTGTCTTCAGGGGTGTGTCACATAAAATAATGGAGACACGGGTGTTAACAAGGAAACTTAAAACCCACCAGGTGGCTTAGTGTGGCTGAGAATTGCATGGGTGATGTTGGTAGATGGAAATGGAGAGAAAGGTGAAATAGAGTGGCAGAATGTGAAGTCAGTAAAATAGACCAAGATCAAGTTGTATGGGGCTTTTAATGTTTTGGGGGAATTTAGATTTTGTCTTGGGGTATTAGAGAATCATCATGGGTTTTTGGTTTTATTTTGTTTTTCTTTTTGAGACAGAGTGTCGCTCTGTTGCCCAAGTTGGAGTGCAGAATGGTGTGATCTTGGCTCACTGCAACCTCTGCCTCCTGGGTTCAAACTATTCTCGTGCCTCAGCCTTGTGTGTAGCTGGGATTACAGGCATGAGCCACCATGCCTGACTAATTTTTGTATTTTTTGTAGAGACCAGTTTCTCCATGTTGGCCAGACTGGTCTCGAACTCCTGGCCTTAAGTGTTCTGCCTGCCTCGGCCTCCCAAACTGCTGGGATTACAGACATGAGCCACCACTCCCAGCCTATCATGGGTTTTTAACTATTAGAGTGGCTAACTATTTTTTTCTTAGAAAGAGTTCTTCCAGGCTCCTACTTCTCACCATTTTGTTGCTTCTAACCCAGTATTTACTATGAATTTTGACTGTTTGCAAAGCCTTGATATTTTCCCAATGGTGGCTGACCCCACTGTATCTTACACAGGGACCTTAGAATTCGCTCTGGCTATTAGTTCCAGCTTCCTACATTATGTATACCCTTCTATCACCACTCAATCTTGACTTTGGCTTCCACTAAAATATATAAATATATTTGGAAAAACTGTCAATGATCTAATAAGAAAAACTTTGAGTACTGCACTTTTCAGATTCACAAATTTGTATTTTAATGTTTCAGGGAATTTAAACACTGTTGAAATTTCTCTAAAGAGAAATGAAACAATTGGACAAGTCTTTCCTGATCCTGGTAATTTAGGAAAGCAAGTTAAGAACAATGTCTTCAATTATTTTTTGTTTTATTACTTCTATAAAATTGTAATGAAGCAAATACCCCTTTCTACACTTTGCAGGTGACGCCATGCACCTTTACAGACAAGGAGGAGAGTTATTCAACTGCCACTGAACAACTCTGGCTGCAACACAGCTGCTAAGAGTTCTTTATGTCGGCCGGGCGCGGTGGCTCACGCCTGTAATCCCAGCACTTTGGGAGGCCGAGGCGGGCGGATCACGAGGTCAGGAGATCGAGACCACGGTGAAACCCCGTCTCTACTAAAAATACAAAAAATTAGCCGGGCGCAGTGGCGGGCGCCTGTAGTCCCAGCTACTCGGGAGGCTGAGGCAGGAGAATGGCGTGAACCCGGAAGGCGGAGCTTGCAGTGAGCGGAGATCGCGCCACAGCACTCCCGCCTGGGCGACAGAACGAGACTCCGTCTCAAAAAAAAAAAAAAAAAAAAAAAAAAAAGAGTTCTTTATGTCGATATTCAGCATAGAGAACTTTGGGCTGCAGGAGGTCATAGAAAATAGGATCATTGCAGCAGAAATAGTTGAATCACTCCTGAAACTGTTTATGCTCTTGTCTTACTCCTCATATCCCCACTAACAGATCTATGTTTGGTCATAATCAGACTGGATTAAGAGAAAAATCAATTTAATAGTAAAACTTCACACCTCCTTTGTTTTTCTTTTCTTCGCTTTTAATGTTTTTAGGGTAGTCACAGAAATAATTACAAACATCCTCTGAAGTAGCTTTTAAAGAAGTGAAAGCAAAAACAAACTTAGATAACCAAGAAGGTTCTTAGTTAACTAATTGCTGTTAAAAAATCTACACATTCATTATCTAAAAATATTAATTCCCAAAACATTATTTTCACAAAATAACTTCTCTAGTTTTCATTCTTCTGAACAAGACTTTGCAGAGATTGCTGCTACTGAGACGTCAAAACACCAAGTGGTTACTTTTTAATTTAGCCCAAGGTAGAATTCTGTAGTTTAAAGTCAGTGATCCATTGTGAAATTCAATTTCCCAACTGTTTAATTAATTTATGTATACAATTCAATAATATTTAATATGGTGTGCACATTCAAGATGCAGTAAGCTTCCATATAAAAATCTAGGGCAGGATTCCAAAAATATCTGAAGTTTCTTTTTTTCTGAAAACAATTAGCAAGCATTTAAAAAATTAATTTTGTCATACCCATTATGAAGTGTCTACCATTAAAGGACCAAAAATAGTCATTTACTTGTGAAATGTAGAAATGAATAGGCTGAACTGCTTCCCCAACCCTTGTGCTGATTTAGCTGCTGTTTCAACTACTTATTGAGAATACCAGACTAAACGTCTTTAAAATCAGCCATAAAATACTCAAAAACATTTATTTGCCTTTCTCAATAACAAAATGAATTCAGTATTTCATTTGCTTGTTTTGTAGGGTGTTTGGAAGGTGATAGGTCAGTTAATGATTCCTTATTGAAAGAGTCAGAAGGAAAACACCACAGTCATCTGAGTTATAACTCCAAGTGAAAGGACAACAAAGACAAGTCAAAGGTCAAAGGTGTAGAACACCTCATTCCAAATCATGTGAACACATTTCACAAGTGCTTATTCAAAGAATGGAGCTCAGGAGAAAACTCAAGTATCATTGTTGTAAGAATAACTTCTATAGGACCTAAACAAAAATACAGATCAAACATGGTCTTCATGAAAGGCTGAAAATAGACAACCCAGAGGCTGGAACAGGCCTACAGATACATTTTATTTGGCCAATAGAGTTTTTAGTGGTTGTTGTTGTTTTAATCTAATAAATTTTCAACAGATAAAAACAAATGATTGCTTACAAAAATTCAGTTGAGGTCTTCTCTTGAAAAAACAAAAAAAACACAAAATATAATCTGGCAATGCTCTATTTATATTCCCACATTGTCACCATTGGTGGGAGGCAAGCAGGTGGCTCTCACCTTAGACAGAACAGTGGTCTCTTCCAGTTACCAATGTCCTGTAAAGCTGCTTTACCCATTTATGCTGTCTAGTCCTCATAAACTTTCGAATTAATACATTTTTGCTGCTAATTACATTTTTGCTGCTTACTACTTGATAAACTTTTTTAATAAAGAAGATAGAAATACTAGTGACAAATCAAACTGGCAACTCTATTACATTAGAAATGAGCACCTTAAAGTCACTCAAAAAAATTTGTACAATCCAAGTGACAAAAAAAAATCACTTAATATTATGGAAAATTCTACAATAGGGAAAGAACACTAGTGTAATATTTGTCTCTAGTATTTTGGCCCCATAACACTCGTGTAAAATATATAATATTATTTAAAAACTCATTATGGAAATAGTATTGGTAAAAATAACATAAATGTGAATTGTAAGATTTTGACTGGAAAATTTTAAGCAGAAAGAACACAAATTATAGGGTGAATTCATCCTGAGCTCACATTCTCACTCTATCACTTACCCATCCAACCTTAAATTTCTTCACTGGAAAATACCTATCTACTCATTCATTTATTCATTCATTCAAAAAATATTCACCTAGCAACCTCTTTGGCAAAGTACTGTGAAAAGCTCTGGCGATACAGTATGTGTAAAACGTTTTTCCCCTGCCCTCCTGGGTCTTACTCTGTAGCTAGGAAAACAAATATTAGATAGCTAATTACACAAATATTAATTTGTATTAATACCATGTTTAATTATCATTGTGGCAACTCTGAAAAAAACCATTTAACAGGGAATCTTGACCTCTCTTATCTAGAGTTAGAAAAAGCTCCTGGAGGAAATGATATCTGAAATAAGTTTGAAACGATAGGTAGTAAATTAACTATGTATACTGGGGAAGAGAGGCCTGAGAGAAGAAACAAATGGGATAATGGCCCTAGAACAGGAAGAATCTCTGCTTTTTCAGAGAACTAAGAAGGCGGGTGGAATGGAAGTGCAGAGAAGGAGGGAGTGGTAGGGAGACTGGAGAAGGAGGTGGGGCCTTTGCATATGTTTAGTATTTTCACTTCCATCCTCAGGGCAATGGGAAACCACTAGTCATTTAGGCAATAAAGTGTTTTGAGAGCTTTGGCTGATTACTCTGGCTATAGTGAAAAGAGTGGATTCAAAAGGGAGAAGTGTAGGTAGAAATGCAGGGAAACCATTGCAGCAGTCCCACTGAGAACAACATTCATTCAAAATAGAGTGGTAGCAGAGGAAACGAACAGAAATCGAGCAACATTTAGAAGTTATGACTGGCAGGAGTCAGAGATAGATTGTGTTGTGTGTGAGGGGGCTGAGGTGAGTGGGGTCAGATCTGGACTTGTTAATTTGGGATGCCTGTAAGATATTCAAATATAAATATCCATTAGGCAGTTGGGTATGTGGACATAGAGCACAGGGGAGAAATCAAAGCTACAGACATCAATGTAGATAATGATATTTCTTCATATATCTGTTAGGGAAATTTAATATAAAAAGTGTATAACAATGCCTGAAACATAGTAGGTACTTGCCCCTCCCTTAAGCAACTGCCTCTTCTACTTGGTAAATTTCTTCCCCAAGTGAAGACAAGTAGTCCTGAGTTCCATTTCCTAGGCTCCTAAGATCAATAAATGAGCAGACTAATTGCTTTTTTCCCACATAGTATTTAGGTCCTTTCAAATGACCTCTAAGGCCTCTAGCGCCATCCCACAGATCACTGAAATAGAGGAAGATGTGTATTGGAGCCCTAGGCAGCCATTTGGCAGTGGGGAGAATGCAAATAAGAGCCCCAAGCTTTATGTAGGGAAAGCTCCAAATGCTAGAGAAAGCTTAATATGGTAAAGCACATGTGTAACTCCACAATGTGCAAATTCCAAATCACCAAGTAACATTTCTCAAAAGGACCTATTGCCCTAAGAAATAGCTACATTTCTCAGCTTGTGTGCTACCTCCTTAACTTCTGTGAACTTCTTGTCATTTTAGGGTTTCTTACATGGTAATTATACCTATAGTTTGAACACAAGCCTTTCAAAAAATACATCATTTGGGGGGAAATCAGTCCCAATAACAAGATGCTACTTACCAGAAGTCTAGGAACAAGGCTAATCTTAAGCAAAAAAATGTATAAGCTTTGGCTGAAGGGCAAGACTGGTCATAAAAAATAAACCTATCTCCCCTATTCAAACACCAGATGAAGCAAAGATTTTTCTTTTTTTTTCCTTTTCCCCTAGAGCAGATTATAATCAATCTCAAGAAACTGAGTAGGTATTTTTATATTATCTATGTTCAGAATTTGTAGCATATGTCCAAACTTTGTGTATTTCAGTTTTAAAAAGAATCTGCAGAATATAATTCTTGGCAATCAGCCAGTAAGTGCCTACACACTTTTCTAAGCACAATTAGTTGAAGCTTTTATTTTTCTTACCTTATATTGGGCTTTTTTGCACCAAAGTGATTTGACTCTGCTCAGAAATTATGAAATTATGCAATTGTAAAAACCCTTGAAATCTAAAACCAGAATTATTTTTTGCACAGATAATAGATACATAGATCAAACATACATGTATACAACCCACTCCATGTGTCAAACATTTAAACTTTGTCAACCAAATCAAGGAGATCATTTCCTTCTCCAATCTAAGAAATGCTGATTTCTGCTAAGCCCACACATGATTGAATCAATTATATTTTTATGAAACACAAAATACTGAAAAACACAAGGACACAATGTAAAAAAAACTTTCATGATCTCTTACGAAAAATTTGAGCTGAAATAAAAGCACAATCTATTAACCTTATGTCAGAGTTTACATAATACCTAAGCTCAAGACCAATGATGAGTTGTAGTGTGTGGGAGCAGCACAGAATATTAGAAAGGCTACCTACTGTGGGACTTATGTGATTCATTTAAATTATTTAAGCCCATTTTGCCACCTGTAAATCGGGTGATAATTTCCAGCAGGCAAAACTATTTGAGGATTAAGCTATTGTATCTGAAGCTACTGACACATAGTAAATACTCATAAATCGGGGCCATTATTATGTATTATTGTTATGATTATTATTGATCTGAATTTTATTTTAAGATAATTTATTTTAGCATTGCGCTATTTCTTACTTAATGTCAGTTTATCACAGGAAAATAAATGTTCATTGTTAAGAGTCCTTGGTATGCATTACTCAATAATTAAACAGGCTACACTGTTTTCTATCAAAATGTCATATCAAGTCTTAATACAATTGGTCAAATCATTAGCTGTCAAATTACTGTGCTGTATTAAGTGTTACTATACTTGCTTAAGTGTTTTATTTCTTATTCTGAAGGTGGTTGAAACTTTTGTTTGTGGGTCATTTACAATAAGAACCAATTAAGGGTTGCATTTTTATATTTGATTGGGCTAATTAGATTAATCAATCTGATTTATATTAATAGGGATAAAGCCATAATTTTTAGCTAAACCATTACATAAACAATGTGCTAAAGAATGTATATCTAAAATGCTAGAGTAGATGTCCTATAACAAGAAGAGAATAAATCTTATCCAATCTAAAGATATACCAAAGCAACCAGACTAAATAAATGGGAGATAGGGTAAACCACCTAAATAATTAAATGTTTTATTTAAATTGACTTTTTTTCTTATTTTAGTTGGTAAAATTCTGAATTCCTGAAGTGATATTGCCATATTATATATATAAATACTTTATAATTTGCTATAATTTAAAAGAATGCTTTTTCAACATTAAAACTATGACACTGCCCTATATACCATATCAGTTCAAAAATTATACATTTTAGATAACCATCCAGAGATATTTCTCTACTTCTTGGAAAAAATACCAACATTGAAAACATCAAAAAAATTAAACAGTTCTTTTGTCCAGATGTTTTGTGTTTTTAGATAAGAAGTTTTGTTTCATTTGAATATAAACTCAGAAGGAGATGAAAGTTAAACTTCTGATTTAACATCACAAAAATAAAAGTAAATTGGAAAAAAAAGAAGCCTCAACATCAAGTTAACTAAACGTTTCAACTTTTACAAATGGTTGTGTGTGTGTGTGTGTGTGTGTGTGCACATACGTATACATTTCTCTCTGTTCCCACTTCAACTATACTTAAACTACCCAACTGTAGATACATATTTCCACTTTTTCCTTGTGCAATTTTTTAATACTTCTTGCCTTGGTTTTTTTTTCCTATGTACCCCCTGCTAGTTCAGCCCTCACCTCAAACAGACCACCAGGTTACCCATATTACAGCTCAACTCTGCTTGTGAGCAATCTTGCCAGAGCCATCAAAGCAATTCCACACATTACAGCTTTAGCAACCTGACTCCAGAATATCTTTGCTTCCTTACATCTAACTATTTCTGAAACTGCTCTTTCTAAGCCTCTTCCTCAGCCTCTTGTTTGACTAGAAATCCTTCAAAAAAGAAAAAAAAATGAGGTGGAAATAATTTTGTGTTACCATCTCTCCTGGCTTTCCCTAATGTATGAAACTCTCGTGGGAATTAATAAATTCTATAATGAAGGAGTCTGATTTTTTAAAATCTAGCATATTAGCATTTTCTTTACTTACTTCAAAACTGACACATTCAAACAAAACTAACATAGTCACTAGTTCTTTTTCAAAAACACTTTCTAACATTTGTTCTACAGATACACTTCAAACTGCAGATACAGAAATCCTGTTCTTAAGCTTGGTCTGTGCTCCAGGCAGATTGGACAACTCCCATTTTCTGGTGACACCTTGTGCTTTGATGCTCTGGGCCATCTCCACTTGTCATCCGCCCCCTCCCCATCCACCCATCTATAATACCTTAGCTTCCCATCTCTGCCTAGTGATTTGTGTATATATCTTATTTTTTCTACTACATTGTAAGCTTTTTGAGGACCTGGTTACATTGACTTAATTTTGGAGTATCTTTCAGAATGTCTTATAGCAAAAATGTTAATATTTGTAACCTTAGTGAATTCACAGTCATGGATTACATGCAGAAGCCCTGAGGGAGGAAAGAGTATTTAAGGGGACTCTATTTGGGAAACCTATGAGGAATGGACAGTAAACTACTGTGGGGAAAAACAGAAGCTCTCTCAGCCATTATGTAGTCAAGAGAAGAACATTGTTTCTATCACTGATGGTTGGGAAGAGACTCAAATGGAACTCCTTTGCTTGCAGTGTAGAGAAAGAAGAAAAACTAACACAAGAACTACAGCTTACAGCAGGGCTCTTCAAACTATGGTACATTACTTTGAAAAAGTCAGAATTTTTAAAAAATAATTTCAAGGTCCTCAATTCCTGTATATATTCTGTCTGAAACTTTATCTGCCTGTAGAGTCACTGAGGTGCAAGTTCTCCTTCCTCTCTCCCTCTCCCATTCGCCAGCCTTCCATGTTACAAAACAGCCCTCTCATGGTCATTGCCCCCTAAAGTGTAAATCTTCCACAGCTGCTAAGAAACAACCTTACTATTATAAATTAATAATAATAATTCAATAATTATCTGCAAAAATTTGTAATCGTTTATATCATTTTGATCAATCATATGATAATATTTATAATATAACTCAATAGAAAAGATTAATACTTAAAGCCTTTGGTTATATAAAAAATTAATTTATAAATAATTTTTGTTGTACAGGAGTATGATAGGGTGATCAATAAAAATCCTGCAAACATAAAATTACATTACATTGGGACAAAAATTTTTGCAGAAAGTGGAATGGGAGTATAAATTTGAGGGAAAATAAAGAATAATGTAAATGTTTCAATTATTACATTAGATTTTACATATATGTATACGTACACATATATACATAAATCCACATATATAAATATTTTAGACAGATGATGGTTATCAAACTACTTATGCATTTTTTTGGTATTTCTTTGAATACATGTAAAACAATAATGGAAAATTTTACCTCTTGCTGTCAGTATTTATAATATACTGTCAGCCCTCTGTATCTGTGACTTCATATCCACGGACCCAACCAATTGTGGATCAAAATATTAAAAATAAAAAATAACAATATGGCAATAAAAATAATACAAATAAAAAATATAGTATAGCAACTATTTACATAGTATTTACATTGTTTTAGATATTACATGTGGTCTAGAGATGACTTAAAATATACAGGAGAATATGCAAAAGTCATATGCAAATACAACACCATTTCATATAAGGGACTTGAGCAGCTGTGGATTTTGGTATCCAAGGGGGTCCTGGAACCAATCCCTGATGGATACTGAGAGAAGACCATACTGAACTTAACATACTTTCTCATTATTTTCAATTTTTTTCAATTTATTATAAAATATGAAGATCTAAAATGTGTAAAGGGTAACTTTTTTAAAAATTAGTTTTAGAGATACATGGCCAAAAAAAAACAAGGCTACAAGGAAGAGGCTTGAGGCTACTGGCTACTACCGTACTCCTAGATTGCAAAATTGAATAAAATTAGCAGTTATTACTTGTGGGCACACATATATGCACACATTCTCCTTTTTATTGCATTTAACTCCCCTCCTTTGCCTATCTCCTCCACCAGCTCCATCTCTGACATCTGATGATTTGATCCAAGAGTTTCATTCTCTGGCAAGAATCTAAGATCAAAACAATGACCTGTGGGTATCGCCCTCTTCCTACCCTAGACTGAGCCCCATTCAGTAACTAAAGGATACAGCGGAGAATGGAGGCTCCCAAGGAAGTGGTAGCCAGGGCATCAACCAAGAGGGGAAGGCACAGGGAGGAATATAGCTTAAACTCTTCAAAACAATATAAATTATTACAAATTTTCACAGATAATTATTGAATTATTATTATTAATTTATAATAGTAAAGTTATTCCTTAGCTGCTGTGAAGGATTTACACTTGAGGGGCAAAGTACAAAGTCTTTGAGAGTACAAGGCTTTTTGAATAAGGATGGCCCTTTTAGAAGCTGAGCAGTCCTAGAGACAAGGCTGTGACTCCACACAGTCTGAAAGATGGAGCAGTCGGCTGTGTAAACAGGTGCAGTGGAACACTGATGGAGAGTGGGGCTGAGAGCCAGAAGACATGATAGTGTGGCCTTGGGACCAATGCCTGTGTTCCTTGACCCTCACTGTCTCAGGCTGAAGACCACTATGGTTGTATGGCCCACACTTACATCTTTTGTTCCAGGAGTTTTTAAAACCCCTTTTAGAATTGCTTGTATGCTGTCCTCTTCAATCCTGGTGTTAAAATCACAGAAAAGACTAAGGAAATATTTACTTAATTAAGGTTTAAACGTGCACAATTGAGGGAAAAAATAGCTCGAGATGCTAAAATTTTTCATGTTGATTTTCCACATTAATCAAATTCTGAAAATAATTACTTAATCTTCCACTTCATTTACCTATGTAGATCAGGCTGCCTCCACCTGAGGGGAAAACACCAGATCGTGACATTTTCAGAGCTATTTTCAGACCACAGAAAGGCAGATCCAGTCCTGCCAAGGGCCATCATGGGCAGGAACAATGGGAGGTGTGGCCCAAATGTTTATTAGCATCGAAGTATGTCGGTAACAATGCTGTTCTCTCTTCCCACACATAGATACACATATTTTCATACACTTGCCAAGGTGCAAATTCACTTAAGATGGTTGATGCTATTTCTCCAGGACAATCACCAAGAAAGTAAGCTTTAGCAATTTATTTCTGACCAAATAAAATTTTCTGATGTTCCTTTGGATGAATGTTTGTCCATATCTGGGAACTGTGTGCTGTGACTTGGAGAAATGATCACTCCCTTAGAGTCAGATGACCTCAATTCTAACCACGCTCTACCATTTATGATTTGTGTGACCTTAGCAGGTTCATACTTCCTCATAAAGTGAAGATAGTATCTGCCTCAAGAGGTTGTTAAATAAGAATATAAGTAAAATTGAAGTCAATGTTAATTTTCTTCCTTTCTTTTTGACACTGGAAAAGTATTATCACAGCATAAAATGTGTGGCTTTGAATTGGTCTCCACCTGAAAGCAAAAAGACAATGAAATGAAAGTGAAACACACAACAGTAAGAACATTTTTGTAGGTTCAGCAAAAAGATTAATATTAGAAAAAGCAAAAAACTGCAAATTATATGAATCTAGGTTAATTGTTCAGGAGCTTTTTTGCGTTGCAGTGAGCAGTTAAAACAAATCACTTTCATTCATGAATATTAAAATAAATACATTTAGCCTAAATAGATCTCCCAACATAAATAAATGAGTCATATAATAAGTCACATGATATTTTTTTTTTAAATGAAAGAATACCAAGACGATGATTTGGTTTTAAGGAACTAGTTTTATTTTTTATTTTTGGAAAGCAACTAAAGACTATTAGAAACACCAGTAGAAAGTATTTTGTGTAATTATAATGATGATGATAATTATCTGGTGATAATTAGCTAAGACTTATTGATACAAATTAAGTTCCAGGTACTAACTGAGTACTTAATATGTTACAGGCATTGGTGGAAAGGTTTTATATATATTAACTCCTTTCAGCCTCATAACAATCCTATATAATAATAAGTTATTATTATTATAGTTATTTTTAATTATTCCCACTGTAAGGATGAAGAGTTTAAGGTACAGAAAGTTCCCCTAGCTAGAACTGTGAGGACCTAGGAAGCAACACAAGAATACGCATGCTTAAAACACTAGCCAGTAATACTACCAGAAATCGTCTGTGACACCTGAGTCTGCCAAAGGAGTTGTTCCTTCTGATTCTCTTCTCACTTCATGTCCCCATGGAGCTGATATAAGCACAAATCTTCTGTTAGAGCCATGAAAAGGAGCATATTCTGCCTAAAATCACTTTTATTAGCGCTAGTTTAGGTACCCTTTTAGCAGTACAATTTGAGATAGATAGACAGACAGACGGACAGACAGACAGACAGATAGATAGATAGAGTTTGTTTGTTTGTTTTTGAGACGGAGTCTCGCTCTGTCGCCCAGGCTGGAGTGCAGTGGCGCCATCTCGGCTCACTGCAAGCTCCGCCTCCCGGATTCATGCCATTCTCCTGCCTCAGCCTCCTGAGTATCTGGGACTACAGGCGCCCGCCACCACGCCCGGCTAATTTTTTGTATTTTTAGTTGAGACGGGGTTTCACTGTGGTAGCCAGGATGGTCTCGATCTCCTGACCTCCTGATCTGCCCGCCTCAGCCTCCCAAAGCGCTGGGATTACAGGCATGAGCCACCGTGCCCAGCCATATATATATATTTTTTAATATATATTTTTTAAAAACACTGGGAAGATTTTTCTTATTGATAAGAAAGACAATGTCAAAGAAATACCAATATAATTGAAAATTTTTTAAATGTTCTATTTTTATTTTATTATCTTAAACAAACCCTTTAGCATGTTATAAATTACATGTTATAATAATAGGTTCCCATTTACTAAGTCAATACACATAACAGGAACAATTTTCTGTAATACACAAGACATGAAAAGGTAAATATGTCATTAGTAAAGTTCTGGCTTTATTATTATTATTAATTATTATTATTTTCATTTCAGAATTTGTGAGACTTTTCTCAGGAATTATCTTCTGTTAAAGAAAGCAAATCCTATGGCCATGGGCAAAACAATCATTTCTAATCCCTGCCTAGGATTTCAACATGATCATCAGATACTCAGTGACACTTTGAAAATTCAGCTTGCATGAGTGTCAAATTTCTACACTAGTGCCTGGGAGTCCTCTCTAACTTGTAAAACTATTCATGGGTCTCAAGCTATCATATAATACTCATACCTTTGTAGAAAGGGAGTGCAAAAGTTAATTAGTTTTAGCTAGAGGAATTAAAAGAATACATTATCCCTCTTTCAAGGAACCAACTCAAATCTAATAAAACAATGCATAACAATGGTAATAAAGCAACAACCAAATGAGCACTATTTAACGTAATAAACACTCTTTGGACATAGCCTAAAATTCATACAGTGTCTACTTCACATCTATAACAGATTCAGAATTCTTTCAGTCATCAAGCAATTTGGGGTGCCTGCCATGTGAGAGCAATGTGATAGGCACCAGGATGAAGTGGAGAGTCAACAGACACAGTCTCTAACCTTGTGAAGCTTATGGTCTTTGTCTATTCATACTGACAGACTGGATTCTATGTGGAGACCAAGGAATGACAGACTGTGGTGACAGGAAGGAGTGAAGTGGGAGAAAAAGAAATAGAAAAAGATGATCAGGAAAAAGTGAGAGTGAGATCATGGAATACATTTGACAATGAGAAAGAGAAAAATGCCTCCAAATAATCAAGAATAGCTGGCATTGCCCTATCATTGATCTAAAAGTAGCTTTCTTATAACTTTTTCATAATACCAAAACATTTCCATTATTAGAGCAGTCTTCATGAGAAGCCTAACTTTATATTCTTAGATTAATATTTATAGTTTCTAAGGCAAATAGTAAGTTCCCATATTTTATTATATTATCTTTCTTTTTCATTAAAACTAATATGCTACAGAGATCAACATCTAACAATGAAGTGATAAAAAGTGAAAAGTAAATGTCAGATCCTTATGTGGCCATAATAGCTTAATGACTCATATTGTAACACAAAGTATAAAGATACAATATATACAGCATATATGTATTTTAATTAATGCAATATCACCTAAATTATGTTTTAGGAAATTATTAGAAGCAGGAATAAATAAGATTAACTGTTATATAACTATATAATTTATTTCTAAAATGATAGTTTTTAATATTAAGTAGGTAGATAGTATATATAGTACACAATTATGTGGTTTTTTCCTTTCTTATATATTTCATTTAAGTTTTTTCTTTTTCTCTACTTCTTCTAAAAAAACAAAAACAAAAACAGGATACATGTGCAGAGTGTGCAGGTTTGTTGCATAGGTATACATACGCCATGGTGGTTTGCTGCACTTATTGACCCATTCTCTAAGTTCCCTCCCCTTATCCCCACCCCCCAATAGGCCCTGGTATGTGTTGTTCCTCTCTCTGTGTCCATGTGTCCTCAATGTTCAACTCCCACTTATAAGTGAGAACATGCAGTATTTGGTTTTCTGTTCCTATGTTAGTTTGCTAAGGATGATGGTTTCCAACTTCATGCATGTCCCTGCAAAGGACATGATCTCATTCCTTTTATGACTGCATAGTATTCCATGGTGTATATGTACAGCATTTTCTTTATCCAGTGTTTCATTTATATGCATTTGGGTTGGTTCCATCTCTTTGCTATTGTAAATAGTGCTGCAATAAACATAAGTATGCATGTGTCTTTATAGTAGAATGATTTATAATCCTTTGGTTATATACCAGTAATGGGATTGCTGGGTCAAATGGTGTTTCTGGTTCTAGATCCCTGAGGAATTGCCACACTGTCTTTCACGATGGTTGAACTAATTTACATTCCCACCAACAGTGTAAAAGCATTCCTATTCCTCCACAGCCTCACCAGCATCTATTGTTTCCTGACTTTTTAATAATTGCCTTTCTGACTGGCATGAGATGGTATCTCATTGTGGTTTTGATTTGCATTTCTCTGATGATCAGTGGCATTGAGCTTTTTTTATGTTTGTTGGCTACATAAATGTCTTCTTTTGAGAAGTGTCTGTTCATATCCTTTGCACACTTTTTGATGGGGTTGTTTCTTTCTTGTAAATACGTTTAAGTTCCTTGTAAATTCTGGATATTAGACCTTTGTCAGATGGCTTGATTGCAAAAATGTTCTCCCATTCTGTAGGTTGCCTGTTCACTCTGATGATAGTTTCTTTTGCTGTGCAGAAGCTCTTTGGTTTAATTAGGTTCCATTTGTCAACTTTGGATTTGTAGCAATTGCTTTTAACGTTTTTGTCATGAAGTCTTTGCCTGTGTCTTGAATGGTATTGCCTAGGTTTTCTTCTAGGGTTTTTATGCTTATGGATTTTACCTTTTAAGTCTTTAATCCATCTTGAATTAGTTTTGTGTAAGGTGTAAGGAAGGGGTTCAGTTTCAGTTTTCTGCATATGACTAGCCAGTTTTCCCAGCAGCATTTACTGAATAGGAGATCCTTTCCCCATTGCTTGTTTTTGTCAGGTTTGTTAAAGATCAGATGGTTGTAGATGTGTGGTGTCATTTCTGAGGTCTCTGTTCTGCTCCATTTGTCAACATGTCTGTTTTGGTACCAGTACCATGCTGTTTTGGTTACTGTAGTCTTGTAGTATAGCTTGAAGTCAGGTAGCAGGATGCCTCCAACTTTGTTTTTGCTTAGGATTGTCTTGGCTATGCAGGGTCTTCTTTGATTCCATATTGAAGTTTAAAATAGTTTTTTCCAATTCTGTGAAGAAAGTCAATGGTTGCTTGATGAAGATAACATTGAATCTATAAATTACTTTGGGCAGTATGGCTGTTTTCACAACATCGATTCTCCCTATCCATGAGAATGAAATGTTTTTCCATTTGTTTGTGTCCTCTCTTATTTCCTTGAGCAGTGGTTTCTAATTCTCCTTGAAGAGGTCCATCACATCCCTTGTTAGCTTTATTCCTAGGTATTTTATTCTTTTTGTAGTTATTGTGGATGAGAGTTCATTCCTAATTTGGCTCTCTGTTTGCCTATTGTTATTGTAAAGGAATGCTTGCAATTTTTGCAGATTGATTTTGTATCCTGAGACTTTGCTAAAGTTGCTTATCAGTTCAAGAAGTTTTTGGGCTGAGATGATGGGGTTTTCTGAATATAAAATCATGTCGTCTGCAAACAGAGACAACTCGCCTTCCTCTCTTCCTGTCTGAACACGCTTTATTTATTTCTCTTGCCTGATTGCCCTGGCCAGAACTTCCAATGCTATGTTGAATAGAAGTGGTGAGAGAGGGCATCCTTGTCTCGTACCAGTTTTCAAAGGGAATGCTTCCAGTTTTTGCCCATTCAGTATGATATTGGCTGTGGGTTTGTCATAAATGGCTCTTATTATTTTGAGACATGTTCCATCAATACCTAGTTTATTGAGAGTTTTTAACATGAAGGGATGTTGAATTTTATCAAAGGCCTTTTCTGCATCTATTAAGATAATCATGTGTTTTTTGTCTTTGGTTCTGTTTATGTGATGGATTACATTTATTGATTTTCATATGTTGAACCAGCCTTCCATCCAAGGGATGTAGCGACTTGATCATGCTGAATAAATTTTTTGATGTGCTGCTGGATTTGGTTTTCCAGTATTTTATTAAGGATTTTCACATCGCTGTTCATCAGGGATATTGGCCTGAAATTTTCTTTTTTTGTTGCATCTCTTCTCGGCTTTGGTATCAGGATGGTGCTGGCTTCATAAAATGAGTTAGGGAGGAGTCCCGCCTTTTCAATTGCTTGGATAGTTTCAGAAGAAATGGAACCAGCTCCTCTTTGTATCTCTGATAGAATTCGGCTGTGAACCCATCCAGTCCTGGGCTTTTTTTGGTTGGTAGGCTATTGATTACTGTCTCAATTTCAAAACTTGTTATTGGTCTATTCAGGGATTCAACTTCTTCCTGGTTTAATCTTGGTAGGTTGTATGCATCCAGGAATTTATCCATTTCTTCTAGATTTTCTAGTTTATTTGCAGAGGTGTTTATAGTATTCTCTGATGTAGTTTATATTTTTGTAGGGTCAATGGTAATATCCCCTTTATCATTTTTATTGTGTCTATTTGATTCTTCTCTCTTATTCCTATATAGTCTAGTTAGCAGTCTATTTTATAAATTTTTTTCAAAAAGCCAGCTCCTGGATTTGTTGATTTTTTGGAGGGTTTTTTGTGTCTCCATCTCCTTCAATTCTTCTCTGATCTTAGTTATTTCTTGTCTTCTGCTTGCTTTTGGATTAGTTTGCTCTTGCCTGTCTAGCTGTTTTAATTGTGATGTCAGGGTGTCGATCTGAGATCTTTCTAGCTTTCTGATGTGGGCATTTAGTGCTATAAATTTTCCTCTTAACATTGCTTTAGCTGTGTCCCAGAGATTCTGGTATGTTGTCTCTTTGTTCTCGTGGTTTAAAAGAACTGTTGGATTTCTGCCTTAATTTCATTATTTACCCAGCAGTCATTCGGGGGCAGGTTGTTCAATTTTGATGAAATTGTATGGTTTTGAGTGAGTTTCTTATTTCTGAGTTCTAATTTGCACTGTGGTCTGAGAGACTGTTATGATTTCAGTTCTTTTGCATTTGCTAAGGAGTGTTTTACTTCCAATTATGTGGTCAGTTTTAGACTAAGTGCCTTGTGGCACTGAGGAGAATGTATATTCTGTTGATTTGGGGTAGAGAGTTCTGTAGACACCTACAAGTTTCACTTGATCCAGAGCTGAGTTCAAGTCCTGAATATCCTTGTTAACTTTCTGTCTCGTTGATCTAATAGTGACAGCAGGGTGTTAAACTCTCTCACTATTATTGTGTGAGAGTCTAAGTTTCTTTGCAGGTCTCTAAGAACTTGTTTTATGAATCTGGGTGCTCCTGTATTGGGTGCATATATAATCAGAATAGTTAACTTCTTGTTGAATTGTTCCCTTTACCATTATGTAATGGCCTTCTTTGTCTTTTTTGATCTTTGTTTGTTTAAAGTCTGTTTTGTCAGAGACTAGGATTTCAACCCCTGATTTTTTCACTTTCCATTTGCTTGGTAAATTTTCCTCCATCTCTTTATTTTGAGCCTGTGGGTGTTTGCATGTAAGAATGGTCTCCTGAAGACAGCAATGAGTTTTGACTCCTTATCCAATTTGCCAGTCTGTGTCTTTTAATGGAACATTTAGCCCATTTACATTTAAGGTTAGTATTGTGTGAATTTGATCCTGTCTCATGATGCTATTTGATTATTTTGCATACTAGTTGATGCAGTTTCTTTGTAGTGTTATTGGTCTTTACATTTTGGTGTGTTTTTGTGGTGGCTGGTTCTGGTTTTTCCTTTCCCTATTTACTTCTTCTTTTAGGAGCTCTTGCAGGGCAGACCTGGCGGTAACAAAATCCCTCAGCATTTGGTTGTCTGGAAAGGAATTTATTTCTCCTTCACTTATGAAGCTGAGTTTGGCTGGATATGAGATTCTGGGTTGAAAATTCTTTTCTTTAAGAATGTTGAATATTGGCCCCAGATCTCTTCTGGCTTGTGGAGTTTCTGCTGAGAGGTCCACTGTTAGTCTTGATGGGCTTGCCTTTGTAGGTAACCTGGCCTTTCTCTCTGGCTGCTCTTAAAAGTTTTTCCTTCATTTAAACTTTGGAGAATCTGATGATTATGTGTCTTGGGGTTGATCTTCTTGTAGAGTATCTTAATGGTGTTCTCTGTATTTCCTGAATTTGCATGTTGGCCTGTCTTGGTAGGTTGGGAAAGTTCTGCTGCATAATATCCTGAAGCGTGTTTTCCAGCTTGTTTCCATTCTCCCCATCTCTTTCAGGTACTCCAATTAATCATAGGTTTGGTCTTTTTATGAAGTCCCATGTTTCTTGGAGGCTTTGTTCATTCCTTTTCATTCTTTTTCATCTATTCTTGCCTGCATGCCTTATTTCAGCAAGGTGGTCTTCAAACTCTGATATCCTTTCTTCCACTTGGTCAATTAGGCTGTTGATACTTGTGTAGGTTTCACGAAGTTCTCATGCTGTGTTTTTCAGCTCCATCAGGTCGTTTATGTTCCTCTCTGAACTGGCTATTCTAGTTAGCAATTCCTCTAATTTTTTATCAAGTTTCTTAGCTTCTTTGCATTGTGTTAGAACATGCATCTTCTGAAGCCTAATTCTGTCAGTTCGTCCATTTGATCCTCAGTCAAGTTCTGTGCCCTTGATAGAGAAACGTTGTGATCTTTTGGAGAAGAATCACTCTGGCCTTTTGAGTTTTCAGCACTTTTTCATTGTTTCTTTCTCATCTTCATGAGTTTGTCTAGTTTCAGTCTTTGAGGCTGCTGATCCTTGGATGGGGTTTTTGCAGGGGCCTTTTTGTTGTTGTTGATGCTTGTTGTTGCCTTCTGCTTGTTTGTTTTTCTTTCAATATTCAGGTCCCTCTTCTGTTGGGCTGCTGCAGTTTGTTGGGGGTTCACTTCAGGCCCTATTCATCTGATTCGCTCCCATGCCCAGAGATGTCACTCAAGGAGGCTGGAGAGCAGCAAAGATGGGTGCCTGCTCCTTTTGGGACCTCTGATTTCGAGGGGCACAAATCTGATGCCAGTAGGATCGTTCCTATAAAGGGCATCTGACAACCCCTGTTGGAGGGTCCGTCCAGTTGAGTGGCACAGGGAGCAGGACCCATTTAACAAAGCACTTTGTCCCTTGGTGGATTGGGGTGTGTGTTTTGCTAGGGGGAACCCACTTGTCTGGGCTGCCCAGATTCCTCAGAACTACCAGGAGGAGAGGCTAAGTCTGCTGGTCCACAGAGACTGCAGCCACCCCTCCCCCTAGGGGCTCAGGCCCAGGGAGATCTGAATTTTGTCCCTGAGCCTCTGGCTGGAGTTATTGAAGATCCTGAGGGAAAGCTCCACCCACTGACGAAGGATGTGTCAGGGTTAGGCCTGAAGAGGCACTCTGGCCACAGATTGCCACAGCCAGTGTATTAGGCTGTGGGGACAAGTCTTGGGACCAAGACTTCCAGCCTCCCTGGCCCCAGCAGGGGAAAAGCACAGCCTGGAGCTATGGAAATGGGTGCTGCCTTTCCCCTGCCCAGGGAGATTAGCATGTTAGGCCGTTGTGAGTCCCAGTGCTGGCTGCTGCCCCTCCCTCAAGGAGCTCAAATGACTTAGACAGCAGGCAGCGGCAGCTGGTGCTGGTCTCCTCTCCCCCCAGGAGTTTGGTAGGCTTAAGCAGATTCCAGCTGAGAGGGTGTAAGAATCCGTGCATTCCAGGGTTGGGACGCTAGGCCCCAGTGGTGTGAGTTCGTGAGTGGGATCTTCTGATCCATGGATTGCACAGTTCCATGGAAAATGCACAGTCACCCCAACTGGGTAGCGCACTCAATGCCTTCCTTGGCTGGGGGGAGGGGGTTCCTCTTCCCCTGTGGCTCTCAGGTAGGCTGCCGCACCACACTGCTCTTCCTTCTGTGGGTCACGCCAGCCTTCTCATCAATTTTGCTGAGAGAACCGGGATACCTTGGTTGCTGGTGAAGAATTCACATGCTTATTATCGTTTATTTCAATGGAAGCCTCCAAACATGGTTGCTTCTAGTCGGCCATCTTGCCACTGCTCCCCTAATTATGTATTATATACCACACATATTTAATAGCAAAAGCCATTATTATTTATAAAAACCCTTTTTCAGTCATTAGATGGCTGTGTCATTTAACTCACTGAAATTTTCAAACATCTTTATTTTATTAAGATTGCATTCCAGCATATATAATATTCCCTACATTCCTTTATAACTCTTCTATCCTTAATTAAAAATAATTTTTCTTCCTATTATTCATTTTAAGGTAACTATTTTATAAAATTAAACTTAAAGCTCTGTCTCAGCTAAAAATGTGTACATTCTTTTCTTTAACAATAATTATGAAAACTGACCTAAGGAATGTTCTTTATACAAGGGAAAGTAGTTATAGCACAAGGTCAGTATCTCTTGTGTGGTATCAAAGATGATTTAAATAGGATCCCTTGGCAATGGATAACTTCTTGTAAAGTTGTGGTATCAAAGATGATTTAAATAGGATCCCCTAGAAATGGATAACTTTAAATCAAAGATGATTTAAAGAGGATTCCCTAGCAATGGATAACTTCATGTAACATCAGTGCTGGAAATTCACTGGTGAATGAAACACGTGATCATCAGCATGTTATAAAGAGTGCAGCCTGATGAGAGGAAAAGCAATATCAAGAGCACATCTCTGTGTTTAAGGCATTGTAGAAAGAACAGAAATTATTATTCAAGAATTATTCCACCTCCAGTCTATAACATGCTATATGTAGCTTATGAAACATTTCACATAAGATATGACTTTGGTTTTATGTCTTAAGTTAATGTGAAGTTGGTGTCATTCTAAACCTGTTTTGTTAGGTAGTTACCATATTTCTAAGATGACACTGGTTACAAGATGTATTTATGTTCTACTTAGAATGAAAAAATACTGCCAATTAAAGATGACACAGTCTCATTAATAAGATACATCTCATTTTTAGAAATGTTATAGTATGAAAAACGTGCATCTTGGAATTAGTGAAATCCAATAAAGAAAATCTCACTCTAATCTCCCCCAGTCTAGCCTTTTCATCATTAATGTTTCCCCAGTGTCCTAAATTGGTTCATATCCCATACAAAGTGTCAGAATGGTGACTTCCTTACAGCAAGCCTTCTTTACTAAATCCTGAAGAGCCTGTCCCTCTTTTTGTGATAGATCAACAAAGCCATTTAAGAGAGTGTCCTTAATCATATCTCTATGCCCTTTCCATGACTGTTCCCAATGCCTATAGCACAGATCTATACAACTCCTGAGACTAAGGAAGTTCATGGCTTTCTAAAGCGCTTCCTGACAAATGTCTTCTTACAGTGTTACCTGCCTACTGGACTGTTGTCACAAAGGTAATGCTGGAATGATTGACATAAAGTGAAGAAAACAAGTAACTTTACTGGAAATGAAGAATACAAGAACATACTGCATGAAGTAAAGGGAAGCAAAGCAGGAACTATAAGCTTCCTAGGTTCTCAAGGCTCCACAATGCCCCTTGCTGACAATGTGATCACCTGGTTGGAGTAAAGATTTTGCTTTAGGATTCTCAATACCTGCCTATTCTTCCACCTACCTCCAACTATGCTAAAGGCCCTGGATATTTGACACCTGCTTGACCAAAATGTGCAGTAACCGATACAACTCCAGCACATTCCTAATTGCTGCAAGACCAAGTGAAACTATTCAATTCCCCAGACATAAAAACCATCAACCAGACAATATTTCGAGCTAGAAATAGGTACTTTATCACTGTATACATTTTATTTCCCATTCTGTTTGGGTTCTGTTTATTTATTTGGGGAGTTATTGGGTTTTTTTTCCTTTTTGAGAAAAAAGAGCACCTTTTATCTTGAGTGTTGTCAGAAAAAGTCTTTCTTACCAAATGGGCATCAGAGACTTTGTTACATCCAAAATAACAAAAGCAGACATTGTCCTGTCTACAGCAACACAGGGAATTAATATTTCAATGTCTAACCATTTTAAGTCTACTTACAAGTGGAATAATCTAGAGTTCACTGTGCAGAGTACATTGGATGTTAGAGTTTTTTATTCCTTAGGTAGAACTTTCTGACATTCTAATGGTCCTTTGTTAAAGAGAGAGAAAAAGTGGCCATTTTCAATCACAGAAAGTTCAATTCCAGCACCTACCAAGAGACATCTGTAAAGGGACTGGTGAGAGGAAAACATTTTTCACAATGAATGGATGCTGCCTCTGAGTTCTTTCAGTTCAGTTCTCACATCAAGAAAACTAATCATTAGGGATAAATGCCTATGCTGTATTATTTTTAGCTCTTTTGAGGAGAAACCTATTATTTCTTTCACTCCCTGCATGAGGCAGAAAGTATTCTCTTAAGGTCTCATAACATAAACAATTCTGATGATTTTCATATTGTAAGGAAACATCCTATATTTTATTGTAAACGGAGGCTAAATTATTAAGCATAAGAGTAAAAAATTATTTCAACCTTTGAAAATTCTACTTTGGTTACAGATAAGACCGGCTACAACCTACTTCAACTTGCAGTGCCTGGGAATGGTCCTGACAGGATTCTGGCACAGTTAGGGTTAGAACCCATTTCTGTATGAGGTACTGTGGTAGAGTGGGGTGATTGTTGTAGAGTGGGGGCAGAGATATTCTGACTTTCCACCCACGTGACCCTGGGGGAGTCAGCACCAACTAAACTACATGGCATGGGTTTCTCAAGCAAAAAGGAGAAAACTAATATTAGAAAGGGTGTGGGAGAAGCATAAATAATAGAGATTCCCTTCAAAGATATTTTTTTGGTGATGTGGATCCATCATCGACCCAAAAATTCTTGCTTGTCACTTGGGATTCATTCATTTACTGAAAGTTCCTGACAAAAGGCAGTATGATAATACCTCCCTGTTCACTGTCGTTACAGTCAGTATGGCCTCCATACATCACCTGAGATAGGGGTATACCACAATCACCCAACCATTCAGAGATCAGCAACCTCCACCTTATCTCACATGCAACGTTGGCTTAATACTTCTAAATGGTTATCAACTCCTGATCTGTGACATAAACATATAGCAATGTATTAACTACTGTTGACTAATTGTTCTTAAATAACAAATGAAGTGAAACCTATTTACTATGACTTAGGTGTTGACTCAGACCTGTTTTATGCACTCCTACTACTTTCAATTATTTCAAAAAAAATTTAGACCATCCTTTATACTTGGATTCTGAGAATGTTTTTAATTTTTGCCTTAGTTAAAAAGGTATTTATGATACACTGAGAATTACTTGATATACCAAAAATATTTAAGATTCATAGGAATATATCATTTGCTTGTCTTCTACAAAATCTTTCCTAGTTATATGTAGATTAAATATGGTTTAACAAAAGCTATTTAAAACTATCATTGGGAAATAATTAGCTATAAATAAGAAAACACTGTAAATTAACACAGTTTCTAAATGAGATTAATTATTATTAATGGACTTCTCATTTGGAAGTTCAAATCCAATTTATATAACTTCTTGACTAAATGTTATTTACTTTTGATATAAGAAAGCTTTTATATAACTCCTTGACTAAATATGTTATTTAGCTTTGATATTTTCACATTGATCCAGCTTTAAGGATTATAGTTTACACTTCGAACAATTAAAACTGCCAGATATTTTATCCTGCATTTGGCAATTATGAGTAGAGTGACTATAAACATTTGTGTTTATGTTTTTGTGTAGACATAAGTTTTAAATTCCTTTGGATATACATCAAGAAGCACAACCGGGGTAACAGTATGTTTAGTTTTGAAAGAAACTACAAAACTGTCTTCCAAAGTGGTGCACCATTTTGCATTTGCAATAGCAATAAATGAGAGTTCCTGTTGCTCCATGATTTCAGCAGAATTTAGTGTCAGCATACTAAATTTTGGGCATCCTAACAGGTATGTAGTGGTCATATGTTTCTTTTTAATTTGCAGTCCTTGATGACACATGAGGTTGAATATCATTTCATGAACTCGCTTGCCATCTGTATATCTTCTTTGGTAGGAGGTCTGTTCAGATCTTTGGTTCATTTTTAAAATTTGGTTGTTTATTTTAAGGTCCAAAATACTTGCAAAGTCCTTCATTATCTTGCCCCATTTCTATCCACCTCATCTCCTGCATCTCCCTCCTGACACTCAACATTCCAGGCACGCTAGCCCAATTCACTGAGTAGTTTCATTTTCAAATATGAAATGGAGGAGAAAAGGTCAATTTAACTATCTTTTCAAAACATCTGCTACTTCAAGGCAAGGTCTTCCAAAACTTGCCTCCAAATGGACTTTTAGGAGTATAAATCACAACTACCAAACCTGTTCAAACTGTTCTGCAGATACTGAGAAAGACTGTTGAACATCAGAAATATATTAATATCAGTTATCTGGTTATTATGAGTTCATGTCTGGCCTTCACAAAAGACCAATTGCTCATTTCAAAGCTGTAACTGTTTTTAATCAACAAGTGTTGAGCCCTGTTTAGCTAATTCAGAGTGGAGTCAACAGCAGATGGAAAAGCAGCTTGGCATCTGGCTTTGGCCCTGCTGCGCAATTGCCAAGAGAAGCCCGAGCATCCTGCATCACCTGCCTCTTCTGTTGTCATATGAATGGTTCATTTTGTGGCTCCAGCAATGCTTGAAATTGGCTGTCTGGTATCACAGAATGCCTGACCCTGACCAGGGGGCAAATGTCAAACCATGCCAGAAAGTGTGGCTTGGTTACAAAATGACTAGCAAAATACATTTCTTAGGAGAAGGGCATTGTGGGGGTTTGATACCAACTACTTATAAAATTATTCTATATTTAATTTTAAAGTTCACTTAGTTGATTGCTAGTCAGGCATTAGATACTAAGATTATAGAATTGTATTCCCTACTTCTATCCTTTCTCCTATATTCCCTACTTCTATCCTTTCTCCTATATTTTGTCACTAACATTCAAGTGTTTTGAGCATACAAAACACTCAAGCTAGTCTGACTTTGCTAAGAGTCTGTCCTAGGTCAAATTCCCTAGAAGCAGAGACTAATATGGGTATTCTTGGGCACATCGTCTATTGAGGAAGTGGTTTTAAGAAGCTGGAGGAAGCAGGCAGATTAGGGAAAGAGGGTGGATAATGAGGTTGCTTCAGAAGCCTGGCCTCAGATTGGTCCTCCAGGGAGCTTGGGACCATGAATTGAATCTCACAGGTTGTACCAACCAGAGTGAAGGAGGCTGAGCTGCCACTCCTCCACAGTAGTCAGTCATTGGCTGTGGGCCTCCCAAGCACCTCCTGTCTGCCTAGAACCAACCTCCAGAAAAGGTGCCCCTGTGAGCTTTCAGCAACCACAGAAGCTGGAGATGGGAGCACCAGCCTAGTAAAGAGGATCTCAGAAGACACCAAAGTGTCTTGGCAGCAGGAGACTTCACAGGCTTTTTATACATATCTCATTAACTTTTGCTATCCTAATTATTATGGCATTATCATAACCATTGTCATGCCTGTATACAAATAAGACCTACTTTTGAGTTCTAAACTAGCCTGATCTATTCCAACCTCATTAAAATAGTGAGAAACTGAGAATTTGGAAACTATGTAATTCACTTTTATCCCAGCAAATTATAGATAGCTGATTATGATCTATAGGAAACTTACAATCAAGGGATATTTCATTTTTTTTCTAAACCATTTTATTTCCATTCCACTATTGCTATTGCAAAGGACTACTTTCAGAAAACAAAAGGTAACCCATCCTTCAAGACTCACAATCTGTGATGACAAAATAGTGATTCATTTCATGTTAGAATTTAGTAAAAATTAAATGAATGAATGAATCAACAGCTTAACCTGAGACCCTAAAATGTTGACTAGTAGAAAAATTGTCTTCAGACCTTCTCTTTCCCAAACATACCAGAAGCAGGGGCAGCTTTACCATAGAGATAATAAAATTGGAATATCAGTGTCCTTTCTTCACTTATGTCCTGATCAAAGCCTGGGAGGGGCCCTAAAATGTTTTCACATATTTCTTTTTTAAATTTTGCAATAGCAACATACTTCAGACTCTTTTTCTTAAAGAGGACTCCGAAATCATTAATTGAATGCTCTATAAAACTTAGATTCTGCCATGCTTATCCCATTACCAAAACCACATTTTTCTCACTAAATAGCCAAGGTGGGAGGTGATGAGTGGAACTGATTCTTTAGCACCAGATGCCCACACATTTTAGGAACAAGGCAAAAGATTTAGAGCCTGCTCTCATCAGTTCATCATCTCTATGGCTAAAATCTTTATTTAGAAATGCTTATCATGAGTATGCCTGCCACAGCTAACAGAAATAACATCCTGCAAGTCCTAGAATGTGCAGGCTTCATGGTTTCTTTTGGTTTTCTTGCCCTACTTGCCACATAACCTTAAATGACAGCAGGCAAGAGGCTCCCAAGCATTTATCTGAGAATACAAGATTGTCTCTATTAGTGTGTCTGCAGCACCTGAGTCTGCATAGGCCATTTAAATTTTAAAGGCCACAGCATTTCAGATCCAATCTTAAGGCTGCCAATTAAGGTATCATTTGTCTTTGCATAAAAATTATCTTGGGGTGTTTTTTTCTTTTATCCCAGGCTCTTATTTCCTGTAAATTTCCAGTAGGCAGTACGGACCACGACTGCTTAACCTGTTTGAAAACTATCCACTGCAGATTCATTTGCAAACGGACACTAAGTAAATACTTGGTGATAAGTGATGATTTGGAAAAGATTTTCATTAAAAGTGTTTGATGAGGATCAAATCTTTATGAAAACACTCTACAGCCAGGGTGACTTTCCCAGAGCCATGACTGAACCACTTCAACAGTTACTGGATATGGATATCCCTACTATTCATACCAGCTCCACAAATTATACAATGCCTCTGAAATCTGAATCCATTAACAGAGTCAGAAAATATGTTTTAAAATATGAGAAGAGCTAAAATTGACTTCTCCTCTAATAAGGAAACAAATATATTATTGGTCAAAGGAGATTTCCCACCAGTGCTTACACATCCTCAGCTTACACATTAAATTCTACTTTTGACTAGAAATATTCATTTTCAATAATATATATTTTCAATATTTTAGAACAAAGAAATACATGCCAAGGCTTAGAACAATGAAATGACTTGAAACAATTGTCTTTCTGGGTGAAGTAATGTTTGTTCTTGTAAAAAGTAATGCCAAGCACTTTCCTTTCTTCATCCTAATTTGAGTTAATAGGGCTGAAGCTCCCAAATAATTTTTTTTCTGGCCTGTCTCTGCTCCCTAAGGAAAGCTTGGATTTCATTTTGAGGTCATGATAGTGAAATTGGTATAATTTTATATATATAATTTTATAAAATCAAAGAAGGAAAAGCCTGCGTTCCTGTCCTCTTTTGTTCTTTTCTGTTTCTATGATGATCTGTGCCATTCTGCTTTTATATTTCAAATAGGCCCCTCCTGGCCTCATCTTTTCTGTTCTTCCCTCTCAGGATTCCTGGGGCCCTGATGACAGCTGTGTCTACTAGGCCCTATCATCAGTATTCCAATGCTCAAATTGAAGTCAGGGGAAAAAATAGGAGATCTAGTCACTAGTTGTTTGTTGTAGTAGTTTTCTCAAGTCTGATAATCAAAAATAGTAGTCATTGCCTATTATTTCAACATGATATAAAAACAGGAAATTGATGGAATTTTTTTTTTTTGGTCATGATGTCTCATTTCGACCTAAAGCATATGTAAATGAATTTTAGCAATCAGACTTTTTGTTTATAGTAATCATCTGTGCTAATGAACTAGCAAAGGCTGCCTCTTCTGCACCTTTGGTTCCTCAAGAACTGAGGCTTGGCTCATGTCAGATACATCCATGGCTCAGCACAGGTCAGTTTACAAGGCAAACATCAGCCTAGCACTATCATCCATACCATTTATTGTCACAGAATAGTATTGTTCAATTCATGCTCTATCTGTAAGTCCAGGGACTAAACAAATGTCAGCCTCTTTACCAGGACTCAAAACTCCAGACAATCATATATTGTATAGCAAATAGCACACAGCAGGTGAGCACTCACAGACACCATCGGGGAGACACAACTGTGACAATGCAACAATCCCATAGTACTGTGAAGACCAAGTTGTATACCTCCCCAAAGCCCTCAAACCCTTGACTGATGACAGATCTGAAAAAGAAGAGCCTGAGAGAAGTCAAATGTTTGAGGATTTTGAGGTATACTGAATATCCTCTCTTCAAATGTCTGATTTTAAGCTAACAAAGCCAATAAAGTATTACAGAGAAGCTTAGAGAGAAATAGACCTGGTTATTTGTCAAATTTCTTTGCTGAGGAACCCAAAATACTGTCAGTGGTTCTATTACCTATAGAGGGCATTATTTACACTGCAACTTTCCAGTTAAATGTGTAGAGATTTGAATGGTGTTTTTCATATGCAAAGAGTCATTGTCCAATAAGAATAGTAGTGATAATAACAGCTAACATGCACTGAGCACTTAGCTTGTGAAAGAGCCTGGCCTAAGGGCCAGGTACATTATTTCATTTGACCCTCATGACACTCCTATAAGGTAAGAGAAACAGTTTTGACCTTATAGTTCAAATATTGAGTTTATATTCCCATTCTCCCTCTTAAATATAGTGTGACCTTTGTAACTCTGTGTGACCTTGTGCAAATCTCTTCACCTCTTAGCCTCATTTTCTCCATATTAAAATTAAGAATCCCATTACCTGCTTGCCATACCCCATTGACTTACTTTGAAGGTAAGAGACAATAAATGGGAAGCATTCTATAAAGTAATAAACTCACAAGAAAAATGACTTCACTATCTGTAGGATAAGGTGTTTATGTATCCACCCCTTAATCACTGGCCATGTTGAGAAGAAAAGTGTTTTACAAGCATCATTGTTTGCTTAAATATGGAAACTTTCCTGTTAGTATGAACCATAAACCTCTTTTAATATGATTCACCAAAATAAAGAGTGTAAAATCTAGATACTATATGTTAAGCTTTCCATGAAGTCTATAAAAGCTTTCACGAAAGCCAAGAAAGTTCTGTGAAAGCTGCAAGTGGTGAAATTATCAATTCCATCTAGGTTTTATTTTAATAAATTCCTTTAAAGATGGCTTTTTATTATATCCCCAGGCTATTTAAAAAGTGTTTTAATAAACACTTCTCTTTTATAGCTGCCAATCTTTTTCATCATCTCCCTATGTCCCAAAGAAGTTATCAACATCAACTTGCCATATCTTAAAAGTCTTCATTAACCGAGGCTAACTATTTGAGAGTTGGGCCTCTCTTTTCCACTTCATGTCCTTAAACAATGATTCTGCAGAGAGTTGCTTTATGGTGTGGGGTTTTGTGGGCTGGGTTTTTTTCCTTCCATTTTGGGTCATGCCAGGGCTATTTCTGTGAAATTCAATTAGAACCTTATAATAGTTCTCTGTAAATTTTCCTACTTCAAAAACAAACGGCAGAATCTTGAAAGGAGCCTACAACTGCTGGAGAGAGTTTATTAACACTTTGTCAGAAAACATATTTTTTGTGTTAGGCAGATCAATCAAACAAACTTCAGCTGGCAATCCCTCAGCTCTCAGTGTTGAAGAATACAGACTTGTCTCCTCCAAAACTGTTTTTAAAACACCCCACTTCTTCATAGCCATAACACTATTGTATTTTCCCCTTTCACTTGGAAAGAAAAAGTCACTTTTCATTTGGCATAATAATTTTCTAGGGACCATCAAAAGTGAGAGAAAAAAATCAGCTTATTCTGGAGTAAGGAACCTAGGGAGAAAGAATATTCTGTAATTTTAGAAAGATTTAAACCTCATTTATCATAATCTTTAACAGAAAATAAAGGGAATTCCAGCTTAGCAAATCAACCCAATTATAAGCATATTAAAATATAAACACACAGGGAAGCAAACTCATCAAAATGAGGTAATATTAGCTTTTAAAATTTATTCCTGAAATCAACAATCTGCCATTGAATTTTTTGTGATTGTGTATAAACTGTAAATAAGATACAATAATTTATTTCAAGAAATGCTGTAGTTTTTAAGCTACAACTCTAAATAAACTTGGTAACAAAACCAGCAAGTAAAAGACAAAATAAACAGACACAAAACTTCTGCTTTACTGGTCTAGAAGGTATTTTATCGTTCCCAAATCCTAATAAGCTAATTCCTTCTGAAATCACTGCAACATTCAACTACAGGTACTCAGGAGTAAAACATTAAGATTGAATGATAGCATCCTCAGGGTAGACATAATAATCTGTACGGAGAAAAAAGAGATTGATAAGGAAATCTGACATAATGTAGGGACCATGAATTGAATACAGAGACAGTCAGATTAGTATTGACATTGGGGATGGCTACAGTGCCAGTAAGGAGACGTTTTAAACAATTATTTTTACAGAATTCAATGTATAATTTTAAATAGCAAGAGTTGACTATGTGATTGTTAGTATATGTACTTCTAATACTCATTTTGTGGGCTTTGTTTCTGCTTTCTCTTCTTAAATTGCAAACTATTAAAAGGCAGAAATATAGCGTCGGTTTCTATTATAACTGACTTATTTTCAGTACCTGGTTCAGTACTCTTGTGATGTTCTATAAAGTGCATTCAGTTTGTGTGATGGAATAGCTGGCTTACAAGTATGCCAAAAATTTTATTAATATTTACACAGCAATAAAATCAGTAACAATCATGTCAACTTCTAATCACCATCTGTATGGCCTCTACATCAAAAAGGTATCACTTTTACTAAAGAGTATCATTCCTGACTGCCTCAGAGTCATGCAAATAATAAATGATCACACAAGGAATTTCTCTTTTATACTTTCTTACAATAAATATTTATGTGATGCTTTATAGTTTACAAAGTTCTGTTCTTGAATATTATCCTGCTTCATCTTGCTTAATCCCAAAATATTTTCTCAAGCTTCTGTTAATTTTTTTTGTACCTTCCTTGTTGTTATCTGTGCTCTACTTTAACCTTCAAGTGGAAAGGAATTTGCTAAAGGAAAAAAAAAACTCACAAATGTCTACAATCACTGAATTACAATTTATACTTTAGCTCCATCAGTTAATTTGTAGATTGTCAAGCTAAGTTTAACTCTATGAACATGTATAACAGTCTTAGTAAATAATATTCAGTAAGAATTATCATCACAACTAAAAAATACATCTAAATTATCAGAAAAAAAAAGAAGTGTGTAATGTCTTTGGTAACTCTTCTTTTTACTGGTTTTCATTCACAATTACCTTCTTGCTAATTGGATTATAAAAGAAACAGTAGGTTGACTCTGTTATATTTCTATCTTTGGCAAAAAGACCCTGATCTCATCACAAGAAAACTAATGTGCACCAAGGAAATTGGAAGCTTAGATCACAGAGGATCATGGTGGATGGGAGGCAGGACTAGATTGCAGCTCCAACAGACAGAGAAGCATGTGGAGGCTCACACTGTAAATTTTTGCTCTAGAACAACTGCAGGAATAAACCAGGAAACCCAAGAGGACCCACAGACCCAGAGACCCTCTGAAGGACTCCACTTTCAAACTGTGGAAGTGGAAAAGGGAGATCATCTGTCCCCAAACACACAGCCCCACTGGGGAAACTGGTCTAGATTACAGGAGAAGATTCTGACCTTAGCAGGAGCTGAGTCAATTTAGACAGCCAAGCGAAATACAGGAATAGAAGAAGCAGTGGGAAAAGCCCTGTGAGCTTGCTGGGTCTCCTAGCAAGCCATTCCTACCTGGCCTCACAGGGATCCTTCAGGAGGGCAGCCAGAGGCATTGGAAAAAGGACACAGGAAGAAGGAAATCTCCAGCTGAACTTTGTAACAATTTGAACTGATCGAGAAGTCTCCTAGCCAGAACTTGGGGGAGGGCATGAATCCCGTGTGCAAACTCCACAGGTTGGGGAAAAAGGAAAGCCATACTTTCTTTCACAGCTGGGAGGCGGGTAGCCTGGGGCAAGTTCTCAGCCTTGCTTGCCCACTGCCTGAAAACAGATTCAATGCTGTTGGCAGGGGGCGTTCCTGGTAGGAGTGAGACTGTCCCTTCAGATTGCATAGGAGATGGGTGAGGCCTGTGACTGCCAGCTTTCCCCGACTTCTCTGACAACATGCATGACACAGTAGAGACAGCCATCATCCTCCTGGGAACATAACTCCACTAACTTGGGAACCTCACCCCCATCCCCCACAGCAGCCTCAGCAAAACCTGCCCCAAGGAAAGTGTGAGCTCAGACACACCTAGCCCTGCCCTGACCCAGTGGTCCTTCCCTACCCTCCCTGATAACTGAAGAAAAAGAGCATATACTCTTGGGAGTTCTAGGGCCCCACCTACCACCTGTTCCTCCCCATGCTACCACAGCTGATGCTCTCAGGAAAGTGCCACCTCCTGGCAGGAGGCCAACCAGCACAAAAATAGTGCATTAAACAATCAAAGCTAAGAACACAAACAGAGTCCATTTCACTACCCTGCCACCTCCACTGGAACAGGTGCTGATATCCATGGCTGAGAGACCCATAGAAGGTTCATATCACAGGACTCTGTGCAGACAACCCCCAGTACTAGCCCAGAGCCTGGCAGACTTGCTGAGTGGCTAGACCCAGAAGAGAGATAACAATCATGGCAGCTCGGCTCTCAGGAAGCCACATCCATAGGAAAAGGGGGAGAGTACTACATCAAGGAAACACCATGTGGGACAAAAGAATCTGAACAACAGCCTTCAGCCCAAGACCTTCCCTCTGACAGAGCCTACCCAAATGAGAAGGAACCAGAAAACCAGCTCTGGTAATATGACAAAACAAGGTTCTTTAAGACCCCCCAAAAATCACACTGGCTCACCAGCTATGGATCCAAACCAAGATGAAATACCTGATTTACCTGAAAAAGAATTCAGGAGGTTACTTATTAAGCTAATCAAGGAGGAACGAGAGAAAGGCAAATACCAACATAAGGAAATAAAAAAAAAGATACAAGAAGTGAAGGGAGAAATAGTCAATAAAATAGATAGCATAAATATAAACAATCAAAACTTCAGGAAACAATGGACACACTTATAGAAACGCAAAATGCTCTGGAAAATCTCAGCAATAGAGTCAAACAAGTAAAAGAAAGAAATTCAGAGCTCAAAGACAAGGTCTTCAATTAACCCAATCCAACAAAGACAAAGAAAAAAAATCAGAAAATATTAACAAAGGCTCCAAGAAGTCTGGGATTATGTTAAACAACCAAACCTTAGAATAATTGGTGTTCCTGAGGAAGAAGACAAATCTAAAAGTTTGGAAAACATATTTGGGGGAAAAATTGAGGAAAACTTCCCCAGCCTTGCTAGAGACCTAGACATCCTAAAATAAGAAGCACAAAGAACCTCTGGGCAATTCATTGCATAAAGATCATTACCTAGGCACATTGCCTTCAGGTTATCTAAAGTTAAAATGAAGGAAAGAATCTTAAGAGCTGCGAGACAAAAGCACCAGGTAACCTATAAAGAAAGCCTGTCAGATTAACAGCAGAATTCTCAGCAGAAACCCTACAAGCTAGAAGTGATTGGGGCCCTATCTTCAGCCTCCTCAAACAAAACAATTATCAGCCAAGAATTTTGTTTCCAGTGAAACTAAACTTCATGTATGAAGGAAAGATACAGTCTTTTTCAGACAAAAATTGCTGACAGAATTTGCCACTACCAAGCCACCACTACAAGAACTGCTAAAAGGAGCCCTAAATCTTGAAACAAATCCTGGAAACACATCAAAAGAGAACCTCTTTAAAGCATAAATCTTACAGGACCTATAAAACAAAAATACAATTTAAAAAACAAACAAAAAAAACAAGGTATACCAACAACAAATAACACAATGAGTACATGATACCTCACATCTCAATACTAACATTGAATGTAAACAGCCTAAATGCTCCACTTAAAAAATACAGAATTGCAGAATGGATAAGAATTCACCAACCAACTATCTGCTGCCTTCGAGAAACTTACCTAACACATAAGGACTCATATAAACTTAAGGTAAATGGTTGGAAATTTCATGAAAATGGACACCAAAAGCAAGCAGGAGTAGCTATTATTTTATCAGACAAAACAAACTTTAAAGCAACAACAGTTAAAAAAGACAAAGAGGGACATTATATAATAATAAAAGGCCTTCTCCAACAGGAAAATATTGCAATCCTAAAGATATGTGCACCTAACACTGGAGCCCCCAAATTTATAAAACAATTACTAATATGCCTAAGAAATGAGACAGACAGCAACACGATAATACTAGGGGACTTCAATACTCCACTGATAGCTCTAGACAGGTCATCAAGGCAGAAAGTCAACATAGAAACAATGGATTTAAACTATACCCTGGAACAAATGGACTTAATAGACATATACAGAACATTCCATCCAACAACCACAGAATATACATCCTATTCAACAGCACATGAAACTTTCTCCAAAATAGACCATATGATAAGCCACAAAATGAGCCTCTATAAATTAAAGAAAATTGAAATTTTACCAAGCACTCTCTCAGACCACAGTGGAGTAAAACTGGAAATCAACTCCAAAAGGAACCTTCAAAACCCTGCAAATACATGGAAATTAAATAACCTGCTCCTGAATGATCATTGGATCAAAAATGAAATCAAGATAGAAATTTAAAAATTCTTCAAACTGAACAAAAATAATGACATAACCTATAAAAACCTCTGGGATACAGCAAAGGCAGTGCTAAGAGGAAAGTTCATAGCCCTAAACACCGACATCAAAAAGTCTGAAAGAATACAAATAGACAATCTAAAGTCACACCCCAAGAAACGAGAAAGAAGAACAAACCAAACCCAAACCTGCCACATGCAAGGAAATAACCAAGGTCAGAGCAGAACTAAATGAAATTGAAGCAAACAAACAAAAAAGATAAATGAAACAAAAAGCTGGTTCTTTGAAAAGATAAATAAAATTGATAGATCATTAGCAAGATTAACCAAGAAAAGCAGAGAGAAAATCCAAATAAGCTCAATAAGAAACAAAACAGGAGATATTACAACTGACACCACTGAAATACAAAAGATAATTCAAGGCTACTATGAACACCTTTAAATACATAAACTAGACAATCTAGAGGAGATGGATAAATTCCTAGAAAGATACAATCCTCCCAGCTTAAATCAGGAAGAATTAGATACCCTTAACAGACCGATAACAAGCAGTGAGATTGAAATGATAATTTAAAAATTACCAACAAAAGAAAGTCCAGGACCAGATGGATTTACAGCAGAATTCTACCAGACATTCAAAGAAGAATTGGTACCAATCCTATTGACACTATTCTACAAGATACAGAAAGAGGGAACCTTCCCTAAATAATTCTATGAAGCCAGTATCACCCTAATACCAAAACCAGGGAAGGACATAACAAAAAGGAAAACTACAGACCAATATCCTTGATAAAAATAGATGCTAAAATCCTTAACAAAACATTAGCTAACCAAATCCAACAGATAATCCACCATGATCAAGTGGGTTTCATACCAGGTAGGCAAGGATGTTTAACATATGCAAGTCAATAAATGTGACACACTACATAAACAGAACTAAAAACAACAATCACATGATCATCTCAATAGATGCAGAAAAGCATTCAACAAAATCCAGCATCACTTTATGATTAAAACTCTCAGCAACATTGGCATACAAGGGACATAATTCAGTGTAATAAAAGCCATCTATGACAAACCAACAGCCAACATAATATTGAATGGGGAAAAATTGAAATCATTCCCTCTGAGAACTGGAAAAAGACAAGGATGTCCACTCCCACCACTCCTCTTCAACATAGCACTGGAAGTCCTAGTCACAGCAATCAGACAAGAGAAAGAAACAAAAAGTCATCCAAATCAATAAAGAGGAAGTCAAACTGTTGCTGTTAGTTGATGATATGATTGTTTACCTAGAAAACCCTAAAGTCTCTTCCAGAAAGCTCCTATAACTGATAAAAGAATTCAGCAAAGTTTCTGGATACAAGATTAATGTACACAAATCAGTAGCTCTTCTATACAATAACAGCAACCAAGCTGAGAATCAAATCAAGACCTCAACCCCTTTTACAATAGCTGCAAAAAAATAAAATACTTAGGAATATACCTAACAAAGCAGGTAAAAGACCTCTACAAGCAAAACTACAAAACACTGCTGAAAGAAATTATAGACAACACAAACAAATGGAAACACATCCCATCTTCACGGATGGGTAGAATCAATATTGTGAAAATGACCATACTGCCAAAAGCAATCTACAAATTCAATGCAATCCCCATCAAAATATTATCATCATTCTTCACAGAATTAGAAAAAACAATTCTAAAATTCATATGGAACCAAAAAAGAGCCTGCATAGCCAAAGCTAAACTAAGCAAAAAGAACAAATATGGAGGTATCACATTACCTGATTTCAAACTATACTATAAGGCCATAGTCACCAAAACAGCATGGTACTTGTAAAAAAAAATAGGCACACAGACCAATGGAACAGAATAGAGAACCCAGAAAGAAACCCAAATACTTACAGCTAACTCATTTTCGACAAAGCAAACAAAAACGTAAAGTGTAGAAAGGACACTCTTTTCAACAACTGGTGCTGGGATAATTGGCTAGCCACATGTAGGAGAATGAAAATGGATCCTCATCTCTCACCTTATACAAAAATCAACTCAAGATTGATTAAGGACTTAAATCTAAGACCTGAAACTATAAAAATTCTAGAAAATAACATCAGAAAAACCCTTCCAGACACTGGCTTAGGCAAGGATTTCATGACCAAGAACCCAAAAGGAAATGCAATAAATACAGAGATAAATAGATGGAACTTAATTTAACTAAAGAGCTTTTGCATGCCAAAAGGAACAGTTAGCAGAGTAAACAGACAACCCACAGAGTGGGAGAAAATCTTCACAATCTATACATATGACAAAGGACTAATATCCAGAATCTACAACGAACTCAAACAAATCAGCAAGAAACAAACAAACAATCCCATCAAAAAGTGGGCTAAGGACGAGATCATGCCACTGCATTCCAGCCTGGGTGACAGAACGAGATTCCATCTCAAAAAAAAAAAAAAAAAAAAAGTGGGCTAAGGACATGAATAGACAACTCTCAAAAGAAGATATACAAATGGCCAACAAACATGAAAAAATGCTCAACATCACTAATGATCACGGAAATGCAAATCAAAACTACAATGCGTTACCACCTGACACCTGCAAGAATGGCTATAATAAAAAAAATAGTAGATATTGGCATGGATGCAGTGAGCAGGGAGCACTTCTATACTGCTGGTGGGAGTGCAAACTAGTACAACCACTATGGAAAACAGTGTGGAGATTCCTTAAAGAACTAAAAGTAGAACTACCATTTCATCCAGCAATCCCATTACTGGGTATCTACCCAGAGGAAAAGAGATCATTATACGAAAAAGATACTTGCACACGCATATTTATAGCAGCACTTCACAATTGCAAAAATGTGAAACCAACTCAAATGCCCATCAATCAATGAGTAGATAAAGAAACTATGAGATTTATATATATACACACACACAATGGAAAACTACTCAGCCATAAAAAGGAATGAATTAATGGTATTTGCAGTGTCCTGGATGAAATTAGAAACTATTATTCTAACTTAAGTGATTCAAGAATGGTAAACCAAATATCATATGTTCTCGTTCATAAGTGGGAGCTAAGCTATGAGGATGCAAAGGCATAAGAAAGACACGATGAACTTTGGGGACTCAGGGAAAAAGGATGGGAACGGGGAGAGGGATAAAAGACTACACATAGGGTTCAGTGTGTACTGCTCGGGTGATGGATGCACCTAAATCTCACTAATCACCACTAAAGAATTTACTCATGTAACCAAACACCACCCATTCCCCAATAACCTACGGAAATAAAAAAATAACAAAATAAAAAATAGAAATGTAAAAAAAAGAAAAGAAGAAAGAAGCTAAGATCACATTTACAGGCTATGTATCATAAGCTAGGAGCAAATATTAGAGTTTGAGATGGCCCTTCACAACATTGTTAATAGGCCATCAAGTTCTACATTTGTCCTTCTAATGTTGCTCCTTCCAAATTTGGATAACTTTAAAGCCATTACACTGGCATGTAGAACCCCATCTCTCAACCTCCTCTGCCCTCAGACGAGTGGTCTCACCGCACTCTAAAGTTTACTCATCCTGAGTCTACTCCTTTGGGGTTAATCTGGTAACTAATCTGAACTGAAACTCTACGATGAAACATTGTATTTCCATTTAAGTAAGAGCGTTCTGAAGATCTCATGATTTCAATGGAAAGAAATGGCTTCTGTGATGATTACTTCAAATATACATAATACGATTGTGTGCAAAACATTTGGGAGGCCGGGTGCGGTGGCTCACGCCTGTAATCCCAGCACTTTGGGAGGCTGAGGTGGGAGGATCACTTGAGGCCAGGAGTTCAAAACCAGCCTGGCCAACGTAGCGAAACCCAATCTCTACTAAAAGTATAAAAAAGATTAGCTAGGCTTTGTGGCACATGCCTGTAATCCTAGCTACTAGGAAGGCTGAGGGAGGAGAATCACTTGAATCTGGGAGGCAGAGGTTGCTGTGAGCCAAGATTGCCTCACTGCACTCCAGCCTGGGTAACCAAGTGAAACTCTGTCTTTAAAAAAACAGAAAAAGGAAAGAAAAGAAAGGGGGAAAAAAAGAAAGATCTGTCTGCAGTGTCCAAAATCCATCAGTTCTGCTTTCATTCTGACATTCATTCACCTACTCTGGCTACTCACAGGTTGGCTCTGACCACAGGCCCAACTCTGTACGTCATGTGTCCATTAAAATATATGCCGTGGATCCTGCTCTCAGAGCATGCCAGATCACTATTTCTCAGTTGATAAGAATCACCCTGTCTTAGGGATTCTTTTTTTTCTTTCTTTTTTTTGAGATGGAGTCTTGCTCTATTGCCCAGGCTGGAGTGCAGTGGCACGATCTTGGCTCACTGCAACCTCCACCTCCCGGGTTGAAGCAATTCTCCTGCCTCAGCCTCCCAAGTAACTGGGACTACCAGCACACACCACCACGCCTGGCTAATTTTTGTATTTTTAGTAGAGACGGGGTTTCATCATGTTGGCCAGGCTGGTCAGGAACTCCTGACCTCAGGTGATCTGCCCGCCTTGGCCTCCCAACCTGTCTTAGGGATTCTGATATGCTATCTGAGGCAAAGATCCTGAGTAATCTACTCTAAACTAAATTTGGGAAATTTGGTTCTAGCCAAGAAAATATATACACACACACATACATACATTCACATAGATGTGTGTTTATGTACATATGAATCTGAATAAGTGCTAAAGCAAAATGGGGAAGAAGTACCAAGGGAAGGAAAATGTTATTCTGACTGAGGCATTGCAGAAAGCAGGGACAGCTTTTGAATTTTCTTTTAAAGGGCAAAGTTTCCTTTTTAGGCTGAGGAAGCACTATAGTCAGGCAGGGCATGGAGACGGGAAAGTACACAGCACACTGGGGAACGGGGTGTAAATGGAGTGGTAGTGGGGTTCGAGGTGGACTGAGGTGCACGGAAAGATGTATTTCCTTTCCTCTTTGGTTGAAAATTTTTAAGATGAGTTAACAAACCAATGGGGGTTTGGGGGGAAAGTACAAACAAAGATTCAAAGACTGAAATTCATATAAAACTACTTTTAAAAACCAGAAAGTTGAAATCTAGTCAGCTACACCTGTGTGAATGCAAGAAAAACATCAATCCAATTGTCATAGAACTGAAAATAAGTCTTAGCAAAGTACTTAGAAGGAGGGTTGCGGGGCCTTGTAGATTCATATTCTTAATGATTTCATAGAATTTTCATAGAATTTGACCACCTAAAGCTAAAATTATGAGGCAGTGGGCAGGGCAGGGAATCAGGAGCATTGAAAAGAAAAGCCACATATGCTTAGAATAAAAACACCTAAACTGAGTGAAGGGAATGAGACTATCTAGCACTCTTTTGTTCCTTTGATATAGGAAGGGACTCATAAGTAGCCATAACCCAATACATCATTCTAACATCCTGAGAAATAAAGCAGAAACCATACTGTCAATGGGTAGGTGGGAAGAAAGTTGGCTTAAAGATAGGGCCAGCAACGTTTATTTGGCCATCTTTGGGCAATGCCAGTGTAACACCAACAGTACTATCACTATCTTGAGATTCCTCTCCCAATTCAACCTCTCCTGGTTCACAACATAGCGATGAGGAAGGAGCTGTTATAACCAGAGTTTATACACCTTATATACTATTATTTTAATGACAAGATGGATTCAGACATCAGTATGTAATACTGTTCCAACCAATCAAAAAGGCTATTTGTGGACACAGAATTTGCAAGTGACTCCCAAATCTATTGGGACAAGATTCTTTGCAGAGCCATTCTTCACTAAGCTAGTCACTTTCCTTTTCTCACACAAAAAGCTTCTTCCTTTCTGCGACATCTTTTCTTTTAGTTTCTATGTCACTGTGTTCTAAATTGCTTCCTAACTCAATGGCTCTTCTCAAATTCCTCTATACAATTTCTAAACGTTGGTATATCCAGACCTCATTTCTCAGCCCTCTTCTCTTTATTTTCTTAATCGCACCCTATCTCCCTCTCAAATGTGGTCCTGAAACACTTTTACACTGTTGGTGGGAGTGTACACTATTTCAACCATTGTGGAAGACAGTGTGGCAATTCCTCAAGGATCTAGAACTAGAAATACCATTTGACCCAGCAATCCCATTACTGGGTATACACCCAAAGGATTATAAATCATGCTACTATAAAGGCACATGCACACGTATGTTTATTGCAGCACTGTTCACAATAGCAGACTTGGAACCAACCCAAATGTCCATCAATGATAGACTGAATTAAGAAAATGTGGCACATATACACCATGGAATACTATGCAGCCATAAAAGAGGATGAGTTCATGTCCTTTGTTGCGACATGGATGAAGCTGGAAACCATCATTCTGAGCAAACTAACGCAAGGACAGAAAACCAAACACCGCATGTTCTCACTCATAGGTGGAATTGAACAATGAGAACATTTGGACACAGGGTGGGGAACATCACACACTGGGGCCTGTCATGGGGTTAGGGGGATGGGGGAGGGATAGCATTAGGAGAAATACCTAATGTAAATGATGAGTTAATGGGTGCAGCAAACCAACATGGCACATGTATACATGTGTAACAAACCTGCACGTTCTGCACATGTACCCCAGAACTTAAAGTATAATTTAAAAAAAACAAACCAGCAACAAATGTGGTCCTGAAACCAGTATCATTTGGAGAAATTAGAAATGAAAATTATTAGGGCCCATCTCAACCCTACTGTATTAGAAACTCTTAGATAGGACCCAGCAATCTGTTTGACAAACCAGCCCTCTACATGATTATGATGCACACTAACATTTGAAAACCAAAGCTATGGGTTATCTCACCCAATCACAAGTCATCAATATCACTGTATGATTATAACTCCTAAGTGTCTATCACTTATCTGATTCCTCCCCTGGACTCCAAATGGTATACCCAGCTGCTAACTTGACATGTCCACTTAGTTGCCACCAAGTATCTCAAACTTGTCACCTAAATAAAATTCTTGATTTTCCATTCCTCCCAAGTCTGTACTCTCATTCTGTCTCAGTAAATGACACTGCCATTCTTTCAATTGCTCAAACTAAGAACTAGGGTTTGTCTGTGATTCCTGTCTTCCATTCATTCTCATACCAAGTCCATCAGTGAGTCTTGTCAATTCTACATCCAAAACACATTAAAATCCAATTATTTCCACCTCTTCACCTTCACTGCTACCACCTTAATCTAAAATACTACCCAATGTAACAGGAGCAGCAAAAGTAAGAGAATAAAATCATAAAATAGAAATTTTGGGGGAAGAATCAGAGACAAGGTACTATCACAAAAATCAAACAAGAGGAGAGTTTCAAGTAGAAAACAATACTCGATAAAAACCTCCAGGAAAGTCAAGAAAGAAAGCTGAGGAAAAAAAGTTGGTGATGCCTAAGAGTTCAAGACAGAATTTAAAAGACTAAACTATATAAATTGAAGGCATTCATAGAGAAATATTTTGAGTAAGCAAAGGGAGATGAGAGTTGACAAAAGTCAGTGCTTAGGACATCTGCTGAGACAGAAGAAATGAATGGAGGTTTGAAGAAGAAGCCAAAGGTTTCAACAGTCACTGCAAAGAAAAGCAAGTACTAAAACAACATAAGAAACAAAAATAACTGAATAGGGTAAATTAGTTAACCTTATAGTGAATTCGTCTTCTGGAGTATTTGACCTCCTCTGCCTGGAAGTGTGTCAAATTACAGAACTTGCATAATCGTTCTCTTCTTGGTATATCCCCAGATGGCCAATCTGTTCCCATAGATTATTTAAATGTTGACATGGATCATCACAATTAATTATTTTATTCATTGTGCTTGGCATTAACCACAAAGGAAATCAAAGTACTTGGACCTGTTAACATGCAAAGATTATACCATAAAATTATATCACAAATAATATAGCTGAAGTGCTTCTAAGTACGTAAGAATTTTCTCACTCCATTTGTAGCTATTTATATTGTTGTTTGGAAAACATACCTACTTCAAAGCATTCCAGAAACATAACTTCTAGCTAAGATTTAAACGATATGAGAAAACTACCCTGAATAAAAAAGATGAACCTATTGCTGGCAAGATGGCTGAACAGGAACAGCTCTGGTCTGCAGCTCACAGTGAGATTGACGCAGAAGGCGGGTGATTTCTGCATTTCCAACTGAGGTACCTGGTTCATCTCTTTGGGACTGGTTGGACAGAGGGTGCAACCAACGGAAGGTGAGCAGCAGAGTGGGGCATCACCTCATCCAGGAAGCGCAAGGGGTCAGGGAATTTTCTCCCCTACCCAAGGGAAGCTGTGAGGGTCTGAGCCTGAGGAACTCTGGCACAGATACTGCACTTGTCCTTCGGTCTTTGCAACCCACAAACCAGGAGATTCCTTCCTGTGCCTACCCCACCAGGGCCCTGGGTTTCAAGCACAAAACTGGATGGCCATTTGGGCAGACACCGAACTAGCTGCAGGATTTCTTTTTTTCCATACCCCAGTGGCGCCTGGAACGCCAGTGAGACAGAACTGTTCACTCCCCTGGAAAGGGGTGCTGAAGCCAGGGAGCCAAATGGTCTGGCTCGGCGGGTCCCACTACCATAGAGCCCAGCAAACTAAGATCCACTGGCTTGAAATTCTCACTGCCAGCACAGCAGCAGTCTAAGATCTATGCAGGATTTTCAAGCTTGGTGGGGGAAAGGGTGTCTGTCATTGCTGAGGCTTAAGTAGGCAGTTTTATGCTCACAGCGTAAACAAAGCCACTGGGAAGTTCCAACTGGACGGAGCCTACTGCAGCTCAGCAAGACTGCAGCTAGACTGCCTCTCTAGATTCCCCCTCTCTGAGCAGAACATCTCTGAAAAAAATGGCAGTAGCCCCAGTCAGGGACTTATAGATAAAACCCCCATCTCCCTAGGACAGAGTACCTGGGGAAACGGGTGACTGTAGGCAAAGCTTCAGCAGACTTAAACATTCCTACCTAACAGCTCTGAAGAGAGCAGCAGACCTCCCAGCACAGTGTTCAAGCTCTGCTAAGGGTCAGACTGCCTCCCCAACTGGGTCCCTGACCCCTGTGTATCCTGCCTGGGAGACACCTCCCAGTAGGGGCTGACAAACACCTCATACAGGAGAGCTCTGGCTGGCATCTAGCAGGTGACCCTCTGGGACGAAGCTTCCAGAGGAGAGATCAGGCAGCAATCTTTGCTGTTCCACAGCCTCCACTGGTGGTATCCAGGAAAAACAGGATCGGGAGTAGACCTCCAGCAAACTCCAGCAGACCTGCAGCAGAGGGGACTATCAGAATGATAACTAATAAATGGAAAGGAATAGCATGTCCTCAAAAAGACCCCATCCAAAGGTCATCAACAAAGACAAAAGGTAGAAAAATCCACAAAGATAGGGAGAAACCAGCACAAAAAGGCTGAAAATTCCAAAAACCAGAATGCCTCTTCTCCTCTAAAGGATCACAACTCCTTGCCAGCAAGGAAATGCAACTTGATGGAGAATGAGTTTGACGAACTGACAGAAGTAGGCTTCAGAAGGTGGGTAATAATAAACTCCTCCAAGCTAAAAGAGCATGTTGTAACCCAATGCAAGGAAGCTAAGAACTGTGAAAAAAGGTTAGACAAATAGCTAACTAGAATATGACCAGTGCAGAGAAGAACATAAATGACCTGATGGATCTGAAAAACACAGCATGAGAACTTCAAGAAGCATACACAAGTTCCAATAGGCAAATCGATCAAGTGGAAGAAAGGATATCAGTGATTGAAGATCAATTTAATGAAATAAAGAGAGAAGACAAGATTAGAGAAAAAAGAATAAAAAGGAACGAACACAGCCGCCAAGAAATATGGGACTATGTGAAAAGACCAAATCTACATTTGATTGGTGTACCTGAAAGTGACGGGGAGAATGGAACCAAGTTGGAAAACACTCTTCAGCGTATTATCCAGGAAAACTTCCCCAACCTAGCAAGACAGGCCAACATTCCAATTCAGGAAATACAGAGAATACCACAAAGATACTCCTCGAGAAGAGCAACCCCAAGAGAAATAATCATCAGATTCACCAAGGTTGAAATGAAGGAAAAAATGTTAAGGGCAGCCAAAGAGAAAGGTCGGGATATGCACAAAGGGAATCCCATCAGACTAACAGCAGATCTCTCTGCAGAAACCCTACAAGCCAGAAGACAGTGGGGGTTAATATTCAACATTCTTAAAGAAAAGAATTTTCAACCCAGAATTTCATATCCAGCCAAACTAAGCTTCATAAGCAAAGGAGAAACAAAATCCTTTACAGACAAGCAAATGCTGAGAGACTTTGTCACCACCAGGCCTGCCTTACAAGAGCTCCTGAGGGAAAACACTAAACATGAAAAGAAACAACTGGTACCAACCATGGCAAAAACATACCAAATTATAAAGAACATCGAAACTATGAAGAAACTGCATCAACTAATGGGCAAAACAACCAGCTAGCATCATAATGACAGGATCAAATTCACACATAACAATATTAACCTTAAATGTAAATGGGCTAAATGCCCCAATTAAAAGATGCAGACTGGCAAATCTGATAAAGAGTCAAGACCCATCAGTGTGCTGTATTCAGGAGACCCATCTCATGAGCAAAGACACACACAGGCTCAAAATAAAGGAATGGAGGAATATTTACCAAGTAAATGGAGAGCAAAAAAGCAGGAGTTGCGATCCTAATCTCTGATAAAACAGACTTTAAACCAACAAAGATCAAAAGAGACAAAGAAGGCCATTACATAATGGTAAAGGGATCAATGCAGCAAGAAGAGCTAACTATTCTAAATATATGTGCACCTAAGACAGGAGCATCCAGATTCATAAAGCAAGTTCTTAGAGACCTACAAAGAGACTTAGACTCCCACACAACAATAGTGGGAGACTGTAACACTGCACTGTCAATATTAGACAGATCAACAAGACAGAAAATTAACAATGATATTCAGGACTTGAACTCAGCTCTGGACCAAGTGGACCTAATAAACAGCTACAGAACTCTCCACCCCAAATCAACAGAATATATATCCTTCTCAGCACCTCATCGCACTGATTATAAAATTGACCACATAAATGGAAGTAAAACACTCCTCAGCAAATGCAAAAGAACAAAAATTATAAAAAACAGTATCTCACACCATAGAGCAATCAAAATAGAACTCAGAATTAAGAAACTCACTCAAAACCACACAACTACATGGAAACTGAACAACCTGCTCCTGAGTGATTACTGGGTAAATAACGAAATTAAGGCAGAAATAAAGATGTTCAGTGAAACCAATGAGAATGAAGACACAACATACCAGAATCTCTGAGACACATTGAAAGCATTGTGTAGAGAGAAACTTATAGCACTAAATGCCCAGAAGAGAAAAGCAGCAAAGATCTAAAATTGACACCCTAACATCAAAATTTAAAAAACTAGAGAAGCAACAGCAAACAAATTCAAAATCTAGCAGAAGACAAGAAATAACTAAGATCAGAGCAGAACTGAAGGACATAAAGACACAAAAAACCCTTCAAAAAAAATCAAAGAATCCAGGAGTGGATTTTTCAAAAAGATCAACAAAATAGATAGAATGCTAGCCAGACTACTGAAGAAAAGAGAGAAGAACCAAATAGATGCAATTAAAAATGATATAAGGGATATCACCACTGATCCCACAGAAATACAAACCACCATCAGAGAATACTAGAAACACCTCTATGCAAATAAACTAGAAAATAGAAGAAATGGATAAAATCCTGGACACATACACTCTACCAAGTCTAAACCAGGAAGAAGTCAAATCCCTGAATAAACCAATAACAAGTTATGAAATTGAGGCAGTAATTAATAGCATACCAACCAAAAAAAGTCCAGGACCAGATGGATTCACAGCCAAATTCTACCAGAGGTACAAAGAGGAGCCGGTACCATTCCTTCTGAAATTATTCCAAACAATAGAAAAACAGGGAATCCTTCCTAACTCATTTTGTGAGGCCAGCATCATCCTGACACCAAAACCTGGCAGAGACACAGCAAGAAAAGAAAATTTCTGGCCAATATCCCTGATGAACAATGATGTGAAAATCCTCAATAAAACACGGGCAAACTGAAACCAGCAGCACATCGAAAAGCTTATCCACCACAATCAAGTCAGCTTCATTCCTGTGATGCAAGGCTGGTTCAACATATGCAAATCAATAAACGTAATCCATCATATAAACAGAACCAATGACAAAAACCACATGATTATCTCAATGGATGCAGAAAAGGCCTTCAACAAAATTCAACACCGCTTCATGCTAAAAACTCTCAATAAACTAGGTATCGATGGAACGTACCTCAAAATAATAAGAGCTAATTATGACAAACCCACAGCCAATACCATACTGAATGGGCAAAAACTGGAAGCATTCCCTTTGAAAACCAGCACAAGACAAGGATGCCCTCTCTCACCACTCCTACTCAACATAGTATTGGATTTTCTGGCCAGGGCAATCAGGCAAGAGAAAGAAATAAAGGGTATTCAAATAGGAAGAGGGGAAGTCAAATTGTCGCTGTTTGCAGATGACATGATTGTATATTTAGAAAACCCCATAGTCTCAACCCCAAATCTCCTTAAGCTGATAAGCAACTTCAGCAAAGTCTCAGGATACAAAATCAATGTGCAAAAATCACAAGCATTCCTATACACCAATAACAGATAAACAGAGCCAAATCATGAGTGAACTCCCATTCACAATTGCTACTAAGAGAATAAAGTACCTAAGAATACAACTTCCAAGGGATGTGAAGGACCTCTTCAAGGAGAACTACAAACCACTGCTCAAGCAAATAAGAGAAGACACAAACAAATGGAAAAACATTCCATGCTCATGGATAGGAAGAATCAATATTGTGAAAATGGCCATACTGCCCAAAGTAATTTAGAGATTCAATGCTATCCCCACCAAGCTATCACTGACTTTCTTCAGAGAATTGGAAAAAACTACTTTAAACTTCATATGGAACCAAAAAGAGTGTGTATAGCCAAGACAATCTGGGCAAAAAGAACAAAGCTGGAGGCATCATGCTACCTGACTTCAAACTACACTATAAAGCTACAGTAAACAAAACAGCACGGTACTGGTACCAAAACAGATAAATAGGCCAATGGAACCGAATAGAGGCCTCAGAAATAACACCACACATCTACAACCATCTGATCTTTGGCCAACCTGACACAAACAAGCAATGGGGAAAAGATTCCCTATTTAATAAAAGGTGTTGGGAAAACTGGCTAGCCATATGCAGAAAACTCAAACTGGACACCTTCCTTACACTTTATATAAAAATCGACTCAAGATGGATCAAAGACTTAAATGTAAGACCTAGGACCATAAAAATCCTAGAAGAAAATCTGGGCAATACCATTCAGGACATAGGCACGGGCAAAGACTTCATGTCTAAAACACCAAAAGCAATGGCAACAAAAGCCAAAATTGACAAATGGGATCTAATTAAACTAAACAGCTTCTGCACGGCAAAAGAAACTATCATCAGAGTAAACAGGCAACCTACAGAATGACAGAAAATTTTTGCAATCTATCCATCTGACAAAGGGCTAATATCCAGAATCTACAAAGAACTTAAACAAATTTACAAGAAAAAACAACCCCATCAAAAAGTAGTCAAAGGATATGAAGAGACACTTCTCAAAAGAAGAAATTTATGTAGCTGACATATGAAAAAATGCTCATCATCACTGGCCATTACAGAAATCAAATCAAAACCACAATGAGATACCACCTCATGCCAGTTAGAATGGCAATCATTTAAAAAGTCAGGAAACAACAGATGCTGGAGAGGATGTGGAGAAATAGGAATGCTTTTACACTGTCAGTGGGAGTGTAAATTAGTTCAACCATTGTGAAAGACAGTGTGGCGATTCCTCAAGGATCTAGAAGCAGAGATACCATTTGACCCAGCAATCCCATTACTGGGTATATACCCCAAGGATTATAAATCATTCTACTATAAAGGCACATGCACATGTATGTTTATTGTGGCACTGTTCACAATAGCAAAGACTTGGAGCCAACCCAAATGTCCATCAATAATACACTAGATAAAGAAAATGTGGCACATATACACCACGGAATACTATGCAGCCATAAAAAAGGATGAGTTCATGTCCTTTGCAGGGACATGGATGAAGCTGGAAACCATCATTCTCGGCAAATTATCACAAGAACAGAAAACCAAACACCTCATGTTCTTATGCATAAATGGTAGCTGAACAATGAGAACACATGGACATAGGGAGGAGAGCATCACACACCGGGGCCTGTCGTGGGGTGGGGGGCTAGGGGAGGGATAACATTAGGAGAAATACCTAATGTAGGTGACGGGTTGATGGGTGCAGCAAGCCACCATGGCAAGTATATACCTATGTAACAAAACTGCACATTCTGCACATGTATCCCAGAACTTAAAGTATAATAAAAAAAAAGATGAACCTTAAAACTATCATGAGGGCCAAAACTGCTTATAGATTGTACATGTAGTCATGTACTACATAATGATGTTTCACCCAGTGACCGCATATAGGATGGTGATTCCATAAGATTATAATGGAGTTGAAAAATTCCTATTGCCTATTGACATCCTAGCCATCTTAAGATTGTAGCACAACACATTACTCATGTGTTTGTGTCGTGGCTGGTGTAAACACACCTATTGTGCTGCCAGTTTTATAAAAGTATAGCACATACAATTATGCACTACATAATACTTGATAATAAATGACTATGTACTGGTCTATATATTTACAGTACTATATATTTTATCATTATTTTAGAGTGCATTCCTCCTACTTATTAAAAAAACAGTTTACTGCAAAACAGTATGACATCTTACACCAGCAGCAGCCTCATACAGCTCATGTTTATTGCATCTCTTGTTTGCAACATTTTCTCTTTTGCTTGATTTAATCTTGTGTTGTTTTGTTGGTTGTGGCTCCTAAGCATATAAAATCCACTGCTGATGTTGCCAGTAAGAGGCCACATCAAATGTCTGACTTGGAAACAAAATTACAAGTGATTAAGGGCCATTAAGGTGGAAAGTCAGTGGCGGTTATTGCTCACTAGTCAAGCACGTTCTATTCCACCATAGCTATGATCTTGAAGAACAAGAACAAAGTAACAGAAACTGTTAAAAGATCTGCTTCACTGAAGGCAACAAGACACAAATTTCAGGAAGGGCCTATATCAGGTAAGAAGAAATTTGTAATGACCTGGATTAAGGACCAGACAGAAAAGCATATCCCTCTCAGGACCATAACAATCATGTCTACAGCAAAAAGTTTGTTTGCTATGTTAAAAGAAAAGGCTGGGCCTGACTAGGATGTTGAATTTACTGCTAGCTCTGTGTGGTTTAAATGATTCAAGAATCATTATTTATTACATAATGTGAATATGAGTGGTGAGTCTGCAAGTGTTAATGAAAAGGCAGCTGAAGAATTTTTGGAAACACTACATAAGCTGACTGTGGAAGAAAATTACTTACCAGAGAAAATCTTCAATATGAATGAAACCTGCTTATGAATGCCTGAGAGGACTTTCATCCATGAGAAAACTAAGTCAGTGCCAGGGTTTAAGCTTTCTATGACAAGATAACAGTCTTGCTGGGGGCAATGTTGCAGGCCACGAATTGAAACCTTTCGTAATCTGGCACAGTGAGAACATGAGGGCCTTCCAGCATGTCAATAAGCATACATGGCCTTTGTACTACAAAGCAAAAAGAAGTAACGGATGACCCAGCTCCTCTTCCAAGATGGCCTCCTGAATTCCTATGCCAGTTAAATAAAAGAGTACTGTTTGGAGATAATATACCTTTCAAGATTTTGCTTATTGTTCATAATGTTCCTGCACATCTTCCTTTCACTGGTGATTATCACAATGTCAAAGTGGTGTTTTCGCCTCTAAACACCAGCTCTTTGATCCAACCAATGGATCAAGAAGTAATAGCAGCTCTTAAGGCTGCTACCTGAAGAGGACATTATCTGCTTACAAGCAAATCTATGATGAAAAAAAGAAACAGATCAAACAAATCACTGCCATAGACATATTTCTGAAAAGAGTAACATCTCCTCAAAAAGAGCCTCAGGCAAGTCCTTCAGGAGGTATTCCAGAAGAACGCATTGTTACCACAGGAGATGACAGCTCTATGTGTGTTACTGCCCCTGAAGACCTTTCACTGGGACAGGATGTGGAGGCAGAAGACAGTGATACTGATCATCCTGACCCTGTTAGACCTAGGCTAATGTGTGTGTTTGTGTCTTGGTTTTTAATTAAAAAGTTTGAAAAGTAAAATAAATAAATAGATAAATTTTTAAATAGAGAAAAGTTTATAGAATAAGGATATAAAGAAAATATTTTTGTACAACTATACAATATGTTTGTGCTTTAAGTGTTATTATAAAAGAGTCAAAAAGTTTAAAAAATTTTTAAAGTTTATAAAGTAAAAATGTTACAGTGAGTTAAGGTTAATTTATTTGTAAAGAAAAAATTGTTTTCATAATTTTAATGTAGCCTAAGTATACAGTGCTTATAAAGCCTACAGCAGTGTACAGTAATGTCCTAGGCCTTCACATTCACTCACCCACTCATTCACTGACTCACCCAAGGAAATTTCCAGTCCTGCAAGCTCCATTTATAGTAAGTGCCTGAGACAGGTGTATCATTTTTTATCTTTCGTACCATACTTTACTGTACCTTTTCTGTATTTAGATATGTTTAGATAAATACTTACCATAATGTTACAAATGCCTCTAGTACTCAGTAAAATAACATGCTGTATAGATTTGTAGTGTAGGAGCAATAGGCTATATACCATATTGTCTAGGTGTGTAGTATGCTCAATCATCTAGATTTGTGTAAGTACACCCTATGATGTTCACACAACCATGAAATTACCCAATGATGCATTTGTCAGAACATATCCCCATTATTAAGTGACACACATTAATGTAATACATGTGCACAGATATATATCTGTAGTTTAACAGATTTAGTAGTTATTAGATTTTGAGAGACATACATTGACCCAATGTAAAGCTAAATCCACATTATAGTATACAAAATAATATAATTTTAATCCATATTTAAAGGTTATTTGATGTCTTCAATCTGCAATGGCAAAGATAACTATTCTTTTCAATTTCAACTTGTTTTCCTGTTTAGTCATTTAACTAAGCTAAATTGAAAGTCTTCTGTGTGCCTGCCTGTGGTAGGTACTAGGACTATGAAGTTGGCACCCGCACTCAAGTAGCCTTCTGTAGGCGGGAAGGCGTGGGAATCAGCACCGCCAGAGAGCACTGCAAGCATCACTCTGGAGCCAAAGAAGGGGCAGCTCAACCAGACTACAGAAGTCAGAAAAGCCTGATTCTTGCAGGCTAAGCATGGAGTTTTCAAGATGAAAGGATGGAGTTATCTGACCTTCCTCTCCCTACATACTCTGAATTCCCTATACAAATCTGCTCAAAAGTGTGGTCTGTGGACTGGGACTTGCCAACAACTATTTCTGGTTCAACATTAAGTACAGAAATTAAGAGCAAGCCTTTAGAACCTTTTATATCAATTTGATAGAGTATTTATAAGTCTGTTGAATCTAGCAATAAAAAGTTAGGGTTTGTATTTTCTATCCATTTTTCTGTTTCTTTAGGCTAATAATTCATTTTATTTCATTAAAACAAACTATTGGTCTGTGATGAATTGAAAACTTAAAAAAAATCTCTGCTGAAAACTTGTGTCCACACAAAAACCTGCACACATTGTTTATAGCAGTTTTATTCTTAACTACCAAAACTTAGAAACAACCAAATGCCCTTCAGTAAGTGAATGAATAAACTGTGGTACATCCAGACAATGGAATATTATTCAGTGCTAAAAAGAAATAAACTAACAAGCCATGAAAAGACATGGAGGAAACTTAAATGCATATAATTATGTGAAAGAAGTCAATCTGAAAGGCTACATACTGTATGATTCCAACTATATGACATTCTGGGAAAGGCAAAACAATGAAGACAGTAAAAAGGTCAGTGGTTGCCAGAGGTTAACAGGGAGGAAGGAATGAATAGATGGTATATAAAGGATTTTTTAGGGCACTGCAACTATTCTGTATGGTATTATAACAGTGAATACATGTGATTATACACTTGACAAAATCCATAAAATGTCCAATATCAAGAGTGAACACCAAGAGTAAACTATGGACTTTGGGTGATAATGATGTATCAAGATGGGTTCATCGACTGTAGTAAATGCACCTCTCTGCTGTGGAATGTTGAAGGCTGGGGAAGTCTGAAGGTTGGGGAGTATATGTGGATAAGGGAATATGGGAAATCTCTGTACCTTCCACTGAATCTTTCTGTGAACCGAAAATTGAAGTCTATGAAAAGAAAAGCTGGTTCTTTCCCACAATTTGTTTAAGTGATACTGCTTTATTTTCATTACTCTTCTACCTCAAACTCTACCAGGTCCTCTGACCATATGAAATGTCATGGTAACTCCTTGTGAGACCCAAGAAATACGAGGTGGTAGGGACAATTATTCACTGCAGGCTGTAACGCTTCTTGTAAAAATTGAGAGGTAAAAATTCAAATATATAGAAATATATTACATAAGATATTAAAGGCCGTAACTCCATTCCCCAGGCACAACAAAAATCGTTAATATAACTAATATCACTCCACTGTTTTTGTGAGACTATATTATGTATACTCATTTGCAACTTTCCAACTCGCACATTTTCCTATGCAAATACAGAAGGATAACTGTAAAGACATAACATTTATTGAGTGTCTACTAGATACCAGAAAATGTTCTAAAAACTTTATAAGGTATTATTCATTTGCTTTATGAAACTCTATAAAGTAGATACTATTGTTATGCCCATTACACAGACGAAAAAGCTGAGGTGCAGATATAAAGTATTTTGTTCAATTTCTCACAGATAATTAAGTGGCAGATCTCAGAAATCAAAATATATATGATTCTACTTCATTCTTATTAATGACTAGTTAGCATTCCTATTTTGTAAAGTTAACAATTCCTATTTTAATAGGCATTTGGATTATTTTGTTACTTTACTACCAGAAGTAATGTTGCAACATCTTCTACATGTCACTTTATTCACTAATATTAGTATTTCCATACAATAAATTCCTAAATATGGAACACTAGTTCAAAGGGTTTAATACATTTCAGTTATAACAGATATTGGCAAATTGTCCTCCACAATAAGAGGAGTATCAATTGACACACTATTATCAATTGTGTATTAGGATTATCAGTTATTTATCCTTTATGAATACCATATATTATCATTTAAAAATTTTTTTCAACCAGAGAATCAAAACTGCTCTATTATTGTTATAGAAATCTTAAAGTTGCCTTATAAAGATTTGATTTTTTTGGAGATGGTTGTGTATGGCATCTGGGTTGATGAGTCAAATTCTTCTTTCTCACTTCCCCTTCTGCTCCACCTGCAGAAAGAAGGAACGGACGCACACCTCCCCAAGGAGCCCTGGCACTAACTACAACACACACAGGGTTTGGCCAGACCTGGACCAGCTTTTGGAAAACACTAACTCAACTGTCATCCAACTTGCTGCAGTTAACCACCCGTCAGTCACCCATCAGGGGGCATGAAGCTCTGGTTTGATCACTTTGCTAAGGGCTGCACAAGGAAGAAAAAAAGTCATAAAACACTATATTGTCAAGCAGTACTCACTGCTTCTCCTCTTCACTGTCCTCTACCTTGAGTCCCTCAAAATATTTCACCTGCATGACATTTCTTCACTTGAGATGCTGTTTGCCCTTTAAATGGCATCTTAGCATTTGAGGTCCTCTAGCTGTCTTCTTTCTTTTCCTTAGGCTGACAATTCTGCTGAAAGTTTGTGAAAAGACTTGACATTCACAAAATCTAAGGTCTTCTGGTGATACCAAATGTAACAGGAATGGAAGCATCATCAGCACTGTGCAACATTATGTTTCTTTAGCATGGTTTGGCTCAGGTTACAAAACCTGGGCAGCTGTACCACAGACAGAGGCTATGGCCATTTCCCCTCTATTTTATGATCATCCCTGTTTCATTACTTTGTGCTTTCACTACATCCTGGCCTAGCAGTCTGTAGCAGCAGGCTAGAGAGATAAGGCCTTCTGGTAATAAATAAAGTAGAAGGTTAAAACCACAAAAAAGGGAATGTGGGAAATTGTGATGACAAGGCCATATGTTTAGCCTTGGATATGTGCTCTAAGAGTAGCTGGGAGCCTTTTTACCCTCTTTTAAGAGGACTTCGCATTTACACTCTATCATCCAAACATTCATAAATGCATATGCTCACAGCCAGAGAATGAGACTATTTGACAGCACCCTTTTCTTATTAAGTGCAAATGACAGACACATGCAAGTGGCCTCCACTCAAGACACAATGCTATACAATTCTGATTGTACTGAGGAAATAAATTAGAAAAATGTAAATTTACTGATAATTAGCCACAAATAGGATTACCCTCTCTACTCACCTTAGAACTCAAACGTATAGATAACAAAGTTCCTCAAAGGGGTGAGACAAAAAGAGGTGGGAGGTAAATTGAAACATATTTATCTAATTGAACAATTTGACCAATTGATAAATATGGAGTAGGGAGAAATCCTTGCTAGCATCCACTATATGATCTTTGACACACATTGGCTTTCATCACAAGTGCAGAAAAAAAAAATCCCCATAATAAATGATACCTAATTTTACTTTTCATTCAAGCCCTTAATTTTAAATACGGATCTAAATTCCATTGTTAAGGAAGCGTATTACAATAATTATTTAGGAAATGAGAGAATAATGAAAGAAAATTTTAAATCTCTTTCCTATGCACAAAGGAAAATATTTTTAATACAGATTAATATTTAGGATTTTTATCCTATGCAGCTCAATTTTTTCATATCTTTTTTTCCTGACCACCTCAACACACTGCTTTTGCATGATTAAGAGAAAAACAAATCGAGGTTGGACAAAAGCTACAAATGAAAGGAGTGGCTTGAATAACATAAGATGTATTTACTAAAGCACGAAAGCTCCCCCTTGTGATACGAAGTGACCAGCCAGGAGGGAGCAGGGACTTGTCTGGCTGTCAGGTGAGCATTTGAAGTATTACTCGCTGTATCTTATTATTGGTATTTAATTGACTCAGTTCTCCTTCAACCACAGGTAAGTAACTATAGAACCCAACGAGTCTAGATAAAAGTGATTAAAAAGAACTGCAAGCATTTTATAGAAACCACAATAAATTCCAAATGGATTAAAGATTTAAATGTAATAAATTATATAATGAAATTTTGATGGATAATTTTATATTTGACTGGGGAAGGACTTTCTAAACAGGATATCAAAATCACAAGCCATAAAAGATGCCACTAGATTTTTCACATAAAATTCCTAAACTTCACCTAAATTAAATTCCTTAAACTAAATTAAAACTAAGAAAAACAAAATTGCGATATATACAACAGGCCAATAGCGCATACACTTATGAAAGAATGAGCTCTTAAACTTTTTTAAGGAAGAAACAACACACCATTTTGGCTAATAAGCACACTAAGATACATCAAACTTTATTGGTAATAAAGAATAAAAGTTACAAATTAAAAGACCAATGAGATAGTATTTTTTTTCATGTACCTACCATCTTGGCTAAGATTTAAAAGAATAATGCCCAATGCTTAGTATGCAGAAATAGACACTTTAATACATAGGAGTATATTTACACATGCAAGTTTCCTGGGGGCCTGGGAGGAATCTAGTAATATATATAAAAATTGAAATAGGCATATTCCTTTAACCAGAAATGCAATCTCTACAAATTTATCAGACAAACATGTGAGCATAACTAAGCAACAAATATCCAAAAAGTATTGCTTATAGTAATGAAGTATTGCAAGCAATAGTAAATGTTTATTGTTTCAAATTTGGTAAATAAATTAATCCATTTTTACAAATTAATACTTTGCAGCTATTAAATACAATGATATCATCTATGCTTTACGATTCCATTAAATGTACAGAATATAATTATTAAGTGAAAAAGCAAATATTAAATATTATAAAGTTTTTTTAATGTTTTATGTATATTTAAAATTCTAATAAATTCATGCTTTCACATGAAGAATTATTATCCTGGGGAAAGAAGGGCGGGAGCTTGATGAGGGAGCTTATTTAACCAGTGATTTTTATTTTTTTGATAGACTTCTCTGTTTTCTATGTTTTATGTAATATACATAAATAACTTTTATAACAACAAAAATTAGTTTTTCTTAAAAATATAAACAAATCCTTATTTTGGACTTTTTTTTTCACCATGACTGCTTTTTGAAGACTTCAGATACTGAATTTGAAACAGCATAGAAATAAACAATGGGTTTTTTTAAATCTGTGTTTTGACTATTCCTAACTCTGAAGGAAGTACATTCTAGCAGTTGGTCCTGAATATAAATAACCATAGCTAAAATAAAACTTTTAGAGTAGACTTCTGAAATTATTTCCTCCAATTATTCCATCTTACAGACAGAAATTTTAAATTTGGGTAGATAATATGTCTTTGCAAAGTCACAAAGCAGTGGGCAGTAGACCAGAATGAAAATGCAGATACCCTCCCTCCTTAATCAACTTCCCTTTGTGTGACTGAAAACTTCCACTTTTGTGACTTTTATTGCATGAGTTTTCAAACAAATTTTTAAAGTAGTTCTCATAGCATGCTAGTGTTATCTTGAACAATGACATAAATAATGAAACTGACTGCATAGTCTGCATTCCCTTATTAGTAAGGATATACCCAAACTATCCATGACCCAAATGTGCCATTTATCAAAATAATCATGATGATGATTATATCCTACCATAGAGCTACTGCAATGTGCGAGCCACCATGTTAATGCTTTATATGCATTCTTTCATTTAATTTTTATAACTTAGATAGAAATTCTTATTATCTGCATTTTATTGATGAGAAAACAAAGTCTTAGAAGAGTGACTTAACCAACATCATAGAGCTAGTGTGACATTCTATTACAGCACCTCCTTGGTGTATCTGACTCCCAGATTTAAAAATAAAAGACTTCTCCATTGCTCCTTAAATTGCTTCATAAAGACGGCCAAAGATTCAAGACATATCACATGTCTTCATGATAGTGGATTAAAACGAAGCACCATTTTCATAATGTCCAACATATTATAACATATGATACGCCATGTTGCAATACATTTCCATGCCTCCTTTAAAAATGGTCTCATAAATAATGTGTTAATCTATAACTAACCTCTGCAGTAGACCTAGAACCACTGACCCATCTCATACTTACCAAAAGACAGCAAGTCTTTCCTAAACTGTCTGCGACAACTTAAGAAAAAGTGGTGAGAATATCAATAAATTATCATATAGCACATGTTCAATTATGTTCAGACACTGATTTAAAATAAGTAATAGAAGTAAATCTTTAGTAGATCTGCCTTTACTAAATTTTGCTGTAAATCTCCCTTCTTCCTCATTTATTTGCTCTTTTAGTTACATTCTTCTTACATGCTTCCTTATTAATTTCTCTTTCAATCATTCTGTTTATGTTTACCTGCTGAAGTCTTAAATTGAACTCTTGTTATTTTCCCATCAATCATATTGTAGGTTCCATGTACCATTCACTCACCCAATCCTTCACAAGAAGTATCCCTGGTAAGCAGCACAGATGAGTAGTGAAGGAAAACAGGAGAGAGGAACCATTGCAGCAATGCTAAATAAGCTGGAATTTAGAGATTGATCTCAGTAAATCAGCTAGAGATGAAAGTAGAATGCGAGTCATGCCTCCTTCTCCCTAAGTTTAGATGAAGGCATCACAGGGGCAGGGACATTAAGCAAGAAGAAAGCCAGGAAGAACCTGGAGGCATTTTTAGATGTGGTGGCCAAGCCTCTCCTTCAGTTTTCTGAGGGCTCTTTCCTTTTAGACACCTTTGCCCTGGAAAATACGGTGAAAAAACAAGGGTCAACTTGCATAGGGCTTATTTTATGACTAAGGGAAAAAGAAAGGGGAGAAGACTTTCAAGGCCAATCAATTTACCAGGATAAAAAATGAGAAAGAAACCGTAGCTACTAAGCAATAAGCATTATCCACTTACACACTTAATCAGGGTTAACTCCTGGGAGGAAGTTGGAATACATTCCAGTGTTGTATCAATGGCAGGAGCAAAATGAAACCAAGTAGGAGGAAAGTAGCCAGTGGGAGTGAGAGGTGTCTTGAATATATGTGGGATTCCTGGGACTAAGGAGAGGAAGAGAAAGATAGTAGTAAAATGTGATAAAGTGTAAATAAAGATCAGATGCTAGAGCCAGCTAACCCAGACTCAAATCCTCCCTCTTGCCCTAACCAGTTGTGTTTTTGTGAGTAATCTTGAGCATTGAGCTAACATTCTCTGAGCTTCAATGATTTTCCTTACATAAAGAAGCTAACAATACCTACCTGGAAAAATAATACATAATCTATGTAAAATGCCTAGCATACATAGGGCCTGACACCTAGAATATAATCATAGTGGGATTTTCCTGCTGCTCTAGATTGCTAATTTGCATTTAAGGTTGCAAAATTTGACAAACAACAATACAGGATGCCAAGTTTAATTTCAGTTATAGATAACTAGGTATAAATTCTCCAGTATAAGTGTGACCCATGCAATATTTAGGACATACTTATCTTAAAAATTTCCCCTTATCTTAAATTCAAATTTAACTGCACATTAATTTTATCTGGCAGCTCTACAAGCTGCATTCAAAGTTGGAGGAAAACAAGTCATGATATCATACCTTTTTAAAGGACCTACAAGCAATTGAGGGCCAGAAGTTCCCTCCAAGACTCACGAGGAACCAAGACAAACTGGCTGTGCTACCCCTAGCCATCACTCACACATCCAACGCACCTCTCTCCCGACTCTGGAGAGTTGGAGAAACTACTGTAGGGAAATATGTGGAAATAAGGAATTTCCAGACTAGGAAGAGGGTAGTTTTCACCTCTCCCTGCAAATCAAGTGGGAGCATCTCCTTCCCCGGGTTGGATGAGTTTGTTATGTACCTGAGTTGTTGACATGCCGTATGAAATAGCAGAGTTTTGGGTCATGATAGAGATGTTTGAGTTTCCTGTCGGTCACGTGAACACTTCAGAAGGCAGGGAGACCCCAAGTGAAGGAATTTGGAGGGGTCCCGAGAGTTCAAACCAGAGCAGGCTTGCTTGAATCACATTCAGTGGAGTGATGAGGCTCCAACTGACCGTCTGAAGAATTCACAAATGACTCTCACATGAGAGACGGGATTTAGATGCCCATTATGCAGACAGCTGTGACAGCCAGTTGATGTTAAACACAGAAGCCTCAACAGACAGGTCTACAGCAGTCAGGTAAATGAAAACATTTATAACTCTTCTAACTCCTACCACTAAACACACCAGAGGGATCCAGGAGGTAGGGGAGAGGAAAGGAAGGAGAAGAGCACAACTCTTCCCTCTCCAAGTCCTGGCTGAATCCTCACAAGTGCTGAGGTGATGATGACAAGGCCTAAGTTCAGTATTTAGACTGCGCTAAATTTTTTTATATGTAGTCCCCCCACCTTATCCACGGTTTCACTTTCACAGTTGCAGTTACCCACTCTCAGTTGTGGTACAAAAATACATGAGTACCATATCCCAAGATATTTTGAGACAGACTACACTGACATAACTGTAATTATAGTATATTGTTAGAATTGTTTTATTATTAGTTGTTGCCAATCTCTGTGCCTAATTTATAAATTAAAGTTTATCATAGATACGTATGTATAAGAAAAAACAGTATATATATATAGTTGGTACTCTCTGCGGTTTCTGGTATCCACTGAGGTCTTGGAGTATGTGCCCCAAGTGTAAGTGGGGTCTACTATACTCAAGAGATACCAGAAAACCTAGGATCCACCCAAAATAACATGAAAGATGACAGGGAAGAGGAAGTTTGACCATTTATTCAAACATGTTTATGTTTGAAATAGTAATTGAAAAATAAAATTGCTTCATATCTGGGCCCTTACTAAATCAGACTCCTAGCTGACAATAGGTCTTCACAGGATAGAAAGGTCAACTCAGATTCCATGCGGGAGTTTAAATCTAAGAGCTCCTTAAATAAAACTACTAGGCTCTGAAGGGGCAGGCTGGTGAAGTGGATGAAGTTGAGGCACATTTCAATTGATATATAAAGGCATCAGTTTAATTGCATTACAATAAAGATGAAAAGTGCCAGGACTTGGTGAAAGCCTTATAATTAACAATGAGATACAAGCTGACTTCAGCCACAAGGTCCACTGTTGGGTTTTGGAGATACCTAGGACCAGGGCACCCTGGTAAGACAAAGTGGCTTTACCATGGAGTTACACTTGGGATTCTGCCCTCCAATTTAGTGTCTCTGAGATATAAAATTATAGCATCTCAAGGAAAAGAGCATGGGAAAGCCATTTCAAAGCTGGTGAATGTTCCAGTTCCAGTGTCGGCTGAATTGCCATGGCAACACGATGGACAGTTGCATGGTGCCCATTTCCAGGCAGGTAGCAGAGCTGGGGGGGCAGGCATCTGCCTTGCCCATCTTAGATACAGAGTCTCACTATGTTGCCCAGGCTGGTCCCAAACTCCTGGGCCTTAAGAGATCCTCTTGCCTGGGCCTCCCAAAGTGCTGGGATTACAGGCGTGAGCCAGGGGGCCCACCACCTTCTGAGTTTCGAGCCTCATTGGCCTTCCAGCCCACTTAAGCTGTTGGGCCTAAGTAGGTTCAGGAAAGGTTCACTGATTCCAGGTAAATCAGAGGAACAAGCATTGTTAATAGAAATACATAGAAAATGCTATTATGCTGAAGCATAACTGTTGTTTCAGAAGTCTGGCATCTGGTGCACTTAACAATAGAGAATATATTAAATTATTTCCCAAATAAAAGAAAAACAAAAACAAAACTGGTGAATGAAAAAAAGACCTCCTTATATCATTCAGCCTGAGATCCTCTGTAACAGGTAATAGCAGGATAGCTGCCTAGTGGCCTGAGGTTTGCTTCTGACAGCTGTGTAGGCACTTCCTGGAGCCCTTAAAGCAAAGCATGGAGCACAGGAGAGGGAACTGCCACAGAAGTTTCACAGCCTCCTTGCTCATGTCACAAAGTTACCCTTTGCTTTTAGCCCCTAAAACCTTTCTTGTTTAAATTGTGCTTTTGATTTCAGTCCTGTTTATATTCACAATATGTCTTAGCTCTCCATTTGGTAAGTATTTTTTGGAAGTGGCACCAATATCAGATGGCATTTGTCCCCAGAGAAAGATCTGCTTTCTTATTGTTTTGATTAGTTGATACGTATTGAAAACTAACAATATATACCTCAAAGCATGATATATTTATTAGTCCGTTCTCACACTACTGATCAAGACATACCTGAGACGGGAAAGAAAAATAGGTTTAATGGACTCACATTTCCCTGTGGCTGGGAGGCCTCACAATATGGCCAAAGGATAAGGGACTTCCTATGTGGCGGTGACAAGAGAGAATGAGAAAGAAGCAAAAGTGGAAACCCCTTATAAAACCAACAGATTTCACAAGACTTATTCACTACCATGAGAACAGTATGAGGGAAACTGCCCCCATGATTCAATTATCTCCCTCCTACAACACATGGGAATTATGGGAGTACAATTCAAGATGAGATTTCAATTGATATATAAAGGCATCAGTTTAATTGCATTACAATAAAGATGAAAAGTGCCAGGACTCGGTGAAAGCCTTATAATTAACAATGAGATACAAGCTGACTTCAGCCACAAGGTCCACTGTTGGGTTTTGGAGATACCTAGGACCAGGGCACCCTGGTAAGACAAAGTGGCTTTACCATGGAGTTACACTTGGGATTCTGACACAAAGCCAAATCATGTCAATGTAGTATAAATAAACTCAGAATCATAGTTTCTCCGGTTAATAAAATAAGATTTGCTTATCTTCTAAGGGAGTTTGTCAAGTGAAGTTCAAAACTTAAAATACTAAGCCCTGCTGGTAATTTCCATTCAGTTTGTTGATACCTTTTATTAAAAATGAAAAATTAATAAAATAATCTCAAAGCCCCTCTAAAATACTGCCTGCAAAGAATCTGAAAGAGCAAAGGAAGAAAAAAAAACTTCATCCTAATTACAGGATGTAGAAAAACTTGTGCCAATTCTCAGAAGTGTTGAATAGGGCCAGAAGCAAGGATCTGGCTATCTTTGTAATAAGTGCACAGGGGTTTAGGATAATGTTACCAAGTTCCTGGCATATGGAGCATCTAAATAAACAGAATACCCTCAATCCAATTTGCCAGTACTGAGGATTATGTGTGGTGGATATTGTAGACAGAATTCTAAGATGGCCCCAAGATTTCTGCCCCCTGTTGTACAAGTCCTGTATAGAAGCCCCTGGGTGTGGCCAACCTGTATATATGATATGGTCTCTCCCATGATTAATTTAGATTAGGTGGCATGATCGCCTGTGAGAAAGGGACATGATCTAATAAGATGGTCCTTAAAAGTGACTGGGCTTTTCCTGGTGAAAGAGATGTGTGAGAGAGATTGAAGTGTGGAAGGAATTTCAACACAAGGGAGACTTGCTATCGTTGGCCTTGAAGGAAGTGGGACCCACATAGAGGTTACAACTGTAAGGAACTGAATTCTTCCAACACCTGAATGAGTGTGGAAGTGGATTCTTCCCCAGAGCCTCCAACAACGTAGCCCAGCCAACCCTGGTTTTAGCTTATGAGACCCTGAGCAAAAGAGGACCCAATTAATCCTACCTGGACTTCTAAACTACAGAACTGGAGCTGACAAAGGTCTGCTATTTTAAGCCACTAATTTTGTGGTAATTGTGATGTGGCAATAGAAAACGAATACAGGAGACAACAGTTATCACATAAAATTGGTTTGGCAGAAAGGAGGTGATAGTTGAATTAAGCTGAAAAAAGTAAGTCAAAGGATAAAATAACCCTAGTCTAACCATAATAAGAATATTAGAAAGACCAAATTGAGATCTGTGCTACTAAATGCCTGACCAATACTCCTCAAAACTGTCAAGATCATGATCAAGAAGAAAAGAACTGTCACAGACCAGAGGAGTCTGAGGAGCCATATGACTAAATGTAATGTGGTATCCCGAATGGGACCTTGGATCAGAAAAAGGACATTAGTGGAAAAATTGAATAAAGTCTAGAGTTTAAATGTAATATAACTAAACAAACTAACAGAAATCTGCAAAGTGTCATAGAAATATATAATGTAAATGAACTAAATAGTGAGAAAGTAGAAATCTAAATATATATTTTATTTACCATCTCTTAAATGGTGATTTTTTGGTCATACACTAATTAGATAAAATATTACAAAAATAAAGTTTATTGCCACTATTGTTAATAAGCGTGGAACTTCATAGTTCTGGCATACTGATATTTTTCTTTATGGCCTCAGTGGATCCCTAAGGTCAATTCAAAGCAAAATTAAGACGTGGGATATCCATATCCTAAGGCTATTTATACCATTCTTTTGCTAACATAGGTCAGGCAGTGGTCAGAAGATTATAAGATGTCGTCCTCTAATGTGAGCTTCTGATACTTAAGAGATCACTGGAGAATCCACAAGTTTAAAGATTCTCTTCCAGAATGTTTAATGTGCTTTCTAAAGGTGAGCTCAAAGATTTACCTGCAAAGGGGATAAAGATCAGGCCCAGGGTCCTGCAGCAGCCAGCATGACACTATTAACATCAAATGCAAGACATTCCTTATACTGCTTTAATTATCAATGCTAATAGAAGCAGCACAGGGCAATAAATATAGGAATTAAAAGGCAAAGGAAAGCTAGTTTTCATGTTTCATTTTTAAACCATTATATTCCTATTTAAGTGTCCTTGCATGTTCTTTCAGACTAGGTCCTGTTATATTCTACAAAACTCTTACTGAAGCAAAGAAAAGAGGCAGAAGAGGACTAGGTTTTAACTTTTTTTTAATCTTCAATTATTTACTGTCAGCCCTCACAGTAAAAGATCACAAGCTGTGGATACACTGCTCTTCTTTGCCTTGAGATGATAAGGATGTTATCTGATTTTTGAACTGCTATTCATCCACTTGAGAGCATATATATATGACATTGTATTTACAACACAGTTTCAGACACATTGTTTTACTCACAACAAGCCACCCCAAGAGTTAGAAAGGATAGAAATTACTATTTCCTCTATACAGATGAAAAAATTGAAGTTCAGATAGATAAACTGGGTTGACTACCAATGGATTTGAATTAGGGTATTTTGACCACTAATCCAATACTGCTTTGTAAGTAAATGTGCCTTTAGCTTGCTTCTGCTTCCCGTTTGCGTCCCACAGCCACACGCAGTAGGGACTACATGTCATTGCTGGCCGCTGGCTACTGAGGTTCCCCAAAAGTCCAGGCCTTCCTGCTACCATTGCTGACTATGTAAGACCTAACACTCTTCCCTCTTTCCTGAATAAAACTTCAAAATCCTGATCAAGCTTTGTTCTTCTTGCGAAGCGTCTGATTTGTCCCAGGTAGGGCCAAATTCATGGATGGATAACAAGCGCCATTTGGCCCTGGCCTTCACACAAAGGGACTCAACTTTAGACTTCAACCATGTCTCTGAATGAGGCTATATGGACAATCACAGAGATACTCACAATAGAATTTAAACTTGTGTCCAATCTTCAACCACACAACCTACATATACTATACCAACACCTGCGTATCTTCATAAATTCTATAATTACCATTTGAACAATGCATTATATTTTTAAGTGTGAATTTGTTTAAAATAAACATTTAAAATTCACCACCATTTTTGAATCTCTATTTCTACATTACTTCATATTTTTATTTTTAGTAAACACAGAGTTTCAACATATGTAATCGCCATGGCTTATTTCAAATTCTATGAAGCACCCCTTTCAGGGAGATCTATATTCTCCTAAATGGGAGGATGAACAAACAATGGGTAAATGGAGATGCAGAAATTTACACACAGCATGCTCTAAGTGACTTAACACCCTTTTTCCCTTTTTTTTTTTTTTTTTGGAGTCAGTCTTGCTATGGTGCCCAGGTTGGTCTTGAACTCCTGGTTTCAAGTGATCCTTCCATCTCGCCTTTCCAAAATGGTGGGATTACAGGCATGAGCAACTGCACCCGGCCTACTTACCACCTTTTAAAATAAAGAGCTAAGATAGCCAGTAACCCCTCTAATAAACATATTGTTTTTAAAGAAATCATGACAGGAAATGAACAACGCATTTTGAGATGAGGCTGGTTGGTTAGTTCAGAGAACTAACATTTCTCAATTTCAGATATGAGGGAGCCAAATATAACTTGCTTAAAGAAAATGGAAAACAAGAAACAAAAAAGTAGAGTTAATAAAGTGACCTAACAGAAGAGGAGCAAGGTCAGGCTCAGACTTTAGAACAATTCAGACAACTATTTCGCATTTAAAATAATCCGAATACTTTTCTGACCCTTCCCAAAGACCCCCTCCTCAGCCAATTCGTCACTATTCAGCAGCCATGCTTTGTTCCTGTCAACCCAATCTCTGGGTGGTCCCAACTATTTTTTCTTATCTATCTTATGCCCCCATCCCTTCCAGTTTGTGTCATCTCCTAATGAATCCCTTAAGACTCTTTTTCATGCATGGAATTTCTCTCAGAAGGAAAAGCACTTTACTTATTTCATCCTAACAAACTCATAATTATGTGTGCAAATATGTATACAATTATGTGTACAAAATTACTGTGTAACAAATTCACAATTATGTGTGCAATTATATGTACAACTATTTGTACAGAATTATGTATACAATTACTCACAATTATGTGTAGAGAAAACTATCATGGCAGCCCCAAGACATGCCTAAAAAACAACAACAAAATAAAAACGGTAATAACTGTATTCTAGGGATTGATATGTGTTTTATACAGGAAATTATGTTTCCACTTCTACTATCTGCCCTTTTATATCTAACACTGCTTTTCTTATTGGAAACCCGTTTCTCTGAAAATCAGCTACTATAGCTATCACAGGCTGAGATTTAATTTGCATTTATCATGAATAAAGGCACATTTCCCTTCCCTCCCACTGTTTTTAACTGCAAACAATGTACTGTTTTCAACTCTAAGTAATTTGTTTTTCTCTTCTTAATGAAGAAGTCATATTAACTCTTCTGATTTGAAGGTTTTCCTTCTTGAGGAGCAACAGAAATGAAAATTGACCCCAGTCCTCAGGCCTAAGGGCAAAAATAAATACAAGTGCCTGGAACCAAATCCAATGGCCCTACAAGGAACAAGTGTACTTTCTTGTACACCTCTCTCTCATATTATCTATCTCTCTCTTTGTCTTTCTCTCTATCTTTCTCTCAGTCTCGTTTTCACATGATTCAGTTTGTGGGGAAAGACAATATGCTTCATTTAGGCAGATTTCACTGTTCTTTTCATCTAAGAGGCTGGCAGAGAAGGTCAAAATCTAAGAGGACAAGATGGTATAGTTATATGTGGCCAATGGTAATACATGCTGTATAGGCCAAATAGAAATTTTTCTAATGATTGGCAAGACTGATTTAGTAAGCCAAACTCCCCCTAGTGCCTGGATAGAAGCTCATGAGAGCCTCATGGAAGCAACCAGGAAATAATTCTCCTCTTTTCAGTGATGAGGAAATTAATGTCCAAGAAGATTTACAACTCAAACAGGAATCTGTACTCCCAGTTCAGTTTTCCATCTCTTGAGTTAACCTGCCATCAGTCAAGAAGCCACCATTCTAAGAATGAATTTAAATATGCAGAATATCCAAAATCACTCCGAGTGATTGTTGGTTTAGATCATTACCATATATCATTACACAATATTTACTGATGACAGAAAACAGAAAAGGCAGAGAAACCAAAATACCAGCCAAACAAAAGAAGGACATGCAGTCAGTGATTGCATTCTCACCTCATATTTAGATGCTCAGAAGCTCAGCAATAAGCAAGCATGCACCTTAGGCTAGAAGCAGTAGCAACAACACACATTTACAAATTATGAAAAGAGCAAAATGCTCAGTCTGCACTGTTCAGCACAAAGAATTCCCAAAAGCTTCAGAGACATGTCCTTTTAATGAGAAACAATAGTTTTCAACCAGATGCTCCTCATCATTAAGAACACTTTAGCACCAGAAACAGGCACAAAAGGGGGCTACAAACCTAGCACTTTCAAAATAAAGACCTCTGTGGATAAGTGCACCTATTAATATAAATGATTTTGAACAGATTCAGCTTCTGCTCCAAGTCTATCAATTAACAGGAATAAAAATTATATTTCTATGCCATTCCATGAAAAAACAAGACATGAGGCATATCTGGAGACACCTAATTTTCTAACTGGGATCATATCTGTTGCATGACTATTAAAACAAAAAATATTCCCTTGAAAATACTGACACCTCTTAGCTTGATTTTACACTAGAGATAAAACGGCTAACATTCTTCAGATTTGCGGCTATTTTACTATTGAACAGGAGTAGCATAAATATGATTCCATTTAATAATAGAAATGAGAACATGAGCTTCCTAGTAAAGTTGCCATGAAAGAAACCTGAGTAAATGAACTAATAATACCACACTGTACTGATAGTTTTTCTCTCTTCATATTGTCTTCAAGAAATGGCAGTTTAATTGATACTTACCTATGAAATTGAAATCAAAATAAGTGTAATAATAATAAAGTATCATCTATCTACAATAATATCAAGGAATTTGACGTTAGACTGCGTTAAGTTAAAATTTCAGCTCTGCTACATGACCTTGAATATGCTACTTAACCTCTCTAAACCTCTGCTTTCTCATCTTTGAAGTGGGGACAGTAAAACGGTCCACATCATGGAGTTGTTGTGCAGATTAAATTAAGTAATCCCCATGCAGCCCTTAAGGTAGGCTCTGGCATTTCATAAGCCCTCAATATGTGAACTATTTTTCTTAACACCTATAATTTAAAGGCATCTTAGGAGAATTTGAGAACTGTCATCCAGGAATTTCACAAGGAATTTTACATTTGGGAATTGTGCTAGGTATTTTAAATATGTCCATAATATTTTTTAAAAATCGAATTCACTGTCTAAGCTATTTTTCCATGGATGTGCATTAATGCAAATTAGGCAGAATGACTTTTCCCAGTTATAATTGGGCTGAAATGAGGTGGAAGGAACAGAAAGACAATTAACTTTAGCTACTTTTTTTTAATCTCCAGCAGTTCGGAGTAGGTTTTAGTGCCTGATGGTTGTAGACTGTCAATGCTGCCAGGCGAAATTATTCAGAGACCTTCAAGGGGCTTTGTTTATCTCATTTTTCAATTAACCTCTGCGTTTTAACTTCATCATAATGCCTATGCCAATTCACACCAAAGAACAAATAAAAAATCCCCATTTGCTGTCATTATTTCTGTGCTTTACAAATCAAGTTTTATTTTTTCATTTTAATGCATAAAGAAAATACATGGAGGATGTAAAATTTAGGTTGCAAAAAAACCGGCAAAGTGGCAAATGATTTAATACAAATTAACTTTTGTATTAAGCTATTTCCCTTTCTTTTCTTTTTCTTTTTTCTTCACGTGAGGCAACAGTGAAGTTTAGCACTGCTGAGAGCAAAGATCAAAGTGTGCTTGAAGACCGGGATTGCTGTTTTCATCTTAGTTTGAGATTTCAGGGCCTACATCACTACACATATGATGAGATGAGGATCAGTTTTTCTCTTCCTAGAGCATCAATGTCAGTAGACGTAAATCTTAATCTGCATATCTCTTTCAAATATATGTTAATAGGACTAAAACACCTCACCTTTATTTTTATTAAGTCAGTACCAAGAAATAAACTGCTTTTTGAAAAGCACGTCCAGATTTTTTTACATCATTTAAAATAGCATTGAGATGTTAATCCTTAAATTGAAAAAAATCTCATCCAGACAATTAAAATCCCTTTGTAAAAAGTGCCAGCTGATGCAGATAATACACATCACTTTCTATTTTACTGCCCAGGAAAGAAAAAATATATAAAATTTGGTATGTTTCCTACATTTAAAAATCTTTAGAAGCATAAAATATGTTTAAAATGAGTAAGACTTTAGTGCCAAATATTATTTAGTCTATGATATTGAATGTCTAATGGGTTAATTATGTAAGATTTGTGCTAATCCGGCTATTTGAAAGCATTGAGGAAAAGACACAATCAAGAATGTGGGGTAAAGGTGCTTTTCAATGGACAATAGATGTCAACATTGTCTTAGTCTGCTGGGGCTGCTACAACAAAATACCAAAGAACTAGGTGTATTAAACAACAGAAATTTATTTCTCACAATTCTTGAGGCTGAGAAGTTCCACAGTGTGGGTGCTGGAAGATGTGGTTCCTGGTGAGGGTCTTCCTGGCTTGTAGGAAATTCTCCTTCTCTTCCTCTTCTTTTAAGAGCATTAATCCTATCATGAGGATCCCACCCTCATGACCTAATTAAAACCTAATCATCCCCAAAACTCCTCCTCCAAATAACGTCACACTGAAGGCTAGAGCTTCAATGTGTGAATTTGGAGGGGACAGAAACAGGCAGTACAAATTGGGGAAGCAATATGAAAATTATCCAGTGGGTAAAAATTAAAATATGAGTGTCTGGGGGTGACCAGGTAAACATGACCTGACAAGTGTGACTATTTCTTTCTGAGAATAAATATTGATGGGAGGCCCAGATGTGGTGGCTCACGTCTGTAATCCCAGCACTTTGGGAGGCCAAGGCGGGTGGATTACTGGAAGCCAGGAGTTTGAGACCAGCCTGGCCAACATGGCGAAACCCTGTCTCTACTAAAAATACAAAAACATTAGCCAGGCATGGTGGCACACACCTGTAATCCCAGCTTCTTGGGAGGCTGAGCCACAAGAACTGCTTCAACCCAGGAGGCAGAGGTTGCAGGAGCCAAGATCACACCACTGCACTCCAGCCTGGGTGACAGAATGAGACTCTGTCTGTCTGTCTGTCTGTCTGTCTCTCTCTCTCTCTCTCTTTCTCTCTCTTTCTCTTTCCCTCTCTCTCTCTCTCTCTCTCTCACATACACACACACACAAAATATGTGTGTGTGTGTGCATGTGTGTGTGTGTATGTACCATGTGGGACTAAGAAATTTCTTAATTATTTGCAAATCTCCTGCACTTAAATTATTTCTTTTTTCTCCAGTGACTGAAATAAAGAGTCAATTCATATTTTCACTGACCCAAGTCATGAGGTGACCTTGGAGCTCCCCGTGAACCAGCCCTGAGCCCTGACCTGAATGGATCACATCTCCATATGGGAAGTGAAATAGAAAGTCATTACAATGTTTTTCCTTTCAAGACATCAAACTGAAGCCAACATTTCAATATTTTTGCTTTGTCACTCTACATACCATTAAAGTAAGAGCTGGTCTGACTTTATCAATATTTCTTGTAGGACACTGAAACAACTATCAGTCAATAACACATTTTGATCATTTCAGGCCTGGGTTGAATATAAACCTGATGTGTAAAACTTACCAAATAAAACTCTTTATCTCTATATATTTGTGCCTATGAGCTAGACAGAAAAGAATTTATTTCATTCTTTGAAAGAAAAATGAAGCACCGCATAATCATACTAAATAAAGAATACATTTAATTTCAAAAGAAAAAAGAACTGAAAATTAGAAATGTAATTATAACAAATAAATATTGCAAAAGCCTGGGTAACCTCTTAAAAATATAAAATGTTGAAAACACAACACTAATTCAGAAAAAAATGTTCTGCATTCAAAAATGGTTAGCCTCCAGATCCTATACTTTAAAAGAATCATGAATTGTAACAGCAGTAGCCCCAAGGAAATTAATACAGCACTCTCTTTCATCTTTCTGGAGTTAACAAATTTTTCCTAACTTGTACAATTCAACTTATAACTGGGTCTAGTCAGAAAGATGTGCCAACTTCTGTGAAAATGTGTCTGAGCATATATGATGTCACAAAGTTTCCATTTGTTTCGAGACAGAGTGGCTGCCAAGGGATTATAAACTGTTCAGTCATGAATACTACAGATCTCACTTTCTAGATCACTGGACCCAGAGATGTGACCCACAGAGAATGATGAGGGTAGAAAAACAGAGACTCAACAACATTCTGGATGACATCAAACATTCTAGAATGGGAAAAGCCATCATTTCATCACTTGCAAAAAAAAAAAGTATAGGAAAAAACACACTTAACTTCATGTTATACTTCAGAAATATAAATATTTATTATTGACATAATTGATAGTATTTTTGGGTTTTAAGGGTACATGGAAAGTTGGCCAATCACAGAGAAAGGTTTCATGCTTCCCAAAATTGGTATACAGACATTTCAATGATATGTTTTAACAAATCATTTGGTTTTGAACAAAGCCAAAAATATGAATACATATTCCTCCATCCAAATATTCATTGATTTCCAAGGAAGTATTTTTACAGATTCATATAGTTTTCTAATTCTTGCCATGTACAGTTAGTGTGAAATTTTATAATAAAAGTATTTGTCTTCATCTGCTTTCTGCTGCTATAACAGAATACCACAAACTGAGTAATTCAGAAAGAAAAGAGATTTATTTGGCTCATAGTTCTGGAGGCTAGGAGGTCCAAGAGCATGGTGCCAGCCTCTGACTAGGATCATCCCATGGTGGAATGCAAAAGGCAGAGGTAAGCAAGGGAGACAAAGAGAAAAGAGGGTCCAGACTCTCTTAGTAACTAACCAACTCCCACAGGAATAGCATTAATTGCCTCCTAAAAGTCCCACTTCTCAACACTGTTACAATGGCAATTAAATTTCAACATGAGTTTTAGAGGGGACATTTAAACGATAGCAGTATTTCCATTGATAAATATAATGGTTCATATAAATATCCATCTAAAAATTTGTTTCATATTCCATATACAAACATTCTCATTAAAATAAGTTTCATGTTTCAATCACCCCAGCAGGGCACTGAAGAAGATGAAAAGAGAGCCTGATAATTAAAAGTGTGATTTCATAGTAAATTTCAATAGGTCTTCCAAAAGGATTATAGCATTGACTTCTAAGCTTCCTCTTAACATATACTGACAGTGATTTAGCAAACCCAAGACTGTTTTAAGAATTATCAGAATTAAAAAACAGAAAACAAAAGAGTAAATTCATCAGGCTTACCAACATAAATGTGCAAAGTAAATTCTTATATGACTACCATTGGAATTTAACCAATAATGTATATGCAAGATATTATCAGAACTATGCAGATTAATTTTTTTATTCATAATGACAAATACAACAGATACAATTCTACTCAACTGTGCTCACCTAAGAGGCATGATGAGTAATAAAGACAACTGCTGATAACATTTATTGTTTTAGTTTTTTGAGTTTGGGGTTTTTTGTTGTTGTTGTTTTGCTGGTAACATTTATTAAAATGAATACTTTTTCACTCAGTGCCATATCATTTCTCAAGTCACTGACTTTTGCAATATACGTTTTTGTTTCTCCCAATTTTATTAAACCTCATTTTATTTAAGAGACAATAAATGGGTCAATAAGAAATGGCTCATAGATGTAAATCAACACTTACTGTACAGTTGCAACCAGATTTATAAGTAAATCCTTACAATGTCCTATAATTCTTTAGGGTGATAATGGTCTACACAGAGTTCTGTAGAGCTTAAAGCAGAAATTGAACTCATCAGAAAGGAGTCAAGGCACACTGGGAGCCATGTGGAAAAGTGAAAGGACTTCACTCAAAGACAGGTAATAAGAGGATTTTCTTCAAGAGAACTACCACATGTCATCTAATATATGATGCCCTCAGGGCTAACATACACTATTACTTTATACATAAAGTAATGTGTTTCTATTTCTACTAAACAGAAATATATTAAATCTATTAAGTACTTTTTGGCTTGGTGCAATGGCTCATGCCTGTAATCCCAACACTTTGGGAGGCCAAGGTGAGTAGATCACTTGAGGTCAGGAGTTCAAGACCAGCCTCGCCAACATGGTGAAATCCCGTCTCTACTAAAAATACAAAAAAAAAAAAATTAGCCGAGTGTGGTGGCAGGTGCCTGTAGTCCCAGCTACTCTGGAGGCTGAGGCAGGAGAATCACTTGAACCCGGGAGGCAGAGGTTGTAGTGAGCCGAGATCACACCACTGCACTCCAGTCTGGGTGACACAGTAAGACTCCGTCTCAAAAAAAAAAAAAGAAAGTACTTTTTAAAGTTGCCAGTCGTAATTGTAAAATGGCATGAATTTAATATGTATTCCTATTTCAGAGTCAGCAAAATGTGAAAAATATTAATCACAGTGTCATTTGTGTGAGGCATAGATGAGGGGCAATTATTGGAAGAGCTTAAAGATGTAAAGTTTGTGTATCAAAAAACAAAATTTACAAACAACAAAGCATAGGAGGTAGGCAAAGGGATTAGCGGTGTATATACCTGTTTGGGGATGAAGGAGAGAAGACAAGTCCCAGAGATTTTGAGGATGCGATTAAAAGTCAGAGTAGGTCATGTGGATGCTCTTGCATATTAAGAGGCATCACAGGGTAGGAAGGAGAGTAAGCATGGAGGTAATGATGTAACCTCACATTCTTATTGGAACACTGGGCTAAAGTTCTTTTTGTACCAGGCCAGGCTGGAATGTCTGGCCCAGGTTTAATAATTCCCACAGGCTTTCAATAGCCTGAAGTTGTAGAACCCAGCACAAGTTAAGATGCAGGGGTCACCATCCTGATGACTGTCTTAATTTGTGTCTGTCCATGGTCTTTGTTAAGATTTCAAAGAAAACATAGGTAGTGAGCTGCCATAGAAGTTGTATATCTCTGGGTGCAGAGATTCATTCATATGCTAAATGTTTAAGTAAACATTATATTAAAGTGTTAGCAATAAAATCTTTCCTCTTTAATATTCATTCAAAGTTCCCACTGACCTTAAAGTAGAATTAAATACAGCACAGCTGTCCTGAGAGAATTAATCATTTCTTTATCACTAGTCAGGAATCATTTTCCCAAATGCCAACTCTTGCCCTCTAATAATTCACTTCTACCTGCTGTGGATCCGTGGTTGTGTGCCCAAGCTCTCTCCTTGACCTCAGCAGAATGAGTTGGCTGCAGTGCAGGCTGTCCTTGAAGACCACCTGGGAGCCTCAGGTTGTGCCCAATGCGGCAGCCTGTCAGAAACGGTCTACTGCCAGCGCAGAGCAGGGAACACCTGTGCCTCACAGTCTGCACTGGCCACTCTTCCACTCCCAAGTGTCTTTTAAGATACAGGTCAAGACTTTCTCCAATCATAATTTACGTAGTGATATTTCTCAGTTCATCTTGTCCCCACTGCACCATCAATGTGGAGTGAGGATTTCGGAATTGAGTGAAGGAAATAAAACATTAGGGCACAAGTCAAGCTTTCTTTAGTTCCCAAAGTACCATTTGTATGACTAGAATTTTGTTCTCTGACCCTACAACCCGCAGTATCCCACTTGTTATAAAAGTGTCCCCAAACATACATACACACAACCTATGCATGCACACCATATAAACAATTTATCTTGTACCACATCTGGTATAATTGAGCTGATTGAGACTGAACAACCAATTCCACAAATATTTCTTTAGTTTTCAATTTGTACTTGGCACTGTGCTAGATGCTGGGGCTAAAGACATGATCCCTGCCTTCAAGTAGGTCACATTCTAAAGGGAAAGACAAACCACAGTTTCTTATATTTAATAAAACATAAAGCATAGTACCTGATAGATAGTTGTTTAACCCACCTCCCTTCCCTCCACCCACTAGTAGTTCACAGTATCTATTGTTCCCATATTTATGTCCATGTGTGCTCAATGCTTAGCTCACTACCAGGGTGGTGGGATCCTTACTCCAAACCTCGGCATCATGAAACATTCCTATGTAAGAAATCTGCTCATGTACTCCCGTATCAAAAATAAAAGCTGAAATTTTTCTGGGAAAAAAAAACGTAAAGCAGATAAAGAAATGCTAATATCTACAAAATTTTTTTCCCAAGTCACACTTTTAAAAGATCTTTCCATTCATCTATTGTCAAAAATAGAGTTCATAAATGGAAGATGTTTCTATTATTCTAAACCTGGTTCAAGACTTCACTCCCTCACTTTCCTTGATTAATTTCACCTCCACTTACTGTTTCATTTAATGTGAAATCAAGACACCCATTTTCAAAACATCTCAAAAATATTTCTTGCTTTAGAAATACTTTAATATTTTCCTTTATATTCTGCTCCGAGTAGATTTAAGAAAAGAATCATGCCTGTCATGACGTTTTCTGTATTCCAAGCATAATGAGATCACAGTAAATGTCAATTGCCCGGTGATTCTGCTGGATGGTCCCATTTTACCAACTGTGACAGTCACCTACTGGCTTCTCATTTATATGTAAGCAAGAGTTTTTTGTAAAAACTCCTAGACTTTTGGTAGCACAGCTAAGAAGATTATTAATTGGAAGTTTATTTGGGTGCCTGTATCATGTAAGTGTATTTACTTGTTTCAAAAATGTGAAGGCTCAGAGCTTAGGTCATTTTTTATTGATATTGCTCAGGTGATATACATAAATCACAATGTTAGGAACAAAATCACCTGTACTTCAGAATTTCCTTTTTATCTATAGGAGAAGTTTGAATAACGCATAGTACTATTTTTATTCATAGATGCATAAAAATTCAATTGTGTTTTTAAAATCTGACTGGCTAATCTTGAGGTATTTATGAGATTATTATGACAAACCACAGTATTTTATTTTAATATAAATACTGCCTCCAAAGTAGTTATTTCATTTTAACTACCACCAATGTAGGAAATAGGAGTCTGTTTATAAAAAAAAATTTGGTTTTTGTTGAATAGTTTATATGAAACTAGAAAAGTATAATATAAAAACAAATTATTGATTGGCATTTGCAAAGTATTTCTAGCTGAGTTTTAAAATTAATAAGGAGCACATTAAGATATTGGATCATTTGAAAAATTGGAGTCAAAAAACCAAAGGCCTGGATTTCATACCTAATAGTGGTAATGCTTGAATAAGTCATTTAAATTTTCTTGTATGTCAGTCTCCTCGTCTATAAAATGAAGCTGACACTACCCCAATGAACAGGGTTTTTGTAAGATTTTAAGAACAGAAAACATTTGAGTGCTTAGTATGTATTATCAACCCTTTTAAGCATTTTAGATGTATTAACTCAATTCTCCCAATTATACTAAGAGGTAAGTGCTACTATTACCTTCATTTTATCAATGAGAAACCGAAAGCCTTTAAAGGTTAAGTGGCCCACCTCAGGGTACCAGGGCTCTCTTCCTAACTCACTGCCAGAGAACAAGATTACAGAGTCATAGCCATGAGCTCTGCTTACAGTGCAAAGTAAAGGGCTGAAATCAGCTTAAATGACTTCTCAATCATCAATTAAAAGAAACTTGGATAAATAATAGCTTACTTTCCTCTACTGAAATGTGTTTCTAAAGGTATAGTTCCCCTCTTCCTGCTGATTAAAACCACAAGCAAATGCATGACACAAGTACTCTAAAAGGTAGAATGTCTTTTCTACAACCATTGTAAGAAATATGCAGTTGGTGAAAAGCCAAAATCTAAGAAAAGATATCAAATTCATACTATAGAAACACAATTTTTTTTTTTTTGAGACAGAGTCTCATTCTGTCACCAGGCTGGAGTGCAATGGCACAATCTCGGCTCACTGCAACCTCCTGCCTCCCGAGTAGCTGAGATTACAGGCACGCACCACCACGCCCAGCTAATTTTTGTATTTTTAGTAGGGACGGGGTTACACCATGTTGGCCAAGATGGTTTCAATCTCCTGACCTCGTGATCTGCCCACCTCAGCCTCCCAAAGTGCTGGGATTACAAGCATGAGCTACCACGCCCGGCCAAAACACAATTTCTTTAATACTCTCAGCCTCATATGTTTACGCCTATGAACAGAAAATTGTCAAAATGCATAATAGGGAAATGAAAATTCCAAAAGTATGAAAGAATATTATTCATTCTGGGATTAATAAGGTAAATCATTTAGTATGTGTTATTTGCAAACAGACAGAAATTCCAAAAATAAATTCCTCACCCCAGATATTCTCCTTTGTTTTTAGTAGCTGCTAGAACATGCCCTGAAGATCTCTGTGTAACTAAATATTCCATTCTTGTCTTAGCCAGAGAGGATTTGTCTGCAGTCTCTAAAGTCCTTTTAGAGAACACCCAGAAAATAATATAAAATAAGGTAAAAAGCATGCAGCACCTGCCACAGAATAAGAGCTTGCCTTGTATGTGCAGTATTGAAGTTGATGACTCCTTCTGGCTTCCCAGCCTCTGAATTCTGTATTCATTTTTTTTCAGCTCTCAAGACTAGACATTGCCCTTCCTGAATATACCTCTAGGCCTCTTCTGACTAGACCTATTCTCATGCCCCTGTAGCCTAATACACACATAGAGCCTAATAATTTATATGACTCTATTGAGAGGCATGGAATCATGAGATCTGTTTCAGCTTTGGTGTAAATGATTAAAAAAAAAAAAAAAAGACAGCCCTGAGCCAATTGTGATATGATAGGTAGAGAATAGGGACACGAAATGTTAAAACTAGTGGTTTCAAGACATAAACCCTAAAGGATAAGAGAAGAAACATTGATATGGTTTGGATGGTTGTCCTCTCCAAATTTCATGTTGAAAAGTAATCTTCAATGTTGGAGGTGGGGCCTGGTGGGAGATGATTAGCTCATGGGGGTGGATCCCTCACGAATGATTTAGCACAATCCTCTTGGTGATAAGTGAGTTCTCACTCACTTAATGTGAGATCTCATTTAAAAGTCTACCCCTACACCACCACCTGGCTCTCTTGCTCCCTCTCTCGCCATGCGACATGGCTGCTTCACCTTCACCTTCTGCCATGATTGCAAACTTCCTGAGTCCCTCACCAGGGTCACATGCTAAATTACCCAGCCTCAGGTATTTCTTTGTAGCAACACAAGAATGCCTAACACAAATACTATTTTTTTAACCACACATATTCTGACATTTTGAGTTTTCTTTGGGAAATTGCTGGATAAATCCAGAAATATACTGAAGATATCTCTGTGCTGATTCCCTGTTCCAAGTATCGTTATTTCCTACCTATTCTGTTTTCCTCTCTGGATAGAATACACTTGAGTCTCAACTCAACTCTATACAACTCTACACAACTCTGTACAACTCAAGTATATTCTATCACAACTATGGTTAATATATCCCCAAAGCCACTTTCAAATATGAGGAGCATCTGGGCTACTTTTGCCAGCACTGGGATGAAAGAAAGCAAATCATAACTGTTAGTATCACCTCCAAAATAGCTCAGTGAAGAAATATGGAAATATGAAAGGAACTTACTAATAATATTCATGAGTTGGTTTTACCCAAAGACAATATATTCTATACAATGATATAGAATACTAGCATACAAACTGAAGAACTCAATATCTTTAGTGGTATATTTTGCCATTCAAATCTAGGGCCAAGAACTCTAGATAATTGTTAAGTAATTTTAAAGAGAAAACATATATTACAAATTATATAAAAATGGATGTACCTAGAGTGTTAATAGTTATTCCTTGATAGTCTTTCTCTTAAAAATATTCTGATTAGGGCAGCTTAAAACTAATCCCCCTTTCACTGATCTTGGCAGAGGATTTTTAGCAAGTAATTTTATTTAAATTACTACACAGAATTAATCCTTTTCATTGCTTAAGGCAAAAAGGAAACCAGAGAAAAATAAAGACTATAAACTGGGGTTGAGATAGTTACATCGAATTATTTCTTTCTTAATTGAAACAACTGAACGAAGTATTTTGCATTATAAGTAAATCCTTCCTCTACATTTATTTTGCTTCTTTCTAATGGAATAAAAGTCATGTATTTACAAGGCAGGTATAAAATACTAGTTGTATGACTGAGTGAAAATTTACTCTCATTTCCAGAATGCATAAAACTAAGATGCTTGTATCAACCAAAATTAAAGGTAATAGAAAAACATCATGAATGATTTTTTCTCCTTTTGTGAATTCAGGAGAAAATCCTGAATTATGCCTGTCTTTGCAAGTTTGGCAAAATCTAACTTTCACAATGCTGCCAATAGGCTAATCATTGAAGCTTTACATGCTGTTTTTCTCAATTCTAAAATTCTTTAGAAAACAAACAAAAAAAAACCATAAATAATGAGGAAAAAAAATGAGCTCTCATAGCCCAAGATGGTGGTTGTCAACGAGTATGTGATAGAATAAAGGAAGTGAAAGAGAAGCAATAAAGCACATATGTACATTATCTTTAAGGACGTTTCATCACATTTCTACTTAAATACCACTGGCCAGACCTGAGTTAGAAAATCATTCAATAACAAGGTAAACTGGGAAATGCACTCCACGTTAGGTTATGCTGAGCCAAAAATTGAGGGCTCTATCACAGAAGGAGCACCTATCAATCAGCAGGCTCTGACAAACTCTGCCTCTTTCATCACTCACGGATTTACTCTTCCCATACATGGAACTCATCCTGCCCCTCTCCAAGGGACCCAGTGCCAAAGTCCTATCCAATTTCAGCAACCGGCTCAAAGTCTAGGATGTCTGGGTGATGTGATGCATCAAGTCTGGATATGATAGCTCATGGCCCAGCAACTTACAAAATAAAATACAAAGCCAGATAGTATGGTTCACATCTGTAATCCTAGCTACTCGGGAGGTTGAGGCAGGAGGATCACTTGAGCCCTGGAGTTCAAGTCCAGCCTGGGCAACATAGTAAGAACCCCATCTCGAAAGGAGAAAAGAAAATACAAGATAAAATACAAATTATTTGGCCTTTCATGGTATTCAACGGTGAAGCAATAATTGGCTTTCCCCGCTAGAAAAAGCAGAAAATTGGAAGTTCATTGCAGTCCCTTGTACTTTACAATTATCAAAACCTGCTGACCAGGAATTATGAAGACTCCCTTTTTTGAGTAGGTAATCTAGCAAGTTTGGTTTTGCTTTCTGGGGGCAACATCCTTGTCCAATGTCTTGGACCTCAATTCTTCCTTTTGGGAGCTTCTTCCTGCTGTATTATGTCCCATGTTCACATGTAAGGTAGGCATTAGAGTTTACGCTTTAGGGTGGCTGTGTAGATTTCACAGCCTGCTTCCTGCTGATGCAGCTTAGTGTATCTGAGGATTTTATTAGAGATAGAACAATTATAAGCTTTTGCAGTCCCATCTTGTTAATTAAGATGGAGATGTGCAAAGGTCAGCATTTACAGTTCCCTCAAAGAGTATTCACTTTGAGTCAATTCCAAGTACAAATGACTAGACCCAAAAATCTTATCTAGGCATAGTTTTTAGGCCCAAGGAATTTGTTTTTTAATTACTAGGCTCTAGTCCTGCCCATTTCTCTCTCTTCCATTGCCAGACCATGAGGTTATTACCTTGGGGATATTTTTAAAAGTCAGTGTATTAGTCTTCTCAGGCTGTCATAACAAAATACTGCATATTTGGTGGCTTAAAACAACAGAAATTTATTTTCTCACAGTTCCGGAGGCTGGAAGTTCAGGATCAGGTGTCAGCAGGGTTGGTTTCTGACGGGTACCCTCTCTTCTAGCTTACAGATAGTCACCATCTTGCTGTATCCTCACGTCTGTGTATACACATGGAGAAAATGAGATTTCTGGTATTTCTGCCTCTTCTTTTAAAGACATCAGTTCTATAGGATTAGGGTCCTACCCTTATGACCTCATTTAACTTTGATTAGCTCCTTAAAGGTCCAATCTCCAAATATCATATACTGGAGGTTAGGGCTTCAATATATGGATTTATGGAAAGGGAAGTACAATTTACTTCATCATTGTAGGCTTGAGAGAAAAGGCAGTACTTTTGATCTGATCTTTGCCACTAGTTTTGCCATCACAGTTGGCTTGGAAATTGCTTTACCTTCTGCTAAAGTTGCTGCTTTGTTTGGGGTTATAGAATCAGTCAGCTATTTCAACCCTGCAAGTTTTTAAATATCAAACTCTTCGTCAGTTTGTATTCCAGCTGGAGGCAGAGATGGTTGAGCTCAGCATAGTAATATTACCTTTATCTCTGCTTGCAGCCTGGACAACTCTACCCCCAAGTAATATCTCACTTCTACAGCCTTGTTGAAAGCAGTAACAACAACAAAAACAAAACCCAACATTTTGAATTATTCTTACCATTTTCTCTTTTTAAAGTTTATCCTCACCAGGCACACGGACTACCTTCTAAGAGACCTTTGGGGATGGTGTTCTTAAATGTTTGCAATGACAAAATAGGGGTCACCAGACTTCTAATCTGCAATGAGTTCTGTTACCTGGCCACTTAGACTAATCCAACACCAAAAGTTGATTGTGGCATCCCATTTCTAAGAACACTTGAATTAATATTAGATTCCGCTATGAGTGACAGAAGACTCAAAATAACAGCAGATTTTAAAGGGCAACAATCTTCTTTCTCATCTAACCTCCTGGTGTATGGTCCTGGACTGGTTGGGTACGCCACAGGGTCTGGTACCCAGACTCCCTCTATCTTGTTGCCACCAACTCTTAGTGTTCTGGATTTTGTTTATTGACAACTAGAGCACGTTTTCACCTCCTTATCACAGTGGTCAGAAAGCAGATGAATATACTTTCTAGATTCCCTACCAGCTACGGTTTAGGAGGTAATGTTGGTTGTGTCAATGAGAGGCATTCATGAGAGATTTGGAAGGCAGAAGAGAGGTAAATACTCCCTTCTTATAACAGTGGATACAGTGGTGGCTTTCAAGCAATTTCTAACAGAAGCCACATTCTAAACACTAGTCTTTTGTGGCATGAGGCAGCCAAGGGGACAGCAGAGTGGACAAGAGCTGCAGCAGCTGCCTGACCTCCACCTCACAGGGACAGTGATTGATCTTAATGCCAATTGACCTGTGGCAGTTCTCTGGTTTCCATTCTTCCAGCCCTTATGATTATTTTGTAAGTACCTAATTCACTGCATTACATCCTTTCTGCTTCGGCTACCTAGACTGGTTTCCATTTCCTTAACTGAATGCCGGCTGATATACCTATCATGTTTTCTTTATCCACATGCTTGAAGTTGAAGATAATTCACTGCTCCCATACCTATCTTTCCCTCTGCAGATAGGAGAGAAAGGTAGTAGAAAGCAAGAAGTTTCCTCTCAAGGGTATGACCTGGAAGTAACACACATAATTTCACTAGGACTCTATAGAACACAGTCCCATGGTCACCCTGAGATGCAAAGAAGGCAGAAGAGTAGACACCAGCAGGGCAAACACATGATCACTAAAACTTGTGGAAGTTAATTGCTAAAAGGAAGAAGAGAAAAATTGGATATTGGGGGGACAATTAGCAGTCTCTATCACAGATCCCCTCAATACATCACCCACTTTCAATAACAAAGCAATCATGGTTGTTAATTAAGGAAAGGCATTGAAAAGAAGGGTTAGAGCCAAAACCAGACAATGTGAAAGTGTTACCATTTCAGTAGTAGCCAATCACAGACCAGAAACAGGAAAAGGTCATTTTGTCATAAATTTAATTCTATCAATAAAACTGACTTAAATTATTGAATTTCTTTACTCATATTCTGGTCCTTTGAGACTTACTACAGCCTACCTTACACACTTTTGAGTGGCATTTAGGAAAGTAATACATTTCAGTTTTCTTCTCATTAGGCCAGCCTTCCTTATGTTCTCAGAACACTAATCACTGAGGTCTTCATTTGGGACAGAAAATTCAGTACTATATACGTTCAGATATTTTATTTTCTTAAGAGATTTTTATTATGACCCATAGTCATAACCTTTATTATTTTTTGTGGGCCTCCTTTTGAAGTGATTCTGTTTGAAACAGTCAGGCCCCAATTAGGAAATATTTTCTTTGCTTCAGAGAAGGTGGTGGCATTTTCAAAGCTCTAAGCTTAGCACCTTAAAGAGTTTGGACAGAGAGCAGCACTTGAATCCTATAATTATACTGTGTTTTGGAGCATGGATTATGACAGGTGTGCAAGCAGGACCAACTAATGAGAGAGTTGGCAAAACAGTTGAATTTTCATATAATTCACTGGTCAAAAGCTAATCATTAACAGTAATAACAACGGGTCTTTAGGAAGACTAGAGCTTCGATTATGGCTCAAAGTAATATTTCCTATCAGAATTTCAGGCACATTTTAATACACTAGCTGCAATGTTTTATCCAATCTTTTGGCTTTTATTTTACCTAGAAAATATCTCATATAATTCTGCCACATTTGTAATCACAGAACAGTTGATATTGTAGAACCTTAAAGACCGTCTTGTTCAGCCTCCCATTCAGGAAGGAATTTACCTCTAATGACCCCTACACACCTCGTTGAGCTCCCAAAAAACTGGTGCTTCAGCCTGCTCTCTGAAAAACTAGAAGAGTAGAACCTATCTCAAAGGTTAAGAGAATTATTTAGTTCATATTTATAAAACCCTTAGAAAGTATTAAATACTAAATAAATATTTACTAAATCCAAAAACTACTCAAGAGAAAGAACTGTGGATCCAAAGGAATGACACATAGAAGGGGAGTTTCTGTGCCATTTAGAGAGCTCTTGTTAGAATATTTTCCTCTGAGGACTTGAATTTGGTTCTCACTCTTCCTTAGCAGCAGCACAGGCTTTATGCCCCTTCAGTTCTCCAAGCACCAACCACTGCGGTAGCTGTTTCTATTTCCTTAGGACCAAAATTAAACTATCAAGTAAGTGCATGAGATATCTATCAGACATATAAGCAGTTGATGTGCTCTCAAAGGAATGCGGATAGCTATATTTGTTCATTTTGAATAGATTTTTCACTGATTATCAATCCAAACTCAGATCATGTCAGTTCTCTATTCAAATTTACTTAGGGTAAAAGCCAAAATCCTTACAAGACCCAACAAAATATGGCCCCTTTACACCTCTTTGATTTCTCTCACTAAGCTTCTCTTGCCCTTCCTGCCACATCAACCTCACCTATTCCACTCACAGTCACCAAATGCACTGGAATCTTCTGTAGTTCCGACATATCAATCAGACTCCCAACTCAAGACTTTTGCCATTGCCCTTTTTTCACCTAGAACATCCAGCCATAAACCCCTATATTTGCATGGCACTTTCTCACCTTCTTCAGCTCTTTCCTTAAAATGAGGCCTTCTCTGGCCACCATATATGAAATAGATCCAACCTGCTAAAATTTCCATCCCCAGTACTCCTTATCCCTCTTACTACACTGTATTTTCTTCTACAGCAATTATCATCAAACATACTTCATTATGTACTTGTTTATCTGTTCGTTCTCTGCACAACCATCTCTACACCCTGCCTCACAATACTATGTAAGCTCCATGAGGATAATAACTTTGGTCACTGGAATATCCCCAGCCTTGTATATTGTAGATGCCTAATAATATCTATTGAATGAGTAAACAGATGAATAAATAACTAATATTCATATATGCCTAGCATATATATAAGCATACTTATTGGACTCAGTTTTTTCTCCATTAATTCAGCCATGTGTTCAAGGCTGCCAGTATTCCTAGTTTGGGCAGGGGCCTCCAATATTTAACAACTGAACCAACAAAGCTTTCTGAATGTGATCATTCTCAGCACTGACCTAGTCATGGTGTCCATAAGGTTCCCAGAGCCCCATGTGCCCCCAAATCACCTGTGACCTCTCTCTTTCATTTCTAATTCAATAAGCCCTTCAAACCAAAAGGCTATATTATACGCTTAAGATAAAGACAGTCACCTAAAGGAGGAAAAAGTAAAGAAAAAAATATATATCTCATTTGAGGGGGGAAGGCATCAATTTTATCTTTGTATACCCAACTTAAATGCAACCTCTAAAACAAGTATGCACTCAAGTTTTTATATACAAGACAGTATAATAGTGCTTAGAGCTTTGCTTATCTAATACTGTAGCCACTAGCCACTTATGACTATTAAAATTTAAATTAAAATAACTCTTCAGTTTTTCTAGTAATAGTTCAAGTGCACCAAAGCCCCATGCAGCTAGTGGTTACTGTGTAAGACAGCACAGATATAGAACATTTCCATCATCACAGAAAGTTCTATTGGACAGCACTGGGCTAAAGGATACAGTGACCAATTAATTATTACTGGATAGCATCCTGTAGAAAGGCCTTAGTTTACATGCCAGTCTCCAGACATGTCCAGTGCCAGCTTGACAATCTAAGTGGGACTTCAGAAAGGTTACATGACCTCACTGAGACTCATTTTCCTGAGGTGTTATGAGGATTATATGATGCTATTTATTTAAAGTGATTAGGATAGAGTTTGGTACATAATACATAATCAATATTTACTAATATTATTGTTGCTATTATTAACAAAAGCTAAAATAGTCATTTATTTATACTTCATAGTATAAATAACACTTTAGGCTATGAAGCCTGTGCAATATTTTCTTAGGTACGTGTAAGATGCACAAACAACATGGAGGTGGTTGGAAAGGAGGCCAGATGAAGGTGAAAAGAACCCGGCCAGGAGCGGTGGTGGCTCATGCCTGTAATACCAGCACTTTGGGAGGCTGAGGAGGGTGGATCACCTGAGGTCAGGAGATCAAGACCAGCCTGGCCAACATGGTGAAACCCCGTCTCTACTAAAAATACAAAAATTAGCTGGGCATGGTGGCAGGCGCCTGCAATCCCACCTACGTGGGAGGCTGAGGCAGGAAAATCGCTTGAACCCAGGAGGCGGAGGGTGCAGTGAACCAAATTCATGCTATTGCACTCCAGCCTGGGGGAGGACAAAAGCAAGACTCCATTAAAGAAAAAAAAAAAAAAAAAACTTTAAATGGACTGTAGTGAGAAGTGGCCAACTATCACATTCCTCTCACAAAGTGACTCACTCTTCTTCTGAAATGAAATCAGACTTTGAGGAAAAAGTTAAACTCCTCCTAGGCAAATTATCTGTGATTGTGGAGAAGCAACAGAAAAGAAAATAAGCAGATTACATGATAGAAAGTATATCAGTAACATACTGAATAGCTGGTATCTATCTCTACTCAGCAAAAGAGAACTATCTGTTGAGTTCTGGAGGATTCGAAGTTCAGAAAAAAAAATAGCAGTGGCTGATACGTTCTCATGTGTGCACACAGAAAACTGGCAGGAAATAGGCTTTTTTCAGGTACTCTTAGTCATTTAATCAGTAAAATCTGGTGCTAGTCCTCATAAACATTGGATTGTGCAGAGCATCATTGTATAATGCCCTCCAAAGGGTGAGTTCAGACAATAAACTGTCTTCAGGTGAGTCCAAGAGAGACCCATTATATTCATCAAATACTTAATTGAGTGACTGCGATGTGCCTGTTGGTGTTTGAGATATGGGAACAACATATTAGTGAACAAAACCAAAATCTCTACCCTCGTTGAGCCTGCATCCTAGCAATCCTACGTAGTTCCATTTTCAGTGAAGTTATACTTACCAAAGAAGATTAGTTTATTTACAAAGTAAAAGTGACTAAGAGATTTAAGAATAGTAGGTTTAAAATGGTAAATATATTTAAAACTGTTTATACTAATGACACAAGAGGAAAATATCAATGCAATCAAACTGTTTTTTCATATGCCTCTGTTATTTAGAGCTGATACTTATTTAAAAATCTCATAGACTTCTTTCTCTAAAAATAGAAAATATTAAGGAAGATTAAAATAACTTGTCCTTCATTTAATAGCAACAAACAATAAATAAAGCTTACAAGTTAGAATTTTTCTTTTATCTCGAAGCATAAATTGGGAGACCTACATAATCCTCTTTCTGTTTTCTCATGTAAGTAATTGTGAAGGGGCAACTCCAGATATCTCACGGCCAATTTAATTTTTGGCTATCTGGCATAATTTTAGGAAAGTGAATATTCAAGTAAAAAATTTCTTAGGTTATTTTATCACATGCAACTCTATCACTCATATTCTAATTATTTCTACATTTTTATTTTATCACTAGAATATATAGGACAATATGAATCAATGATCTATCCATATGTTCATTATTATAACTTCTGGTATATCAAATGTATAAGATGAACTTTACTTAGACATAAAATTCATAAATTTCAAGACTGATTCTTTAGAGATTGCTTTTTTAGTATTCATTAGCTTTTAATTTAACCTTTTCCTACAAGCTGCTCAAACCCACAGAAATCATTAGCTATTGCTACATGATACTGTAAAACAACTAACCTCAAAACCTCAGTGGTATAAAACAATAAACATTGTTTTTGTTTTTAATACTCTTGAGTTTCAGGTCAGCTAGAAGAGCTCTGCTTCATGTGTTTCTCCCTCATCGTGGGCTAGCAGGCTCCTGGGGGTGGTACAAGCTCAAGAGAGCAAGCTGGCACATGTCAAGGCTTATCTGCCAATGCAAGGGAAAAGAAGGTGCACACTAGCCACTGTGAGGTTGGGGAAGGACAACAGTAAAGTCTCCTTGGCAAAGCTATGGATCTAGAAAGAGGTAAAGAACTGGACTAAATAATTCAATCTACTGAGATTAGATCTGGAACATAGTCTGCATATGATGAAATGAGCACAGCTTCCATCTCTGAAAATGTCAGAGGTTTATATATTCCATATCAAGACAGCCTCAACAATCTCAAAAATATCTATGATGAGGACAACTTGGTGAGAGGGAGTGTATACATCACTATGAATTTATCACAAATTAGGAAATGTTTTCACATGGTAATGACAATTTATACATTTCAAAAGAAACTGTTTGGTCCTCATAGCTACAGATTTTATTATTGCTATAAGTTAAAGTGGCTACCTAATGGTTTTGAAAAGAGAACTACAGCATTCAGTGTTCAGTAAGGTCCAGGCACTGCAAAGTTTAAAAGTAACTTCAAATTTCCATTAAAAAATAAAACCCTGGAGGTGGCCGGCCTGATGGCCGAATAGGAACAGCTCCGGTCTTCAGCTCCCAGTGAGATCAATGCAGAAGGTGGGTGATTTCTGCATTTCGAACTGAGGTACTCATCTCATCTCATTAGGACTGGTTAGACAGTGGGTGCAGCCCATGGCGAGCCGAAGCAGGGTGGGGCACTGCCTTACACAGGAAGCACAAGGGGTCGGGAAACTCCCTCCCCTAGCCAAGGGAAGCTGTGAGGGACTGTGCAGTGAGGAAAGGTGCGCTTCTTTCCTCATGCCCAGATACTACATTTTTCCCATGGTCTTTGCAACCTGCAGGCTAGGAGATTCCCTCGGGTGCCTACAGAATCAAGGCCCTGCGTTTCAAGCACAAAACTGGGCGGCCATTTGGGCAGACACCAAGCTAGCTGCAGGAGTTTTTTCTCATACCCCAGAGGCACCCAGAACGTGAACGAAACAGAACCGCTCACTCCCCTGAAAAAGTGGCCGAAGCCAGGGAGCCAAGCGGTCTAGCTCAGTGGATTCCACCCCAAAGGAGCCCAGCAAGCTAAGATCCACTGGCTTGAAATTCTTGCTGCCAGCACAGCAGTCTGAAGTCGACCTGGGATGCTAGAGCTTGGTAAGGGTAGGGGTATCTGCCATTACTGAGGCTTGAGTAGGCGGTTTTCCCCTCACAGTGTAAAAAAAGCCTCCAGGAAGTGTGAACAGGGGAGAGTCCATCGCAGCTCAGCAAAGCCGCTGGAGCCAGATTGCCTCTCTAGATTCCTCCTCTCTGGGCAGGGCATCTCTGAAAGAAAGACACCAGCTCCAGTCAGGGGCTAATAGATAAAACTCCCACCTCCCTGGGACAGAGCACCTGGGGGAAGGGGCGGCTGTGGGTGCAGCTGCAGCAGACTTAAATGTTCCTGCCTGCTGGCTCTGAAGAGAGCAGCAGGTCTCCCAGAACAGCGCTGAAGCTCTGCTAAGGGACAGACTACCTCCTCAAGTGGGTCCCTGACCCCCGTGCCTGCTGACTGGGAGACACCTCCCAGCAGGGGTCGACAGACACCTCATACAGGACACCTCTAGCTGGCATCTGGAGGATGCCCCCCTGGGATGAAGCTTCCAGAGGAAAGAACAGGAAGCAATCTTTGCTGTTCTGCAGCCTCTGCTGGTGATACCCAGGCAAACAGGGTCTGGAGTGGACGTCCAGCAAACTCCAGGAGACCTGCAGCAGAGGGGCCTGTCAGAAGCAAAACTAACAAACAGAAAGAAATAGCATCAACATAAACAAAAAGATGTCTAAACAAAAACCCCATCCAAAGATCACCAACATCAAAGAACAAAGGTAGATAAATCCACAAAGATGAGGAAAAAACAGTGCAAAAAGGCTGAAAATTCCAAAAACAAAAACGCCTCTTCTCTGCCAAAGGATCACAACTCCTTGCCAGCAAGAGAACAAAACTGGATGGAGAATGAGTTTGATGAATTGACAGAAGTAGGCTTCAGAAGGTGGGTAAAAACAAATGCCTCCCAGCTAAAGGAGCATGTTTTAACCCAATGCAAGGAAGCTAAGAACCTTAAAAAAGAGAAGAGAAAATGCTAACTAGAATAACCAGCTAAGAGAAGAACATAAATGACCTGATGGAGCTGAAAAGCACATCACGGAACTTCGTGAAGCATACACAAGTATGAATAGCCGAATTGATGAACACGAAGAAAGGAGATCAGAGATTGAAGATCAACTTAATGAAATAAAGCGTGAAGACAAGATTAGAGAAAAAAATAATAAAAAGGAATGAACAAAGCCTCCAAGAGATATGGGACTATGTGAAAAGACCAAATCTACATCTGATTGGCATACCTGAAAGTCATGGGGAGAATGGAACCAAGTTGGAAAACACTCTTCAGGATATTATCCAGGAGAACTTCCCCAACCTAGCAAGACAGGCCAACATTCAAATTCAGGAAATACAGAGAAAACCATAAAGATACTCCTTGAGAAGAGCAACCCAAGACACATAATCATCAAATTCACCAAGGCTGAAATGAAGGAAAAAATGTTAAGGGCAGCCACAGAGAAAGGTTGGGTTACCCACAAAGGGACACTCATCAGACTAATAGCAGAACTCTCTGCAGAAACCCTACAAGACAGAAGACAGTGGGGGCCAATAGTCAACATTCTTAAAGAAAAGAATTTTCAACCCAGAATTTCATTTCCAGCCACACTAAGCTTCATAAGTGAAGGAGAAATAAAATCCTTGACAGACAAGCAAATGCTGAGAGATTTTGTCACCACCAGGCCTGCCTTACAAGAGGGCCTGAAGGAAGCACTAAACATGGAAAGGAATAACCGGTACCAGGCAATGCAAAAACATACCAAATTGCAAAGAACATCGACACCATGAAGAAACTGCATCAACTAATGGGCAAAATAACCAGCTAGCATCATAATGACAGGATCAAATTCACACATAACAATATTAAGCTTAAACGTAAATGGGTTACCTTAAAAGACACAGATTGGAAAACTGGATAAAGAGTCAAGACTCATTGCTGTGCTGTATTTAGGTGACGCATCTCACGTGCAGAGACACACATAGGCTCAAAATAAAGGGAAGAGGAATACCTAGCAAGCAAAAAAAAAAAAAAAACCAGGAGTTGCAATCCTAGTCTCTGATAAAACAGACTTTAAACCAACAAAGATCAAAAAAGACAAAGAAGGGAATTACATAATGGTAAAGGGATCAATGCAACAAGAAGAGCTAACTATCCTAAGTATACATGTACCCAACACAGGAGCACCCAGATTCATAAAGCAAGTTCTTAGAGACCTACAAGGAGACTTAGACTGCCACACAATAATAGTGGAAGACTTTAACCACCCATTGTCAATATTAGACAGATCAACAAGACAGAAAATTATAAAGGATATTCAGGACTTGAACTCAGCTCTGGACCAAACAAACCTAATAGACATCTACAGAACTCTCCACCCCAAAACAACAGAATATAGATTCTTCTCAGCACCTCATTGCACTAATTCTAAAATAGACCAAATAATTGGAAGTAAAACACTCCTCAGTAAATGCAAAAGAATGGAAATCATAACAGTCTCTCAGACCACAGTGCAATCAAATTAGAACTCAGGGTTAAGAAACTCACTCAAAACTGCACAACTACATGGAAACTGAACAATCTGCTCCTGAATGCCTACTGGGTAAATAATGTAATTAAGGCAGAAATAAATAAGTTTTTTCAAACCAATGAGAACAAAGATACAATGTAGCAGAATCTCTGGGACACAGCTAAAGCAGCATTTAGAGGGAAACTTATAGCACTAAATGCCCACAGGAGAAAGCAGGAAAGATCTAAATCGACACCCTAACATCACAATCAAAAGAACTAGACAAGCAAGAGCAAGCAAATTCAAAAGTTAGCAGAAGACAAGAAATAACTAAGATCAGAGCAGAACTGAAGGAGATAGAGACACAAAAAAACCCATCAAAAAAATCAATGAATCAAGGGCTGGTATTTTGAAAAGATTAACAAAATAGATAGACCGCTAGCCAGACTAATAAAGAAGAAGAGAGAGAAGAATCAAATAGACACAATAAAAAATGATAAAGGAGTATCACCACTGATCACACAGAAATAAAAACTACCATCAGAGAATAATATAAATACCTCTATGCAAATAAACTAGAAAATCTGGAAGAAATGGATAAATTCCTTGACACATACACCCTCCCAAGACTAAACCAGAAAGAAGTTGAATACCAGAATAGACAAATAACAACTTCTGAAACTGAGGCAATAATTAACAGCCTACCAATCAAAGCCCAGAACCAGATGGATTCACAACCAAATTCTACCAGAGGTACAAAGAGGAGCTGGTACCATTTCTTCTGAAACTATTCCAAACAATAGAAAAACAGGGAGTCCTCCCTAACTCATTTTATGAGGCCAGCATCATCTTGATTACCAAAACCCGGCAGAGACACAACAACAACAACAACAAAATTTCAGGCCAATATCCCTGATTAACACCAATGCAAAAATCCTCAATAAAATACTGGCAAACTGAATCCAGCAGCACATCAAAAAGCTTATCCACCACAATCAAGTCGGCTTCATCCCTGGGATGAAAGGCTGGTTCAACATACACAAACCAAGAAACGTAATCCATCACATAAACAGAATCAATGACAAAAACCACATGGTTATCTCAATAGATGCAGAAAAGGCCTCTGACAAAATTCAACACTGCTTCATTCTAAAAACACTCAATAAACTACATTATCGATGGAATGTATCTCAAAATAATAAGAGCTATTTATGACAAACCCACAGCCAATATCATACTGAATGGGCAAAAACTGGAAGCATTCCATTTGAAAACAGGCACAAGACAAGGATGCCCTCTCTCACCACTCCTATACAATATAGTATCGGAAGTTCTGGCCAAGGCAATCAGGCAAGAGAAAGAAATAAAGTGCATTCAAATAGGAAGAGGGGAAGTCAAATTGTCTCTGTTTGAAGATGACATGATTGTATATTTAGAAAACCCCATCGTCTCAGCCCCAAGTCTCCTTAAGCTGATAAACAACTTCAGCAAAGTCTCAGAATACAAACTCAATGTGCAAAAATCACAAGTATTGCTATACACCAATAATACACAGAGAGCCAAATCATGAGTGAACTCCCATTCACAACTGCCAGTAAGAGAATAAAATACCTAAGAATACAACTTACAAGGGATGTGAAAGACCTCTTCAAGGAAAACTACAAACCACTGTCAAGGAAATAAGAGAGGACATAAACAAATGGAAAAACATTCCCTGCTCATGGATAGGAAGAACCAGTATGGTGAAAATGGCCATACTGGCCAAAGTAATTAATAGACTCAATGCTACTCCCATCAATCCACCCTTGACTTTCTTCAAAGAATTATAAAAAACTACTTTGAATTTCATAAGGAACCAAAAAAGAGCATGTATAGCCAAGACAATCCTGGGCAAGAAAAACAAAGTGGGAGGCAACATGCTATCTGACCTCAAAACTATACTACAAGGCTACAGTAACCAAAACAGCATGGTACTGGTACCAAAACAGATATATAGACCAATGGAACAGAACAGAGGCCTCAGAAATAATGTCACACATCTACAACCATCTGATCTCTGACAAAACTGACAAAAACAAGCAATGGGGAAAGGATTCCCTATTTAATAAATGGTGTTGGGAAAACTGGCTAGCCATATGCAGAAAACTGAAACTGGACCCCTTCCTTACAACTTATACAAAAATTAACTCAAGATGGATTAAAGACTTAAACGTAAGACCTAAAATCATAAAAACCCTAGAAGAAAACCTAGGCAATACCATTCAGGAACACAGGCCTATGGGCAAAGACTTCATGACAAAAACACCAAAAGCAATGGCAACAAAAGCCAGAATTGACAAACGGGATCTAATTAAACTGAAGAGTTGGCTTGGGTTCCAAGATGGCAGAATAGGAACAGCTCCAGTCTGCAGCTCCCAGCGTGAGCGACACAGAAGACGGGTGATTTCTGCATTTCCAACTGAGGTAGTGGGTTCATCCCACTGGGATTTGTTGGACAGTGGGTGCAGCCCACGGAGTGTGAGCTGAAGCAGGGCAGGCATCGCCTCACCTGAGAAGTGCAAGGGTTCAGGGAATTCCCTTTCCTAGCCAAGTAAAGCCATGACAGACAACGGTACGTGGAAAATCGGGACACTCCCACCCTAATACTGCGCTTTTCCAACAGTCTTAGCAAACAGCACAACAGGAGATTATACCCCATGCCTGGCTCAGAGGGTACCATGCCCACAGAGCCTTGCTCACTGCTAGCACAGCAGTCCAAGATCAAACTGCAAGGCGGCAGCGAGGCTGGGGGAGGGGCATCCGCCATTGCTGAGGTTTGAGTAGGTAAACAAAGTGGCCGGAAGCTCAAACTGGGTGAAGCCCACTGCAGCTCAACAAGGCCTGCCTGCCTCTGTAGACTCCACCTCTGGCGGCAGGGCATAGGTGAACAAAAGGCAGCAGAAACTTCTGCAGACTTAAATGTCCCTGTCTGACAGCTTTGAGGAGAGTAGTGGTTCTCCCAGCATGGAGTTTGAGCTCTCAGAACACACAGACCGCCTTCTTAAGTGGGTCCCTAACCCCCAAGTAGCCTAACTGGAAGACACCGCCCAGTAGGGGCTGACTGACACCTCATTCAGCCGGGTGCCCCTCTGAGATGAAGCTTTTAGAGGAAGGATGAGGCAGCAACATTTGCTGTTCTGCAATATTTGCTGTTCTGCACCCTCCACTGGTTATACCCAGGCAAACGGGGACTGGAGTTCACCTCCAGCAAACTCCAAAAGACGTGCAGCTGAGGGTCCTGAGTGTTAGAAGGAAAACTAACAAACAGAAAGGAATAGCATCAACATCAACAAAAAGGACATCCACACCAAAACCCCATCTGTAGGTCACCATCATCAAAGACCAAAGGTAGATAAAACAACAAAGATGGGGAGGAACCACAGCAGAAAAGCTGAAAATTCTAAAAATCAGAGCTCTTCTTCTCCTTCAAAGGAACACGGCTCCTAACCAGCAACAGAACAGAGCTGGACGGAGAATGACTTTGACGAGTTGACAGAAGTAGGCTTCAGAAGATCAGTAATAACAAACTTCTCCGAGCTAAAGGAGGATGTTCAAACCCATCAAAAGAAGCTAAAACCTTGGAAAAAGATAAGACAAATGGCGAACTAGAATAAACAGTGTAGAGAAGACCTTAAATGACCTCATGGAGCTGAAAGCCACGGCAAGAGAACTACATGATGCATACACAAGCTTCAGTAGCCAATTCGATCAAGTGGAAGAAACAGTATCAGTGATTGAAGATCAAATGAATGAAATGAAGCAAGAAGAGAAGTATAGACAAAAAAGAGTAAAAAGAAACAAACAAAGCCTCCAAGAAATATGGGACGATGTGAAAAGACCAAATCTACGTCTGATTGGTGTACCTGAAAGTGATGGGGAGAATGGAACCAAGTTGGAAAACACTCTTCAGGATATTATCCAGGAAAACTTCCCAAACCTAGCAAGACAGGCCAACATTCAAATTCAAGAAATACAGAGAATGCCACAAAGATACTCCTCGAGAAGAGCAACCCCAAGACACATAATTGTCAAGATTCACCAAGGTTGAAATGAAAGAAAAAACATTAAATGCAGCCAGAGAGAAAGGTCGGGTTACCCACAAAGGGAAGCCCATCAGACTAACAGCAGATCTCTCAGCAGAAACTCTACAAGCCAGAAGAGCATGGGGGCCAGTATTCAATATTCTTAAAGAAAAGAAAACTAATCTGCCGAACTAAGCTTCATAAGTGAAGGAGAAATAAAATTCTTTACAGACAAGCAAATGCTGAGGGATTTTGTCACCACCAGGCCTGCCTTACAAGAGCTCCTGAAGGAAGCACTATACATGGAAAGGAACAACCAGTACCAGCCACTGCAAAAACATGCCAAATTGTAAAGACCATCAATGCTAGGAAGAAACTACATCAACTAACGAGCAAAATAACCAGCTAACACTATAATGACAGGATCAAATTCACACATAACAATATTAACCTTAAATGTAAATGAGCTAAATGCCCCAATTAAAAGACACAGACTGGAAAATTGGATAAAGAGTCAAGACCCATCAGTGTGCTGTATGCAGGAGACCCATCTCACGTGCAGACACACATAGGCTCAAAATAAAGGGATGGAGGAAGATATACCAAGCAAACAGGAAAAAAAAAAAAAAAAAGCAGGTGTTGCAATCCTAGTCTCTGATAAAACAGACTTTAAACCAACAAAGATCAAAAGAGACAAAGAAGGCCATTACATAACGATAAAGGGATCAGTTCAACAAGAAGAGCTAACTATCCTAAATATATATGCACCCAATACAGGAGCACCCAGATTCATAAAAAAAGTCCTTAGAGACCTACAAAGAGACTTGGACTCCTACACAATAATAATGGGAGACTTTAACACCCCACTATCAATATTAGACAGATCAACGAGACAGAAAGTTAACAAGGATATTCATGACTTGAACTCACCTCTGCACCAAGCAGACCTAATAGACTTCTATAGAACTCTCCATGCAAATCAACAGAATATACATTCTTCTCAGCACCACATCGCACTTATTCCAAAACTGACCACATAATTGAAAGTAAAGCACTCCTCAGCAAATGTAAAAGAACAGAAATTACAACAAACTGTCTCTCAGACCACAGTGCAATCAAATTAGAACTCAGGATTAAGAAACTCACTCAAAACTGCACAACTACATGGAAACTGAACAACCTGCTCCTGAATGACTACTGGGTAAATAACGAAATGAAGCAAGAAATAAAGATGTTCTTTGAAACCAATGAGAACAAAGACACAATATACCAGAATCTCTGGGACACATTTAAAGCAGTGTGTAGAAGGAAATATATAACACTAAATGCCCACAAGAGAAAGCAGGAAAGATCTAAAATCGACACCCTAACATCACAATCAAAAGAACTAGAGAAGCAAGAGCAAACACATTCAAAAGCTAGCAGAAGGCAAGAAATAACTAAGATTAGAGCACAACTGAAGAAGATACAGACACAAAAAACCCTTCAAAAAAATCAATGAATCCAGGAACTGGTTTTTTGAAAAGATCAACAAAATTGATAGACCACTAGCAAGACTAATAAAGAAGAAAATAGAGAAGAACCAAATAGATGCAATAAAAAATGATAAAGGGGATACCACCACTGATCCCACAGAAATACAAACTACCATCAGAGAATACTATAAACACCTTTATGCAAATACAATAGAAAATCTAGAAGAAATTGATAAATTCCTCAACACATACACCCTCCCAAGACTAAACCAGGAAGAAGTTGAATCCCTGAATAGACCAATATGAGGCTCTGAAATTGAGGCAATAATTAATAGCCTACCAACCAAAAAAAGTGCAGGACCAGAGGGATTCACAGCTAAATTCTAAGAGAGGTACAAAGAGGAGCTGGTACCATTCCTTCTGAAACTATTCCAATCAACAGAAAAAGAGGGGCTCCTCCCTAACTCATTTTATGAGGCCAGCATCACCCTGACACCAGGCAGACATACAATAAAAAAAGAAAATTTCAGGCCAACATTCCTGATGAATATCGATGCAAAAATACTCAATAAGACACTGGCAAACTGAATCCAACAGCACATCAAAAAGCTTATCCACCACAATCAAATTAGCTTCACCACTGGGATGCAAGACTGGTTCAACATACACAAATCAATAAACATAATCCAGCATATGAACAGAACCAAAGACAAAAACCACATGATTATCTCAATAGATGCAGAAAAGCCCTTTGACAAAATTCAACATCCATTCATGCTAAAAAAACTGTGAATAAATTAGGTATTGATGGGATGTATCTCAAAATCATTAGAGCTATTTATGACAAACCCACAGCCAATATCACACTGAATGGGCAAAAACTGGAAGCATTCTCTTTGAAAACTGGCACAAGACAGGGATGCCCTCTCTCACCACTCCTATTCAACATAGTGTCGGAAGTTCTGGCCAGGGCAATCAGGCAAAAGAAAGAAATAAAGGGTATTCAGTTAGGAAAAGAGGAAGTCAAATTGCCCCTGTTTGCAGATGACATGACTGTATATTTAGAAAACCCCATCATCTGAGCCCAAAATCTCCTTAAGCTGATAAGCAACTTTAGCAAAGTCTCAGGATACAAAATCAATGGCAAAAATCACAAGCATTCCTATACACCAATAACAGACAAACAGAGAGCCAAATCATGAGTGAACTCCCATTCCCAATTGCTTCAAAGAGAATAAAATACCTAGGAATCCAACTTACAAGGGACATGATGGACCTCTTCAAGGAGAACTACAAATCACTGCTCAAGGAAATAAAAGAGGACACAAAAAAATGGAAGAACATTCCATGCTCATGGATAGGAAGAATCAATATCATGAAAATGGCCATACTGCCCAAAGTAATTTATAGATTCAATGCAATCCCCATCATGCTACCAATGACTTTCTTCACAGAATTGGAAAAAACTACTTTAAAGTTCGTATGGAACCAAAAAAGAGCCTGCATTGCCAAGACAATCCTAAGCAAAAAGAACAAAGCTGGGGGCATCATGCTACCTGACTTCAAACTATACTATATGACTACAGTAACCAAAACAGCAGGGTACTGGTACCAAAACAGACATGTAGACCAATGGAACAGAACAGAGCCCTCAGAAATAATACCACACATCTACAACCATCTGATCTTTGACAAACCTGAGAAAAACAAGAAATGCAGAAAGGATTCCCTATTTAATAAATGGTGCTGGGAAAACTGGCTAGCCATATGTAGAAAGCTGAAACTGGATCCCTTCCTTACACCTTATACAAAAATCAATTCAAGATGGATTAAAGACTTAAATGTTAGACCTAAACCCATAAAAACCCTAGAAGAAAACCTACCATTCAGGACATAGGCATGGGCAAGGACTTCATGACTAAAACACCAAAAGCAATGGCAACAAAAGCCAAAATTGACAAATGGGATGTAATTAAACTAAAGAGCTTCTGCACAGCAAAAGAAACCACCATCAGAGTGAACAGGCAACCTACAGAATGGGAGAAATTTTTTGCAACCTACTCATCTGACAAAGGGCTAATATCCAGAATCCACAAAGAACTCACACAAATTTACAAGAAAAAAACAAACAACCCCATCAAAAAGTGGGCAAAGGATATGAACAGACACTTCTCAAAAGAAGACATTTATGCAGCCAACAAACACATGGAAAAATGCCCATCATCACTGGCCATCAAAGAAATGCAAATCAAAACCACAATGAGATACCACCTGATGCCAGTTAGAATGGCAATCATTAAAAAGTCAGGAAAAAACAGGTGCTGAAGAGGATGTGGAGAAATAGGAACACTTTCACACTGTTGGTGGGACTATAAACTAATTTAACCATTGTGGAAGACAGTGTTGTGATTCCTCAAGGATCTAGAACTAGAAATACCATTTGACCCAGCAATCTCATTACCGGGTATATACCCAAAGGATTATAAACCATCCTGCTATAAAGACACATGCACAAGTATGTTTATTGCACACTATTCACAATAGCAAAGACTTGGAACCAACCCAAATGTCCATCAATAATAGACTGGATTAAGAAAATGTGGCACATATACACCATGGAATACTATGCAGCCATAAAAAAGGATGAGTTCATGTCCTTTGTAGGGACATGGATGAAACTGGAAACCATCATTCTGAGCAAATTATCACAAGGACAGAAAACCAAACACCGCATGTTCTCACTCTTAGGTGGAAATTGAACAATGAGAACACCTGGACACAGGGTGGGGAACATCACACACTGGGGCCTGTCATGGGGTGGGGGAAGTGGGAAGGGATAGCATTAGGAGAAATACCTAATGTAAATGACGAGTTAATGGGTGCAGTACACCAACATGACATGTGTATACATATGTAACAAACCTGCACGTTGTTGACACGTACCCTAGAACTTCAAGTATAATAATAATAAAAAAAAGAAAATGTGGAAATGTTGGAGAAGATTCAGAAAATACTATGAAAAATAAAAGTACTGTAAAAATAAAAGCTGGGAGCAAGATTAAAGGGATTTATTTTTGCTAAGGTTTAAAAATACTTAAGAGTGACTGATGCACTAATTGGCGATCACATCAAAGGTTTTCACATAGAGCAAAAAAAAAAAAACTGAAGAGTTTCTGCACAGCAAAAGAAACTGTCATCAGAGTGAACAGGCAACCTACAGAATGGGAGAAAATTTTTGCAATCTATCCATCTGACAAAGGCATAATATCCAGAATCTACAAGGAACCTAAATTTACAAGAAAAAAATTAGACAACCTCATCAAAAAGTGGCCAAAGGATATGAACAGACACTTCTCAAAAGAAGACATTTATGTGGTCTACAAACATATGAAAAACAGCTCATCATCACTGGTCATTTGAAAAATGCAAATCAAAACTACTATGAGATACCATCTCACACCAGTTAGAATGGTGATCATTAAAAACTCAGGAAACAACAGATGCTGGAGAGGATGTGGAGAAATAGGAATGCTTTTACAGTGTTGGTGGGAGTGTAAATTAGTTCAACCATTGTGAAAGACATTGTGGCGATTCCTCAAGGATCTAGAACCAGAAATACCATTTGTCCCAGCAATCTCATTACTGGGTATATACCCAAAGGATTATAAATCATTCTACTATAAAGACACATGCACATGTATGCTTACTCCAGCCCTATTCACAATATCAAAGACTTCGAACCAACCCAAATGCCCATGAATGATAGACTGGATAAAGAAAATGTGGCACATATACACCATGGAATACTATGCAGCCATAAAAAAGGATGAATTCATGTTCTTTGGAGGGACATGGACGAAGCTGGAAACCATCATTCTCAGCAAACTAACACAGGAACAGAAAACCAAACACTGCATGTTCTCACTCAAGTGGGAGTTGAACAATGAGAACACATGAACACAGGGAGGGGAACATCACACACTGGGGCCTCCCAGTGGATGAGGGTCTGGGGGAGGGATAGCATTAGGAAAAATACCTAATGTAGATGACGGGTTGATGGGTGCAGCAAACCACCATGGCACGTGTATACCTATGTAACAAACCTGTACGTTCTGCACATCTCAGAACTTAAAGTATAATTTAAAAAAATAAAAATAAAACCCTGTAGTAGCAAAAGTAACTGGATATGAACATGATCATTAATTTTTCCCAATTACTTGAGTTATTTTTTAAGGAAACACATTCGGTTTGATTCTCTAGTCACTTTTGAAATGATATAACAATTTTTTCTTAGAATTCAAGGAAGAAAAGTTATATACCCTATTTTGTTTGGGAGAAGAATACAGTGTGTGTGTGTGTGTGTGTGTGTGTGTGTGTGTGTGTGTGTGTGTGTGTGTGAATTAAAGCATACAAACAATGTCACCTTCAAAAGTAGGAACTTGAAGAAGATCTATGCTTATTTTGAGAATGTACCCAGTACCAAAACAGCTTGAAAATTCTTGTTTGGAATTCCTATCTGAGCCAATAGCATGTTCTATCCAACATTCTTACTTAGCTTTGTTTTTCCCAAATACATATGGATTCAATTTTTTTTAAGTATCCAAAACAGTTTAGAACCAATTCTGGTCACAAGGTAATAGAGCATATATCATTACAGAAGTCAAAAAGATAATTCAAAAAAATTACTTCCTAATAGGCCATCTTAAAAGATACCACTTATTTAAATGCATAAATTATACTGAGTATATTTTAAAATATATTACATGTAAATAAAAGAGCATGACTCTGTGTTAGATATTTTTTTAAAGGATTTTCTTGAAGGATATCAAGTAGCTCTCAGAATCAACAGAGAGTTTAGAGAACCAGGCCCAGAAATTGGGCAGGCACCACAGACAACTAGACTGTAGGTAAAAGCCATGGGCGGGGAGCAAGGAGATTAAGTTACTGTCTCCCCTGCTGGTCATCTTCTCCAGTGCCATGGATGCTGCCACCACTTCACACTGTCCCTTCTGGCCATTTCTACCACTTGGCATCTCTGATGGTGCAACTAAAAACAAATGAATCCTTTGCTTATATCTCTTGCCCCTGACTGTGACCCCAGATGGGAGCATTCATTTAGCTAAACCAGGGGGCAGGTAGTGAAAAGGGAGTTTCTGATCCCCTTGCTTCTGCACAGGGAGGCAAGACCTGGAGAAAATTAAAAAGAACAGATGCCCTTACTTTCAGTCATACCTCTCAAATCCTACAAATCCTCTTATCTGTAATTCAGACAAATTCATATCAAATTCATATGATCAAGAGGTTTTTTATACATTGAATTTCAGAACCTCACAAAAAGTCTTATGATGGTAAGAGATAGCAACCTCACATCAGATGGATAAGTAAAAATTAAGACCAAGTGGTTAGATTTCTTTTTGCAAATAAGTAAATGTGGAAGTATTTTAAGCTGCCCTTTTCACTTTCTTAGGAAAATACATTTGGTTTGATTCTCTAGTCACTTTTGAAATGATATTACAAACTTTTCTTAGAATTCCAGCAAGAATTCTTGAATTCCAGGAAGAATATTCTCTTCCATCATCACCTTGATTATTATTTCCATCAGAATCATCAGGACTGCCTTTCATGTAGCACTTCCATATGCTGTCACTGTTTTAAATGCTTCACAAACATTATGATCATTCTATCTTTACAAAACCACTGCAAGGTAGGTATTTTAATCTACATTTCACAGGCTTGGAAACTGAGGCAAGGAGGCTAAGTGATTTGCGTGATGATCACAGGTCAGTCTGACCCACAGGCTAAGTACATCTCTGCCATTCTACAAAGTCTCATCAAAATGTCTCATGAAAAGAATTTCGAAGTTAGAACCATTAGAAGGAAAATTCAAATGAGTATAAAGAGAAAAGGCCGGCCTTTCTCTCCACACCCCTAGGAGTACATTAGCATGTTCTGAACTCTACTACCATTAGATCAATTTGGTGTATCTGTTGATGACTGTTGTGATGGGCAAACATTTCAACTGCAGAAATATAGAAGAGAAAAGAAATACATTATAAATATATAATCTCCATTGCTATTTTCAGTTTCCCATTTTATACTAAAAGTCTTAGTGACAGTGATCATATGTTTAGCAGATACATTTGGTACCACAGATACAAAGCATTGCCTTCCCAGATACAGCATCTAAATTATAGATTATACCCCTCACTGCAAATTAATTATGCTGGCAATAAAAAAAATCTGAACAAAGAAGAGCAGGCACTGATATATTTTCCTCTACACTAATCTGTTTCGACCTACATACACAAGCAAATTAATGAATTCATACTAGCCAATAGTTAATAAATAACACCTTGTCACTATTCATTACCTTTATTCCAAAGACGCAAACACATTTTACCAATAGGCCAATAGATATCCAGGAAATTGCCTTTTAAGGGAATATGACTTTGTTTCTTATCTGTCAGAAGCAGAATCAAAGTCCAAAGAAGATGAATTTTAAGACAAAGTCTCACAAAGATTAATTTTTTTAAAAATCTTCTTAGGTCATACATGTTCTACCTTGGTATATGTGTATCACTATACATTACCACCAATGTGGTCCATTTTTAATGAGACTACAAATACTGTAATGCAGTTCCTATTGTGCAAATGAAAGTATTAGTACTTAAATCAAGCAAATCTGTTCAGCCAATATTTACATTACTATTCCCCACTGCTTGAAATGGAATACAAAGACCTCTCTTGCTCCCAAAGAAAAATATTCAGCAAATTTTTCCATGAAAAAAATATTTTCAGTTATACTCCAAACAACAAACAAACACCAGGTAGTTACTAGAAACATCAGACACACAGGCATCAACTTTGAGTGTCTGAAAGACAGAAAGAGGCCACAAAGAATGCTTTGTTAACAGAATGTATCTCTTTGTTTAACGGCCCTTTGCCAATTTTGCTAAACAGTGAATATACTGGTTGGATGACAAAAAGTTCTTTCTCAAAGCCATCTGCTCCTCCGAGTCAATCCTGTGTGAAATAGTTTATACTAAATTTGCCACATCACACCTCATTTTCAGGTCAATAGAGTGTCTGGAGTAGAATTCCAACACTTTTGCTTATTCTAACAGAGAGATTAGTTGGATCCAGCAAATAACTTTTGAAAGTTTGGGAACCAAAATATAGTGATTGGCTACACACTCATAGATCAAGCCAACCTGATCAAGTCCTCACTGCCATCCCACCAAGAGATGCCTTTCCTAACAATAAGCTCCTTCCCTATTGCCTACAGTTTTATTTGTCTAGGAGAACACAATCAGTAATCTCTTAGTGAACACACGTCTCTTCCATCTGTAATAGATGAGTAAATTAAAAAGACAAAGCATTTTCTTACAAATATAACATTATATAAGCTGTATTTATGAAAATTATTTGGGGCACAAGCTACTGAAGCCAAAGCAAACTACCTTAAGCCAGAAAGGAAATTTTTTAGAGGGCACTACAGAGTTTCACAGAAAAACTAAGTCATGAAAAGGGCAGGGTTGAGGCTGGACTCCAGAAATTGCTGGAACCAGAGAGGCTTAAGTAGCATTAGGATTCAGTCTGCTTCTCTCAGCTCTCCCTCCACCGTGGCTTCTTTCTTTTCTCCTGAAGTAGACTAATTTTCTCCACACAGTGGAAAAATGGCCACCAACAGCTCTTGAGGTTTTGGGGACTATCTTTACAAGGAACTCTCACTAAGAATTAAAATCAACCCATGCAAAAAACATTGCTCCACAAAATCACTATTTTTTTTTAGATTCCCACTCATACTAATTTCGTCCTTTTTTTTTTTTTGAAATAGTGTTTCACTCTTGACACCCAGGCTGGAGTGCAAAGGCGCGATCTCAGCTCACCGCAACCTCCGCCTCCCGAATTCAAGCGATTCTCCTGCCTCAGCCTCCAAAGTAGCTGAGATTACAGACATGCACCACCACGCATGGCGAATTTTATTATTTTTTAGTAGAGACATGGTTTCTCCATGTTGGTCAGGCTGGTCTCAAACTCCTGACCTCAGGTGACCTGCCCACCTCGGCCTCCCAATGTCCCAATTCTTTACCTACAAAACCACACAAAAGCCTGGAATCAGTGCTAGCACCTAGCCATTCTTCTATTTCCTTGAAATTCACATTTCTCACAAAGGATGTTGTAATGGCCCATAATTCACATTTTTATATACAATCTTATTTTTACACATACTTGTTTTTAAAGCCTAATACAAAAAAAAGAACAAATAAAGTGTTAAGAAACCTAAAGTGCTAAGAAGCGCTAACTCTAGAGCTAGCTTCACCTGTAACTCATTTTGTGACATTTATCAAATCAATTGACCTCTCTGGAATTCTTTTAAAACAAAGATGTTAAACATTCCCTCAAGCCTGATGACTACTGTTAATGAGATTTGTATTCATAAACTTCTAATCACCCATGGAGATACTCTGTAATGGAAACACTGCATAATAGCTGGTAACAACTGAGGAACTCTTTTTATAATGCCATCCTTCTATGCGCTCTGGAGAATGTTACATTTTCCCTGAAAAATCAGGAAGAGAGCAATTATTTTGACAATGTAGAAGTAGGTACAAAGCAAGAAGGGTCACAGAAATACATAGGCCAGTAACCACCTTTGGAGAAGGGCTTACTAAGACCTGACCATCTATCAACTTCCCATGTTGCTATTTTATCAAAAACAAAACACTAACTATAAAAATTGAATGTCCTTCCAAAAATGTATAAAAACAAGCAAAAATTCCATAATGACAATAGACTCATTGATAGTTACCAGTTATTAAATAGTTACTCTATCAGTCACTTTTTTGAGCATTTAATCTATATTATTATATTTAGTTCTCTCAATAACCCCATGGGGTAGGTCACTTTGTTCCCACTTTACTGAAGCTTAAAGACCACTTTCTCAAGCTATTAAATGTTGGAGTTGGAACTCAATCCTAGGTTCATCACATTCTAAGGCTCATGTTGTTAGAAACAAGAGCTCAGAGTTGTGAGGAAAACTAGCACTCAAACAAAGGATTTCTCAGCAAGGCAAATTTACTTCTGCAGAAGGGCACCGCTCACACTTCTGGCCAATGAGACAGCACACCAAACAAAGGAAGGAAAAGGTTTTTATCCCTAATGTGGTTAGTCCCTGCTTCTATGTCCTGTCCCCATTTACTGGAGTCAGACCGCAAAATCTAAACTGACCTGACTGGCTACTGTTTAAAATTGAATATGGCTACTTAGGTGGGAAGAGAAAGGCTGTCTGTTACAGCACAAGGCATGTTTGGGCATGTCAGGGTGCAGCAAAGGTGGGAAGAAGAGCAGTTTACAGAATGGGTAGCCAGGAGTAAAAGAGGACTCTTCCCAAGTAAGGAAGAGATGTGAATTACAGATTGGGACTGGAGGGAAAAGTTGTTTACAGAGCAGGTGGCTTAGGAGAAGGGAGAAGGAAGTTGATCTCAAGAACAAAGAATAAGGAAGTCAAGACATTAAACCTTTGAAGAGGAACTTACTATATCTGACCATGTTCATACTGTTTCTGCTATACTTTGTCGCTTCACTTAATAGCAATGCATATCATTTACAAATACTCTACCTAAATGTACAGATGACATTCTCTGTATTTGGGTGTTACTTTGGCCTTTTTGAAAACAAACCTATACATTAATGGGTATATATTGCAAACTGCACCATAAAATACACAAGTTACAGAGATTCTAGTTTTAATTTCAAAATATTCCAAACATTCAGAAAATAATGAAAAAGACATCTATGAAAATACTGTCTAGATATAAGAGATGACAATATGCTGCCATACTTGCTTCAGATAGCTCTTTTAAAAAACAAATGAATCCTAATGGTGGAGAAATATTTTAGACAAAGGTTGCATCTGCATGTAACTGTCAGTATTGACTTAGCTTAAATTATCACATGTAGAATGTAGCTGAAATGTTAAAAGTCTCTTCTGTAATGTTTACTTTCCTGAAATGGGTTAAAAATCAATGTTGTTTTCTTTTCCAGAAGCAATTTCCATTTGAATTGTATTTCTTTCTAAAAATGGAATCAGAACACAGGCTCTACCTTTGCAAAGTCAAAATATCTGGTGGTTGATTGAAAAATCTTTTCTTCAGACATCTAGAATGAGCATAACATATCGTCTTATTGCAACAAGACAAGTTGCTCATTGAGACGTTCAATTCTTACTCTACTTGGTGACAAGTTTAGTGTGTGTGACAGATCCCTCATATCTTCCTCCTGACTTAAGAGTGGAAATGATGGCAGCCAAATTGGCTAAAGAGCACCAAGAGTTTGTAATATAAAATAAGTTTGAGGAAAAGAGTATAGCTTCATTACAGGAGAATTTGCACTCTATCACCAATAAGCAGACATTGTGCTGTATTGGTCACAAACCATCCTATCATATTTTAACCTTTTATAGATGTTTTATATTTGATTTTACAAGTCTTGATGATTTTTATACCATAATTAGGAACTTACTAAAATGCACAAATTGTCTTTGACTATAAAGTTTATTGGTAGAGGTCATTTCTACCTCTGAGCTTAATAACTTTAGAACATTTTTAATTCTCAATAAAATATTAATATTCATGTAAAAAAAGTTGTAAAGTCCCACTTACCCTCAACTTTTTCTCCCCTGAAGTAATCACTACCCTAACATTTGTTATCATTTTCATACATACTATTATACTTTTATCACAAATGTATATGTAATATTTTAAAATATTTTTATGTATTTTTAAATATTTTCAGTATGGGCATGGTGGCTCATGCTTGTAATCCCAGCACTTTGAGAGGCCAAGGTGGGCAGATTGCTTGAGGCCACAAGTTTGAAACAAGCCAGAGCACCAAAACAAGCCAGAGCACCAAACCAAGGCCTCGAAAAAAAAATTTTTTTAAGTAGCCCAGCATGGTGGCATGCACCTGTAGTCCTAGCTACTCAGGAAGCTGAGGTGGGAGGATTGCTTGAGCCAAGGGATTCAAGGCTACAGTGAGCTATGACTGCACCACTGCACTCTAGCCTGGGCAACAGAGAATACTCTGTCTCTAAAAAATAAATATTTTCATAAATATAATCACATCATATATATCATTTTATAACTTGCTTTTGCCAGTCAACTTTACCCTTTTAAGATACATTCATGTTGATACCTGAGATAATACATTTACTTTGCATTAGACTTGCATTTTTCTGTCTTGAATGATTTCTTGATTTCCTGATTTTATCTATTTAATAGATTTTATTAGGTAAATTGCAAGTCACTAGCAGGTCACTTAACCTATAAAGATAGTAGTGTTTAGTTTGTGAAAACACACTCTTTAATAGCAGCAAGGTATTTCTGCTTACCCAGTTTTTTTGAAAAGTCACTTTCTGGGTCTACCTGACTTGCTTGTAGGGATGAAATATCTTTCAGTGGCTAACAGTCAGTTCTATTTGAATCACCAAAGTAAAAAATTCCTTCTCTGTGAACTAGAGTTCAGATGCTAGTCTTTCAATTTGTGATAGTTGCGTGTGAATTGGAAAATGAAGCCATGAAGGCCAACTGCAGAGTTCTCAAATAAAAGTGCAGGTGTACCAGAGGAGGAATAAAAGAGAAAATACAAGATTAAGAGAAAAATATATACAAAGTGATCCAGTTACTAACTCTGATTTGGAGTGAGCATTCAAATCATGTTCATTTTGCCCTGGGTCATTTCTCCATGAACAATAACTGAGGCATCACTTTAGTTTGCCCTGTGCTTCTTTTTCCTTTATCATTTCAATCAACTGACTGAACACTTCCAGCAAGTTCTACAGTTCTCACTCTTCTTGCTTTTCATAAAACTTCTTGTACATGTCCTTTGTATTTCATATTTGTAGAGGAAGTAAAATCCAAATTAAAGTTGGCTTTACTTTGTGATGATGTTCCTTTAATAGACTTTTTTCTTTTTTAAAAAATAAAAAGCTCTATTCTGCCTGGAATTTTTAAATTCCAACTTGCTAGAAGATAGAGATGGTTGAGATGAGCAAGAGAACTTCTCTTCAGTAATATGGTTTCTGATATGGTTAGGCTTTGTGTCCTCACCCAAATCTCATCTTAAATTGTAATCCCCATAATCCCCATAATCCCCACGTGTCAAGTGAGAAACAAGGTGCAGGTAATTGAATCACAGGGGAGGTTTCCCCATGCTGTTCTCATGATTAGTGAATGAGTCCTCATGAGATCTGATAGTTTTATAAGGGCCTCTTTCCCCTTTGCTCAGCACTTCTTGTTCCTGCCACTTTGTGAAAAAGATGCCTTGCTTCCCCCTTCACCTTCCACCATGACTGTAAGTTTCCTGAGGCCTCCCCAGCCATGTTGAACTGTGAATCAAGAAAACCCCCTTCCATTATAAAGTCAGCCCAGTCTCAGTCAGTTCTTTATAGCAGTATGAAAACAGACTAATACAGTCCCCTTCCTGAAGTTATATTATTATCACTGTCCAGACATAAAAATTTCATGAACAGAAAAACCAAAATTGAATAAATTTTGAAAAATCAAAATTGAATAATTGGGGTGCCTTTTTATTCTAAGATACAAAACTAATGTTTATTAGCCTACTCATGACCCTCGGCTTTCCTGAAAACTGTTAATCCATAAAATTACTGACTTGGGCATACTGTGTGCACATTTGTATGAAATTCAAAGAGATTATCTTTTACCAAGTCAATATCTCTCATCTTTATATGGTTCTTAATGGTCATCAATGACTTTTCAAATCAGAATTTCGTTTAATCCTTACAACCATCAGATAACATAAATGGGAAGGATACCCTTAATGATTTATAAGGGAATAAATTGATTTTAATCAAAACTAGGTGACTTGCAGGACACAGAGCAAATGTGAGAATTAGTGATGAAACCAGAGCTGCCAACACCTGATAATGTGAGGATTTTTGTCAAGATTTTTTTTTCATATCATTTGTTATGCCATCTGGATTAGTTTGCTAGGGCTGCCATAACAAACTACTACAGACTGGGTGGCTTAAACAACAAAAATTTATTTTCCACAGTTCTAGGGGCCATAAGTCTAAGATTAGAGTTTTTGGCAGAGTTGGTTTCTTCTGAGGCCTCTTTCCTTAATTTTTAGATGGCAGTCTTCCTCCTATGTCTTCACATGGTCTTCCTTCGGTGTGTCTGCATTTCCTCTTTTTATAAAGATACCAGTCATATTGGATTAGGGCCCACCCTACTCACCTTATTTTAACTTAATTAAACTTTAAAGATCCTATCTCCAAATACAGTCACATTCTGAGGTTCAAGAGGTTATAATTTCAATATATGAATTTGAGGGAATGCAATTTAACCCATGACACCATCATTGCCAAATTTTAAAATTAAGATAATACTCTTAATTTCTGCCATTTTAGCATAAAGCTTCCATTTTTCAAGTTTCTTTTCTTTGTCTATTTGCACACATATTTTACAAGTAATACACAGTACTGTATTGTAATTTTCTTTTTCTTACTAAATATTCCATGAGGAAAGAGCTGCTATCTCATTTGCTAGCTATGTCTACAATATTTAGCAATTTGCCTGTTCAGTTCAATACATTGAACTGAATTGACTGAATGTAAATCAGTTGGTTGAGTTGAAAACAAACAAATACACACACACACACACACACACACACACACACAAAGCTTTAGTTAACAATATTCCAATTTAGATTGTTCCAAATATTGCCCCAAAATACTAAGAAGAGAGAGTAATGACTTGCACCCTGTAGGCACTCAATAAATGTTAAATGAGTGAGTGAATGAATGAATTCTCATGTAAGTTAGCAGGATGCTGTAGGTGCCAAAAGAGACATTAAACACTGCATCTTTTTGAAGTTGTTAATAATTATTATTTGGCAAATTCCTTAATAAGATAAATGTCTACCTTTATAAGGTGATGAGTATATTAAATTTTTTTCTCTTGATAGATTCAAGCAACTCAAACACATATGATTATCAGGTAAGCTTGTCCTGTAGAATCAGCTATAAGTAGATCATTTTCCAACTGATTCATTCTCATTTCCAAAGGAAGTATTATCTCTAGGGCAAGCAATAAAACCAGCAGACAGTGCAGCAGCAGTAGGAGACACTCTCTGGATATAATATGTGGTGCCTGATCTAGTGGTACGGCCAAATAAAGACAGATGGAAATTGATTAATTTTAATACTACACTGTGCAGGGCACTGTGGTCATTGCAGACTTTCCATGAATATTGTTTTTTCCAAAATTCTCATTTATCCACATTAATTAAGTTTTAAGAGCTAAACAGCAGTCTTTTGTTTTTAAAATGGCCTTACACCTTAAGTACTAAAAATTTAACATGCAAGGATTAAAAAGAAACATAAAATCACAATTTTAGGTACTGAAAAATGTACTAGTTCCTTTCCATGTATCACGTTATTTAATTCTTACTATAAATCTTCAAAGTGGTTATTATTTTAAGGGAATTAAAGCTAAAAGACATTGACTCTGCATGTCATGTTATTTGAACCAAGATTCTTACCTTCCAAAGCCCATTGTCTTTCAAACACATGGGGTGGATCCACTTTTTATGGTATATTATGATCAACCTGTGGATTGCATGAGCACTCATCATTTTCTCACTTTCAGTATGAACAACTTCTCAAACTGTCCCAGACCATGAAAACAGGGAAGTTCTTGTTGTGAAGAGCTTTCTCAACTAAAGAGGATGAGCTTCTACAACCCAGGAAAAAGCATAAGTAGTTAGCCCTGAAAGAACTCAAGAATCCACATACATTCTCAACATCTAAGATCTGTTCCAATATCAGGCCACATCGAGACTGACTGCTTAACAACAAATTCTGTCTCCCCTTCTCTCATTTCCATCATCTCTAGCTCCTCATTGCCACTACAGGCTGCAGTTGATACTCATTTTATACACTGTTGAGGAAAGCATAAGAAAAAGCCATTACAGATTGATTTGCCTGGATTTTGACATCTGACATTTTGAAGTTATAAATTCTTTTGAGAACATGAAGAGAGTTACTAATCCTCTCCCCCTAAAAATGCACATTCACAGATATACCAAAAACCTCAAATAAAATTTAAATGAGAAGGCTAAAACAATCCCTTTTTGCTTCATATTGATTTTGTATAGACCGTGTTTTGATGTCTTTGAATCATTATTGATCTTACACATCAAGAAATAAAGATAAGATTAATTTGGAGGGACATCATACACACACTTGGAGAATGGTCCAGAGAGTTGAGGACCTCAGAACTAAATATGTAAATTTATCTTATGGAGATAGATGCATTAGGAAATTCTGGGTTTCTTTGGAGGAAGTCAAGTTCTTTTACAGCAAAAAGATGAATACATATAATTTGTCTTACATATCAGTACTTAATATTCATGTGAAAAGTTATGTCAAAATACTGTTTCAACTGAAGTTTCCACTTTTCAACCAGCTTCTGTGGTTCTATGGTACTGTGTAGAAAATCTAAATTGCTGGGTTCTAGGTAAATACAGTAAACAAAAACTTGTTTATATATTAAACGGCACAAAGATGATACTGAAGTTCAATATTTTTTAAAATGCCATTATGCCTTAGTATCTAGAAGTATAAAAACATTCACAAATAATATAATCATGGAGGTGATTGCTTCAATTTTATAGTAAATTGTAACCAAAAATCCACTTCAAATAAAAAAGCAGCCCTTATCTAGAACTAACTTCAGGGACATGAAGATATAATCATTAATAGAAATAAACCCATTATACCTACATTTCAATATAAAGTTTAGTTCAAGATCATTTACTCTCAGATGAACAGACAGTTCTCTAGTCAAGGTAAATTTTTCTGTTAAGGTGGTATACTTCTTGAAAATATTACAAGATAACTAATATACTTGAGAGATGCATTTGGGGATTTAAGCTAAATACAACTGAAATGAATTATTTGGGCATGCAGATCCTTACTTATGAGTAGTTTCTAACTGCTTTTTGCAGTGCAGCCCTTTTCAAAAAGAGTCACTAGAGATAAAGAAAAAATGTTACAAGAAGGATTACACTCAATATGAATTACACATGAAAGAAAGACTACCTCCAATGAACTTCATAATAAAAGAAACCAAAAGACATGGCAGAGCAATGGATCACTTGGAAAGAAATGTCACCGTATACACATTTGCTGCTTGTGGAATTGATTTCCATAGACCTTGGAGAGCCTTGTGCTGTGTATCACATCTCCTTCATGTCAATTCATTTTGACTGCCTCCTAAAGGAAAATGTAGGTTCTTTCATTTCACTGGAAAAAAACAATGATGGAATTAAAATATTCAACCTCATCTTTTAAAAGTAGGTTATTATTCTATGGAGTCAAAGTGGTTTATTGTGTTAACTCACGTGTTACTGTTTCCAACAGTCCTGTATTTGAGACACTGCTCTGTCTGTAGAGTCTACTACAATCCAAGCTCCACAAAATCAGGACCTTGTCTGTCTTATTCATTGATGTATCTCTAGCACACAGAACCATGCCTGGCCCAGAAAATAATTGCTGGATACTGGAAGAATTTATTTGACATCTATAAACATAAGTTTCCTTATGTGTATAATAAGCCAGCTTCAAAAAGAGAGCATATGGGTGAAATGTGATTAAAATGTGAAAAGCATCTGACCAATGTAAGCACTCTATAAATACTTGCTAAATTTGTTACCTGAAAACCAAGTCAAAATTCTTATATATGCAGTTAAGCACACACTCTGTCTCATAACTTTAAGGTTTCACAAAGTGTGCTTCATTATTTCCTGAATTAATTGCTTATTACTATTTTAAGAATATTCCATGTTGCCTATTCTAGCCATCAGACATCTTCCCTGGTCTCCCTACCTCAGACGTTTTACCTCTTTAAAGCCAAATTTCTCATTGTATTAAGAATACTGCTAGTGAATAGTAAGCAGCCACATCACTCTACAAAACAAGAAACATCTAGTGCATAGATGTAAGGGTATTCATTTTTTACTATTTTTTTAACTGAAGATTTTTCCTCCCCAATTTTTACCGATGTCAGGGATTTCAGATTAAAATATAATGCTTGCATTTTTGCCCTCTCCTAAATAAATGCCACCGCTTTCATAATTGCTATTATAAAATTTACGGGGTTTTTTTGTTTTTTGTTTTTGAGTCAAGGTCTTACTCTGTCCCCACGCTGGAGTGCAACAGCGTGATCTCAGCTCACTGCAACCTCTGCATCCTGGGCTCAAATGATCCTCCTAGCTCAGCCTCCCAGGTAGCTGGGAATACAGGCATGCACCACTATGCCTGATTAATTTTCATATTTTTTTGTAGAAATAGGGTTTTGTCATGTTACTCAGACTGGTCTCAAACTCCTGGACTCAAGGGATCTGCCCACCTCAGGCTCCCAAAGTATTGGGATTACAGGCATGAGCTGCCGCATCCGGCCCACAATCTGTTTTCTTAAAAAAAAAGAAATGCTGATTTTATTTGTAAGTTTTGCCTTTATATATTTAATGTAATTTATTTCGCATCCAGGAATGTATTAACAATTATTTTTCTACGTCTCAAAGATAGCTTCTACCGCTAATAATGTATCCTCCCCCACTTCCTTCCCAAGGCCATCGAATCACAGAAAATTCAAAATGCAAGGAATGAGATCATCCATTTGTAGAAATGACTCATGGTCAATCAATGTGACCAGAGTACAAGCCTTCAGGAGAGTAGGTCTGCATTACATTTGCAACTAAGAATAACTGTGTCCAAGTAGAGTTTCATATTAATCTCTACAAAAAAGAAAGAGAAAAACAAATGAAGACTGTCAAGATGGCCCCTCTGAAAGAGCATTCAACATCTGACATTGAAGTATGTCTCCAACACTTTGGGGTCCAGTGATCCCAAAACACAGAGCATCTCAACCCCTCCACTCAGGCCCAAAGATCATACAACCCATTCTCCTGGTCTTATCCCAGGCTCACTGAGCAAACTTCTAATCATAATTTGCCCTTGTGAGATTTCCCACAGATAAAATGTATTGATCAGCAAACACGATTTTTGGATCCTTTCAACACCTTCCGTTCTCAATGTAAATTAATACATTGGTGTTCTGGTTTTTATTTACCAATCTCTATTAGTTTGTTCTGTGTAAATCTGTCCCCTGAGGTAGATTTGTTCTTGGTCAGCTGACAAATGATGTTTCTAAGCTTGTCAGGCCAGGGCCAGGGCCAGGCCCAGGAGTGGGTGAATTCTCTAAGGTAACCTGACCTGAGTGTATGCGTTTCCATTCAGGAAAGCAATGGCCCTAGTCATTTTATGTCCAATCTGTTATTTCTTCTGTCTTCTGTCTTCATAGCTTTGACTAAGAATATATCTCTACACATGCTTTTGAGTGTACAGCTTCCCAGGCAGGATGATAAAGGACAATGTTATATGGCAGGATTGATGCTTTCAGGGTGGACAGCTGGGACACAGTGGGCTGAAATGATCTGGCCTGTTGCCACTGGCCACATGCTGCCTCCTCTATTTGCCCTAGAATACCATGTTAATATTATTATTTTGTATGATATAAAAAATATTGGGAAGTGCTTAAAGTATTTCACTGCTAAGTCACTTACTAGATCCAGTGTTTTCAGATCCAGTAATAAACATACAATGACCTTCAAGTCCTTCCACAAGATTTCTCTTTGCCATCCACTCAATGTTATCTCTTGCCAAAATTTAGCCATTCCTCCCAATCTTGTCAAGTAAGCCATACTATAAAATAATACATTTCTTTTCTTCCTAATACTCATCCTGAGTTCAAAACGACTTTCAACTATAATAGCCACACTACATCTGAGACAACTTACTTTGAGAGGCTTTCCTTAATGAATCTAAACCAGAGGCAAATTTACAGCAGAAGTTACCAGTTTGATTGCAGTTTGTTCCCAACACACATTCTCCTATTTTTACATAATGATAGAAAGGTACAGGAACATCTCATCTATGCAAAGATCACATTTCCAAGTCTTCTGTGCAGTTAGGTATGGACATTTGGATTTTGCATTCAGGTAATATTTTAGTTACTGAAAACTAAGCACACCCTAAGGGATATCAGTCTCCCCTTCAACACAGCAGGAATTCAAATGTTTTCAAAATTCAAGTTTTTCTTTCAAAGTACAAACCACACTCTTCCTGAGAAAACTGGGAAAATATACTTTTCTCCATCTCATTACAATCTATAAGGTTGTTTCTTATAACTTGGCTATATGAGCACTTTACCCACAATATCTCACCTCAAAAGTACAAAAATGTCTTAAAGTAAATGGTATCAAAGAGTGAAAGGTCTGAGAATTTGCCCTACTTCTAAGGTGACAAGTTAGCCTGCCACAGTTTTATAGATGTTGGCAGAAGACATGAGACTCCTGGGTCAGAGGCAAGGAATTTTGTTATTTATAACACAGCAGGCAGCATGAGTTTCATGTTCATATCAGCTCTCCTGTCTCCATGTCTCTTGAGGCAATGGGTAGGGGCCCAGATACATGCTACATATACAGTGAGTCTATGTCACATCTGAGGGTTACTGAACTTAGTAAACCCCCAATCTTTTATAACGAGCTAAAAGCAAACTTGCCCTTTGCCCCAGAAGGAGGCATTATTTTTATTTTACTGGATGGAAAACAAACTTACTCTTGGCTATAGAGGGAGACACTATCTTCTTAAGCTGTTTCTTATACAAATCCTTGAAAATAATTTGAAAGACATCTATAAGTGCTGCTGCTGATAAAAAATACAGAAATGCAAGAAGTCCATGGATAATTATGTCCTAAAATAGAAACATCAGATTGAAGTACCTACTATTCTCTTTCCCCTCCCCACCAATCCCCTGCTAATGACCAAAGAAAAGAACAAGAGCAGTATTAATTACGCTTAAAGAAAAAACAAACTGTGCAACCAAAGTAGGCATGAACATCAAGTAATTATCCAATGAATTTGAATTAAAGTGTCAATTAATCTTTGCTCTGAGAAATCAACCCCAATCCTTACGCAGGCCTGTCCCTCATGCCTCAATCTCTGGCAAACTAGGGGACAAGGATTTGAAAGTGGTGCTCGGAACAAAAGGATCTTTCAGACAGTTGAATAGAGCAGGCTGGTGAAAGACACGGTTGGGTAACCAACATGAGCACCCAGAGAAACAAACCATCTGAAAAGAGGACTCTTGCTAATTTCTTTCTTTCCATGGTGATTTTTTCTTTATTTTCTCTTCTCTGTTATTCCCCATTCACATTACCCAAGCTCGTGTAACTGATAAGTTGATAGCATTGTACAACCAGCACAGTTTTAAAGTGCTTTGTGTATATTAACTCATTTAATACAACAATCCAATGAGATAGGTTCTAGCACCATCCCTGTTTTATAAAAGAGAAAACTAAAGCATAGAAAAAAAAATTAAAATCTTCCCCAAAGTCATACAGCGAGTAAATTACATAGCCAGGATTTGAACGTAAGAATTTTAACTCCAAGGTCCATGTTTCTCATCACTATACAACAACACCTCTAATGTTAGCACCAAGTCATGTGACTTCCATAACCTTATCCACACCAGAAGAATAATATACAAAGACATAGCCACCTACATAGAGATTTGGTACATTTTTGGTCAGTGTTTATTCCCTAAAATTGAAACTATTATGCCCATTTTTTAATGTATTCTTGCTCTTCTCATTTGAAAACATTTCCAAGTTAACTGCCAAAGATCCAATCTATACTTTTTAATGAAAAACAATATTCTATTGTAAGGATGTAACAATCTATTTGTGCATTATTCTATTCACGGGCATTCACTTTGTCTCCAGTTTGTTCCCACCACAAATATTCCAGCAATAAACTTCTTTTACATAAATCTTATGCACTCAATGCTTTTATTTCTATGGGCTCAATTCCCAGGAATAAGTTTGCTGATTAAAGGGTATGTTTATCTCTATATTTAGTAGACCGTTCCAGACTGCATTCTGAGTCACATTTCAACAGCAATATGTAAGAACCCCCTGTCTCCTCAACCCCATCAGAGTAGATGTAATTGCTCTTTTTAAATGGCACAATCTGATGGGTATAAAGTGATATCTCACTGCTACTTTAAGTTGCATTTTCTAAGTAGTGAACTTCAGATTCTTGAAAAATGTGATTAGCCGTTTGGATTTGTTCTATCAATTACAGAGTTAAATCTTTTTGTACATTTTAAATAGAGTTGTTTTTGTTTATTATTCAGGGCTCTGCTTATTATTTAAGGGTTCTGTTTATTTTAAAGATTAGTCCCTTTTTCTGTCATTTGCATTTAATTTTTTCCAAAAATCTATATTTTCTATTTAATTTTGCGATGAAAATTTATTTATACAATAGATATTAATTCATAAATACCTGAATGTATGTCTCTTTTCTTTTATAGATTCTGAGTCCTATATTTGATAGGAGCTCTCCATCCCTAACCTTTACATGAAGTAACCTATATTTCCTTCTAAGATTTTCAGTGTTTAAATTTACATTTTATTCTATCTGAAGTCTGCATATATGATGTAAGGCATGCTTCTAAACTTATTTCCTTCCAAATGAATAGACAATTGTGCCAAGATTCTTTGTTAAATAAACCATTATTTTCCTATTGAATTGAATCTCTATCATATATTAAGTTCTCATATTTACTGGGATATATTTCTGGACACTAGTATGCTTCATTAATCCATTTTTATTTTTCTATGCCAAATACCACTGGAATTACTAATTATTTGAAGACTACACGAGAAGGGAAAGGAAATAAGCAGCAATCTGGACCAACCAGTAAAACTAATAATAAACAGGAAAAAAAGAGAAAACAGTAGCATAAATAATAAAAGCAGATAGAAGTACACCTGAAAATCAGACAGAGGTATAGCTATTGCAGGACTAAATGCTACCATTTTCTGTCTTTCAAGCTTTGCTGCCGTTGTCCCCAACATTGCTACCACAAGCTATCAAATCACCTGGAGAACGACACTAAAATAATAAATTATCTTATATCATCACTAGAAGGGAATGTTTTCAAAAGAACATGGCTTCCTGCTTTACATAAATATCAAGGCTAATTTTTTGTATTTTTTAAAAACCAGTGCCACAGTAAAGCAAAAACTTGTTTTGCTTAAATGGAAGATACTAAATCAATGTCATTATTTCTATAATATGCCCCAAAGTTTTTATAGTTAGCATTAAGAATATTAATAGGCAACTATGAACTAAGTGGTAGCTGCTAAGATTTTGGGATGACATTATTTAATCTGAGGAATATTGGTAGGTGAAAATTAAATAAATGACAGCTGCTCAGGGTACCATTTTGGCCTTGCTAACTTCTCAGCAGCTTTAACAAAGAGATGGGTAAATTTCAACCAATCAGAAAATGGTTTAACCATTGAAACACGTTGTTTCTCTTGCTGTTTTTGTTCCCTGTAGAAGAGCTTACATTCTACAACTGGCCATCTTTTTGGATGTGTGAAATAGTGCAGTAAATGAAGCTTTTTGCTTTCTCCTTATGGATTTGAGATGCTTTTGTCATTACCATTACGTTGCTATTATTTTAGCAGTGTTATCTTGGGTACTGTACATTGTTTAAGGTAAAGTTATATGAACAACAATGAAAATAATACCTATAGAATTCAGGTATATTTGGTTCACCTGTATTCACCCTCCTTAAACAAGAAAATAATAAGCATCTTGGCAATGTTGGCTTTATTCAAGTAAAACTTTTCCTTCAGTAAGCTCAGTTTCTAAAGTATATATACCCTTTGTTAAGTAAAACGGTTCATTAACAATATGGAGAAAAGTAGAATAATGGGCATTCCGGTCATTTCTTGGCATCTAGTCCTGATTTCAGTTGGAGATTAAATTGCCTGATGTCCTCACTTTAATAATTGCTATGGCTGATTTTTACGAGGCTATCATGAAGAAACCTTCAAGTTTTCAAAGGAATGTCATTTAAAAGACAGGAAATTAGATGCTGATATGCCTAAGTAACTGCTAATAATTAATTAAAGTGAGTTTCAATTAGTGAGTTATTTAATATCCCACCCCCTTCCTAAAAATGTTAATAAGGTGGTAGTCAATAGGCATTATTGGGGCATTGTGGTACTAATATATACACAAGTAATGATCAACATTACATGCTTCTTAGTCGATGTTTACTTAAAAAAAAAATCAAAAGCATCTACTTCATGCAGAGGAGGTGCTACACTTCTATCACCCTAATGGTGTGAAAATGTAATGATGTTTTCCTACAAAGGAAAACCTCTTTTCTTTGATGTTTGAGCTTGGCTTCCATTACCACAGCTTCCGATAGCTGAGAAGAAAACATACATTACCCACACTATCAAAGATGTCACTGTGCTGCTGAGAAGCATATACTTAATTGTGGGATTTTAAATGATGTGTCTGCTTTTGATTTTCACGGTGACAACTCTTTACTAAAAAAAATATAAGTAGTGCTACCTAAAAACAGAAGATGCAATGTCTTCTTACTTCATAGAGGTATATACAGAAAAAGAATGATAAATCACTGTACTCTGTCATCTTTGTGATTTTATTTCATTCTGGGACATTCAATTTAACATAAACTTCTCAAAACTGCATAAGAATGAAACCCCCATTATACTGAGAAATACAAATTAAAATAGAATCTAAATGATTAGGCACTAAATGCATAAGATATTCTAGTAGATGTTACACTTTTTCAATCCAATTAGAAGGTGGTACTGCAAATTATTAATAAATGCTAGTCTATGAAAATCACTCTGTCTTAAACATACACACAGTCATTCAAACACAAATAGATGGTGGCTTAAAAAGAGGATAACTTAACTTGCAAAGTTGTTGCAAGGATTAAATTAGATAACACACTGCAAAGCACCTAGTTCATTATTAGGTAAATAATAGATTGCATTATTTATAAATTTCAGAGATAAGGACAAATATAAAGTGAAGAACTTGGAGTTTATAATATTTCATGGAAGACAGGAAAAAAAAGGAGAGGGGCAAAGAAATAGGGTGAGAAATATAATGAGTTAGAGAAAGAGCTCCATGTGGGAGAAGAGGACAAGAAGACTGGGTAGGGGCAGTGAATAATCTACTCCAATGGAAGCCCCATTTGAGCTCTTTCGACCAGAAACTTTTGCATCTGAGAGGTCCTATTGTTTGTACCAGTGATGCCTAGCAAACTTTTCTGACACTGCCCAAAACAGAACTCCTTGTCAAAGAAGTTGTATAAGCTTTCACAGAAGCAACACAGAAAATGGGTTGATATATTCAGCACTTCAGTGCATATTCTGATACCAGGCATCCTAAATGAATTCTAGCTATAGATAAGAGTCAGTGGTTCTGCAGGTCGGCTGTCTATGCATCATCTACATGCTATGCCTCACATGTCATAATGCACATGTGTTATGTCGTAGGTTCAGTTCTGTTCAATAAATGTACTAATTTAACTTTGTGATGAGGAGGTCTGCCTTGTGTTTTAGTTATTTCCTGAAGTCTGGACAAGGGCGGGAAATATACCACACTTGTATCCCATGGAATGAAACTTTGAAGAATTCACAAAAATCAGCAAAAGAAGTATTGCTACACAAGAAAATGTAGACAAAGCAGCAGAGGAGGATGCTAATTCACTAACTTGATTAGAAATTGCTAATAAATGTTTAGAAATCTATGTTCAGCAAATTAAGGTTAGGTACTTATCAGTTCAATTGGAAATTGAGGCAAAATTTGACTAAAAAGCCCTGTGTGTTCCTATTCACATCTAAACATTGAGAATAGTATTATACAATTCAAGTGCTATTACAAATATTTCAGGACAAAGATTAGCTAGGTTCTTTGACTATATTTGCCAATTTTTTTCAGATAAAGCTCATACTATGAAATTCTGTAATTGTTTGAGCTGATGTTAATGATAAACTTTATGTTATCAATAATATTAAATTTATTCTGCACCCCAAAAGTAAGGACTATGTTACTATAAGAAAAGAACATTCAAGCCAGGCACAGTGGCTCATGCCTATAATCCCACCACTTTTGGAGGCCGAGGCAGGTGGATCACCTGAGGTCAGGAATTTGAGACCAACCTGGCCAACATAGTGAAACCGTGTGCCTAATACAAATACAAAAATTAGCCAGGCATGGTGGCACAGGCCTGTAATCCTAGCTACTCTGGAGACTGAGACACGAGGATTGCTTGAACCTGCGAGGCGGAGGTTGCAGTGATCCAAGATCACGCCAATGCACTACAGCCTAGGCGACAGAGTAAAAGAACTTTCAGAAAACAAAAAAATGGCTCTTGGAGACTAAAAATGCAATAGCAGAAATCTAAAATTCTACATAAAGAATCTCTCAGAAGAAAAAAAACACAAAAATACAGAAGTGGAAACTATAACAGAAAACATAATTAAAGAAAAAATCCATATTAGATTATGATAGTAGGAGTTTCAGAGATATCACCAAATATGGACTAAATCATTCAAGAAACTTTTCATAACTGATAGACATGAGTTTCCAAATTGAAAAGGGCTAAGGGCTCAGAGTAATGGATAAAACGGATGGTGATGTACAATACGCTTAAATAACATTGGATACATATTTAAGCATTGCAAAAAACTCCAAGTGAGAAATCTTCAATAAGATGAAATCAATAGAATTTCTCATGATTTTCAACATATGAGAGATTATTTATACATCTGGAGAAGATTTTATGGTTGAATTGGTGATAAATACAAAAAAAAATAAGCATATGAAAGTCAAAATAATTATTAACTCCAGGAAAACCAAAGATCATATCCAAAAGAAAAATCAGAGTTTGCTATATGGGTCAGCTATAAATATCAATGACTCTGTCATTTAATGTAAACCCTAATAATTGATCTGAACACAACCAACATATACACAACAACTACACTGGAAAAGTACATGTATGTGCTAAGGTCAGTGGTGATCCTGTGAAAGAGAGGAACCTTCATTTTCCAAAGTTATCCATTATTTAACAAAATGACAGGAAACATTAAAAAATATTTTAAAAGTTGGAACTAGTTGCTTACAGAGAGCAGAAAATGAGGGAGGGTGTCAGTGCAGGAAGAGACTGTTGTCATTCATAACAGCTTAATTTGAGTTTAAAATTATTTTCACATATAACTTTTATAAAAACAAAAATGCCCTTAAAAATCAACCTACTTAGGCCCATTGCAGCCCCCATCAACTCAAACTCAAGACTTTTCATCAAGTAAGTTTGGATTCCTGCCTCCCTAATAGCCCTTATAAACTAAAAAGAGCTAGATGCTTTATTTAGCAAATGACAGTCCTTGATTATTCTGCCCTTTGTCTTGAGATTAAACCAAAACAAAACTTTAAAAGATAGTCTTTTAGCATTATATGTGTATATATGTATGTGTGTGTGGGGGGGGGGGGGGGTGTGTGTGTAATGGCCATTTCAAATATCCTACATGGATCAAAACAATTTACTATACTAACCAACAATGCTGGTACTTGGAAGGCTATAAAAAGTCACAATTGAAATATTCTTCCTGTCACCATTTATTAAATTGTATTTAGTGTTGATAGATCGCCATTGTTACCATTTAAAATATTAAGCAACTTTCAAACTATCTTTAAAGAACTATATATACACATAGTCTGAGCCAAACACAAAGTTAAATAAACATTAGCAACAAAGCTAAGCTGCATATAAACAAAAATTGAAATGTGATATAAAATATTAATTTAATGTTCCAAAGAACACAGGTTTGAGAGGATACATGACAGAAACTTCTATAGGCATTGCTTGTCTTGAAGGAGGAGAATTCAGAAATGAAAACTTTCTCATGGGTGTCAGCAACACTTTTTCTTTTCCTCTGTATTCTCATGATCATTTATAAAACATGTAGTTTAAAAAAAACATGTAGCTTAGTTTTACCTTATGAAATATGATTATTAAGGCCAAATCTTTAAGCTCTATGTATTTTTCCCATATATGTGTAGTTCAACCAAACCTTGGTTATCAGTTGGGGCCATGAAGACCCAAAGTAACTGTATGCCAGAAAGGTCCCCATTAACCACTTAAATACTGCAGTCCCTTAGGATCTTGAAGTCCAAAGTTGCAGCAAGGGTCAGATCTGGGAATTGAGCAAGGCTAAATGTTTACTTAAAAATTGAGATAACTCACTCTGATGGTAATTTCTTTTGCTGTGCAGAAGCTCCTTAGTTTAATTAGATCCCATTTGTCAATTTTGGCTTTTGTTGCCATTGCTTTTGGTGTTTTAGACATGAAGTCCTTGCCCATGCCTATGTCCTGAATGGTATTGCCTAGGTTTTCTTCTAGGGTTTTTATGGTTTTAGGTCTAACATTTAAGTCTTTAATCCACCTTGAATTAATTTTTGTATAAGGTATAAGGAAGGGATCCAGTTTCAGCTTTCTACATATGGCTAGCCAGTTTTCCCAGCACCATTTATTAAATAGAATACAGAATGGGAGAAAATTTTTGCAGTCTACTCATCTGACAAAGGGCTAATATCCAGAATCTAAAAAGAACTCAAACAAATTTACAAGAAAAAAACAAACAACCCCATCAACAAGCGGGCGAAGGATATGAACAGACACTTCTCAAAAGAAGACATTTATGCAGCCAACAGACACATGAAAAAATGCTCATCATCACTGGCCATCAGAGAAATGCAAATCAAAACCACAATGAGATAGCATCTCACACCAGTTAGAATGGCGATCATTAAAAAGTCAGGAAACAACAGGTGCTGGAGAGGATGTGGAGAAATAGGAACACTTTTACACTGTTGGTGGGACTGTAAACTAGTTCAACCATTGTGGAAGACAGTGTGGCGATTCTTCAAGGATCTAGAACTAGAAGTACCATTTGACCCAGCCATCCCATTACTGGGTATATACCCAAAGGATTATAAATCATGCTGCTATAAAGGCACATGCACACATATGTTTATTGCGGCACTATTCACAATAGCAAAGACTTGGAACCAACCCAAATGTCCATCAATGATAGACTGAATTAAGAAAATGTGGCACATATACACCATGGAATACTATGAGGCCATAAAAAAGGATGAGTTCATGTCCTTTGTAGGGACATGGATGAAGCTGGAAACCATTATTCTCAGCAAACTATCGCAAGAACAAAAAACCAAACACCATATGTTCTCACTCATAGGTGGGAATTGAACAATGAGAACACTTGGACACAGGAAGGGGAACATCACACACTGGGGCCTGTTGTGGGGTGGGGGAAAGGGGGAGGGAAAGCATTAGGAGATACACCTAATGTAAATGACGAGTTAATGGGTGCGGCACACCAATATGGCACATGCATAGATGTGTAACAAACCTGCACGTTGTGCACATGTACCCTAGAACTTAAAGTATAATAAAAAATAAATAAATAATTGAGATAACTCAACAATCTGGTTTTTACACTTTATAAATTATTTTCTATTTACTTTATCTGGGTAGTTGCCTATTACCTTCACTGCCACTGAAACCTGACCTTTCATTCCTAGGGGAAAAAAAGGTATTTTATGATATATAATATGGTCATATAACTATACTATAAGCATTCATTATTTATTATTATTCTGAGTCAGGAATTGTGGGAGACCCAAACATTTATAAAATACAGATCTCCCTACAGCTCACAATATGGAGGAGGTTAGGAGACAAATTTCTGGGAGTGAAGGCTGTAATTCAGAGCTGTACAAGAGAAAATCAAAGAAATCCTTAGATAATCTGTCCAGAAGTTTCAACCAATAATGAAATTCAGGACTTATGAACTGAACTTTTCTGGGACCTATATCTTAGATCACTTATACCATTTAAATACTTTTTTCTTGTAACAATGACATTTTTTGACTAGATATGTCTTAAGGCTCCTGGCAAAAGATACAGGATATTTCTGATAAGGTTTGGTTTCAGAACTGAACTCTCCTCCGTGGAGACATTTAGGAAAATACAGCCAGAGAATTAAAACTGCAGTGATCAAGGCTTTTATCACACACCCATTTGCTAGGCCCATTTCCCCCATAAAATCAAGTTTCGTTGGAACGCAGAGCCCCGCTCATTCAAACCTCCACGGTGAAGTTGAGAAGTTGCCACACATTGCTGGGCACTCCTCACTGGACACCTCTGCGGGGCACTCTACAGACCTCAGGGCCGCGATCACCAACCTGCAGCGTTTCCAGTTCCCTTCCTTAATGCCCACCCCGCTCCTTCCTGGGTCGCCACGGAGGAGTCCAGAATCTGTCCTCTGTCGAGGGTTCCACGGACTCCGATACCTGCTCCAGCACCCCCAGCACTTACCCCATCTTCACCTGAGCCTTCTCAACTACGCGGCCCACCTTCTTCCCTCGTTCTGACCCCACTACAACAAGGCCCATGGCGGTGCCACCTCACGAGGAGAAGGACGATCACCTTGAGACCCATCGGCCTCTGAGGCCACGGACCACGCTGCCCCATGCTCCAGACGGCCGCTGGCTCCTCCTCACACTCACTCACACTTCAACCCCTGGGAAGACTGGCCTGCGGACCTACCGGCCGTGTCTCAGTAGGACAGAAAAAGTCCAGACAGCAGGAGCGCGACCCTCACACCCTCACAGCTCCGCCGCGTTCACCACGTGGGCAAAGGGGCCGACGGGAAGACGCCCAGGGCACATGCGCAGTGAGGTCGGTGCCTGCTCTGTGGGCTGTGGCGCCCCTCCTCGACCCTCCTCGCTCTACCCCATCCAGCGCCGCGCAGTCCTCTGCCCTCTCCCAGGTTCCCACTGAAGACTTTGGAATGTGTCTTCTGTGGGCGGTTTCATATGCCTCCGGGACTCAAATACCACAAATGGTTTCCCCCTTCAAAACTCCATGTTCACTCGGCCCTCCTCCTTTCTATGGCCCTCCTTCCTACCCTGTCTGGGACTCCCACGACAGCAAGGCCATGGCTGCGTCGCCGCCTGTTAGGAGAAGGACAGGGACCTCAAGGCCCTTCCCCCTAGGAGGCCATAGACTGCGCCGCGGGCTTCTCCTCACGCTCTCTCACACTTCAACTCTGGGAGGACTTATCTGCGGACCTAGTGGCTGACTCCTAGTCAGCAACACAGAAAGAAGTCACGATGTCTCCTTGCACAGCTCTGCGGGGACAGAAGGCAGACAGCAAGGCACATGGACAACAAGGGACTTGGGCAGCAAGGGGCATGCACACTGAGTCAGGCACATGCAAGGCCAGCCGCGGTTTTCCCTCTCTCCTCTCACCCCGGACTCGCATCCCTAAGGTGTTTGTAGCAGAAAGAAAGGGACTAAGAGGCTTTGTTCTCTCTCTTACCCTACCATTCTCATGCATCCAGAAACACTGGGAACAGACAGTCCCCATGTCACCATTAGTGGAGGATGTGTCTGAGAAAGACCTTTTGTGACAGAAATAAATTATTTTAATATCTTTAAAAAAAGAAAAAAGAAAACCTGAAAAAAGAATATGACAAACTAAAATTAGATGAAAGGAAAGACTGTCATTTTTCCTCATGTTTTATAAAATAGGTATTGCTTTGATGTGTTTTGTGAAATTATACTTTGAAATATCATGCTATTTTCCTTAACTTTGTTTACCAAAAGAAGGGTAAAAATGATAATTGATAAAGATCTTTCTCTTCAATTTAAAAATCCTGAAATTTGTTATTCTAATAAATCTCTCCATCAAAATGAATATACATTACAATTTACAACTCTGAGAGCCTATTTTGGAAAGTAGGTTTGTCTGATACTATGATATTAAGACATTTGAAAGGGTTTTTTTTCCCTTTAATAACACATTATTTGGCATTATTTTCATTCTTTTTATGGGAAATTTGACCCAAATTTGCCTTCTTATTTGTATAAAATTCTTTTGATACCACACTTGAAAGAAAGAAGATAATGACAGAGTAAAGTAGACTCCCTTTTCCACAATAAACAAGCTACAGACTGACTCTTTTGATTATGTTTTATGATGAGCAAATCTTGATTATACAAAGGTTTTATCTAAATTACAGAATTCCAAAGCCATGACAAAAATTAAAAATAATTATTGTTTGCAAACGGACTCAAATAAGAAAATGTACAATATTATTCTTTAAATAAGAGCATAAAATTCTTTGAAGAAAAAAAATAAAAGGAAAGTAGCTAATTGGCCAGGATTTGGTAATAATGTTTCTTAAGACAACAAAGAGGAGATAATGATCCTCACACACAGAGCTCTAGGGATGCTTAAATCTTACAACTATTGAGAATGACATTTCTGCTTCACCTTGGACAGAGTTCTTAAAACAAAACATTTCCTTTTCATTTGTTAAGATGTGATACTGGTTATGTGGCCTTTAAATTGGCTTCATTAAAATCCGTTTGCCTTAAAGGTGATTTGGTATCAGAAAATCTATTCATATACCACACCATATTAATAAGCTAGAAGAGAATAAAATAGATCTATATCAATAGATGCCAAATAAGAGCTCTTGGAAAACTTCAACAGTCACAAGAGAAGAATGTCCACTTTTACAATTATTATTTAATAAATATTAATATTATTTATTATATTTTATATTAATATTAATATTTATTAAATAATTCACTCAGTGAAAACAAATAAGATATATATGTATATATATGAAAGGAAAAGGTAAAATTACCATTACTTGCAGGTGAACTTTTGTATACATAGACTCAAAATTATAATAAAAAATATAAACTATAATAAATAATGTAAAACCAATAAAATTCAATAATGTGGCTAGTTATAAAATTATTACTCAATATCAATCATTTTCCTATGTATAATCAATGGGAAGCTAGAAAATATAATTTAAAAACTGTATCTCATTTACAATAGCAAAAAAAAATTTTTAATATGAAGAACTTATGTAAAGAAAACATTTAAAATGTACTGAAATATAAAAGAATTATCTTAGTAATACTCAAAATTCTAAAGATTTAATATATTATGTAGAATTATTTTTTAACTTTACAAAATACTACTAAAGTTCATTTAGAAAAACAATGTGAGAATATCCAGAAAAATCTTGAATAAGAATATTAATGAGAGGTGACTAGTCCTACCAGATATTAACATATATTTTGAAGCTACAATTAATTAACTTACTTTAGTACTAGGGGAATATTTAACAGACAAAAAATATTGTATGAATATATATCTAAAATAATATGAGGCCGGGTGTGGTGGCTCATGACTGTAATCCCAGCCCTGTGTGAGGCTGAGGTGGGTGGATCACCTGAGGTCAGGAGTTAAAGACCAGCCTGGCCAACATGGCGAAACTCCTTCTCTATTAAGAATACAAAAATTAGCCGGGCATGATGGCGAGTGCCTGTAATCCCAGCTACTCAGAAGTCTGAGGCAGGAGAATTGCTTGAACCCAGGAGGCAGAGGTTGCAGTGAGCCGAGATCGTGCCACTGCACTGCAGCCTTGGGCGATGGAGTGAGACTCTGTCTCAATAAATAAATAAATAAATAAATAAAATAATATGAAAACATCATTGATATTAAAAATCATTTCTCAATGAGGAGGGAAAAATATTATTCAATAAATGACACTGAGACAACTGGTTAGCTCTTTCAAAAAACATAAATCTAGATTTCTTGTTTATTTCATTCACCAACATAATGTCCAAAATGCATCAAAGAGTAATAGAAATTTAAAAAGATTAAATGAAAAACATATTTGTAATTTCAGAGTTTAGCAGGTATTTGTTAATAGGAAACATAATTCAGAAGTCATGAGAAAGTGAATTAATAAATTTAGATAAATTCAACATTTGAGCATGGTGAAAAATATAAAGTCAGATGACAAATTAGGGAAATTTTTTAATACATATGAAAAACTATTATTCTTAACTAAAACAATCCATGAAAATGAATAATAAGCAATGAAGTAATAATAGAACTAAAAAAACAAAATCAGTGGGACAAAAAAGTAGAAAAGGCAATCCACAGATTAGGGGTAGGAAAAAAATCATAAAAAAAATGTCCAATCTTACTTCTAATATTAAAAAGCAGATGAAACTACAATAAAAGGCTGTTTTTCACCTATTCTACTGGCTAATTAAAAAGTGAACATATACCTGTTCTAACCAAGATGTGAGGAAAGTAAATAAATTGGTAAAACACTTGTGGAAGGAAATTTGGCAATGTCTCTCAAAATTGTAAATGTACTTTTGACACAACAATTCTGCAGCTACCAAGTTATTCTACAGAAATTATAACATAAGTATCCCAAAATATGTAAAAAGATATTATCACAGCAAAAATAAATAAATAATGAAAAACTAGAAATAATTTAAATGACCTTTCATAATAAAAAACAACTTGTATAAATGAGAACAAATGTATTGGGAATTGGTGTTGCCATTTGACAGAAGTAGATAGTTGCTGTTACAGAATTATGCTCAAATATATTTAGTGAAAAATATAAAGTACAGAATTGTAGTAATATTAGTATACTCTTTTTATAAATAAAAAGAGATACATATGTATGTATAAATTTCAATTTTCTAGAATAGTCAAGAAACTGTTCACAGTCATTTCCTTTGGGGAGAAGTATAGCTTTTTGTGTCATTTGAACTTTCTAATCATGTGCATGTCCAGTTTATAATTGTCAACAAAAACCTTTATTTTATGGAAATATGATCCACTGTTCTTTTCTTTGTTAAAAATAATAACTAATTTGTAAAAAGTAATTTGCCTTTTGTTATATGGATGGACAATTACAAGTGCTGGAAAAGATGTAGGGAAAGTATATACCCTGATGTACTATTGGAGAAATTGTAAATGGGTTCATATTTTTGGTAGTCTGGCAATAGGTGTCAACTAGCAATTCTATCTCTAAGAATTTATCCTAGAATTACACAAAGATAACGAATTCTAGAAAACTGGGTCCCAGAAAAATTAGCAATAATTAGCAGTGTTCATAACAGTCAAAAGTTGAAACAACTTAATGGCCTATTAATAAATAAATTTAGGCTCCGTAAATTGTGATGAATCTAAACAATAAATTTAAAAGACAATATATATTTATGATCATTAATATGAAAAATACCGGTATGCCACATTGGCTTTCAAACATTTCTAAAAAGTACTTATATATATATATAAGTACTTATATATATATATATAAAGGACACAAAGAAATTCAAATATTGTAGCCCTTTCCGTAAGATATATAGGAAGAAAATAAAATGGGAGGGAAAAAGAAAATTAAAGAACAAATTCTATACATAATTATGACAGAATAAAAGAGTTGCAGATCAACATGCACAGTATAATCCCTTTGATTAAAATTACATATGTATTTATCATCATGGAAAAATTAATAGCTGTTGCCTATGAAGAGTGGGAGTGTTTTTCATTTTCTTTTGTATACCTGTATATATTTCTTGAATTTTCTATATCAGTAAATTGTATATTTAAATTTAAAAAATTAATAGCAGTAAATTTTGAATCACATGCTTCACTATTTCAGTAATGAACAGAACATTTCACCCTAAACTATAACAACAGACTACTAAATCTTTCATAGAAGGGATTCTATGAAAATGCTTTTAACATATATTAAAATATAAATACCAGGTTTAGAAGCCTATTCTTTCCCCATTCCCCCTCCAAAGAAAATCTCAAATTTGAAATGGTATTTATTCTACCGGAGACCTTCACATAATTATAATTTCATCTGGGTTCAAATGACACAATGCTAAGGCTAAGACACAATGCCTCTATTCAAGGGGTATATAAAGTATACATAGAAAGCAAAAGAAAAATACAAATGTAACCACTTTATAGGATAAGACAGAATATAGGTGCCACTGGAGTAATCAAAACAGCAAGCATTAATTTTAGGGAACATCATTTTCTGAGGAAAGAGAAACCAGAGGAAAAGCAGGAAATCTCTTGGAGAAGGAAGCGTTTTACATCCCTTGCATAATTTTCAACCTTTCTTTTCCACCTTGAAGCTTAATAAGTTTTTGGGATTATTGGTGATGTTCCATTATTATCTGGGAAAATGTAGAGGGCTGTTAACCTAGTCAATAAGAGCTTCGAGACATGCTGATTTCCTAGGGAGAAAGTTACTTGCAGATGCCTCATCTCCCAACTCAACTCATCACATTATCACCCCAATACAAACTTCATTAAAAATCAAGCAAAAAAAAAAAAAAAGAAAACAATAAATATTGCTTTTCTTATTGTCCAGATTTCATAACTCATCGAAAAAGTTGGCAAAATGTAAACAAGTTTCTCTATATTTTCACCATTCATAGGTTTAAAATTATTTTAGCCAACTTTACTGCTACACAGTAGAGATTTCCAAAAAATTATTCGTCTCAGTTTCACCAATTCCATATTACCCCAGAATTTTTCTAAAAAGGGTTCCATTCATCTATCTCTGGATTACTATCATTATTTCAATCTGAGAATGCAGATAAAAGAAATCGTCAAATGAGGAAGAGATTAACTTACCTTTGATTATTATCAGCTCCAATTTTCTATTTCCTTTACCTAACTCTAATTCAAAGTTTCTGCTTTGTCTGAGAATTTTTTAATTACAAGAAACAAAATAATTAAGGGTTATTTTTAACAACAGTGCGATTTATATTTTAATGCCAGATGCATTATTTATATAATATATATATATATATATATATATATATATTTTTTTTTTTTTTTTTTTTTTTTTTTTTGACAGAATTTTGCTCTTGTTGCCCAGGCTGGAGTGCAGTGGCATGATCTCGGCTCACGGCAACCTCTGCCTCCCGGGTTCAAGCAATTCCCCTGCCTCAGCCTCCCGAATAACTGGGATTAGAGGCATGCGCCACCATGCCCAGCTAATTTTGTATTTTTAGTAGAGACGAGGTTTCACCATGTTGGTCAGGCTGGTCTCAAACTCCTGACCTCAGGTGATCCGCCTGCCTCGGCCTCCCAAAGTCCTGGGATTACAGGCATGAGCCAACGCGACCGGCCTTTATATTATATTTCTAACCAGGAAATATACCAATTTTAAACTATTAAAGAATTAAAAGAAAAAATTATAGATTCTCACAAGAAGGAAAACATTCTAGAACCCAATTAATTTATCTCCTATTCCCATCTGAACTGTGTAACTCAGAGCAAGCTACGGAGAATCAGTAAAAACTAGAGAAATGTTTCTCTGAAATCAGCACCACTTACCAAAAGTCAGGGATCTCAACTGTAGTTTCCCTTGGTCAAACTAGCTTTTTTAAAAGAGGTCAAATTAGCTTTTTTATTTTATTTTATACTAGGGAATTTTTTTTTTTTTTTTTAGACGGAGTCTCGCTCTGTCGCCCGGGTTGGAGTGCAGTGGCGCGATCTCAGCTCACTGCAAGCTCCGCCTCCCGGGTTCACGCCATTCTCCTGCCTCAGCCTCCCGAGTAGCTGGGACTACAGGCACCGGCCACCACGCCCGACTAATTTTTTTTTTATTTTATTTTTAGTAGAGACGGGGTTTCATGCATCTGTCTATTGTATCTACATTAACGTCAAAGTTCTTTAACGTTGTCTCTCTCTCCCTTTTTTATTTTTTTAGATGGCGTCTCGCTTTGTCACCCAGGCCTGCGATCTCGGCTCACTGCAACCTCCGCCTCCTGGGTTCAAGCGATTCTCCTGCCTCCGTCTCCCGAGTAGTTGGGACTACAGGCGCGTGCCACCACACCCAGCTAATTTTTGTATTTGTTGTAGAGATGGGATTTCACCATGTTGGCCAGGCTGATCTCGAACTCCTGACCTCAGGTGATCCAACCGCCTCAGCCTCCCAAAGTGCTGTGATTACAGGCGTTAGCCAGTGTGCCCAGCCCAACGTTGTCTCTCTTAATTATGCTTTGGGTTAGATTTCCCTTCATTTTCCAGGCCTGGGCCTCCAAGGGGCAAGAGAATTACTTCAATATTTACACAAACCAGCAGTGATAAATCCTACCCAAAGATTTAGAGGAAGTTAATAGTCATTTCTTAAAGACTGATTCTTTAGAACTCTTTAATTCTAGAAAACCAAGCTTGTAAATAACATTTAAGATGGTATTAATAAACATATGTTTCATTGATTATTAATGTGACCATAACAAAGTATTTGGCTCTCAGAAAAAGGCAAAACAGCCTAAGAATGGCTCCCAACTTTATAGACCTAAATACATTAGACAGAAATCATATGTATTAGACATCGAAGGCTTGCTGTCAGGTTTGAGGGCAAAGGACATGATGGAGACTTGCCCTAACAACCAGGAATAATGTCTTTCTTATTAATATAGAGGTAAACCCATTAGGATCTCACTGTAAATCCTATCTAAAAATAGGATGAAGAAAGAATTCATTCCTAAACTCAATTGATATTTTTTTTCAAAAAAACTTCCATTAATAAAATAAGCACAAGTGTTAAAGCATAAATCAGAAACTTCCTGCTTTGGATTTCACTTTTAACTTCTCCCCCAACCACCTCTCTCAGATCTGTCCACCTCTACTGCTCTCTCTCAGGCCTGAACCTAGAATCTGCTCTCTACGTCACTCTACTGAGGCTATCTTCCTTAAATACTCCCAACTCAACCATAATCGTTATAAATACTTCCAATATTTGTATTTCTTGTCCTTTCATTTTATAACTGACCCAGAGAAGATTCCACAAACATGATTTCACCTATCCTTAAAGCCTCAATTACATTCTTACATACTAATAATTTTATAGATCATAACAATAGCTCACTTCATCAAAAATTAAATTCAATAAACTATTTTTGAGTTGCCTAAAATATAATATTAGGCTGTGGAAAAACAAAAATGAATAAGATAAGGTTCTTGTCCTCAAAGAGTTTAGCTTCTATAGGTAAAACAAAATCAAAATAATAATTACAAAATGAAATTTTAAATATAACTACTGTGCCATTTTTAAAAAGGAACCAAACTTTCATTTGTTGAAGATGGGAGTGCTAAATGGTACAGCCACTTTGGAAGTTTCTTACAAAACCAAATGTACTCTTACCATGTGATCCAGCAATCATGCTTCTTCGTATTTACTCAAAGGAGTTCAAAACCTAAGCCTGCACAAAAATCCAGACAATGAAATATTATTCAGTGCTAATAAGAAATGAGTTCAAACCGTGAAAGGCATGGAGAAAATTTAAGTGCATATTACTACGTGAAAGAAACTAGTCTGAATATACAGACTGTATGATTCTATACATACTATATGATTCCAACCATATGACTTTCTGGAAAAGGCAAAACTATGGAGTCAGTCTGACTTGATTTGATCATTACACAGTGAATACCTGCGTTAAAACCTCACATGGTTTCCCACAAAGATGGACAATTATTATGTGCCAATTAAACTTTTTAACTTTAAACTTGAGGAAAAAGATCAGTGGTTTCCAGGGGTTAGAAAGAAGAGAGGAATGACTAGATAGAGCACAAAGGATTTTTACGGTAGTGAAATTACTCTGTATGGTAACAGAATGGCAGATCTGTGTCCTTATAAATTTTTCCAAATCCATAGAACATACAAACCTAAGAGTGAACCCTAATGTAAACTGTGGACTTTGAGTGATAATGAGGTATCAGTGTAGATCCCTTTGTTGTAACAAATGTGCCACTCTGCTGTACACCATTGGTGGTGGGAAGAGGCTGTGCACAGATGGAGTCAGGGGACATATAGGAAATATCTGTACCTTCTACTTTATTTTGCTGTGAACCTAAAACTGCCCTAATAAATAAAGTCTATTTTTTTAATAGGACTAGAACGAGTGACCACAGAGAATATAGCAATTCATTCTGACTACGGAGAAAAAGATGATGCTATGGATGATGAGGCTAGAAATGACTGATCCTGGCTTAAACTGTGTTGTGTATGCAAGAGGGGCTATCGAATAAAAAATTGTAGGATTCCATCTCTTTTAAAAAGACGATTCTAAGGGAGACAAGAGAAATGAGGAAAGGACTGGAAAAGAGACTAGACTCAAATGCTAGTAAGGTAAGGAGAAAAGTGAAGCTGTGATAGAGTTGAATGACTTGCAGTTTTGATGTGACACCATCAGGGTGGGTCAAGTATAAACAGAATGAGTTGTCATTCTATTTAAAACTTTTGAAAAGGAATGCCAATTATGGCTGTCCTTGGCTGTAAACCTCTTTTTGGAATTGGCTAAAAATCTACCAATTAAAAATGTATTTGTATTAAAAAACTTAAAAATATAAACACTCATGGTAAAATTAAGAGACTATCAGTAATTTATGACTTAGTCTGAACTAGCTCTGAACTAGATAGTCTTCCATTAATATTCCAGAAGAAATTGTTTGGGGACATTCTAAGGAGAAAGAAATCACAAAATTTTAACAGTAAAGGAAAAACCAAGACTGGCAAGAGCAGGCCTAAATGGCATGTAAAAATAGTGTTTTGGGGCTACAAAGAGCAGCTTGAGGAAACAGAGCACCCATGGTGGGGATGGAGCCATACTTAGCTGGGTGCAACACTTGGTACAAGTCACACATCACGTCCTCCATCAATGTGCAATACAAACTGATTCTTCCTTCACAGGCAACAATTATCAAGAACAGGTTTGAAGGGAAAAGATAATCAAAAAATAAAAACGTGCAGCCTCAGAAAACTATGGTAAGTAAAGAGAGTTCTGTCTTAATGCTTAAAGAAAAAAACTGACTTTTTTGGTAAAAAATAGATCACAGAATAATCTTTTGTTGTTCTTTAAGCAATAAATGGCAGAATCATCTTTCCCCCACATTAGACACCAGCCTGGAGTCTCTATTGAGTATAAAATAGTGATAGGTCTATGGAAATAGTCCCAAATTACTATTTGCCAAGAATGACTCAGAGTAAAGTTATCAAAAGTAATTTTACAGTATTTCCAAAGTCCAGCTTCTAATTTAGATTTTTAGTTTTAGAATTCAGAAACCTACACAAATAATTACAGCAGAAAATTTTTTATGGCATTTCTCTAAATAATCCCCTAAATTTTTTTTAAACCTATTGAGCTACAATCAGCAACTGTTTCAATACGATTAGCAATCTCATTGGCACTGCAGAAGCATTACTATCATTGAAGCTCCGGGCATCAGTGGTAGTCATCAAAATCTCTAAATGGTTTACATTTATGGAATTTCTTTGCCCATTTTCTCCCTTTATTTAAATTCTTACAGAAAGACTAAAGATTTATGGAGGAAGTTTTTGGATATAAATTATAAATAGCAAATTATGGAGGGAATAATTAAAATATGTCCTATGGAATATTTGTTTCTCCTTCAAGATAATGGCATTCAGTAAAACCTGGTTCTTTACAATTGGTACTAAGGTATTACCTAACTGGAAGTCCAAACATTGGAAGAGGGATTTTTACAAAGAGTTTCTGGCTTAAATATTCCAAGACAGTATTAATCCCCCGGTATCCACAGGGGATACGTTGCAAGATCCTCAGTGGATGCGTGAAAACTTGGATAGTATTAGGCACTATATACTGTTTTATCCTATACTTTCATACCTATGATAACATTTGATTTATAAATCAGGCACAGTAAGAGATTAACAACAATAATTAATAATAAAATGGAATAATTATAACAACCTGCCAGCATCTTGCACTTTGGAGACATTATTAAGTAAAATAAGGGTAACTTGAACGCAAGCACTGTGATATTCCAAGGATTCGTCTGATAATTAAGCCCCCTACTAAGTTACTAATGAGCAACTTAGTTTTTGAGTCTACAGTGTGGATATGCTGGACCAAGGGGTGATTTATGTCCCAGTCAGGACACAGCAGGATGGGGTGAGATTTCATCAGACTGCTCAGAACAGCACGATTTAAAATTTATGAATTGTTTATTTCTGAAATTTTCCACTTAATATTTTTGGATCTCAGTTGACTGTGGCTAACTGAAATTGTGGACAGTGAAACTGCAAATAAGTGGGAACTACCCTACAGGAAAAGCAAAAAGTTGTGTCAGGTGTTAGACAGTAGGCCATGTTCTTGTTTACTTTTAGTGAAACTTTCCCTGAGTTCTCTAACTGCTTCCGAACCTATGTCAAGTTTTTTGAAATTAATCTTACATCGCATAAGTTTAGATGTGTTTTTGGCTTGTCTCCTTAAATAGATTATAAGCCTCTTTAGCACAATGACAAGCAAGTAGGTATTTGACAAATGTTTATCAGTTTGATTGGTTACCTATTTGTGATTTCTTTCTCTTTGCTAACCCTGGAATGACCAGATCAATTGGGCTATTTAGCTAGGTTGATGGTTTTCAATCTGTGCTTCAAAGAACCCCTCAAAGGTTAAAAGGGGAAAAAGGGAGCCAAGAGAATGAGGCTCTAGTCCCCCATCTACACAAGAAAAACAAAACAAATAAACAAATGAAAAAACTATGGATCATTAACCCAGATAATATATGTAAAAGATAATTACATCACAGAGCAGAGATGGCCAGCTTCTAGGAACCCTTCACTGCCACTAGGGAAATGGGTATGTTATATACGATAATACAACAAACTAAACGAATTAGCAAAGAATACATAGAATTTTGCATATGACTACTTGGGATGAGTCACAATCATCTTTAATTGCCTTTAAATCTGAAGGCTTCACTGAAGTAGAATATCAGTGCTTACTGGCTAACTGACAACTCACTTTTTTGTTCTTCAGTCCATGAGCCTCTGATTGTTATCCTTCTATGACAGACACAACAGAGATTTTTCTTATGAAATTCATAGACATGCCTAATGAAGGAAATTAAAATCTGACTTTAATATCATTTAGTAATTAAATACCAGCCTGTTTAAACTAAAATAAACAAACCAGAGATTACGATCTATGGAATTCTTAAGTTTGTATCTCATGATTGTAATTATCAAAAATTACTCTTTTTAGGTCCAACAATTAGCGTCTACTTTCTTATACCTTTTCTTGATAGTGAGTTTCTATTGCAAGTTAGCTTCTTACTCTAGGCAATATCACTGGTGAAAATAAGGAACATGTCTGCTTTGTTCACGACAGAGCTTAGGGCAGTGTCCAGTACACAGTAAACATTTAATAAATATGAACTTGTTAAATGGATAGAAAATGTAATATGATGGATATCCTAATTACCCTGAGTTGACCTTTATACATTATATAAATGCATTAAATTGCCACTTGTATCCTAGAAATATGTACATCCATTATGTATCAATAAAAAATTTTAATAAATTAAATTTAATAAATTAATGCCTGAAAATTATTTTCACTAATGTTAACAGCCTTCCACAATAGATTAGTCATATTGCAAATTGCCTCCCTTTAAGCACCTTCTTATAATTTTCTCTATCACATCTCAGATACCCATACTTCGGCAAAGAAGGCAGAATGATATCCTGGAAAACAGCCTTGACTCCACAGTTACACAGCACTTAGTGCACACCTGACTCTCACGCTTGATCTCAAGCAAATAATCAGATATCTCGGATTCATAGATAGATGTAGTCTCCTTACTTGTCTTTGAGGATCGCTGTGCATATTAAGTAGAAAATGTATATGAAAGTCCATGTCACAAAATATGGCACATCGTAGCCATCAAAAAGTGGTGCATTTTCTTCCTCTCTCTGCGGCACACTTCTCTGTATATCCAGCTTCATTTGGATCTGATATCTACAAAATGGTTACTCTAAAATTCCAGCCCACAGGGCTCTGCCTCTGGAACCCGCAGCTCCTCCCCAGCCAATAGCCAAGCACCATTCCCTTGCCACCAACCGGTACCAACATTACATCTCCTTCACCACACCAGTAAAGAAATTTAAAACTCTTAGGTAACAAAAAAAAAACAGAAGATTCTAACCTCTCTGCTTCTTTCATTTACTCAAACTCAGGTTTTAAGTTCTTTGTATTTAATCAAGTAATGCACTTCTAAGGGTTAATAGAAATTTTTATCTAATTAACACTCACTACTTTCTCTAAAACAGACTTTTAAAGTTAGTGGCTGAAATTTCCTTTCTTGTGTTTTATTACCTTTTGAAATCAAAGTAATTTGAAATCTTGGTACCCATTACTATTTCATTGAACATTTCTTCAAAATCTTAAGTAACTCAATTTCAATATAAAGTATTAATTAGCAATTTATACCTTCTCAATGTCATAAGTGACCTTTATTCAGAGGTTGTTGAGGTAGTTCTGTGAGGTAACCAAATTAAATTTCAGCCTTAGGCACAGGCAATTATTTTAAATCAGGTCCTTTAATAGTGACTAAATAGGCACTTGTATTACTTACAAGGTAACTTATTTCTCCACAGAGAGTTAACAACTGTTGTTCCTTTGTATAGTCATCATGCTTAAGAGTTTTCTATGAAGCCAAATCGAATGTATGCTTGCTCATCCACAAGCAGAAAGTGAGGAAATGCCTGCCTGCTCCCATAACAAAATATTTGATTTCAGTTTTGAAAAAACAGCTACCACTTGTCCCAAGGATATCTTTCTTTTTTTTTTTGGAAAAGGGGATTTTCTTTTTTTTATAATTTCAATTTTCATTTTGGATTCAGAGGGTACATATGCAGGTATGTTTTATGGGTGTACTGTGTGATGCTGAGGTTTGGGATGTGAATGATCCCATCACTCAGGTAGTGAGCATAGTACCCTATAGACAGTTTTTCAACCCTTTCCTTCCTTTCTCCCTCCCACCTCTAGCAGTCCCCAGTGTCCACTGTTGCCATCTTTAGATCCATGAGTACCCAATGTTTAGCTCCCACTTACAAGTGAAAACACGCAGTATTTTGTTTTCTGTTTCTACGTTAATTTGCTTAGGATAATGGTCTCTAGCTGTACCCATGTTACTGCAAAAGACATGGTTTTATTCTTTTTTATGGCTGCATAGTATTTCATGGTGTATATGCACCATATTTTCTTTATCCAATCTACCATTCTTGGGCACCTAGGTTGATTCCATGTATTTGCTATTATGAATAGTGCTGCAATAAAAACACAAAGACATGTGTCTTTTGGTAGAAAAATATGTTTTCTTTTGAATATATACCTAGTAATGGATTGCCAAGTCAAAAGGTAATTCTGTTTTAAGTTATTGAAGAAATCTCTAAACTGCTTTCCACAGTGGCTGAATTAATATACATTCTCACCAACGTATAAGCATGCTTATATCCCAACAGTGTGTAAGCGTTCCCTTTTCTCCGCAGCCTCACCAACATCTGTTGTTTTTTGGCTTTTTAGCAGTAGCCATTCTGACTGGTGTGAGATGATGTGTCATCGTGGTTTTGATTTCTATTTTCCCAGGAGATCTTCTACAAAGCAGTATGTTTTCTGGCTTTGCTTGCCTTCCTTCTCTTTGCCTCTAATTGTATTTTAACCTCCAATCTACACTCTAATACTAACTATACACTTATCTCCCAATCTTATCCACTTTTTCATTGAGACTATTCTGGAATGGTTTTCCCTAGCCCTCTCATTGATGCTTCTTCCTTGATTACTTTGTTTCCCTAAAACAAGAATACAGAAGCAATTTTCACCAAACTGGAACTATCTTGCTAGTATGCTACAGTTCTTAACATCTTATGCCAGATGCTTCACAGAAAGATATTAAATCATTCATCATGCTATAATAATATTCAATGATTTATTTTTCAAAAAATATTAATACCTTTACCATTTCCATGAAAAAAAAGTTCAGATTCTATTTCAATCTATCTAGCCCAGAAAACAAGAAAGAAAGCCCTTCTGATTGTCAATAAAACTAGGATGACTTCATGTTCCACTCTTATTTAGCTACATATATATATATACATATATATACGTATATACATGTATATATACGTATATATACATGTATATATACGTATATACATGTATATATACGTATATATACATATATATACGTATATACATATATGTATATACATGTATATATGTATATACACAATTATTTTGAAAAATTTATGACTGCTTGAGCCCAGGGCAATGGTGCATAGCTGTAGTCTCAGCCACTCGGAAGGCTGAGGTTGGGGATAGCTTGAACCCAGGAGTTCAAAGTCAACCTGGGCAACAACATAGTGGGATTTGTCTGTAAATACACCACACACACACACACACACACACACACACACACACCCCTCCAAAAATAGCTGGAGTAATAGAATGAGAAAAAAATCTTGCTGACCAGATGCAGTGGCTAACACCAGTAATCCCAGCACTTTGGGAGTCCAAGGCAGGCAGATCACTTGAGGCCAGGAGTTCAAGACCAGCCTAGCCAACATGACAAAAACCCTGTCTCTACTAAAAATACAAAAAAATCAGCGGGGCATGGTGGCACATGCCTGTAATCGCAGCTACTCAGGATGCTGAGGCATGAGAATTGCTTGAACCCGGGAGATGGAGGTTGCAGTGAGCTGGGATCATGCCACTGCTCTCCAGCCTGGTCAACAGAGTGAGACTCTGTCTCAAAAAAAAAAAAAAAAATCTTGCTGTTCAATGTGTCTCAGTTCTCTAAGGATGTAAACTAGGCATCACACAGTTGAATTTAATTCCACTTACTCATTCTACAAGTATATATTAAGTACATACTGTGTCCTGTACTTTGTATAAGAGTAAAATGATACATTGGTGAAGAATTAGAATAGTTCCTGCTTGTGTAAAGCTGAAAGTCTTGTACTCTTACAAACTTTGATAAGTGAAATGGAGGAAAAGCATAGGATGACTTGAGAGAGTTAGAACCAGGTATCCAAGTTTAGATTGGGATATCAGAGAAGTCATCAATGACTAGGATTTGTGGAAATCAAATGAGATAGTAGGTGCAAATGTACAGCCCCAAAATAATGGATAAATGTGAGTAAGTATCAAATGACTATGAGTAAAAGTGAGGGAGGTGTTAAAAAGTAGAAAACTTATATGGTGGAGGAGGATTGCAGAACATGCTTGATGGTTGTATCCCAGAAAATGTCCTGTGTCTGGAAATGGGACATCCATCATTACACACTTACAAGCAATACACAGGTGCTTAAAATGGCTTTCTTCTCACCACAGCCTAGAAAACACCAGTCCTCAAAAATACTATGGTCTGGCTAAGTGAGATTTACTCTGAGAAGAGTTCCAAAATCAGGAGTCCCTGAATCCAGCTGAACCTTTCACAATGGTAAATTGTAGTGCCATTGCCATGTTGGTCCAACATTTACAAGGAAAGAATAAAAACTGAAAGAAGCCACTAAGAGGAAAGTTAAAAAGCCTCCTACATTATTAAAATTCCCAAACCCTCCTTTTCTGAATGGTGTCTCAGATTATTATAAGATGAGCAATAATTTGAGGAATATTGGAGAAGATGCTTACTGGGGAATTCTCATTTACATAAGTTTTAGAAAAAGGTTGCTCAAGTAGTAAGGCAGTGGACAGAATGAACTCCAGGAGTTCTAAAGTATCTTCAGACAAGACACCTATCCTTCACCTTTTCATTGTCCTGGAATCTCAGCCACTAACACAGATTCATGAGTAAAGAACCTGGAACCCTATTGTGATAACAAACATCGCAGGTAATTTTGATTTTTAGCACAATTTTAAAAATACTATTATAGAGAAAGCTGGAGCCAAGTTTTATAATGCTGGACTAAGAAGGTAAAACATGTCTTACTAAGCCCATATTTATTTCTTCTTTTCGATGCTTACTAAATAATTTAGTTACAAATTTTTTTAAAAATTGAAGTTCAGATATTGAATTTTAGAACTTACAGATTGGTTAAATGTTTCTAGGGACTTAATTTCAAATTATCATTTTATCTAGATATTTATTAATATTTCCTGTGTCAGATGAATTTCCACAAACAGATTGCAAATTTTATAAAGATAAGCAGCTACATTCTTTTGAATGCCCCACAATAGTCCCTTCCATAACATATGCACATAAAACACTTGTTAAACAAATACTTGTTAAACCAAATTTAATTACAAAACCAGTTGCTGCCAGTCACATTGTCTCACACACATTAGAAGTTCTTTGGGGTTCCTGAGAAACCAGCAACCTCATTTTTAGTTTTGTTTTCACAAAACAGTTTACTCTTCAGGCTGTCAAGTTTGTACCATGAATAGCCTACCTTCTTCAATTCTGTTCTGAAAAACTGTTTGCCATTTCTCTTCCTTGCTTGTCTGGGATTTATTTTTATTTTGTTTTACTTTCTTATCCTTAGTAAAGCATCACCAAACAAAGGACAAAATAAGGGCGATGAAACCATTGTGTGATGCCTTTTATTTCACAGCTCTGCTCATCTGCCGCACAAATAGCAGAACCCATGGTTAATCACTGCATACCCCTGGGTCCCAGGGCACTCGTGGAGCTTTCCATATGGTCTGCTCAAAACGGGGATTTATGCATATATGAAATACAAATTATGCAAAGAGATGTAATCATATAGTGAAACCAGGTCATAAGAGAAAAATACCTGTTCAACAAAAACAGAAACCTACTTAAAAAACACTCCACATTTCTGGTTCCCAAGGCAAAGCAATAATGTGCACACTATATAAATCTTCATCCTAACATTAACTGGGATAATCTCTCAGACATACTCAACTGGAAGCTTTCATTTTCACTCATCCAGGAAAAAGAGGAGAAAAAGTTTAATTGATTATTTCCATTTTGTTCTTCCTTAATGTCTTAAGCTTTTTAAGTCTTGCTGCCTATTGGGTGACTTAGTACCTCTACGGTAAAGTCTTTAAGTTTTTTTTTTTTCCCTCTAATTTCATCTATAAGCTTTAGTCTGTTCTTTTTCCTGCTGGTTTAAATAGATTATTTTTAGCTTTAGACAGGGTAACCACATAAATAGGGGCACTTTTGAAAGTCACAAGAGGCACTAAACAGAAAAGACACTGCAACGACGGGGAAAAACAGAGACTGCGCTGGGCCAGCTGCGAGGTACACAGTCACCTTGCCTAGGGTTCGCTTTGTGGCCAACAGAAAGATATTCCCCTAACTGGTAAGGTCAGTCCGAAGAGCACTTACATAAGCAGAAACTATTTTGACTGTACTTGGATCCTATTTCCCACACATTTCACATTCCTTATGACAGTCAATGAGAAAGGCAGAAAAATGTCAGAGTTTTCATGAGACATATCCAGTAACAAGAAAGCATGGAAATGAAAATGGAAAAAAAAAAAGCCTTTTGGCACAACTGTATGTCAGGCACCGTATCTATAAAGACAGAGGGAAAGCAAGCTATCATGTCTTCTTAATAATCCTACCACATAAGCATTAGAATTCCCATTTTAAGAAATGAAAAGTCCATATATTGATGGTAAACATGTACACTACTACAACCAGTTTTGGAAAGTAACTGACAATATCTATTCAAAAATTTAAAGTGCCTACTTTTAGACCCCACAATCCTACATTGAAGAATATTTTTAAAAACAAAAGCACCAGTACATAATCGTGTATGTACAAGGAGGTTCATTACTGCAGTGTTTTACAGGCAAAAAAAAAAAAAAATGAATCAATCAGAAATCACATCAATAAAAGCATGTTGCAGAATAATACATACAGTCTGATCTTATTTTTATAAAAAGGAAAAACCCCTCTGTATTATATATATATATCTTATTTTATTCACTCAGCATAGATTTTTTGAGCTCTCAATATGTGGTAAGATGCTATATTGCTATAAACTTGAAAGTATATAGAGAAAGACAAATGAGGATTCACATCAAAATATTAATTACGTCAGGATGGCCAGAATGACAAGGGGACAGGTAAGAATAACAACTCTTCATACACATCTGTATTTTTTTGACAGTTTATATTTTGTATTTATTAGTTTGTATTTATTAGTTTTGTAACTTTTATAAATTCAGTTAAGAAGGAATTGTGTATTTTACAGCTGTGGAAACAAAAGCTCATTGCTCTTAAGTAAGTTAACGAATTGACCCTCCTGAGACAACTAGGAGGTGGTCAACATGAGCTTAGATTCATGCCTGACTCCAAAACACCACAGCACCGGTCTCCAGAAGAAGCTGTTGCTTTAAAATCAATTTATTTTTTATAGATTTAGTGGTTCACTCAAGATAAAACAAACCTAAAAAGAAATGGAAAGAGATATGAAGTAAGGTAACCTTTTCCACTTCGACAATAACAAAATAAAAGCTAATGTCCAATGCCATACACTCTTAGAAATATGTTCGTTCATTCAACCTTATTACAAATTTAAGATTGTTTCTTCATTTTGCCAACCTTGGTCTTGATTTTCCTAATTTCATAATTTACCTATAAGATTTTCTACAGCAGAGTTTGAGAACTCAAGGATTTTGTTAAGGGCACATAGACATGGTTTTCTAGGATTGTGAAATCAACGTGAGCTCTGGAAAGAGTGATGCTTCTTAAATAAATGGGGACAATCAAGGCACAATTTTAAAAGGAAGATATGTATTCTTTCTATTAAAGTCTAGCTTTAACATAGGGCATATTGTCAATCACATAATTAACATGGATTCACCAATTGCAGTCTCTTTCGATGAGTCTAAAAGTTATTATGTCAGGAGACTCCACGAAAAACGAAAAGTGGTGGACTGAGAACGTAACAGAATATAGTACAACTCCTGCTTGAGTCAAATCTCTTCCAGTCACAAAGAACAGGGCCAAGGGGGAAGGGGCACATAGAATAGGAAGAAACTGTAAGCTCTTGATCCAAGAATTGAGGCAAAATATAGTCAGGTCTCAGAAAAATAGGAACTAAGACTTGGAAAGTCTTGAACCAAGGCTGTTGTACTTATCCCTCAGCAGCCCCATGGTCCCTGCCTGTGCTTCTCTCTGGAACTTTGCCTGCATCGTCTCTTCTCTCTCAGCAATCCCCTCAGCCAGGCTCCCCCTGAGTAGGGCCCAGGATGGCTGCCGTCCTCAACTGGTTACCATGTACCTCAGCTCCAGCAAACTTTACTGATTAATAATGGTTTCTTACTTCACATTTTTGTGAAAAAAAAAAGTATCTGATTGGTTCATCCCAGCTGTTTTAATGAAAGCCTTTTCTACTACAGCATGCTGTAACTCCCAAACTATGAATTGTACCAAAATTGACAGCTCAGTCCTGATTCCACATGGACCCTGCCAACTCAACAGGCACTGTGGGTGACATGCCTGATCTAATAGATAAGTCAATAAACCTACTAGATAGACATGTTTCAAAAGTTTATTTGGGAGTCAGTCATGGAATTTTTAGAACTTTTTTCCATAGAAAAAAAATCAAAGAAAAGACAAATAAATAATGATTGCCTACTACATTAAGCACACGGATAAGAACTTCAAATTCATTTTTTAATTTCAATTCATTCATTCACCAATTCCCTAAGCAAGTTATTGATCATAAGGTGGTACATACATTATGATTGGGCTCCAAAAATAGCTATCAATTTCTTATTAAAATCAAAATATAGATTCACAGCATCCAAAATAAAATGGATGATAACCATCATACAAATCATTGTTTCTATAGAAAAGTATATTTCAAGTTCCAGCATGGGCTGTTCATAGTACATCTTCCCCCAATGGAAGCACTAACTACACTTCCTTCCTCTCCCCATGTTTTTTGTAGATCAGTGGGGCAGGTCCAACTCGACACCACAAGTGATACAATGCCCACAGCCTGAGAGAGGATCTGGGGTGAAGTACAGACATGAGAAGTAGGCAGTTGGCAAAAGTAAACTCACTATTTCGGGTTTTTTTTTTTTTTTAAGTAAAAAGGCATTATAAGGGCCAAGGAAAAGGAAAGGGCTGTAAGAAATAATGTGACAATGAAGTTTGTATGTTTTTTCCCCTTACGTTTCCTCTCTTTTATCCTAGTTATTATTACTTCTAATGTGAGTACCATGTTTAAAATATATATTTTAAAATTTTTTTTTATGTATTTAAAGATAGTGTGAAGTGTGAAGATAGGGGCAGCAGTAAGAGCCTGACAGGTACAGACCTTTTTGCCACAGCCTCGAAAGCGCTGGACTGATGAATGCAGCAGAAAGAGAAGGGGTGAAAGAAAAGAAGAATTCAGCTGGCCCTCTCTGGAGAACCCATTTGTAAATGCAAGGATGTTTATAAGTCAGGCATATGTAAGTCAGAGACTGTGTGTAATTGGATCGTATAATATGACATTCATCCCTGACTTTTTTCCCCTCACCTAGTCTCCTGGTTTTATATCTTACTATGATGTGAGATAATATGGTTGTACATGAGTGACTTGAGTTAAAAAATAGACGCATAAAATTCTCTCAAGCTAGATACTCAGCCACCTAAATTGTGAGGCACACTTTAACCGGAGACAACTGCATAGAAAAGAGAAATGTGGCACTGTATTCACAAATGGAAAACAGCCTTTATTCCCTTATTAAATTTTCAAGGAGTAGCATGGAGATTTAACCACAAAGCTCACATTATTTAGGGGATTTAATTATTGTTTGTTTCTTTCCTTCATTTTCTGTCTTCAAATAAAAGCATATTTCATTACATGGTGAGCGTTAATGTTTTTAGGAAGGTTCAGAAAAAAAATCAGCTTTTCACAAAAACAGAACCATATTCCTTATTATCTACACAAATTAAGGAAAGCCATACTGCTCTAGCATTAGAGAGAAAAAAGAGAAGCAATGCTTGGGTGGCACCTTCTCAGATGACTTTCTAGCAGGCAGGCCTTTTTAAATTTTAAAATTTGGGACTGCCAAGGCCTGGTCTCAGAGATGGGGACGCCATAAGACTTAGGACAGTGATTCCTAAACACAATGTGCTCCAGACTCACGTGGCGAAAATCTTTAAAAGTGGAGCTTCCCTGGACTCCAATCCAGACACTAGAAGCCAACTCTGGCAAGTTTTATCTTGAATAAGGGGCTTCCCTCTGAATAGTTTATAGCTTACAGGCTACCTTTTTTTGTTAAACCATTGCCCTGGAGCAGTTTTTTCTCAAAGTGTGGTTCTTGTATTACCTTCAAGTGAAATCACTTAACATGTTTGTGAAAAATGCAGATTTCCGGACTGCACTTTAGATCAGCAGAATCAGATTCTCTGGGAGGTGGGATCCTGAAATCTTCCCTTTTTAACAAGCACCCCAGTTAAGTTTTATTCCCACTAAAGTTTGAGAATCACTGCCTTAAGAGGCTTTCAACCAGGCATTCACCCCTTGTCTATTTTTCTATTTCTACTATGCTGTTAATGTCTTTATGAGCACAAAATTTCCCCTTCATATTTTGATTATTAAATTAATAATAAAGAAAAAAATCTCTTCAACATGTTCCCACATGACCTCAAAGTTTTACTAGATGTGCCAGGAAAGCTGAGGTTTACACAGTGGTAGGCAGAGACTTCTGGCCATTTTCCATGTGACAATCCTTCCTTCATCCCTAAGAAAATGAGATCATAGAGCGTCATCTGTGGGCTAGACTTTGGGGTTGTAAGGCCTTAACAACTTCTGCCTACCCACTCAGTTTCCCTTACATTCCGATGTGCTGACTAGTTCTCACCAATAACATAGCAAGAGTGGTGTCTCTTCCAGGCCAGAGATTTTAAGTCAGGCATTTCTTCTTTAGTACCTCTCTCCCCATTTTCAGATGAATGTTAAGGACTTCAAGCCCCTAAGGGATGGTGGAGCCACAAGGTAAAGGTGCTTGGGTTCCTGAATCACCAGGTGGAAGAAAGCTGTTCACAGACAAGGGACATCTACACCAGACTGTTAATAGGCAAGAAATATATTTGTATTGGGTTAAGCTACTAAATATTTAGGATTGATTTGGTACGGAAAATAACACTATTATGCTAGATATCTTGTTTCTTCTGTTTCTAAATATAGAGTAAGCAAAATTAATTCAAAATATGCATTTTCTGAGTGGAATTGGACAACTCTCAGTCTAAAGTCCAGTTCCTCCACATAATCATTCTGTAGCCTTACAAAAGCTATTTCACCTCCTTGTGATCAACAAACTTCTGGGGCCTAATTACAATAGAAGGACTAAGACTTCATCTCCCTTTTTAGCAAAGATACTTTATATTAGTAGTTAACCTCTCTTAAATTTAACTATTTATGCTCTTCAAGTACAAATCCTTTGGCATTGCAACTGCTAACCCAAACAAGTACAAAATTAAACAACGACCTTTGACTCCCGACAAGCAATTCACATGCTACTGGAGATCATACTCATATGTTTGGTGCTTTAAAACATACATTCTATGTACCTATAGGTACTGTATATCTACTTCATAGAAAAAACATAGTAAATATGGATAAAAATGTTCATTAGCAAACCACAGAAAATGGGAATTACCTATTCAATACTATCCCAAAACACAGCAAAAATAGATAATATTTACTTCTTGAACAGGGAAACCAGCAAATAATTTTTAATAATTTTGAAATAAAATTCTCACTTTATGTACAGGAAGGGCTTTTTTTTCTCCTTTGGCAAATCAACATTTAGTCTGTAAAACGACGCTCACTCATAATGTCATGCATCTCACTCACAATAATTCTTTCTTATTAACTGCTTGGGTACAATTTATTTTCCTCTCAGGCTACGAAGGTGCATGCAAGTGCAGCACACTCTGGCTGGAGCTGATAAGCCAGCCCATGGCAGCAGCACTGCTGGCCTGATGAGATTTGTAAGAAGACAATATTCCACTGGCAAAGAAAACTATGCTGTATATCAAACCTATCAAAAGTAATATCTACAAACAATGCCTTGATGCATTTGCCAACTCTCGCAGAAAGCTCTCCAGTGTTCTGAAAATATAGCTTGATTTTTTTTATAGTGAAGACATACAAGCTACTTTTTTAAAAAAGATCTTGCTTTTATTTACTTTTTTTTCACTAAGCATGATAGATCTAAAGGAATATTTTTAAACCTTGGCTTTGAAATAGACATCACTATAATTCAAGAAGAGGATGGTTTGCCTATCCTTAGGGTTAGGACAATTTATTTTATAGCAGAGCATAGAATAAATCAAGGAATGGCCAAGAGAGAAACATGTCACAATCCCACATTGAAAATTCTCATTAAGTTTTCCAATGCTTTTAAAATGAAATAGTTATCACTGAGGAAGACAAACACTTTCCCTGCAAAAAAAAAATTGCTTTTCCTTCTGCTTAGAAAAATTGTTTATTATTTATGTTATTTTAGCACCACAAATTGTTTCAAAGGAAAAAATTATGATATTAAGACAGGTATTATCTTAAAGATAAATCACTGTGAGGAATTTAAATAGATGATGCAGTGGATAGAATCACAGAATTTAAAGGAAAATAAGCTATAATGATGATATGATATTCAAATAATACTTCACAGTTTATAACACATTGGCATATATTTTTCATAATGCTGTCATATGGATATGGCTAGTACTGGAATTAGCTTCCAATGCCAATTGGCTGTCATTTATTGAGTGTTTACTGTATGTTCTATGCTTTACATACATTACCTCATTTAATCCCCGTAACCACCTCATGAGATCTCCTAGAAGGCAATATTCCACTGGCTGAGATAAATCCCTGCTGTATATTAAATCTATCCAAAAAATCTAAAACAGTGCTTTAATGCATCTTTCAACTTCACACAAAAACTCTCTGCTGTATGTCAAAATACAGGGTGATTTATTTTTTTCCTTTTTTCAAGAAAGAATAAGGAACTTGAGGTATAGGGGGAGCAAATGACTTATCTTAAAGCAAAAGTAAAAAGACAGCTACGGGTTTTGAACACCAACAACGAATGTGCTAAGTGCTTTACATGCACACACACAATCACGCGAGCTCAGTTAATCTTACCAACTGCTACATGGCCTAGTATTATCATACCCCTTTTTGTCTCTGCTAAGTTTTACTTTGCAATTTTCTTTTTTTCAATTGTCATACAGTAAAATTTACTTTTTTTTAGATCTACAGTTCCATCAATTCTGATTCATGTATAGATTCATAGAACCACCACCACAATCAAACACAAAATAGTTCCAACACTCCATTACCCTCCCCTATACTACCCATTTACAGTCACACACATAAACCCCTCACTGCTAAACTCTGGTAATCACTGATCTGTATCTGTCACTACATTTTTGTCTTCTCAAGAATGTCATACAAATGGAATCATATAGGATATATAACCTTTTGAGATTGGATTTTTTCACACAGCGTGATGACTTTGAAATTCATTTAAGCTTTTGCATCTATCAAAAGTCTATTATCTTTTATTATATTTTTTTAAGTACAAAGAAAATAAAACATAAAGTGTAAATAACTTGCCCAAAAACATACATGCAGAAACTAGTGGAGCTGGAATGTAAAGCCAGGTGTGACTGTAAAACTCATGAGTTCCTTCAACTAAGATTCAAAAATAAGAGTCAAGAATCACAGAAGAAAATGGGCTTTCTAAAACTATTAAGTACACTGAATGTATTATTATTAAAGGGAGTATAAATGGGTCACCAGTACTTCAAATAGAGAAATTCATTGACACTCAGGAAAAGAAATATTTCTTTGTGAAAATTCTAAATAGAAATACTATTTTATATTTTTATTTTAGAAAATGTAAACTCTCTAGTAATTTATTTATTTATTTATTTTAATTTTATTATTATTATACTTTAAGTTTTAGGGTACATGTGCACAATGTGCAGGTTTGTTACATATGTATACATGTGCCATGTTGGTGTGCTGCACCCATTAACTCATCATTTAGCATTAGGTATATCTCCTAATGCTATCCCTCCCCCCTCCTCCCACCCCACAACAGTCCCCGGTGTGTGATGTTCCCCTTCCTGTGTCCATGTGTTCTCATTGTTCAATTCCCACCTATGAGCGAGAACATGCAGTGTTTGGTTTTTTGTCCTTGCGATAGTTTGATGAGAATGATGGTTTCCAACTTCATCTGTGTCCCTGCAAAGGACATGAACTCATCATTTTTTATGGCTGCATAGTATACCACATGGTGTATATGTGCCACATTTTCTTAATCCAGTCTATCACTGTTGGACATTTGGGTTGATTCCAAGTCTTTGCTATTGTGAATAGTGCCGCAATAAACATACGTGTGCATGAGTCTTTATAGCAGCATGATTTATAATCCTTTTGGTATATACCCAGTAATGGGATGGCTGGGTCAAATGATATTTCTAGTTCTAGATCCCTGAGGAATTGCCACACCGACTTCCACAATGGTTGAACTGGTTTACAGTCCCACCAACAGTGTAAAAGTGTTCCTATTTCTCCACATCCTCTCCAGCACCTGTTGTTTCCTGACTTTTTAATGATTGCCCTTCTAACTGGTGTGAGATGCTATCTCATTGTGGTTTTCATTTGCATTTCTCTGATGGCCAGTGATGATGAGCATTTTTTCATGTGTCTGTTGGCTGCATAAATGTCTTCTTTTGAGAAGTGTCCGTTCATATCCTTTGCCCACTTTTTGATGGGGTTGTTTGTTTTTTTCTTGTAAATTTGTTTGTGTTCATTGTAGATTCTGGATATTAGCCCTTTGTCAGATGAGTAGGTTGCAAAAATTTTCTCCCATCCTGTAGGTTGCCTGTTCACTCTGATGGTAGTTTCTTTTGCTGTGCAGAAGCTCTTTAGTTTAATTAGATCCCATTTGTCAAGTTTGGCTTTTGTTGCCATTGCTTTTGGTGTTTTAGACATGAAGTCCTTGCCCATGCCTATGTCCTGAATGGTATTGCCTAGGTTTTCTTCTAGGGTTTTTATGGTTTTAGGTCTAACATTTAAGTCTTTAATCCATCTTGAATTAATTTTTGTATAAGATGTAAGGAAGGGATCCAGTTTCAACTTTCTACATATGGCTAGCCAGTTTTCCCAGCACCATTTATTAAATAGGGAATCCTTTCCCCATTGCTTGTTTATGTCAGGTTTCTCAAAGATCAGATAGTTGTAGATATGCAGCATTATTTCTGAGGGCTCTGTTCTGTTCCATTGGTCTACATGTCTGTTTTGGTACCAGTACCATGCTGTTTTGGTTACTGTAGCCTTGTAGTATAGTTTGAAGTCAAGTAGTGTGATGCCTCCAGCTTTGTTCTTTTGGCTTAGGATTGACTTGGCGATGCGGGCTCTTTTTTGGTTCCGTATGAACTTTAAAGTAGTTTTTTCCAATTCTGTGAAGAAAGTCATTGGTAGCTTGATGGGAATGGCATTGAATCTATAAATTACCTTGGGCAGTATGGCCATTTTCACGATATTGATTCTTCCTACCCATGAGCATGGAATGTTCTTCCATTTGTTTGTATCCTCTTTTATTTCACTGAGCAGTGATTTGTAGTTCTCCTTGAAGCGGTCCTTCACATCCCTTGTAAGTTGGATTCCTAGGTATTTTATTCTCTTTGAAGCAATTGTGAATGGGAGTTCACTCATGGTTTGGCTCTCTGTTTGTCTGTTATTGGTGTATAAGAATGCTTGTGATTTTTGCACACTGATTTTGTATCCTGAGACTTTGCTGAAGTTGCTTATCAGCTTAAGGAGATTTTGGGCTGAGACAATGGGGTTTTCTAAATATATAATCATGTCATCTACAAACAGGGACAATTTAACTTCCTCTTTTCCTAATTGAATGCCCTTTATTTCCTTCTCCTGCCTGATTTCCCTGGCCAGAACTTCCAACACTATGTTGAATAGGAGTGGTGAGAGAGGGCATCCCTGTCTTGTGCCCGTTTTCAAAGGGAATGCTTCCAGTTTTTGCCCATTCAGTATGATATTGGCTGTGGGTTTGTCATATTTAGCTCTTACTATTTTGAGATACGTCCCATCAATATCTAATTTATTGAGAGTTTTTAGCATGAAAGGTTGTTGAATTTTGTCAAAGGGCTTTTCTGCATCTATTGAGATAATCATGTGGTTTTTGTCTTTGGTTCTGTTCATATGCTGGATTATGTTTATTGATTTGCATATGTTGAACCAGCCTTGCATCCCAGGGATGAAGCCCACTTGATCATGGTGGATAAGCTTTTTGATGTGCTGCTGGATTAGGTTTGCCAGTATTTTATTGAGGATTCTTGCATCAATGTTCATCAAGGATATTGGTCTAAAATTCTCTTTTTTGGTTGTGTCTCTGCCAGGCTTTGGTATCAGGATGATGCTGGCCTCATAAAATGAGTTAGGGAGGATTCCCTCTTTTTCTATTGATTGGAATAGTTTCAGAAGGAATGGTACCAGCTCCTCCTTGTACCTCTGGTAGAATTTGGCTGTGAATCCATCTGGTCCTGGACTTTTTTTGGTTGGTAAGCTCTTAATTATTGCCTCAATTTCAGAGCCTGTTATTGGTCTATTCAGAGATTCAACTTCTTTCTGGTTTAGTCTTGGGAGGGTGTATATGTTGAGGAATTTATCTCTTTCTTCTGCATTTTCTAGTTTATTTGCATAGAGGTGTTTATAGTATTCTCTGATGGTAGTTTGTATTTCTGTGGGATCGGTGGTGATATCCCCTTGGTCATTTTTTATTGCGTCTATTTGATTCTTCTCTCTTTTCTTCTTTATTAGTCTTGCTAGCAGTCTATCAATTTTGTTGAGCTTTTCAAAAAACCAGCTCCTGGATTCATTGATTTTTTGAAGGGTTTTTTTGTGTCTCTTTTGCCTTCAGTCCTGCTCTGATCTTAGTTATTTCTTGCCTTCTGCTAGCTTTTGAATGTGTTTGCTCTTGCTTCTCTAGTTCTTTTCATTGTGATGTTAGGGTGTCAATTTTAGATATTTCCTGCTTTCTCTTGTGGGCATTTAGTGCTATAAATTTCCCTCTACACACTGCTTTGAATGTGTCCCAGAGATTCTGGTATATTGTGTCTTTGTTCTCATTGGTTTCAAAGAACATCTTTATTTCTGCCTTCATTTCGTTATGTACCCAGTAGTCATTCAGGAGCAGATTGTTCAGTTTCCACATAGTTGAGCGATTTTGAGTGAGTTTCTTAATCCTGAGTTCTAGTTTGATTGCACTGTGGTTTGATTGCACAGTTTGTTATAATTTCTATTCTTTCTACCTTTGCTGAGGAGAGCTTTACTTCCAACTATGTGGTCAATTTTGGAATAGGTGTGGTGTGGTGCTGAAAAGAATGTGTATTCTGTTGATTAAGGGTGGAGAGTTCTGTAGATGTCTATTAGGTCCGCTTGGTGCAGAGCTGAGTTCAATTCCTGGATATCTTTGTTAACTTTCTGTCTCATTGGTCTGTCCACTGTTGACAGTGGGGTGTTAAAGTCTCCCATTATTATTGTGTGGGAGTCTAAGTGTCTTTGTAGGTCACTAAGGACTTGCTTTATGAATCTGGGTGCTCCTGTATTGGGTGCATATATATTTAGGATAGTTAGCTCTTCTTGTTGAATTGATCCCTTTACCACTATGTAATGGCCTTCTTTGTCTCTTTTGATCTTTGTTGGTTTAAAGTCTGTTTTATCTGAGACTAGGATTGCAACCCCTGCCTTTTTTTGTTTTCCATTTGCTTGGTAGATCTTCCTCCATCCCTTTATTTTGAGCCTATGTGTGTCTCTGCACGTGAGATGGGTTTCCTGAATACAGCACACTGATGGGTTTTGACTCTTTATCCATTTTGCCTGTCTGTGACTTTTAAGTGGAGCATTTAGCCCATTTACATTTAAGGTTGATATTGTTATGTGTGTATTTGATCCTGTCATTATGATGTGAGCTGGTTATTTTGCTCATTAGTTGATGCAGTTACTTCCTAGCCTTGACGGTCTTTACAATTTGGCATGTTTTTGCAGTGGCTGGTACCAGTTGCTCTTTCCATGTTTAGTGCTTCCTTCAGGAGCTCTTTTAGGGCAGGCCTGGTGGTGACAAAATCTCTCAGCATTTCTTGTCTGTAAAGGATTTTATTTCTCCTTCACTTATGATGCTTAGTTTGGCTGGATATGAAATTCTGAGTTGAAAGTTCTTTTCTTTAAGGATGTTGAATATTGGCCCCCACTCTCTTCTGGCTTGTAGAGTTTCTGCCAAGAGATCAGCTGTTAGCCTGATGGGCTTCCCTTTGTGGGTAACCCGACCTTTCTCCCTGGCTGCCCCTAACATTTTTTCCTCCATTTCAACTTTGGTGAATCTGACAATTAAGTGTCTTGGAGTTGCTCTTCTTGAGGAGTATCTTTGTGGCGTTCTCTGTATTTCCTGAATTTGAATGTTGGCCTGCCTTGCTAGATTGGGGAAGTTCTCCTGGATCATACCTTGCAGAGTGTTTTCCAACTTGGTTCCATTCTCCCCGTCACTTTCAGGTACACCAATCAGACGTAGATTTGGTCTTTTCACATAGTCCCATATTTCTTGGAGGCTTTGTTTAGTTTCTTTTTATTCTTTTTTCTCTGAACTTCTCTTCTCACTTCATTTCATTCATTTTGACTTCCATCACTGATACCCTTTCTTCCAGTTGATCGCATCGGCTACTCAGGCTTGTGCATTCATCACGTAGGTCTCGTGCCATGGTTTTCAGCTCATCAGGTCCTTTAAGGACTTCTCTGCATTGGTTATTCCAGTTAGACATTCATCTAATTTTTTTTCAAAGTTTTTAACTTCTTTGCCATTGGTTCGAACTTCCTCCTTTAGCTTGGAGTAGTTTGATCTTCTGAAGCCTTCTTCTCTCAACTCGTCAAAGTCATTCTCCGTCCAGCTTTGTTCCGTTGCTTGTGACAAGCTGCATTCCTTTGGAGGAGTAGAGGCACTCTGATTTTTAGTTTCCTGTTTTTCTGCTCTGTTTTTTCCCCATCTTTGTGGTTTTATCTACCTTTGGTGTTTGATGATGGTGATGTACAGATGGGTTTTTGGTGTGGATGTCCTTTCTGTTTGTTAGTTTTCCTTCTAACAGTCAGGACCCTCAGCTGCAGGTCTGTTGGAGTTTGCTGGAGGTCCTCTCCAGACCCTGTTTGCCTGGATATCAGCAGCAGTGGCTGCAGAACAGCGGATATTGGTGAACCGCAAACGCTGCTGCCTGATCGTTCCTCTGGAAGTTTTGTCTTAGAGGAGTACCTGGCCGTGTGAGGTGTCTGTCCGCCCCTACTGGGGGGTGCCTCCCATTTAGGCTGCTAGGAGGTCAGGGACCCACTTGAGGAGGCAGTGTGCCCGTTCTCAGATCTCAAACTGCATGCTGGGAGAACCACTACTCTCTTCAAATTTGTCAGACAGGGACATTTAAGTCTGCAGAGGTTACTGCTGCCTTTTGTTTGTCTGTGCCCTACCCCCAGAGGTGGAGCCTACAGAGGCAGGCAGGCCTCCTTGAGCTGTGTTGGGCTCCACCCAGTTCAAGCTTCCCAGCCACTTTGTTTACCTACTCAAGCCTGAGCAATGGTGGGTGCCCCTCCCCCAGCCTCGCTGCCGCCTTGCAGTTTGATCTCAGACTGCTGTGCTAGCAATGAGCAAGACTCCATGGGCATAGGACCCTCCAAGCCAGGGGCAGGATATAATCTCCTGGTGTGCCGTTTGTTAAGCCTTTTGGAAAAGCGCAGTATTAGGGTGGGAGTGACCCGATTTTCCAGGTGCTGTCTGTCACCTCTTTCTTTGACTAGGAAAGGGAATTCCTAGACCCCTTGAACTTCCCAGGTGAGGCGATGCCTCGCCCTGCTTTGGCTCATGCACAGTGTGCTGCACCCACTGTCCTGCACCCACTGTCCGCCACTCCCCAGTGAGATGAACCTGGTACCTCAGTTGGAAATGCAGAAATCACCCGTCTTCTGCGTCACTCACGCTGGGAGCTGTAGACTGGAGCTGTTCCTATTCTGCCATCTTGGCTCCACCCTCAACTCTCTAGTAATTTAAATATGATTTTTATTACTTATCTATTTCCCATTCAAGTGTTTTGAAAAATATTCAGTTTTAGATCTATGGGGTGCTTTTTCAGTACATTGTATGTCTCCACAAAGAAAAACAAAAGTTCATATTTGGTCAGGTCAAAATACGAAATTTACACCCAAACACAATTCTGGAAGCAGGGAGGTTAAATGGTGCTAGTAAAAGAGTTAGTCTGAAGTGGTCCTACCCAGCTTAAATTTAGCAGTTAATTGCCCAGTGCTGGCCGCACGTATCTGGCAGCTCCAGTTCCCTCAGGGAATCTTCCAACCAAGAGCCAAGAAGCCACTACTCCCGGCTGATGGTGGGTACTGTGAAGCCTTGTAGTTTTCCTGGAGAGAGAAACAACCACTCGACACAAGTGGCATAGGACCTGTGTTCCTGTCACCCCTTTGCTGCCGACATTGAGCTTATCGCTTCTTTGGTCTTCTTTCAGTTCTAGTAATATCTTAAAAGGCCTTTTTATAGTCCCACCATGTTTTTGGTGCCAAGTTTGTTCTTCTTAACATGACCTGTAGGTATCTGCTAGTTTCATATTCTCTCATGGCTTTCCTCTTTTCACCTTTTGTATATACTCTTTTAAAATTTAGATTTTGTGGCCACGTTGGTATATTTAAATGTTCCCTTGTTTCTACCTTATTGGGATAAAGTGTGATTGTGCTATTGGCATGTGGCATTTTGAAGCTTCCTCATCCGTCAAGATTTTCAGAATTTAGATATAAGTAGCAATGCTAGTTTAATAGACAAGCTTTCAGCAAAACTCCTTAGAAATAAGATATCAACTAATTATCTGGGGATGGTGCAGACAGAGAGTATCCAGTATTGGAAAAGGCACACTACTCAGGAAAAGTCTCAGAACCCAAAGATGATCTGTGCTTATTCTATAAATTTGTTACCTAGGAAAATTTCTTATTACAGTTGTAAATAATTCAGGTGTAAACAAATTAAACATCACTTTAATTAGAACTGCCTGGAAAATCAGGAAAATAGTACTTACTGAAGGGACCCTGCCTATTCATGCCCCTATAAATCTGCCCCTATGCCCCGAGCCTTGCCCCAGAGCACAGAGTAATCTTTTGCAGAAGGCAGCTCTCAAACATGGTTGATTAAATGACCTATTACCAATCTCTCAGGGACATTGCCTTCCTTAATGCTCTAGTGGCTCCTTGAAAAGAAATGTTTCCATTGTCCTAAAAGAGCAGATTTTTATTCCAAATAACATAACCAACAGATGTCTCCAAAATCCTAAGGCTACTAGGATGGTGGCAGTTTGTGGTATTTTCCCATCCCTTATGGTGCATTGGAAATATCTGTGCAGCCACCTGTGTTCTTACCTTTGGCCCATGCAATCAAAGCTGTTTCATAATTGAGCCAAATGAAACAATAAGATGACTCCAAGAAATCAGAAGCATGTCATATACATTACCCTCTCCAGAATAATAAAGAGGTGAATTTTAAGAGCTAAAAAGAGTATAATACATTTTTGATTCCTAAACTCTATTGCCTTGTTACAAATTAACTTGTCATGTATTATTGAAAGTTTTCCATTGACACATAAAAGAAAAATAATCCAGAAGTTATTCCACATTGTATCCAAAATATATTCATCATGATTATAAGGCTCGACACTTTATATCCATGACCTCATTTAATCCTACAATCCTATAACATAGAAGTGCTTGTCTTCATTTCACAGATAAACAAATCGAAACAGTCACACTGGCAGTAAGCGGCAGAGCAATATTGAGAGCTGCATCTGCTCAATGACCAAGTTCATGCTCTTTTCACCTCGACATGCTGCCTCTACTGAACAAAAAAATCACAAATGCCCCAAAATTATTTGTCACCTCTTATTTGTAAATTTGTTTCTAAAATTTAGTAATCCAATAGCAGAACATCAAAAAAGAATTCTGGAACATATAAAGGCTTCATATTTCACTCTACTCTGTGCCAGATCACTATTGTCAGTAAACAATATAAGAATCTCATTTATGTTCAAGGAGAGAAATTTTTTTTGAAAAAAATTACTTCAAAGCTACACTTTTTATTTCCAAAAGGAAAGCTCCTTTTTGCTTTAATTTTCAAAGTAGGCCTATATGCAAGCATTATTTTGCCAATGTATCTACAAAGAAAGATTACTCCTTGGGTACGAAAAGAGGATGTGCTACATTCTTCATCCGTTCCTATGCTAATTTTGGCCTTTTGCATAAAAGGCTTTTCTGAACAGTTGTGCCAAATGTGTGGTAATTTTGTGATATAACCTTTAGGCCACATAAAACTCAGCCAAAGTTACCGAAATAATTTCATCCAACAGAATTTGGATTCGGCCCCTTCATAAATAAAGAAAACTTAGGAACAAGGTCTTTTAAAGTAGGGAAACAAGGCCACACAAGGCAATCGGTATCTAACTTTACAGTGTCAGTGATAGTAAGGCCAGTGTATCTTTTCCTAGTGCACTTCAATACCAAGGAAAGCTTTCTAACTATGGAAACATTGTTAGAGAACTAGTTCACAGTATTGTGTCTTGGGCTGTCTCTCCTTTCCTCTTGCCTTAACCTGTATGCTTTTGCGACTACCAGTCAGCACTATGTGAATAATCCCCAGATCTATATGGGAATGTTTTAGAAATCTTGAGAAGCTCTGTGCCTCTCAAGGGAACAATGGTGTCTAAAGTAAGTTTATCCTTTTTCCTTCCTAACCTATTTTTCCTCTCGTGGTCTCATTTTTTGTTTGTTTCACCACCAGTTACCCAAGACCACACCTTTGGCTCTATCAACTCTTGTCTAAACTCTTGAAATCACCTTCCAATTCCTTTTCTAATTTTTTTCAATCCATTAAAATCCATTTTGCAAATTACTTCCATTCCCTTCAAAACCCCTGAAATACTTTCTACTGCCAATGAAATGAAAATGTTGATGCTGATTTTTAATTATGGCAAACACGGAAATAGTACTACAGCTAACGACAAGAGAAACTAAAATGATTCACTTTGGTGCTCAAGTCTCTAAAATTTAATGGTTTGATATTAAATACTATGAATTCAGCCAGTTCACTCGGTAACTCTGGAAGATATTTGCCAGCTCTCTAATGGGCATATCAGAAGGCTACCTCTGTCAGAATCAGACATACCCCAGGAAGATTTCTGAGGTTTCTCCTACTTGAAGTGGAAAAGCTTTCCAGGTAAAAATCATCTTTCCTGTACTCTTTACTCTCTGGGAAATTCTAGATTTTCATAAGGCAAATCCAAATACTGGAGCAAACATAAATAGGTTATTGACGAAAATCTCTACTAGCAAAACATATGAGTCTACCTCAATCTGTTATGAAGAATACCAACATGCCACTCCCATACTCCATTCCAAAACCCAGATAAAATAATTATGTGTGGAAAATATTCTAAGAGATATGACACTCATTAATTTACTTACTATATTTATTGAGTGCTTGTTATGTGCCTAGCACTCCTCTAGGGCCAGGAAATACATTGGTAAGCAAGATAGACAAAGTCTTCATGGTTCTTAGGGAGAGAGAAGGAGAGAATAAACAAACTGATTATATCATACACAACACTGTGGTAAGTACTATGGGAGAAAATTAATTAGTAGAAGGGAGTAGTGAGTGCCAAGAGGAAAAGGAGTGGCTATTTATATTGGTTGGGCTGGGATCATCTGAGCAGTAATCTGATAGGAGTAAAGAAACAAGCCTTGGCATTGTATTTATTTCCTAGGGCTGCCATAATAAATGAGCACAAACTGTGTGGCTTAAAACCGGATATTCTGAGCACATTACTCTCTCATGTCCTTTGCACTGCTGCTTGCTCTGCTCGGAACAATCGTTCTCCAGACTTCCACATATGCCTGTAGTTGGTTCAATAGAGTTCTCCCAAAATTCATATCAACCCGGAACTTCAGAATGTGACCTTATTTGGAAATAGGGTCTTTGCAGATGTAATTAGTTAAGGACTTCATGATAAAATAAACCTGGATTTAGAGTGGGCCCTAACTTTAATGACTAGCATTCTTATAAGAGAGAGGACAGAGAGACATAGGGAAGAAGGTGATATAAAGACAGAAGCAGAGATTGGAGTGATGCTCCCACAAGCCCAGGAATATCAGGAACCATCAGAAACTGAAAGAGGCAAGAAAGGAGTGTCCCTAGAGTAACTAAAAGGAGGATGGCTCTGCCGGTGTCTGGATTTCAGGCTTTCGGCCTGCAGAGCTGTGAGAGAATAAATTGAATTGAGTATCTGGCTGACAGCAAGGTGGACAATGTGGCTGGAATACAGTAAATAAGGGAGAGAGTAGAAAAAAGTGATGTCAGAGAGGGAGCCAAGAACCAGAGTATGTACTCAAATATAGAGTCTTATGGGCTGTTGAGGAATCTTGGAAAATTTGAGCAGATAACTTATACTCTAAGAGGATTTCTCTGGCTGCTGGATGGATGAATATCTCTATTGGGGTTAACAAAGACAGTTTCAAACCCCCAAAATATTTACTTTCTAAATATTTATTTAGAAGACTATATTTATTTATGAAGACTATATATATTTATTTATGAAGACTATAATATTCATCTGATCAGCTGGCCACCTAGAATAAAGACTGCATTTTCCAGCCTCCATTGCACCTATGTGTAGCAACAAAACATCCCTAGGGGTAGAAACTGGAAATGGTAAGTGAAGTTTTCAGAAATTGACTTTTAAAAGAGGAAGCATTTTGTTTTCCTCAACTTTCCTGCCTATGTGCTGAATTAGATATGGAATTTATGTCTCCAGTGTCCAGCTTAGACTATGACCATCTTAGACCTCTTCATTGCAGATCAACAAGGTAGAAAAAGTCTGAGTCACTGATATAGAACAACAAACCAATCCTGAACTATCTCTACCTGGACTATTTTATATGTAAGAAAAATAAACTTCTATCTCATTTAAGGTTGTACTGTTGGTGAAGTTCTTTCATATATAGCAACACAAAATCCTAACTGACACTAGAGGAAGTGAGGAAACAAAAAGACTATTACAAGGCCATTTCAATAATCCAAATGAGGCTGACCCTAGTGGCTAATTCTTATAATCCCAGTACCTCAGGAAGTCAAGACAGGAGTATTGCTTGTGGCCAGGAGTTCAAGAATAGCCTGGGCAACATAGCGAGACACCATCTCCACAAAAATTAAAAAAATTAAAGCCAGGCATGGTGGCATGTACCTATGGTCCTAACTACTTGGGAGGCTATGACAGGAGGATCCCTTGAGCCCAGGAGTTCAAGGCTGCAGTGAGCTATGATTGCACCATGCACTCAAGCCTAGGCAACAGAGCAAGACTCTGTCTCTAAAAATAATAATTATTACTATTATTATTATCATCATCATGATCCAAGTAAGAGAGGAGAGTGGCTTTCATTAGGTGGCAGTAGTGGAAGTGATAAAAAATACTCAGATTCTAAATTGATTTTCAAAGTAGAACCAACATGATTTGCAAATGGATTAAAATTACTATCTATAATAATGAGAGGAGGTAAGTATATGCCCAAGATTATTGGCCTGAGCAACTAGAAGGCAATTGGCCCTTACTAAAATGGGGAAGAATGGGAAAAGAACAGGTTTGTGGTAGAGATATAGAGAGAAGGTATATCAAGAGTTCAGTTTTAGACATATTGAACTTGAGATGCCTACTGAACATCAAATAGAAACATGAGCCTAGACTCAAGGCAGAAGTCAGAGATGTACATGTAAATTTAGGAATCAACATTTAGAGATACGATTGAAACCTACATGCATGGATGGGATCCCCTAGAGAGGGAGTACAGTTGAAGAAAAATAAAGTTTAAAGACTAAATCAAAGTTTAGATGTTGGGGCAATGAAGAGGTGCCAGCAAAGGAGACTGAGAAACTATCAACAGTTAAGTAAGAGGACAAGAAAATAATGTTCTGGAAGCCACATAAATAAAATATTTTAAAAGAAGGAAATGAGTATGTCAAATGCTGCTGATGGTTCCAGTAAGAAGACTAAAAGATTGACGCTAAAGCCATTGATAACATTGACAAAGCAATATCTGGTAGATTAGTAATGAGGGGAAAATGTTATTAGAGTAGATTCAAGAAAGAATAGAAGAGGTTAAGTGAACAGTAAAAAATATGCAATTTTGAGAAATTTTGACATAACAAGAAGCAAAAAAATCAGATGGTATCTAGAGAATTATATGGTATAAATGGAAGTTTCTGTTTGTTGTTTTTTTTAATTCCTTTTTGTCTGTTTATAGAGTCAAGGTCTCACTATGTTACCCAGGCTGGTCTCAAATCCCTAGACTCAACGAATCCTCCCACTTCAGCCACCCAAAGTGCTGGGATTGCAGGCATGAGCCACCATGTCCAGCCAGTTGTTTTGTTTTTAATGTGGTATCATTTTATGTTCATGATTCCATATTCATATGGGAGATGACAAGTGCAGGAGAGAGTGAAGACAGTTAGTGAGGTGATATCCTTAAGTAGGTCAGAAGGAACAGAATCTAATACATGAGTAGAGGCGTTCATCTTAAATAAGTGTTTATCCTGGTACCAGGAGAAACCAAATTAAATACATACAGCTGCAAGTCATACATTTATGTGGTTTTGAGGATGTATAGATGTTCTCTTCTGGTTGCTTCTATTTCCTTAGTGAAGTAGGAAGCAGCTTCATCACAGAAGAGGGTAAGAAAATGCTGAAGGTTTGACAGTGGAGGGGAAGATCTAAAATGGTATCTACAAAAGAGAAAATGTGAATGAAGTAGAAAAGAGTAGTAGAATTTCCCCTGAACATTGCTAGTCTTGAATTTTAAATAAGATGATCAGATTGTATTGTGTCCAGCCACACTGAGTTACAGAGCTGCAGGCCCAAGGAAGGCATATGGATAGATATAAGCAAAATTGGGGGATTTATAGGCAAGTATGACAACATAAAAAGGATGTACAGGGTCAGAGGAGTATAAAGCGAGTGAATCATAGAGTTTAATCATGGGTAAGAATGATAGTAAGGATATGAACAGGGTAAGTGTTTAGTTTTGCTCCTCCAAGAAGCAGATACAAAATGGGGTTGAAAGCACAAAAATTTTATTAGGGGAAATGTCTGTATGAAGGGACATAAAAATGGAGCCACAGAGGGTGAGAACTGCCAGACCATAATGCAAATCTGAACACGAGTGAAAAATTCAAAGGAAAGTAAGTTGAGTGTAAGCATCCTAACCTGTCATGAAATCTAAGGAAAGTTCAACAAGCCACTGGAGAGTCTTTGAGCCAAAGCTGGCAGACAAAGGAGTCCCGTGTCTCCCGGGAATGGGTCTTCCTTAGAATGTTCACTACACTGTCATTGGCCTTAGCACAAATGCAGCCACAGGGGTCCTTGGTCAATTCACTCCCTGTAGTAGGAAGTCTGCAAGGTGCATTCTCATGGCCACAAGTAAGCAACAGTTAAAACACGATAGAATCAAAAATTATGGGTCTCAATATGTACAAATAATTTTTTGGAAATAATATATTAGAAAGAGTGCGCTGGATAGATAGGAGGCAAAAAGCCTGAAATTAAGATTTAAGAAAGAAAGTAGTTACTGGTAGTGAAAAAGTCTAAGGTGCAATCATGGGGAGGAATAGCTGAAGTAGGAAGGAGACAAGATCATTGGAGAAGAAAAAAATCAAGAAGACAAGGGTATTAAAGAGATCTTCCACTTGGGATAGTGATCCCCCAAAAAATTCTGGCTGGAGTAATATGGAGAAAATGCCAGCAAGCCACATATTGTAGTCTTCTAAGAATTAAGAGAAGCAACCTGGGGTCTATCGATGACTGTGCATGGGGTGCAGGTGAGTAGTATGATCCAATGGTATGTGTTTTAAAGCTGTGGCTCTTTAGAAGGCTGAAAGAAAAAAATTGATAACAACAATGAAGAGCAAGCAGCATATCTATATGACTTTCCTGCCCAGTAGTTCAAAGAGTATGTGAAAGAAGGTAGTCACTGATCTAGAAGGATGGCGACAAAGTGTTTATAGTATTTGATTTCAGTTATTGACCAAAAGAAATGTTAATGGCTCAAGAGAAAAAAAAAGTGAAAGAGATGGAGAAAATATTGAGCTTTAAAGCTGGGGTATTTTTGCTTATAACAAATGCATTCTAGAGAGCAGAAGAGATGTATTTTAAGAAATGAGGAAAGGTGGGTAATGGAATCCAGCTTAGAAACTACACAGAGCCATATCAGAATGAGAATTCAAAAACCAATTCAAGTGGGCTTGGAGCTTTCTGTGGTAACTGATAAACAGAGAAGCAGGGCTTGATGTAACTGATACTGTGCCTGGCAGATTTGGGTAGGAAAGGCCTCCTCTAGACAGTCCAACTCTATTTTTTTGTGTGATTAGACCATCATATTCTACATACTTAGACGATAGTCTTTAAACATAATTAAATCACCTTTTTTAGAGCCTGTATTTGACTTTTTTTTCAGTTTCTTACAAGAAACGGCTACATGAAATCCTGGGCAACATAGTAAGACCCCATATCTACAAAAATAAAACAATTAAAGCCAGGCATGGTGGTGTGCACCTGTAGTCTGAGTTATTTGGGAGCTGTGGCAGGAGGATCCCTTGAATCCAGGAGTTTGAGCCTACAGTGAGCTATGATTACACCACTGCAGACCAGCCTGGGTGATTGAGCAAGACCCTGTCTTTAAAAATCATCATTATCATCATCATCCAAGTGAGATAGGACAGTGATTTGGAATAGGTGGCAGTAGTGGAGGTGATAAAATATATATATATTTAGATTCTTAATTGATTTTCAAAGTAGAACCAACATGATTTGCAAAGGGATTGAAATTAGTATCTGTGACAACAAGAGGAGGTAAACATATTATTCAGAAAATATACTTGAAAATATACCTAAATCCAATCCAAACCAAAATGATTGTAAATGTGTTAATGAGCTAAACACACTTATTAGAAGGCAGAAGTTATGAGGATGGAAAGAAAGAAAGACCTAACTATAAGTTTTCTGCAAGAGTTCTACTTTAATATGAAGAAACTAGATTGAAAGTATATAGATGGAAAAGAATTGTATTAGGCTATTCTTGCATTGCTATAAAGAAATACCTGAGACTGGGCACTTTATAAAGAAAAGAGGTTTAATTGGCTCATGGTTCTGCAGGCTTTACGCAAAGTATGGTACTGGCATCTGTTCAGCTTCCAGGGAGGCTTAAAGAAGCTTATAGTCATGGTTGAAGGCACAAGGGGAGTAGGCATGTCGCAGGGCCAAAGCAGGGACAAGAAAGTAGGGGGGGCAGGGGGAGTACTGAACACTTTTAAATGACCACATCTCACAAGAACTTACTCACTATTGTGAAGACAGCACCAAGCCACAAGAGATCGGCCCCATGATCCAAACTCCTCCCACCAAGCCCCACCTCCAATTACAATTCAACGTAAGATTTGGGTGGGAACAAATATCCAAACTATATCAAAGATTTACCATGCAAACACCAACTGTAGGAAGATTGGAGTTCCTATGGTATTATCACATAAAACAGACTTCAAGGTAAAGAGTTTTATCAGAGATCAAGACAGACAATTCATAATGATAAAAGGGTCATCAGTTAATTTCCCACTTAAGGCACTTGCCTCTCAAGGAAGCCAATAGGCAGCTATAATCTGACTAAAGCTCAATGAAATTGGAAGGAGCACGGTTCATCAAAACTACAAAGCTGCACTGTCTTCCTTCAATTCTCTCCTTTCTATCATGCCCCTGTCCATTAAGCCCTAATCAAATAATACTATTTACTTCATCATGCCTTATTACTCATTTTATTGTAATTAGTACTAAATGTTTCTGATCGCCTGGAGATCAGTTCTCCTTGAGAAACTTCTTGGGTAATCCATCACCTTACAACATGTTGTTAGACATGTTTCTACCTGGTTATTTTGTGGAGCAACTAATATAAATAGTTTCTCAGTCTCTTTTGACAACATCTAATAGTCTGAAGCTATCAGGATTATTCCAATTTTCTCTATCAATCTTTCCCTACTTTCACAGAAAAAGAATTTTGTCTACACCACATAGGTACAGGCTTAAACAAAAGAAACAGAATGTCCATATAGCTATACAAATGATATTGCATCATGATCTCGAGGGAGTTATACACTGTCAAAGTGTGGGATTCCTTTTCTTGGAGAGTGAGAAATTCTTTTATAAAGGTGTTCCTTCTATTTCATATTTTTCTGCTATAAATCACTAGTAGACTGCTTTGTAAATTGAATCCCCTTAAAAGATAAATATGGCAAGTTTCTTTCTGCTGTATCCAACAAAAGAGTTGCTAAAAGATAACAATGCTCCCTGGCAAGAAGGTGAAAATACATCTATAAATTCTTATTACAAGTTATACCAAAATGTAACAAACTTTGTAGAAGAAGGAAAACATCAAAGAGAGGTTATCAAAATAGAATGCTGACAGATACTATACCTAGGCTAGAAAATATCACAGAAGATGAATAGATAATGCTTCACTTATGTTTGATACAATTTCAAAGAAGTGAATTTTACTCTATTAAAGACATCAGATGAAAAAGTTTTCTTTGCCACGTTACTGATTTCAAATCAATGTTATTTTAGATCACTGTATATATGTACATATATGTGCACATGAACACACACACACACACACACACACACACACACACACACACAGTTTCTCCTTAAAAGCATAACATTGGGGCCAGGCATGGTGGCTTATGCCTGTAGCCCCAGCATTTTGGAAGGCTGAGGCGGGCAGGTCACTTGAGGTCAGGAGTTTGAGACCAGCCTGGCCAACATGGTAAAACCCTGTCTCTACTCAAAATACAAAAATTAGCCAGGCATGGTGGCTTATGCCTGTAATCTAAGCTACATAGGTGGCTGAGGCAAGAGAATCTCTTGAACCCAGGAGGCGGAGGCTGCAGTGAGCCAAGATTGCACCACTGCACTCCAGCCTGGGCGACAGAGCGAGACTCTGTCTCAAAAAAAAATAAAAGGATAACACTGGTAATCAGAATATGAACAAAATTATCCTTACTTCATTCTCCATTGTACATTTTTGTGAAAGCTTAAAATTTTCGAGAGATACTATTTGTTAAAACTTTGTTTGATTTCACTTATATTTATATCAACCTCAATATTTCTAGCTGTATTTCAGGAAACAAAAAGTTTCAAACAACAATCTATCTTGTTTGAACACAAAAAAATTAGAATTAAAGTGGCAAAGTTTATGAAAATGAGAAAATGGACATTGCCTTTTAACATTACCTGCTTCACTGCCAAACTGATTGTTCAAAACAAAAGTAAATCAGTGTTAAGGTAAATGATGTAGACTTGGCTATTCAAATTCATTCATTTTGGTCGCTTTTCTCATTAATTTAACCAGTCCTGCAGCAATCTACATTGATCAGGGTTAAATTAAAAAATCAACTAGATTCCAACCTATTATTTCATCAGTGTAGCCAAAAGGAGTATCAATGAAAAAATAAAAATAATAGCCTCTGTTTTATTACTCTTTGTTTGTTTTTTACTTGTGATGAAGATCCTTGGAAGAAACTGAGCTTGCTTTATAATGAAAAGAGGAAGCTGTAGCCAGACCAATCAAGCAAGAGAAAGAAATAAAAGACATTTAAATAGGAAAAAAAGATGTCAAACTATCCTTCTTCACTGAGGATATGATTCCGTACCTAGAAAACCCTAAAGACTCCTCCAAAAGGCTCCTGGAACTGATAACTTCAGTGATGTTTCGGTTACAATTCAATGTACAAAAATAAGTAGGATTTCTATACATTAATAGTGTTCAAGCTGAGAGCCAAATCAAGAATGCAATCCCATTTACGATAGCCACAAAAAAACAAAATACCTAAGAATACATCTAATCAAGGAGAGGAAAGATCTCTACAAAGAGAAATAGAAAACACTGCTTAAAGAAATCACTGATGATACAAATGTTAGAGCGAACTATATAGGGCCTGAGAAGGACTCCATACTTCTATATTCGAGTCCTTGTGGGCGAACTGTAACCTAACTTAATAGGTGGACAAGGTTTTAAAGGTAACTTAAGAGTATGTGCCTGTAACAGTAGCTGAGTCTTGGCCAATCCAAGCAGCCATACTTCAACCACTCATATACTGCTGAGTGTTCAGACTGTGTTCAGATAAGGCAAACACTGAGCTGTAACCAATCCAGTTGTTTCTGTACCTCACTTCTGATTTCTGTACATCACTTCCCTTTTTTGTCTATAAATCTTCTTCCAACATGTGGCTGTGGTGGAGTCTCTCTGAATCTGCTGTGATTCTGAGGGCTGTCCAATTCACATATCATTTATTGCTCAATTACACTCCTTTAAATTTAAATCAGATTAAGTTTTTCTTTTAACAGATGGTGTCAGAAGTAGGATCCAAAGTAGTGCGTCTAATGACCCCCAGGAGTGCTGAGTGAACACGCAAGGACTCACTTGTGTCCCTTGATCTCTCAGAGTGGCTGGGGATCTTGGTAAGTTCTCTCTTGGATTGCAGAGCTCCAGGGATTTGTGTTTTGAGCTCTCTGAGTTTCTTTGAGCAAATTTCTGATCCAAACTGGGTTTGGAAGTCACGACAGAAACTGGACTGGGTTCAAGAAAAGATTTGATCTGGTAATTAACCGGCTTGGATTCAGTTAGAGGCCTCTTACATCTGACTGGGTCAGAAAGAAACTGGTAGTAAATGTTAATATTGTAGGGGTTTTAAAATTTGGCTTTTGGAAATTTGTGGGGAATGGAAAAATCTTACTAAAGATAATTTACAGTGGAATATTCCAAATGAACAACAACACACTGAAGTACATTTAAAATAATGGAGCTACCAAATTAGTCTCATCTAGGGATGCCTATCGACATGCAGAAGCTTCCAAAAAATAGATTTCAATATTTTTATTTAAAGCACATGTATTTTGCTCTGGCTGGAATGGGAAATATTAATTTAGGTCCCCCATGCAGCCAGTTGGGCAGCAACTTATAAAACTAAGGCTTTTTCTTGTGGTTCCATAAAAATAGACAAAAGATGATTTTCCTTTATGTTGCAGCTTGGCCCCCAGGGCTTTGATACAGCTAACAGGGTCACTAAGGCCACTCACAGAAAGAGAACCCAGAAACCTGGCATGCTGGCAAAAGGGCAAGAATTTCTTACCAGTCAGACTTCTGGCCTTGCTCTCTCTGTACAAACTAGTTGAATGAATGGCAAAAATCATTGTTTATATCATGTAAAGTTTGGATTAATGGAAAAAAAGATTTGTGAGGCTAGTCAAGCTATAGTGAATCTGGTGTGCTTTGTACTATGATTTTGTCTTTCTGTATCTTTCTGTCAGAAAGAGGGGTACCTTAGGATAGAACATGGCCTTAGGACCCCATAAGCCCACTGTTCAAGATGGCCCAACAAACTGGTCAGTTATGTCCTTGGGAGCTTGACCTTGTAACCCAGTGGTGGTACTTTCTCTTGGTCTCCCATCCAGTAAACAGAAATTTGGGGGTTTATGTTATAGTTACCTCTAAAAATTATCTCAAGCAGTTAAAAACTATTGCAAGCTCAAAATTGACTGCTCTACACTCCTAGAGCAACGAAACCTTCCTAATTCTGTAGCTCAGTAGCTAAGTCTTCAACATTTTACAATGACAACCCAGGTTTAGGGTTCAATTCTCAGCTGAGAGAATGAGCCAGAAATATTGGGCATTTCGACTGACTAAAGTCAAGTAATAAGAAATTTAAAAGGACTTTTTTAAGAGCACTATGGTTAAAAGTCAGCTTAATTAGAAGTGGATATTCAAGCTCTAATGGCCTGGACAGAGGAGGTGTCACAGAGCGCTTTTGGGGAGAGACCTCTCTTTTCCTCATGAAACCCCAGGAATTGAAAGCAAATAAGTCCCTCTCAAAATCAAAGGCTATGTTCTGTTTTGCATTGGATTATCTGACATTTTTTACTTTTGGGGGTATCATAAATTACTTCAAATTATGACAGAGCTTTGATGCGTAATAACTAGGTAGGAAATATACTTTGGGGGACAGCTAATGGCATTTTGGGGGAGTACACAGCTCTTCGCACATTCGGATCAGAGAAGCATGGTCTTGGCCACCTAAAAGGTATGGCAACATCCCTACCCCACTGAGAGATAAGACTCTCATGGGAGATGAGATGGGGGAAAAATCTGTTTTGCCTTCCAGCTGTGCCTGCTTTAAATTAGGTTGTAGAAACTGCATGCTTTCCTGGCTCTTTTTCTCCAAGGGCTCCATCCTGAAGCCAGTAATCCAATTAAGAAACTTAAAACTGGCAAATGAAAAATCTTACAACTACTGGATCTTCTGTCTGTCTGTCTGTTTAGTTATACATGTGTCGTGTGTGTGATGTTTATATAAAAGAGCTCTAATTAATTGGCTTAAATAAAAAAATAAGCACTTAAATCAAATATTTTGAAAGAAAAATAAAAACTGTAATGCCTTTTAGTTCACACGACTTTAGTAATCTTTGTGAAATAAAAACAGCTTTAAAGATTATTAGTAAAATAAAGACATTTAGTCTAAATTAGGCAGATGAGATATTAGCTTTACTAAATGCTTTAAGGTCCATAAACTGCCTCTTTGGCTTTTGAAAACCATTCAACTTGCATATTTTACAGCTAGGTAAGGCCTGGGGACATGTGGAGTTAGCCACACCCATCTCTATGCTGCAAAGAGTCAGAACTTACCTGCACTTTTCAGACTCCTGGCCTCAAGCAGCCCTCCCATCTCGGCCTCCCAAAGTGCTAGGATTGCAGGCATGAGCCACCATGCCCAGCCTCGTATCTCACTTCTGATTTCCTAGGCTCCAAACCTAGTACATAGTTAAAATCACTTACCAGATTTTTTGACTTAAATGAAAATTGCTGAGAATTACCACTATAACAGGTAATAAAGACTATTGAAAAAACAGTTTTACATGCAAGGTGTGTGAAGATAATGAAATGTGTTTTTGGTAAAAGATTATAAGAAGGCATGGGAATGTAAATTTTTGCATAGAGTGTTAAAGGATTGTTTTAAATTAGATAAGATAAAGCTAAAAGACTGAGCAAGTTGTAGATTTCTAAAAATCAATCTTGTAAAAGAAATTCTGTCTGTGAACATGACTAAATTTAAAGGGATTTTTTTTTCCCACAAATTGAACATTGAAAAAAAAGCACAACAGGGTTTTCTTAGAGCACAGATTTGCTATTTAACAAAAATTTGTAAAGGGTTATAAAAGGTTTATGAGAATCTCACCTTATGGTCAAATTGATTAAGATTGAATCAATTTGTCTATAAAGTTTTATTAAGAATTGGGGTTGGCATTAATGGTACAGTAATGTAAGGGTGAAATTTGTCTTTTTCTCTTCAATAAGATTTTTATGTAATCTTAAAAATAATGCAAGATTTTTGTTTGCCTTTTTAATAAACTAGCAAAGAAGGGAAAGATAAGAGATAGGTTGTTTGGGAAGCTGTCTTCCCTCTATCAATGAGTCAAGGTTTTTGCCTTTTTAAAATTTTGGGATCATCATTTTGGCTAAATTAATGACTTATGGTGATCTAGAATTCTATTTTAAAATATCAGGTGTTTTAAACCTTTAACACATTTGATAGGCTTCTCAAAATCAAATTCAGCTTCAAAATTATCTTTTCTGACCTCTAACTTTCAGATGCTACAGAGGGCCCCTGACACATCCAAAAGAGAGGTAAACAGGATTATTTGACATATTAAGTTACATGGAAAGCATTGTCAAAATAAAAAATAATGTTTAACCTTCCTCAGGTTATATTTTAATGAATGCTATTAATATATGTTTTAAAATTGTATGGGATTCCTAAAATTCTAATATGTCTGAGTATAAGCTATCAATCATAATTATGGTTATTATGTTATTTCAGACCACAGAAATAATCAAATTTTCTTGTCAATTGTGTTTTTAACTTTGACCATTTAAAGTCATTTCCACAATTAATTGTTTAATGCTGATGCAGTTTCTGACAACTTCACAAGCACACAAAATCCTAGAATATGGCGTCTTTTAGGAGGTTCGTGAAAGGATAAAAAGGACCCTGACAAGCCCTCTTGAATACAGGTTTCTAATAACTTTAAAATCCTATCATTTGTACTGGGTAAGAATTCCTGAAACTTTAATGAAAAGACTGACTGGTTTATAAAACTGCTAAGTCAAGTAGAACAAAAATTAATTGAATACCAAGCAAATATTTTGCCAGATTTGTATGCTAAATCGGCCAATACTGAAATTGTTTAGATATACACTTTGAATGAACTCCATGGTCTAAGTCAAATTACCTATGATAACCCATCAGTTATCAGTGCTATGCACCTAATTTGGAGAAACAACTGGTATTCAAGAGGACATAAGTCTAATGTTAATTAAGCATGGATTAAGCATGGACTCACGGAGAATCAGGATGGCCACCTTGTCCTTCCAGAGTCCTTTAAGCTTTTATTATTAAAGGTTTTGCATTCCATGAGTCATCATGGAAAAGATAAAATGATTCAAATTAAATATATATTGGTGTCGTGACTTCTAAATTGCTAAAATAATTTATGACCAACATTTGCTTTGTCAAACCCATATTCCTGGGAAAACAGTCAAAGCTTCAGGTATATTTGGTTACCTGAGGGACCATTTAAACATTTTTATAAAGGGCTTTCATTCCATTGTGATTTTCAGTGCATGTTTTCTGGTTGTATAAAAGCTTTCCCATGCAAAAAGGCTGATGTTATAACAGTAGATTATTATGCTACAGTGTATTTTCACCAGGTAAAGAAAGCTTTTTACGGTTCACTGGCTGAAGACAATCAACCCCTTCATAATCTAGAACCTGAAGATTGGATCTTCTGAGAACAGCAGAGAAAGACTGTCCTTGCCATCTACACTACAGCAAAACTTCGGGACATTAAACTTTGGGTTCATAATCTCACAACTGAGAAGGGTCACTCCACACTCTTGGAACTGTACGCCCATTGGAACTCTTAAGGTAAAGCTAACCAGGGAAGTTTCTCCCCAGAAGAAGGCAGCATCCTTAATGTGAACAGCTTTTCCCAAGATCACAGGTCAAGACTTCTCTACTATCATGAGACTCTTGTCTTTAAATATTTTTTTCCTTACTTATACCTCTATGAACAATAGAAGTAAAAAGATGGTCTGTTGCGTGCACTTAACGGGGTATATTTTTATTTGTAAAGGATTTTGTAGCCAGCCTTATGCATGGATAATCTTATATTTTCATAGATAAAAGATGAAGGCCCAACGTAAATGAAAAACTTTAATGGTACATACGTTACCTCATAATCAGTCAGAAACAGAACATTGGTTCACTCCTCTTAACTCACATCATGGGTTAAAGAGAACCATGCCAGGAGGCCTTCACTCTTCTAGAAGGCCATCATTTGTTAGGTCCTTTTTCCATGGTTTGGAGCAAAAGAAGCAATGACTAGAAATGTATTCCTCATGATAAGCTCTGTAGCAGATTCTACTGTAAAGGCTATTGTTACATAACAGACTTTCAATTCTCTTGTGAAAGTTATGCTAAATAATAGAATTGGCTAAACAGAAAAGTATCTGTGCAATTGCTGGCCTTTGTGGACTATGGAGAAATAAATCAAATATAGATTATAGAAATTCAGTTGTAGGGGATTAATGAAAGACTGCTTAGTTAAGCGAGTAGACTCTTTATCTAGCTCATTCTTTGATCTATTTAATTTTAGGTGGTCTGGTTTATGGGGATGCTGGCTAAGGAGCATACTCCAAATGCTTGGTATTATCCTCCTAATAGTCATAATAGCAGTCTCCCTGGTGTGCCGTATTCCCTCAAAAGTTTTAAATGCTTGCATGCAGCCATCTCTAGAATGTCAAATGGTCTCACTTCAACTGAAATGGCATGAGCTGAAAAAAATGTGTGACCATGAGGACACTGTAACATATGAATCACATGCTAAGACAGGAAACCCAAAATGATGGTAACTGAGAGTGGCACTAAGGCCCTAAATTTTGGTCACATTCTCTCTTAAGTGAGAACCTGACCACAAAGGGGGAATTTTTAAACAAAATTATGGGAGGCCATTGTTTTAGACTGAGCTCATGCATTAGGCCCCAACAGACCAAATCAAATAAAAATGGAGCTGCTCATGCTAAATGTGACATAATCAAACTAAGACTTTAAGGAAGCGCATATATCCTAGAACAGACCAGGTTTTATTTTTCTCCTACAAACAGGATGTTCCAGCATAAGTTACCCTCTACTCAGTCCTTGATCCCATCTTGCAAAACCCACGGTTGCACTGTTTTCCAGAGGGTTTCAAGACCAAAGAATTATATTTACGATGACGGTAGTGATATCAAAGACTAAAATTTTAGCCAATCTCCCAAAATTGAGAAAACGACCAAAATGGGGGAATTGTTAAACCGAACTAAATATGGCCTGAGAAGGTCTCTGTACTTCTGTATTTCAGTCTTTGTGGATGAACTGTAACTTAACTTAATAGGTAGACAAAATTGAAAACCTAACTTAATATGTGCCTGTAACAATAGCTGAGTCTTGACCAATCCCAGCAGCCATACTTCAACCACTCATACACTGCTAAGTGTTCAAATAAGGCAAACGCTGAGCTGTAACCAATCCAGTTGTTTCTGTACCTCGCTTCTGGTTTCTGTACCTCATTTCCCTTTTTCTGTCTGTAAGTCTTCCTCTACCACATAACTGCACTGGAGTCTCTCTGGATCTGTTGTGATTCTGAGGGATACCTGATTCGTGAATCATTCATTGCTCAGTTAAACTCCTTTAAATTTATTTCAGCTAACGTTTTCCTTTTAACACAAACAAGTGAAAAAGCATTCCATGATCTGGATTGGAAGACTCAATATCATTAAAATGATATTCCTATCAAACTACCAAAATTATTTTTCACAGAACTAGAAAAAAATGATTCCAAAATTCATGTGGAACCAAAAGAGAGTCCAAATAGCTAAAGCAATCCTAAGCAAAAAAAAAAAAAAAAAAGCTGGAGGCGTCACATTGCCTGACTTCAAACTATACTATAAGGTTACAGTAGCCAAAAACACATAGTACTTGTACAAAAGCTGACACATAGACCAATGGAACAGAATAGAGAACCCAGAAATAAAGCTGCACATCTACAGCCATCAGATATGCAACAAAGTTGACAAAAGTAAGCAATGGGGAAAAGACTCCCTGTTTAATAAATGGTGCTATGACAGCCAGCCAGCCACATGAGGATGATTGAAACTGGACACCTGCCTTACACCACATACAAAAATCAACTCAAAATGAATTAAAAATTTAAATGTAAGACATCAAACTATAAGAATCCTAGAAGAAAACCTAGGAAACACCATCCTGGACATTAGTCTTGAGAAAGAATTTATGACTTAGTCTTCAAAAGCAATTGCAACAAAAACAAAAATTGACAAATGGGACCTAATTAAACTTTTTTTTCTTTTCTGAGCTTCTGCACAGCAAAATAACCTATCAAGAGAATAAACATACATCCTACAAAATAGGAGAAAATATTCACAAACTATGCATCCAACAAAGGTAAAATATCCAGAATCTATACGGAATTTAAACAATTCAACACAAAAAAAACCAAATAACTCCGTTTAAAAAAATGTGTAAAAGACATAAACTTTTTTTATGTTTATGGGCGTGGTGGCTCATGCCTGTAATCCCAGCACTTTGGGAGGCCAAGGCAGGTGGATCACCTGAGCTCAGGAGTTCAAGACCAGCCTGGGCAATATGGTGGAACTCCCTCTCTACTAAAAATACAAAAAATTGGTTGGGTGTGGTGGCACACACCTGTAATCCCAGTTACTTGGGAGGCTGAGGCACCAGAATTGCCTGATCCCAGGAGGCAGAAAGTTGCAGTGAGCCAAGATTGCACCACTGCACTGCACTCCAGCCTGGGCAACAGAGTGAGACTCTGTCAAAAAAACAACCAAAAAAAGAAACCCAAAAAAAAAAGACACAAACAGACACTTCTGAAAAGAAGACATTCAGGCTGGGTGCAGTGGCTTATGCCTGTAATCCCAGCACTTTGGGAGGCTGAGGCAGGCGGATCACTTGTGGTCAGGAGTTCGAGACCAGCCTAGCCAACCTGTGAAATTCTGTCTCTACTAAAAATACAAAAATTAGCCAGGTGTGATGGCACATGCCTATAATCCCAGCTACTACCCAGGAAGCTGAAGCACAAGAATTGAGAACCACTTGAATCCGGGAGGCAGAGGTTTCGGTGAGTCAAGATCATGCCACTACACTCCAGCCTGGGCAACAGAGCAAGACTCCATCTCAGAAAAAAAAAAAAAAAAAAAAAAAAGAAGAAGACATACAAGTAGCCAACAAACATTAAAAAAATGCTCAGCACGACCAATCGTCAGCAAAATCCAAATCAAAACGACAATGAGATACCATCTCACACCAGTGAAAATGGTTGTCATTAAAATATCAAAAAAACAGTAGATACTGGCAAGGTTGTGAAGAGAAAATGCTTATACCTTGTTTTTTAAAAAATAATTTTTATTTCCATAGGTTTTTGGGGAACAAGTGGTATTTCGTTACATGAGTCAGCTCTTTAGTGGTGATTTGTGAGATTTTGTTGCACCCATCACCCGAGCAGTATACACTGAACCCAATTTGTAGTCTTTTATCCCTCACTCCCTTCCCACCATTTCCTCCCAAGCCCCCAAAGTCCATTGTATCATTCTTATGCCTTTGCATCCTCATAGCTTAGCTCCTACTTATAAGTGAGAACATACAATGTTTGGTTTTTGATCCTGAATTACTTTATTTAGAATAATAGACTCCAATCCCACCCAGGTTGCTGTGAATGCCATTAATTCATTCCTTTTTATGATTGAGTAGTATTCCATCATATGTATATATATATACACGTATATATACACATATATATACGTGTATATATATATGTGTATATATGTATATATATATTACAGTTTATTTATCCACTCGTTGATTGATGGGCATTTGGGCTAGTTCCATATTTTTGCAATTGTGAATTGTGCTGCTATAAACATGCATGTGCAAGTATCTTTTTTTGTATAATGACTCCTTTTCCTCTGGGTAGATACCCAGTAGTGGAATCACTGGATCAAATGGTAATTCTACTTTTAGTTCTTCAAGGAATTTCCACACTGTTTTCCATAGTGGTTGTACTAGTTTACGTTCTCACTAGCAGTGGAGCAATGTTCCCTTTACACCACATCCATGCCAACATCTATTATTTTTTGAGTATTTGATTATGGTCATTCTTGCAGAGTAAGTTAGTGTCGCGTTGTGGTTTTGATTTGCAGAAAATGCTTATACATTGTTGATGAGAAAGTAAATTTGTTCAGCCACTATGGAAAGCAGTTTGGAGATTTCTCAAAGAACTTAAAACAGAACTACCATTTGACCCAGCAATCCCATTACAGGGTATATATCCAAAGAAAATAAATTGTTCTACCAAAAAGACACATGCATTCGTACTTTCGTCAGAGCACTATTCACAATAACAAAGACATGGAACCAATCTAGATGCCCATCAGTATGGATTGGATAAAGAAAGTGTGGTACATATTCACCATGGAATACCATGCAGCCAGAGGAAAAGAACAAAACCATGTCCTTTGCAGGAACATGGATGAAGTTGCAGGCCATTTTCCTAAGTGAATTAATGCAAGAACAGAAAAGCAAATACTGCATGTTCTCACTTATAAGTGGGAGCTAAACATTGGGTACTCATGGACATAAAGATGGCAACAATATTCACTGGATACTACTTGGGGGATGGAGAAAGGGGTCAAAAGTTGAAAAACTAACTATTGAGCACTATGCTCAGTACCTGGGTGATGGGATCAATCATACCTCAAGCCTCAGCATCACACAACATAACCATGTAACAAACCGGCACATGTTCCCCTGAATCTAAAAGTTGAAATAATAATGATAATAACAATAGCAATAATGAAAAGAAAATTATGAGCCATGACTCATTTCATGGTCTTCAAAAGAAAGCAATCTACTAATAATCAAATATAGTCTATGTGGATTATTCTTATTCTGTTTCTTATTAACCAAATAACTCCTCCTCCACCCACCACATATCTATAATGAACAGGTTCTTTCAAATAGACATAGTTAATATTAAAGTTTCAAGTGCTGCCAGTACACTGGCTTGCTGGTTTTATTTTTAAAACACACAAAAATAGAATTTCTTGAAGAGTTCCTGCTTATTTTTAATCCTTAAAACGCAAACACAAACACACATACACACACCTTTTAAGCATTTCACTTACAGAGTGAACATGGGCATATTTCTTTTCTACTTCCACTACTGAGGAATACTGTCCACTCTTCTGCCACCTTCTTTTCATTCATTCTAAAATACAAAAGTTTGTTCAAGAAGTATTTCTTGAATGTCTATCATATCAGGCATTGCAAATGGCATTACACTGCATGGATGAATGTTTTCTGAGCCTCTCCTCTTTGTTGTACTCAGCGGAATGGTAAGCAGTTTGCAATCTCCCCCTTTTCCTTTGCTATGTAAACTGTGTATGTGGGAACAGCTTTACAATCTTGGTTCTCATCCTGTGCTCTCCCAGAACCTATCTTAGTGTATAGTACACTCAAAATTAGACAAAAATTCAATCCTAAAATTGAAATTTTTTCAAATTTTCATCAGTAGGCAGTAGAAAAGTTATATTATATTACAGAGAAAAAATTTCTCACAACCCCAACAAATCCTGCTACCTCTCCATCTTCTTTTCACACAGAAATTCAAAATCCTCCAGCTGATAGACTCTACTCAGCAAAACAAAAGTCCAGTAGCATTCCAAACAGCTTCCATTAAATGAAGTCCCAGGGGTTAACTAAACCCCATGTAAAGAGTATTTCCATGTCCCTAAAAGGCATAGATGATAGATAGATAGATAGATAGATAGATAGATAGATAGATAGATAGATAGATAGATAGATATAGATAGATGATAGATAGATAGATAGATAGATAGATAGATAGATAGATAGATAGATAGATAGATAGATGATAGAGAATAGATGACATATACATACTTATGTAGGTAGATAGAGGATATATACATACATACGTATATAGACAGATATAGACACAGATATAGATAACAGTTCTCATTTGAACGCTGGCCACTGAACTAATGGCTCATTCAGTCTTGTCACCATATCATTTACCTGAGTAAATGCACCGATGGCCATAAATTCTCAATTTAGAAGAGAATGTCACACCTGGATTCTTGATGGCATAGAGTGTACCCAGGTTATATACAATTCTGGTTCTGCTTTGCTGCTCAGCCTTAAATTAACTTCATAGCAGAAGTTTACATTGGTACACTGAAATCAGAGTTGTTTGGTTCCATACATAAACACAATGGGACTATCTAAAGACAACTCTATATATGCCTGTAGAGGCTTCTGTCCCCATTACCCCTCCTATCAAAATATGCCCATGCTTCCTCCATCTACTGCCTTCTCAAGCCAAAACCCAAACACGTTTCCCCAGCTGCATGTTCGGAACGCTCTCTGAGCTCTTAGATGCAGAATAAGGAGAAACAAAAGCTGAACAAATGAGTGGCAGAGGGCAGGAGCATGCTACTTACTTGTCTATCTGAGCAATTTCTCCTCACTTTTTCAAGAGTCATCAAGGTTGAATATGTAATGTTGATATAAAGCAGATAAGTCCTCAATAAGTGTTCATGGCTGTTTTTGTTGTTGTTGCAAACACTGTTTCTATTGATTGAAATAGAACCATGGTTTCTGTGTCAACCATGGGAAAAGACAGCCAAGTCAAGTTATTCTTTAACAATAGGCACTTGCTCTACAAAGAAATGAGAGGGAAGAGAGACTATCTTTGGCAAGGACTAGTTTTAATTGATGATGGCTGCAACACTAATGAGGCTGCCTCCCATCAATACTGCTCCTGCTCCAAAGGACTGCTCAAAGGGGCAGCTATAAAGGCAGACAGAAATGACCCACTCCATTGCCAGAACCTCCCATGTGGCAATATCAATAAATAAGTGGCACTGATCATCTCATCTTTAAGTCCATGTTGTCAATTCAGACCACACTTAGGGAATCAGACTCTCCAGGGAAATATCAGTTAATAAAATAACTAGAGAGAAACCAGGAGTCCCTCTAAGGTGGTTATTATGGCAGTAAACAATGTATTTCATTAGAAAAGACTGTAACAGGTAAAACATTTTATTCAAGGCTTAAGAAAAATAAAATTTCCAATGGTAAATTTAGCAACTATAAAGAAAAATATTTCTATATATATTAATAGTTTCAATTCTCAAAAAAAAGCAACTTTTCATAACCTCATCGGAAAGAATGTAAAAATTCTCAACAAATCACAATCAACAAGACGTTTTCAGGATGTGTTAACACATGTATATATATATCTCTGGTTACCTGTGTCAGCAAATATTTTTCCTTGCCTAGTGGGCAAATTTCTGTGCAAACTTATTGTCTGTCTCAAAAATTGAAAGGTAACCATGTTTTTATGCCAGGAATAAAGACATGTAAGGAATATGCTAAAGCATGAAAATATTGTAGGAAGAGAAATCAGTGAGAAATGTGAAGCAAACTGGTCAAAGTGATACTCAAATCCCAAGGTCTAAGCCTGGTGCCGTGGCACACACTTGCAGTTCCAGCAACTTGAAGGCTGAGGTGGAAAGACTGATAGATCCCAAGCGTTCAAGTCCAGTCTGGGCAACAAAATGAAACTACATCCCTAAAAAAATAATAATAAATATTGTTTTAAAATTTAATTTCAAGGTCAGAGAAACCTCCTGTGAAAAACCATCAATTGGTCATTTCTACCTAAATTATTGTTGCCTACAATCTAAGACTCTTCTGGGTTCTTGCTTAATGAAACATTTGTTGATTTCTTACTACAGGTATGTACAAAGCAATAGATGTGACTGAAAGCCGAATAATGTTGAAATATGGCCCCTGCTCTTTAACTGGTTATAGTCTGCCTATAATCAGTTAAGGACACCATAGCCAACCACTGGCTCAAATATATCCTCCTCATATGTGGCAGGCCCCAGCTGACTTGAACAGACTTATCAACAAGTTCTTCATTGTGATGCTGTATTTCTATATTTCTAAAATCCTTTCACTGCAGGGGAAAAAAAAGTACTATAATTTAGCTGGGCACAGTGGCTCACCCTGTAATTCCAGCACTTTGGGAGGCTGAGGCAGGTGGGTCACTAGAGGCCAGGAGTTCAGAACTAGGCTGGCCAACACGGCGAAACCCCCTCTCTACTGAAAATACTAAAATTAGCCGGATGCGGTGGTGTGTACCTATAATCCTAGCTACTCGGGAGGTTGAGGCAAGAGAATCACTTGAACCTGGGAGGTGGAGGTTGCAGTGAGCCGAAATCATGCCACTGCACTCCAGCCTGAGAAACAGAGAGACTCTGTCTCAAAAAATAAAAAAGTAACTACTGTAATTAATTTGTTCTATCTTACCTGTACATTGCAATTCATTTTGGATATAGAGCAGCATAGTATCTGTCATGAACGATGATAGTTTATGTACTGAATCATGTAAACCAAAAGCAAATCCTCTAGACCTGATTCCAAATTCCTGACTCTACCAAAAGTCAGGGACTTGTGTACAAGTATGAATGACAGAATCATGCCCTCAGGAAATAAGAGTAGTTCAAAGTGCTAAATCTGGCTAGCAACTGCAATATCATCTAATGCCCATCTATCGCTTTACCTGACTTCATAAGATTAACCTGATCATAACTTCAGTTTTAACATCAATTTCATGGAAAAATGAAATACTAATGGCAAAAACACTGGAAGGTGGAAATGAAATTTTATTCATTAAGTAATCTACAGAGCATCTAGTTTATACCTTGCTTGCACCCTGACTAGTTTTTCTTTAATTAGACAACATTTACACACCCTTTACTTAAGATATGCCCATACAACCAAATATATGCCAAAGAGAAATATGCAATATAATAAATGACATCTGTTTAATAAAACTTTATTTTACTTTACAAAGAATAGCTCGCCTGCCTTTTATTTTATATAATAAAAATTTGTTTTATTCAGTAGAGTACAGTGAAGTGGAGACACCAAGTTCTTTTTTAAATGTAAGAAAATACAGTGTCTGTTACCTTTACCTTTTATGAGTTGCCTGCTCTCCTGTATTTGGCAAGACAAATAGAATTACATACTGTGAGTGACTCAGAACAGAACTTCACTATCAATCATCTGCCTGGCTCTGCACAAATTCTGTAGGGCATTCAGGACATTTTGCTGCCTATGAATATTTTAGACAAGAAGAATTTCTGAAAGCTTCCTGATGGATTAATATAAGAAAGGAGGACATTTTCATGTTTTACAGCTATTTGCTTAAGTACTATGGACATTACTACAATCCAATGAAAGGATGCCTCTTTAAACAGAAAAAAGTGCCCTCATAGAAGATTTCTGGCTCCCTTTATCATAAACTGATTTCAAAGCAATGATATATAATATGTAAATATTGCATGCACTCCTCTGCAGAAAATTAAATGCTGTACTGGTGCCAGCACCTTTACATCTAGCAACAACTGTGAAAAAAAGAAAAAGGAGGAAGAAAATCTATGCCAACCATTTAAGAAAATAAGTTTGCTCAGATACCTCTTTAGCTTTGCCAATGAAATAAAATGCAATTTATTAGCTTCTCTATCATTTTATTGTGGGATTCACACCTATAAATAAATAGCAGAGCACTATTCTCAATAGCAGTTCACAACTTCTAAAATAAAGCTTATACTTTCTTTTAAAGGTAACAGAGAAAATTTAGAAAACATAAGAAAATAAAACAAAAAATTCACTTATTGACCCACTAATATTTATATTTTAAAGTATTTTCTTGCAGTTTTTAATGTATTTTTACATGTAATATTCTGTCTCTTACTTTTTCCCGGTATTTAAACATTTCTCATGTTATAAACTCTTCATAAACATTTTAATGACTACATAACAGTCCATGAATAATATAATATATAACAAAGTTGATATGACATTTGTCCATCATCAGATATTTAGATGTTATACAATTTTTTATTATTATAATATCATTATTTCACATCCCTGTTTATATATGTATATCTTATTTTTGATAACTTGAACTTTTCTATTTCTAAATTAAGCAATATTTCTTCCATCTGGAAATGGTGAGATAATACCCCCCAAAAATGCTTTTTTTAAGCACCTCATCTATTACTAAGGACAATATATAGAAAATTTACATACATCCAGAGAACAAATTAATGACTACCAATTATATAACATGTTTTGCAATTTACCAACATTATAACAACCACCCTGGGAGTATGTGTAATTATTATCTCAATTTTTAAATTCATAAATTATAGCTAAATGAGTTTAAGTGTCCTACTCAAGTTCAGACAGTTAGAAAGTTATGGGGCTGACATGTCACCTCTTACCTTTCTGACTTCAAAGTCCACCCTCTTCTCGCCATATTGTGCTGGGCAGGAAGCTGGGGGCGCTGGACTCTGCAGTTGTTGCGACCATGAGCACTTGAATCCTACAGCCTTGGCCCAGAACCCACTTCTGATTATTCTGTCTGTGAACTTGTGTAAATTTCTTATCCTCTCTGCACTTCAGTTTTCTAATCATTTGAAACTCTGATAAAGATATTGGTTATTAAACCTAGTATAGGTTTGTTCCGAGAAGTAATTGAGAAAGTTCAGTTTATTAAGAACACCGTTAATGTCTGCATTTCTTTTTTACCTGTAAGCTTGTTTCCATACACTCAATTAACATTGTTTTTAATTCAACAGTTTTCTATATTTCCTCACTCTCAGGTAGAAAATATACATTTCATTATCCATTATGAGTAAATATGAAACAAAGCCACATCTCAAAACCGTTACCCACAATCTAAAAAATTATACAGCAGATTACTTAATCAACCCATACTCAAATTACTAACATTTGCTAAGGACTCAAATGAACTGATCTAGCTAAATGTCCAATAGGAAGTGTGCAGTACAAAACAAATGTTTTATACTGTTCAAATAAGATCATCTGATTATTAACTGATACCACAGCCCAATGTGACTTTACACAAAGTCTTCAGCATGATCAGCTCTAGAAACAGTAGTTAAGGTATAATTATAGTTTTGGTTATGCAGAAAATATACTAGAATTAGAAACTGAATAACTCTAGAAGAATAAATTTAGACTTCTTGTTAATAATGGAAATCAAACTTACATAAGTCAAGAGAGAAGTCTTAAATTTGAAAAAAATATAGTAATTTATAACAGAAGAAAGTGGCAAAGGAAAAGTCATCCGAATAAGTTTCGGCACAGAGAATTTAATCAGTCAACATTTAACCAGGAAGCTGGCCCACCATGAGTTATGGAATAAGGGATGTATTATAGGAATTAGACCTTACGCAATCAGAAAAAGGACTGGGCAAGTTGGGGTCCAGGAGGGAAGTTGGAGAATCAGACCACCAACCAATCTGAGAAACCAAGCACATCAGGCCACTAAAATGGGGCTGTAAAAGGAAAGCTCACGGGGAGGTCTATGGGAAGTGCAGCTACCATTTCAGGAAGCCCACGCCAGAGAGTCTGGGTGTAGGATTAGAGCTATGGTGGCTCAACACGGTCAGCAGTCAGGAAGAAAAGCTGGGTACTGAGTAAAGACCAGCTGAAACCTGCTGGCACCTCTGCATCTTCCTGTCCGCCTAACCAAGCCAGCTTCCAGGGTAATAGTTACTGCCTCGCTTCTGCCTTCCAAATCTTGTCGAAGTCTTTTTTCTGGCCAATGCTAGGCTAAAATTATGCAGGGAACAGTGTTCCAACACACATGGTTTCTTGCATAACTGACACAGTACAAACCACCACAAGAGTTTGGATTAAATGGACAGGTAATCAGCATTGTAACACAGTATGCCTCTTCTAACAACAGTTCTTGCTTTCATAAAAATAAAAAAGTCAAGATGCCAACATCAGGGAAAACTGCAACATTAGTGAGGGGGAAAAAAGGGCAAAAACTTCCTTTGACACCAAAACATGAGAGGTGAAATGGAAATAAGCAAGTAAAATTGTCTAATTTGCATGTCTGGAGGAGAAATGATATAGTAAGATTACTCTTTCAATTGAATAAGAAATTGTTTCCTCATTAATCATCACCACCATTAAACAAGATTCACCTAGAATCTTTGTTGCTCATGTATCATAGCTTATGAAAACAATGCAGAATTTTTCAAAAAAAATTTTCAAATTTGTGAAGGGAAAAACAAAACTTAAGGGCCTGAAACATTAAAAAGGAAGAAGGCAAGAGAAATGCTAAATGATGGTACTCCATCAATCTGAGTGGGACTGATGGAATGTGAAATAAGTTCTAGGACAAAAATGTGCCACGGAACAATAGGAAATGTCAAATATTATTTATTTCCTTAGGATCATAAGGCACAGGTAGGAAAAAAGAAATGGAAAGATGTTTTTCTTAAATAAAATGTCTAAAATATTTTGGGCATTGAAATGTGCCCTATATCCCCTAATGAGATACAAGGCCATTGTTATTGTTTTGGAAAAAATACATGATTCTCTAAAGAATAAATTATAATAGTAATCATAGAATTTCACAGTGAGGTCAGTTCACAAAAACAAATTAAAATGAGGCATAATAAGCTAGTAGTACACTGTCTACATGACCAAAATGAAGGGGGCAATTTTTATCTGAATTACTCTAACTCGTTGTTAAAACAATTTTAAAATTCCATTCAGAATTCAGAATTATTTATTACTTCTCTTGTGCTACTACTACTGTATGAGTTGTTAAGTATACAAACATGAATAAGATATATGCAAGTGGAAATCTGCCACTTGCGTTAAGTAATTCAAAATCTGAACTCCCTTACATTTGTGTGGGGGTTCTTCACTCTTCACTTTATTATCTTGGTGGAGGGGTAAAAGCTTCTTTCCTCATCAGAGCTGAAAGTGTTAGACACTCCGATAGCTAGTCATTCTTGTAGATGGAGAATAATTTTAGGCTCTGGCCATCAGTACAACCATATCTGACTCATGCACGCTAACTGAAGACAGTATCAGCAGTGGAGGCTTCAAGGTCAAGGCACAGAAATGATATGAAGTAGCAGTTGTAGGAAGGTGAGGTATTGGCACCAAAGAGGCAGGAGTGCAAGTGTAGCACCTGGTGCTCTGCCGTGGTTTACTCATCAGACCAATTCCAATGTGGAATTTGGAGCTTTGTTTCTAGAAACATTTTCTCATGACTAGTGCTCCAGCCTTCCATTATAGCTGGTAAATACCGAATATATTTTCAATAAACTCCTTTCTGTTCAATTGGAGTCCACACCTCCTGCCTCAAAATAAGAAGTTTGAGTGATACAACATGTTTCCTAGTCTGAAAGAGTTAACATCTCAAAAGAGATGCCAACGATGACACCATATAAAGGCATAAATATGGTATGTCTAATTACCAATCAACATCTCCACTGTGAGGACTCAAAGATACTTCAAACTTAGAATCTCCAAAACTAGGCCTGGGTCTTCTGTCAATTTTCTCTAAGTCAACAATTGGCACCACTCTTCCACTTGTTCATGACAGAAGCCAGTAAGATATTCTTGACACTGCCCTCCTTCTCACTCCCAATAGCCAATACATCACCAAGTCTTATCAGTCTTGCCTCCTGAATCTCTCTGTAATCATTCTTCTTTCCAACATCACCACCACTCCTAAGTCTATGCTTCCAAGATTTCTCACTGGATTGCTGCATTAATAGCCTTCTAAAGAATGACCCACATTATGGCTTCCTTCTAAACCACCATTGACAAAGTGATTTCTTAAAAATATGTATCAGATCAAACCATTCAACTACTCAAACACTTCAATGGCTTCCCAAAGCTCTACATGCTCTGGCCTCTGCATGTCTTCCCACTCATTTCTGGCCACTTTCCGCCCTTAGAGTTTGCAACCCAAACACATCAGTCTTCTTCCCTATCTTCATTACCCAATGCTTTCTCTTGTTTTGTACCATTAATTTCTACTCAACCTTCAAATTATAGTTAAAATATCACAGCCTCCGGGAAGTCTTTGCTAGAATGCTAGACTATATCTGGTGCTCTTATTATAAGTAATCAAAGCTCCATATATTTTTAATCATAGCTTTTATCACAGTTTGAAATTTATGTGATTACTTAATTAACATTTGTCTCTCCACTAAAGCGTAAGTTTGGCAAAGGCCAAGACCATGTCTGGTTTTAGTCTTCATTGTGGGGCCCAGGGCCTAGCACATGAAAACATACTGGAAACAGTACATATTTGTTGAATGAAAGAATTAATTATATAAAAGGAAGAAACAGATTAATTAATTCTGTATAGACAGAGAGACAAATGAGGATTTAGAGAAAGGGTGATACTAAAGTTAAAGGGTGAGGCGGACTTGCTCAGGTAAGTCATTGTCCCATCATTCACTCACCCTTGCTACTATAGACCCCAGTAGTCATAACGATAATCAGTGACAAAATGCACAATGCCTTCCTGTCCTGTATTCCCCAACTTGCTTTAAACCCCTAACAATTATAAATAAAATATATTTTTAAGCTTCTTTGATATAACCACCCACAAAATCAAGATAAGCATCATTATGGACCAGAAATAGAACAGAAAATTATAGCAGTACTAGAGCCATGAACCTGGTGCATTCAAAGTCCCTCAGAAAACCTGGGGGTTAACAGAGACTAAAGGTTACCCAGGCATAGCCAAGCTCACTCTGTAGAGATAGATGTTGGGGAAGGGCTCCTTATCCAGAAAAGGAAGCTGCAAATCCTGTGATTGCCCAGACCTACTGCCAGTGGTGTACTGATAAATGTTTAAAAACAATGGGTACACATGAAAATACAGAGTGGAAGAACAGATATGGGAGACTCCAAAAGGTAAAAGGTAGGTCAGGGGTGAGGAATGAGAAATTACCTATTGGATACAATGTTCACTTTTCAGGTGTTGGGTACACTAGAAGCCCAGATTTCACCACTACACAATATATCCATATAATAAAACAGCATTTTTACCCCCTAAATCTATTTTTTAATAGTTTTCTGGGGTTAGGGGAGTGTATGCCTATATAAACTTATACATTTATTATAAATTTTATTAATATAAAGGATGTATAGCAATTTATAAATAATAATATATACAATACCCTTTGTTGTAAATTCCATATAGCCAATTGATTCTCACATAATTTTGTTGTTGTCGTTGTTGTTGCTGTTGTTTTATGACAGAGTCTCTGTCGCCCAGGCTGCAGTGCAGTGGTGTGATCTTGGCTCTCTGCAACCTCTGCCTCCTGGGTTCAAGTGATTCTCCCACCTCAGCCTCCCAAATAGCTGGGACCACAGGTGTGCACCACCACACCCTGCTAATGTTTTTGTAATTTTTGTAAAGACAAGTTTTCACCACATTGCCCAGGCTGGACTTTTGTTGATTTTTGCTAAAGTCTTGTATGCATAGCCAACCTGTAGTTGCAACTGACAAACCACTATACTCACAACATGCATGTTGATTGATAGTCCCCCTTTACATTAATAAATAAGATAAAATAACGAGGATGTATGTCAAAACTTGACTTACTCATCAATGATGTGAAGAACTCCTTTGAAAGTAGTTTCTTAATACGAGAAGAATATTTCCTCATTTTTGTGCTATTCACTAACGGCTCAACTCAGCACACTTTTAAATTTAATCTGAATTATTAATATGCTCTCCATCACTAACTTAAGTCTAGATGAACAAAAAAACAATAAATCAAGCCCTGATTTATAGCATTTGCCAATTTCTTTGGGAAAATACTTCCACCATGGCCAATTGCGAAGTACCAAAGTGTAACTGAACAGAGATTTGGGGGAGATGTACAGTATCACACCACTATATAGGAATTTCCACCCTAAAATACAATAGACATAAATAACTCTAACAGCATAGACAATAGTAAAGTAATTAGGAAGTGATGTCTTTAATATGTATTACCTTTGTTTTTAATATAATGTATTTAGTTATTATTTTATATAATTTAGTTTTATAATGGCTGTCTTTAACAACTCACTTAAAATATTCCTTGAAACTTTAACAATTGACTCTTGCAAGCTAGTAAAACTTGACTCCAGCATATTACGGGCACTACCTGAATGAAGCTTCTGTGAACTTGTCATAGCTTGAAGAAAAGTAAATGATTCTCCTGGTTGGAATGAAACAATGACATCATCATATTTCTCTATTTCTTTTAATAACACTGAAGTACTAGTATCAATATTGGTATTTTATTGAATATGTTCACAATTTATTAAACTGATTTATTTCAATAGGTTTTCTGAGGAACAAATGGTGTTTGCCTACATGAATAAGTTATTTAATGGCGATTTCTGAGATTTTGGTGCACCCATCACCCGAGCAGTGTACATTGTACCCAAAGTGTAGTCTTTTGTCCCTCACCCCCTCCCACCCTTTCGCCCTAGTCCCCAAAGTCCATTGTATCATTCTTAGGCCTTTGTGTCCTCATAGCTGAGCTCCCACTTATAAGTGAGAACATATGATGTTTGGTTTTTCATTCCTGAGTTACTTCACTTAGAATCGTGTTCTCCAATTCCATCCAGGTTGCTGCAAATGGCATTATTTCCTTCCTTTTTATGGCTGAGTAGTATACCGTCTTGTATATATACCACATTTCTTTATCCACTCATTGACTGATGGGCATTTGGGCTAGTTGCTTATTTTTGCAATTGCAAATTGTGCTGCTATAAGCATGTGTATGCAAGTATCTTTTCATATATGACTTCTTTTCCTCTGCATAGAGACCCAGGACAGGGATTGCTGGATCAAATAACTGATCTACTTTTAGTTCTTTAAGGAATCTCCACACTGTTTTCCACAGTGGTTGTAGTAGTTTACATTCCGACCAGCAGTGTAGAAGTGTTCCCTTTTCACTACATCCATGACAACAACTATTATTTTTTGATTTTTTGATTAGGGACATTCTTGCAGGAGTAAGGTGGTATCACATTGTGGTTTTGATTTGCATTTCCCTGATAATTAGTGATATTGAGCATTTTTTCATATGTTTGTTGGCCATTTGTATATCTTCTTTTGAGAACTGTCTATTCATGTCTTTAGCCCACTTTTTCACGGGAGTTTTTTCTTGCTGATTTGTTTGAGTTCATTGTAGATTCTGAATATTAGTCCTTTGTCAGATGTACAGATTGCAAAGATTTTCTCCCACTCTGTGGGCTGTCTACAATTTCAATCCATTTCAAATATTTAAAATATTTACTTTTACAAGATATCAATAAAAATGTAAGTTTATTAAATATACTTCCTATATATTCTTATTCTAATAAAAATTACTGGCACCTAAACTAACAGAAGTAAAATATTAATCAAAAATACTGAAATACATTAAAATGACTAAAATTAAATTATATAAAATGGAGAAACATTAATATTATTTAGTTTTGCTTTGTTTGTCTGTTTTCTTGAGACAGAGTCCTGCTTTGTCACCCAAGCTGGAGTGCAGTGGCATGATCTCGACCCACTGCAACCTCTGCCTCCCGGGTTCAAGTAATTCTCCTGCCTCAGCATCCTGAGTAGTGGACTACAGGCATGCGCCACCACACCTGACTAATTTTTGTATTTTTAGTAGAGACAGGGTTTCACTATGTTCGCCAGGTTGGTCTTGAGCTCCAACCTCAGATGATCCACCTGCCTCAGCCTCTCAAAGTGCTGGGATTACAGACATGAGCTAGCGCACCTGGCAATATTATTCAGTTTTAAAAGCAAAGTGTGTCAAACATCACTAGTCGTAAATACATTTTTATAAAAATTTTTCCAGCTGTAATAAAAGCTCTTTCTGACTCAGCCCTGACCAGAAAAAAAAATGGTAAAGAGATGAGTATAAGCGATAATATTTCTAAGAATTTTTCTCTGATTCTTCTATCTTCAAAAAATGTTATCTTTTTGTAACTTGATAAAAATATCAATAACTTTGGAGAGCTCTTTTTGAAAAGTTTTTGCAGAACTACACTTTTCTTTTTGAGAAGTTTTTGCAGGAACTAGACTTTCTTTCTTTGATAGCAAGGCATAGATTTTTATTCAAATAAAGCATTTCACATTCCACGTCATCACCTTTACTTTCAAATTGTATAGCTGGAGATCCCTGGACTGAGACACTGATATAATTTCAGTGCTCTCATGTTCATATCTTACTTGTTTGGAAATATTTTTAGGGTATGAATTAGTCTTGCAGAGAAAACTTGGCTTTGTCAAACTGTCATTTTCATCTGCTTCATGAGAATTGTGAAGGTTTAGAAGAACTCATTTTCTAAAAGAATGTGCCTTTGTTCAGTTCACATTTTTACTATTATGGCTACTAGTTAAATTTTTTTAAAAAGTGAAGGAGGTGTCCAGTAAGTTTTTCTTCTCCGCTATGAACTGAATATCTATGTCATTGATCATGATGTCAAAATACAAAAGAGTCAGGTTTCTTCACCCCTCTGGCAACTACTAGTTCTGTTGCCTTTTTGGATTCAGTCCCCTCTAGCCCAAGCCACTCCCAAAACTACTGTTTCTGATGTTGCAGGTGGAGTCAGAACATCAATACATCCCTCCTGAGTGTAGCTACCCAAAGAGATGCTTTGGTACTCACCTCTGTACAACTCCTACTGTCAGACCAGCACTCTGAGTTTTGCAGCAATTCGGACTTATCTCCAGCCAAACCAGATATCACGTATCTGTGATTTAAATCATCTCCTCTGCCTGCCAGTGTTTAATGTCTAGTTTGTTTGATTGTCTCATTGATGGCCAAGGTGGAGCAGAAGAGAGATACAAGACATGAACTGCAAAAAGGGGCTGAGGGAGTTTTGGTAACGGTGTTAGGAGAGGGAAGCGGAGGCAAGAAAGGGAAGGTGAAAGGACGGGAGAGAGAGCCACAACATGTCAACAAAACTGCTGATCAGTACATGAAATAACAGTATTCCCCAATAAGAAATATCACTTTCTCAATATTTAATGTTAGCTTAGCATACAGGTCATTTAAAAAAGAAAGAAAAAACAGTGCTAAAACACCAGTACTGACTCAGTGATTGGAGTTGTGATAACACTGACATCAGCAAAGAATAGCGGTCCCAAAACAGATAAAATAAAATATGTTCCGGGCTTAAGGCCTTGTCTGCAAAGGAGCCAGAAAAGATGAGGTGGATACAAAGAGAAAAAAATTTTAAATTAACTTTAAGAATAAGCCTGAAACCTAAAACTCAAAAGCACAGGAAGAAAAATAACACTAAAAGAAACTCAACTAACAAATTCAACATTAGGGAGATACATTTACTCCCTACTCTTTTAAATGGCTTTAATGTAAGTATAGTTAAGATATTCAAGGAGGGATAAAGAAATAACATTCATCAAAGTAATATGACTTTTGGGAACAAAAACAGACCAAAGTGACTCAAGAACAAATTAGAACTACTAAACTACATGTAACCTTTTCAGAATAAAATAATAAATAAATAAAACCATAGTACACTGGTAGTGGGGGAAAAGCAGATTTGAAATACAAAAGGCAAGTAGATCATCCTCTCAATGCAGTGTGCAGTGAGTCAGTCTCATAACCTGAAAGACAAGTAGGCTACTTTAGAACATTTGAAATGAAACACAACACAATAGTCAAGGTAAATCAAGATGGAAACAATAAAAGAATTTAATTAGAAAGTGGTTTTGAGGAATTCATCTAGAATACATATCATCTTTAAAAAGAAGCCATGAAATATGGAAGATAGGCTGAGGCACCATGATTTGTCTAAAAACACATGCAGAAGTAGAGAATAAATAGAACAATAAAAGCAATATTTCTCAACTGAAGAAAAACCAAGCCCTCAAAATGAGCGCTCACATTGAGTACCAATCAATTAAAGAAAAACAAATCCACACCTGGATATGTTGAAGCAGTATTGCAGAATAGCAAAGACAGAGTGAAAATTCTTAAAAGATACTAGTGAAAAGCCAGTAAGAAAAAAATAAAAGCGAAAGTCAATGAAAAGAGAGCCAACTTCCCATTAACAACAATCAATGCCAGAAAACAAAGAATGATATTTTCACATTGTTGAAGGAATAAACTGATTTCCTACAATACTCTATACAACTATCTATCATTCCAGCATGAGTGGGAATATGGAAAAAAACAAAACTGGATCTGTTCCTCACTCCATAGCTACAATAAGTCCCCAAATGATGAAAGATTTTCATGTTATAAAACAAAATTACATGAGTAATAGAAGTAACCACCGGAGAATTCCTCTGTAATCTGGAAGCAGAAAAAACTTTACCAAACATGACTCCAAATACAGAAGCAGTAAAGCAAAAAAAAAAAAAAAAAGGTAAATTTTATTATATACAAGCTTTTAAAATTAAATATCAAAAACTTTCATGAGCAAAATAAAAAGTCAGTTGGAAAAACTGAGAAAAAATATTTGTAGTATATCACAGTTTAAGTGTTAATATCCCTAATATGTTTTCTTTACATTTTCAAATATAGAAAGGACCAAAAGCCCCTTTTTAAAAGGGTGATAAATATAGACAGATGACAGAAAAAGTATGCATAAATGGCTCGAAAGTATAGGAAAAGATGCTCAACTTTTATCAAAAAAAAAAAAAAGAAAAGAAAAGAAAGGCAGGTTAGAAACATGCAGGAATAGCCAGGAAAACTGAAAGAGAGAACTAGCCTAAATCGATGCTAAACATAGTCTATGACTCTATAGTTAAAATAGTATGGTGTGTTGCATGACTAGACAAGTATACCAGTGGAATGGAATAGAATGCACAGAAATAGACCCAATGTATATGAATATATACCATATGACAATGGTGGCATCCCAAATTACTGGGGTAAAGGTAAATTTTTCAGTACATTGTTCTGGAGAAATGGGATGCCATTTGGAAAAAAAATAAAATTAGATTCTTTTTTTATGCTACATACAGAAATGAAATCCTAATGTACGAGGGATACAAATATTTAAAAATGAAACTAAATACTAGAAGAAAACAAGAGTGAATTCCTCTTTAATCTTTGTGTAGGGAAAAAGATTTCTAGCTATGACTCAATAGTCAGAGGCAATAAAAGAAAATATTGATAAATTTAACTACATAAAAATAAAAATAAAATTTGCATAATGACAAAGGAAATTAAAAGTAACTGACAAACTGACGGGGCGGGGGGGGGGGGTGTGTGGAATATTTGTAACATATTCCATAGATAAAGAGCTAATATCTCTAATATATAAAGAACTCCTTAAAGGCCAGGCATGGTGGCTTATGTCTGTAGTCCCAGCACTTTGGGAGGCCGAGGCCGGTGGATCAGTTGAGGTCAGGAGTTTGAGATCAGCCTGAACAACATGGTGAAATCCTGTCTCTACTAAAAATATAAAAATTAGCTGGGCATGGTGGCTCACACAGGTAATCCCAGCTAGTCGGGAGGCTGAGGCAGGAGAATCTCTTGAACCTGGGAGGCAGAGGTTGCAGTGAGCAGAGATTGTGCCACTGCACTCCAGCCTGGGAGACAGAGTGAGACTCTGTCTCAAAAAACAAAAAAAAGAAGAAAAGAAAATCCTAAAATTGAGAAATAAACAAAATCTAACAGAAAAACAGGGGAAAGACATGACAATTCACAAAGAAAAGGTATAAAAATGTCCCTCAAATAAACGGAAAATACTCAAACTCGTTCACAGAGAAATGCAAATTAAAACAACACTAAAACACTGTAAGACTGACAAAAAATTAAAAATATATATGACAGTGTATTCTGACGCCAATTTATGGGGAAAGAGGCACTCTCATACATTGCTGGTGGGAACTCAGATTGATATACAACAGTTATGGAGGGTAATTTGGCAATACCTTTTAAAAAATGCACCCATCTTTTGATCCAGCAATTCCACTTCTAAGAATCTGCCCCGAAAATAATATCCCTTTAACTATACAAAAATATATATGCAGAGAGTTATTTATTGTTGCTTCACTTGTAAACAGAAACAACCTAAATGCACATACGTAGGAGAATGGTTGAATAACATATGTATACACAATGGAGTACTATATAGCTGTATAAAAAGAATGAAGATCTCTATTGAGCTGGTATGGAATGATAGTCAGGACATAGTGCAAAAAGCATTTCTCACCTTCAGGTGAGCAAAAATATAGAAGTTTGATAACATTGTTTGTTGGTGAGACCATAGGGAAAAGTCATAAAATAATATCTATAGCATACTATCTTTTATGTAAGAAAGGTGAGGATAAAAGAAAATGCACATGTATCTGTTCATGTATGCAAAGGAAATACAGGAAAGATAAATCTGAAACTTAAGAGACTGGTAACCTATGGAGATAAGTGAAAAATCAGTAAAAAGAAGAGGAAGAATTGGAATTGGAGTAGCAGAGATGATGACGAAGTGACACATCTTGAGGATATATATTTTGTGTGTGGCTCAGACTGTCAAAATATAGTAATGTTTTACATACCACAGAAAATTAAAAAATAAAACAACACCAGTTAGATACAGTGGTGGCGGTGGTGATGGTGGATGAGGGGGACCCAAAGGGAATACAAATGCTAACAAATCACCCTAATGTATTACAAATGGATAGCATCAATACATTGACAGTGATGGAAAATAAAAGAATAACCTACATAACTTTGAAAAATAGTATTTTAACTAGAAACTGTATAGCTAAAGACAAAAAGAAATGTACATAAATGCTGCAATCTAGTTAATAAATATGTTTCTCACAGGGATATGATTTAGTCATTTTGAAACTATGTGCATCCCAGAATTGAATGAATATTGAAATATTTTATAGATAAGGACGGTCAAATTTCTCAGTGTTGGAAAAAGAGACTACAAATATGAAAAGGGAGTAGGCTAAAATAAACCTTGTGGCATTGAACTGAAATCAGAAATATTAGTATAAACTCATGATATGACAGACTAGACAGGTAGGTAGATTAGGTGGATATATAAATGATAGAGAGAGAAAGATGATTTCTTACTTCTTTCTTCTAAAAGAGCCTGGAAGTAGGGTTGCCAGATTTAGCAAATAAAAATATAAGACACCAGTTAAATTTGAATTTCAGAAAAAAAACAATTTTTAGTATAAATATGTTTCATGCACTATTTGTGACATACTAAAAAATTATCCATTAATTAGCTGAAACTTAAATGTAACTGGGGTTTTTATATTTTATCTGGCAACCTTACCTAGAACCAATTACACTCCATTAGCAATGGTTACAACTAGCACCCAGATCTTATTTTCTAAACATCATTCTCCAATAAAAAAAATTTCATAGCTGAGACAGAAAAATACACAAGAACTTTCTGCAAAAGCTTGTGATATCAAAAGGCAAGGAAGTTTTCAATGAAGGGATAGAGGTTGGTTGAAAGAATCAGAAGCCAAAATGAAAAAGATGATGAAAACATTCTATCTTAATTAGGCTGTGGTCACCCTGATATACACATTTGTCCAAACTCATTGAACTGTATACTTAAATTATGTACATTTTTAGTATTTGTAAATTATAACTTAATAAACTTGGGTTTTTTAAAAAGAGAAAAGCAAATTAAAACTGCACCATCTCTCACCTTCAGGTAGAAGAAAAATCTAACATTTGATAACATATTTTGTTGGTGAGACCATAGGGAAAAGGCACACAGAAATGACACAAAATAGTACAATCTCTAAGAAGACTTGGCAGTACCTAGAAAAATTACATATGCATTTATCCTTTCACCTAGAAATTCCTATCAAAGACTACTAAGGATAGATACAAATGATTCAAGAATCTATTCCAAATATACACTGGTGAAAATATTAAAAAAAAAAAAAAAAGAGCAGGCATAATCCAGTTGTGGGGGCTCACATGTGTAATCCCAGCACTTTGAGAGTCCAAGACAGGTGGATTGCCTGAGCTCAGGAGTTGGAGACCAGCCTGGGTAAGATGGTGTGTAACCTGTCTCTACAAAAAAAGTACAAAAATTAGGCGGGTGTGGTGATGCATGCCTGTGGTCCCAATCACTCAGGAGGCTGAGGCAGGAGGATCGCTTGAGCCTGGAGGTAGAGGCTGCAGTGATCCAAGATTGTGCCACTGTATTCCAGCCGGAGTGACAGAGTGAGACACCATCAAAAAAAAAAAAAAAAAAAGTAGGCATAAAGCTATCCACTGCAGAATTAGAATTATTTGTGATATCTACAGGCTGGAAACAACTAAATCCTCATTAATGCAGGACTAATTGAATAAACAGGATACATTTGCATAATGGAGCATAACATACATATAGAAAGAAATGGGAAATATCTACATTTACTAACATGGAATGATCTCCAAACTACATGATTTTTAAAAAAGCAAGTTGGAGAAAAATGTCAATAGTATGCTACCACATAACTAATAAAGAGAGATACATATTTGCATATACTTTCTTTCGAATGGAAAGATTAAAAATAAAACAAAAAAGAAAATGTTCACCTATAGGGGAAGAGAAGGAACAAGCAAAAGGGGGTAAGAATAAAGCTAGGCTTCTCAGATTATATCTTGCTTTATTTATTTAATTTTGGGACCATAAAAATACTTTATGTAATTATAAAATAAAATTTTTAAAAAACAATCACTAAAAAAAATCAAAACCAAAAATAAATTAATAAACCATATAGTGTAACAAGCTAGCAGCAAAACCACACAGTGGCATTAAGTGATCTTAAAACACAATAATTTTGTCCTACATGTCTAGTGAAATACGGTATACACTAAAAGCTTCAAATATACTAAAAAGAGCTTCACAACAAAAATCTTAAATTATGTTCACTAATCATACCACTGGAGGTAGTGTTGGTATTTTTATTCTGAATTTATTACAAAATAAAGCAAATAAGTAATTCTGTTGGTATGAGAACCAGAATTTTTAACAAGAATATAAAGAGAATCAAATATAAGACTCAAGAGGTTAAGTACTCTAGGTTCTTGAATTTGAATTGAAATTAACATAAATTATGATGTATTTTATCGTTTCTTTTTTTTTTTTTCTGAGACAGAGTATCGCTCTGTCACCCAGATTGGAGTGCACTGACGTGATCTCAGTTCACTGCAACCACCACCTCCCGGGTTCAAGCAATTCTCCTGCCTCAGCCTCCTGAGTAGCTGGGACTACGGGCACGCACCACCACGCCCAGCTAATTTTTATATATTTAGTAGAGACGGGGTTTCGCCATGTTGGCCAGGCTGGTCTTGAACTCCTGACCTCAGGTGATCCACCTGCCTCAGCCTCCCAAAGTGCTGGGATTACAGGTGTGAGCCACGGCGCCTGGCCATCTTTATTTTTAATACACACACACACACACACACACACACACACACACAGAGAGAGAGAGAGAGAGAGAGAGAGAGAGAGAGAGAGAATGAACAGCAACGATGACCAACGATGGAGCTGAGCCCAGGTGCTGTCGCAGCCTGGCCGGGTGTGTGCACGCTCAGGACAGCACTGACACACCAGCCCCCTGCTGCATTGGCCCCCTCCAGACTTTGGACATCAAAGAGCACAGGAGGGAGGCCGAGAGGTGGCTGAAGACAGCTGGGTGCTGGCCTGCAGGTGCTCCTTGGCATGAACAGCCTGGGCACCATGAACCACCGCAGGAGGTAGACAGGCTCCTGGGTGGAAGGGACAGGTCCCTGGTGAAGCCCCACCTTCAAGCCAGGGAGGGCCTGAAGCCAGGGGGCCAGGCTGCCGGTCCAGGAGACTGGAGTGGGAACGTGTGGTACTTTTCCCTGGACCTGCCCATGGCCACCCATGAACCAATCAGCATGCACTTCTTCCCCTCTGAGGCCCATAAGCCACCCCTCCCCACCCCATCCTCCCCGACCCCAACTCAGCCAAAGAGACGATAGAGAAGGGAAGGGATGACCAGGGGCAGAGAGGAGCTACCTCTCTGCTGAGAGCTGAAAAGACAATAGAATGACCAACTGCAGAAAGAAGCTACCCTCTTTGCTGAGAGCTGAACATTCTTCGGGACACCCTAGCTACAGAGAAGAGCTGCCCACTGCGGGTCTCCTCTGAGCTATTCTATTGCTCAATAAAGCTCCTCTTTGTCTTGTTTGTCTTCCACTTGTCTGCGTACCTCATTCTTCCTGGATGCAGGACAAGAATTCGGGACCCACCAAATGGTGAGGCTAAAAGAGCTGTAACACAAACATGGCTGAAACATGCCCCTTGCTCGCCATATTGCAAGTGAAGAGAGAGAAGAGCTGCGGCCCTCCAGAGAGCCCAGACCTGGGAGTTCCCCAAGCCATGGCTGTGACTCCTCTGTAGGGCACTGCGGTTCCTGGTGTCTCCAAGCTTCCGGGCGCCACCACATTCCCTGGTGCCAGCTGAGGAAGTTGCTTGCAGTGCACCTGGTCCAGCCACAGCGTCGCAGAAAGCCCGCACCCATGTCAACACCTGGAGCTGCCTGCCCTACGGCAGCAGCTGGCATGTCTGTGTGCAGTGGCTGGACCCGACGCTTGCTCACACACCCGCCGCCACTCCACGCCTGACTCGCAGTCTCCCTTGGAGGCGTGGGATCCAGGCCAGTAGCATGAGCCGAGTGCAGCCTGCCAGGCCAAGTGGGCAGAACAAGCCTAACAGGCCCAAGCAAAATTCAGGCAAAGGTTCCACTGGCCACAGAGTTTTCCAGCCAGAAAAAGCGACACACCAAAGATCCCGTAGATCAAGATCAAGCCTCTAAATCTAACTACTAATTTATATAAAATAAGGGGGATGCGTTTAAGAAAATCACAGGATGCAATACACAAATCCACACTGTAGAAAAATTTATGGAATAAATTGCAATGGAAAAAGAGAGAAAGGAGAGGGAAATGTAAACTAAATTATATTTCAAGAATGAGACTTCAATTGATTGCCACACATGGGCCCCATTTGGATACTGATTTGAACAAATAAATTGCAAAAAAAATTAATATATGAGATTAGGAATATTTGGACACTGGATATTGGGTGACATTAAATAAATATTTAGGAGTAAAAATGGCAGTGAGATTATATTTTTTTGAAGTCTTTACCATTTTGAAACAAAGGCTGAAATGGTTACAAAAGGAATGTTACGAAATGGGTAGTATTAATAAAACGGTTGATTGTTTTGTTTTAATTGTAATCATTAAGGCTGGTAACAAGCACAAGAGAGATTATTATACTGGTCTAAAAACAGGTGTGTGTAAAATTTTTCATAATAAAAAGTTTTCTTAAGTGTGATTTAAACAGTATTTTTAGAAATTTAAAATCTAAAGAGTTCTTCAACAACATATTAGCAAAGGGAATATAACTGTGTAACTTTTGTGCCAAAGTGGTAGAATTCTCAGGAGTCCTAATAAATAAGACTGGAAGTGCAATTTATAGTTCCAAAGTAGCTCAGAAGTTTTTGGTTTTTTTTTTTTAAGAGGGGAAAGAGAAAGAATAAATGAAACTTTATCATTCTAACTAACGGTAAGGAATGGGGGAAAAGAGCAGCGGAATGTAGGAGAACAGAAAACAGACAGTAAATATTTAGCATAAAGCATAAACTGACAGAGGAATAACTAAGAGGAATTGAGAGATCAACTATAACAGTGGAAGAGATATGAAGGCTATATGCTCTAGAGTGCACCCCCTCACCTCCCCAAATACCACACCCAAGCACATGAGCACACGCACGCATGCACACACATACACACACACACAGAGGAAGCTGTTTATTCATTTGTTAAAACATCTAACAAGAAGCCACTAAGTCCTTGATCCTGTCTAAGAACTAGTGACATAACAGTAAATGAGACAAATGTGAAGCTTACCGCATGAAGCTTACAGTCTACTGAAAAGATGCCTAAAAGACTAAAGGCAATTCCAATACAGTGTGCGAAATGCTATAATAGAGAAAAAGTCATTTTGTCCAAAATAAGTCTTGTATGTATTGTCTGCATTTCCTTTAAGAATGAGCTATCTTGGCCAGGTGCAGTGGTTCACGCGTGTAATCCCAACAGTTTGGAAGGCCAAGGCAGGCAGATCACCTGAGGTTAGAAGTTCAAGACCAGCCTGGCCAATGTGGTGAAACCCCGTCTCTACTAAAAATACAAAAATTATCCGGCCTGGTGGTGCACGCTTGTAATCCCAGCTACTCAGGAGGCTGAGGCAGCAGAATGGCTTCAACCTGGGAGGCGGAGGTTGCAGTGAGCTGAGATCACGCCATTGCACTCCAGCCGGGTCGACAAAAGTGAAACTCCATCTCAAAAAAAAAAAGAATGAGCTATATCAAAATATGCAGACCCCAGGAAACGCCAACACATGTTACTGAAATAATACTCACCATCACATCACACTCATTAACAAAGCTACAGTGCACCTCTGATCTCGGGAGCCCAAAACAAATTAACAGCCACACAGATGCAATGAGAATGCCCACTCCAGGCTAAAGATGGCCCAGTTTAGAACAGTTTAAGTTAATGCCAGAAAAATACTGTCAGGACAGAATCAGTAAGGTCTCATCAGGAAAACAGAAACCACCTTAAATAGTTCAAGCACAGAGTATTTACTACAAAGAGACTTTATGAAAATGATGGAAGGGCTTAAGTATCAAAAAGGTTGAGGTAAGATGAGGTAAACCAGAGAGTAAGAACCATGGAAGCTGCTACCACCTCTTGGGCTGCAATAACAGATGGGAGAAGGAAATGCTAGAACCTGGAACACAATGACTCTGAAGCTGCTAGAGACTGCTGTGGCCACTGAAACCTCTTTCACCCCTGCCTGCACCGCCAAAAGCCCCTGGGGTTAGTAGTTACCCTTACCCTCAGAGCTTTTACCATTCAAACCACAGGAGCCACATCTGCCACTGCTGGAACTGCCAAGGGACATTACACTTAGAGCTGTATTCTGCTGTTGGAAATGCCACCAAAGCATAGGCTACATCCCTCTTCCTGCCTTCAGTCTCCCACAGGTGCCCTCCCATTAGCCAACTCTAACTGGAAGCTACCAGGCCAAAAAGGCTAGAAAATGAAGTTTGCAGGAGTCCAGCTTACTGAGATACAGAGTAAGGCATGGAAGGGCAGGAGTGGAACTAAGCAGCAAACGGACAATGCTATACATCTCTTTAACTATTTAGCATCCATTCTCTTCTATTCATATTAACTTCCTTATAACAAGTTGTTATTTGGAGGAATGTAAGTCAGGGATCAAAAACTGAGCAGAAGCCAGCAGATTCAGTGCTGAGCTGACTTCTACCACTTTAGTCTTTCTAATAAAACGTAACAGTTCACCTGAAATTGCAGCTCCAGGCGATGGTCAATTCCAATGAACTCTAAACCAGAATTCCTAGTATGAACCAAAATACCACCGACTGTTGGTTGATAGATATGATTCTATATAATGTGATTTAGCCTTCATAATAACAACAATTTGAGTTTTACTCCCCATGGACAAAAAGTAGCATACTACCAAACTATTTATTTCACTGACACTAACTTAACAATTAACTGTACCTGACATGATTTAAACACCTTTAAATTATAGGAAGTACACCAATATATTACTATTTGGCTCCAGCAGTTAAACCACTGATTATTCATATACTCAACAATGATTCAAAAGATGTATAATAAGAAATAAATCATTATATTGCTGAAGGTTTATTTTTAATTGGCCCAGCCAAATAAAATTTGTTAAATGGTAAATGTGTTATAATTTTATTAATCTAGAGTGGTGATCTATAAATTACAAATTTCATATTAGTACAAAGGCTGAGTTTTTTGTTTGTTTGTTTTGAGACGGAGTCTCGCTCTGTCGCCAGGCTGGAGTGCAGTGGCATGATCTTGGCTCACTGCAACCCCCACCTCCCGGGTTCAAGCAATTCTCCTGCCTCAGCCTCCCGAGTAGCTGGGACTACAGGTGCATGCCACCACACCCAGCTAATTTTTGTATTTTCAGTAGAGATGGGGTTTCACCATGTTGGCTAGGATGGTCTCAATCTCTTGACCTTGTGATCCGCCCACCTCGACCTCCCAAAGTGCTAGGATTACAGGCATGAGCAAGGATGAGTTTTTTTAGATATTGATACTGATATCACAATAGCTCATAAAATTATCACTATATTCCAGAAAAATATAATCAAATAATAATAGAAATCCTTTATTCTTTAATGTATGCTAGTGACAAAAATTCAGTTAGTTGACAAAATCATCATATTTGATATATCAGGATGACTTCCAGCATATAAAACGTCAACTACCAGGTGTAAATGTAAAATGATTCCCATTTTCTAAAATCCCCATTCATCCATTGTATAATATATCACGCTTCATGCTGTTTTACATTATGTAAAACAAACAATGAATACAGACTCTGTGTTTTAATGCCTGAGGTGTGAAATTAGTTCTCTGCCAAGTGTGTTTTTGATTGTTACAGATTTAAAATGTTCAGAAGTATGTCAATCTGAGACCACATTTCTTCAGTTCAGTTACGAGAAATGAAAAGCAATCTAGTCATTTAAAAGAACAGAATAAGACGGGGTTACAGAATGTACCGTGTTGTGATTTTGCACAGTCTTTGATATTCATTGCATTTTGTGCACACTACTAACTCAGGCAATAAATAATTTGCATAGTCAGTTTTCTTAATTTTTCCTCTGAGGCTCCCTTACATTGCAGTTATCACAAATCCTCCATTATAACAAGATCATCTTGTTTACAAAAGTATAATCTCAAAAAACATTTGCATCCTTATGTAATTCAGTACTTGTTCACATGATGGTGTGTCCTACCTCATCTTCTATTTGCAAATTTTTATTTCTGCACAAGTAGAAATACTTTTCTGGCTAACAAAAAGCTTTGGGGACTTCTGAGCTGAGATGGTAGAATAAAACAGAATTTCCTCTCCCAACATAAAATTTTTTTTAAAGACGAGAAAGGGGTCATTAATACAATATAAGGCATGGTTCCCCACATCAAAGATGAAACTCTGTCTCTGAGGAACTAGACAGCAGGTAAAGGAAGAGACCTTGAGGAGAAAAGAGAGGGCAGAGAAGGAGAGACAGAGAGAAAGACAGCGATAGAGAGAGAGAGAGAGGAAGAGACACAGAGGGAGTCAGAGAGAGACAAAGACAGAGACAGATGGAGAAAGAGACAGAGAGATAGAAAGAGATAGAGACAGAGAGAGACAGAGACTGAGAGAGAGGGAGATTCAGAAAGACAGAGACAGACAGAGACAGAGAGCATAAAATTTAGTGGAACAAACAAATAGCAAAATCCAGGAAAATTTTGACAGCAGCAATTAATCAATCCAATGCCATGAAGCTCAAAAAGTGACAGTCAAGAGGGAAAAAAAGATGAGATTCTGGAGCAAGGTGGAAGGTATTTAACAGGGAAGCACCTAACCCCTCCCCCGTCACTATCACTCAGAGGCCAAATAGTGAGTCAGGGAATCTGAGTCATCTCCTAATACCCCAAATGTGAGGAAAAAGGAACTGTGTGATGTTCCAGTGGGGAAAAGTGGAAAGAGCTACAGGGAAGAAAGAGGTAAAGTTTGGGAAATGAATAATGACACTAAGAACGTGAGTCCCTCTAATGGAAGCAAAGGCCCCCAGGCTACAAATATAATAAGCAAAAGGGCAGATCCATTTCTTTGTTCCCTCAATGAGAATAGGACATGTATTCCAATTACTTTCCAGGAAGCCTAGGATGAGATGTTTAACAAAATCTCAGAAGTGAAAATAGAGCCAAAATATTCTAATAGACACTGCATGGAATTTAGCTCAACTCTTCCTAATTTCCCTCCCCACAGACCTTCACCATTGAAGACATAAGAAATACACAGCAATCCACTGTGATTTGGTGAAGAAATCCAAAAAGTTTCCCATAGAATTAAAAGGGAGTCACTTCGCAAATACAAGTTTTTGTTTTGTTTTGTTTTGTTTTTTGAGATGAAGTCTTGCTCTTATCATCCAGGCTGGAGTGCAGTGGCGTGGACTCACCTCACTGCAACCTCCACCTCCCAGGTTCAAGCGATTCTCCTGCCTCAGCCTCGCAAGTAGCTGGGATTACAGGTGCATGCCACCATGCCCAGCCAATTTTTGTATTTTTAGTAAAGACGGGGTTTCACCATGTTGGCCAGGCTGGTCTCCAACTCCTGACCTCAGGTGATTCACCCGCCTCGGCCTCCCAAAGTGCTGGAGTTACAAGCGTGAGCCACCACGCCCGGCTGCAAATGCAAGTTTTGTATGAAGCTACCACAAGTGCATGCACATGTGCGCACGCACACACACATACACAAACACACACACTACACACTACACAAAAAAGGAGAAAAGGAAGACAGCGAGGGCTACAGGAAGAAAGGGAAGAAATGGAAGGGAAGACTACATGAAAAAATTGTCAAAGAATCCAGCCTAATAAGAACACATGGCCTACAGAAGAAAATTCCGAATAATTTTAAAATCAATTTAATAGCCATCGGTTCAAGACAACAAAAGTTCAAAGATTGGATGACTAAAGAACACAATGAGATAAGAAAAAAAAGTGTATTAGTTAGAGTTCTCTAGAGAAACAGAACGAATAGGATGTATGCATATTTATTCAATAGGATGTGCATGTACATAGAGAGAGAGAGACAGAGACAGAGACAGAGACAGAGAGACAGAGAGAAAGAAGGAGATACCAAATTTTATTCTAAGAAACTGGATTCATGATTATGGGACAGGCAAGTCTGAGATTTCTAGGGCATTCTGGAAATTCCTGCAGGAATTAATGTTGCAGTCTTTAGTACAAAGGCAGTGTGGAGGCAGAATCCTTCCTCTTCAGGGGACCCTTGTCTTTTCTCTTAAGACCTTCAACTGATTTGATTAGGCCCACTCAGATTATGAAGGATAATCTGCATTACTCAGAACCTACGGATTTAAATATTAATCCCATCTAAAAATACCTTCACAGTAACAGCTAGACTTATGTTTTACCAAACATGGAGTGCCATAACCTAGCCAAGTAAATACATAAAATTAACCTTCAGAGAGAAAGAAAGAGAGATGAGAGACAGAGAGATATTGAGGTTGCAAGCCTAAAAAAATAAATTGAGGGTCAAAGCAACATAATTAAGATAATTAGAAGGATTTGCAAGATAAAAAAAATTTTAAAAGATAGTAGCTAAATGAGAAACTAAGAGAAACAGAATAAATGTAGCTAACAGTCAAATTACTAACACAGAAAAAAAGCTTGACAAAATTATGTTTTGTCTTTAAAATCCAAGTATAGTAAAGCAACAAAGATAAAGTACATAATATGAAGGACAGCAAGGGATGATCCAAAATAGAAGTAGAAAACTCAAAAAACATAAATTTCCGTGGACAAAAACAAAATTATTCTATAAATCAACAAAACATGCCAGATTTCAGGGAAAAAAATTGATGCAGAATGCTAAATATTAAGACATATCCTAGTCAAGTTTTTCAACCTCAAGAACTAAAGAAACAATTCGCCAGATTTTTTTAAAAATCAAGCTGGCCTCAGATTTCTACACACAACATTTTTTAATGCCGTAAGCATAGGAGCAATACCTGCAGAATTCCAAAGGGAAGATAACCTAGCACACAGCCATCATATTAGTCAAATATAAAGACAGCAGGCAGTCATTCCAAAAAAAAAAAAGAATTTGGAGACCACAGAACTCACAAGCCTTTCTTCAAAAACTACTTTTTTAAAATTTCATTTTTTAAAATTTTGTATTTTTAAGTAGAGACAAGATCACGCTATGTTGCCCAGGCTAGTCTCCAACTCCTAAGCTCAAGCAATCTTCCCACCTTGGCCTCTCAAAGTGCTGAGATTACCTGTGTAAGCCACTATGCCTGATTTAAGAGACAAATCAAAATGTAAAACGATTTTTATAGGATGAATGAAATTTAAAAAGACCTCAGGAATGGTGAAACAATGTAAAAACAACAAATAACGAGTATTGGCTCCATTTACGTATAGTATACTAAGAGACTTGTGTAGATTATGTCTATAGGGTGGTATATAAGTGCTATAAACTTTGACAGTATGAAAATAATAATGTTACTAACAAAAATTAGAAGCTTAAGGAAGAAAAGTAAAAAGAAATGTGAGAGTACTAATGCCCAATCCTGAAAGCAAAAAGTCAATCAACACCATCTTAAAGATGCATATTTTAAAAAGGCTCTAAACTCTAAACTCTTAATATTTTCCATAATCCTTTTATCTAATTTTTTTTTTGAGACAGAATCTTACTCTGCTGCCCAGGCTATAGTGCAGAGGTGAGATCTCGGCTCACTGTAACTTCTGCCTCCCAGGTTCAAGCAATCCTCTCGCCTCAGCCTCCCGAGTAGCTGGGATTACTACAGGCACACGCCATCATGCCCCGATAATTTTTGCATTTTTCGTAGAGACTGGGTTTCACCATGTTGCCAGGCAGGTCTTGAACTCTTCACCTCAAGTGACCTGCCTGCCTCAGCCTCCCAAAGTGCTAGGATTACAGGTGTCAGCCACCGCACCCAGCCCCTTTTTACTGAACTTTTAAAGGATCTTTTAGAAAATAATTCTTGTGGTGAAAAAACATTTTGAGTTTCAGCAGTTTCCTCTATCTTACCTCATTTTTGTTTGTTCCTGCTAATTTGTATAAAATGAAATTTATTTTGTTTTCAAAATATCACTTATAATATGATCCTATTTCATAAAAAATACTTCAAAGATTTCTTTCTAGCCTGTATTTGCATATGTACATAAAAAGATAATGGGAAAATGTTCACTTAATATGATGGTTGTTTTGAGGCAGTGAGATTGGAGATCACTTTTATTACTTTGTTTTCTGTAATTTCTGAATTTCTTAAGTTCTTTATTGCAAAAATAAGAGTAATTTTTCTGTGAAAAAAAACTTTGGTGTTATTTGACAAAAATGAGTTCCACAGCCATAATAATGTTTTCTGCATACATAAATTTGAAAGTAACATGTATTGTGATGAACCTTAACTTTCTTAAATCATGTATATCTCATTTTCAGAATTAGATTATTTTTTGAAGAGAAAAATAAAGGTGTGTAACTGTTAATATGCCTACCACATCACTAAGCACTTAAAAATTACATATTTGTGCACGAAAAAGAAATTATAGGCTTCTTTTTGCACTTTGAGCACTAGGGAATTGTTCTACAGGCAATCAAAAATTATTCTGATATTCAAATATGTTCATACTGTTTTTTAACACACACAGAAACATTTAAAACACATGATGCACAAATAATGCTGTAGCATGATACTTTTTAAAGGAGAAAAATTAAATATATTTAAATTTGTTCATATATTTATAAAGAACCTCTAGAAGAATACAGAAAAACAATGTTAATAATTTTATCTTGAACTTTTAAAATCACATATACTTCCATTATTACTCCATAATCTTTCTGCAGTTTTTTTCTTAATATCTAAACTGGCCAAAGCAATCTTTTTCAGTAATAGTCATTATTCAAACTTCCATGAATCTAAATAGCAACTGCAGTAAAACAAAATACCTCACCACTTTTCCAGACCCTGTTCATTCCCTTGACAATAAAAAGGGTATGAAAAGTGATTAAATGCTCATTTACCCAGGAACCCTCTCACGTGCTATTTAATTCAAGGTGTGTGGATTATAGCTACTGAAATGACCATGAGGTGGTAGGATCCATACACAAATAAGAAGGGTAGAAAATTATGTATAAGCAAAGTATATACACAAATACTTCCCCTGTGAGCTGAAAGGAGACACAGAAATGCACAACAATAAATAAGTACTTAAATAAAATACTTGATTAATTATGTCTTATTAACTCCCTTAACGTCAAGAAATGGGGTAGCATAAGCATAGTATAACAGAGTTTTTTAATTAAAATGCTAATTTCTGTATTTTTTATAGACAGGGGTCTCACTATGTTGCCCAGGCTGATCTTGAACTCCTGAACTCAAGGGATCCTCCAGCCTCAGCTTCCCAAAGTGCTGGGGTTACACCATGCCCAGCCCAGTATTTTTAATGAGTTTGCAACTGAGGAGAATCGAGGGGAAAGCAAATATTCTTTATGTTTTCTCCTCTTTAGACATAAAGCCTGATTTTATAGACCAGTGCTCCAAAGTTCAGACCCAGAAGAATTATGATAAAAAGAGAGCTGTTATCCAGGCCAGATCTTCTCCCATGCACCCATTCAATATATTACATTTACAGAGAACTGATGTACCCCTGCAAAGGAGCGGGGGCTGAGCCACAACAGGGGCACCTTCATCCTCTGTCTAACCATCCTTTAAAAGATAGCAGTATTTTTGGTTTTTAATGAATTCATTAAGCAGAGGCAGAGTGAGTCATCGGAATAAAGCTAGGTCTATTCTCAGAAAATGGGGGGGTACCTCAGCAAAGCCATTAATGAGATGACTAGAAAAAAATATAGAGTAATTGATTTGAATCACTAAGAATGTCAAGTTGAATACATTAGTATTTTGTGATCCTATCAGTCAGTCAAAGGTAAACACAGCCTTTTAATCAAATGTAATTAAATTTTTGCTATAAGTCCAAGTCTTTTTTTTAATAATTTCAACTTTCATTTTGGATTCATGGGGAGCATGTGCAGGCTTGTTACATGGGTATATTAAGTGATGCTGAGGTTTGGGATACAAATGATCCCATCACCCAGGTAGTGAGCATAGCACCAAATAGGTAGTTTTTCAACTCTTTCTTCCCTCCTTCCCTCCTGCTTCTAGTACTCTCCAGTGTCTAGTGTTCCCATATTAATGGTCATGAGTATTCAGTGTTTAGCTCCCACTTTTAAGTGAGAACATGAGGTATTTGGTTTTCTGTTTCTGCATTAATTTGCTTAATTGGCCTCCAATTACATCTATGTTGCTGCAAAGGTGTAAATTCAAGTTTTCATAACCACAGCCAAAATGCCAGTTGAGCCACACACACACAAAAAATCCCTGAAGTGTTTTTAAATATTCTTCAAAACACCATTCTACAAATTAAATTATTTTCATGTTTGTTCCCAAATGATTTGGAGTTAGTATACTTGCAGGTATATATATAAGAAAAGAGAATCTAAAAAAGGATTCATGGATATTTATGGAGATAATATACAGCATATGTATGCCTTAGAAAAAATACAGATAGTCTGAAAATTTATTTATTAAAATATATATATAGGCTGGAAAATGGTTATTTAATCAGTATAGTTGAAATCCTTATTTTATGTTTTATAATTTTGGTTATTTCTAATCTTTACAAATAAAGGGCCGGGCATGGTGTCTCACACCTGTAATCCTAGCACTTTGGGAGGCTGAGGCAGGTGGATCACTTGAGGTCAGGAGTTCGAGACCGGCCTGGCCAACATGGTGAAACCCCCATCTCTACTGAAAATATAAAAATTAGCCGGACATGGTGTCTCACACCTGTAATTCCAGCTACCCAGGAGGTTGAGGCAGGAAAATCGCTTGAACCCGGGAATCGGAGGTTGCAGTGAGCCAAGATCACATCACTGTACACCAGCCTGGGTGGCAGAGCAAGACTATGTCTCAAAAAAAAAAAAAAAAAAGAAAGAAAGAAAGAAAAGAAAAATTTATTGTAAAACAGCTTAGTTTTCCATTGTTTTTTTAATTAAAGCTGAGCAATAAAAAATCCTTAGGAAAAATAAATTCTAACCAATTATTTTATGTAAACAACTGATTCACATCCTAGGTAAGGATCTTCTAGGTAAGACAATCTCCTGGGTAAGATTTAGAAGTAGCTCACCTATAGTGAATTTTATAGAATCCAGATAAAACATGGGTTACAGATGTTATTATAATATAGCATTCTGTTTGAAGTTTCATATTGTTTGCCCTCTTTTCTTATAATACCTTTCTAGCAATCGTTAGATGCTAATTATGAATTTTGAAAACTCCCAATCATCCAAACAGACAGGTAGACACTAATTTATATTAAAACAGAAATTGTGCACTTTAGGCTTTAATCATATAAGTATACAAATATGATTGCTAGTCTATTCACATTTAAATTGTGTAGATTAATACACTCCTACTGTTACAACTCATGGGTGTTTTGAAAGGTAACCAAATTGAAAACACCACTCCTGCCAATGCAAGGATGCTTTTATTATTGGTGTTAAAGCAGAGTTTTGTCACTAAATATATATAACATAATAATTTAAAAGAGTTGAAATTATACAATGGAGTAATTAGTACTACATAAATGACCTTCTAAATTACTTTTTAAACAATATTTAATTGTTCATGAGAAACTAGTCATTGAGATATAGGAAAACAAACCTGCAAAATGGAACAATCCCAGTCTAACTTGTGGGTTACCACTCCTCCCTGATCTGCACCAACAAATAACTTTATCTTTAAAGAGCTCATCGTTTATATAAAAAGACACTGGTTGAAATGAAAATGTGTAGAAGAAAACAATCCTCATAAGATGAAATAAGCACTGGCTTGCTATATGGTGACATAACATCTATCAATAAAATGAAACAGCTGTCTCAGAAAACAAAGATAAAAGCCAAATGCCTTCATAAAGGAAAAGAAAATAAGACCATTCTGTATTATTCAAACTCAGAAGTCCTGGAGACAAAGAAATGTCATTGACAGGCACATCAGCTCTGATAGTGGTACCTATACTGAACGCTGAAGTCCAGGGGGTCAACCCTGTTCGCAATGGTTTCAGTCTAAATGATATCTGTTCGGACATCTTTCCTGGCCACTCTCTCTAAGTGTTCTCTACTCATTCACCCAAGTCAGCAGCAACATTCCTTATCCTCACACTTGTCATTTCCTTCAAGGCACTTATCACTTTACTTTCTTGCCTTTGCTGCTCCAGGAGGGCAGAGTTCACTTCAAATATATTCATTACAACATTCCCAGTAACTAACATGGTACCAAGCACATAGTAGGCATCCATAGTGCCGAGAACATAGTGGGTATTTGTTACAGAACAAATTAACAACTGTTCCACTGCCACAGAGAGTACACCTAGGTCAAACCAGTCCCACAAAGGTAAGCTATAACCCTCTAAGGATGGATTCTGCAGCTTTCACTTCATCATTGTAGTGTTCTTCCCAACTGACTTTATAGTGCTACTGAACTCATCATTGTGAAAAATGTTAACAGATCATTAACAGGCTCCCAAAATTAAACCCAGAAATTCTTCCCCTTTTATTGTGAAAAGGCTAGGCTCTGCTACCAAGGGGAAGAGAGAGGTCAAGTCTGTGAGAGAGGTCAGATCTGCAAGTTGTGGAGTTTTTGTGTCATGTTTATGCTACACATTATCATTATGTTATGGAAAGAAACATTCATTTACTGACAAACTTTAGGTACTTTATACTTGCTGTAGAAACAAAAAGGAAATGGGCTAGGTGATGGTTAATTTTATGTATCAACTTGACTGGGCTCAAGGATGCCCTGATAGCTGAAAAAGTATTATTTCTGGAAGAGATTAGTTTGAATGGGTAGAGCAGATAAAGACTGCCCTCACTTTTACAGATGGGCATCATCCAATCTACTGAGGGCCTGAATAGAACTAAAAGGTGAAGAAAGCGCAATTTGCTTCCTGTTTGAGCTGGGATATCCATCCTGCCCTCGAACATGGGCAATCCTGGTTCTCAGGCCGTTGGACTAGGATAAGACTTAACACCATTGGATGCCCTGCCCCCGCTTCTCAGGCCTTCAGATGTAGGCTGGGAGTTACACCACGGGCTCTCCCAATTCTCAGGCCTTTGGACTCAGGCTGAATTACACCTCTAGCTTTCCCAGTTCCAAGCTTGCAGACAGCAGATTGTGGGACTTCTTGCCCTCTGTAATCATGTCAGCCAATTCCTATAATAAATCTCCATATACATTGTATCCTGTTAGTTCTGTTTCTCTGGAGAACTCTAATACAGGCTACCATCTGTACTTCAAGTGTAGACATAGTATTTTTAAAACTTCAACATAACAATAATGATTTAAATCCTAATCTTGAAAGTGACTAATTTCTCAAAAACATTAAATCTCAATAGAAGCCATAAATTAATATACTTTCACATTTTAAAATGTTTATTATGCCTTTAGTAGATAAAATGCATTAATTCTATTTAGAGTACTATGCCCTAGTAATCTACACCATAGCATAGTAACGATTATCATAAAATGAACTCATACTGTCTATTAGGCATTTTATAAGTATTATTTCATTTCAGGTAATAACTATTTATAGCCCTGTTTTACATTTGAGCGACTTGAGGCTCAGAAAGATTAAAAAACTTTCTCTAAAGTCAAGTGGCTAGTAATGATAACCACATAAACCTTGCAGTTAAGCATTACTCTATGGACAATGAAAAGCACAAAGAAATGTTTTGATCAGCCAAGCAATATTCTAATATCAGAAGAAGAATCTTCATCTAGAAAAAAAAAAGAAGAAAAATGATCATTTTAAGATATTGAATATATAGGTTCTGCAAAGCCAAAAAATATCATTTCCTTCACACATTGTGCCTTGGGTAAATTTCTTAAAATAATTATTCTAAATCATTCTGAAACCTATCCTATACGTCTCTCTTCTTGAAAGAAAATCTCTTTGGGCCAAGCATGGTGACTCATGCCTGTACTCTGGGAGGACAAGGCAGGAGGATCACTTGAGCCCAGGAATTCAAGACCAGCCTTGGCAACATAGCAAGACCCCTATCTATACCAAAAAAAAAAAAAAATCTAAAAAATTAGCCAGGCATGGTGGCACCTCTAGTCCCAGCTACTTGGAAGGCTCAAGCAGGAGGACCCATTGATCCCAGAAGTCAAGGCTGCAGTGAGCCATGATCTCACCACTGCGCTCAAGGCTGGGTAACAGAGCAAGACGCTGAAAAATAAATTCTTCAGCCAGGCATTGCGGTATACACCTGTAGTTGCAACTACTCAGGAAGCTGAGGTAGGAGGACCCCTTGAGCCCAGGAGTTCGAGGCAAGCCTGGCCAACATAATGAGAGCTCATCTCTCTTAAAAAAAATACTTTTAATTTTAAAAAAGGAAATCCTTCTAAGTTACAGGCTTTGTATCTTAAAATATGGTATTAAAAATATGTGAAAGAAGATGATAAGTGATATTATTACCCATAAAACTCCAAATTCCAAAGGTTCCCTGTGGTTGCTACTATTGTTGGAAGTTCACAGCATAGCCTATTAATGCTGTTACATCCCACAGACAATCTCACATTCTGAAGGTGGATCCTGGAATGTGGAAGACAATTCATGCAAAATTTTATTTTCTCTATCCTCCTACCCTGCTTAGATTGAATATAGAATTTTTTTTGCCAATTTAATTTCTATCCCAAGCAGGATACAAATAGATGCCTTATGTCCTGCAACTACTATACGTTCATTCAAGTAGCTTTTTCTTGAATCCAACAAAATAGTTTTTTTCATTTACAATTTTATGTGTCTTGAGTGAGCATTGACTTTGTGTCCTTCCTAACAGATGACCATGAAGTCTGACATAGGTTGCTTAGCAACTGCCTTATGCCCAGAAGTAGAAATAACTCTTTGATATACTCACTATGTGTATTTCTCTTGATTTATTTCATTTGTGTTTAACATGGTAGATCAAACAGAATCATTAGAATCCTACTAACAGCTCCAAGGGTAGAAGAGTTCCTGGTCCACTCTAAGTACTCAGAGATCAAAAGAGCTTACACATCATCACAGAACAGTCCTGCAGAGTAAAAGAACGATAAAATACACTGTGCCTGTTACCAAGGACAAGGTGTGTACATTCTCATCAGCACTGACACCATTGTATTCTTTGAGACTTGAAAAGAAGTCTCAACATTGTTATTGCAAGTTTCACTTTTTGCTACATGATAAAGGACTATATCTTTCCCATTGTATTGTCTGCTAAAAAGTCTTTGATCCTGAAGGACAATCCATTGTTTTAATGCATGATATAGTGTAATTCATCATGCAGCAAGAACAATACTAATCACCCTCTTGTTTGCATCAACCATCACTCTTCAACCCTCATCACATCTGATCTAATCTAAGCTCATTTATATTATTCATGACTTGTTTGTGTAGAAAGAAGTCAACCAAATATGTAGTGGTATTGTACCTCAGAACTATAATCTATGCAGAAAGGTCTTGGATCTAAAATTAGAAAATGAAGAATTGAAAAGCTTTTAAGACATAATTTGGGGTTGGGAATATGAGGTTAATATTAGTATGTAATGAATATGAAAACTTAGAATATCATAAAGGTAAAAATTAAGAAGAATCTTAAAAAAGAAAATTTCAGTAAGAATTTTGTAAGCCTACTGCTTTTATCATAAGTTTAGGAATTTTGATGTTTTGGAAAACTATTCTTTTTTTACACTAAAGAAAATAACAAGTGAAAAACCTTTTGAAATTGTAAAAAGTCCATTTTAAAAACATAAAGTTAAAAAAATAATAATATCAAGGTAAAATCCACTGCAGTTACAAGATTAATGTTTAAGGGATTATTTTGTTTTAGAAAATAATTTAAAAATCACTGTCTATGAAATGGAGACTATTTTAAAAAATTATAGTAATCTATACAGTGGACTATAGTTAAATAAATTTAACAATCTATACAAGAATCCTCTGCTTCAGTTTCTTCTTCCCTCCTGTTAATGATGTAAATCTCTATGTACTAGTATGGAAACATTCCCAAAATGAATTGAAAGGTGAATAAACTGGAGGGTAGAATAAAGTAAGGGACATGATGCATTTGTGTTCAAAAAGAGGAGTTTTATATATGTATATGAGTATAAATATCGCATGTATATGATATGTTATATACACATACATACATATAAAATATTTCTAGAAGAATACATGAACTGGAAACAATTTTTGCCTTTGGACACTGGAAGATATGGGTAGACAAGAGGCTAATTTTTTTACTGCACATCCAGGCAAACCATCTTAATAGGAAAACTTTGTTTCTCTTTTTGTTCTGCTCATGTGTGATGACAGAGAGAGAAAGATATACAGTTTCTTTTACTTATTGATATAGAAAGAGCACATAATACATAGTGCTCACTAGACCCAAGAGTTACACAGGCTTATATCAAGAAAGACTGATTTACAATAAGAAAGCAAGGAACTAAGGGGAAAAACTTATATTATCTGGTTTATATTCCAATCTTCTAACCCAAACGCCAGCAAACAGAATTAACAAGATTTCAGAATATTAAAGAATAGTACTTTTCTATGAAATATTATTTCTCTTAGGTCTGAAACCTGGCTTTTTATAGTTCTAACAGCAAAGGAAAATTTAATAAGGAATTATTCTAAATCAATGCAAAAGACCAAAACTTCTTTTAAGTGACCTAATTGTCAGAATGCACAAGCACCATAATTGTATCATGCAGTAAAGAAAGAGAGATACTCTAATGCAATGCATTCCAAAGTGCACTCCACAGAACACTGCCCCTATGAGCAGCTTTAACAAAAAAGAGTCCCATGGTCCAATAAGTTTAGGATGTTGCGTACTATATTCCTCTCAAAAAAAAAAAAAAATACTAAAAACATTGGTATATTGAAGGCTCTGTGTAATTGGTGTAGTAAAGAAATTTAACTTCTTTGACTACACACAAATGTGAAAGTCATTTTGACACACACAACTATTAAAATTCCCAGGAACTAGTAATTCATTGATCCCATTTTGGGAAACACTGCTCTGACAATATAAAAGCCAAACTGATGACTTTTCCAATGGGGAAAAATATACTTTATCAATGAATTGGTAAGATTAGTAATAAGAGGAAATGATTAAACTGATTGGTCTGCTCTAATTAGAGTTACATTAAGTTACTTGATAAGGCACTGCAATTAATTTTCAAGAATAATTAAGCTACCCTTAATCCAAATCCTGTCACATCATTGTTTTGTTTTTATCATAGTATCTGTCACTGCCTGGTTTTGGTTCATTTATGTGTTTATTTGTTATTGTCTATCCCCACATAGCAACGTAAGCTCCCTAAGAATTGAGATCTTGTCTGTCTTACTAAATGCTGCATTTCCAGCACTTTGAATAGCATTTGTTCAAATTAGTCTCTCAACAAATGTTCACAGAATACCTGAATAAATCTAGTTTACTTCTCTTTGTTAACTCTCTAAGTCAAAAGAGTACCCTCTACTTTGTCTCCCAAGATGTTAGTGGTTAAAGAAATATTCTGTGCTGATGTACTAGCTATGCTACTATGAATAGGTCACCTATTCCATGCCTCAGTCTCTTTAGCCATACTAAAACTGTTTTGACAGTGAGTGAATACATATCAAGTGCTTAGAAAAATGTCTAGTGTGTGGTAACCAAAAGCATTAGCTATAAAAGTAATAATGATATCATTTAAGAAAAAATTATTAAACTCAAGTAAATTTGAAAAATACCTGACTTACAAGGTTAAACAGGTATTTCACTACATGTTCAGAGCTTTTACCATGCTGCTAATATGCTTATGTGAATCTATGAGAAGTAGATACAGTTGGAACAATTCCAAAACTTGACCTTCAAACTTTCACAGAACACATATTAATATCTCCTAGAATGCCAGCACTCCCAGAAACACAGTTTGGGAAGAACTCAATTAGAAGTTCTTGTCTAAAGCAAACATATGTAGAAGACCTCTCTCCACCCGCCCCAGAACACACACAAATTCCCATGACTGATGAACTGAAAAGTGAGTGGATGCAAAAGGCACTTCTATCATGGCCTAATTTATTACCAATATCTCTTTTACCTTTGGCTCTGGAGGTCAAGAATGGTTTGGATGTTAATGTTGTCTTTCCTTGAGGTCCCCAATATTCTCTTATCACTTTAGCTGTTGGCTGGATGGTTTTACATGAGGCCAAATCCTGGACTCCTATCTTCCGACTTTTCTACCCTGGGGCTAGCATAGAACTGTTGCCACTCTTGTTTTTTAGCTACCTTATCTTGCAAAAGATCTAAGCTAACATTCTTTATTATAGCCTTTTCACTCAATGACACCTTGAAGGATAAAAGAGAATTTAATCATGATCAAAAGGCTAAAGTTGTAGTAAAAGAAAGAAAATTTGAAAGTCTTTCACCTAACAAGCCTCTATATAAATGAAAAGGATTAAGGGTTGATTTTTAATGCCATTTAAAGGGAAATCATTTTTACTTAAACATAGATCAAAACAGAATCAGAATCCCAGGGGCCAATAAAGGCACCTCCTGACAAGAGACATGGGAGAAGAACAGAGATGACTCAAAGCAAAGAAGTGTGTGGTGTTGTGAAAACATGGGCTCTGGAGCATAGAACCTGAAGTGGAATGTCAGCACTACCACCTCCCAGCTGCGGATCCTCTCTAAGTTTCCATATTTTCATCTACAAAAATATAAAACCCTATATAGATAGTATTCATTGAGCACTTCCTAGGTACCAGATCCCTTCTAGATGGTTTACATGAATTAACTCATTGATTCCTCATGTTCATGTCCTCTAGATGAGGACCACCAGGAGCACACCTATAGTTAAACAAGGTTGGGTTTATTGACTTGTGACAACAAGAAAGATGACACATCTGAAAACTATGTGGCATCTCGGCAAGTGGTTGTTACAAAGGACTGGGATTCAGGCTTCAGTTTAGGTGGTTTAAGGAGAGTATGAAAGTGGAACCTTGCTCTGGATTTACAACAGTCAGAAAGTGAGGGTAATTCTATAATTGGTAAATTAATTGTTATCTAGAATGCAGGAAGAGTAGAATAAGGCTAGATTTATAATTGGGAAAGCAGTTATCGTCACTCATTCTAGCCAAGATACGGGGATGCTTGGTCATTTTTGTAGCTCTTGTTTTTGTCTATGTTCAGACATAATTATACAGTGGTCTGGTCTCATTTTTGTCTTCACTCACCACAATCACAGAGTGGCCTTGTCTGATGTTGATGTTCTAAGAGCTTATTTACACTCAGCAGGCAAACATGGCAACCTAGCTGCCAGTGTCTGTCCAGTTTCCAGGAACGCCATGATCTAGATGATAGAGCCAGGCCAGCTCCTGGCTGTCAGGCACTGCTTTCTTTCCCTTCTCACTCACAGCAACCCTATTAGATAAGCATTATTTGTACAGATTTTTAAATTAACAAATAAAAATAGTATATACTTATTGTGTACAACATGCTGTTTTAAAATATGTAAACATTGTGGAATGACTAAATTAAGCTAATTAGCATATGTATTACCTCACATGCATAGGGTTTTTTGTGGTGAAAACATTTAAACTCTACTCTCTTAGCAATTACACTGCTCTTAACTATAGTCATCATGTTAAACAATAGGTATCTCTAACTTTTTCCTCCTATCTAACTGAAATTTTATATCTTTTAACCAACATCTCCCCAACCCCACCTTTCCCCCAGCCCCTGACTTCACACCATATCTAGATCTTAAAGATGAAGAAACAGTGCCCACTCGGCTATTAAATGACAAGTGTGGAATTTGAATCCAGATATGTACTAGACACTGATTCCTCACCTCTATGCTATTAGACTTCTAAGTGTTAGTAATCTTCACATTATAGGATGCTTGTGAAGGTTGCAGATGATGTATGCACATGCCTGGCTCATGACAAGACTTTGAACAAAAAAAAAAATTGGGCTTCTATTATTATTAATCAGAAAAACTAAAACTTCTTTTTCAACTTTTGTTTTAGGTTCAGGAGGTACACGTGCAGGTTTGTTACCTGGGTAAATTGTGTGTCACAGGTGTTTGGTATACAGATTATTTCATCATCCAAGTAATGAGCATAGTATCCAATAGGTAGTTTTTTGACCCTCACCCTCCTCCCACCCTCCACCCTCTACCCTCAAGTAGTCCCTGGTGTCTATTGTTCCCTTCTTTGTGTTCACAGGCACTCAATGTTTAGCATTCACTTAAAGAGAGAACATGCAATATTTTTCTGTTCTTGCATTAATTTGCTTAGGAATATGGCCTCCAACTGCATCCATGTTGCAGCAAAGGACATGATTTCATTCTTTTTTATGGCTGTGTAGTATTCCATGGTATACGTGTACCACATTTTTCTTATCCAGTTCACTCTTGATAGGCATCTAGCTTGATTCCGTGTCTTTGCTATTGTGAATAGTGTGGCAATGAACATTCTACCTTATGGTAGAATGATTTATATTCCTTTGGGTATATACTCAGTAATGGGATTGCTGGGTCAAATGATAGTTCTGTTTTAAGTTCTTTGAGAAATCTCCAAACTGCTTTCCATGGTGGCTGAACTAATTTACATTCCCATCGGCAGTGCATAACTATTTCCTTTTCTCTGCAGTCTCACCAGTATCAGTTGTTTTGACATTTTTTTTACCTTCAAGACAAGCTCAATATTTTGACTTTTTAATAATGGCCATTCTGACTGGTGTGAGATGGTATCACATTGTAGTTTCAATTGGCATTTCTCTAATGATTAATGATGTTGAGCATTTTTTCATATGTTTGTTGGACAATTGTATGTCTTCTTTTAAGAAGTGTCTCTTCATGTCCTTTGGCTACTTTTTAAAGAGGTTGCTTCTTTTTTGCTTGTTAATTTGCTCAAGTTCTTTATAGATTCTGAATATTAGACCTTTGTTGGATGCATAGTCTGCAAACATTTTTTCCATCCTGTGGGTTGTTTGTTTACACTGTTAATAGTTTCTTTTGCTGTGTAGAAGCAATTTTTTAAATTAGATCCCATTTGTCAATTTTTGTTTTTATTGCAATTTCTTCTGGAGTCTTTGTCATGAAATCTTTGAGAGGGCCAATGTCCAGAATGGTATTTCCTATGTTTTCTTCTGGAGTTTTTAATAGTTTTAGGTGTTACAATTAAGTATTTAATCTACCTTCAGTTGATTTTTGTATATGGTGAAAGGAAGGGGTCCAGTTTCAGTTGTCTTCATATGACTAGTCAGTTATCCCAGCATCATTTATTGAATTATAAGTCCTTTCCCCATTGCTTGTTTTTGTCAACATTGTTGAAGATCAGGTGGTTGTAGGTGTGCAGCTTTATTTCTGGGTTATCTAATCTGTTCCATTATGGTCTATGTGTCTGTTTTTATACCAGTACCATGCTGTTTTGGTTACTGCAGCCTTGTAGTATAGTTTGAAGTTGAATAATGTGATGCCTCTGGCTTTGTTGCTTTTGCTTAGGATTGCTTTGGGGACTTGGGCTTTTTTTTTTTTTTTTTTTTTTTTGGTTCCATATGAATTTTGGAATAGTTTTTTCTACTTCTCTGAAGAAATGTTGTTGGTAGTTTGGTAGGAATAGCACTGAATCTGTAAATTGCTTGGGCAGTATAGTCATTTTAATGATACTGATTCTTCCAATCCATGAGCATGAAATGCTTTTCCATTTATGTCACCTATGATTTCTTTCAGCAGTGTCTTGTAGTTCTCCATGTAGAAATCTTTCACCTCCTTGGTTAGCTATATTCCTAAGTATGTCACTCTTTTGTACCTATTGTGACTAGGATTGCATTCCTGATTTGGTTCTCAGCTTGGGCATTATTGGTATATAGAAATGCTACTCAGGACCTGAACTCAGCTCTGGATCAAGTGGACTTGATAGATGTCTGCAGAACTGTCCATCCCAAAACAACAGAATATACATTCTTCTCATCACCACATAGCACTTACTCTAAAATTGACCACATAATTGAAAGTAAAAACACTCCTCAGCAAATGCAAAAGAGCTGAAATCATAACAGTCTCTCAGACCACAGTGAAATCAAATTAGAATTCAAGATTAAGAAATTCACTCAAAACCATACAATTACATGAAAACTAAACAACCTGCTCCTGAATATCTCTTGGTAAATAATGAAATTAAAGCAAAAATCAAGAAGTTCTTTGAAACTGATGAGAACAAAGATACAATGTACCAGACTCTCTGGGATGCAGCTATAGCAGTATTAAGAGGGAAACTTATAGCGCTAAATACCCACATTAAAAAAGCTAGAAAGATCTCAAGTTAGCAACCTAACACCACAACAAAAAGAGCTAGAGAACCAAGAGCAAACAAACCCCAAAGCTAGCAGAGACAAGAAACAACCAAGATCAGAGCTGAACTGAAGAAGACAGAGGCATGAAAACCCCTTTAAAAAGTCAACAAACACAGGAGCTGGTTTTCTGAAAAAAATAATAAAATAGATAGATCATGAGCTACACTAACTTAAAAAAAATAGAGAGAAAATTCAAATAAACACAATCAGAAATGATAAGGGGGACTGGGCGAGGTGGCTCATGCCTGTAATCCCAGCACTTTGGGAGGCCAAGGTGGGCAGATCACCTGAGGGGAAGAGTTTGAGAACAGCCTGGCCAACATGGTGAAACCCCGTCTCTCCTAAAAATACAAAAAATTAGCTGGGCGTGGTGGCACATGCCTACAGTTCCAGCTACTTTGGAGGCTGAGGCAGGAGAATCTCTTGAACCTGGGAGGAAGAAGTTGCTGTGAGCCGGGATCACACCATTGCACTCCAGTCTGGGCCACAAGCACAAAACTCTGTCTCAAAAATAAAATAAAATAAAAAAGAAATGATAAGGGGGATATCACTACTGACCCCATAAAAAATCAAACAACCATGACAGAATACTATAAACACCTCTATGCACATAAATTAGAAAATCTAGAAGAAATTGATAAATTCCTGGACACATACACCCTCCCAAACCAGGAAGAAATTCAATCCCTAAATGAACCAACAACAAGTTCTGAAATTGAGGCAGTAATAAATAGCCTACCAACCAAAAATAAAGTCCAGAACCAGATGAATTTACAGTTAAATTCTACCAGAGATACAAAGAAGAGCTGGTACCATTTCTACTGAAACTATTCCCCAAAAATTGAAAAGGAGGGACTCCTCGCTAACTCATTGTATGAGGCCAGCATCATCCTGATGCCAAAATCTGGCAGAGCTACAACAAAAAAAGAAAACTTCAGGCCAATATCTTGATGAACATCGATGCAAAAGTCCTCAATAAAATGCTGGCAAACCAAATCTAGCAGTACATCAAAAAGCTTATCCACCATGATCAAGTAGGCTTCATCCCCTGGATGCAAGCTTGGTTTAACATACACAAATCAATAAATGTGGGTCATACATAAATGGAACTAAAGCCAAAAACCACATAATTATCTCAATAGATGCAGAAAAAACCTTTGATACAATTCAACATCCCTTCATGTTGAAAACTCTCAATAAACTAGGTATTGAAGAAACATACCTCAAAATAATAAGAGCCATGTATGACAAACCCACAGTCAATATCATCCTGAATGGGGAAAAGGTGGAAGCATTCCCCTTGAAAACTGGCACAAGACAAAGATGCCCTCTTTCACCACTCCTATTCAACGTAGTATTGGAAGTTCTGGCCAGGGCAATCAGTCAAGAGAAAGAAATAGTTTATTTAAATATGAAGGGAAGAAGTCAAACTATCTTTTTTTGCAGATGACATAATCCTATATCTAGAAAACTCCATCGTCTCAGCCAAAAGCTTCTTAAGCTGATAAGCAACTTCAGGAAAGTCTCAGGATACAAAATCAATGTGCAAAAAGTTACAAGCATTCCTATACACCAACAATAGGGAAGCAGAGAGTCAAATCATGAATGAACACCCATTCACAATTGCCACAGAAAGAATAAAATTCCTAGGAATACAGCTAACAAGGGAAATGAAAGACTTCTTCAACGAGAACTACAAACCACTGCTCAAAAAAGTTAGAGAGGACACAAACAAATAGAAAAACAGTCCCATGCTCATGGATAGAAAAATAAATATCATACGTTGAAAGAGTTGAAATTCTGTGACAGTGAAGGAATTAAATATTACATAAATGACCTTCTAAATTACTTTTTAGGCAATATTCAATTGTTTATGAGAAACTAGTCATTGAGATATAGGAAAACAAACCTGCAAAATGGAACAATCCCACTCTAACTTGTGGATTGCAGCTCCTCTCTGATCTGCACCAACAAATATCCTTATTTTTAAAGAGCTCATCATTTATATAAAAAGACACAGGTTGAAATGAAAATCACACCAGGGCCTGTTGTGGGGTGGGAGGTAGAAGGAGGGATAGCACTGGGAGAAATACCTAATGTAAATGACAGGTTGATGGGTGCAGCAGGCCAGCATGGCACATGTATACCTATGTAATGAGCCAGCACGTTGTGCACACGTACCCTAGAACTTAAAGTATAATAAAAAATAAAAATAAGAAACATAAAAAGTTTTAAAAAATGTGTAGAAGAAAGCAATCCTCATAAGATGAAATAGGCACTGGCTTGCTATAGGATGACATAACATCTATCAATAAAATGAAACAGCTGTCTCAGAAAACAAAGATAAAAGCCAAATGCCTTCATAAAGGAAAAGAAAATAAGACCACATTGTATTACTCAAACTCAGAAGTCCTAGAGACGAAGAAAGGTCATTGACAGGCACATCACCTGTGATAGTGCTACCCATACTGAACCCTGAGGTCCAGGGGGTCAACTCTGTTCGCAATGGTTTCAGTCTAAATGATATTAGCTCAGACATCTTTCCTGGCTACCCTCTCTAAGTATTCTCAACTCATTCACCCAAGGTAAGAAGCAACATTCTTTATCCTTACACTCTTCATCTCCTTCAAATCACTTATCATTTTACTCTCTTGCCCTTGCTGCTCCAGCTGGGCAGAGTTCACTTCAAATATATTCATTACAACATTCCCAGTAACTAACATGGTACCAAGCACAAGCCTACAGTAACCAAAACAGCATGGTATTGATACAAGAACAGACACGTAGACCAATGGAACAAAATAGAGAACCCAGAAATAAAACTGCACACCTACAACCATCTGGTCTTCAACAAACCTGACAAAAACAAGCAATGGGGAAAGGATGCCCTATTTAATAAATGGTGCTGGGAGAACTCGCTAGGCATATGCAGAAAATTGAAATTGGACCACTTCCTTACGCCGTATATAAAAATCTCAAGATGGATTGAAGACTCAAATGTAAAACCTAAAACTACAAAAACCATAGAAGAAAATCTACACTGGCAAAGATTTCATGATGAAGATGCCAAAAGCAATTGCAACAAAAGCCAAAATTGACAAACGGGATCTGATTAAAGAGCTTCTGCACAGCAAAAGAAACTATCATCAGAATGAACAGAAAACCTACAGAATTAGAGAACATATTTGCAAACTATGCATCTGACAAAGGTCTAATATCCAGAATCTACAAGAAACTTAAATTCATTAAAAAAACCCCATTAAAAAGTGAGCAAAGGACATCAACAGACACTTCTCAAAAGAACACATACATGCGACCGCAAATATATGAAAAAAGCTCAACATCACCGATCATTAGAGAAATACAAATCAAAACCATAATGAGATACCGTTTCATACCAATTAGAATGGCTATTCTTAAAAAGTCAAAAAGCAGCAGATGTTGATGAGGTTGTGAAGAAAAAAGGAACACTTTTATGCTGTTGGTGGGAGTATAAATTAGTTCAACCATAGTGGAAGACAGTGTGTCAATTCCTCAAGGACCTAGAGGAAGAAATATCATTTCACCCAGCAATCTCATTGCTGGGCATATACCCAAAGAAATATAAATTATTCCATTATAAAGATGTATGCACATGTATGTTCATTGCAGCACTACTTACAATAGCAAAGACATGGAATCAACCTACCTGCCCATCAATGATATACTGGATAAAGAAAATGTGGTGCATATGTTATAGGAGTTATTAAGAAATTATTTTAGCAGATAGAGAGGAAAAGGGGTCCTTGGGAAGGTTTTTTCTTTTTTTAAAGCAGCTCCAGAAACATTTCTTGTCTAGCAGAAAAGCCCTGGCTCTAAGAGCCAGGCTGGCAAACTTCAATATGCAAATGCTAGCCATTAGAACTGGGTCCACCCAAACATGGCGATTCCCAAAGTCCTCTTCTTGTCCCCACATGTGCCTAGCAACATGGCTGCCCCCACATATCCCTGCATGTGTAGGACATCATGGTGCCCTGCATTTGCATATTAAAAGTCTAGGGTGGGAGAGCCAGTTTTTTTGTGGGCTACTTGAATGACATACCTGGTCAAACGAATCCCCTGGGCCCTATGCAAATATCAGACACCACCTCCTCTAGCCTCCTCATATAACTGGCTGTTTCCACCCCACCCCCTCAGGGTTTCCTCTCTTGGCTTGGAGACCTCTCCCTCTGTCTCTGTAGTGGGGAGCTTCTTCCTTCTTTCTTGCCTATTAAACTCTCCATACCTTAAAACCACTCCACTTGTGTCCGTGTCATTTTATTTAAATTGGCACAAGACCAAGGATCCTGGTGTTCCTCCAGTCATTGGAGCCATATCACATATACAACCAGGAATACTATGCAGCCATAAAAAGAATGAGGTCATGTCCTTTGTAGGGACATGGATGGAGCTGCAAGCCATTATCCTCAGCAAATTAACGCAGGAACAGAAAACCAAATACCACATGTTCTCACTCATAAGTGGGGGCTCAATGATGAGAACACTTGTAGGGGAACGACACACACTGGGGCCTGTTGGAAGATGGGGGCTTGGTGGAGGGAGAGCATCAAGAAGAATAGCTAATGGATGCTAGACTTATTACCTATGTGATGGGACGATCAGTGCAGCAAACCACCATGGCACGTGTTTACCTATGTAACAAACCTGCACATCCTGCACATGTATTCCTGAACTTAAAAGTTGTGAAAAAAAAAATTTTAAAGGAAAGCTACTGTTTTTGTACATTGATTTTGTATCCTGAAACTGTACTGAAGTTGTTTATCAGATCTAGGATCCTTCGGGTAGAGAATATGAGGTTTTTCCAGCTATAGACTTAACTCATCTGTGAAGAGAGATAGTTTGATTTCCTCTCTTCCCATCTGGGTTCCTTTTATTTATCTCTCTTGCCTGATTGCTCTGGCTAGGACCTCCAGTACTATGTTGAATAGAAGTGGTGAGAGTAGGCAATCTTGTCTTGTTCTGGTTCTCAAGGGAAATGCTTCCAACTTTTGCCTATTCAGTAGGACATTGGCTGTGGGCTTGTCATAAATGGCTTTTATTTTAAGGTATATTTCTTCAGTGCCTAGTTTGTTGAGGGTTTTTAACATGAAAGGATGTTGAATTTTATCAAAAGCCTTTTTCTGAATCTATTGAGATGATTATGTGATTTTTGTTTGTTGTTCTGTTTATGTCATAAATCAGATTTAATGATTTGTGTATGCTGAACCAGACTTGCATCTCAGGAATAAAGCCTACTTGATCATAGCAGACTAGCTTTTTTGATGTACTGCTGGATTCAGTTTGCTAGTATTCTGTTGAGGACTTTTGTATCTATGCTCATCAGGGATATTGGCTTGAAATTTTTTTCTTTGTGTCTCTGCCAGGTTTTGTATTAGAATTATGCTGACCTATGTAATGAGTTAGGAAGGAGTCCTTCCTCCTCGATTTTTTGGGAATAGTATCAGCAGGAATGGTATCAGCTATTCTTTACATGTCTAGTAGAATTCAGCTGTGCATTCATCTATTAAAACATTTTCAACTTTCGTTTATTTTCAGTTCCTCAGGAACCTCATACTTAAGAAATGAGCATCTCAGGGGGAACAGGTAATTTGCTTTTGGGCCAGACTTTGCCACTGACCAACTATGCAAGTATGAGCTGCACAATTCTATAAAACCCTACAATGCTCTCTTTCCTAAAGAGGTCTAAGTGTTTTCTAGTCAAAATTATTTGATGTTGTTTTAAAAGGTGATCTCTAAATATTCTCTGGATGCAAACTTAAAATACAATGAATATTTCATGGACTATTGAAGTATTTTTAATTGTTTATCATTAAAAAACATAAAATTGAAATTTCATTTTATTCTAGTGATGATTGCAATATTAAAAGCAAAGTCTAACAGAGATGATTCCACTGCTAAGTCAGTGCTGGAAGCAGGTATAAAAATATGACACTTTCTTTTTTTTCTTTTTTTTTTTTTCTTTGACACAGGGTCCCACTTTGACACCCAGGCTGGAGTGCAGTGGTGTGATCACAGCTCACCGCAGCCTCCACCACCCTGGGCTCAAGTGCTCCTCCCACCTCAGCCTCCCAAGTAGCTGGGACTACAGGTATGCACCACCACGCCCAGCTAATTTTTGTATTTTTTGTAGAGATGAGGTTTCACCATGTTGCCCAGGCTGGACTCAAACTCCTAGGCTCAAGTGATTCTCCTGCCTCAGCCTCATAAAGTTGCGGGATTACAGGCATGAACCCAGCCAAAATAAGGCCCCTTCTTTTTTTTTTTTTTTTGTTTTTTTTTTTTTTTTAGATGGAGTTTCACTCTTGTTGCCCAGGCTGGAGTGCAGTGGCACGATCTCAGCTCACTCACTGCAACCTCCAACTCCTGGGTTCAAGCGATTCTCCTGCCTCAGCCTCCCAAGTAGCTGGGATTACAGGAGCCTGCCACCATGCCTGGCAAATTTTTTTTCTTTTTTTTTATTATTATTATTATACTTTAAGTTTTAGGGTACATGTGCACAATGTGCAGGTTAGTTACATATGTATACATGTACCATGCTGGTGTGCTGCACCCACTAACTCATCATCTAGCATTAAGTATATCTCCCAGTGCTATCCCTCCCCCCTCCCCCCACCCCACAACAGTCCCCAGAGTGTGATGTTCCCCTTCCTGTGTCCATGTGTTCTCATTGTTCAATTCCCACCTAGGAGTGAGAATATGCGGTGTTTGGTTTTTTGTTCTTGTGATAGTTTACTGAGAATGATGATTTCCAATTTCATCCATGTCCCTACAAAGGACATGAACTCATCATTTTTTATGGCTGCATAGAATTCCATGGTGTATATGTGCCACATTTTCTTAATCCAGTCTATCATTGTTGGACATTTGGTTTGGTTCCAAGTCTTTGCTATTGTGAATAGTGCCGCAATAAACATACGTGTGCATGTGTCTTTATAGCAGCATGATTTATAGTCCCTTGGGTATATACCCAGTAATGGGATGGCTGGGTCAAATGGTATTTCTAGTTCTAGATCCCTGAGGAGTCGCCACACTGACTTCCACAATGGTTGAACTAGTTTACAGTCCCACCAACAGTGTAAAAGTGTTCCTATTTCTCCACATCCTCTCCAGCACCTGTTGTTTCCTTACTTTTTAATGATTGCCATTCTAACTGGTGTGAGATGGTATCTCATTGTGGTTTTGATTTGCATTTCTCTGATGGCCTGGCTAATTTTTGTATTTTTAGTAGAGATGGGGTTTCACCATGTTGGCCAAGCTGGTCTTGAACTCCTGACCTCAGGTGATCCTCCCACCTCAGCTTCCCAAAGTGCTGGGATTACAGGTGTGAGCCACTATGCCCAGCCTTTTTTTTTTTTAATGGAGATGGGGTTTTACCATGTTGGCCAGGCTGGTCTCAAACTCCTGACCTCAGGTGATCCACCCACCTTAGCCTCCCAAAATGCTGGAATTACAGGCGTGAGCCACCGTGGCCAGCCAAAGCCCTTTCAAATAACATTGGTAAAGACTTGGCTTTTCTTAGAATACAAATTCTGCATACAAAATTATGAATAAGAAAACATTTCTTTCTCTATCATTCTATCATCCCTCCACCAGCCTCATCTTTCTTTAATTTCAACTTCAAGCTCCTGGTACATTCATAATAACTGTCATTGGCATACCTTGTCCCTTGGGTATTCTGAGTTCCATCATCCTTCATCTAACCACTCCTCCAAATTTTCTTTCTTACTTCTAATCCCTACTCTCTGCTAGTTAACTCAGTTAGAATAACTCATATGAACTTGGTTATGCTGATAATAAATCATTGTGTTAACCCTCCAAGATGACATGTTCATACATTTTGATCTGAAAAAAAAAAAAAAAAAAAAAAAAACCAGAACCTTATTTGAGCCAGGTTCTATGGCACACACCTGAAGACCCTGAACCAGGAGGATGACTTGAGCCCAGGAGTTGGAGGCCGTAGTGTGCAATGATCATGCTTGTGAATAGCCACTGCCACTGCCCTCAAGCCTGAACAACTGAGCAAGACCCCATCTCTTAAAATTAAAAAATATATATATATATATATATATTGCTACAGACCTTCCAGGAATCACGGCAGGATAGCAGAGGTGGCAAGAGATAGTTTTGGCTGTGTATACGCAGGAAGAGAAGAAGAATCAGAGTTGTCTCTGTGAGTAGGAGAAGTAGGTAACGTATACTTGGGTATTTCAGGAGTACTCAAAATGGGTTTCCTCCCTCAACTCTAAAAATGTTATACATGTGTAACATGTTTATGGGCTTGGGCAGGGAGAACTGTGACTGTAATCAGCAAACACACACACACACACACACACACACACACAATGTTGCTATTTGACTCCTACAGAATTGGAAATTAATGATTTTCTATTTTGCAAGTAAATTAGCATCTAGTAAAGTTTAAGTGATGAAATAACAGTCACACAGGCACACTGCTAAAACAAAATAACCTCTTGTTTCTTATTCTTGAAGGATTCCAGAAAGAAAACAACAGTAAGACAGATTATCATACCTATTTTCCAGGAAATATACAGAATTTAGTTCTGTGAATCTGGTACCTGAAATGTCTCCTAAACTTAGATTATTTTCAGTTTAAGTGTCATCTAAGAAAAAACAAACTAAAAAACCAACCAACCCAAATTTCTAGATTCTCCTCTTGAGAGAAGTATGAACTTAACTTCAGTCATTACCATCAGCTGTAATGATTAATCCTAAAGAAGAAAGAATACTCAGAATTGCAGATAGAACATTGGACTTGAATCAGTGTGACATTAAACAAGTGATTAAGCTATTCATTGGCAAATTGAGGGAAAAGAAATAGTTTCCCAGAGTCCACAGGAGTCCAGGCCCTATTTTCAATTTTTCCAAACTATAATATAATTAACACATTTTTTCACAGTGAATCTGCACTAAATGCTAGGATTTTTTAAATTTGGTTGGAATTCATCATCTCAGGATGGTGTTATTGCTAAACCCACGCTAAAAAGATAAGCAGTTATATGTGTTTCAGACTAATTTAAGATGAAAAACCTAATTATAATTTAAGAAATGCTTTTGGTGAAAAAAATAGCCAAAATATTTCAAAATGTTGAATCACTAGAGACAAAAACAATTAAAAGGGCACTTGGCAGTAAAAAGATCAAGGACCACTTGCACTAGATGATGTCTATGATATTGTCTAGCTTTAAAAATCAGTTTGACTGTGCATCACTTTAAATCACATTTTTTAATTTTTTGCATAAAATTAAATGAAAAATCAGATCAGATTTTACTTCCAAGCAGTTTTAAAGTTGTTTGATATTTTTAAATGTCTGTATTTTACATTTCTCCATGTCTATTCATAAGAAAGTAGTTTATCAAAAAAAAGTTTGTAGTCTAATAACCATAAACAGCCTCTTCCAATTTATCTACTTATTAAATTTTTACATAAAGGTATAAAATTCAAATAGCAATAACTTTCACTTTGAAATAGGTTTTTTTTTTTTTTTTTTTTGAGACAGAGTCTCGCTCTGTCGCCCAGGCTGGAGTGCAGTGGCATGATCTCGGCTCACTGCAAGCTCCGCCTCCCGGGTTCACGCCATTCTCCTGCCTCAGCCTCCCGAGTAGCTGGGACTACAGGCGCCCGCCATCACGCCCGGCTAATTGTTTTTTGTATTTTTAGTAAAGGTGGGGTTTCACCATGTTAGCCAGGATGGTCTCGATCTCCTGACCTCGTGATCCGCGCACCTCGGCCTCCCAAAGTGCTGGGATTACAGGCTTGAGCCACCACGCCCGGCCTTGAAATAGGTTTATAAATAAATTTAAAAGAAATTTGAAAACAAAAACAAAAAAAGTTATTTGTAATCATACAGTGATAGTTAGAGAAAAGGAAATAATGAACATTTTGCCAATGTGCTTATCATTATCTACTACTTTAAAATTCAAAAATACAAGCTTTGGTTACAGAAATCTAAACTATCCCTTAGATCCTTTAAATTCTTCCTACCTCCATGACCCAAGGATCAGCAACCAAAAAGTTTAAACTGCAATAATGAGTCTTTTTATATTATCTTACAAATCCTCTGAAGATTTTACAGATATATACTAGTCTATTTAAAACAGGATCAAAGAATCCTGGGAAATCGTGCTCCTTCTTTTTCCTCTTACGTTAATACACAATATGAAACGTCAAATACTCTCCCTTCTGCTCTTCACATGTGTAAAACTAAATGGTGGGATCGCAACGCTGTTAGCCTAGCTGCATTAGGACAATTTGTAGAGACAAAGGAAGTAATGACGGTAGGCTGTTATCTCACTCTGTCTGCACAGTGTTACTGGGTTATAGTTTTGATTAAATAGATCAAACCAATCAATCCAGCCCTGGAATTTCAGACATCTTAGACATTTAAGAATTCATCCAGTCTTCAACTACCTAATTTGTCCGTGAGAAACCAGAATCCCAAGTAAGTGGGAGTGACTTGCTGAAGGTCATATAAGTAATTGGTAGATAGACCTAGAATCCAGTTCTCAGGACTCCTAACTAGTGTCCTTTCTACCATCAGAAGTCAGAAACTGTTTTACCAAAATGTTGCCTCTTCCCATAGCTTACGAGCTACCCACTTCCTCACGCCCTACCCACTTCCCCACGCGCTACCCACTTCCTCACGCCCTACCCACTTCTTACCCTGACAAGTGGTCCTTTCAATGGAGCGTGTATTCAGAGGATGTCAGAGCCATGTTGTCATGACTCTCTGACAACCCCAGTTCTTGTACAGACATCGTGCTTCCCTAATATGTGTGCTTCAAACTTTACTACAGCTTAATTCTATCCTTTCCTTCAAATGGATAACCTGGTAACCCATGGCTTTTGGCTTATTAAGTTGGTGATGCTTCCAAGTCTTCCTTTGTCTGTTTCAATCCTCCAAAAGGTTTAAGGTAAGTGCCTGTTAAGCACCTAGCCCTTTTTAGCAATCTTGTTACTCCTCTATTTTGTTGGCCTCTCAAGTTACTGAATAGAACCTTTATTGCAGATTCCTTGAACCCAAACTTCTGTCTCTGCCCTGAACAGATGGTTCCCCAGACGTGGCAGAGCCTCTTTAGCCTATCGAAGCTAGTGCTTTTCCTGCCAGTTCCTGGCTTCTGCTGCCCTCTAGCATCCATTAGTAGCATGGCAGGACTTGAAACAATAAAGTCATATTTTTACTGAAATGAATTACTTGATGGGTTATTTTTGCTTCATGCAAATACAGATTTAAAAAAAGAAAACCTGTGACATATAATACTGCTACTGTTCTGTGATTCTCCTGCCCCCAGGCCTAAGTCAGAGCCTGGTTTTAAGGGCAGGGCTATAATGCGACTGATAATAATATCTAGGTATTCAATAGATTAGTTTATGCCTCAGTTTACTTGCCCAACTCTGACGCTCATCAAGAGTTCCTTTCAAGAGTCAAAATTTTTTTTTTTTTTTTTTTTTTTAAGACGGAGTCTTGCTCTGTCTCCCGGGCTGGAGTGCAGTGGCGCCATCTCGGCTCGCTGCAAGCTCCACCTCCCGGGTTCACGCCATTCTCCTGCTGCAGCCTCCCTAGTAGCTGGGACTACTGGTGCCCGCCACCAGGCCTGGCTAATTTTTTGTATTTTTAGTAGAGACGGGGTTTCACCATGTTAGCCAGGATGGCCTCAATCTCCTGACCTCGTGATCCACCCGCCTTGGCCTCCCAAAGTGCTGGGATTACAGGCGTGAGCCACCGGGCCCGGCCTCAAGAGTCAATTCTTTAAGCCTTTCGCCTGCTCATTTGAAATCTTGGCATAGGAACCCTGCAAATAAAGAAGCAATAAAAACAACTTAAATATCTAGCAATCAAGGATTACTTAAATAAATTGTGGTACACCTTACAATAGTTTATTTTGTGACTATTAACTATTAGGTTTAAAAAAAAATCCAAAATTATGTGGAAATGCTTACAATGTAATATTAAATGCAATAGCTAAACATTAAAAAAAAAAAAAAAGAATTACTGTAGGCCAGGTGTGGTGGCTCACGCCTGTAATCCCAACACCTTGGGAGACCGAGGCAGGTGAATCACCTGAGGTCAGGAGTTCGAGACCAGCCTGGCCAATGTGGTGAAGCCTCATCTCTACAAAAAATACAAAAAATTAGTGGGGCATGGTGGCGGGCACCTGTAATCCTAGCTACTCGGGAGGCTGAGGCAGGAGAATCACTTGAACCCGGGAGGTTGCAGTGAGCCGAGGTCGTGCCATTGCACTCCAGCCTGGGTGACAAGAGGGAAACTCCGTCTCAAAAAAAAAAAAAAAAAGAATTACTGTAACATCCCAATAATAGAGAAAGAAATGGTCTGAAATGTTACTAGTTGTTGTTTGTATTATCCAATAAGCATGTGTTACATTTTACAGTCATAAAATCTGCACCTGTAAATGCTAAACTGTGGGTCACTCATGCCTGAGTATAAGACTGAGAGAGTAAGATCTCCAAAAAGAACTACTGTGGCCCATACAGGTGGTCATAGTGATGACAGCGGCATCACGATAGCCAAAGACATATTCGTTTGAGTAAGGTAAAATGTTACAATGGCAAGACAAACTAGAGTGTTAGTCACATTCTCTTGCCTCTCTGCCTAGGGTTTGGAAGATGATCCCTTTTAGCAAATTAAGCCCCCTACGTTTTTCAACAGTTTACAAGAGTGTGGCTTCAAAGTGCATTACCAGCTGTTTTTCTACTTTGAGAAGGCAGAATCATGAGCAATTTACATAACTATATGTTTTTTAAACTAAATGTGACTTTTTATATAACCAGGCTGGTGAAATAGGATTTTTCACCATTTACATAAACAACACTGATACTATCATAGAAGTGGAATTGCGGTATCAACTTTCATAAATATGGTGAAGATTTCCTATCTACAGTCAATTTCCTTCTAGAAAGTTTATACCAATTGACACTACAGGTGTGGAGTACATAAGATAGGCTGCAGATTATGTACATCTTGTAGCATACTTGCTGCAAATCTGGTTTCTCTCTTTCAAAAACACAGAAAGGCTGTTATAAGAATAATCATGACATGTGTTCTTAGATTATTTCTTTAAGTAAATTCTACTCAAATTTTGATTCTTCCCCACTGAGAGTAGCAAACTTCTTGCCACTCAACACATATGCACAATAATACATTGTGTCATGGCAAATACAAGAAATTTGCTACCCACAATGAGGACCAGATGCCACCAGAGCACGTGCTGCTGCCCTGGAGTGAGTACTTACAGAGTACAATCAGAATCCTTACATTTTCCTTGTTTTCATTTTTAGAAAGTACTTTTGGTAAAAAGAAAACATTTAAAATTGTATTTTGTTGGCATTTCTGAGTTCCTTTCATTGTACTTCCCTCACATTCTATCTGTTAACTAAATACTAGGTTTCCCAATATTTTTCAGTGGTAATTTCTATGGCCATCATTAAAAAGTAAGATGTGAATTTCCCCAAAAACACAAAAACTAGATTTCATCTTTACTTCTTATTATTCATTCACAATTTAACAACCATTTGTTGAATATCTGTTATATGCTAGGCATTATTGTAGGAATTGGGACTATAACAGTAAATGAAAATGACCAAAAAAAAAATCCCTGATCTCGTTAAGCTTATATTTCATGATTTTTTTCTCTTAAGTATTTGCTATCCATAATAAATTCAGATTTAGACATTTCTGAACCAAAGCTATTTTGTAATGAAATTTCAGGATAAAATTTTACCCACAGCTCTTCACGGTATAATTGTCCTTCTTGCTCCTCCGCTGTTACTTCCAGACCATTCTCCTATTCCTTTTAAGAAAGAAACCTAACCTTATTCTCTTCATCAAGCCATATCACCCTCTACCCTCCTTGTTGTAGTCATCTGTTCACCTCCAGATCACTTCCTTTAATGCCTTGGATATTTGGGCTTTGCGCCCACTTCTAGTACTGTCTCCAACACTACTTGGGTCATAATTCATGATTATTTTAATGTCCTGATCTGATCAATGGTCCTAATACTCTGCATTCTTAATTACTTGATCTCCTCTTTTCCAATCAATGGTCTTATCCTCTATCCTATCTCAGGCAATGACTCCCCATAGTCACACCTAAGTATTGTTATTACTGATAATTGCAGCTACCCATAATTTTTATTTCAGACATTCCATTCACTAACCATGATCTTTTTATCTCTCCAGCTCACTCTTTCCAGTTTTCTGACTGTAACAATTCTTTGATCTCATAGAGACCTATAGTCCATTGATCTTATCACCTTTCAGTGTTCCTAACTCAACTGAAATCTTCATTTTCTTATCTTCCCAGATTAATTGCATCATTGCATCTTTATATTCATCCTTTAAGTATACTATCAACTCCCTTGCTCTTTTCTCACTGTCTCTATACTAGCCTCCACATTCTGCACCTGCATTCACTCAATGGAATGTGAATGGGGAGAAAAAAATGCACACACACCCCAAATCATTCCAGTTGGTCTCTTGCTTTGAATTCATAACCACTAAGTAAAGGTGCTTTGCTGCCAAGCAATTATACTTTGTCTCTTCTAGTTTATTCTTTCTCCCTCTCTCATAGACCACTATTTCATGCTTTCTTCTTTCATAGGCATCTATCATCACCTTTTCCACCATCCTCAATCTCAGCTAATGATATTTTTTTCCTATTTCCTTAAAAAAAACTGAAAGCAAATCAGAAGAGAATATCCACAAACTCTTAACCACCATGTATAACCACCTGCCTTCTTCCGTGTCCAATACTCTGCCTTCTGTTTTACTGCTATGAAGGCATTTGCCATGCTTCTAGTTAGGTCAAGTCCTGAACATATTCCCTGTCACCTACTGATATGGTTTGGCTCTGTGTCCCCACCCAAATCTCATCTCGAATTGTAATCCCCATGTATTGGGGAGGGGCCTTGTGGGAGGTGATTGAATCATGGGGCAGAGTTCCCCTTTGCTGTTCTCGTGATAGTTAGTGAGTTCTCACAAGATCTGGTTGTTTGAAAGTGTGTGGCACTTCCCCCTTCTCTCTCTCTCTCTCTTTCTCTTTCCTCTCTCTCTCCTCTCTCTCTCTCTCTTCTGCAGCCATGTAAGATGTACCTTGCTTCCCCTTCATCTTCTGCCATGATTGTAAGTTTCATGAGGCTTCCCCAGCCATGCAGAACTGTGAGTCAATTAAACCTCTTTTCTTTATAAATTACCCAGTCTCAGGTAGTTCTTTATAGCAGTGTGAAAGCAAACTAATACATCTACTTAAGGACATAGCTCTAGCTATTTTCTCCTCTCTCATGCATTATCAATTTTCCCTTTCTACTGAGACTTTTCCATCAGCATAAAAATGAACTATAATATTTCTCATCTTGGCAAAATAAACTCTCTTGTTTCAACTTCCTTTACCAGTTACTTCCCCACTTCTCTGCTCTCTTTATATCAGAACTCCCTAAAAGGTTGCCGGTGACTTGCTTAATCCAGTTCTAGTGTTTCCGTTCTCTCTTGCACCTATTTCAATCAGGCTTTTGTTCTCATCACTCCACTGAAACAGCTCTCTTCAGGAATGGCCTCTATGTTCCTATATCTCGGTCCTTACCTTACTTGGTATTTCCCTTCTCCTTGAATATTTTGTTTATTCTGCTTCCAGAACATGTCCCCGGGCTTCCCCTACCTCACTAGTTACTTCTAACCATCTTTTATGCTTTGTTGGTTTTTTTTTTTTCATATTGTTGCCATGCCCCAGGGTTCATTCCTTAGTTCTCTTCTATTCATATTTTACACCCTTTCATCTACCACAAGGCTTTGAATACTCTCTATATGATGAAACTTCCCAAAGTTTTACCTCCAACCCAAGTCTCTCCCCCAGCCTCCAGACACATATATTTAATTACCTATTAAATATGTCCCTTTTGATGTCCAATATACACCCAAACTTAATATGCTTAGCACAAAACTCATAATATTTTTGCTCAAACTTGCTTTTCCCACAGGCTAACCCATTTCAGTGAATGGTAACCATCCTACCAGTCAGCAAAACTTTGGAGCTATCATTGGCTCTTTGGTTTTTACACTCTACATCTAATCCATCAGCAAATCCCATCAGCTCTACCTTCAAAATATGTTCAGAGTCTGACCAATGCTCACCACCTCCACAGCAACCACACTTAGTCTAATTTCTCTTCTAATTATCTCAATAGTATCTTAGCTGTTCCCCTGTTTTCAACTTCCCTCTCCCCTACATCCTGCCACCCCACACATACACCATCTACTCTCGACACAGGAACCAAAGTAATCCTTTCAAAACACGTGTCAAACTACATCACTCCACTGTTCAAAATCCTCCCATGGTTCTCCAGCTCACTTAAAGAAAAAGCCAAGACTGTACAATGGTCTACAAGACCCTACAAAGTCTGATCCGCCAGCACTTCTCTGACCTCATCTACTACTTGGTCCCCCAGCACTTCTCTGACTTCATCTACTACTTTCTTCCTTGCTCACGGTACTCCAATGATGGTGGCCTCTCTACTTTATACATGCAGGCAACTTTTTGCCTCACAGCTCTTGCACATGTTACTCTCTCTGCCAGAATACTCTTCCCTAAATATCCACATGACCCACCCATGCCTGCATCAACTTCGTATTTTCAGATCTATAATCTCAAATGTCATCTTAGCAAGGTGTTACCCTAGCATTCCATTTAAAATTGTTAACTTCATATTCTTCCTGCCTTCCTAAATAATTTAGTTCAAAGGCCCAGCAAGGTAGTCATTTATGCAGGGTTGGGGTGGGGTGACACACCTGTGCATTGTGCTGCACAAGGCAAGGAGGCCATCAGTACAGGGGGCTCTGGCAGAGGGAGCATGAAGCAGGCTGTCAGTACCTAAACAGGATAAGGTAGAAAGAGGATAAAGAGCTCAGTCCTGTCGAGGAAGGGTGCTGGTAGGAGAATCAGGAAATTGGTTCCATTCAGAAGGGACTCATCTAATGCATAAATATGTTAAGGGGGATGGTAGCCCAGTTTCTCACTGTGGGAAAAGGGAGTTACAATATGGAGAGATAGAAAACTATGATGAGTGGCTAATGCCTGTAATACCAACACTTCGGGAGGCCAAGGCAGGTGGATCACCTGAAGTCAGGAGTTCGAGACCAGCCTGGCCAACACAGTGAAACCCTGTCTCTACTAAAAATACAAAAATTAGCCAGGCATGGTGGAGGGTACCTGTAATCCCAGCTACTCAGGAGGATGAGGCAGGAGAATCGCTTGAACCCAGGAGGCAGAGGTTGCAGTAAGCCAGGATCACGCCATTGCACTCCAGCCTGGGTAACAAGAGTGAAATTCCATCTCAAAAAAAAAAATAAAGAAAAAAAACCGATGATGAATCCTGTGGTTTTGGATTGGAATTGGAGGATATAGATATTTATTCATGTTTTCAGTATATATAAATATAAAAATGAATATGTAAATAAATATGTGCATGTGTATATGTATATGAGCATATATATATACATACATACAAATTAATGTATTCATATGTATATTTATACATATAATTCCAGCTCTGTCCAATAAAAATATATGGGAGAAATAAAGGGCATCTAAGTTGGGAAGGAAGAAGTCAAATTATCTATTTTTGCAGATGATATAATTTCATATTTGGAAAAACCTAAAGACTCCACCAAAAAACTGTTAATTAAACAACATGAGTTTAAAACAAAACAAAACTATTAGAACAAATTCAGCAAAGTTGCAGGATACAAAATCAACATACAAAAATCAGTAGCATTTCTACAGGCCAATAGTGAAAACTCCGAAAGAGAAATCAAAAAAGCAATCCCATTTAAAACAACCACACATAAATTAAATCCCTAGGAGCTAACCAAAGAAGTGAAAGGTCTCTACAATGAAAATTATAAAAGACTGATGAAAGAAATTGAAGAGGATACCAGAAAATGGAATGATAGCCCACGTTCATGGCTTGGAAGAATCAATACTGTTATAATGTCCCTGCAACCCAAAGCAATCTATAGATTCAATGCAATCCCTATAAAAATACCAATGACATTCATCACAGAAATAGAAAAAAACAATCCTACAATTTATGTGGAACCACAAAAGACCCAGAATAGCCAAAGCCACCCTGAGCAAAAAGAAGAAAACTGGAGAAATCACATTACCTACCTTCAAATTATACTACAGAGCTATAGTGACCAACAGCATGGTACTGGCATAAAAACAGACACATAGACCAATGGAACAGAATGGAGAATACACAAACAAATCCACACACCTACAGTGAACTCATTTTCAACAAAGGTGCCAAGAACATACATTGAGGAAAAGACAGTCTCTTCAATAAATGGTGCTAGAAAAACTGGATATCCACAGGCAGAAAAATGAAACTTGACCCCTATCTCTCGCCTTGTACAAAAATCAAATCAAATGGATTAAAGACTTAAAATTAAGACTTTGAACTATGAAACTACTAAAAAAAACATTGGGGAAACTCTTCAGGACGTTGATCTGGGCAAAAATTTCTCAAGTAATACCCCACGAGCACAGGCAATTAAAGCAAAAATGGACAAATTGGATCATATCAAGTTTAAAAGCTTCTGCATAGCAAAGGAAACAATCAACAAAGTTAAAAGACAACCCACAAATTGGGAGAAAATATTTTCAAATTCCCCATCTGACAAAGGATTAATAACCATGGATTAATCCAAAGGGTTAATCAAACATTTCTATAGGAAAAGATCTAATAATCTAGTTTTAAAAATGAGCAAAAGAGGCCCGGTGCGGTGGCTCATGTCTGTAATCCCGGTACTTTGGGAGGCCGAGGCGGGTGGATCACCTGAGGTCAGGAGTTCAAGACCAGCCTGACCAACATAGTGAAACCCCATCTCTACTAAAAATACAAAAATTAGCCCGGCATGGTGGCGCATGCTGGTAGCTACCTCCAGTTACTAGGGAGGCTGAGGCAGGAGAATCACTTGAACCCAGGAGGTGGAGGTTGTGGTGAGCCGAGATCACACCACTGTACTTCAGCTAGAGCAACAGAGCAAGACTCCGTCTCAAAAAAAAAAAAAAAAGAGCAAAAAATTTGAATACGCATTTCTCAAAATAAAATATACAAACAGCAGACATATGAAAAGATGCTCAACATCCTTGATCATTAGAGAAATGCAAATCAAAACTACAATGAGATAGTATCTCAACCCAGTTAAAGTGGCTTATATCCAAAAGACAAGCAATGAAAAATGTTGGTGAGAAAGGGACACCCTTATACATTGTTGGTGGAAATGTGAATTTGTAAAACCACTACAGAGAACACTTTGGAGGTTCCTCAAAAAACTAAAAATAGAGCTACCTACTGCTTCATATATACCCAAAAGAAAGGAAATCAGTATATTGAAGAGATATCTGCACTCCCATATGTGTTGCAGCACTGCTCACAATAGCCAAGATGTGGAAACAACAGATTAATGGATAAATAAAATGTGACATATATACACAATGGAGTAGTATTCAGCTGTAAAAAAGAATGAGATCCTGTCATCTGCAACAACATGGTGGAACTGGAGGTCATTAAGTGAAGTAAGCCAGGTATAAAAAGACAAGCTTTGCATGTTCTTAGTTATTTGTGTGAGCTAAAAATGAAAACAATTGAATTCATAAAGATAGAGTATAAAAGGATGGTTAACGGAGGCTGGAAAGCGTACTGGACGATTGGGGAAAGGTTGGGATGATTAATGGGTACAAAAAAAATTTAGAAAAAATGAGTACGACCTAGTATTTACAAAACAACATGGTGACTATAGTCAATAATAATTTAATTGTACTTTATAAAATAACTAAAAGTTGGCTGGTGGCCCATGCCTGTAATCCCAGCACTTTGGGAGGCCAAGGTGGCCCAATCACTTGTGTTCAGTAGTTCAAGGCCAGCATGGTGAACATGGTGAAGCCCTGTCTCTACTAAAAATACAAAAATTAGCAAGGCTTGGTGACGCATGCCTATAATCCCAGCTACTCGGGAGGCTGAGGCATGAGAATCACTTGAAGCCAGGAGGTGGAGATTGCAGTGAGCTGAGATAGCACCACTGCATTCTAGCCTGGGCAACAGAGCAAGACTCTGTCTCAAAAATAAATAAATAAACAAAATAAAATAACTAAAAGTGTATAATTGGATTGTTTGTTACACAAAAGTTAAGTGCTTGAGGTGATGAATATCCATTTTCTTTGATGTGATCATTACTCATTGCATGCCTGTATCAAAGTACCTCATGTACCCCATAAATATATACACCTATGTACCCACAAAAAATTAAAAAACAATAATAAATAAAAAATTTTTTTAAAAAGTTATGGTAACAGAAATACCCTATTAGCAGCTAGGTGTGGTGGCATGTACCTATAGCCAAGCATGGTAGCATGAACCTGTAGTCAGCTACGTGAAAGGCTGAAAAGAGAGAAAAAAGAGGATCACCCGAGCCCAGGAGTTCAAGATCACCCTAGGCAACACAGGGAGACCCCTATCTCCAAGAGAAAAAAGTAAAGAAAAATAAATATCTCATTAGAAACAAGCATACCTAGCACTTAAAACTTGGTTTCCAAATATCAAATGCCATTTTCCACTGAAGGGATCCAGGGATTCTTGAGAAATGACTGATTCTAGGACTGGGGCAAGGAAATTACAGATGAGCCTGAATCTTATGACAGAAAAAAAGGAAGTGCTCAAAGATGGGAGCTTTATCAAAATGTCACTTACGTCAGCTTGAAGAGGCCCCCACTGACAAAATCTGAGAAAATATGAGCATTGAATTTAATAATACTAAAAAAGAACTTATTGAATAAAATAAAACCTATAAATTCATCCTGATATAAATTTTTTGAATAATAAATAACTGAAAAAAAGAGATTTTCTCTGTAGCAGAATGATGACATATAAATGTAGTGAACATAACGGACCACAAAAGAAATAATCAATCAGGAAACATCCACAGATACTAAAACTAGCGGATGAAAGTCTAAGTGGCATGGAATATTTACATACTCTCAAAATACCTCCCGATAAAATGCTTTTTAATTACAAAGGAAAAAAAGAGAAACTTTACAGTGAAGGTGCCCAATAGACTCCTTCTTACTGAAATGATCAAAGTTACCAGTTATGAAACAAATTGAAATCATCTATCACTTGATAGGATGCAATAAGAACACAACATCACCGATATGCATCCTTGCCAAAAATGTATAACTGACATCTAACTGTGAGAAACATCAAACAAATCCACGTAGAGAAATATTCTACAAAATAATTGGCTGGTAATCTTCCAAAGTGTCAAGGTTGAAAGTCAAAGAAACACTGAAAAACTGGTTTTGATTGAAGGACATCAAAAAGATAATTAAATGCAATGCATGATGCCAAATATAAATCTCTTGTTAATAAGAACATTACTAGGACAACTTTTGAAACTGAATGGGATGGCAGTAAAGAATCAGTACTAATTTCCCGATTTTGATGGTTGTGTTATGGTTATGTAGGAGAAAGTCCTTGATGGTAGCATTCAGGAGTGATAGCAACTTACCTTAAAATGGTTAATGAAAACAGAAGTTTTTTGTACTATTCTTGCATTTTTTCATAAGTTTGAAGTTATTTCTAAATAAATAAAATTGCTGGCCCTGGGCAGTGGCTCACACCTGTAATCTCAGCACTTTGGGAGACCAAGGCAGGTGGATCACTTGATGTCAAGAGTTTGAGCCCAGCCTGGCCAACATGGTAAAACCCCGTCTCTACTAAAAATACAAAAAAAAAAAAAAAACTAGCCAAGCCCAGGGGCACACGCCTGTAATGCTAGCTACTCAGGAGGCTGAGGTGGGAGAATCACTTGAACCTGGGAGGCGGAGGTTGCAGTGAGCCAAGATTGCACCACTGCACTCTAGCCTGGGTGAGACAGCGAGACTCCATCTCAAAAAATAATAATAAATAAATAAATAAAATTGTAAATCCATGCAAGGCCTACCCTATCCCCTTCTCCACTTAATTTTTCTCCAGAGCACTTATCAACATCTGACATATATTTTACGTATTTGTTATTGTCTGCCTCTCTCTACCAGAATATAAACTATATGGAATTTTCAGCACAGTTTCACTTAATGACATACATGGAGTAGACTCTCTTGTCCAAAGGTAACACTTTCTGCAGAAATGCAATGTTACCACTCCTAGACAAACACAGATTTACTGTAAAGGACAGTTTAGCCCCTTAGAGCTCCAGATTTCCAAACTCCTCCAATTTTGTTGGTAGTTGTATGTAATGAAATAGCCCAAAGCAGTTTTCCAGAACAAAAAGAAATAGTGTGCTTCCAAGTCAATTCTGGTTACCCCTCTTTCAAGTCAAGTTTAATATAAAAAAAAAATCTTCTGAGTTTGAATGGATAATTTTTCTAGCTTCCTCTAATCTTATCAAAGTTTTCAACGTTCTTTGGGCAAATCTAAGACAAGACATCTTGTTAAATCATCTATTGACATTTTAAAATGTACGCCAGGAAAAGAGTCATAGAATATTTCCATTTGAAAGAGCAGAGCAGAATTAATCCAAAGTAAGTTTTTACTTTTTTGAATCCATTTTATTAGTCATAGAGTTCTCTAGAATTCTGTTAAATTAATATAAAAATGTTATGGGAGGCAGAGGAGTATTCAGCATAAAAGTATGAGTCTTTTTTTTTTTTTTTTTTTGGAGGCAAGAATCTCTCTGTTGCTCAGGCTGGAGTGCAGTGGCACTATCTCAGCTCACTGCAACCTCTGCCTTTAGGGTTCAAAGGATTCTAGTGCCTCAGCCTCCCATGTAGCTGGGATTACAGGAACCTGCCACCATGCCTGGCTAATTTTTGTATTTTTTTTAGGAGAGACAGGATTTCACCATGTTGACCAGACTGGTCTCAAACTCCTGACCTCAAGTGATCCACCTGCCTCAGCCTCCCAAAGTGCTGGCCTTACAGGCGTGAGCCACCATGCCCTACCAAGCATGTGAGTTTTATAGTCAGAAAGACAGGGCTTCATTCCAGCTTCGCCAATTATTAGCATTATAATCTTGGACAGTTATTTAACCTATGTTCTTGTTTTCTTATTATAAAACTGGTATAATAATGCTAGTGCCTACCTCATAGGCCAATCATAAAGATAAAAAATAATAATAAAGCACTTGGCACAGGGCTAGCACATAGCGACACACATAAATGATAACCTTTAATTTTTATATGTGTAACTTAAATTTTAAAAACATATATAAAAAAATCAGGCCGGGAGCAGTGGCTCACACCTGTAATCCCAGAAATTGGGAGGCCGAGGCGAGTGGATCACCTGAGGTCAGGAGTTCGAGACCAGCCTGACCAACATGGTGAAACCCTGACTTTACTAAAATTACAAAAAAACATTGGCCGGGCGTGGTGGCACGCACCTGTAATCCCAGCTACACTGGAGGCTGAGGCGGGAGAATCGCTTGAACCTGGGAGGCTGAGGTTGCAGTGAGCTGAGATCACACCACTGCACTTCAGTCTAGGTGACAAAGTGAGACTCCATCTCTAAATAAATAAATAAATAAATAAATAAATCAGACTGGTCCAAGTGGTGTTTATAACTAATTGATCACAACCAGTTACAGATTTCTTTGTTCCTTCTCCATTCTCACTGCTTCACTTGACTAGCCTTGAAGAAATTGTAAAATATATGTAAAATATAAATATGTAATAAACCTAACTGAAGGAAATTACACAAAGTTGTGGCTTTTTCTTCCAACTTTCATTCTGGTAAAGTTTTACACAGGAGGTCTCATTTTCTGTAATTCATGTTAACATATCCTTGAAAAATTATGCCATTGTGTGATATAAATGTAAAAATGTGGCTTTGACTTTGCACTGTTAATGTTTACAGGACAGTCAAATTGTATGTAGAAATTATATTATTTCATATTGAAGTTGATTTGTACAATATGATGTTCTATTTTCATTTGCACACATTTGGCCCTTACTGATTAAATAATTTCCCAAATCAGCTTGAACTTATCATCTCTGTTTATAGCTGAGGGTAACAACCAAATTGTTTTTGAACTAATTTACATAGTAAGTATAGTAGAATTCCTCTTCTGTATAAAGTATCAGATATAAATATTAGTTCTATTAAATGCTAAAGAATTTAGCAATGTAAATTACTTATGTGATCTGTATGCATTTGTATTTAAAACATTTAATTTTAGCATAATAAAAACAAAGCAATTGTTACATGGGCTGCTGTTTTCTCATTTTTAATTATGTTGATAACTTATCCCTAGTTTCATAATGAATCTAGTTTTGTAAAGCTAGCCCCACTTGTTCCTAATTCACTTAACTCTAAAGTTAGGTGGCAAAATGTTTCCAGTTCTCAGACCTTGTTTGTTCTTGTCTTTGTTTTTAAGAAAGGTTCTCCCTCTGTTGCCTAGCTGGAGTGCAGTGGTATGATCATGGTTCACTACAGACTTGACCTCCTGGGCTCAAGTGATCCTCCCACCTCAGCCTCCCAAGTAGTTGGGACCACAGGCACATGCCACGACGTCTGGCTAATTTTTCTTACTTTTTGTAGAGATAGGGTCTGGCTATATTGCCCAGGCTGGTCTTAGACTCCTGGGTTCAAGCAGTCCTCCCACTGTGGCCTCCCAAACTGCTGGCATTACAGGCATGAGCCACTGTGCCTTGCCCAGGGCTGGTCTTGAGTTTCAGATCTTCTGTCTTACGCTAAACTCAGCTAATGGCAGGAAAGCTTACATTGATTGATGATACAAGGATGGTCAGCAAATACCTCAGAAGCCAGGATGGTCAGCAAATACCTCAGAAGCTACAACTCACAAGCTCAATGTAATGTTACTTCCATTTTAGCTAAGTTGTCTACCATAGTTTAGACATTTCTGGAGGAACAATTAAGCTTGTAGTAAACTTTAGATCAACTTACCTTATATATTCATATTTTCCAAAAAATTTCCAGAAGCTGCCAAACCAAAGATTGTTGTATCAGTCAGAGTAGGCTAGGTTGTCCTACAATACAGTAATACTCTCACTACAGTTTATCACAGGTCGGCTTGGGTTGCTGTCCCACCAGCCTGCAGGCAGAAAGAGGCTCCATCTCCATATTACAAGCCAAGAAGAAGAAAGAGTAGCAAGTTACACATTAGCTCTTAAAATTATAACCAGAAATGGCATATTACCACTTACATTTCACTGGTAAAAGCAAGACACATTGTTTCATCTAACTGCAAAGGAACAAGGAAATGTAATCCTACCGTGTACCAAAAAAGGCGTGAACAGGGAAGATTTGGTGAGTGGCAATAATGACCACCATAATATGCCCTACACCTGACCAAATATCCTATTCGTTATTCTTCCACAGGCAAAATATACTTATTACCTCTCCATAGAGACAATCCAAAATGGCATCAAGCTCAGAGTTCAGGATCTCTGGGTCATATGCAAAAGTCTCTTACATCTGGGGTTAATATAAAGCCCTGGCAGTGGCTTCTCTTGATCTTAAGTCTAAGAACTAGAAAAGCAAGTTATCTGTCCCACAAACACATTATACAATAGTGAAGCAGGACAGGATAACCAAGATAACCATTCAGAAGGTGGAAAAATGAAAGAAACACTCTAGGAGACATTGATCCTTAGCAATTCTGAAATCTACAGGGCAAAATTATGAGGATCCCATTACATGAGGTGAAAAATAACTTTTGATTAGGCCCTGATTTTACTTCCCGAAAGTAACACCCTTCCCATTTTTCTTCATGGTGCCTGGCTCCACCCTCTGAGAGAGTCTTCCTTTCCCATAGTTTCTTTGGCCACACGTGAAGGGGCACCAAAATATATACCCTCTTTGGAGTTCGAGCTGCTTTCTCCTGCCCATAGATGGCATTATTTTAAGGCTCAAACAGTCACAATTATTTTTACTCCAATCTAATGGTTTACCAGTATCACTTTACTACAAACATAGCAAACTTTCTGTCTATCTGATTCCACTTATTTCTATGTGCCAATAGCCACAGCCATCACTCATTTCTGGACACACTTCCTTGATTTGTTTTGTTATTTCTTTGTTCCGCTTTCTTGTCACCATACCACACCCATCTCTAATGTAATTATGTATTCCATGAGCCTATCAAGACTAGAGGATAACTGCTTCAATCTCTTTTTGCTAAGCTACGTTGTTCAATTGAAAAGATTTACTGAATGCTCCCTGAAGTCATTCACGAGTTTTAGCAACGGATATAATGAGCAAACACTTGGTTTGATCCTTATCATACATACAGTTGAATTTTAATGGCCTTGTCACTTTGTATTTACTAGTTGAGATTGTGAAGCAGCTGCCTTGTCCAGATTTGAACATTTCTGAATTTCCGGACTTACTCCATTCCCTTTAATCCTTGCTTATAAGTAGACTAATTCTTTTCTGAGCTTGTCTCTGTCTTGTAATACCCTGCCAAATGCAATCAATAGAAGCCAGCTTACATTTCTAATACTTTGCTTAAAACCTCTTTCCTAAGAGTTACAAATTCATTTGGATCATAATTCTCCTTCTAAGTCATTGCATGTAATATTTCCCCCAAGAATTGTATCACAATACATGGATTGCTATCCTTCCAGTCTTCACTAACCATTTTTTGCAGGCTATCTTCAAATCCCTAAGCCAATGCCACAAATTTTAGACTTATGATGTTCCCTACTTCTGGTATCAATTTTCTATTGGATAGACTTGATTATGCTTTGGTAACAAATTTGGTAACAATCAAACCCAGTGTCTTAGAACAACAGTGGTCTGTTACTCATGCTACATGTCCATTATGAGTAAGCTTGGGTGGGAGTTAGGGGGTGAAGTTAGCCCTATATTCTCCTCACTCAGGAATTCCAACTAAGGAAAGTTCATCTGCCTGTTTCCATGTTTCAGGGTAAGAGGAAGAACAAACGGTAAAATGTGCACTGACTCATATTTTCTGTGTAGAAGTGACTAGCATTACTTCTGTCCATATATCGTTATCCAGTGCAAGTCACCTCAAGGTACAGGAGAGTGCAATCCTACCTGCATCTGGAAATATTTAGTGAGTAGAGCTAATTACTCTCTCAACTGTTATTGAGTTCAATATGTAAGGATGTAAATGCTATATTATTTAGACATCTCCCACTTTACTATCACCTTATCCAGGGCTAATTCCGCCTTATGGAAGGATTCTCCTCTCTCATTCTACTTACCTCCTTTTTAAAGTTGCCTCTCTTAAAAAGGAACATTTATTAAGCAAAAGCAAACCCTTCCTTAGTCTACAATAGCTATGTTCTTCTTCTACATCGATCTCAATTCACTTCTAATATGACCTCCAAAAGAATATTGGCTCTTTAGCCAAAACAACCCTGAAAAAAAAAAAAAAAGCAGGAGGACTCATACTTTCTGATTTCCAAACGTACTACAAAGCAATGCAGATCAAGACTGTGTAATGAAACAATGATAGACATAAAGGTAAATGCAATAGAGTTAAGAGTCTAGAAATTAGCCTATACATCAGTGAATTCACCAATTTTTGACAAAGATGGCAAGTCTCTCCAGTAGGGGAAGAAGAGGCTTTTCAACAAATGGTTCTGAGATAACTGGACAGCCACATGCAAAAGAATGAAGCTGGACCCTTCGTATTGTGAGGTATAACATTTCATGTGCTACTTTGACAAGTTTAAGCTTCATAGACAAGTTTAAGTTCCAAAGTTCTAACAACGGGACCCCTCGCTCTTATTACGTTCTCCCAACTAACAGCAAAGGCTTCCCACCTGGCTAGTTCCCCTATCAGCTGTACCTGCTACACCCCAGCTAGCCCTCAACCTAGTAAGTTTTACTTTCCTGCCACTCCATGAAATTCAAACAAGCCAATCACATCCTCTCATGGGTACCAAGAATTACCTCATCTTTTCATTACTACAAAACCTAACCTCCATGCCCCTGCTTGTTCTTTCTTGTGCAACCCTGATGGTGATTAAAATGTTCTAAAGTTGGCTGTAGTGATAATTGCACATATCTGTGAATATGTGAAACACCGCTGAATTGCACATTTTAAGTAGGTGAAGTATACGCTATAAGAATCATTTCCCAATAAAGCTATCTAAAATTATATATGGGCTACTATCAAGAACAGTATTGCAGTAGATTCAAGAAGATTAACACAAATGCACAGATGACTAATCCATAATAGATTATCCAGAAAAGTTAGCAAATTTGGTTTTAGTCCTTGCTTGAAAAAAATTGCTTCCCTAGAAAATATTTATTGGTGGCAGTATTCAAAGAAGACAGAGCTGAATGATCTAGTGGCCTAAATAAATATGGCACTGTTTTTATATGATAAAAAGAAAAAAAGAGATAGTTTTCAGAATTTAAGCTCCGAATTAATGAGCCTGCTCATTTTATCAAAATTTTTCTTGGTTCTTCAAGAGACAAACTATCATCTCTCTTCTGACTTTAACCGTTATTCCACTTCTGATATTACTAGCCTCTTTATAAAACGTAAGCAGAGCTCCCTGAAACAATGCCATCTTTAATCTTGGAGGTGGCACACTGGGACCTGGATCTACCAGGGCACCACCTGTCACCTCTGGCAGAAAGCAGCCTTCTCTAGGGCTCCTCAGAGGGCAGCCCAATTGATGCCCACAAGAAGTGATGAGTAACATCTGCTGTCTCCTGTTCTGTCTTAAAATGATAAGAGTAGACAAGGGTGTGTTTTATCATCTGGATGTCCACAAAATCAATGTCAGCATGCAGCCACTGCCCATTACACACAATGAGCCAGGAAGCTGTTGAAGAAGCTTCTGTTCCACACAGCCAAGTTATAACAGCCCACACTCCAGAAAGCTGGGGGTGAGGAAGTCAGACAGGCAGAGCTGGAGGCTGCATCCCGAAAATCTGTCATTATAAATAATTAATATTCATGGCTAATTTACCCTTTTGGTAGCCACCAAGCTAACTATAGGATGATTCCTCTAACAATGCACATGCATTTAAATGCTTGGTCTGAAAAAGCTTAATTATATGTGAAATCACCTGATGGAAAAAAAAAAATTCTAACATTACATTTGTCCATGGAAAGAAAGGAAAAGCTGCTTTTTAAAAAGTTTTTGAAACTGATTTCAACTCTTCTAAAATTGAATTGTCCTATAAAATTTGTTTTAATTTTTTTATTACATACTTATGTGAATAACATTTCTTATCAATAATGACTGTTGAGAATTTAAAGGTATTATCATTTAGAAGTCTTGATAAGGAATTGCATATGGTCATCCTAGGGAAGTAATAATGCTGGCATTAAAAATGGTATGCAGCCAGGCGCAGTGACTCACACCTGTAATCCCAGCACTTTGGGAGGCCAAGGTGGGTGGATCACCTGAGGTCAGGAGTTTGAGAACAGGCTTGCCAACATACTGAACCCCCCCATCCTACTAAAAATACAAAAATTAGCCAGGCATGGTGGCACGTACCTGTAGTCCCAGCTACTTGGGCAGCTGAGGCAGGAGAATCGCTTGAACTCAGGATGCGGAGGTTGCAGTGAGCCGAGATCGCACCACTGTACCCCAGCCTGGGTGAGAGAGCAAGACTCTGCCTCAACAACAACAACAGCAACAATTAAGTATGCTTATGAAAAGAAACTCAGGTTTTTTTCATTAAAACATTTTAGGCCGGGCGTGGTGGCTCACACCTGTAATCCCAGCAATTTGGGAGGCCAAGGCAGGCGGATCACCTGAGGTCAGGAGTTTGAGACCAGCCTGACCAACATGAAGAAACCCCATCTCTACTAAAAATACAAAAATTAGCCGGGCATGGTGGTGCATGCCTGTAATCCCAGCTACTCGGGAGGCTGAGGCAGGAGAATCGCTTGAACCCGGGAGGCGGAGGTTGCGGTTAGCCGAGATCGCTCCATTGCATTCCAGCCTGGGCAACAAGAGCAAAACTCTGCCTCAAAAAAAAATTAAGATTTTATTTAGGATAGTATGCAAATTCAATAGTTAATATTAATACAGGAGTTATTAAGAAATTATTTTTAGGCAGCTAGAGAAGGTTAAACTTCTCCGCGCAATTTTCCTTTAATAAAAAGCAACCCCAAACCATTTCTTCTCTAATAGAAAGCGGCCTGAGAAGTCAGGCATAGATATGCAAACTGGAAGCTTTTATATGTAAATGCAGGCAGCTGTACCTGGAAGCCAGGTACATTCAATGTGGCATCTCCTGCCCTCTTTTTCTTATCACCACGTGTGCCAGCTGTCATGGCAGCCTCCAGATGACACCACGTGTACAGGCATCATGGCGACCAGCCACGTGGAGGCCAAGTTTACATAATAAAAGACTAGGGTGGGAGGGCCAGTCTTTTCGTGGGATGTGTAAATGGCACACCTGGTAAAACCAGTCCCCTGGCCCCATGTAAATCAATCACCGCCTCCTCAAGCCTCTTTACAAAACCAACTGCATTCCGCTGCAAACGGAAGACCCTCAGGCTACCGACTTTCTCAATATGAGAAAGCTTTTTCTCTCTCTTTTCTTTTTCTATTAAACTTTCTGCTCCTGAACCCACTCCTCATGTGTGTCAGTGTCCTGAATTATTTCTCAACCACGACCAAGAGCCAGGATATATACCCCCAGACAATGGAGCCCTTTCAATATCTTACATAATATTTGCTATATTATAGTATATATTCCTAAAAAATAATTTAAAAAAATTTTCCCATCACATCCCATATAGATGCCTCCAGATGCCACAAAAACTATCATATCTATGTCCTTTTCCTGCCATGACATGAAAAAAGTTAGGAAAGCATTAGTTTAAATCTAATGGCCAACCATTTCAATTATGTCTGTTTCCTATCACTACCCCCACGCTCCCAAACAGTCTTGTCTTTGTCTATCACTCCAATTCCCAATCCTGTTTACCCTGGCATTTTTACAAATTCCCATTCCCAGGATGCCCTGCCTTGCTTGGGACTGTAATACAACTACAATAAATTGATACACAGTCCTTCCATTTCTTATTACCTAAAATTAGTTGGGGATGCATCCTGCCTTTGTAAGACAAGTAAAATCATCTATTATGGACTGAATTGTGTCCCTGCAAAATTCATATGTTGAACCCCTGAACTCCAATATGACTATGTTTCTCAATTCCTCAATATATTGCCTTTAGGGAGGTAATTATGGTTAAGTGAGGTCATAAGGGTGGAGCCCTAATCTGTTAGGATTGGTGTCTTTATAAGAAGAGGAAGAGACACCAGAGATATCTCTATCTCCCTTTCTCTTTCTCTCTCTCTCCACATGCACAAAATGAATGTCCTGTGAGGACACAAGGAGAAGGCGGCAGTCTGCAAGCCAGGAAAGAGGTCTCCCCAAAGGAAGCAAGTTTGCTGACACCTTGATATTGGACTTCTAGCCTCTATAACTGTGAGGGGGGAAAAATCATGCTGTTTAAGCCTGTGGTTTTCTGTTACAGCTGCCCTAGGTGACAAATACACCATCCTGAAGGAACTCCACACTTAGTCACCTGCTACATATTTTGCTGCATCTGATTACATCTTATAATCTTTACATGCATCTTAGAAAAAGAAGCTCCTTAAATATATATATATATGTATGTAAAATGGGATCTTGCTAAGTCACCAGGGCTGTGCTGGCCTTCAACTCCTGGCCTTAAGTCATCCTCTCACCTTGGCCTCCCAAAGTGCTGGGATTACAGGTATGAGCTACCACCGGCCCAACAACAGCCTCTTATCTCCAAAATAAATCCGTTTGTCTGTAGCCTTCCTACCACCTCTTCCCATTTAAAGTCCTCTCTGTTTCTCTTTCCCACTCTTTCCTTTCTTTCTGGTATCAAGTTACTTTAGGACACTGAATTATTAGTGAAAAGGTTGTACAGTAGGCAAGAAATCAAAGTGAAGAGAGATGGAGAGTCTTGAGAAAATTTTTGTTCACACAATACAAAATCTGAAGAATTCTCCTATTTCATTACCACACAACAAAGTCAGTTGTGTGGTTATGAAAGCAGTCTTTCCCTCCAGGTTCTTTGTCAAGCTCCTTTTGAGCCCACTGCACCAACAGTACTAGATTCCTGGACTTTGGTCTTGTCTAGGATCTATGTTTATTGTCACCTTCTGTTAATTAATTTTCATCTAGAGATAAGTAATATAATTATAACTGGTAAAAATTTTCCATTTACTCTAGTATATGAAGTTGCAATTTAATTATGTTACAGCTGTTTACTATCTAATATGATTTATTTATGCCTGGAGACCCTTATCTATACTCATTGTCTCTATTTCCTGATTTTCCACTCATTCCTCAACTCACTCCACAGACATAGCTCTTGTTATAATCTGCACGTTGCAAGGTTTGGTGGTTATTTTCTGTCCTTTGCTTGTTGAACTTTTCAGCAGCAATAGCACAATTACCCACCGCCACTTTACCTTCTTTTTTTCTTTGTTTTTTCTCCTTTTATTTCGTTCCATCCAAAATGTCAACCACTTTATCTCCTTAAAGCGGTTTCCCACTTGGTATCCATTACACAACACTATGTCTCTAGCAGCACCTTCTTGGTCTCCTTTTCTGTTCTTCCTTCTCAACAAAAATCTCTAAATGTTGGAGCATTTCCAGATCTGTGCAGGACCTTCTTCTATTCTGTATCTACACTCCCCCTAGGCGACCTTAACCAACCTCCTTCTCTTAAATGCCATCAATATGTGGATGTCTCACAAATGTTTATCTCCATCCCAGCAGCCCCTCCATGGCACCATACCCACATACCAAGTGCTTACTTGGACATCTAACAAGTATATCCAACTACCTCTGAGCAGAATTCTTCATTTTCCCGCTAATCTTGTTCCTTCCAAGTTTTCAATAGGTCAGTAACATGGTACATCCATTCATTCAGTTGCTCAAGCCAGAAACTAAAGAGTGATGGAAAACACCTTTGCAAAATTATAACAGTAAGATAAATCAGACAGTTGACTCCATCTTGTTTCTGACTTCCAAGCTATGCTTGGTCATTCCTGGGTGTAGACCAAGCTAACTTTGGGAAAAATTTAGTTTGGGGTTTACCTTGAAATCAAGGTTAATAACAGTTCCTCCCTAAAACTAACTTCCTCCTTGCTCAAGGACCAAAAACTGCCTTCATAGGACTAATGAAAGGCCACAAGTATAAAATTATGAGAGGTGTCTGAATTATGCTAAGAAGTAGTCATATTTTCTATAACCCCTTACTGCTCAGGAGTTATGTGGCCAGAAGTCACAAGATTTGTGACTTCCCCAATTGTTCCCATAGATAACATCACTATTGTAGAACCTAAGATTGGTTTTTCAAGCTTTCAGACTGACCCCCACCTGGATTCATGACTCATGACTCAACTGATTCTGTGGCCCAACCCAGAGGTAGACTTAGCATATGAAGACAGTTTTCCACACCCCTATGATTTCATTCCCAACCAATCAGCAGCACCCATTCCCTAGCCCCCTTCCCACCAAATTGTCCAAAAATAACCCTAACTTCTGAGCCTTCAGGGAGACTTATTCGAGTGAAAACTCTAGTTCACATGGCTGCGGCCAGCCGCATGCCAATTAAACTCTTCTCTACTACAATGCCATGGTCTCAGTGAATTGATTTTGTGAAGCAGGCAGAAAGAACCAATCAGGCAATTACATCATCATTGATCTTTCTCTTTCTTTCTCCCTTCCATTCATCATCAAGTCCTATTGCTGCTAGTTTCATATTATATCTAAAATCCACCCTCTTCTCTCCACCTCCACTGACATCACCCTAGTCCAAGTGTCATTGTGTAGTCAAGAGTGTTAAAAGTGCTCCTAGCTAGTTTCCTTGCTTTCACTCTTGACCTCTCCCATCCATTCTCCAAACAGCAATCAGGTTGTTCTCTGAAAAATAGAGGAGCAGATAATATCACTTCCTGAATACAAAGGTTTTTATTGGCAGCATAAAATTCAAACTCGTTATCCTGGTTTGGCTCCTACTTCCTTTCCCACTTCTTTTTGTTGCAGTTTTCCTTGTGGCTGCTGCATTCTAATCACATGGGCTTCCTTTGGTTCCTCTTCTTTTTTTTTTTTTTTTTTTTTCGTATTTTCAGTAGAGACAAGGTTTCACCATGTTGGCCAGGCTGATCTCAAACTCCTGGTCTCAAGTGATTCACCTGCCTCAACCTCCCAAAGTGCTAGGATTACAGGTGTGAGCCACCGCACCCAGCCCATTTGGTTCCTCTTCCAAGCTGCAACGTCTTTGCATTTGCTGACACTTGTGGCTATAAAGCTATTCCACCAGCTTTTCCCTTTGGCAGCTAATTTCTGCCCTTTAGGTTTCAGCTTATATGACTCCCTTTACAAAAAATGACCCTTATGACCAAATTCATAAGTCTTCCTACCTCTTCTTTGCCCTCTGTGTTGTACTCCATCTTATCATCTTGCACATCTCCTTCATAGTACTTGTCACAACCTATAACTATCTGTTTATCTGACTCCCCGAATAACAGGGACATCATGTCTTATCATTGTACATCCCTAGTCTCTATCACAGTGCTTGCCATTCAATAAATCTTCATTGACTAAATGAATAGATGAATAAATAAATGAATGCCATTCTGAGCCCAAACCCTTCCAAGTCTGTAACTGACAGACTTGGAAATTCTTAAAGCTCATTCTCACATTCACTAAGTTCAGAGACAGTAATTTCTACTTGTGGCTAATTTGCATTCATTGCCTATATGTTCTTCAAAATTTCATTCTCAGGAAGTAACTTTATCTTACGCATTACCTCTACTACCACATGCACATCTAGATACATATATATACTCACTAAAACCAAGAAGGCATTTGTTGTTAAATGTATAGTTCAAAGGCAGATCCTGTTATCCTTTGGATCTGATTTATTTTCTGGATCTCTTTCCAAACATCTACTTTTATAATTTTTATATTGATTTTGTTTGTTCAACTTTTTCTATATTTTAGTACCTTAAGCCCCCACAATATCTTTTATAAATGAAAAGTCTGACCAGCTGCTTATAAAACCAGTTTGTCTTCTTAGGCATAGAGCTAGTGTGTCAGTCTTTTGTGGTGTTCATTAAATATTTATGACTCTCTGACTTACAGACATAGGGTCAGTTGCTCTTTCTCGGCACTTTGATTTTAGGCATAGCCATATAACTTGCACTGGCCAATGAAAGAAAGAGGAAGTAGCAGTTGCCATTATTGGGCAGATGCCTTAAGAGTCAAATTTCCTTCCCACTGCTGCAGTGACGGTGTGGGGGCAGGACAGAGAGAGTTCCTGGGACACAGGACTTTTTGTTTTAAAACCAAAACAGTTCCAGAAAAAACTGCCCTGGTTTGATTGGAACTAATGGGGGTTTCCAGGATACAGGGTTTTCAAGAGTAAACCTGGGAAAGATCCAAGCAAACTGGAATTATTTATTTACTCTGTGATTCTGGAAAAGGTATTTAGATGAAATTTACAATAGCCTTGATTCCAGAGTGAATATGAAGAGAAACTCTCACTCAACCCACACTAAGCATGTAGCATCAAAGAAAAATAAATTTTGGTTGAGTGAACCACTGAGATCTGGTAGTTTTTGATTCTATATCATAATCTGACCTCCCTTAAGAAATGCATAAATAGGTACTAACTGGACAGGTGCTGCCATAACAACAAAACCTAATACATGTGGCATTAGGTCCAGGCAGCAGGTGATGAGGAAGTCTTTTCAGAGGTTGAAAACATGGTTTTTCAATACTATCCCATGGCAAAACTTTGATAATGTTGCCAACTGAAATAACTGAAAGATGATATACCTACTGAACTTGTGGCCTTAAGGGAAAAGGTAGAACAGAGAAGTTTAGCAGTGTGTTGGTTGCAGCTGACTATATTCAATGAGGTATTACAAAAAATGAAAAGCTCATGGAAATAATCGGCTGGTAATAAGTAGGAATATACAATTTAGAGAGAACGCACAAATTCAGTAATTTGTAGGGTCAGAAGAAGTAACTCTCTTCAAATACAAGTTGTGAAAGGTAAAACAGAAAAGATCTTTGAGTAAGAAAGAATGATTGAAACTCAGCCTTTGGAAGAGAGATCGAACCTAAGAGTTGTAAATAATTTTCCCTGACTCAAGGAAAATAAATTAAAGGTGTGCTTTTGCCCCTGAAGTCTGATAAATCCAAGGTACTCCAATTAAGTTAAGACACAAAGAGAGAATGATGAGAGTGATAGAGTAATAGAGAGATGGAGAAAAAGCACATATGGATGAGAAAGAAAAGATATATAATACATCTAAGTATGCTTCAAAAGAACTGTGAGTATGTCATTGACACATGGAAATAACTGGAATCTGATTAAAATTCTATTAAGCTTACAAGAGCATTTTTCTGTCAAATAAATTATGAAACAAGACTAGAAATATCTGTGATTATTTGAAACTTAGACTGACCCTTGACCTCCACCTTCTTTGAACAGCAAGCAGGTTAAAAAAAAAACTATTCAGACTCCAAGAAGGGCATGTTCTCCAATGTCAATTTTAGATGAAATCAGGAAGAATAATAGTAAGGAAGAATTTTTTTTTTTGAGACAGAGTCTCACTGTGTCACCCAGGCTGGATTGCTGTGGCATGAACACAGCTCACTGCAGCCTTGACCACCTAGGCTCAAGATATCCTCCTGCCTTAGCTTCCCAAGTATCTGGGACTACAGGCATGTGCCACCATGTCTGGCTAATATTTAAATTTTTTTTGTAGAGACAGGGTCTCACTTCATTGTCCAGGCTGGTCTCGAAATCCTGGGCTCCAGCAATCCTCTCACCTTGGCCTCCAAAACTTCTGGGATTTGCCTGGCCAGAAAAATCTTTAAAGAGGAAGACCTCTAATGGTCAATGACGTTGAACTTTTTTTCCTGTGACTGTTGGCCACACTTATGTCTTCTTTTGAAAAGTGTCTGTTCGTGTCCTTTGCCCACTTTTTTATGGGATTTTTCTCCTTGTAAATTTGTTTAAGTTCCTTATAGACACTTGATATTAGACCTTTGTTGCTGACGAGGTTGTGGAGAAAAAGGAACAGTTATACACTGTTGGTAGGAGTGTAAATTACTTCAGCCATTGTGGAAGACAGTCTGGCAATTCCTCCAAGACCTAAAGACAGAAATACCATTCGACCCATCAATCCACTGGGTATATACCTAAAGGAGTATAAATCATTCTATTATACAGACACATGTATGGGCTAGGTGCGGTGACTCACACCTGTAATCCCAGCATTTTGGGAGGCCAAGGCAGGTGAATCACATGAGGCCAGCAGATCATTTGAGGCCGTGAGTTCAAGATCAGCCTGGCCAACGTGGTGAAAACACATCTACTAAAAATACAAAAATTAGTCTGGCATGGTGGCACACACCTGTAATCTCAGTTACTTAGGAGGTTGAGGCACAAGAATCTCTTGAACCCAGGAGACGGAGATTGCAGTGAGCCGAGATTGTGCCACTGCACTCCAGCCTGGGTGACAGAGCAAGACCCTGCCTCAAAAAAAAAAAAAAAAAAAAAAAAAAAGACGTGTATGTGTATGTTCATTGCAGCATAATTCACAATAGCAAAGACATGGAATCAACCTAAATGCACATAAATGATAGACTGGATAAAGAAAATGTGGTACATATACACCATAGAATACTATGCAGCCATAAAAGAGAACGAGATCATATCCTTTGCAGGGACATGGATGGAGCTGGAAGCCAATATCCTTAGCAAACTAACACAGGAACAGAAAACCAAATGCTGCATGTCCTCATTTATAAGTGGAAGTTAAATGATGAGAACACATGAACACATAGAGGGAAACAACAGACACTGGGAAGTGGAGGGTAGGAAGAGGGAGAGGATCAGGAAAAATAACTAATGGGTACTAGGCAATACCTGAGTGATGAAATAATCTGTACAAAAAACCCCCATAACACAAGTGTACCTATGTAACAAACCTGTACTTGTACCCCCGAATTTAAAATAAAAACTAAGGAAAAAAAAAAAAGAGACCTGAGAGCCACAGAGAACAAAGAACTGGGTGGCACCTCCTGGAAAGCAGATTGACCTAATCAAGGAACATTAAGCTATGCCTAAGGTAGGGAATCTGCTTATCACATGGAGAGATTTCATGGACCAGGGACTACTGTGTGGTCCCATTTTTCCTCTTTCTAAATGGGAATGTTTATTATGGTTATCCTGTCCCTCTCATACCCCTGTATATTGAGTTTATGGGATGTAAACAGCTTTTACTATAGTTCTTAAGTCTCTGGATCAAGAGGAACTTTATCTAGACCAAACTTAGAAATTACTGCACATCACTCCCTATAGATAAAATTCTGTTACTGAAGCCAGTGAAGTTTTGTTGTTGCTTTTTACTGTAGCATAACCTAGCCAACTTGACTGATACAACTAAAGAACATATTCCAGTCTCCCTTGCAGTCAGCTTTAGACATATGAATGAGTTATCGTCTAAGGGGTATGACAGAAGTGATATGAATGAACCAATTTCAGACATGGTCTATAAAACCTCCCATGTAGGGAGGCTGGGCGAGGTGGCTCATGCCTGTAATCCCAGCACTTTGGGAGGCTGAGGCAGGTGGATCATCTGAGGTCAGGAGTTTGAGACCAGCCTGGCCAACATGGCGAAATCCCATATCTACTAAAAATACAAAAATTAGCCAGGCATGGTGATGGGTGCCTGCAATCCCAGCTACTCGGCAGGAGAATAGCTTGAACCTGGGAGGCGGAGGTTGCAGTGTGCTGAGATAACACTATTGCACTCCAGCCTGGGTGACAGAGCGAGACTGTGTCTCAAAAAAACAAAAAGAAAAACACACACAAAAAAAACCAACAACAACAAGAAACACCTCCTATGCATGATCTTCCATTCTCTTTAATGAATTGCCAAATTAATGGACAGAATTCTAAGCCCTACAAGAGGGTAGAACCACACCACAGAAAGTTGCCTGAAGAATCCCCTATTGAAAGCTTTCTGCCAATCAAAAACACCTGTTTTGAACTTCACTAAATTCTATTGTGTTAAACCATGGAGATTTGGGGGTATTATGGACTGAATGAATTCCCCCAAAATTCATATGTTGAAGCCCTACCCCCCAAAGTTGTGGCAATTAAGATGGAGCATTTGGGGGGTAATTAGGGTAAGATGGAGTCATGAGGGTGTGTCCCTCATGCTGGGATGAGTGCCCTTGTAAAAAGGAACACCAGAGAGTTCTCTCTCTATCTCTATCTCTCTCTGTCATGTGATAACACATAGAGAAGGTGGCCATCTGCAAGCCAGGAAAAGAGCCCTCACCAGAAACTGAACTTAATCTTGGATTCCAGCCTCCAGAACTGTGAGAAAATAAATTTCTGTTGTTTAAGTCACCCAGTCTATGTATTTTGTTATGCCAACCCAAGCTAACTAACACAGGAAGATTTATTTCTTTTAACAATTAATGTTTCCCTAATAAATACATGTAATATAAGTTATTTTTTAAATGGCCTTTCAGTTGGACTTCCTAACTCCTGTGTCTCTTCTGTGCAATTCACCATGTACAACTATGCCAGATGAATCTCCCAAAAGCAAATCTCTGATTGTGTCCATTATAAATATTCCTCTTCAGCTCCCACATAAAATCCCAAAATCCAATCTTATCTTTCATTCCTTTCTTGATCTGTCCTCAACACATACTTTCAGTCTTATCTCTTGCCATCAGATTACATATCCTATGTTACAAACTGTGTACCTTATAAACCTTGTATCCCTATTTACCATTATATACCTTTTGTTTTCCCACTTCCCACAACATATGCAGAAAGCAGATGTGAGCCATAAACCAATCACCAAGGTAATGAAGTAACTGCGTTTGAGTTCCCTTTCCTCTCCACTCCCTCCGTGCCCATTCACATATATACCTCCCCAGCCACTTTTCCACAAGCAACGTAAATCACCAGAAGATAATGAAATCTTTGGTAGCGAGGAAAGATTACATTTCCTCCTCTATGAGGACTGGCATTTTAGCACAGTGGTTAAGTGTTTGTGCTCTGGAGTTACCCTGCCTGATGGTTTCAAATCCTAGTTCAGTAATTTCTGGTCTCTGTAACCATAGGTAATTTACTTAACTCTAACTTTCTCAACTGTTAAAGATGAATAAAAATAACCCAAAAGCAAAGAACAAAGCAAGCTACAGTTAAGGCACGCTAAGCCACTCCCATCTGGTTGCAGATTTGTAAAGCTAGATTATTTTGCCAATGACTTTGGGACTCAAAATAATTGACACTTTTTTGTGGTCTGCCCCAACAAGCATTGCTACAAGTAGAGAGGAGCTTGCCAGAGAAGAGGCATAATATAGTGGGAAAAGAATTAATTTGGGAAGCTATGTAGACTTGGATTCAAATACTTGCTCTTAAAGCTAATAGCATGACTTTGAAAAATTTATTCTGTTTGCCTTCCTGAACCTTATTTTTCTTATATGAAAATGGGGAAAAAATAGAAGTTCAATAGGACTGATGGGAGGATAAAAAGTGAGATAACCCCTGTAAATAGACTTGCACATTTAAACACAAGTCCTTTCTCTCCCCCTCCCTATTCATTACAGAAGCAAGAGCAAAATTAATCCTTCTAATTCCTTAAGCTTCCTTTTTTATCCCTAGCAATCTGATTATTCAATGTTTCCCCATGTTCTTTGCTTTCTAAGCATTTCTTTCCTAATACAATCTTTCATTCGGTGTGTGCTATTAAGAAGCAATATAAATTAGCTAAAATGTGCTTCTGTTTTCTTTCTGGTGAACAAATTCTCACTGCATTCTAATAAATAAATTGCACTGTATTTCCTGCACTTGTTTATGATCTGTGATCATGTCTACATATTGATATACCAGCAAATACCATACTCATTTCCTTTTCCTGGAAACATTTATTTGAACTCAAAATTATACTTATTTGAAACTTGAGCACAAAACTAGAATTACAATCATTTTTTTGTACCAATACAAGCTGATAATATGATCCATTTTGTTTACTTGTTTCTGAATCTGAAAATTAATAATAGGCATCTATTTCTTATTTCTCCATGGCATAACTTATTCTCCCTATCCACTAGGTTCTTTGTTTTATTTGCCTGCAGTAATGAAACTAAAAGAAGAGGACATTTCATGCTCATAGTTATTTTGCTTCATTATGAAAAACAAGTCTATAAATTTAGTCATGACTGTTAGGCACTGTGGGATTCTAGTTAAAAAAAAAAAGAGGGTGTATATTGCCACATTATAATGATAAAGTATAAATGCCTATATATATCATTTTTTCTAGAGTAATTCAAATTAATAGCTTCCATCTAGAAACATCACATAAGGTGTCTACATGGTAAACAATTATCAGTAATTAGGGTTTCTTCAACAGCTATTTTATTGCTGTTATATATATGATCCCTTAGGTGCTTATAAAATAACAGTTTACTACATTTTATTTTCATTTTAATAACCTATAAGTACTTCAGTTTCCACTTCTAAACATTCATTCAAAATTCAGTTACCAACTACAAATTAAATTATACTATCACTGAGAAAATGTCTATATATCAAAGCCTCTGCAATTGCTTTATGTTCAATATACTCAATCACTGAATACTTGTAGGCCTATTACATACCAGGTACTGTCAGGCCCTGGTGATACAGTGATAAGCAAAATAGAAACAGACCTTGTCTACATGTATATATAGAAAACCTAAGTGCTGCACTCAAGATGTGTGTAATAGAGAAATAGGAATTTTTTTTTTTTTAAGACAGGGTCTCACTCTGTCATCCAGGCTGGAGTGCAGTGGCACAATCCTGGATCACTGCAACCTCGACTTCCCGGGCTCAGGTGATCTTTCCACCTCAGCCTACAGAGTAGCTAAGACTACAGGCAAGCACCACCACGCCTGGTTAATTTTTGTATTTTTTGTAGAGATGGGGTTTCACTTTGTTGGCCAGGCTGGTCTCAAACTCCTGCACTCCAAGAAATCCACCCCCCTCAGCCTCCCAAAGTGTTGGGATTACAGGCATGAGCCACCACGCCTGGCCAGGGAAATAGGATTTACACGTAACGTTTTTGGAGACATCATAAACAGTAAATCCATGGCCATGTGTTGTGGGAGGTGCAAGGGAAAAAGGAGTTTGTAGATTGTCTGGAAGTCACACTCCAGATGTTAAAATAGAAACAGAACTACAAATAGATAAAGCACTCCCCCCATAAAAGCAAAGAATAAATTCATAAAATATTACCCACTTTATATATTCCCCTCTCCCTGCCACCCCTTCTATGTTTTCACAACACTTGTGAAATTTCTGAGTTGAGAGTAGCAATCATTTTCCTCTCTCCTCTGGCCAGATGTCCCAAGATTTGTGTCTTTCTGCCTAAGTACTACTTCTAATCCGAATGGTCTGATGTATCAGTTGATTATGCCTAACATGGCAGCATGCTTATTCAGATGTACCTTTTTTTGATAGAAATTTTTTTATTTATGAAATACGTATGCAAGAATTGTATCATATCTTTTAAAATGGCAATTTTAGCTGAGATTGAATATCTAGCAAATATATTAGAATAATATCTTATTAACATATTTTAGAATGCTTAAGGAAATTTCAAGATTACAGATTTGCAACAGGATGTAAGAAAAATTTGGAATTCTTGGAGGTTGAAATTATAGGAAACAATCTGTTTTCTCACAGAAAGACAGTATTTGTGAGTTAAACTAAGAATAAATTGGACAATTGGTGTGGCAAAACATGGCCAGTCTTATGTTATAATATCAGAAAACACACACATACACCCACATACTCATAATATAGACCAGTGAAATTAAGGAAAAGATGAAGGAAAAATCATTCACTGATTACTCACTTTTATGTGCTTTTTGTCATTTATTAATTCTATCAGAAAACAATTATTGAGTGACCATGCAAGGCAAAATAGAAAATGAGTGTGTCCCCCAGGACAATGGAAAAACAAGGAACAAAGTGCCACAGAATCCAGGACAAGCACCTTTGAGGAAAAAAAAAAGAGAGCTCTATAGTACCAAATGCAGTGGAGACATTACATAAGACAGGATCCAAAAAATTAGTAATGACCATTCGATTTAGCAATAAGGAGATCAATAACGACCTCAGGGAGGGCAGTATCAGCAGGGTGATGGAGACATAAGCCACATGAGTAGTGAGGAAGAAGAGAAAATAAAGGCAACTCTTTCAAGTTTTGCATATATTAATTTACTCAATATTGCCACCACAAATCCGTGAGACAGATATCATTGTACAGATGTAGAGTGAGTCTCAAAACTGTGTAAAATGGTTATATCAGATACCTCTAGCATGCCACTTCAAATTCTCTCAGCTTCATCTCTTATTCCAGCCACTGCTACAGCAACCAGTTCTAGGCAGGCTTCAACCAGCTTCATGCAAGTGCAACCTGACAGCATCTTGTGCATCTCACCTTGGGCAGGTGCTAAGCACCCCTCACTTCTCTGACTCTGTGATGCACTTGGCACTCATACATGTACAACTCCCAAGTCCAGGGGAATTAATGCCTGTGACACCATCCTTGACCAATGGAAGACAGGAGCCAAAAGATAAAGATTCCCATCCCCTTCATTCTTTAGGCAGAGAGTTCTGTGATGCATTTCATAAGGTTTCTCAGAAGTCTTACAACACGAAACCCCAGTCACCCATTGTGATGGACAACACAACAAACCATCTTTGTGCTGGCTTGTCTTTCTTCCTTGTTTCACCACTCCTCTTCACCACTCCTGATCCCAAATGAACTACCATGCCTGCAAGACTTTGTCTTAGGCTCTGTGTTCTAGAGAGCTCTGAGTAAGACACTGCCAGGGACAAACACCTAATGAGTGACTGTACAGGGACTCAAACCAAAGTATATGATTCCAAACCCCATGTCCTTTTTTCTACATGATTTTTACTTTTTGATTAAGAAAATTACTCTAGTTCCTGGCCAAAACTTTTTAATCTTATGGGAGCTAAATAACGTGTACACACAGAAGCAGAGTGTGGAATAATAGACAGTGGAGACTCACGGGGGTGGTAGGTGGAGAAGGGGTAGATGATGGGAGGTTGATCGGTGGGTACAATGTGCACTGCTCCAGTGATGGATGCACTGAGGGCCCTGACTTCACCATAATGCAATGTATCAATGCAGCAAAATTGCACTTGTACTCCACAAATATATAGAATTTTTTAAAAAATTAAAACAGAAAAAAGGTCAAAACAGCTTAAACAGAAAAGAAGAAATAAATGTGAAGTTGAGTAGAAAAAGGACAAAGTGGAACCTGAGAAGACAAACCAGAACGCACAAGGATGAAGGTGAACCTGTGTGGGACTCTCAATACCTTCAAGCTTCAAAATGTGATGGGATGTGTAGGTGATCTGCAGGAGAAGCTGGTGCACTCTGTTACGGGAAGCTTGAGAAGCTTAAGAAAGAGGGCTGAAAGGAGATGAAGGAGCTACGGGGCTGCTGCTGCCCCAGGCCACAAGGTAAACTAGGAGATAAGGAACAACGTGGATTATCTGTGGCTTTCTTCAAAGCCAAACTCATCTGTCTCAGGAAAAATTTTCCTGGTGCCCTCCACAGACCTTCCAAGTTTAAACAGATCATGGTTGCTGTCACATTTCTTTTTTTTTTTCAAATCTCATGTGAAATACCTCTTGTGGCCCACAGTATTCCTGAATATGCAGAATAGGGAATCCTCAGAAAGCCAGTACCTGCTTAACTAAATTGACACAATACAAACCCACCATACTAACTCTTTTGTTGTGTTGCCCTTCTCCATAGTAGCACCTGCAAACCTGTGTCCACGATATACCCATATACACACACCATAATCTAACAAGACCCCAAACACATGCCTCTATGCTTTTGTATAGACTACTTCTTCGGTCTGGAATTTCTTACCCTTAACCAGGGCCAACTTGATCGGCATGAGATTTGCGTGTAGGCTCTTGTGTTTGCAAGACCCCAAACTTGGTTTAATGTTGTGCTGTCACTGTCTTGTAATTCTTAATATTACAAGGTACTCCAAGTTGCCATTTTGCACTGGGGCCCATAAATTCAACATCTGATGTTGTCCCAGTCTAGCCCTCATCTTTCTGGCAGATTTGCTTCTTCAAAGCCAAATTTACCTGTCATTTGCTCAGGGAAAATTTTCCTGCCCAACAACTCTATCACTCTACACACACAGAAACACACACACACATACACACACACACACACCAGTTAAACAAAAAATCCTTCCTCTGAACTGTGGCTTTTAACTACTGCTTTGAACTTATCACTATGAAAGATCATTGTTTATTTTCCCAACTTAACTGTAAGTTCTTAAAGTGGCTCTCATCTTTGTATTCCTGTGCCCAGCACAAAACTCAGCACATTATGTCAGTTGAGTTAAAAAAAAAAAAAAAGTAAAAACTTTAAAAATAAAAATTTATTAAAAAACAGCAGCTTTCTTATTTGTGCAAAAATCTTAAACCATCTTTTGAGGGGATAGGTGTGGTGGCTCATACCTACAATTCCAGCACTTTGGGAGGCCACACCTGGAGGATCGTTTCAGGCCAAGAGTTCAAGACAAAACCTAGTCAACATAGTAAGACCTCTGTATCTACAAAAATAAATAAATAAATAATTTAAAAAATTGCTGTAGTCCCAGCTACTTGGGAGGCTGAGTTAGGAGGATCACTTGAGTTGAGGCTGCAGTGAGCTATGATTATGCCACTGCACTCCAGCCTGGGCAACAGAGTGAGACATGGACTCCAAAATAAAAATAAAAATAAAAATAAAAATAAACTCATTTTTTCATATTTGTGAAAAGTCTTAAAGCTGTGATATTATGGCATGTACACACATTGGTTTTTGTCCATTGTTCCTGGCTAATAATTCCCATAGCCCTTGTTACAGTCCTTTGTTATGACGTTGGGGCACTTTAAGCCTCAGAAGCAGGCCTCAGAAAACAGAAACTCTCTCTCTCTTAACTTCCCTGGCCCTTCTTTCACCAGCTCAAGGCAGGACTCTAATCTGATCGCAGGTCATAAGACCCTCATTTCAGAAGGGGTTATGCCCCATCCCCTGAAGGAAGGAAAGCTGCACAGAGAAGCCAGTAAGAATGTGAACAGACAGGACTTGCTGGGTTTCCCCACTCAGCCCATTAATATTAGATCATATCTTTTTTGTCCAATCACATTTCTACATGGTTGTCAATCATGCCTATCAAATGAAGTCTCCATAAAAGGTCTCAGAGGACTGGTTTCAGGGAGCTTCTGGATAACTGAATACCTGGAGGTTCCTGGAGGATGTCTGCACTTAGCCAAGCCTTAAAGTATTTACAGAACCAGGAAGGAACCATCTATACCAATTCTAAGTTAAGTTGGACTAAACAAGGTCTTATTAATAGCAAACGATAATTGAAATCCCAAACTTACAAGGTTTTCAACAAAAGTAAAGTTTGCTAAAAGTTAACAGTGTAACATGTATTATCCTAACCTCTAATCTTGTGGCCTTAGACACTCTAGACCGCAGACATGAAGGAAGTTTGTTTTGGAAAAGAATGGTTATCATCTTTGAAAAAAAAAAAGTGGGGGTAGGGAGAATTTATGTAAAAAGAATGTTATATGGTAAATTCTTGTCCTGAAGTAAAGTAACTGGTTGTTTAAAGAAAGGGATGTTCGCAACAAGTCAGAAAGTTGAGGCCTGTCAAAGAATTGTCTGTGAAAGTCATGAAAAAAAAAGTGTGTTATAAAAGGGAATTTATGCAAGAAATGTTGTATAATTTAAAAGTAATCAGGCCTCCAGAATGTAAAACTATTGAAGAAACAGTTTATGTGCAAAGTGTATAAGGAAAGTAAAATATACTTTTGGTAAAAGGATTATAAGGAGGCATAAGAATGTATGGATTTTTACCTACATTAAAGGGTTAAAAAAATTTTTTTTGTTTTGAAGGTTTAAGCAAGTTTTGAAATGTTAATTATAAAGGAAATTCTCTGTGTAAACATATTGCTTTAAGTTAGGGTATCATCCAGTTTTTCTGTGAACTGGACATTAAAATAAAAGCATAACGGGTTTTTCTTAAAGCACTAACCTGCTTTTTAACAAAAATTATAAAAAGTTAAAAAGAGTCTATAAAAATCTTACCTTATGGTCAGACGTTAAAATTGGATAAATATGTCTATAAGGTTTTATTAAAATTGAGTTTAATATTAATAACACACTAATATGGCCGGGCGCAGTGACTCACCCCTGTAATCCCAGCACTTTGGGAGGCTGAGGTGGGTGGATCATGAGGTCAGGAGATCGAGACCATCCCAGCTAACACGGTGAAACCCCGTCTCTACTAAAAATACAAAAAATTAGCCAGGCGTAGTGGCGGGCGCCTGTAGTCCCAGCTACTCGGGAGGCTGAGGCAGGAGAATGGCGTGAACCTGGGAGGCGGAGCTTGCAGTGAGCCAAGATAGCGCCACTGCACTCCAGCCTGGGCGACAGAGCAAGACTCCGTCTCAAAAAATAAAAAATAAAATAAAATAAACCACACTAATATAAAGGTGACATTTAGCTTATCTGGTATAAAAATCATACAGGAAGCATTGTGAAATATAAAATGGTGTTTGGCTTTCTTTGGTCTAAAAACTAATAAAAATAGGTGCTAAAGGAAATTTCTCAGTAAGAAGGCACCAAGAACTATAAAGTCCACTGCTGATGTCCCCACATTTAAAACAAAATATCAATTTCTTAGAAATTATATACTTGGTTTATCTTCCACTTTCCTTTCCCTCAAAACTAAAAGTCTTTTAGCACATGTACCACCCCTAGAATTTCTGGTAAACGAGCACCAGCCTGAGGATCACGTTCTCATCAAAGGATGGAAAGAAGGAAAACTCGAGCCAGCCTGGGAAGGACCCTACCTTGTGCTGCTAACCACCAAGACTACTGTTTGTACAGTGGAAAGGGGATGGACTCATCACACCTGAGTCAAGAAAGCGCCACCCCCTCCAGAGTCGTGGGCCATGGTCCCTGGGGAAAACCCTACCAAACTAAAGCTAAGAAAAATTTAACTCTCTTTCATCTATTCTATTACTCTTTCTTCTTCCCTCGCTCTATTGCTGACCATCTAGTTATAACATAACCAAGTCAATTTCTCCTCAAACTATTACATTTGATGCTTGCCTTGTTATACCCTGTGGGGACTTGCCAAGTCAAAGACAGCTCTCTACTTCAGAAAAGTACCGCTGTCCCTCCTGACTCTCCTCAGACTGGGCCTTAGTAAATTGGGACCATTTAATCTGGGGAGATTTCGATAAAGACTCCAGTGTCAACCAGGAGTCTTGCCCCCCCGATGTAGAGCTTTTATGCTGTAGTTGGTCCAGCAATCAGTGGGCAAGGATGGACTGCCCCAACCAGTTTTTGTAATTTCCTAAAACCATACATTCATTTCCCTAGAGGATCGTAGAAGTTAAAGACTTAAAACAAACTTTGGCAATTAAGACAGGATACCAAGATTCAAATGCCTGGTTGGAATGGATCAAATATTCCATCCACACGTTAAACAAAAGCAATTGTTATGCTTGTGTGCACAGCAGGCCAGAGGCCCAGACTGTCCCCTTTCCACCAGGGTGGTCCTCCAGTCGATCACATGTGGATTTCCAGGATTCTACGGCCTGGAGTAACAAGTTGTGCCAAGCTCTCTCTCTGCTATATCCCAAAGTCCAGCACCCTGTGGGTCAGCCCCTGAGGGTCATCCAGCTTCTGTCTCCCAACACTCAGTTCACTTTGTGTCTCTCACAACAAGGAGGAAACTTAGCGTTCCTTGGAGACCTGAAGGGATGCAGTGAGCTTAAGAATTTTCAAGAGCTTATCAATCAGTCAGCCCTTGTTCATCCCTGAGTGGATGTCTGGTGGTATTGTGGTGGACCTTTACTGGACACTCTGCCAAATAACTGGAGTGGCACTTGTGCTTTAGTCCAGCTGGCCATCCCTTTCACCCTGGCATTTCATCAACCAGAGGAAAGAAAAATAAGACATCATAAGGCAAGAGAAGCCCCTTAAGGGTCTCTCGACTCTCACGTCTATTTAGACACAATTAGAGTCCCACGGGGAATACCAGGTCAATTTAAAGCCCAAAATCAAATAGCTGCAGGATTTGAGTCAATATTTTGGTGGATGACAATTAATAAAAATGTAAATGGATAAACTGCATCTACTACAACCAACAGTGATTTATTAACTACACTAGAGATGCTGTTAAAGGAATAGCTGAGCAATTAGGGGCTACAAGCCAGATGGCTTGGGAAAATAGGACAGCCTTAGACATGATATTAGCAGAAAGAGGAGATGTTTGCATCATGATTAAAACTCAATGTTGTACCTTCATCCCAAACACCGCCACCCCTGATGGAAGTATAACAAAGACATTGGAAGGTCTGACTGCTCTGTCCAATGAGTTAACCAACAACTCAGGGGTAAATGACCCCTTTACAGGCTAGAAAAGTGGTTCAATAAATGAAAAAGAATAATAGCCTCAATTCTTACTCCCCTCATAGCTGTAATGGGTGTACTTATTCTTGTCAGGTGCTGTGTCACACCATGCATCTGTGGGTTGGTGCAGAGGCTCATAAAAATGGCAGCTACTAAAACCTCCCTCAGCTATCCTCCGCCTTATCCAGAGCTTCTTCTTTTGGAAAATCAAGCAAAACAACTAAGCCAAGACATGTTAAAAAAAAGTTTGAAAAGAAAGAGCTGTAAGAAAATGCAAGAGGAAGGGTTGTTAGATATGAGTTCTAAATTCTTTTCAAAGAATCAATATGTCAGTATGTTCAATTCTTTGCCTTCTAGTTTTAAACTTAACTTCCTCATAAAGCAACTTTTTTGATTACCTGCTCCACCCTGGTTCATTCTAATTACCTGTTCCACCCTCATTCTGATTACCTGCTACCTGCCCCACCCTAACTCATTCTCCACCCTGCATAACCATTTTTCCTGCCAAACCACTCACCCCATCACTCTCTTTAAGTTAGCCAATCGGAATTAGTTTAGCCTGTGTGGTCTAACCCTAGCCAGTAGGGGAACGACACAGCAGCAGGGTCCATGTGCCTCAGGGATAAGAACCGCTCCCACTCCCTTGTCCAAGTGTGCGCTCACCATTGCTCCATCTGTAAGGGCACACTCTTCTGTAGAAGTACCTTGCCTTGCTGAGAATTAAAAAGAAATTTTTTTTAAAAAAAGGAAATTAAAAAAAAAGAAAATGCATTTAATACATCTAACCTACCAAACATCATAGTTGAGCCTAAAAACATTTTCAGAACAATTACATTAGCCTACAGTTGGGCAAAATCATCTAACACATCTATATTATAAAATATAGAAGCATATTTTATAATAAAGTGTTGAATATCTCATGTAATTTATTCAATAAATGATCATGTCATAATATGCATATCACTTTTGCACCATTGTAATGTCAAAAAATCATAAGAAGAGCTAACATAAGTTGGGACTGTCTGCATATAACAGGGAAGATTAAATGACTCTTTAGCAAAGTTTTAAAAAGAAGCTTGCAATGTATCTTCACTTAGGATGGAGGTCTGAAAATCTTGTAGAATTAATTCCTTTCTTTTTCTGCTTAGGAACAAACAGAAAAAGGTTATTATAGAGTATACAAGCTGCTGCATTTTACGATTTAAAAACAACAGCAGGGGAAGAGACCTGAGATACATTTTTCCAGATGCTGTTTGTCATTCACATAGCATAAAATAATTCTTTGAACATCAGGCATGGTTTAACTCAGTATCATTTCCAACCTAGGAGAGATGACCTGCATATCAAGATTTTAATTCATTGAGTCACAATGCAAATCAGAGAGGGTAGAACATTATGGCACGCTATGTGGACAGGCATTGCTTTAGCAAACCTAGGGAGAAATAAAATCATCCCACTTCTTAAGACTTACAGCTCTGGTGTAAAAGCCAGTCACCTTGTTCATGTGTTGAAATCAATGATATTTGCAATAAAAAGATTATTTAATCAGATTGTTAACAGCTGAATAAGCTTTTACCAAATAGTCCTTTTCTTTCCAAGTTTTATATAATATGGCTTTTAGAATTTTCCCCGCCAGGCATGGTGGCTCACGCCTGTAATCCCAGTACTTCAGGAGGTCAAGGCAGGAAGATCACGACGTGAAGAGACTGAGACCATCCTGGCCAATATGGTGAAAACTCGTCTCTACCAAAAATACAAAAAATTACCCCAGTGTGGTGGCATGCACCTGTAGTCCCAGCTACTCGGGAGGCTGAGGCAGGAGAATTGCTTGAACCCGGGAGACAGAGGTTGCAGTGAGCCGAGATGGTGCCACTGCACTCCAGCCTGGCAACAGAGCAAGACTCCATCTCAAAAAAAAAAAAAAAAAAAAAAAAAAATTCCAGTTAAAGTTTCTAAAGGAAAAGGATAAATGAATTCCAATGTTTATAATAACTAAGTAACATGTATTCTGCCATGACATATACTAATCCCCTTACCTAAAAAAGCTCATTTAGCCAGATGTGGTGGCTCACACCTGTAATCCCAACACTTTGGGAGGCCAAGGCAGGAGGATTGCTTGAGGCTGAGAGTTCCAGATCAACTTGGGCAACATAGTGAGATGCTGCCTCTACAAAAAAATTAACAACTAGCTGGGTGTGGTGGCACACATCTGTAGTCCCAGCTACCTGGGAGGCTGAAGTGGGAGGATGACTTGAGCCTGGGAGGTGGAGGCTGCAGTGAGCCATGAATGTGCCACTGCACTGCAGCCTGGGTGAGAGAGACCCTTTCTAAATAAATAAATGGAACAGAAAATAGCTCAGGAAACAAAGGGGCATGAGCAAGAGACTGACTAGAAAAGCCAGTGATGTAGGTTAACAAAAACAGTATGGTGTTCTAGGGACCCAGGAAGAGTGTTTCAAGGAGCTGTATCAACTGTTAGGTCAAAGTGATACTGATGATCAACTTGAATTCACAAACAGAGGTCACTGATAAAACCTTAACAGAAGCGTTTTTAGTGGAGTGGTGAGGATAAAATCTGACCAGAGTTGGGTAATAAACTTGAAAGAAGTAAAATTTAGTATAATTATTTTTAGCTTTTTTGGGGGGGAACTGCTCTAGTTTGAATGTATGTCCCCCGCAAACCTCATGAAATTTAATCCCCACTGGGCACAGAGGCATGTCTGTAATCCCAGCTACTAGGAAGGCTCAACGGGGAGGATTACTTGAGGCCAGGAGGCTGCAGTGCACTGTTTGTGCCTTTGAATAGCCACTGCACTACAGCCTGGGCAACATAGCAGGACTCAGTGTCTAAAAGCGGATTAAAAAAAAAGGAAAAAGAAATTTGATCCCTAATGTTGGAGGTGGTGCTTAATGGGAGGTGTTTGGGTAATAAAACAGATTCCTCATGAATGGTTTCATGTAGTCCTCTCAGTAATGAGTGAGTTCTCACTCTATTTGCTCCCAAAAGAGCTGGTCATTAAAAAGAACCTACCACTTCCCCCTTCTCTCTTGCTTCTTGTCTATGTGATCTCTGCACACACCAGCTACCCTTCGCCTTCTATCATGAGTGGAAGCAGCCTGAGGCTTTCACCAGATGTCCAATCTTCCAGCCAACAGAATCACGAGCAAAATAACCCTTTTTTTAATGTATAAATTACGCAGTTTCAGGTATTCATTTATAGCAACAGAGTAAGACAAGTACCTACTGGGAAGCATATATAAATTATGAAAACTGCAAATTTTTAAATACATGTAAATACTACCCAAGGATATCTGTATTTAAATGCAGCTTTGCCTGCAGACTTCATTAACATGAGAAACAAAGGCAGCAGTCTGTTTTCTGAATGAAGCATAGTAGGGCCAGGAGTAGTGACTCTCGCCTGTAATCCCAACACTTGGAGAGGCCAAGGCAGGCGGATCGCCTGTGGTCGGCAGTTTGAGACCAGCCTGGCCAACATGGCGAAACTGTCTACCAAAAATACAAAAATTAGCCAGGCATTGTGGTGGGCACCTGTAATCCCAGCTATTCAGGAGGCTGAGGCAGAATAGCTTGAACTCAGGAGGCAGAGGTTGCAGTGAGCAGTGAGCCAAGATCACGCCACGGCACTCCAGCCTGGGTGACAGAACAAGACTCAGTCTCAAAAAAAAAAAAAAAAAAAAAAAAAAAAGCACAAGCACAATTCTAAACATTCAAAGAAAAAAAGTGTGTTATCTTTCGTGGCAGCATTGGTATCTGATGCATTTGTAAATGACAATTTCTTTAGATTGCCATTGAAGTTTCTTAAATAGCAGTAATAGTTTCTTCATTAAGACATATCCTATTTCATGCCAAACTTCATATGTATTCTTACATTGCAAAGTCCAAGGATAGACACAAAGTAGAAAGATACTACTCAAAGAATTTTTAAGGATGCATAAAATGATCCTCAATTCTAGAAAACGTTATTACTAATTTCTTAATGTAGCATTTATTTGGAGTTGCTTAATGTTTTTCAATTACATGACACACTGTTTGTTTACACAATTTTAAACTTTGAGGTAATTTGTGCCAAAGGATCTAGAGTAATTCTCAACAGAGGTAGGAATGAAGCAATTTTGCCCACCAATGGACATTTGGTAATGTCTCCATTCTTCTCATAGCCTGTGGGAATTGGAGGGAAAGAGTGCTTTTTGTCTGTAGTGGCAGAGCCCAAGTTAGCTACTAAACAAGCTAAAGCGCATGGGATGGTCTGCTAAACCAAACTGTCTTTCAGAAATAGTCAACAGTGGCAAGGTTGAGAAACCCTGTTCTTAGAGGTTCAAATTATACCTGACACATAGGAGGTAAAAGCATGGAGTCTGGTAACTGAAAACACTCTACACACTCTAAATTCAAAACTACATGGGTGTAAATATCCACCATTTGACTAACAGAATGAATTCAAGTAATTCAACTCGTTTAACAATTTCAAAATTTTTGAGATAATCCACGTAATTCAAATACTTAGTTCAGTTCCTGACATTTAAAATGTGCTTCTACTACCCTGTAAACATTTAATTGTATACTTACGTATGAAAATCCAAAATTAATGTCACTGAATTCCTCAAGTTTCTATGATGTGATGACTTACACACACCTATGTGAAAACTTGCTATATTCCCCATCTTAAAATTATGAATATACTTCCTGGCCTTTGAAAACCTGCACCATGGCTAAGCGCAATGGCTCACGCCTGTAATCCCAGCACCCTGGGAGGCTGAGGAGAATGGATCGCTTGAGCTCAAGAGTTTGAGACCAGCCTGGGCAACATGGCAAAACCCTGTCTCTAAAAAAAATTACAAAAATTAACTGGGCATGGTGGCACATACCTGTAGTCCCGGCTACTTAGGGGCTGAGGCAGGAGGATCACTTAAGCCCGGGAGGTAGAGGCTGCAGTGATCCATGTTTGTACCACTGCACTCCAGCCTGGGTGACAGAGACTATCTCAAAAAAAAAAAAAAGAAAAAAGAAAAGAAAACCTGCACCCTGCACCAAGACTCAGCAGCCAAAATTCTCAAGATCTCTTGACTACTAGCACCATGGTTAGCACTGATAAACTCAGATTTCAACTTCAATCCTAGGACCAAAGCAACTTATAACCTTGAAAATCACAACAAAGAGATGCCAAGTAAAAACCATTGTTAAAAACTGCACACACTTCAACAGCCAGTAAGAGAAACTCAAAGGTTTCCATTTTGCCAGTGTCAGATGCTGGAGTATCCTTCCCAATTTACTTTTGTATAATTTCCAGTTCCAGTTGTTATGTATGCTCTAGTGAAGTTACCAACAGTCTATACACAAAATGGAAGTGTTTTACTAAAGCAGCTTAAAGTCGTATTTTCAAACTACAGAAATTCAAGAAATTCTTTAAATTCTAATAGTTAATTTCCTATACTCTAAAGTTCAGAGCATACTTTCAGCATAAAAAAGTGACACATATCAAGTTTCAGTTATTTATTGATTTAATCATTGTAATCTCCAATAGAGATTACAATAGAGATCTCCAACATGATTTCATGCATTTAGAGGAGAAATATTTCCTGGTTAAGTGGAAAATTGTGCGGATGTGGCTTCTGGAAGACCTTCATTCTAAAGCAGCGTTATAGTGAAACATTTCATTTAGAAATCTGGACGTTCCTTCTTCAGCTTGCTGTAATCCACATTCACTGAGTAGAACTTGGAACAGAAAAAAAGATATTTTAAGTAATCTCAAATACACAGAGACGGTACAAAGGTTTTAGAATTCTTTGTATTTGGTTTTCTACAGTAACAATTACAGATATGAATTTTTAAAAGAATATTTAACAACATAAAATCATTCACAGAAAAATACTGTACCTAAAATTCCAGCCTTCAATGATAGTTTTGGCAAGGTAAAAATATTCAATTTATTTCAGAAGAGCAGTATTATAGTACAGTCTACTACTTGGAACCTATAAGGAAAATTCTTTTATTTCAAAGTGAATAATTAAGAATTCCTTCTGATACATACTTCCAATTCGGTAAGTTTTTGCCTTAACTCTACTAAGTACGTGGAAGAATCGCCAACAGAATAGAGGATTAACAAGAATTACCTTCCCTACTTGCTGAATGAACTGCTGTAATTTAGAGGGAGAGATCCTGCAACAAAAAGAGGCTAGTAATATAAGGTACTGCTTTGTTTTGTGGTTTACATAACTTCTAAGATATTTTCTCTCTCTCACTAATTTCCTAATCCAGACTATATTCAATATCAAACTGACACTTCAACTCTGGTAATGGCTTTTAAATAATACGGTATTTTTGCTGTTTACATTTCCAACATTTCTTTATAATCAATTAATATTAATTTTTAGAAATAAATCTTACTGTGATTGCTTTAAAAAAAAAAAAAAAAAACTCCCTCTCTCAGTAACTTAAAAAAAAATGACATATTTGAAACTGGTCCAGAGTTTCTACTAAGGACATATTAATGCTTGTACACAAGCCCAAATAAGGCTAAAATCTTGGGTTTACTCATTCTTGTGCCAAAGAATGCTAAAGAGGTTGTGCTATAATTACTTGAAGACTATGTTATTTATCTCCAAAAGAACCACAATTTCAGAATGATAAACATTTTCTTCAGGGTTTTTAAGCATGAAGTTCACAAATCTATATTCATTCTTTCTTCAAACCCCTTTTATTTCTTCAAATATACCCGAACTTATTTATTTCTGAAAAACTCTTAAGTATTTTACTGACAAAAAAAATCCTCAGGTTGTAAAGCTTATTACCAAGTTATCGTTGAGATACAGACAGATACAGACTTTTATGGACAGAAAATTATAAATAATCCATAAAGCAGTATTCTTTGTTCTGACAGTGTTCTTTTAAGAAACAATTAACCTAGACAATAAGGTTAAAAAAAGAAAAAGAAACTACTTGTGCTATCCTCTAACATATTAACAAAATATCAGAAATAATTTACAGAAGGGTCTGCAGGTATATATTAAGGACAGGAAAATAAACACTTGTTGGGCTCCTGCCCAGGCACCGGGCTAGATGCTTTATGTATATCTTAGTTAATCATCACAATAACCCTTCTGATTCTTAATTTATAAAAGAGGTAATTGAGATCAAGTTCTACGATTTGCAGGATCAAGGCCCTACACCCACGCAGAGTCAAAAGCACATTCATGGCATTGTTGCCAATTTTCTTAAAACTAAGCAGGCTCCTGATTTACTTGCTTCATATCCAAAATTCTCTCTAGAATTTTAAAACCTGCTTTCAACTTCCCTACCTCTATTCTTTTTCTCAGTTTAATGCTGGCTACTTTTAGAGTCTCTGAAACAATAGTTGGGAAGGCACAACATATTCTGATCTTAGCTTTGGGGAGCTTCAACTGTTATTCAGTTGAGAAGTATTGCTGGGCCTTTAATGCTCAAATCTTATTTTGGTCCTGTCTCTTGCTGTTTTATTCATAGCTTTTGCTAGATTATAGCATGGCAACAAATAATCCTCTGCTACGGACTGAATGTTTATGTCCTCCCAAAATTCATGTTGTAACCTCAAACGCCAATGGTGATGGTATTTGGAGGCTGGGCCTTTGAGAGGTAATTAGGTCATGAGGGTGGAACACTCTAACTAGTGCCTTTACAGGAGGGCTCACTCCTCTCCTTCCATATTGTGAGGACACAACTGGATTGGGCCCTCATGAGGAACAGAATTGGTTGGCACCTTGATCTGGACTTCCCAGCCTCCGGACTGAGGAATAAATTTGTTGTTTAAGCCACCTGGTCTACAGTATCTTGTTACGGCAGCCCAAATTAACACATTCAAATCTTAGCGGCTTACAACGACAAAAGTTCACTTTTCACTCACATTATATGCCATCTGTATGCTGATTGCTCCATATTTGTTTCATTCCAATTCTAAGGTGAATAAGTAGCCCTTACTTGTCAATTTTGGTCTCATGAGAGAAGCAAAAGAACGGAGGGACCACATAATGGTCCAAGAGTGGCAGGTATCATTTCCTCCAACTCATAATTTCCCACAGCAAGTCACAAATCAAATCTGATGTCAGTGGGCCAGAAAAACATATTCTCTTAGGTGAGAGATTGTGAATGATGGAGATAATAATCTAGTCTACCTGAATGGGTTTAGAAAAAGTATTAAGTAGGTTTCATTTACTCCAGCTTCTCAAGTTTCTGGATTTGGTTCCTTTTCATTTCTGTCATTTCATAACATGACACTCTTCATCTTTCCAGACTCTGCTATCAGTGTCATAGCTATTAACAGCTATGTTGTTACAGCAACATTTCATTTTCGGTTCCCAAGGCCTCATATTGGCATGTGTTGTGATATTTCAGAACATTAGTAGACTGGCTGCATTATCGGAATCATCTGTTACACTTTTTGAACTACACATACCCATAGATTCCAATACGCTCTTTGGTGGAAGAATCAAAGCCTGCTAGTTTTTTTGTTTGTTTGTTTACTTTTTAAAAGTTTCTTGTATGTGGAATTATTTTCTCTGGAATGGACTTAGTTTAAACAAATTCATAAACAATGTCATAAGACATAAAAACAAATCAGGATGCCCGTTTATCTTTTTAGAGGCAAAATATAACACAGATGAGATCGATGTTTCAGCTTAGCCATTGCATTTTTATTTTCTTCTTGTAAGGAGATTTACTGAAGGATTTAGAAGCCAAATTATAATCAGGTTAAGGGGAAAACGTGAAATCCACAAAGGGTGATGTTAAAAGTTGCTATCAGGCTGCGGGCACAGTGGCTCACGTCTGTAATACCAGCACTGGGGGGTTGAGACAGACGGATCAACTTGAAGCCAGGGGTTCAAGACCAGCCTGGCCAACACGGCAAAACCCCATCTCTACTAAAAACACAAAAAATCAGCTGGGTGTGGTTGTGCGTGCCATAGTTCCAGCTACTCAGGAGAGTGAGGCAAGAGAATCACTTGAGCCTGGGAAGTGGAGGCTGTAGTGAGCCAAGATAATGGCACTGCACTCCAGCCTGGGCGACAGAGTGAGACTCTGTCTCCAACAACAACAACAAAAAAACGTTGCTATGAGTAATAATCCATCATAGATGTACACCTGTCAAGCAGTGCTGGACACACACTGATCGGGGACCCTGTTCTTCAGAGTGATAAATCAAACAGCCAGTTACTCTCTTTTGATGAAATGGCTTGATATTATGGAAAGTGCATTGAGTGAGTTATAAACTTTAAACACGTCAACTGTATGGTATGTGAATGGTATGGTATCTTAATGAAGCCGCCCTTGGTTTTTTGGGTTTTTTTTTTTAGACAGAGTCTGGTTCTGTTGCCCAGGTTGGAGTGCAGTGGCGTGATCCTGGCTCACTGCAACCTCCACCTCCCAGGTTCAAGCGATTCTCCTGCCTCAGCCTCCCGAGCAGCTGTGATTACAGGTACCTACTACCATGCCCAGCTAATTTTTGTATTTTTAGTAGAGATGGGGTTTCACCATATTGGCCAGGCTGATTTCCAGCTCCTGATCTCAAGTGATCTGCCCGCCTCAGCCTCCCAAAGTGCTGGGATTACAGGCATAAGCCACCGTGCCTGGCCTGCCCTTGGTTTTGATGCTGTGCAGGGTCTTTGTATGCAAAATTTTTTACACATAAGGAAGGTTATGTTTGGGGAATCAATAAATGGTCTCAGTCCATGAAATCATTCTCTAGAAGAGTAGTTCCACAGACTACTCTAAATTCTCATGCCCCACAAAAGACCAGCTGAATCAGAATCTCTGGGGATAAGGCTGAAGAATCTGTGTTTCAACAAGCTCTATGTATAATGAAGTTTGAGAACACTGTGTTAGACTACCTAAGAACTAAGAAAATGGTAAATGATAGCTATACTATTTTTCCTTCTTTTCTTATACTAGCAATTAAATACCTAGCAAAAAATATTTATTAGAGCAATATACCATTTTCATTTCACAGAACTACCTAACAGCTCTTTAAAGTTCAATATAATGGAATTTTACTCGTATATCCAGTTTCAAGAAAACCCACCCCATGACAAAACTTATTACAACACAATTTCTAACAACTTTAAAACAATTTTGTAGTTTACCTTGTATTGATCATTGGGACCCAGTTTGTTCCAGGGCTCTGGGTTATTTCTGTCCCAACTAAAAGAAATAAAACATTACGACTGTTATAATAATAAAGCACTATTTAGTGTTTTGTACTAAGAATACATTTTTGAACAGATCAATCTTATTTTCTATTAGATGAGGTATGGTGTTATTTCATTATGAAGTTGAAACAGGTAGAGGATCTATAATAAGCAATCTCATGTAATCAATTAGAAAAAAGGTAGAACACAGAATCCCTATCACAAGATACTTTTTATCTGGCTTTCACAAAACCTTTCCATTTAATTAATAAAGTGATATACAGAAAAGTGCATAGAATAATGATGAATCAATCTTTTGATTGTCTATTGTTTTTCAACTGCAAATGTGCAAGTGAAGGCAAAAAACATTTACATGTGCCGAGAACCATGATTATTTTATAAAAACAATTATTTTTATGTCAATCCTCAAAACATTACAAGATTTGGTATTAGCAGTTCTACTTTACCAAAGAGAAAACGAGACTCAGAGAAATTAGATAATTTCATGAACCAAAAAAAGTAAATGAAAACAGCAGATTTGAGATCTGAACTTATTGTATGACTGTAAATGTAACATTCTTTCTACTACCCTAATGTTATCGCCCTACAGAGACTGTGGCTCCTAAACTGCCTTGATCAGCTATCAAAGTTTTAAACATTTTTAAGTACTTACCAAACATCTGGATTGAACAATGCCAGACGCAAGAGATACAGTGTTGCTCCAGTAGCTCCAGTTCCAATAAATACAAAGAGGGGGATCAACTAAACCAAACACAAAATAGAATAACCATCTTCAAATACTTAAAACACTGGCCAACGAGAGATTACAGTAGTTTCTGCACATTGATTTCCAAGTCTCAAACTGTTATTGGACTGTTTTGTCTTAAAATTTAAATAAAGTAGATCTTACATTGAGGTAAGATTTCTTATAACTGTGTTCTAAAGAAAGAAATGGAATTTGGAAAGGATGTTAAGATGACTCTGGTTTAAGTGTCTTACTTTTTAATGTGGAGCAAATTATAGGTACATTTTTAAATTTCCAAGAAAATGTATCGAGTCTTCTTCACCTCTCTAATATTTACATGTCATTCCCATTAAATTTTCTGGCTTCCTTTATCCTGGGGCTTGAAAAACAAATTCTTTGCAAATTATTTAAGGGTGCCTCTATAAAGATGTATGAAAAATAGAATCTGAATAAGTAAACGTATCTATTACAAATACTGGCTTTAAGCATTATCTCTGAAAACGTAATGCTACCAATGCTTGCTGCGTATTTAGGGAACCGGATTTAAGACAGATTAAAGATTGCATAGACTTTTAGCTCTACAGCACATTGATGTGCTGAGGAAAAATGAGATGCCAAAGAACTTAACTGCAATTTCCACACTTCGAAATTTTCCCAAAAGCAACGACGTCCAGACAAAGTGAGGATTCCAAGATCACGGACCCCTCTTATTTACCAAAAGGCCTGGTGGTGCAATGCGGCGAATACAAGAACCTCCAGAGATGGTATAACACATAGGGAACCTGACCTATGCTAGTCTCTGACCCACACAGCGCACATCTATCCCTCCTGGACCGCACAACCTGCAAAAGAGAGCGGCCACCAGACTGTTCCAATATTCACTAACTAGAAAAAACTAGGTTTTTTTTCCGAGCAGTGTCCGTCTCCTTCCTCCTGTCAGACAAAACCCCACAATGCATGGCGTAGAGGGTCACAGAGGCCTGGGACAACTAAGATGACAAACACTAGGCGAGGCAGGGTCTGGTCTGACGGACGGTAAGTGGCTGTAAATGAGGACGTTCCCAGGGAACAGAAAGAGGCGCACCCCGACGCAAGAAGGACAAGGGAAAACATTAGGAGAGCGGTCACGAACTTACGCTCGGATGCTTCTTGGCCTGACCGATGATCTGGCGGAGCATGTTTGCGGCAGAGGTCTCCGACTGGAAAGGAGAGAACCGACCTAGCCACCAGGCCCTAAGCTAAAAATTATCTGCAATGAGACACTACGGACTTCCAAAGTCACCCAGGACCTCCTACCTGAAGGACCCTTGGCTGGGAGGGCAGCTTGCGGCAGGAGGGCCCGGATGCGACTGTCTTTAATAGTGCCTGCTTAGATCTAACCCCTCATATGTTCGTCCTGACCTGGTCGGACCATCATCATTCCACTTCATAGTGAAATGCCTTCATTGCCGTGCCATGCATATTTCTGAGGGGAATTTTTTTGGTCGAAACGAGGACTCTTCGATTGACCAGACAGGCACTTTCCAAGGGTGCCACGTACTGAGGAATGCGGTCGGAGCGTGGGCGCACGGGCCGCGCGCTCCGTGAGTAGGGGGCCTCTCCCGCGGCGCCTGAGAGCCGGGTCCGCGCGCAGAGGCCCTGGGGGCGCGCGTGCCGGGTGCGCGCTGGCCAGCTGTGACTGCCGCTGAGGGAGCTGCGCGGCGCCTCTGGGAGCCGAGCGCCGGGCGCCTGGAGGGCAGGTCGGGCCTCTTGCCGCTAAGGTCAGCGGCTGCGGTTTGAGAAGACTGCAGCTGCTTCCTGTGTTACGCTGTCGCAGACAAGCAGAAGTTAAAAACTAGTAAATGACTTAAAGGTGATAATAGTCCTGGCAGTGTATTTCTGAACCCTCAGATCCTGGCCCTCGGTTGAAAGTTCGTCGCCACAAAGACCTTTCCAACACGCCACTATCCCCCGTCCCTGGTCCCAAATTGCATCTTTAAAATGTGTTTTCAATGGTCGTGTAGCTACAGATAATCTTTCCCACTACCCCAGTCGAATTTTCATTTGTCTTTTGTTTTGTTTTCTTCGTTGTTTTTTTTACCCGAAGGACTTCCATAGGACAGGCTTTGCGGGGGAGGGTGGGGGGATTGGGATAAAATGTACACTCTGAACCCTCTCCAATCTCATACGTAGCTTAAAGCATTAATCAAATGATCAAGCAAGTATTAATAATTGGGACTAGAAATCATAGGAGAAGGCTCCACCGGAAGTTACACTAGCTCTGAAGGAGGAGCGGACATTAACCAGGTGAAAACGGAGGATGCAGGTGTACAGGGCGGAGGTAATAACACGTGAAGGTCTGAAGCTATTGAAAACCCGAGGGAGCTGTATGAGGTCTAGTGTGGCTGGAAAGTAAAAGGGAGAGCAAGGTGGGGATCAGATCTGCTGGGCCAATAACCGCTTAAACATCATGGGTTTTATGTTGAGAGCTTGGGAAGGTTGTGTTTTTAAATGATTGCTTTGTGAATAATTGATTAGAAGGGATAAGCGTGAGAGGGGAAAGACCTATCAAGGGGCCATTGCAATAGTCCATAATCTGTGTGACAGATAATGGTAGCTTGAACTAGTGTAGAGAATGTAATGATGAGAAAAAAAGATTCCAGAGATGTTTAGAAGGTGGCACCAACAGGACTTGGTGGTTGGCTCTCCAGGAGTGAGGAGAGAGAAGTTAAGAATAATTTCAGAGGTTCAGTTTTGAGCAGCTCTGTGGTTGTTGATGCCAGTTATTGAAATAAGCCGTAGAGAATGATGTATAAGTGCCTATGTAAAATTCAAGTGGATCTCTATGGGGCAGAAGAGAACTACACTATAAGTATAAATTTAGGACTCAGTTTACTGATAAGAAATGAACCCATGTGACTGAATGAGATTACTTAGGGAGAGAAAGTTGACTGAGAATTTAGACAGAGGACACAGAGCCGAGGAATTCCAACATGCAATGCTTAGAAGAGGAGGTATGGCCAGTAGGTAGGAAAAAAAAAATAGATGGTAACTGTTAAGGTGATATGTCATGAAGCTTATCAAGACTGGTGTCTTTTTTCATTCATTCAGCAAATCTTTCTTAAGTACCTACTCTCCACTAGGCACTGTTCTAGCCACTAGAGTTATAGCAGTGAACAAGAAAATTACTCTGCGTTGCTAATGGAGCTTACATACTAATTGAGGAAGACAAACAATAAACAAATGAGATAATTTTTAGACAGTGACAAGCCAATAAAATAGAATAATGAGACAGACAATGACATGGAAGAGGTGGAGGAGAGGAGGTTACTTTAAGTAGACAGGACAGGGAAGGTCCGTCTGAGGATTTCTGAGTTGAAACCTAAATGAAAGGAAGGAAGTAACCTGGTAAAGATGTGGGAAGAACACTAAATTAGTAAGAGAAATGGCTTTGAGATTTAAAAAAAGAAGAAGAAGAAGAAGAGTGCTTAAAAAAGTATCAGTGTGGTTGATCCATAACTAAGGAGAAAAAGAGGAAAATGAGAGCAAACAGTGGAGTCTGTAAAGTCTATGTCCAATTCTCTGACATGGACCTTATAGGCTATGGTAAGGAGCATGGCTGTGTTAAAAGATCAGCACAAAAACATGGAAAATACTTAGAAGTGAACAAAGAAACCTTAGTGAGTGTAGATAGGCTTTCAGCAAATAAATTAGAAGAAGGGAGACCTCTTCTTCCAATATTTTATTTTGAATAATAACAGTTGATAATAAGTAGGTATGTAGAAATGCCATTATTAAAAAGAAACTAAAATCCAGTGACTTAACTTTTTTTCTTTTTGAGACGGAGTCTCACTCTGTCGCCCAGGCTGGAATGCAGTGGCGCGAGACTTAACTTTTTTTTGTCATTGACCTAGCTTCTAGAGACAACAATAATATAGATAGCTAAGTGATGCCTTTATTTATTTATTTTTGTTTGTTTATTTTTTTGAGATGGAGTCTCGCTCTGTGGCCCAACCTGGAGTGTGGTGGCACGATCTCGGCTCACTGCAACCTCTGCCTCCCAGGTTCAAGCGATTCTCCTGCCTCAGCCTCCCCAATAGCTGGGACTACAGGCACATGCCACCACACCCGGTTAATTTTTTGTATTTTTAGTAGAGATGGGGTTTCACCGTGTTAGTCAGGATGGTCTCGATCTCTGGACCTCGTGATCTGCCCACCTCGGCCTCCCAAAGTGCTGGGATTACAGGTGTGAGCCACCGCACCTGGCCTAAGTGATGCCTTTAGAGATGTTAACAAAGCAAGGTTACAAATATAAATTTCATTAAATATTAACCAAAATGTCAAATTGTGAAAGTTTAAATTTTGCACATTGAAGTTAGTGGAAAGAGTATGTCACCTATATTTTAAGTAGGGACAGGTAGAGGTGACAGTCTGGAAAAAGAAGCCATGGTAGAAGAAACAACGCAAAATTCCTGAGCTGCAGAAGTGGAATTGGTATGTGTTGTAGATTAAATTGTATGCAGATAGCTTCAGCCTCTACCTAGAAGGAGATATCACTTGCCTCATGAGGGTCAAGCTTAATAAGAAGACTTGCCTTATTAGCAAATGCGAAGTGAGAAGTAGCACATGCCATGCACAAGCAAAAACTTTAAGAGCCAACATGTGCCATGTTGTCAGTTTTCCCTCTGCCACAAGACTAGCAATATTCTAGATACAGCCTGCTTATCAGCTTAGGTGTCAGGGTAAGAACTACCTGGAACAGAGCCACTACTGACCTGCAGTGTACATGTATTAAGAATGAGAAATAGGCTGGGCCTGGTGGCTCATGCCCGTAATCCCAGCACTTTGGGAGGCTGAGGCAGGTGGATCACCTGAAGTCAGGAGTGCAAGACCAGCCTGGCCAACATGGTAAAACTCTGTCTCAACTAAAAATACAGAAAAATTAGCTGGGCATGGTGGCGGGTGTCTGTAATCCTAGCTACTTCGGGAGGCTGAGGCAGGAGGATCGCTTGAACCGGGAGGCGGAGGTTGCAGTGAGCCGAGATCATGCCGTTGCACTCCAGCCTGGGCAACAAGAGTGAAACTCTGTCTTGAAAAAAAAAATAGAGAAATAAACCTCTATTGTTGCAAGTGACTGGATTTGGGAGTAGTTTCTTAATGTGGCATAACCTAGCCTACCCTGACAAGTAAATAATTTGACACTGAAAGTGTGGTGACATGTTACCATAATAAAAATCCTAAAATATGTGGCATAGGATTTAGGTCCTGGCAGTAGGTGACAAAGTAACTGTTACCAGGGACTAGAAGGATGGCTATCTATATGTAATGCAGTATTGGAACATTTGGTGAAACACTTATTTCAATTAATTGGAAGGCAGTTAATGTTCCCAGTGAGCTGGTAGCTTTCAGTGAAACAGCAGGCAAAGAGTATATTAGCATGTATCAGTTACTATTGGCTACAGTTGACAAGGTAGTACAATAAAGATATGGACTCAAAATAATTGGTCAGTTTGCAAACTGTAATGACAGGGAGTAAAACATTCAGAAATTTAGAGACATGCAGAGTTGGAAGATCTGATTGATTCTCATATCTAGCTGTCTAAAATAAAGATGGGAAGGCATTTGGGCTACAAAGATGAATTGATAGGAAGATAATGGCCCAATCAAGAATGTGGCCATCATACCTTTGTTAAAACATTTCAGTAAATTAAGATGCCTTCAGTAAATCCTTTCAGCTGAACAATTTTAAAGTCTGGACAAACAGGTAAGGATGTAGCTCTCCAACCAAAGCGTGATAGGATTAAGGTGACTGACATTAAGTCTAAAGAAAGACAGAGGTATGTCTCAAAAAGAATTGTGGCTGTGGCATTGGCGCATGGAGTTGACTGAAATCAAATAGAAGTAGAGTAAGTACTGTGAAAAGAATGATCAGCATTGGATTAAAGAAACTTCATGGTTTGAAATATGAAAAGACACTTGAGCTCCTCCATCTTTTGCAGGTAGGAAGCCGGTAGAGAGACATACTCATATTCCGAGGAGGGTCTGTTCTCTAATGGCTTTCTTAAACAGCTCTAAGACAAGACTTGCCAGAGTGTGAGGCAAGAGCCACAGAGAAAATTCGACTGGAACTAATCCCGAAAAAAAATCCCAAAATGGCAAAATCAGGGCCTAAACAAGGACTGTTCCCCACTTTAAGTTAGCAGCAACTTCAAGACAGTGAAATTTCAGGACCATTCTTTACTTTCTGAGTAGTATCATTCATTGTAGTTATCCAGTTCCCATTTCACCATTGTATTTTGGGTGTTGTGGGCAAATAACTTGTCTTTGTTCTTCATAGATCTCCAGATCAAGAGGAGATATATCAAGAACAAACATAAAGACTATAGCATTATTCATAGATTGTCGACTTTGAGCAGGAAATAATGACAGTATAGGGCTTTTAAGTTATCTCCAACTTGGTGAGTGTATTTTGAGGGAGGAAAAAGACCTGAATGATTGTAATCAGAAGGACAGACTGTGGTAGATTTTCTTTTGCTTGCAAATATTTAATATTTTTACTGGTAAAAGATTATATTTTCTCTCTCTTTTGACACCAGGCTTAACCAAAGTGATTTGATTTGAGTAACGAAGAAAACAAAAGTAAAAATATTGATAATACAGAGGCCGGGTGCTGTGACTCCTGCCTGTAATCCCAGCACTTAGGGAGGCCAAAGTGGGTGGATCACCTGAGGTCAAGGGTTCAAGACCAGCCTGGCCAACATAGTGAAATCCAATCTCTACTAAAAATACAAAAATTAGCCAAGCATGGTGGTGCATGCCTATAGTCCCAGCTACTTGGGAGGCTGAGGCAGAAGAATCACTTGAACCTGGGAGGGGGAGGTTGCAGTGAGCCGAGATCATACCACTGCACTCCAGCCTAGGCAACAGACCAAGACTTTGCCTCAAACAACAACAACAACAACAAAAATTGATAATACAGAAAGAATTAAGACTGTGGGGCCTGTGAAGAGTTTAATGAAGACTGTGACGTTGTACTGGGCTGTGCAGAATGATCAGGCCAAAAAAGAAGGGGAATTGAATTTCATAGGATGAAACAGTCTGAACAAGGCAGAGAAATGAAGTTCATAATATAAGTGCATAGTGTGTGGAAGAAATTGAGATGAGTTCAGTGTGATGGGGGTGTGGATTGCATAGGAAGTAGTTGTAAGAAATGAAACTGAAGCCAGGCACAATGGCTCACACCTGTAATCCCAGCACTTTGGGAGGCTGAGGCAGGTGGATCACTTGAGGTCAGGAGTTTGAGACCAGCCTGGCCAACATAGTGAATCCCTGTCTCTACTAAAAATACAAAAATTAGCCAGGTGTGGTGGCATGCGACTGTAGTCCCAGCTACTCAGGAGGCTGAGGGAGGAGAGTCGCTTGAACTCGGGAGGCAGAGGTTGCGGTGAGCCAAGATCGTGCCAATGCACCCTAGCTCTGAGCAACAGAGCAAGACTCGGTCTCAAAAAAAATAGATTTGGGGCTTTATCCATTAGGCAGCAAAGACTTATAAAACATTTTGCATCTAAGCACAGAATAAAACAACTGCAGGACATAAATTGGAGATATCTTTGCCCCATCTCCTCTGAGACTTGGACTTGTGCTCTCTGGATTTCTTCTTCTTGTGTTTGATTTAATTTTGTGAATAATTTTAAAATACAAAAAATATATAAATATTAGTTGTCCAAATTAAATGTAAGACATGGCAAATAGCTCTAAAAATCCTATGCAGTATATCAGTAGCACCCAAGGTAAAGTATTTGTCTTGCATACTTTTCCTGATGTTTCAGGCCTAGAAAATTCTACAAGGTATGGTGATTATGTGTTACTATCAGTGTGTGACAGTGAAGAATTAGTTTCTGTAGAGAGAAGTCATTTGATAAGTGAGTCATGGAGTATAATTATATTAATGCAAATTGAAGACAGTATCTTATATTTTTTATTCTGTTTGCATTTAAGCACTTAATTATTTTTCTAGTAGATAAATTGACAACTGGTTGTTTTACTGATAACACAAATACAAATTATACCTTCACTTGTTAATAAAGATTCTACAGCTATCCTTAATCTAAAAACAAATATGTTCTTCCACTAGTATTGTGGTTATTTGGCATAAACTGTATTTAATTATAAAATTTCTATTAGAAAAATGAAAACATTTTTTGGTCCGTGGAAGTTTACTTCTACCATCATAAATCTCAAAGCTTCACACATTGTCATGAATTTAAATTAAATACCTGAAGCACTTGATGTACAAAATTCAATGAATACTAAAAAGCGTAGAGACTCTAGCAATTTTAAGTAGTGGTACTTCTTTTCACTGAAACCTTCTGGTTAAATAGTATTTTAGGAAAACTCTGTCTATGAATTTTGGAATATTATACCAAAGACCTAGGTCTTCAGTTTATAGGCTTTTTAGATTACCTATGTTCTATTCCTCTTCTATGATGCCACTTATTATTTCTCTGCAATTTTTATCTTTTTAAAAAAAATCCATCCATTCATTCAGTCATTTGTTCACTTATCTTATTCACTTATTAAACATATATTGAGTGCCTACTATATACTGTTCATTATGTTGAGTGCTCAGGATAAGGAGATTAACTCACTGGTGTCTTCCTTCAACACTTTTAGTCTAGTGGGGAGGTACATAAATATTACAAAGGTTTAGGATAAGCCGTGCAATAGGCACTTGTATATGACTTAGGTTATGGGTATATAGTGGTGCTACTTACCAAGATCAGGAATATGAAGTCATTTTTGGAAATGTTGAGTCTAGGATAGCTGTGGAATATCCTCAATTAGAGATACTCTGAAGGCAGGCAGAAACATCACTCAAGCTCGTGAGAGAAGTTTAGGCTGGGGTTACAATTTAAACATAAATAGCATGTAAGTGAGAGTTAATACAATGGAAATTCATGAGCATGTTTGTAAAGAATGTGTAAAATGGAAAGTGTAAGAAGAGAAGAGGCTGAATGCTCAAACCCTAGAGAGAACATGAACAAATGAGGACCAGGCTAGGAAGAGTAAGTAAAGAAAAGTTAGAACAAGTCAGAAATGTAAGCACTTATATTAGTCAGGGCTCAACCAGAGAAGCAGAGCTCCTAGGATGTATACATATATAATTAGAGATTTATTATAAAGAATTGACATTATGCAATTGTGGGAGATATGTTTCCTTTACAGCCTGCAGTCATTAGGGGACACAGTCAAAAAGGGAAGCAGCACATAAAACAGAGGAGCAAAAACACATCAGAACCTGTGGGGATAGTGGGATCCATGAGGACACAAAGACCCCATTGGTCTCTTGTTACTTTCAAACTCCCAACCTCAGTGATGTGGGTGTCCTTCAGGAGAAGCTACAGCTCCTTGTTACAGAACTAAATACAAACCAGGTCCAGAAGTATAGAAATTAAAAGAAGAATTTGGCAAGAACAGGAGTCCTAAGAGGTGTCAAAGGATTTCATGCATTCCAGACATACTCTTTTGAAACCCCATTAAGTTGTATACCCCAAATTCTCCTTAATAATCAGGATCAGTCACCCAAGTTAATGGAATAACCTCTTATTTGCCTATTGATTGAGTGACTTGAGGACCCCAAAGTGACCAGTCTCAACTTCTAGTGTAATGGAATCATTGCCATATCTCCTAATAAAAGGATTTATTCCTTAAAACTAAGATTTCTAGACCAGCAAAGCCCAAAGTTGCTAGGTTGGGAATTTCACCAGTGAATCACTAGAAGTAATAGTAAGAAGTGCACTGCCATATATACTCCTTGATTCTCCTGCTATTTTCATTGAAAATAGCAGCATATATTGCTCATGAATTTAGAGTATACACCATATACTAGAAGATATTATTGCAGCTCTCCAAGGTGTTGCTCTCAACTGGCCCTGTAACTGAGCCTAATAATTCTGTTAGGTCAATTGTTCCAGAGTGATGGAGCATGTAATAAGACCAGTGAATGACTATGAGTCCATCACCATATTACATTTGCTAGAAATTGAGTTTGTTAGAAGCAATACTATGTAGAATATTATTATAGTAAAGCATTTTATAAGTCCATGGATGCACTGCAGGCAAGGAAGGCAAATTCATGCCCACAGTGTCTATGCCAATGACAACAAAACATTTTCCCTTCCATGATTATTCATATCCTCCTCTACTGCAACAGCTCTTTGATTAGCATCCATTTGGAATACAAATATCTTCACATGCTGTGCCAACTCAGAAACATCTATCCATATATCTCTTTCTCAGATCTTGTTACCAATTTTCCAATTATATTCCTTCCAAATCCCTGGTCATCCAATGGAAATATTAGCCACACCCACTAGTAAACGTAGAGCCATACCTCTGGCCATCCTTCCTTCCAAACAAACTGAATATCAAGGAGAACTGCTAAAAGTTCCACCTTCTGGGATGATTATCTTTTACTACTGTCTTTCAGGGCCAATCCAGAGTGGGACTATAGTGCTACAACTGTCTACTTTGGGGTATTGATAACATTTCATATAAAACCATCTGTAAACCAACTTCACATATTGGTTCTTCAATTAAATGGGAATGGAGAACACTCCATGGAATCATACATGCATGTTGAGAGGGGAGGAGGCACTATTGCAGGAATCTGGACCGTAGGCATTTGTGACACTTACTCCTGCAACTTACTTATGCCTTCAGGACCTGCTCAAATCCTAGTTTCTGCTATTTCCAATTGGTGATGTAATGTGGCTGTTCACGTACAATCTTATGGCTTTGTTTGTCAGAAAAGACCCAGTTCATGATGAACTTGCTTCAAGCACCAACAGATATGCTGTGTTATGTATCTCAGCTGAAAAGCAATTTGCATGGCAGCCTAGACTTGTTGCAGATCTTTGTTTTGTTCTGGGTCCCACCCAAAACTAGCAGCTTTTCAGGTTGCTCAGTAAATGCATAAGAGTAGCACACTCAATGAAGTAAATGTTGCCTCCCAAATCCAAAGAGGCCTAAATGGTATTATGCCCCTTCAAGGTTGAGAGAAGCCAGATGCAGTAACTTGTCCTTCACTTTAAAAAGGACGTATTGGGCCAGGCACAGTGGCTCATGCCTGCAATCCCAGCACTTTGGGAGAACAAGGCAGGCGAATCACTTGAGGTCAGGAGTTAAAGACCAGCCTGGCCAACATGGTGAAACCCTGTCTCTACTAAAAACACAAAAATTAGTCAGGCGTGGTGGCACATACCTATGATCCCAGTTACTCAGGAGGCTGAAACAGGAAAATCACTTGAACCTGGGAGGTGGAGGTTGCAGTGAGCCAAGATCATGCCACTGCACCAGCCTGGGTGACAGAGTGAGACTCTGTCTCAAAAATAAATAAATAAAAATAAAAAGGACATACTGACATGTCCCAGTGAAACAGGTCAGCGTCACTGGTCTCGTCTAAGGTGTTATCTGAGCTGGTCATTACATGACCAAGAGAATTAAGGAGCATGGACACAAATGGTGAGGCTGGAGCAAAAGTTTAATAAGCAAAAGAAGAAAGCTCTCCATAGCAGAGAGGGGAGCCCAAGTGGGTTGCTGTTTTTACAGTCAAATTCAAAAGCTTTTAAAAGAAACTCCTCTCTGTAGCTGTCTGAGTAACTTCTCTTATCTGAAAAGCTATCTGCACAACTCCTCCTCATCTATATAGTTGTGCATATGACTCTAGGCAAGCACAAAGTGCTGCTTCACTTGTTTGTATAACTGCTGGTTTGTTTTAGGTAAGTGCCCCCGATCCCTGTGCAAGTTCCCATTGGAGCCCATGGTGTATATGCCTGAGAAGGGGAGGAAGCTTTTCCTGGGAACCTGCTAATCACACAAAGAACAAAAGGCCTCTGTGTTGGAACTCGTCTGCCTTGCCTGCTTATCTGTGCAGGTGCATTCTGAGTTTTCCTCAGGCTGCTCTATTTTTGCCTGTAGCTGTGATTTTTCAGGCAGGCTGCTTCTCCAAGGAACAGCCTTAACTGATGTTTCCTTTTCTTCTCCCTCATCAGACCAATGGGACCTAGACATTTCCCTGAGATGGTAGAAACCTGATTATTTGTCAGATTTGCTTCCCACCACCTGTCCTACATGTATCTTACCAACACGTCTAGAGTAGTTGTTAACTTCCTTCTTACTAGGTCCAATTAACATCATAAAGGCATACCCAAGAGTGGGCAATTTACAAAACAAAGAGGTTTAATGGACTTACAGTTCCAGATGGCTGGGGAGGCCTCACAATCATGGTGGAAGGCAAGGAGGAGCAAGTCATGTCTTACATGGATGGCAGCAGGCAAAGAGAGAGAACTTGTGCAGGGAAACTCCCTCGTATAAAACCATCAGATCTCGTAAGACTTATTTACTATCATGAGAACACCATGGGAAAGACCTGCCCCCATGGTTCAATTACCTTCCACCGGGTCCCTTCCACAACATGTGGAAATTCAAGATGAGATTTGGGTGGAGACACAGCCAAACCATATCAATGACATCATCCATGTAACTGGCCAGCATGATTTTCTGTGAAATAAAGACACAGTGAAGGCTCTGCAAAAGAGCCTGACTGGCATAGTCCTGAGACTAGACAGTCAAGGTGTGTTACTAACTAACAGAAAGCAAACTACTTTTGATGGTCCTTAATGACAGCTATAGATAAAAGCCTTTGCCAGTGCAATTATTGAACACCAGAAGCCATGGTATGTGTTGATTTTCTCCAGCAACGAAACCACATCTAGAATTGCAGCTGCAGGGCTGGGTGCAGTGGCTCATGCCTGTAATCCCACATTTTGGGAAGCCAAGGCGGGTAGATCACCTGAAGTCAGGAGTTTGAGACCAGCCTGACCAAGACGGTGAAACCCCGTCTCTATTAAAAATACAAAAATTAGCTGGGCTTGGTGGCAGGTGCCTGTAATCCTAGTTACTTGGGAAGCTGAGGCAGGAGAATTGCTTGAAACTGGGAGGTGGAGGTTGCAGTGAGCTGAGATTGCACCATTGCACTCCAGTCTGGATGACAGAGCGAGATGTTGTCTCAAAATTAAAAAAAAAAGAATTGCAGCTGCAATGAAAATTGTCACCTGATTAAGTTTACAGTAATTCACTGTCATTCTCCAAGATCCGTGTTTCTTTTTCACAGCCCCAGTAAGAAAGTTAAATGTGGTCGACCTAAGAATTGCTACCCTGTGTCTTTTAAATTCATGATGGCAGCATTAATCCTTTCAGTCTTCCAGTCCTAAAACTTTCTGCTTATACATCAAGATTTTAGTAGGTTTACCATCTATTTTGGTTCTAGAAACTCCACAATCAACTAGCCAATGCTGTACATTTTGCAGCTACTATTCTTATTACTGCTTTGGCTCTGTGGCCTAATACAATAACCATGCCTACCTTGTATTTAATAATTTATATGTCACCACATGGTGCCTACCACCATCTGATCTCATCAACAGGAGTGATTCCTCCACTGAATTCAGAGAGCCTAGTCCAGGGCTTCTCTCACAAATCATATTTCTTAAAACTTTGAGTGCCCTCTGGACCCTCACAGGGGAAATATTCAGTGAATGGGCAAGCAAGTGTTACATGTCTTACATGGTAAATCCACTTTATCATTCTAATGTTCCTGAGTCTTTTGGTTGCTTTGTTTGTTCTTGAAGATTGAAGGGGTACAAGTGCAGTTTTGTTATGTAATAGCAAAGTTTGGGCTTCTAGTGTACCCATCACCCAAATAGTGAACATTGTACTCAATAGGTAATTTTTTAACCTTCATGCCCCCCTCAACTTTACCTTCCCATCCTTCTGAGTCTCCAGAGTCTATTATTTCACTCTCCATGTCCATGTATACACTTATTTAGCTCCCACTTATAAGTGAAAGCATGTGATATTTGACTTTCTGTTTCTGAGTTATTTACTTAAGATAGTGGCCTCTAGTTCCATCCATGTTGCTGCAAAATATTAATACCTGTGCTCATTTTTTTTAGGGCTGAGTGGAATTACATGGAGATATATATATATATAATCTCACATTTTCTTTATCCAAGTATCTTTTGATGGACACTTAGGTTGTTTCCATATCTTTGCTGTTATAAATAGTGCTGCAATAAACATGTAAGTGCAGGTATCTTTTTTTTTCCTTTTGAGACAGAGTTTCACTCTCGTCTCCCAGGCTGGAGTGCAATAGCACAATCTCAGCTCACTGCAAGCTCCACCTCTTGGGTTCCAGTGATTCTCCTACCTCAGCCTCCTGAGGAGCTGGGATTACAGGCACCTGCCACCATGCCTGGCTAATTTTTGTATTTTTAGTACAGAAGGGGTTTCACTATATTGGCCAGGTTGGTCTCACACTCCTGACCTCAGGTGATTGCCTGCCTTGGCCTCTCATGAGCCACCATGACCGGCTGCAGGTATCATTTTCATGTAATGATTTCTTTTCCTTTGGGTAAATACCCCATAGTGGGACTACTAGATTGAATTGTAATTCTATGTTTAGTTCTTTGAGAAATCTCCATACTGTTTTCCATAGAGGTTATACTGATTTATATTCCCACTAACAGTGTATAAGTGTTCCCTTTTCTCCTCTTTGCCAATGTATGTTATTTTTTTACTTTCTAATAATAGCCATTCTGACTGGTGTAAGATGATATCTCATTGTGGTTTTAATTTGCATTTCTTTGATGATCAGTGGTGTTGAGTATTTTTTCCTATGCTTGTTAGCCATTTGTATGTCTTCTTTTGAAAAATGTCTGTTCGTGTTTATTGCCCACTTTTTTTTTTTTTTTGAGACAGAATCTCGCTCTGTCACCCAGGCTGGAATGCAGTAGTGTGATCTCTGCTCACTGCAAGCTCCACCTCCCGGGTTCATGCCATTCTTCTGCCTCCTGAGTAGCCTCCCGAGTAGCTGGGACTACAGGCGCCCGCCACCATGCCTGGCTAATTTTTTTGTATTTTTAGTAGAGACGGGGTTTCACCGTGTTAGCCAGGATGGTCTCGATCTCCTGACCTTGTGATCCGCCTGCCTCGGCCTCCCAAGGTGCTGGGATTACAGGCATGAGCCACTGCACCTGGCCTATTGCCCACTTTTTAATGGGGCTGTTTGTTTCTTTTGTTGTTGAGTTGTTGAGTTCCTTGTAGATTCTAGGTAATATTCCTGAGTCATTTGATACCATCCTTTCTGTGGCACCAGGAAAGTTTTGGCAATTTAACTCCCTTAAGTGTAGGCTACCTTTTAGCCCAGGTTTTAGTTAATCAACAAATAAACTGTTAGAGTCACTCCCAACCCCTCAGACAAACACACTAAATCTGGAATCTCTGCTAGTGAAGCCATGTTAATAAACTGAGTTTAATGCAAGTTTATATTCCCTCCACCCTGATACCACACTCTTTTTTTTTTTTTGAGACAGGGTCTCGCTCTGTCACCCAGGCTGGAGTGCAGTGGCATGATCTCGGCTCACTGCAAGCTCCACCTCCCGGGTACCTCAGCCTCCTGAGTAGCTGGGATTACAGGTGCCCGCCACCTCGCCTGGCTAATTTTTTGTATTTTTAGTAGAGATGGGGTTTCACCATGTTAGCCAGGATGGTCTCGATCTCCTGACCTCGTGATCCGCCCACCTCGGCCTCCCAAAGTGCTGGGATTACAGGCTTGAGCCACTGCGCCCAGCTGATATCACACTCTTAAGATCCATCCCCATACAGTTTCACCAGTATCTGTGAAAATTGACAAAATCAGCCAATTCTTTTGGTGTGTATTGTTCGTCCTAAGTTTGTGTCTCACACATTGGAGTCTACTTTCACCTGAGTCTGATTACAGATTTGGAAGCAATGAGAGGTGGTAAAGGTAGATTGTCAGAAGGAATAGTAGTCCCTTGTAAGGCAACTATCTCAGGGGAAGCTAATACAGTTCTTCAGGCAGGGGTAGACTGACAACTTGCCCAGAATTTCAGGCTCAAAATTATCGCCTTCATCAGAATCTACTCATATGTCCCCATCCCAATTTTCAGGGATGTCTTAATTTTATTAGGTTGGTGCAAAAGTAATGGCAGTTTTTGCCATTAAAAGCAAACTCTAGGCCAGGCGTGGTGGCTTGTGCCTGTAATCCCAGCACTTTGGGAGGCCAAGGCAGGTGGATCACCTGAGGTCAGGAGTTTGAGACCAACCTGGTCAACAGGGTGAAACCCCGTCTCTACTAAAAATACAAAAAAAATTTGCCGGGCATGGTGGTGGGTGCCTGTAATCCCAGCTACTCGGGAGGCCAAGTCAGGAGAATCGCTTGAACCTAGGAGGCAGAGGTTGCAGTGAGCTGAGATCATGCCATTGCACTCCAGCCTGGGTGACAAGAGTGAAACTCCATCTTAAAAAAAAAAAAGTAAACTCTACAAGGCTGGAAATTTAATTTGCAATGTTTCAGCCATCCATAGAGTTTAGATTTTGGTTTGGTTAGATTTTGAGTTTGGTTTTCTATAATACAATTTCTATGGCTATAAGATATAAAGATTTCTTTTAGAAAAGTCTAAGAAGATTTCAGGTCATTTATAGGGCCTTTGAGCCCATTCTTTCTTACTTCTGAGTGCTGGAGAACACTTATAAGCAACTCCATTATAGCCTTTTATCCACTAAAATGTTCTGTGACAGCAAATAGTCATTCAATTAAGGCTAAGGAAGACAACTTACAATAAGGTAAAGGTAATAAAAAATAAAGCTACAGATAAATCTTAATAAAAACTGAGTGTCTGGGCATGGTGGCACATGCCTGTAGCCCAGTTACTGAGGAGGCTGAGGTGGAAGGGTTGCCTAAGCCCAGGAATTCAAATCCAGCCTGGGCAACATAGCAAGACCCCGTCTTAAAAAAACAAACAAATAAATAAGTAAATGAGTTTAATTAACTCATCTATTAAAAAAAACTAAGGATGGTATAATAAAAGGCACAGAAGAAATTTTTAAAAGTTATGATGCATCTAATGACATTTTTATAAAATAACACTTTTATAAGAAAATACACGTAAACATAGTTGGCCCATGGTGAGGTTAAATAAATTAAATCAATAATGGAAGAAATTGAGAACACTCAAATAATGTTTAAGAGTATTTGTCAAAATGGTTTCATAAGCAAAGTGCTGTATCTTCAAGGTATAGATAATTCCTATGCTATTAAATCTATCTCAAAACATTGAAAAAGTAACTTTCCAAATTCACATTACAAAGGTCATAACAAAACTTGACAAGAATAGACAAACTATGCTTTCTTTAATCTCAACCAGATTAGTTGCAGCAGTTTTATCAAATAAATATCAGATCTCTCAAAATGTGAGGCCCTATGAAATATTGTGAGTTAAAATTACTTGATTTTCCGTCTGGGAAGTGGGGAGCGCCTCGGCCCAGCTGCTGGCTGCCGTGCAACCCTCTAGGTGTGAAGTGGCAGCTCTGTGTGGGATCTTTCTGCCCTCCCTAAGTTTGCATTTTCGACAGTAAAGTTTACTTTTAAATTAAAAGATTTAATTTGAGGAAGATTTTAAAAAATTACTTGATTTTAAAACTGTGCACGGACTTTCACTTTCAGAATTGACAGGCTAGGTTATTCAAATGGTTCAGACCATGGTTTTTTGTTCAAAGACATTGGGAAAGTGTAATGAGTTGAATAGTGTCCTTCCAAAATTCATGAACACCTAGAACCTCAGAATGTGAACTTATTTGGAAATAGGGTCTTTGCATACGTAATTAATCCGGTGAGTTCATACTGGATTGGGGTGGGCCCTGAATCAAATGACTTGGTATCCTTATAAGAAGAGGGAGGGACACACAGACACAGACACACACAGAGAAAGCCAAGTGAAGACAGAGGCCGAGACTGGAGTTATGCTACCACAAGCCCAGGAACACCAGAAGCCAGTAGGAACTGGAAGATAGAAAGAAGAATTCCCCTCTAGAGCCTTTGGAGGGAGTGTGGTCCTGTTCACGCCTTTGTTTCAGATTTCTGACTTCCAAAACTGTGAGAAAATAAATTCCTGTTGTTTTAAGCCACCCAGTTTGTAATGATTTTTACAGCAGTCCTAGAAAACAAATGTAGATTTCGGTATCAGAAGTGATTTGCTGCTGTTAACAGATACCTAAACATGAGTTGGTAGAAATATAAATGTTAACGTGCATCTGGGAAGGTCTCAGAAATAAATGAACATGTTGTTGGACACAAATTTGAAAATAGGCTTAGATTCAAGATAATGACTACCCTTAGGTAAGCAAGAGGGGCTCAAGAGAGGCTTCTTTGGTGTTGATGTGGATGGTGTTTATAAGGGTGTTTACTTCATGATGATTATTTGATCTATACATTTACTTATTTGTTTTTCATTTTTTTCTGTTATATTTTCCAATAAATTTTTAAAAACTGTTGTATAGATTTAGAACAATGTTAAGGAGTTTGCTTATGATTTGTCACTTAGAGATCTGATTGATTTAAAAGAGCAGAAGGTATCACTGTGCATTTTTGTTTGTTTGAAAGCTTCTCCACCTTTTCAGTTGATGACATGAAACCTCCTGTTCCTAACTAACCTTATTTGTCTGTCTAATATATAATATTGTATGCTTTACGACGTTGCTCTACTGATGCTGTCTTTGCCCATCTGTTTTGCTTTCTTGGGACTTGCCCCTTGTGAAAAACGTCTCCAAAGCCTGCCATTCATATGCACTGAAACATGAGTAAATACCTCAGCTTGTCTAGGAGATCTGTCTAATAAACTGCTATTGTAGCAAAAATTGAAGTACTCACTTGCCACTTTTGTCTTTTCTCCATGCAGAACAAATACTGATGGCATCTCACAGTATTGTGTTTATTTAAAAACAAGTTGTATTACAACATGGATGAGCCATGGAAACATTATGCTAAGTGAAAGAAACCAGACGCATAAGACCACTTATTTTTTATTTCATTTAAATGAAATATCTACAATACGAAAATTCCTCAAGACAGAACATAGATTAGTGATTATCAAGGTCTACGTGTAGGGGAAATGAGGAGTAACTGCGAATGGATATGGGGTTTCTTTTGAGGTTGATGTAAGTGTTCTGGAATTAGATAGTGGTGATGGTTGTACATTTTTTATATACTAAAAATCACTGAATTGTAAACCATGAAAGGGTAAATTTTATGGTATGTGAATTATATCTCAATAAAGCTGTTATAAAAACTCAGCCCTGAGCCAATCACTTTAAAAAAAAAAAGCTCATCTTGTTGCTATGTCTAGAGAGATGACTGACTGGCTAGGGCACAAAGGTAGAATGAAAATTTCGCTTTCATGGTACTCTTTTGTGCATTTAAACATTTTATACCATGTATACATATTATCTATAAAAATTAATTAACTTAAAACAATTTTTAATATTATCCATTTGCTAAATATGTGGAAAGTTTTTACTCATGTAATACCAAAGTCAATCCATGCTACCTAAATATTGAAGAAAATTCTGTAGTCAGTATTTTAACATAATTTGAAAACAGATTATCAATGAACTCTTTATTAGAAAATATTGAAATGATTTTAGAAGTTGCCAGCCATCCAGAGTTGTAGTTGAGAATTCTGATTCCTATTCCTTTGTAAATATCCTGACTTTTCTTTCTGGGAGTACTTATGATTTTCCTGAAGTTCAGAAATTTCAGCACAATGTTTTCTTGCTTTATCAATACTCTTTTCTCTTGGATATCTCTGAAAATATGAACTACAGCAAGATAAAATGAGCCATTCTCCATAACAAAGGATTTATGATCTCTTTAAGTGATCATAAATGTTAGCTGTTTGGCCAACTGCTTACTTCTGTAGTTTTATTTTATTTTCTAGAGACAGGGTCTCATTTTGTCACCCAGGCTGGAGTACAGTGGTACCATTGCATCTCACTGTGTCCTCAAACACCTGGGCTCAAGTGACCTTCTCACCTCAGTCTCCCTAGTAGCTGGGACTTCAGGTGAGCATCACCATGCCCTGCTAACTGATTTTTTTTCTTTTTTTGTAGAGATGGGGTCTCACTATGTTGCCCAGGGTTACTGCCATACTTGTGGATTGCCAGGTTAACTCTGCAAGGTAAGAAGGAATTCCTTTGGACGATGTAGGAGTCTTTTTAAAACGCGTATCAGTCAAAGTACAGTATAGTAGAAACCAAAACCACTCTTTTTTTGAGCAGAAAAAATTTAGTAGATGGAGTTAGATATAAACTCAATGTCTAACCTGGAGAAGAAGTTAGGGAGCTGCTTCCTGAATTTTGGCTCTGAGGCTACACAACTGTATTTGCAATCCAAATGTCAGAAAGCTGATGCTGTTAATGTTTTTGTGGCTGCCCAAACCATAACCACCTAACAGCCACAACACTCATATCTAGACACTGGAACAAGTCAGCTAGTCATTCCATATTGGAACTCATGCCTATTGGAGTTTGTTTGTCCACATCTACACCTGCAGAAAGTTTGCTATTACCTCCCTCCTATTTTCTAAATATCACAGGATCCCTTGTGTGTTGCCTCACCAGCTGGAAACCTCTATGGGCAGCGGCGATGCAACTCTGCTTGAGTTTTGTTCATGCCTGCTGGGCTCATTCTGCCCATTCAGCCTGTCAGGCTGCACTCAGCTCATGCTACTGGCTCAGATCCCATGCCCACTGAGGATGAGCCAAGCAGAGTGGTGAGAGGTATGTGAGTGAGTGAGTGTGGGGTCTGGCCACTGCGCATAGCCAGGCGCACCAACTGCTGCATGTGGGGTGGGCAGTTCCAGGTGCCAGCATAGGCACCGGCTCTCTGTGAGGCTGTAGCTGGACCAGGCGTACTGCAAGTGGTTTATGCTGTGGGTACCGGCATCTGGATGAGGGGAACACGATGGTGCCCCAAAACTTGGAGATGCCAGCAATGGCAGAGCCCCAAGAGTTGGGGAGGGGATATTACAGATCTCTTGTTCCTGCCATCCATGGCACAGCGAGCCAGCCAGGAAAGTGGTGTTTCAGCCATTCAGTGAGTCCTGAGTTCTTGTCCCACATCCAGGAAGAATGAGGTTATGTGGACAACTGGAGGGTGAGCAAGGCAGAGAAGAGCTTTATTTATTTTTTTTAATTTTTATTTTTTAATATACATAGAAAGTTTATCTGGGCCAAGCTTGCAGATTGCAATGCAGGAGCACAGATTCAAGTTGCCCTGAATATACTCCAACAAGCAGTAGTTACAAGTGGATTTTAAAAAAATTATTATTATACTTAAAGTTCTAGGGTACATGTACACAACGTGCAGGTTTGTTACATAGGTATACATGTGCCATGTTGGTTTGCTGCACCCATCAACTCGTCATTTACATTAGGTATTTCTCCCAACACTATCCCTTCTCCAGCACCCCACCCCCCTACAGGCCTCAGTGTGAGATGTTCCCCATCCTGTGTCCATGTGTTCTCCTTGTTCAACTCCCACTTATGACTGAGAACAGGTGGTGTTTGGTTTTCTGTCCTTGTGATAGTTTGCTGAGAATGATGGTTCCAACTTCATCCATGTCCCTGCAAAGGACATGAACTCATCCTTTTTTATGACTGCATAGTATTCCACGGTGTATATGTGCCACATTTTCTTTATCCAGTCTATTATTGATGGACATTTGGGTTGGCTCCAAGTCTTTGCTATTGTGAATAGTGCTGCAATAAACACACATGTGCATGTGTCTTTATAGAATGATTTATAATCCTTTGGGTATATACCCAGTAATGGGATTGCTGTGTCAAATGGTATTTCTAGTTCTAGATCCTTGAAGAATCGCCACACTGTCTTCCACAATGGTTGAACTAGTTTACAGTCTCACCAACAGTATAAAAGCGTTCCTATTTCTCCACATCCTCTCCAGCATCTGTTGTTTCCTGACTTTTTTAATGATTGCCATTGTAACTGGCATGAGGTTGTATCTCCTTGTGGTTTTGATTTTCATTTCTCTGATGACCAGTGATGATGAGCATTTTTTCATGTGTCTGTTGGCTGCATAAATGTCTTCTTTTGAGAAGTGTCTGTTCATATCCTTTGCCCACTTTTTGATGGGTTTTTTTTTTCTTGTAAATTTAAGTTCTTTGTAGATTCTGGATATTTGCCCATTGTCAGATGGAAAGATTGAAAAATTTTCTCCCATTTTGTAGATTGCCTGTTCACTCTGATGATAGTTTCTTTTTCTGTGCAGAAGTTCTTTAGTTTAATTATATCCCATTTGTCAATTTTGGCTTTTGTTGCCATTGCTTTTGGTGTTTTAGTCATGAAGTCTTTGCCCATGCCTGGGTCCTGAATGGTATTGCCCATGTTTTCTTCTAAGGTTTTTATGGTTTTAGGTGTTACATTTAAGTCTTTAATCCATCTTGAGTTAATTTTTGTGTAAGTGTAAGGACAGGGTCCAGTATCAGCTTTCTACATATGGCTAGCCAGTTTTCCCAGCAACATTTATTAAATAGGGAATCCTTTTCCCATTGCTTGTTTTTGTCAGGTTTGTCAAAGATCAGATGGTTGTAGATGTATGGTGTTATTTCTGAGGCTTCTGTTCTGTTCCATTTGTCTATTTATCTGTTTTGGTACCAGTACCAAGCTGTTTTGGTTACTGTAGGCTTGTGGTATAGTCTGAAGTCAGGTATGCCTCCATGTTTGTTCTTTTTGCTTAGGATTGTCTTGGCTATGCGGGCTGTTTTTGGTGCCATATGAAATTTAAAGTAGCTTTTTCCAATTCTGTGAAAAAAATCAGTGGTAGCTTTATGGGGATAGCATTGAATCTATAAATTACTTTGGGCAGTATGGCCATTTTCACAATATTGATTCTTCCTATCCATGAGCATGGAATGTTCTTCCATTTGTTTGTGTCCTCTTTTATTTTGTTGAGCAGTGGTTTGTAGTTCTCCATGAAGAGGTCCTTCACATCCCTTGTAAGTTGCATTCCTAGGTATTTTATTCTCTTTGTAGTAATTGTGAACGGGAGTTCACTTGTGATTTGGATCTCTGTTTTTCTGTTCTTGGTGTATAGGAATGCTTGTCATTTTTGCACCTTGATTTTGTATCCTGAGACTTTGCTGAAGTTGCTTGTCAGCAAACTTCAGCCCAAAAGGAGATTTTGGGCTGAGATGATGGGGTTTTCTAAATATACAATCATGTCATCTGCAAACAGGGGCAATTTGACTTCCTCTTTTCCTAATTGAATACCTTTTATTGCTTTCTCTTGCCTGATTGCCCTGGCCAGAACTTTCAATACTATGTTGAATAGGAGAGGTGAGAGAGGGCATCCTTGTGTTGTGCAGCTTTTCAAAGGGAATGCTTCCAGTTTTTGCCTATTCAGTATGATATTGGGTGTGAGTTTGTCATAAATGGCTTTTATTATTTTGAGATATGTTCCATCAATACCTAGTTTACTGAGAATTTTTAGCATGAAAGGCTGTTGAATTTTGTCAGCCTTTTCTGCATCTATTGAGATAATCATGTGGTTTTTGCCATTGGTTCTGTTTATGTGATGGATTATGTTTATTGATTTGTGTATGTTGAACCAGCCTTGCATCCCAGGGATGAAGCCAACTTGATCATGGTGGATAAGCTTTTCAATGTGCTGCTGGATTCAGTTTGCCAGTATATTATTGAGGATTTTTGCATCAATGTTCATTGGGGATATTGGCCTGCAATTCTTTTTGTTGTATCTCTGCCAGGCTTTGGTATCAGGATGATGCTGGCCTCATAAAATGAGTTAGGGAGGATTCCCTCTTTTTCTATTGATTGGAATAGTTTCAGAAGGAATGGTACCAGCTCCTCTTTGTACCTCTGGTAGAATTTGGCTGTGAATCTGTCTGGTCCTGGACTTTTTTTTGGTTGGTAGCTTATTAATTATTGTGTCAATTTCAGAACCTGTTATTGGTCTATTCAGAGATTCAACTTCTTCCTGGTTTAGTCTTGGGAGGGGTATGTTTCCAGGAATGTATCCATTTCTTCTAGATTTTCTAGTTTATTTGCACAGAGGTGTTTATAGTATTCTCTGATGGTAGTTTATATTTCTGTGGGATCAGCGGTGATATCCCCTTTATAATTTTTTATTGCATCTATTTGATTCTTCCCTCTTTTCTTCTTTATTAATCTTGCTAGCAGTCTATCTATTTTGTTGATCTTTTAAAAAAACAGCTCCTGGATTCATTGATTTTTTTCTTGAAGAGTTTTTTGTGTCTCTATCTTCTTCAGTTCTGCTCTGATCTTAGTTATTTCTTGTCTTCTGCTAGCTTTTGAGTTTGTTTGCTCTTGCTTCTCTAGTTCTTTTAATTGTGATGTTAGGGTGTCGATATTAGATCTTTTCTGCTTTCTCTTGTGGGCATTTAGGGTTACAAATTTCCCTCTACACACTGCTTTAAATGTGTCCCAGAGATTCTGGTACATTGTGTCTTTGTTCTTATTGGTTTCAAAGAACATCTTTATTTCTGCCTTCATTTTGTTATTTACCCAGTAGTCATTCAGGGGCAAGTTGTTCAGTCTCCATGTAGTTGTTTTGAGTGAGTTTCTTAATCCTGAGTTCTAATTTGATTGCAGTGTGGTCTGAGAGACAGTTTGTTGTGATTTCTATTCTTTTACATTTGCTGAGGAGTGTTTTACTTGCAATTATGTGGTCAATTTAGAATAAGTGCAATGTGGTGCTGAGAAGAATGTATATTCTGTTGATTTGGGGTGGGGAGTTCTGTAGATGTGTTTTAGGTTTGCTTGGTGCAGAGCTGAGTCCAAGTCCTGGTTATCCTTGTTAATTTTCTGTCTCCTTGATCTGTTTAATATTGACAGTGCGGTGTTAAAGTCTTGCATTATTATTGTGTAGGACTCTAAGTCTCTTTGTAGGTCTCTAAGGACTTGCTTTATGAATCTGGGTGCTCCTGTATTGTGTGCATATATATTTAGGACAGTTAGCTCTTCTTGTTGAATTGATCCCTTTACCGTTATGTAATGGCCTTCTTTGTCTCTTTTGATCTTTGTTGGTTTAAAGTCTGTCTTATGAGAGACAAGGATTGCAACCCCTGCTTTTTTTTTTCTTTCCATTTGCTTGGTAGATCTTCCTCCATCCCTTTATTTTGAGCCTATGTGTGTCTTTGCAAATGAGATGGGTCTCCTGAATACAGCACACTGATAGGTCTTGACTCTTTATCCAATTTTCCAGTCTGTGTTTTTTAATTGGGGCATTTAGCCCATTTACATGTTGGCTAATATTGTTATGTGTGAATGTGATCCTGTCATTATGATGCTAGCTGGTTATTTCACCTGTTAGTTGATGCAGTTTCTTCATACTGTCGATGGTGTTTACCATTTGGCATGTTTTTGCAGTGGCTTGTATCAGTTATTCCTTTCCATGTTTAGTGCTTCCTTCAGGAGCTCTGGTAATGCAGGCCTGGTGGTGACAAAATCTCTCAGCATTTGCTTCTCTGTAAATAATTTTATTTCTCCTTCACTTATGAAGCTTAGTTTGGCTGGATATGAAATTCTGGGTTGAAAATTCTTTTCTTTAAGAATGTTGACTATTGGCCCCCACTATCTTCTGGCTTGTAGTGTTTCTGTTGAGAGATCCACTCTTGGTCTGATGGGCTTCCCTTTGTGGGTAACCAGACCTTTCTCTCTGGCTGCCCTTAACATTTTTTTCCTTTATTTCAACCTTGGTGAATCTGACAATTATGTGTCTTGGGGTTGCTCTTCTCAAGGAGTATCTTTGTGGTGTTCTCTGTATTTCCTGAATTTGAATGTTGGCCTGTCTTGCCAGGTTGGGGAAGATCTCCTGAATAAAATTCTGAAGAGTGTTTTCTAACTTGGTTCCATTCTCCCCATCACTCTCAAATACACCAATCAAACATAGATTTGGTCTTTTCACATAGTTCTTGGAGGCTTTGTTCATTTCTTTTCACTCTTTTTTCTCTAATCTTGTCTTCTCTATTTTAACCATTTGATCTACAATCGCTGATATCCTTCCTTCTGCTTGATCGAATTGGTTATTGAAGCTTGTGTATGCTTCACGCAGTTCTTGTGCTGTGGTTTTCAGCTCCATTAGGTCATTTAAGCTCTTCTCTACACTGGTTATTCTAGTTAGCCATTCATCTAACCTTTTTTCTAGGTTTCTACCTTCTTTGCGATGGGTTAGAACATGCTCCTTTAGCTCGGAGAAGTTTGTTATTACCGACCTTCTGAAGCCTTTTTCTGTCAACTCTCAAACTCATTCTCCATCCAGTTTTATACCCTTGCTGGAGAGGAGCTGTGTTCCTTTGGAGGAGAAGAGGTGTTCTGGCTTTTGGAATTTTCAGCCTTTTTGCTGTGGTTTCTCCTCATCTTAGTGGTTTTATCTTCCTTTGTCTTTGATGTTGGTGACCTACGGATGTGGTTTTGGTGTGGATGTCCTTTTTGTTGATGTTGATGCTATTCCTTTCTGTTCTTATTTTACCTTCTAACAGACAGGCCCCTCAGCTGCAGGTCTGCTGGAGTTTGCTGGAGGTCCTCTCCAGACCTTGTTTGCCTGGGTATCACCAGCGGAGGCTGCAGAACAGCAAATATTGCTGACTGATCTTTCCTCTAGAAGCTTTGTCCCAGAGGGGCACCCACCTGTATGAGGTGTCTATCGGCCCCTACTGGGAGATGTCTCCCAGTCAGGCTACTGGGGGGTCAGGGACCCACTTGAGGAGGCCGTCTGTCTGTTAATGGATCTCTAACACCATGCTGGGGGAACCACTGCTCTCTTCAGAGCTGTCAGGCAGGATGTTTAAGTCTGTAGAAGTTGTCTGCTGCTGCCTTTTGTTCAGATATGCCCTGCCCTAAGAGGTGGAATCTAGAGAGGTAGTAGGCATTGTTGAGCTGTGGTGGGCTCTGCCTAGTTCGAGCCTCCCTGCCTCTTTGTTTACACTGTGAGCATAGAACTGCCTACTCAAGTCTCAGCAATGGTGGACTCCCTTCCCCCCACCATGCTCCAGCGTCCCAGGTTGATCTCAGACTGCTGCACTAGCAACGAGCAAGGCTCTGTGTGTGTTGGCCTTGCCGAGCCAGGCACGGGAGGGAATCCCCTGGTCTGCCTGCTGTGAAGACTGTGGGAAAAGTGCAGTATTTGGGCAGGAGTGTACAGTTCCTCCAGGTACAGTCATTCACAGCTTCCCTTGTTTAGAAAAGGGAAATCCTCTGACCCCTTGAGCTTTCTGGGTGAGGTGACACCCCACCCTGCTTTGGCTTGTCCTCCATGGGCTGCACCCACTGTCCAACCAGTTCCAGTGGGATGAACCAGGTACCTCAGTTGGAAATGCAGAAATCACCCATCTTCTGCATCGATCTTGCAGGGAGCTGTAGACCGGAGCTGTTTCTATTGGGCCATCTTGGAAGTGCCCCCCAAGGAGCTTTATTGAGAGACAGAACAGCTCTCAGTGAAGAGGAGACCCAAAATACCTAGCTCCCATCCTCAGGCAGGTAGTCCTGAAATGTGTCTGAGTCTGGCTGAGTCTGAGGTTTTTATGGGCTCAGAATGTAGAAAGTGCATGCTGATTGGTCTATGGGTGGGCCCAGAAAAAGCACCATCTGATTGGCCAAAAGGCATCAAAGAACTTCTCACTCCTGGTCATGGACTCTACCCAGAACAGGTAGCCTGGCCCACAGGCTTCAGGCCATCCCTGGCTTGAAGGTTGGTCCTCACTGGGGACCTACCCTTTCCCGCGTAGGAACCTGTCTGCCTCCCACCACCATCAAAACCTTGAAAGCCCATCTAATTGGTGGAATCTAAATCATATCTATAATCCTAGTTTTAAGTGAGTCTGAGAAACGTAGTTTTTATTCTAACATGATCTGTAATACAGAGGAAGAGGTGAGAATGAAAGTCACCTGCTAGTGGACAATATCTAGCCCAATTTTATGCTTTGTCTACTCAGCAACCAGATACACCCTTCTATCCGTAAACCTCCCCACAATCACAATAGCAATAAAACCACTACCACCAAACATAAGGTAACTCTTCCTAATATAGATGAAAACACTGTCTCCTTCAGGGTCAGAATTTGTCCTTGCCCCTTCGAACATACTGGGATCTGATTCCATTTATAGGGATGCAGTGAGAGAGATGGGCATGAGGAGAATCAGCATCCCTTTGCAAAGTAATGAACTCAGTTGAGTCCATTCATTACAGTGTCTTCAACAAGGCAGGTAGCTTCACCAAGAAAGAAGGGTCTAATTCTACTAAGAAAATGATGCTCTGAGATTTTGAGGCTTGGTTTTCAATTCTCAAGGTACCATTCTATCCCAATAAATATCCTAAATTCTTACAAAGTTGCCTAAAACCTGCAACTTGTGTATTCAGATTTATCAATTGTTAATGATATCAGTCCTATGATGACATGGGATGAAATTAATTTAGAGTAGTAGTTTTCATTGGAGGGCTGAGTGATGGTGGTGCCACTGTTGTTGGTAGTGATTTGGCTCCCCAGTGGATATTTGGCAATGTATGTCCATTTTGAGTTGTCACAATTTGGGTTAGGGAGAGCTGTTAGTGGCATCTAGTGGATAGAGTCCAGAGGTACTGAGATATCCTACAATGCATAGGACAGCCTTCCTCAGCCTTTTGCCACAGGGCCAAAGAATTATCTGGCCCATCAATAAGGACAAAGATAAGAAATCACAGAAGCTCTCTGTGTGTTGGAACAAGTTTTGAGTCAAGCAGTTAACGTCAGCTGGATGTAGTCACTCACACCTGTACCCCCAGCACTTTGAGAGGCTGAGGCAGGAGGATCAGTTGAGCTCAGGAGTTCAAGCCCAGCCTTGGCAACGTAGCGAGGTCCCATGTCACATTTAGAAATTTTTTTAAAAAGTTAAAACCCTGGGCTTGTCATCATTGTTCTCTAATTTTTCAAAGGCTGTCAGAACTGCCACCTCAGCCCACCCCAGTCCATTTATTGCTTATTTGCATTTTAGTGTTCTATCATAACAAACAATTGCTAACAGATCTTGTGTTCAACAGGCACCTTATTTCAGTTGATGACATATGATAATTTAAGTAAATGTATTACCACTGCATGTCTTGGACTACCAATATCTTATTTTCCACTGGTAATCAAGATATCATTGCCTTTAAATCCAAACTGGGTCAAATAATAAATATCAAATTCCCAGTGTTGAAGTTTTATTTCTTTATTTTTTGAACATCTTTATATACCAACTATTGTATCAGACAAAATTAGTATAGCAAATAGAAAACACTACATATATTTCATGTAGAAAAATATTTTGGTATGTATAAAATCATTTAAAAGACTGAAGGAGTGAAAGTCAGAGATTCAAGGAAATTTTCAGTTTCAAGATCATATAACTGTAGCTATGATCTGGAGGTCAGAAAACTAGTGCAGCTGTTGCTGCTAACCCTCTCCACAACTGCTCCTCCATCTTGCCCTTATACCTTTGAATTAAGCTAGTGAATATGGATTCTATTCTTATAGATGATTGAGCTTCTTTTCTGCTGTTACAGCTACACGAACATGGCCTCTGCCTCCCTTACATTTTCTACATATCAAGATGCCCATGGGATACCTAATACATCTGAGTTAAGTAATTGTTTAAAGTTTTTAAAAATTTGGTTTCTCCAATGTTGTTAGTTTTATTTAAATATTTAATGATTCTTGGTTGTCTATATATATTTGTGTTCATAGTATATAATACGTAGTGTTGATGGCCAGAATTGATGTACTTTGTCCAAATAAGAAGCCCTATTCACCTGGCAGAGAATAAATGCAAGTTTTCATTATAGGTATACTGGTTCTGATGGTTGTGTGTTTGTTTGTAGGGTTGAGGAAGTTGGTGGTATAGGGAGGTTACATGTGAGTAGGCTCTTCTTTATGATTTATGAGTAGTTTCTATGCTGGATCTTCCTATTTCAGCTATTAAGACAACTGAAAGTCAGTGAGGTTACTATCAGTCTCCTTCCTATAAACCTGTTTTCCATTCTGGTAATCTCTGAAGTTAGACTTCCCCCTTAGTAGAGCTGTATTTGAAGTTTTATTCAGGAGAGAAATGCTATTTTCAGCTCCTCTGACAACAGAATTACTATGTGGCTCTTTTCCTTCTAATGAATTATCCAGTCTATTGTCCAAGTCTCAGCCCTTCTCACAACCCTCATTGTCTCTTACCTAAGCGTTATGCAGAGAATGTATTGGAAAAACTCACTTTAGTGATTCTTCTCTTTGATGATTCATCACCTGGATGAATTTATTAGCTCCTTAGTCTGTTGGATTTTGTTGGCAATGTGGACCTACTTCCAGAACTGTCAAAATTCCTCCATAGCCCTCAAAAGTCTGCTGGTGACATTACTCTCAGGTTTATAGCAATGCTATGATTTTATGGATTTATTTCTATTTGTATATTTCTTCTGTGATTTCTGTGTATTTTGGGGAGGGTAGTGAGGTAATTCACAAGTTCAATTAGTTTAATTAGTTGTGAACCAGCACTATTATCCTTAGATTTACAGCAAACTAATTTTACTTTCTTGGTTTCTTAAAAAATTAATCAGGATCTGCAGTTTCTCTCTCAACAAAATAAGACAATTCATTTTTTTCTTCATTTATCTTATTTTACTTTCCCTAGGCACTTCATCTCTTTACCCCCTACATCTTGGATTTGGTTACCGTAATTTAGAATTATGACCCCTCTAGTTTGCATATCCTTGCTTAATAAAACTGTATTAAATCCCACAATCTCAGTGTTGACAATTATTCACAATTAATTCTAACTTATTTTCTTTTTCTCTTACATCATTTTTTCATTGCATGTCCTCTAATTTCTTGGATTTAAAAGACTTTTTTCTTAGAGTAATTTTGGAAATAGGGTACACTGTTATCTGCTTCTCAAAACTTTAAGTAACCAGACAGGTTATTAATATTATTTCCAGATTCTGGGTGATGAATCAGAGGCTCAATGTTGCCTTTTTTTAGGGTAACACAAATTCAGTGGCCAAGCCTAGACCAAAATTCGGATCTCCAGACTCTTAAGTTTGCTGTCTTTTGTATACATATTTGTTTCTTTTTCTTACAGTAGGTGTCCACAACAAGCTATTTATTTTACTATCTTTTGTTGGAGTAGTTTGAAAGACCATTTCTGAATATAGAACTCTGCTTTTCATAATTATTACTGATGCTTGTGCAGTCATATTTAGTTTGCTTAATTAGACAGAATTGTGGACATTAAGAATATTATTTGGCAAAATCCTACATTGAGGCAGTTTGTGCTCGCTGTTTTTTGGAAATGATAATTATTATATAATTCTTCTTCTTTGTGTAGTCATGCATAAATATCTTGAATTTGAATACCTGGCAACTAGAATAAAAGAGAAACATGATGGATTACATAACATAAATATTCTACCAAGAAGATGGCAGAGCATTAGGAGACTCAAAATTTTCTGAGTTAAGGCTGGGTGCAGTGGCTCACACTTGTAATCCCAGTACTTTGAGAGGCTGAGGTGGGCGATCAGTTGAGGTCAGGAGTTGAAGGCCAGCCTGGCCAACATGGTGAAACCCTGTCTCTACTAAAATTATAAAACTTAGCCAGGGATGGTAGCAGGCATCTGTAATCCCAGTTACCAGGGAGGCTGAGGCAGGAGAATCACTTGAACCTGGGAGGCGGAGGTTGCAGTGAGCTGAGATTGCTGCCACTACACACTCCAGCCGGGGCAACAAAGCAATACTCCATCCCCCTACAGCTCCCCCAAAAAATTCTGAGTTAAGAATGCCAAGAGTAATTTATCACATACGCCTTAAAGATGTTCAGCAGAATATTATTGGAGATGCTATTATAGCCAGTTTACAACCAATAAAGACAAATTCTTTATATGACATCAAAATGTAATTTCCTTTATAAATATGGGTGCAAAAATCAACAAAATACTAGCAAACTGAATCTAGCATCTATAAAAAGATTTATACAACATGACTAAGTAGAATTTATACTAGAAGTGCAAGGTTGATTAAACAAATAAAAATCAAGCAATATAGTAATATACTATATTGAAAAAATAAAGTACAAAAATCACATGATCATCTCAATAGACAGAGAAAGAGTATTTAATAAAATTCGAAGCTCTTTCATGATAAAAACAGTTGGCAAACTAGGAACAGGAAAGTTCCTCCACCTGAAAAAGGGCATCTTTGAAAAACTATAGATAACATAAGACTAAGTGGAAGACTGAAAGTTTTCTTCCTAAAGTCAGAAACAAGACAAAGAAGTCTTTCCCTCACCACATTTATTCAACAATGTTCTGCAGGTTCTAGGCAGAGCAATTAGGCAAGAAAAAGCAATAACAAGCATTCACAAAAGGGAGGGAAAAGTTCAAGCCCCTTCATTTAATATCATTTCCTGGAAGTTGCACGTACTGTTTCTGCTGACATGCAATTGGCCAGAACTTAACTGCATAACTCCAAGCAACATCAAGAAAGTTGGTATATTATGTCTTTATTCTTTGAAAACTTATGCCCAGTTAAAATTTGGAGCTTCCATTTTTGAAGAAAAAGGAGATAATGGGTATTGGGAAACAACCAGCAGTTCTTTCCATGTTTATTGAATGCAGGTCAAAAAAAGGAATTAGGTAATTTTTTTCTTTTCTTTTTACCCTACTTTTCTTCTTCCTTTTTCCCTCCCTCTCTTCCTTCCCTCCTTTTCTCCTTCTTTCCTTCTCTTACTTTCTTTCAATACATGAATTGCAAAAGATTAATAACCTAAATGCAATATTGTCTTCTGGATTGGATCTTGGAACAGAAAAAAGGACATTAGTAGGAAAATTAGTGAAATATAAATAAAGTGTTTAGTCAACAAAACTGTACTCATGTTAGTTTCTTAGTTTTGATAAATGTATTATGGTTATATAAGATACTGATATTAGTGGTAGCTAGGTGAAGGATGTACAAAAACTCAGTATTATTATTGCACTTTTTGGTAAATCTGAAATTACTTCAAAATTAAAAGTTAAAAAAAAATGATTGCTGATATCCAATGGCCACAGGTTTGGAAAACTAGAAAGAATTCTTATCCACTCTTGGTGGTATATATATTAGTACAGACTTTTTTTTTTTTTTTTTTGAGACGGAGTTTCACTCTTGTCACCCAGGCTGGAATGCAGTGGCGTGATCTCTGCTCACTGCAACCTCTGCCTCCCAGGTTCAAGTGATTCTCCTGCCTCAGCCTCCCAAGTAGCTGGAATTACAGGTATGTGCCACCACGCCCAGCTAATTTTTGTATTTTTAGTAGACACGGGGTTTCATCATGTTGGGCAGGCTGGTCTCGAACTCCCAACCTCAAGTGATCCACCCGCCTCAGCCTCCCAAAGTGTTGGGATTACAGGCGTGAGCCACCGCACCCGGCAGTACAGTTTTTCTAGAGCAACTAGGTGTTATTTATTAAAGTAAATGAATTAATACATTTTGATTCTGAAAATCTCCTTCTAGAAATTAGTTTTACATAAACACGAATGCCAGATTTTGAATTTCTCTTTTAGATGATTCAGCATAATTGCTCCAAATAAATCTAAAAGGCTATTGTCAAACAGTGGAATATTTGGATTTATAATTTCATAGATAAGACTATCAGTCCATGATATGGTTGGTGTTTAAAGTAGAATGGAAGTGAAATTCCCAGAGTGGAGTTTTTAAAATAACCAAGTTCCTAGGATTTTAACTGGAAGAATAAATATCTGAAAGGCAATGAGGAGTATTAAGCATGGGATGCCACTTCTGCACCTTGAGAAAATGAAGTATGGAAGGATGAGTGGTTTTCATTTGAGAGGGCTGCAGGGTAACTGTTTCTATTTCAGATGAGGAGGTAAAAAGAATGGGCATTGAAAAGGAAAAATGTTTACTAAGTAGGTTATACATTTTGGAATAGAAGTTTCTATAGCACAATAGAAAAGTTTGAGAGGTCACATGGCAATGATAGTTTGGGTGAGAGTGAGGCAGGAGAATAGGGTGTGGAGGCAGGGAACCTAAGGATGTGTCACTCCGACTTCCTAAGAACTAAATTGAAAGGAAACCCCTAACTTTCCATGCCTAAGTAACAAAAGGACCAGAGGCTACTCCCTTTGCAAACCCCCACTTTTTCTGCAGGGCAGATGGGAAATTGGCTGTGGGCAGCAAATCAGACTGATTGCAGGAGAGTCTTCCTTTGCATAGAAGTATCACTTTGTAACTTCACCATCTGCAAGAAATCAAACTGATTGCAGGGGAAATCTTCCTTTGCATAGAGGTATACCACTTTGTAACTTCACCCTAGCCTCTGATTGATTGCTTTTTGCACCAATGTTTGCACAGGAGCATGACCTTTGTAACTTCACTTCAGCCTCTGGTTGGCTGCTTTCTGCAACCAATCAGACTGATTGCGCGTTACTTCATTTACATGAGGTGAGCATTAGGTGGCCAATAGGAAGCTTCTAGAGGGTATTTGGACTCAAGATTCTGTATCCGGGCCCTTGAGCCGCTGCTCAGGTCGCTTCCGTACAGAGCGTGCTTTAATTTTCAATAAGTCCCTGCTTTTGTTGTTTTGTTGCTTCATTCTTTCTTTGCTTTGCTGGGCGTTTTGTCCAATTCTTTGTTAAAAACGCCAAGAACCTGGACAACTTGCAGTCACGATCCTCTACCGGTGACAATATCATTTAAATATTGGTAGTGGCTTAAGGTAGCAAACATCCCTTTGTGGAACGTTTACTCAGTAAATCCTTAAAAAACAGATCAGAAACAAAAACTGGCCTCCCAGGGATTTGGACTCAGGAGGTGAATTAGGCGCGGAGAGGGCGGAGCCTTTGGGGTTTATGGGCGGAATTGCACAGGGTTTGGCGGGGATCTCTGCTCCGCCTTGGCACTACTCGGCTCCGCTCGCCTCCGCGCGGCTCCCTGGGCTTTCACTCGGCTCTGTTCGGCTCCTGCTCGGGAAGGGTGCGCGGGGGCGAGTCCTGCGCATGCGCCCTCAATTCCTGCTGCTCTCAGGGCTGCGCTCAGCCTCGTGTTTTCACTTCCTTTTCAGAGCTGTATCCGGGTCGCTGCTTTCCCTATTGTCTGAGGCAGCCGCCCTCGCGCTGTGCAATTTCTGGTCTTTCGTTGCTTCTGGTCCAGGCTAATAAAGTTTTTCTTTCTTTAATTTTTTTTCTTCTAGTTTTAACGGGAGAAATTAACTCCCCGGGGCCGCCGGGTTGACTGCGCTGCCTGGGCCGGAGGTCTTCTCCGGCCAGGGAGCGCTGTGGGAAGGGGCTCGAGCGGCCAGGGCCAGGCGAGGCCGGGGGGGCGGGGGGTTAGGGGACCGCGGGGCTACTCTTGGGAGCGCCCCTGTCCGGCTGGCTGCGCGCCGGTTTTAAATAGCATCTTTCGGACTTGTCTTCGCGGCCCCAGTCCCCGACCTCGGCGCTGCCTGGGCTCCTGCAGCCTCTCCCTAAGTCTTCTCCAAACGACCACCTCACGGATTCCTTAGTAAGTGTATCCGAGGCCTCTGCGGCGAGAGGTCCATTTCAGCCATTCTAGAAGTCAGGGCCGGTGGGAGCAGGGCAGGGGTGGGAGAGTCCTGCGGGAAAGCAGGATTGGTGGACCCTCGCCCTCCATGGTCCGCGGGAATGAAGCCCGCTTGTTTTATTCCCTGATTTTTGCCGTTTTTATTGACTGTTACGATGTCTAAGTGGGGGATTACGAGGAAGGTGCAGAAACATCTCGAAAAGATGAGCAAGAGGGTCAGCTTCGATTTTAGCTGGTCTGAGTTGGCGTTGGCAGCATCAGGGCTGGAGCTGCCTTTGAAACTGCCCGTGGAGCTGTCCAGCCCTCCCCACCCTGCTTCTGCACCCCAACCTTCTCCTGACCCCTTTTGCTGAGAACTCAGTTAGACAAAAATTCCTTGTGCGAGGTCATCTTTATGTTCTCTTAGCACCACAACTCTCCCCTGTGTTTGGTGTGATTATGAATGACAATGTAATTTTTTTCTCTTCACAGTGGATCGCAGCTCCAAGAGGAGGCAGGTGAAGCCTTTGGCAGCTTCTCTGCTGGAAGCTCTTGATTATGATAGTTCAGATGACAGTGATTTTAAAGTTGGAGATGCCTCAGGTAAATATTTCCTTCTCTCTTCCCCTTTCCCAGCTTTCTGGAGTTAGGCTTATTTTTAGACTTTTTAAATCGGTTTTGATTAAAATGCCAATTTTAAGTGAAAGCACGTAAACTTCATTTATTTTGTCCATTTGATTTCCCATTTTGCCTTTAGATCCTGTCACTAGACCTATAATTGCTTCTGTTTTCCTCAGAGATAATTAGCAGTCAGGGGAAGGACTTTTTCCAAAGATGCAAAAGGATTTCTCTGTTTTACACCTTAAAATATATTTATGCTTATATTATAGAGGAAAAAACTGAAAGATATCCCGAAGTAGAAAAGTATCCTGAGAGGTGTGTGGACCATTAATAGTCCCTGAGCAGGGTTCTTCTTTTTTCAGATCACTTGACAATCTCTTAGGGGAGTTTTGCTTTTTTTGTGTATTAGCTCTTTTACTAGAATAAAATTGACCAGAGTAAGAGTTGCACTTCAAATTATAGTAGGTGCTGGACCTTGTGGATTGGGCCTTTCAGATGTCTCTGAAGTATAAGTCATGCATGCTTGCTCACTATATTTAGTAATTTTAAAAACTTTTTTTAAAGGTCGTATATTCACATTGTACTAAACTGGAAAACAGAAAAGTATGATTTTCCTTTGTATTTTCTGTTCAGTGTACCTTATGTATATATACAGTTTCAATTGAAGGAATCTGAGAAACAAAAATTATGTTTAATTTAAATGTTTTATGGGAAAAATACTGATAAACATGAACAATGAAAATTATGTGTAATTCCACCTCTTTTGAAAATTTTAATAAAGTGAGATGAAAATTTAAATAAAATGAGAAGTAAAAGCCTTTCCAGTTTCATCTCTTCAACAGTTTTTAAATATACTTCCAGAGAGTTTGCCGTGGTTAGTCACATCTCTCCTTCTTCTGGTTTTCCCTTGTCTTTTTCCTGCTAGGGATAGTAGGAAGGGATGAACGAAATTATATTACTGTTGCTACTTTTAGTAGCATCAACAGCAGAATTTGCATTGTGATTTACTGATAACTTTTTGTTTGCATAATCTCACTTAATTTTCACAGTAACTTAGTGAAGGAGATACCATTTTACAGGTAACAGGGGTATTGAGTTTAAAGAACTGGCATGAGGTCACTCAGGCAGTAACGGATCCAATGGATTTGACTTCAGAATTTAGTCTGTTTATCTGCTTGGATCCCAAGAGTTGATGGACGGAATCTTAAACAGAAACTGACTATTTGGTTACTAATTGAATTCATCCGCAGCAATCAAAAATTGATAAGTTTATCTTGATTAACTGTTTTTTTATCCTTTGCTTCTCAGCTCTTTATCTCCCATTTAGTTGGTTTGCTGATATTTGGTATTTCCAAAGAAGGGAAGGGGAAGGGAAAGGAGGTAAAATTTAAATCTTAGTTCTCTTGGTAAAGACCTTGGCAGATAAGAATATTCCTGGCTAGGATGTAGTTTTGGTTTGTTATGGTTGTGGTTGTAAACTTTGACAAACATAGTTGGGTCGTGGAAGTTACGAATTCTTTGAATATGGGAACAATTCTAAAACTTACATTAAGTATTACATTATTATGTGACAATAAATCTTGACTTTATGGACAATTTGTTTCCAAGGTTTGTTCATTGAGATGGAATATTCACAGGTATCACTTCTTTTTCAAGTGGTAAAACAATCTGATACAAACATAAAGTACTTTCTCAAAATATTTTATGATATCGAGCTAAGTAGAGATTTCTGACCTTGTTAAATCCTAATTATAGTTGAAGAGAACTGTTATTTGTGAAAAATGATAGGATGAGTTTTGTTAGGTTGATATATCTATATATCCCTTAAACACACTAAAAATATTTACTTTCTGTTCCCTCTTGTAATATAATATCTAGTATGCTGCACTCATAATTTACCTTCCTGGCCCCCTGGGGAGCTTAAATTTGTGATCTGTGGTCTCAGGTCACAAATTTGTATGTATAGTTCTTGGTATTTATTGTAAAAGGGAATTTAGAAGAAAATGATTGTATTTAAAATGATTAGTAGTCAACAGAAATTGAATCATATTTTTGACTCTTGTTTTAGGTGCATTGATGCTCTGCATAGCTGAGATATTCGCTTACTCTAGATTACCATTGTTTTCCATTTGAATCTTTTCTGTGCCTGAGATAGTATATATTTAGTTGGAGTCTTGTAGAGAATAAGACATTAGTCCTATCACTGGTTTCCAAACATGTTGAAGTTGTGGATTCCCAGCCCTACTTACGAATAGGAGATTAAATTGGAAGTAGAGAAATGGTAGCTAAACATCTGTCTGATCATATCTTCTTTCAAAACAACTTCTAGAAATGACTCATTGAATGAACTACGGACTTCCTTAGAACTTAATATTAAAGTGGTTAGATTCGTTGGCCTTAATTTTGGCTAACTGGATTCCGTGGATCAATTTCTTCTTACCTTCATCTTGAAATCTGAAATTCTGACTATAAAACTTTTTATATTTCTGTTTGGTTTTAAGAATAAATATAGAAAACATTTGCAGATAAACATAATTTAACTCTATCATAAAATAGAAACAAATCAACATTGGTAAAGAATGACCCACCCATAAGATTGGCAAGTGATTACGAGCCTGTACCTTTAGAAAATTATGAAACTGAAGATAGTTTATATTTTATTTTTAATGCAAAAGCAAAAGTAAGCTTCTCATTTTTGATTGAAAGCAGTCAATAAAGTTTGAAATGAGTAAGTCCTAAAATAGGATATATATGCATTATTAGAATTATGGTGATAACCACCAGAAGAACCATATGTAGAAATGTTAGGTTGAACTATATGGAATTACCAGTTTTGTAGGTCCAAAACACACAGTCAAATATTAGCAATTTCATGGTTTTACCTAGTTAAAGTGTTGATATTTGAGACTTGGGCATAGGGTTGGGTGTATGATAGGAGACTTATTTACATTTGGTTATCTGCTACATTAATTGAATGTTTTAAAGAATGTTTACATCTTTTTAAAGATGCAGACATGTATTACTTCTATTAACCAGACAGATTAGCCATGCTCTCTACCCCTATCCCCCACCAGGCAAAGTAAAATGGGGTTAACTTTAGATCTTGATCAAAAGTTAGTTTAGTTAGGCCATATTGCCAGGAAATAATTTAATGAGAAGTGTCAGCCTGAGACTTTGGTGGTATTTTGTGCTTAATCTGACTTTGAATAAGTGGACCAAGATGTGTTCATTGATTGTCCGTAGTTTAGCCCTTTGCTAGATGTTATGGTGAATTTACAAAACAGTAGTAATAATATTAGAATAAGTAAGTAAAATAACATGTAAGTAAAATAAAAATTAGAATAATTAAATAAAATAGTTGATACAAAGGATGGTTGATCACTTGTGTAGTTCAAGTCTTTAATAGGAAATGAGATTAGATTGATGTAGAACAATTTCATTGAGGAGAGGAGGTAAGAGTGGAACTATGAACAGAAGGATTTAGATAAACAGCAATCTTGGTGAGGCAAAAATTAAAAGTGTTGAGACTTGGAATTGTTTTTTTATATTTGGGGATCAGTGTTGAGTAAAAGTAGAAGAGATAAGCCTGGAAAAATAGAATAAGGTCAAATTGTGGCTGTATATACGAGTTAATGGTTTCTCAACCTTGGCGCTATTGGCATTTTGTGTTGGATAATTTTTTGTTGTGGAGGCTTGTCCTGTACCCAGTAGGATGTTTAGCAACAACAACCTTTTCCTCTACTAGATGCCAGTAGCATCTTTCCTACCTGCCCCAGCCTCACCTCCACCTCCACTTCCACTGTTGTGGCAACTATTGTTTCCAGACATTGCCAGTTGTCCTCTGGGGGAAAAAAATGTTCCCGTTTGAGTACCACTGGCTCATACAAACCAAGATGACATAGCTGGAACTAGAATCGGAAGTGGAGGATGAGTTGTGTTGACTGATTGGCTGTCTTCAAGACATATACGGTTTTGGTCAAACATAGCCCTGGGATAGCTGTAAATAACTAGTAGAATAGTGATTGATCTGTTATCTATTGTGTATATTTATAGTACTAACACTGTTGTACCAGATCAATGAACAGAATTAGATTGATGAAATTGATGAACAAATTTATATTGCATATATTGTATATTAGCATAAAACTAAATTAAATCATATTGATTTTGTTATGGGGAGAACATTGGATATAATGGTATTGATGGTTGATATTAATTAAATTAATTTTTATTTTATTATTTGATATTGTAAAGGGATTCTTGAAGGTTGGTGTTTTAAATTCTAATTTTAAAATTTATTTTATTTTTTTGTCTGGCCATTACCACTCAGAGGAGTTTTTAAAAATTCTGTAATGGTAAAAAATTTCTTAACTGTCTGTTAGTTGAAATAGCTGTTGCTTGGAGAGATTCTGATATATTGTATGTTTGAGAAAGGTTATCTTTTATTTAACCAAATGGGAAGTAGGATTTCAATTTTAAAGATATATTTTTTTCAAACGTAAGAAAGGTTTATTGTAGACTTGAAATTAACTCTTTCTGCCTAAGATAATTTCTCCAGTATATTTCTTTTTTTCCTTTCCTTTCTCTCTCTTTTTTTTTTTTTTTTGGAACATAGCACAGAGTCATTCTTTGATGACTAGGAAATTTTGTCTTTGCAGCCTATGGAAAAAATAGCCAAGGGCCTTGATTTTTCTCATTGTCATTATTACCCAGCTATGGTTGTAAATAAATATGGTTTATCTCCATTCCTCCAGTGCATATGTACAAAAAAGAAATAGTGACTAATTAGATGAAGAAGTTATTTTTCAGATATCAGAGAAAGATAAGATTTGATGTATTGCTGATCCCTATAGAAAGATAAAATTTGATATATTGCTGATCCCTGTAGTTGGAGTCTGACTAATGTACTATATTTGGAGAATGAGGGGTTGGGTAAGCTATTAGGAGTTGGTTTTGTGGAAAAATGTCCATTCTTCTAATAATAGTTAACAAACATAAAACATTAAAAATTTTTTAAAAAATTGCTTTCTATTCAGGCATGGTTATAAATCAAAAACAGAATCAAGGAGTCTCAATTTACCTCTCATTTGAAAAAATAATTAATTAATTGGCATTGGCAACTACCAAAACAAAATCACAAAAATCTCTGACATTTTGTAAAATTTACCAAGTAATAGCAAAGTTGGATTGGTCTCAATTTTGATCAGCTACCCACACTTCTGCCCCAGTTAATCTTACTTTTGCGTCTATCGTGAAGTTTTGATTGATAAAAAGCCTTCTAGAAGGTTGATCCAGAAGAAAAGTACCTTTTCTTTCATCTTCATCTCCTAGCTCTCTTAATTATGGCATTGCTTCCCTTCTAGAGCCTAAGGTGTTTCAGTTTTCTTTAGTCAGTGTGCATAAAAAATCTTTCTGTGTCTTAGAAGTGTTGAGTCAACTCTGGTTATTATTTATTAAATCATAATTTTAAAATGTCAAGAGATTACTATTATTGTTATTTTTACCAGATGTGATTTTTCTTGGTAGGTTGGGTTTAATTGCTGTGAGTGGTTTACAAAATCATAATTTTCTTAATGCTTTAGAGACTGAAAAGAAGTCACTTGTTTGTGAGTAATATTGGGTCCACACTCTTGAAATCCAAGAAGCTTAAAAATCCAAGTGTTTTGTAAGGTTCACACAAACTTACTTGATGGCAAAGCCTAACGGAACTGGTAGGAGTTTATTTGTAGTATTTATTTCTCATACTCTGTAAATAGGATTTATACTTTTCTCCGCAGAAATAATGTTTGATTATAGGATAATACCATGGACTTCACTGGGGGTATTAGTGTAATATATGGTGCATGTTCCATGTTACCCTTGAAAATCTGAGAAATTATGAATTCTGAAACACATCTGGTTCTTAAAGTTTCAGATAGGGAATTGCTGACCCGTATGATATTGCTCTTGTATCCTATGCAAGGTTGTTTAGGATAAGAGTGTTTTTTTCAGAACAGTCCCAAGTAAGCTATGGATACCTACATGACAGTTGTGAGATTGATAATGATTTCATAGGGTCAGTCAGTATCTGTTAAATGTTAGTGTTTATTTTTTATGCAATTTTGCTTGCAGGATGTTTTTGTTAGCAGTCATTTGTATGTGACTTGTGGGGTTCACTAGATACCAGATACTAATTACAGACAGCTTCCTTCAATTTTAGTGCTTAGTTAATTACAGAGGTTAAGCCTAGTTGAGTTAATAGAAATTAAAATGATGTGGAAACACTTTACTTTTTCCACCATTTTATCATTACCTTTTTCTTGGCTATAGGTGCAAAAAAATTCATCATCCTGTGGATTTTACTGGCTAAGACTTAACTGGTTTCTTCCCCATCTCCTACTGCTCCCTGTCCTCTTTCCCTCCTCCCATTTATTTCTCGCTTCAAAGATTTTAGATTGTTATTTACTTAATTGGGTACAAAAAGAATGATTACTGAGTACTTACTGAGTAATGATTACTGAGTTACTAAGTAGTGTTGGGTTGAGAGGGACTGGGCTGCCCTAGGCAGGAGTGGAAGAAACCTGCTAGAAAGCTTACAGTCCTGTGAGCTCTTTAATGTCTTCAGCCTAACTTTTTAGTAACCTCTGTGACTGCTCATTTTCAGGATGGACTGCTTTATTCATCAATTTCTTCCATTCTAGAGCATATAGTAGTTACTGCGTAGAAGTTTTGAAAGTGTAGTGACTCTTCTTTTATTGATACGAACAGTATCCTAATAAACAGGAAGATTGATAATTTCTCTTGCAACTTCCTTTTTCTGTGCCATTGCTGTTGTCTCTTTTCACCTGTGTTCTTGGTATTCCTAAAATTTGTTTGGTATATTAGAGTTGTAGTATAAGTTGACTATCATAAATATCTATGCTTATTTTACTGGGTAAAGAGTAAAATAAATGAAGCAGTTTTATGGGTTAGATTTATCTTGTTTTGGTTTTGACTCAATACTTACAAGTCCATATAGTTTATAAAAGATGTTTAAGGGAGGAAGAATTTTGTCTGTATTATCAGTAAAATTAAAATCAAGTGCCCAATCTTAAAAGAAGCACATTTACTTTAAAAAATAATTGCCTTTTCAGTACCAAATATTGCCATATGACACAAATTAGTGCTTCTCTTTTTAAAGCATATTTTAATTTAGGGTTATCTATATTCATCTTCATTAGCACTATACTGAACTAAAACCATTGTATCAACTTCATTGATTTATTATTTGATCAGGTTGGGAATGTCTACCATTCTTTGACTTAAATTTGTTTATATTGTTTTGCAAGTTATTCACAAATTTTGGTGGTTTCATTTGTGTCAGCGTTGTGTGTGTGTGTGTGTATGTATATACATATGTGTGGTTTTTTTTTTCTCATATTTTCAACAGATTCTGAAGGGAGTGGTAATGGAAGTGAAGATGCTTCAAAGGACAGTGGAGAAGGTTCCTGTAGTGATTCTGAAGAAAATATTTTAGAAGAAGAACTGAATGAAGATATTAAAGTAAAAGAAGAACAACTTAAAAATTCTGCAGAGGAAGAAGTACTATCATCAGAAAAACAATTAATTAAAATGGAAAAGAAGGAAGAAGAAGAAAATGGAGAAAGACCTAGAAAGAAAAAGGAGAAAGAGAAGGAAAAAGAAAAGGAAAAGGAGAAAGAGAAGGAAAGAGAGAAGGAAAAAGAAAAAGCAACAGTATCTGAGAATGTGGCTGCTTCTGCTGCTGCCACCACACCAGCCACAAGTCCTCCTGCTGTTAACACATCCCCTTCTGTTCCCACTACGACAACCGCTACAGAGGAACAAGTCAGCGAGCCAAAAAAATGGAACCTTCGACGAAACCGACCACTTCTGGATTTTGTGTCCATGGAAGAGCTGAATGACATGGATGACTATGACAGTGAGGATGACAATGATTGGCGACCTACTGTAGTAAAGAGAAAAGGGAGATCTGCGTCTCAGAAAGAGGGAAGTGATGGAGACAATGAGGATGATGAAGATGAGGGAAGCGGGAGTGATGAAGACGAGAATGATGAAGGCAATGATGAAGATCATAGTAGCCCTGCCAGTGAAGGGGGTTGCAAGAAGAAGAAGAGTAAAGTTCTTAGCAGAAACAGTGCTGATGATGAGGAACTGACCAATGATAGCCTGACCCTATCTCAAAGCAAGAGTAATGAGGTAGATCAACCCAATTTTTATATCTGTCTGTCTGGGGAAAAGGGAATTCTTCTCTAAATCACTCTACACATTGTATTAAGTGGCTTCCTTGAAATCCTATTTATAGACGGCTGTGGGATGAATGAGCACCCTAACTGTAACATTTTTTCATTTGGCCAACAGACTTTTATTAAATATCTACTATTTGTCACCGTTCTCAAGGAGCTCACAATCTCTGTCCTCAAGGAGAAATATTTAGAGAAATATTTTTATATCCATAGACTTGGGAAATGACAAAGTTTTCCATTCTCCTTTTTATCCCTTTACTCCTTTGTTCACAGGACTGCTGAATGGTGCTGAGTGCATTATGAAAACAAAGGTCACCTTTCTTTCAACTTAGTTGTGTCCATATCCATATTAAAATATAGGCCTTTAGAATACCTTAGAGCAGGGCAACAGTCTAATGATTTTCTGAAACCTTTAGAGATTCGTTTTAAATATTAATTCCTTTACCAGTTGTAGCACTCATCATCTTTTTAGTCACCAAATCTTTGCTTTATGTGTATGGGACATACACATAAGTATGAACTATTTTTACATATATTTAGTAAATAAATTCTCTCTACAAAGAAATGGAATAAAAACCCAAACATTTCCATCATAAAACAGACATTTTTGTCACAAAACTGCAGTAATGGCTCAGTGCTTCTACTTGAAGTTCTACTACTGAAAGTTAGGTTTATTCATTGATCTCAGAGATGCATCATTCAAGACTCTTCAGTCAAACACATTTGTGTCTCTTTGTCTGTGTGTTTTTGTATATGTTTTTCTTCAAAAGAAAGATTGAGTTGTTGTCTTACATGTAGATGTATCTGTTACATCACATGTAGAACTGTAATAATTCTGTGATTTCTGTTAATGTGTTTATATTCACCAAAATTTATTTCTTTACCAAACACTTATTTTTTTCCATATCACTGAAGTAAGTTAAACGGGTAGAAAGATTTTTCCTCTTATGCTTTATTTGTTCTTTCACATTTTTCTGCCTACAAGTTTTACATAGCAGTGATTATCTATTTTAATTGCTTTGCTTAAAAATTTGGTGATTTCGTTACCAAAATAATCTATAGCAGGCTGTGAGGTTATCAGTGGAGATGAGACAGCAGTTTATATTTGGATTATAAACATTGGTTAACTTCTGAAACCAATATTTTATATGAAAAAATATTGCCTGCCTTCAATGTCATTCTAATTCTTACCTTTAAAGGAAAGTTGTCATTTGGGAAATAGTGTAATATTTTTAATGATATAGCACAGGCAGTTCCATATTATCAATGCTATCTTAAACAGGCATGGAAAAATCTAATTGTTTGTATTTAATTGAGGCATGCATGCAGTTTACGTTATAGCAGTTAATACTCTATATATAATGAATAAGTTTACTTTTGACCACATCACTTTCTTCATTTTTATTAGGTTGATATTCTTAGAAGTAGTCTAGCTAATGATAGAGGCAGTGTCGATTAGATTTATGCTAAAATGTGGGGGACACCTGCATGTGTTTAGGAATTTGCCACGTAAAGTGTGTGTAGTATCTGTTTATTAAACCTGTACTTCATAAATACTGCCTAAGAGGTTGTAGACTAACATTTATGATGCATTTAAAGTCCATGTGTTGGTTGTTTAGTTTTTTTTCCCCACTAGAAGACACTTTAGTAAATAAAGGGACCTTTTATGTTTAGGTTAATAGTCCCAAACACAAACACATTCCAGGAATGAGATTCCAAAGTGCTTCTTCGAAAAGTGCCCATGTAGAAGAGATTATAAAAAGGTACTTTTTCTCCAGAATAATTCTCCTTAAAAGCTTGAGTCATTTTCCCCTCAATTCTATTATTCAAGCTCTACAGTAGTTTTTTGATGATTTTAGTTTATTTAAATTATGTCCCTCAAATTAGATAATTACATTTTAATTAAAAAACTAATCAATTGTGATTATTAGTTATATTTCTAGTTTTCTTATTTGTATGATCTTAATTTTGTGAAAAGATGATTAAAGCTAGTCCTTGTTGCCTGTGGCCAATGTTTGGGTCTTAATCTTCCTGGTTATTTTAGCTAGTGATAATTTCTGTGTCCAATACATAGTTAAGTATATATTTGATTATATTTGAAGTTTGATTTTCCCTGCTTTTACTTTGTTTTCAGAAACTACTTTGTAGTAGAGTTAGGTGAAAATGTAGCTTTAGAAATACATAATAGAAATATATAATTATACCATATTTAGTTTATAAGCAGGCAGACATTTTTCTTAGCTGCTAAGTTCATTTGTAGCAAAATAATGACCTGAAACTTTCATAATTTTGAAGTTTCTTAAGGGAACTTGATATTTATTTTAGCAGGGCCCTTTTATAATTACTGCTCTTAATGGCCTTAACATATGCTTAATGGCCTTAACAACATGCTGCAGACCCTGAAATACTCTCTAGCAGTGATTCTCAAACTGTTTTTTTTTTTTTTTTTTTTTTTTTTTTTTTGGAGACAGGGTCTCACTCTGTTGCCTAGGCTGGAGTACAGTGGCATGATCTCGGCTCACTGCAACCTCCGCCTCATGGGTTCAAGCAATTCTTCTGCCTCAGTCTCCCAAGTAGCTGGGACTACAGGTGCATGCCACCATGCCCAGCACATTTTTGTATTTTTAGTAGAGGTGGGGTTTCACCATGTTGGCCAGGCTGTTCTCCAACTCCTGACCTCAAGTGATCCACCTGCCTTGGCCTCCCAAAGTGCTGGGATTACAGGCATGAGCCACCACACCTGGTCTCATTTTAAAATTTTTTAAATGTTTATTTTTTTTGAGACAGATTCTCGCTTTGTTTCCTGGACTGGGGTGCAGTGGTGTGATCATGGCTAACTGCAGCTTTGATCTCCCAGGCTCAGGCAATTCTCCCACCTCAGCCTTTGGAGTAGCTGAGACTACAGGTGTACGACAACGACTGGCTAATGCTTTTATTTTTGATTTTTTTTTTTTTTTTGTAGAGATGGTATATCACTATGTTGCCCAGGTTGGTGTCAAATTCTTGACCACAAGCAGTCCTCCTGCTTCTGCCTTCCAAAGTGTTGGGATTACAGGTGTGAGCCACCACACATAGCCCCTTTACAGTTTTAAAAATTATTGAGGACAACCATTAATATTTGTGTAGATTATATCTGTTGATATTTACCACTTCAAATTAAAACTGAGGAAGCACACAAGTTATCAGATCCCATTTCATGTAGTGTCTGGAAAACTTCATGGTACTCCCATGAGAGAAAGAGTGAAAAAGAGAAATAATGTCTTAGTATCATTATGAAAACTGCCTTTACCTTTTATACCTACTGAAAGAGAGTTCACTGGACCACACCTTGAGAACTGCTGCTCTAGAACTGGGCATTAGATAAACTGCATTTTCCGCAAACGGACACCTGTTTTTGTCAATAACCTTATGGCATTTTTTAAATTTAGTGCAGCCTGAAGAATCCCCTTGAAATGTGGTTGTATGTCTTTTTCAGCCGTTAATCTTGCAGCTTTGAGATTCCTTAAGATTATCTTGCCCTTTAGTTTTCTGAGGTAAGTTTTTTGGGGACGGCAGTGTACTATTTTCAGAAATGGTTCCCATTTTCAAGATTTTGAAACTAAAGTTTTGCATGAGAATTAATCCATGACCGTAAATTATATCAATAGAATTGGCATTTTTGTTTTGTAAAAGAAAGAAGAGCTCTGTTCTCACAGAAAATATTTAAAATTAGAGACAGTTTGGATTTTGGATTACTGCTTTATAAATGTAACTTTATGTTCTTTGCTGAGTAGAATTTTTTTTCCATAAAAGTCTCCGTTAAGTACATTAGATGTCATGTTGAGAAATGGCAATTGTCACCTGATTTTTGTGAATTAAAATGTAAATGTTTTGCCAAAATTTATAAATATCCACTTCTATTTGGGACTTCTAACTTATTAATCAGTTGTCTTTTTACACATTGCAAAATGAAACAAATTGCTCTGAGTCCTAAAAAAAGGTTAGTTCTGTAACATTTATAAATATCGAGATTCATGAGAATTTAACCTTTTCTAAAAATGTAGAGGAAGTATGATTGGTCAAGCTTTTTGTTATAATAATTTTTTCTTATCTTCAGGGCAGTAGGATTCTTTTAATTCTAATTTTACAGGAAATGTGCTGGAATTTCCTTGTATTAAACACATGTGATTTAGATAAAATTTAGCCTATTGTATATATCATTTACAGTCATATGTGGAATATATATATATAAATGAACAGTAAGTATATTTTAGAGCCTGTGGAGAACATTGATCAGTATTATCATTTTGGGGGTAAGTTTTAAATCCTGATGGAAAGAATGCAATAATTTACTATAAGTAGTGATTGATTTATTCATATACTGTCATTTATTCTTCCTATAATTACATTGGATTCCATTAAATTATTCCATCATAATAAAGTTATTTTCTAGGTGGTACTTTTTTGCCATTCAAAACCTATTTTCCTGATGTCTATTTTTATGTAAAACCATATTTTAGAAATTTTATGTTAAAAGCTTCAGCTTAACTACTTTCTCTGAAACCTTGAAAGATGATATACGTCTTCAGAAATATACTAACAACAGTTGATAATAAATCAGGTTTTGTATTGATCTAATCATAAGTGTGCTTAAACTTGTGTTTGATCTGTTAAAACAGATCTAGCTGGGCGTGGTGGTACATACCTGTAATCCCAGCTACTCGGGAGGCTGAGGCAGGAGAATCGCTTGAACCCGGGAGGTGGAGGTTGCGGTGAGCCGAGATCCCACCATTGCACTCCAGCCTGGGCAACAAGAGCGAAACTCCTTCTCAAAAAAAAAAAAAAAAGAAAAAGAAAAAAAAGAAAACTGAGATCCTAATTTTTTTTAAGGAGGATGTGTTACTTAGATTTTCCAGTTGAAACATTGTCTGCTAGCCATTTAGTTAGGGAAATATTTTATCTCTAGTTTTCCCTATTTCCCTCTTTGCGTTACATTTCTATTAAGAGCCTCAAGTCATGAGGATCAGAGGGCCAGAAACATTAGTTAATGTTGTTTTCTCTGCCTCTAAATGATAATAGATGTGGAGAGAAATTGGCGTAGAGATATGATTTAGGCATTTATGGTTTTTCTGAGCAAAATGGAAAAATAGGAAAATAGAGGAATTAGAACTGCATTTTGATACAACTTTTTCTGACCTTTAGAAATTTACTTGTTTCCCATATGGGTAAACCTTTTTTCCAGGGCTGAATAATTTTAATTCCACCAGAGAAATTACCACACAGTCCATAAAGACATGTAGCATCCTAATTTTCAAACTGTGATTGTTTGCTAAATTAGTTTCTAGTCTGTTTTTTTTTTTTTTTTTTTTAACCTAGATGTGGTATTCCAAGGAAAGTCTTTTTTGGACTTACCGTGGGGATGATATTTAAAGTAGTAGTGCTCATTGGAGCTTGCAACTTTTCTTTTGGGGGTACAAGGAAGATCCTCAGTGTAATAAATTATCAGTTCATGTTCCTCTTTTTGAACCACCTTAACAAGAGATACAGCGGAAAGGAAAAGGCATTGACCATTTATTGAGTGTCTAGTTTGTGCCAGGAACATTCTTGCCATATATTGTTAATTCTTATAACCTCCTGAAGTAGATATTATTTTTATCGCCATTTTGCAGATAAAGAAATTACAGCTTCGAGGTTCAGTAGGGAATAAGCGAGAGGTGAGAAAGAAACTTAGGAATGTTTGATTTCAAGTCAACTTTGAAGCATGGCTAGTAGTATGAAAATCTGGGCAGATTTTTGTTTGCTTACTCTGGTACTGTAAAACCAGATGAGTTTTCTTTAGGATGTTTTCAGTTTTATTTGCCAGCCATTTGTCAGCCCCAGACCTATTTTATTTGGTTTTATAACACAGAGAAGCAAAATACAGAACTTAGAAATACTAGAATTCTAAAGAGAAATGATACTATATTCTTGTTGATGTTTGCATTCTTTTCTGATTGTTTTACAAATCTGCCGCAATTTTAGATGTTATACACAAAGTATATTGGAAGAATTATTAATTGTGACCTTCAAGTGTATTCAAGTGTCAGTTACAAATTGCTGTTGAAATGATGGCTCCAAATGTTACTTTTGGATATTGGTTGAGTTTAAAAGAATATAAAAATATAAAAAATAATAAAACATATTTATGAAAAATATATATTGTGTATTGTATGAAACTAATTTATTAAATTTATTTCTGAATATTGTTAGGTTCATAAATAAAAATGTATGGACCCAAGTGCCATCTTTTATTATATGTAATGTTAAGCACAATCTATTAAATATGCAAGAATCATTTTCTTAACTTACTTAAAGTTTAAATCTATAATGCAGAAGGTTTAAATGCAAACAAGCAGACCCTCTTCTGAAATTTTATCTTTTAAATATTAGTTTATTAATACGTCTTCCTATACTTTTTCTTTTTGAGACAGGGTCTTGTGCTGTCCCCCAGGCTGAAGTGCAGTGGCGAGATAATAGCTTGCTGCAGCATTGAATTCCTGGGCTCAAGTGATCTTCCCGCCTTAGCCACCTGAGTACCTGGGACTAAGGGCATGCATCACCACGCCCAGCTAATTTTAAAATATTTTGTAGAGACAGGATCTCACTGTGTTGCCCAGGCTGGTCTCAAACTCCTGGCCTCAAGTGATCCTCCTGCTTCAACCTCCCACTGTATTTGGGATTACCGGTGTGAGCCACTGTGCCCATCCTCTCTTTTTATAGTATCACTAGCTAGATGTATTTATTACCAGTTTACACTGGATATTTCTTGATAGAGACCTACTTAATAGAGTTCTCTGACCCTTCTAGCAGCTAGTCAATCTGGATCCTTTTTTAGATTATTTTCTGTATCTCTGTGTATTCATATACCTACGCAGGCTCTCATGGATCTGTCTTACAGTAGTTTGATAATGCTGGAATTTCTGAATTTCCCGGTACTTAAGGAGTATAGAGTCCTTAAGTGTGCCATCACATACATACTTGCTTATATGTTATTTTGAATTGATTTTTTCCTATTTTGTATATGTGCGTCTTGTCTTCTCTAGGTAGGATTATAAGCTCCTAAAGTGTAAGAATCATGTCTTGTGCTTTTAAAACACATGTATAGGATCAATGATTACTTTGATTACTTGTGGATTCATTTTTCGTTTTTCCTAGTTTAAGGGGCAAAGCAGAATAGCAAAGCAGATCAACAGTAGTTAGTTGCATGCGTGCTTTTTCATATCCTAGAGGAGAGAGAATACGAAGCTTGCAGAGAAGTGAAAAATTAAATAAGAGGGTGCTTACAGGGTTCTTTGATAAAGAGGTCAAGTATATATTTCTCAAATATAATGTACTTTGAAGTTAATAAAAGAATGGAAAATGGGGCATACATTTGGAAATGCATATAATAATGTTTAAGTAATAAAGAATTTTAGTGATTAAGTTTTTTTTTTACTTTAAATGTGATTTTCTGATATATGTTAATATTTTAATATTAGGACTCGCTGATTCTTGAGAAGAGTCAAAACTGGAGCTCTCAAAAAATGGACCATATTCTGATTTGCTGTGTTTGTCTGGGAGATAATAGTGAGGACGCTGATGAAATAATTCAGTGTGACAATTGTGGCATTACAGTCCATGAAGGTAATGTTGCTTTCTTTTCTCTCTTTTTAGAAATGGCTGACTGTGGCTCTTTTACATTTGTACTAAGGTGGTTCTACAATATTTCATGGTGTTTCGGTTGAAATAATGCTAAATCATCAAAGTATGGATGCTATTTTTCAGGTTATCTTTTCTTTTATTTTGAGATGGAGTCTCACTGTGTCGCCCAGGCTGGAGTGCAGTGGCACAATCTCGGTTCACTGCAACCTCCACCTCCCAGGTTCAAGCGATTCTGCTGCCTCAGCCTCCTGGGTAGCTGGGACTACAGGCGCCCACCACCACACCTAATTTTTGTGTTCTTTTTTATTTTATTTTTATTTATTTATTATTTTTGAGATGATGTCTCGCACTGTTGCCCAGGCTGGAGTGCAGTGGTGCTATCTTAGCTCACTTCATCCTCCGCCTCCTGGGTTCAAACTATTCTGCCTCAGCCTCTTAAGTAGCTGGGATTACAGGCACGAGCCACCATGCCTGGCTAATTTTTGTATTTTTAGTAGAGATGGAGTTTCACCATATTGGTCAGGCTGGTCTTGAACTCCTGACCTCGTGATCCACCCGCCTTGGCCACCCAAGGTGTTGGATTACAGGCGTGAACTACCGCGCCCGGCCAATTTTTGTGTTCTTAGTAGAGATGGGGTTTCACCATATTGGCCAGGCTGGTCTCAAACTCCTGACTTTAAGTGATCCGCCTGCCTCAGCCTCCCAAAGTGCTGGGATTACAGGCGTAAGCCACCGCACCTGGTCCCCCAGTCATCTTAATTAAAAAAAAAATTTTAAATAATGAAAATAGAAATGCTATATGAAAATCAGTGTTTCTTTAAAGGTCGGTGTTCTGGTATTGTATTTTATGGTACTGTTTCTTGTTTGTTTTTTTTTAATTTTTTAATTTTTTAATTTTTTTTTTTTTTTTTTGGTAGAGACAGGGTTTTGCTATGTTGCCCAGGCTGATCTTGAACTCCTGGCCTCAAGCAATCTGCCTGCCTCGGCCTCTCAAAGTGCTGAGATTACAGGCATGAACCAGTGTGCCAGGCCTTATTTCCAGTTTTTTTTTTTTAATTTTAAATTTTTAAAAATTATTTCTAGTTTTTAAATAAAATTCAGAAGTAGGAAAAAGTTGACTATTTTAGTCTGATAGAAAACATTCTTAAAAAATTTATATTCTATCAATTTTTTGTAGCTTCTTCTTTCATAGTTGTATTTTTATTTTTGAGACAGAGTCTTGCTCTTGTCCAGGCTGGAGTGCAGCGACACAATCTCAGGTCACTGCAACCTCTGCCTCCCAGGTTCAAGCGATTCTCCTGCCTCAGCCTCCCGAGTAGCTGGGATTACAGGTGCCTGCCACCATGCCTGGCTAATTTTTGTATTTTTAGTAGAGATGGGGTTTCACCATGTTGGCCAGGCTGGTCTCGATTTCCTGGCCTCAAGTGATCCACCCGACTCAGCTTCCCAAAGTGCTGGGATTACAGGCATGAGCCACCGTGCCTGGCTGACAGTATGTATTTGTTAAGAGCAAAGGGCCGGGTGCAGTGGCTCACGCCTGTAATCCCAGCACTTTGGGAGGCCGAGGCGGGCGGATCACCTGAGGTCAGGAGTTTGAGACCAGCCTGGCCAACATGGCGAAACCCCATCTCTACTAAAAATACAAAAATTAGCCGGGCGTGGTGGCTTATACCTGTAATCCCAGTTACTCGAGAGGCTGAGGCAGGAGAATCACTGGAACCCAGGAGGTGGAGGTTGCAGTGAGCCGAGATGGTGCCACTGTACTCCAGCCTGGGCGACAGAGGAAGACTGTCTCAAAATTTAAACAAACAAACAAAAAAAGGCATTCTCTTACATAACCACATAATTATCAAAGTCAGGAAGTTAGCATTGATGAAATGCTGTTTTATCTAATTTATATAGATTGTATTCAGATGTTGCCAATTGTCCCAACAATGTCATTTCTAACAAAATCAAAGCCAGGATCATGTATTGCATTTAATCGTCATGTCTGTTTAGTCACCTTTAATGTAGAACAGTCCTTGAGTTTCTGTCTCATAGACATTTTTAAATATATAGTCCAGTTTTTTTTATTTTGGTTTGTTTTTACAGAATGTTCCTAATATGATTAGATTTGGGTTATATGCTTTTGGCCGGAATACCACGGAAGTTATATAGTGTTCTTAGTGCATCGTATTAGGAAGCATATGATATTTATTTGTGCAGTTACTGGTGATATTACTATTACTTTTTTTCTCATTTTTATTGCATAAGCCTACCAATTTAGAATACTGGTGATATTTTGATCACTTGGTTGAGAGGGTGTCTTTCTGGTTTATCTGTGGTAAAGTTATTTTTTCTTACCAATTAATTATTATTATTATTATTATTTTTTAATCAGGGCTGTGACTACCACAAAACAGTATTTCTATGGCCTTTCTCTTACCTGCTTTTCTGGTATTACAGCCCTTGTCCCAAGTAATTCTGGGAGTCTGCTGGACTTGTGGGACTTTGCATGATCTGTGATTCTCTAGCTAATGCTCTGATCTTCATGTGGAGCTGCCCTTTTTTTGCTGCTAACACTCACTGTGGGAATATCTCCAGTTACTGTTATTCATTTATATTTTTAGTAATGTTTGTTGAGTACCTTCTATGTGCTTGGTATTCTGTAAATTTTAGGCATATGAAATAGAATGTACACATTGTTGACCTGGTGGAACTTAATGTCTGGACAGACAGGCAGTAAACAAACCAATAAATATCTCTTAGTTGGTGGCCCAGATTCTGAAGAAAAATGAAGTAGGACAAGGAGTATAGGAATGCTGTGTGTGAGGGTGGTTGGGTGAGTTGCAGAAGTTTGTATTTGTAAAAATTGATAAGGGGCTGGGTACGGTGGCTCATGCCTGTAAATCCCAGCACTTTGGGAGGCCAAGGCAAGCGGATCACCTGAGGTCAGGAGTTTGATATCAGCCTGGCCAAAATGGTGAAACGACGTCTCTGCTAAAAGTACAAAAATTAATCCGGCATGGTGGCACGTGCCTGTAATCCCAGCTACTCTGGAGGCTAAGGCAGGAGATTTGCTGGAACCTAGGAGGTGGAGGCTGCAGTGAGCCAAGATTGCGCCAGTGCACTTTGGCCTGGGTGACAGAGGGTGACTCTGTCTCAAAAAAAAAAAAAAAAAAGTTGTTAAGGGAAATCCACTCTGATAAGAGGATATTTGAGCAGTGACCTGAAGGAAGTAAAGGAGCAAGTCACTTAAATATATTGGGAACGAGCACTGCAAGTGGAGGGAGTAGTGAATGTAAAGATCTCAGCCAAGCACAATGGCCCACGCCTGTAATCCCAGCACTTTGGGAGGCCGAGGCAGTGAATCACTTGAGGTCAGAAGTTCAAGGCCAGCCTGTCCAACATGGTGAAACCCCATCTCTACTAAAAATACAAAAAATTAGCTGGGCATGGTGGCATGTGCCTGTAGTCCTAGTTACTCAGGAGTCTGAGGCAGGAGAATGGCTTGAACCCAGGAGGCAGAGGTTGCAGTGAGCTGAGGTCGAGCCACTGCACTCCAGTCTGGGCAACAGAGTGAGACTCCGTCTCAAAAAAAAAGATCTTGAAGTGGTAGCATGCTTAAGAGTGTTTGTATAATGGCACAGAAGTTTGTATGGCTAGAACTGGGTGAGCAAGCTGGTTAGTGGTGGGAGTAGAGATGGGAGTAATCCAGCTGGGGTCTTGCAGATTCCGGTACTGATTTTAGATTTTATTATTGTGTCCGGAATTGGTGGGTTCTTGGTTTCACTAACTTCAAGAATGAAGCTGTGGATCCTCGCGGTGAGTGTTAACAGTTTTTAAAGGCGGCGTGTCCGGAGTTTGCTCCTTCTGATGTTCGGATGTGTTCGGAGTTTCTTCTTTCTGGTGGGTTCGTGGTCTCGCTGGCTCAGGAGTGAAGCTGCAGACCTTCGCGGTGAGTGTTACAGCTCATAAAGGCAGCGCGTACCCGAAGAGTGAGCAGCAGCAAGATTTATTGCAAAGAGCGAAAGAACAAAGCTTCCACAGTGTGGAAGGGGACCCGAGCGGGTTGCCATTGCTGGCTGGGGCAGCTTGCTCTTATCCCCTTCTCTGGCCCCACCCACATCCTGCTGATAGGTCCATTTTACAGAGAGCTGATTGGTCTGTTTTGACAGGGTGCTGATTGGTGTGTTTACAATCCCTGAGATAGACACAAAAGTTCTCCAAGTCCGCACAGAGCACTGATTGGTGCATTTACAAACCTTGAGCTAGACACAGGGTGCAGATTGGTGTGTTACAAACCTTGAGCTAGACACAGAGTGCTGATTGGTGTATTTACAATCCCTTAGCTAGACATAAAGGTTCTCCAAGTCCCCACCAGATTAGCTAGATACAGAGTGCTGATTGGTATATTTACAATCCCTTAGCTAGACATAAAGGTTCTCCAAGTCCCCACCAGATTAGCTAGATACAGAGTGCTGATTGGTGCATTTACAAGCCTTGCGCTAGACACAGAGTGCTGATTGGTGTATTTACAAACCTTGAGCTAGACACAGAGTGCTGATTGGTGTATTTACAATCCCTTAGCTAGACATAAAGGTTCTCCAAGTCCCCACTAGACTCGGGAGCCTAGCTGGCTTCACCCAGTGGATCCCGCACCAGGGCCACATGTGGAGCTGCCCGCCAGTCCCATGCCGTGTGCCCGCATTCCTCAGCCCTTGGGTGGTCGATGGGACCGCGCCACAGAGCGGGGGCAGCACTCATAAGGGAGGCTCAGGCCACGCAGGAGCCCATGGCGGGGTGGGTAAGGCTCAGGCATGGTGGGCTGCAGGTTCCGAGCCCTGCCCCGCAGGGAGGCAGCTGAGGCCCGGCGAGAATTTGAGAGCAGCGCCGGCGGGCCAGCACTGCTGGGGGACCCGGTGCACCCTCCACAGCTGCTGGCCCAGGTGCTAAGCCCCTCACTGCCCGGGGCTGGCAGTGCCCGCCAAGCCCATGCCCACCCGGAACTCGCGCTGGCCCGCAAGCGCCTTGCACAGCCCCGGTTCCCACCCGTGCCTCTCCCTCCACACCTCCCCGCAAGCTGAGGGAGCTGGCTCCACCCTCGGCCAGCCCAGAGAGGGGCTCCCACAGTGCAGCTGCAGGCTGAAGGCTCCTCAAGTGCGGCCAGAGTGGGCGCCAAGGCCGAGGAGGTGCCAAGAGTGAGCGAGGGCTGTGAGGGCTGCCAGCACGCTGTCACCTATCATTATGATGGATGTGGGAAGCCATAACATGGCTTTTCAGCAGAGGATTAATATGGTTTGATTCATGTTTTGGAAGGATCACTCAGACTGCTGGGTTGGGAGTAGACTGAAGTGAATCTAAGGTGGGAAACTAGGAAAATATTTAGGAGACCATTGCAATTATCTAAGAGAGGAATTGGTTTTGAGGTAGATAGTAAAAGTTTGGTTTTAAACTCTGTTTATGTAAGATGTTAGGACTAGAAATTTAAATTTGGGACTTATCAGCCTGAAGATGTTATGCAAAGATGTAAGACTAAATGCTTGTAACAAAGTCATCCTAGTACTTTAGAGGAGATGGGGAACACATGGCCAGTGAGATATGAGGACCATGGGTGATGACCCAGAGAAAACTGTTTCAAAAAGAGAGTCAGTAAATGTGTCAAATAATGTTTTTAAGAGTGGGAAATCACCCTAATTCAATGCTGGACTTCAAGTACACCACCAGGCAAGCTATCCCAGAGGTTATTGAAAAAAAAAACTAATTGATAAAATGTTTATATCACATGATTCATTAAATAAATATAAAATACACAGAAGCAAGGGGAAAGATAGAGGATAAGTTAACTCATTTAGGCTGGGGTTTAAGTAGGATAGAAGGACCACACTACCTAAATAAATCCTGGGGTACATAGTGTTGATATGTTTTGGCTTATCAACCTTCTTTGCTAATGCTGCGGTTGTGAGAACCAGAGCCCACAAGATAGGTGCCCAGGGCCAAAGATAGGCACACTCTCAGGAACATACAGGAGCAAGTATGCCTGGTCATGGCGTTAGCTCTCCAGTTAATCTACTCAACAGCCGTAGGTTTTATTTTTATTTGTTAGTGGACAGAGTAGGTATCACCAATGGGTGGCCAAATTAAGGCCTCAGGAATATTGAGTTCTAAGTGTCGCATATATGTTTAATGTATTCTGACTCTTTGGTGCCTTTTGCATATTTGCCTCAAGAATATTAGATACATCTTGGTCCTTCTATCCCTTTCTGTCTGTATTTAATGCATACGTGCTTTACTTACTTTTTATCTATACATACACATATAAGTTTTATTGATCTCATTTTGTTTCTCTATAGTAGAGTTTAATATCCTCAAGCAGAGCAAAAAGACATTATTACTGAGAATATATCACTGAATTTAGTAACATGAGGGTCATTGGCCATCTTGACCTGAGAGAGTTCAAAGTGAGAATAAAAGAAGGGAAAGTGCAAAAAGTGACCAAATGCAATTCCTGTGATGAGTTTTTATATAGAGAAGCCAGGAGATGGGACAAGGGATGTGAAATTGAGGGAGGGTTTTTTTCTTTCTTATTTTAGATGCTGTATTGATTATCTGCTGCAGTGGAACAAATTATCCCAAAACATAGCAGCTTAAAACAACAAACATTTATTATTTCACATGATTTCTAAGGGGTAAGAAGCTGGGAGCAGTTGGTTGGGTTGTTCTGGCTTAGAGTCTCTCATGAAGTTGCAGGTCAAAGCCATAGCCTGGGCTGTAGTCATTTTAAGATTTGGCTGGACCTGGAGGATTTGCTTCTAAGCTAAGTCAAATAGTTGTTGGTAGGCTTCAGTTCTTTGATGGCTGTTGGCCAGAGACCTCAGTTTCCTACTGCATGGACCTCCCTCATAAGCTGCATGAATGTCTTCATGAAGGGCAGCTGGCTTCAGAGTAAGTGATCAAAGAGAGAAAGAGACGGAAGCAGTTGTATCAGAGTGCTAGTATATTTTATAATCTAATATTGGTAGTGCATACAACCATTTCTGCCATATTCCGCTGTTCACACAAGCCAACCCTAGTCAGATGTAGGTGGGGGCATTCTAAGAGTGTAAATACCAGGAGGCACTGATTATTAAGGGCTATCTTAGAGGCTGCCTACCACATGTGCAGAGATTATATAGCATGTTGTGTGCTCATGGAAGTGACCCAGTGGAAAGGGAGAATTGGTGATATAAGGAAAATAGTGAGGAAAGAAGGGGGAACAATTGCTGGAACAAAGGTTTTGAGTGCAAGATTAGAGGGGATGAGATCCAGTACCAAGTAGAGAGATTGAGTAGATAAGAGTAACCATAGTAATTAGGGAAAAAAGGATATATGGGTCCAGATGTAGCTAGGTTGTTAGATGTGGTAGTTGGAGCATGTGTAAGTTATTTTTAAAATGTTTCTTGTTTTCTCAGTGAAATAGGAAGCAAAGCCATTAGCAGAGAGTGGGACAGTGGGGAGTTAGAGATTTGGGGAGGCAGAGTTGTATAAATTTATTTGGGAGAATAAACTGAATAAGGAAACATATACCTAAAATATATATGTATACACACACAGACACATATATGTATATATACACACACATACACAGCAATAAGACCACTTGATATTAGTGGTAATGAATATAAAGAGCTCATTAATATAAATATATTCATATGAATATGATATTAGTGGTAATGAATACTGTTACTGAGAAAAGTAAACATGGTTGAATATATGTGTATTTTTCTTCTCCAGGTGTGGTTCAGATTCCTGGGAGTAGGTAAAGAATATGTTAACTCAGGAGTAGCAGCTACTTTGGCAGTGTTTGTTACATTGATCACTGATGATCACAAACATGTTACTGCTGCTTATATCCATGAATGTCATTGCTGATGTGTGATACAGTCATGATGAGTTCTGTCAGTTTTGGTGATTCTCTTATGATGCTGAGGGCACTATCTCTATTTTTCTCTGCTTCATTATAATGCTGAGTACCATCTCTACTTCTTAAGTCATTCTTAGGTCTACTTCTTAGATTGTGGTCATTGACTATGGATGTATTTTTTTAGGCCAGCACAGTAGTTTTGAGTAATTGAATTGGTTGCTAACATTTAGACATTGGGAAATCGTACACATTTAGGATTTCAAGCTTCTTTTGCAAAGTTCTGGCGGCACTAGGGTTTTTTGCTGTTGTTGTTGTTGTTAAGTGATGGAGTGCCCCAGGCTTGCCTCAAACTCCTGGGCTCAAACAATCTTCTTGTTTCAGCTTCCTGAGTAGCTGTGACTAAAGGCATTAAAGGCATATGCCTGCCCTTGCAGTAGTTTTCACTTTCTTCTAGCACAATCTGCTGGAGCTGAATAAGGCTGCCCCCTGATAGTAAGGCCTGTGGTCTCCAGTTCACTCCAGTCCTCTCTCAAACCACTTACTCATTTTTGTTAGTTGCCTAGTCCCTGGAGATATTTGAATATATAGTTCCTTATCTGCTTTGAGGGTACTGTCTCTTGTTGCTGATATTTGGGCTGCTGATGCCTTGTGGTCTCAATGTCTCACATCTATAATAGTAAAGCAACTCTTTTACTATAGCTTTTACTTTAGGACACAAGCTTGAGTCCACTGGGGACTAGTTCCATGTACATTTCAAAATGACCCTCGCTCTCTATTTTGTTGTTTTTGAGTCATGTTTTGCTCCTTGGACTCTTAACTTAGGATGAGTTCTTTCCCAGTAGATTCATTGTTCAGATAAACATAGATTTCTGTAAGGGCACAACATTAGTTCCACTGACATGCTTACAGCTATTGAAAGTTCATAATACGACCCCTGCTTCAGATGAATAGCCTCGGTACTGGAAAATCTACCTTCTTTCCAAAGTAGCTTTGATTTTCAGAAACATTTAAAAAGTCTGAATCAAGGCAGACAAATGAGATGATCAAGCTGAGTGGTAATGCCAATTAAGTCAACAGGATGTTGTGTCTATATAAAGTCATGTAACAACTCTTCTTGTGTAATTGATTTAACTGACTTTGATGGCAGTCCAAGTTATAAATATTTTTGAGACTTTGCTAATGATAACTCATTTAATTCCTAAAACTAATTCATTAGAATTGGAGACCTATTTTTGTTACAGAGAAGGAAGAAAGTAGAGAAGGAGAGGGAAATTGATGCATAAATAGGGAAGCTGAATAGTCTTTGACCACTTTAGGTGAATCTTTATTTTGTATAATTAATTTATTGGTAGTAATTTGAATTCTGTGAACTTTATATATGTTCCAAGTAAAGATGCAAAAGATGCAAAAAGGTCAAAAATACGTTTTGACTTAAAAAATTACGCTACTACTTTCATCCTCTAGTTTAAATAATTTCCCATTTCCCTTTTTAATTTTGGAGTTTCTGTTGTATGATTGATTTTGTATGTTGTATTATTAGACTTTCTGTTGTATGATGTGGAGTATCTTTTCATATGCTTATTTGCCTTTTTTTTTTTTTTTTTTTTTTTGAGATGGAGTCTTGCTCTGTTGTTCTGGCTGGAGTGCAGTGGTGGGATCTTGGCTCACTGCAACCTCTGTCTCCCAGGTTCCTGCGATTCTCGTGCCTCAGCTTCCTGTGTAGCTGGGATTACAGGCACACACCACTACACCTGACTAATTTTTTATTTTTAGTAGAGATGGGGTTTTGCCATGTTGGCCAGGCTGGTCTCAAACTCCAGACCTCAAGTGATCCACCTGCCTTGGTCTCCCAAAGTGCTGGGATTACAGGCGTGAGCCACCACACCCACCCTTATTTACCTTTTGTATATCTTCTTGGATGAGGTGTCTATTCAGATCTTTTGCCCATTTTTAAAAATTGGTTTGTTTTCTTATTGTTAAGTTTTAAGAGTTCCTTGTATATTTTGGATATCAGTTCTTTATCAGATAGGTCTTTTGCAAATACTTTCTCCCAGTCTGTAGTTTGTCTTTTTATTCTCTTGAAGGTATCTCTCACAGAGCAGAAGTTTTACATTTTAATGGAGTCCAACTTATAAATTATTTCTCTTGTTTATTACGCTTTTGGTCTTGTATCTAAAAAGTCGTTACTATGCCTGAGGTTATCTAGATTTTCTCCCGTGTTATTTTCTAGTTCTATAATTTTTTAATTATAAATTTTCTTAATTAAAAATTTAAAAATTTTTATAAATTTGCATTTCACATTTGGGTCTGAATTTATTTTTGTTACGAGTATACGGTCTGTCTCGGAATTCATTATTTTGCATGTGTGTGTTCAATTTTTCTATCACCATTTGTTAAAAAAGCTGTCTGTGCTCCCTTATATTGCCTTTGCTCCTTTGTCAAAGATCAGTTGACTATATTTCTTTGGGTCTTTTTCTGGGCTCAGTTTGTTCATCAACTGACCTATATATCTATTCTTTGATTAATACCACACTGTCTTGATTACTGCAGCTTCATAGTAAGTCTTGAAGTTGAGTAGTGTTACTCCTTTGACTTGTTTTTTTTCCTTCAATATTATGTTAGCTCTTCTGGGTTTTTTGCCTCTCCATGTAAACTTTAGAGTCAGTTTGCAGTATCTACAAAATTACATCCTGGAATTTTGATTGGGATTTTATTGAATCTATAGATCAAGTTGGGAAGAAATGACATCTTGACAATATTGAGCTTTTTTATTCATGAACATAATAAACATTTATTTATTTAGTTCTTTGATTTCTTTCATCAGAGTTTTGCAGTTTTCTTCATAGAGATCTTGGCAATATTATTTTATTTTTTGGGGGGTGCTAATGTAAATGGAATTTTGTTTTTAATTTCAATTCTACTTGTTCATTGCTTTCATAAGAAAGCAATTGGCTTTTGTATATTAAGTTTGTATGCTGCAGTCTTGCTATAATTGCTTTTTAGTTCCAGGAAATTTTTGGCTACTCTTCCAGATTTTCTACTTAGACAGTCATGTCATCTGAAAGCAAAGATAATTTTATTTCTTTCTTTCCAGTGTGTATATTTTTGTTTCCCTTTCTTGTCTTATTACCTGATGTTGAAAGCAGTACTGACAGAGAACATCCTTGCCTCATACCTCATCTTTGTGGGCAAGCTTCTAGTTTCTCATCGTTAAGTATGATGTTAGCTATAGGTTTTTTTTGTAGTTTCTTTATGCTCTAGTTGAGGAAATTACTCCTTATTTCTGTTTGTGTTTTTTTTTTACTTGTTTGTTTTGAGACAGAGTCTCACTCTGCTGCCCAGGCTGGAGTGCAGTGGCGCAATTTCGGCTCACTGCAACCTCTACCTCCTGAGTTCAAGTGATTCTCCTGCCTCAGCCTCCCCTAATGTGTATAATTTTAAAAGGTGCCTCAAGATTCCTCATGCAGGAGATGGGAAGGATCATCCTTTGAGAGACATTGGTTTAGAAGAAAGTAAAAATGGGGGGATAAAAGGAACTCTGCAATGTGGACGATGTCATGCTGGAGCTTAGACAGCCACAGGTGTAGGTCAAGGGGGGAGCCAGAGCAATGTAGAATGAAGTATGGTTCCTGGTATAAGGCAAATATCAGGTTGACAGTGAGGTTTCTAAAAATTAAGACTTTTTATTTTATTTATTTATTTATTTTTGAGACGGAGTTTTGCTCTTGTTGTCCAGGCTGGAGTGCAATGGAGCAATCTCGACTCACTGCAACCTCCACCTCCTGGGTTCAAGCAATTCTCCTGTCTCAGCCTCCCAGAGTAGCTGGGACTACAGGCATATGCGCCACCACGCCCAGCTAATTTTTTGTATTTTTATTAGAGACGGGATTTCTCCATGTTGGTCAGGCTGGTCTTGAACTCCCCCGCCTCTGGTGATCCACTCGCCTCTGCCTCCCAAAGTGCTGGGATTACAGACGTGAGCCACCGCGCCCGGCCAAAAATTAAGACTTCTTAATCCTCTTAATAATGGTTAGGGCAAACACAGGAAAGAAGAGGCAAAAATGAAATGCTGATGACAAAAATTAACGGTGTGAGCACCAATAGAAGGTTGAGGGTCAATGCAGATGGAAGCTTGGGTAGTATCTGCTAAAGAGATGTGCCACCTCTTGCTCCAGCTCTTCTACTGTCTTCAGGGTGATTTTTCTTTCTTTTTTTTTTGAGACGGAGTCTCGCTCTGTCACCAGGCTGGAGTGCAGTGGCATGATCTCCGCTCACTGTCGCCTCCCAGCTTCAAGGAATTCTCCTGCCTCAGCCTCCCAAGTAGCTGGGATTACAGGCGTGTGCCACCACACCCAGCTAATTTCTGTATTTTTAGTAGAGATGGGGTTTCACCATGTTGGCCAGGATGGTCTTGATCTCCTGACCTCGTGGTCCGCCCGCCTTGGCCTCCCAAAGTGCTGGTGCATATCTGTTCATATTATTTTCTGCTTAAAATCAGTCCCTTAAAATAAAGTTCACGCTAATAGCAGGACTCTCTGAGATCCCATACCCTGACCATTTGAATGACTTGTCTTTTTCTCCAGTGTTTGGGGGCTTTCATATATGCTTTTCCTTTTACCCAGATTCCTCTTGTTCCACAAATATAACCTAAATACATAGGTGTTAAGCCAGTGTTTACCGTTTGTCTTCCTGTTATTTGGAGATTTGAAAAATCTTACTTTTAATTTTATTTTTAAATATTTTATTGTGTATATTTCAGGTATACAATATGTTGTTATGGGATACATATAGATAGTAAAAAGGTTACTGTAGTGAAGGAAATGAACATATCCATCATCTCACATAATTACCCAATTTTTAAAAAGTTTACCAAGTCCATCCTTCTGCAGAAATTACCTATTTTTTTGTTTTTGTGACAAGAACAGCTAAAATTTACATTTAACATGAATCCCATACACAGTACAAGTTTATTACCTTGAATTAATTCATTAAAATATTCTTAATTATAAGTGACATATGAGTAGATATGTAAAAATAGTTATGCTGTCTGTCTCAACTCTACTTCTCTTTGCATAGGGAATCACTGTTAACAATTTGGTATGTATCTACCCCATCTGTTGTACCTTGTGTACCAGGGGTTTTTTAACTTTATTTTATTATGTAGATATATGTCCTCTGTGGAAAACATCAGTAGAAATAAGCTAAGAAAACATCTCCCAGTTGGGCTTGGTGGCTCACGCTTGTAATCCCAGCACTCTGGGAGGTTGAGGTGGGTGGATCGCTTGAGCTCAGGAGTTTGAGACCAGCCTGGGCAATGTGGTGAAACCCTGTCTCTACAAAATACAGAAAAATCAGCCAGGTGTGGTGGCTTGCGCCTGTAGTCCCAACTACTTGAGGGGCTGAGGCAGAGGATCGCTTGAGCCAGGGAGTTCAAGGCTGCAGTGAACCAAGATTGCACCACTGCATTCCAGTATGGGCTACAGAGGAAGACTTTGTCTCAAAAAAAAAAAAAAAAAAAAAAAGAAAAGAAAAAGAAAACATCTCTCATAATCATACCACCTAGAGGTAAATATGCTTAAAACTTTAGTGTTTGTTCTTCCAGGCTTTTTTTTTTTTTTTGGTTGCTTGCTCATACATATACACAAATATATATTTTTAATTTAATAGCCAATAATATGCACACTCTTCTTATAATCTGTATACCTCTATTGTCACTATGGTTTCTCCACACCCCACAGGATCCATTCAGGTACCATGAGTTGCACTTGTGTTATATCTCTTTAGTCTCCATTAATCTAGAACAATTTTTCTGCCATTTTGTGGTGTTCATGATGTTGACATATTGAAGAATCTTAGTTTTTATAATGTCATATTGAATATCTCTCAGTCTGGATATATCTGATTGTTTTCTTGTGATTAGATTCAGTTTAAATTTTTTTTTTTTTTTGTAAGAGTATTGTGCTGGTGTTTAGTTCCCATTATATCACATCAAAAGACGTATAATGTGGCTGGGTGCGGTGGCTCATGCCTGTAATCCCAGCACTTTGGGAGGCCGAGGTGGGTGGATTACTTGAAGTCAGGAGTTCGAGACCAGCTTGGTCAACATGGTGAAATCCCGTCTCTACTAAAAATACAAAAATTAGCCTGTAATCCCAGCTGGTTGGGAGGCTGAGGCACAAGAATAGCTTGAACCTGGGAGGCGGAGGTTACAGTAAGCCAAGATTCTGTCACTGCACTCCAGCCTGGGCAATAGAGCGAGATTCCGTCTCAAAAAAAAAATGTATAATGTCAATTTATTGCATTATTGGTGATAGTTTAGGTGATGTCAACCACAGACCTCTTAATTTTAAAGGTTTTTTTTTTCTATTTGTAATTAATGATAAATCTGTGGGGTAATAACTTTGAGACTCTGTTAATATGCCATTCTCTAGCAACTTTCCACTTAATAGTTTTAGCATCCTTGTCAAAGTCACTGATTACAATTACACTGATTACATATGTAGGCTGCAAGATGGAAATTTGCTAATTCCAATTCTAATTCCTCCTACATTTATTAGGAAGCATTTACTGTGTAAAGAAATTCTCTTCCCCTTTTTTTCCTTTTCAGTATTACTGTGAGCTCATATGTTATAATCTATTAACTGATTGCTGTTTCTGTTACTTATTACATTGTCCAAGTTTGACCAGTGAGAGTCCTTTAAGAAGGCCCTTGTGTATACACAAACACTTCTCTCTCTTTCTCTCACTGTTTCTCTGTTTTGTCCACCACTTTTCTGTCTCTACCTCTAAATAAACTGGATAAATCCCTAAGATATTTTTCTACAACTTGCTTTGTTTCACTCATCTGTTAATTCTGTAATTCTTCTCATGTCAGTGTATGTGGGATATTTCATTCTTTTTAATGATACATAGAATGGCTCAACCATAATGTACTTATTTTTTTGTTTCAAGTTTTTCACTTATATATAGTGCTGACAAACATGTGCCATGTATATATATGTAATAATTTCTGTGGGATAGATACCTAGAAGTAAAAATTCTTTTTTTTTTTTTTTTTTTTTTTTGAGACGGAGTCTCGTTCTTTCACCAGGCTACAGTGCAAAGGTGAGATCTCGGCTCACTGCAACCTCTGCCTCCTGGGTTCAAGCGATTCTCCCGCCTCAGCCTCCTGAGTAGCTGGGACTACAGGCATGCGCCACCTCACCCGGCTATATTTTTGTATTTTGAGTAGAGACGGGGTTTCACCATGTTGGCCAGGTTGGTCTCGATCTCCAGACCTCATGATCTGCCCACCTCGGCCTCCCAAAGTGCTGGGATTACAGGGAAGTAAAATTTCTTAGTCAAAAGATAAGTGTATTTAAACTTCTAAAAACCATTTCCAGATTGACTACCAAAAGGACTGTACTAATTACCAACAATGCACAAACTACTTGATAACATTGCATATTTGTAAATTTTCTTTTATTCTTTTGGATATAATCTCTTTATTACAATGTGCATTCACCTTATTAAGAATGAAGTTTGGCATCTTGTGGCCATTTGCCACATTTTGTTTTCTGTTACTTGCCTGTCATTTTCTTAGTCATTTCTTTTCTTTTTTTTTCTGGTGAAAACATACACATATATTTAGAATTAGCCAGCTGGACTCAGTTTAGATGATCCCAATTTTGTTGGCAAGATTCAAAGCATTGTAATCAGGAGCCAGTCGAACATATGCCTTCTTTTCTCCATCAGGCCGAATTAGGGTGTTGACACCTTGGCCACATCAATGTCACAGAGCTCCTTCACAGCCTGTTTGATCTGGTGCTTGTTGGCTTTAACTTCCTCAGTGAACACAAGCATGTTGTTGTCTTCTATCTTCTTCATGGCAGACTCAGTGGTCAGCAGAAACTTGATGATGGTATAGTAGTCAAGCTTGTTTCTCCTGGGGGAGCTCTTCCGAGGATATCTGGGCTGCCTCCAGAGTCTCAGTGTCTTGGGCTGCTGGAAGGTGGGTGACATGCGGATCTTCTTTTTTGGTGGCTGTGGACACCTTTCAACACTGCCTTCTTGGCCTTGAAAGCCTTCGGTTTGGCTTCAGCTTTAGGAGGGACAGGAGCTTCCTTCACTTTCGGCACTGTCTTGTGAAAAGCATAGTCATTTCTTGTCCTGGCGCGGTGGCTCACACCTTTAATCCCAGCATGTTGGGAGGCTGAGGCATGTGGATCACCTGAAGTCAGGAGTTTGATACCAGCCTGGTTAATGTGGTGAAACTCCCTTCTCTACTAAAAATACAAAAAATTTGCCAGGTGTGGTAGTGGGCACCTGTAATCCCAGCTACTTGGGAGGCTGAGGCAGGAGAATCGCTTGAACCCAGGAGGGCTTGAACCCAGGAGGCGGAGATTGCAGTGAGCCGAGATCGCGCCATTGCACTCCAGCCCGGGTAACAAGAGCGAAACTCCGTCTCACAAAAAAAAAAGAAAGAAAAGAAAAGCTTAGTTATTAGGTTCTCTTTTTTTCTCATTGACTTATTGGAATTCTTTTTTTAATGGTCTTTGTCTGTTATATGTGTTGCAAATATTTTCCATCCTTGCAAATGTTTTTTATGTTTTCCATCCTGTTCTGTATCCTTTAACTTTGTGATTTTTTATTGTTTACAATTTTCTGTACAGTTAACACCTGTAGATTTTTTTTCCCCCTTAACTCTTTTGGGACTAGTTTTTAAGTTTCAAAATGAATTTTTATCTAAAACTCAATCCAAAGAAAGGGACATTTTTAAAAGTGTAATAAGTAGCTAGTATTGCTAGAGTCTTTTGTTTTTAAATATGGTTGCTTACAGTGACAGACTTCCATATTGTAATTCAGCCATGCAATTTTTAAAAAACATGGTTAAATATGAACTTCATGAATACTTTATTTAGAGAAAACTATTTGCCTATCATAATACATGAATATTAAATAAAATGTGGAAAATATAGAACAGAGAGAAGAAAAAAACATTTCTAATTGTCCTCATATCCAGACAGCCATAGTATTTTGTTGCATTTCTTTTATCTCCTTTTTTTTGAGAAATATGCTTATTCTCAAGTAATTGCATAAGGATCTTTAAGTTGAGATTTTGCTAAAAGATAGTATGCCAAATTTCGCTTATTGAATTTATAATTGTTTACTGTAATTACTTTTCAGAGTGCTCACTTCATCTAAATCTCTTTTCTTTTTGAAATTTGAGGGCTGCAGTGTGTCACTTAGTATAAATATCTTTGTGGGAAGATCTTCTAATATTAGGGTACCTCTGACCGTGATGTCACTTATCCTGATATCCTGATTGTAGTGTGTCTGAATTCAGGAGAATGTCAGGTATATGTTAGTACTTGACAGAAGTTAGGTAGTGTACTTACCAGCAGTTGCCCTCAGGTTTAGTTGCTATTCATTAAATGAGATAAGGCTTACTAAGAGATGTTTCCCCCTATTTATTTTTCAGTTTACTGTTAGCCTAGCCCAAGGCCATTTTTGTTTTTTAGTGTATGCAAAAAGATATCCTTAGGAGTGTTCACTGGATAGTAGAATATGTTCAAGTTACAACCATTTGGTACTTTACTTCTTTTGTGCTTTAGGACAGGGGTCCCCAACCAGGTGGTACTGGTCCTTGGCCTGTTAGGAACTGGGCCTCACAGCAGGGGGTGAGCGGCTGGTGAGGGAGCATTACTGCCTGAACTCCACCTCCTGTCGGATCAGTGGCAGCATTGGATTCTCCTGGAAGCGCGAACACTATTGTGAACTGCACATATGAGGGATCTAGGTTTCATACTTCTTATGAGAATGTGATGCCTGATGATCTGAGGTGGAACAGTTTCATCCAAAATAATCCCCCTGTCCCATCCATGGAAAAATTGTTTTCCACGAAACCAGCCCCTGGTGCCAAAAAGGTTGGGGACCAATGCTTTGGGATATATTTCTGACAAGTATTATGCATGTTGTAGGTACTGTCTTTCTCGTAAACAATATTACTCATTTTAAAATCTTTTTTGGCCGGGCGCGGTGGCTCACGCCTGTAATCCCAGCACTTTGGGAGGCTGAGGTGGGTGGATCACGAGGTCAGGAGATCGAGACCATCCTGACTAACATGGTGAAACCCCGTCTCTACTAAAAATACAAAAAAATTAGCCGGGCATGGTGGTGGGCGCCTGTAGTCCCAGCTACTCGGGAGGCTGAGGCAGGAGAATGGCTTGAACCTGGGAGGTGGAGCTTGCAGTGAGCTGAGATCATGCCACTGTACTCCAGCCTGGGCGACAGAGTGAGACTCTGTCTCAAAAAAAAAAAAAAAAAGTCTTTTTTATTGATGAGTTTCATAGTCAAAAGTCTAATGATATATTAAGTACAGAAAAAGTGTTTTAAGTTTTTAAATGGCAACTTTTATATACCTGTTTTATATATACCGAAATATAATTAGGATAGATATTATTAAACACATACTGCAGATGAAATAACTAAGCTTCAGAGATTTGGTTTGTTCAAAGTTACACAGCTAGAAGATGGAAGACTGAAAGTCCACTGGCCCCTGTGTGAAAAGCTGAATGGGGAACATTTCCACTGATTTGAATTATCCATACCTTTGTACAACTCAAAACAATTGTAAACACATATTTTTATTTTCTTAAATATGAGTTGTGTACATTGCATATATTAGTCAAAGATTGATGCTAATTAAATGGCCATAGAAACATGTCTTCTGTGTTACCCATTGGAAACACACTGAGCACATATGAGTTTTATGTGTTTATACATTGTTTATTTTGTTTACCCATATGAAAAAGAAAATATGTTTCCCATACTCATGTTTTATATGGAAGAGAGAAAGATTTTAGAACGTATTTAGTCACTAATTAAAATGAATTGGAGCAGATATACAGTGCTAGAACTTTGGTCTAGAGCTCAGTAAACCCAACAGGTATGACAGAGAAATATGGGATAAGTGGCAGGTAAAAGTGGCAAGTAAAGAACTCTATAAAGGTAATGACACAGTATGGATCATTTTTCAGGGACAGTGAAGCTGAAGAAAAAATACATACAGACTTGCTGGTTGTTCTTTGAGCTTGCACAACACCATTCTTCCAGATTACAAAGGAAGAATTTCCTGGGAATGGATTTCAGAATCATTCCTAAGATTAACTGTAGGAGGTTTAAAACTCTGTGCAAATGTGCACGTTTGCTATGTGTGTGGAATATTCTTTAAAAATATAATTGAAAATTTTCTTTATTCTGAAAAAGTGAACTGCTGTGATTTACCTTGATTTGGCTGAATGAAGTTAATAAATTGGATAGCTCCTTAAGGGCTTTATTCTCTTGGTAATTGCCTACTTGTGTGGATGCACATTTTATCTAGTTTGAATTTGTTTCAAAGGAACATTATTTTGTAAATAAAATATATATTTTTTCCCATGTGGTATTGCATAGCACATGGAGAAAATAGATTGATGATACCGTTTCATTTTATGATTTTTCTTTGAATATAATGTTTTGTTCTTTTATTGGAAATAAAACTGACCCCAAGAATAAAATTATATTTCCTTTTAATTTTATGATAGTGCATTTAAAGTAATGTATATCTACCCAAGGTGATGAAGATGATGATTGCCAACCACAATTTAATGACATTAAAGAAATTAATGAGTTTTGATTCCTTTGCTTATCTTGTGTGTTATAGTCTAACTCCTTTTAAATCTGTTCTTTGACATTTTATATGACTTTCAGATTGTGTGCGTATATATGATACATATAATTATGTATTAAAGTATGTTAATTAAAAATGTTAATTAAATGAAATTAATTATATAGTTTAATTTGTAACTATTAATATTAACTATATTTAGCATAACTATTAACATAGTATATATGAAATCCATATATACATATATATATACACACACACATGCATAATCTGAAAAAATATATATACTTTTTTGAGACGAGATTTTGCTCTGTTGCCCAGGCTGGTTCACTGGCACCCTCCACATCCCAGGCTCAAGTGATTCTCCCACCTCAGCCTTTCTAGCACCTGAGACTACCGTGTGTGCCACCATGCTTGGCTAAACTCTTTTTTGTATTTTTTGTAGAGACAGGGCCTTACTATGTTGCCCAGGCTGATCTGAAACTCCTGGGCTCAAGCGATCATCCTGCCTCAGCCTCCCAAAGCATTGGGATTGCAGGCATGAACTACACGCCTTGGCTGACTTTCAGATTTTATTAAAATTCACTGTTATAAAACCTTTGAATAGCATAAGGATAACAATTAAACAGTTGCTTGAAGCAGCTTGTGTAAGTCATAGCTGCAAACCAACTTTTTAGTTTTTTGCTTACTATTAGGCTATTTTAGTTATGATCTATATTTGGTAAGTAGTGTTTTAATGAAATACTTACATGTAACCACTGACATATAATGACGTCTAGTTAATTAATGTTGGTAATTTAAAATTATTTACTAATTGTATATGGCTCTTTTCCTTTCTCGTGGGTGATTTGTTTAACTCAGTATTCATTCATTTATATACTGTAGTTATTTATTTTAGTTTGAATTTCTTTGATGGTTGTGAGAGGTCACGCTCCAATTTAGGCTCCTGGTTGTCTGGTTAGTGTTTACCAGTTCAAATAATCACATGATCTTACATTGGATATATATAAACTTACCCATATGGTGAAGTCTTTTAGGAGACGATCATGTTAAATGTTTCTCACTGTGGCTTATTTAATGTCATCAGTTTATTGCGTGTTACTTTGGATGCCCCTTAGAACTTGGCACCAAGACCTACCCTCTTAGAATAAACCTGGTCAAAAGGATGTTGGGATGGTTGCTATTTTATCTTTAGAAATGACCTATTTTGAGATGTAATAAATGTGTCTCAGGAGACTGGAGAAATGCCCAAACCTAAAGGTGATACTTCAGGACAAGAATTAAGTTGCAATGTGTTCATTATTATATATGCTTTAGATTGTTTCTTTGAAGGATGTTTTACATTAGGGCAGTGCCTTCCTTTTTAGAGGAAGGGAAATTTGATAATAAGTTAGTGTATGTCCACTACCATTTGGGAAAAAGAAATCTATTTAGGAGTCATGACTATCATCAGTAGAGAAGTGTACTTCATTGTTGGTTATCAGTAAGTAGTTCAGCATGGTTTTTTATAGTCTGAATGAAATACTCTCTCAGAACTTTTCAATTTCCATTTATCAGATTCCATGTTTATTATACTTTGGTGGTAGTAATAACAAACTTTTAGGCATCTTGATGCTGAGAAAGTTATTTATGATTATGGATGTGACATTGCTTACCAGCAGATTTTGTTGGTTTCTAAGATACCGGCAGCCTCATCAATGCTGACTGAGTTCACAGACAAAATTGAGTTGTAGGAATTTTAATGATCAAAACCTGATTTACCAAGATATTGTCAATGAAGTCCTGCCTGAACTTCTTATTGCAGCTTTGATAAATAATCTACTCTTTTAAACTCAAAATCAGGGAAAATACTTTAAAAATTTTAGGCAGATCTGGAAGCCTAAATAGAAACTTTAAATATACAGTCACCCCTCAGTATACCTAGGGAATTGGTTCCAGGACCCCTGCAGATACCAAAATTAGCACATATTCAAGTCCCACAGTCGGACCTGGGGAACTTGGGTTATGAAAAGTTGATGCTTTGTTTATGTGAGTTTTGTATCCCACAAGTGTATTTTCACTCTGTGTTGTGTTGAAAGAAATCTGCATATAAGTGCACCTGACCAGTTCAAACCTGTGTTGTTCCATTGTCAACTGTAACTTGTAATTCCAGAGATGTATCTAAGGCAACTTTGCTTTTGATAATTGGAGGGCAATTGAATTGAAGTATGACATGTCCTACTCTAAAGTGTAAAGAGCATTGCCAAGTTATCTTGTCTGTTGGGTGTGTTCATGAGAATCTTTAAGGATTTTTATTACATTAGCTGCCTAAATAATATGATGAACTCCTCTCAGAATGTTGAGTTTTGTGAGTGATAAGAGGAAAAAAGAGAATGACATATTGTTTTCATCCATTTCAGTTATAGACAAATTTTCACAGAAAGAATAATTTAAAATTTTTGAACAGATTAAATACATCATAGAGTTAGAGATTGGCTCAGTTGTGCATGGAACTCAGTCTGTCTAATGTTACTACTCTGAACTTTTCAAACTGTTCTATAGCTTTAGGTGCATAACTTTGCTTTTACAATTGTATTATACCTGTTTGTATTATAATCTGCCACCTCCAAAATTAGATCAAAGACTTTTTGGTTTGTATCTTTGTTTTGCATGAGTTTGATCTTTTATATATATATTTTAGTACCTGCTACAAAGGGACCTCAGTAAGTGTTTGCCAACCAATAATTAATCTAAATTCTTTAATGACAACTTGTATTTTTTATATTTTATATTTTTATTTTTTATGAGATGGAATTTTGCTCTTGGCACCCAGGCTGGAGTGCAGTGGCGCAATCTTGGCTCACTGCAACCTTTGCCTCCAGGGTTCAAGTGATTCTCCTGCCTCGGCTTCTCGAGTAGCTGGGATTCTGGGCGCCTGCCACCACGCCTGGATAATTTTTGTGTTTTTAGGAGAGATGAGGTTTCACCGTGTTGGCCAGGCTGGTCTCGAACTCCTCACCTCAGGTGATCTGCCCACCTCGGCCTCCCAAAGTGCTGGGAATACAGGCATGAGCCACTGCACCCAGCCTAATTTTTATATTTTTTAAATTAAAAATTTATTGTTTTCCCACCTTTAATGCTTTTACAGTAGGACTAAAACTATTTTTAAAATGTCATTTATTTCATTGTGTATACTACATTAGGTGAAAAAGTATATAAAATGAGTTTATTTCTGTATTTTAATACGTTTCTTATAAACCATTGGTGTTTCATATCTTTTTCCTCATCTCTTTGCTATTCTTTTTCTTTTGTGATTTTATGTGACTTTAACAAAATAAACCCTATTTAATCATAGTGTTTTTGTTTTTTTTAGGTTGTTATGGAGTTGATGGAGAGAGTGACTCTATTATGAGTTCAGCTTCTGAAAACTCCACTGAACCTTGGTTTTGTGATGCCTGTAAATGTGGTGTTTCTCCTAGCTGTGAACTGTGTCCTAATCAGGATGGAATTTTCAAGGAGACAGATGCTGGAAGGTTAATGTCCTAATTATGTTGGTTCATATGTTTGCTTTATAATGTGTCTGCCTTTGACTTCCCTGTTCTTCTGTTTATGATTACACACTTTCATTTGATTGCTTCTTTGTATCTTCTTGGCATAGAATAAATGACCAGTGGGATACAGATGGAGAAGGGTGAGAGGAAAGACCATTTATTGAGTACCTGCATTTGCCTTTACATCCATAATCTTAATTAATCTTAATAATTGACCCTATGATGAGGCAGGTGGTAACGTTTCTCATTTTATAGGTGTATAGTACCCAGGGCTCAGATTATTTAAATAACTTATTCGTTCAAGACCACAAACTGGTGAATGGTCAATTTTGAACCTAGATCTGTATAACTTTATATCAGGAGATAGAACTTAATACAGTGATTTAAAAAGAAGTTTAGTATAAAGAATTTTTAAGCTGTGATAAAAGAGTCACTATAAGGTATAAAAAAACTCTAAAGGATGCTCTGGGCCTGAGGGAGATTATCCAAGGAATGACAAAATTGGAATGATGACCTCCTACCCTAGGTTGGGGTTCAGGCTTTGTTGGAGAAATTATAGTTAAACCCTACTGGATGGAGAGAAGGCCCTCTGTGTTGAGAGGGCCATGGAAAAATGATCTTCATGTTGGGCCAGGGCTGTGAGGTCACTGAGGGACTGTGTATATAGCTGGGGCAGAGCACAGGAGGAAGTACTCCACCCATACCTGCTGAAAAGCCCCTCCGTTCTACGAGACCTCCTGCCATTGAGTTTATAGCTCCCTCTACCATTGAGCTTAGTGTTATGCTCACTCTGAGAAGAAATGCTGAAGAAATTCTGTCCATTATTGCAGAGTAGGTATTGAAGCATGCGTGAGAGGCAATTAATAAGTGGCACAAAGACCTGTGTTCTTTTTACTACATTCACACTCATGTTTGTTAACACATTTGAGCACTTGTCATCATAACGGTGTTGCCATCTTCCATGTTTTTTTTTTTTTTACAGGAGACTACCATCTAGGGTTGGTGACTAAAATTAAGAGTAATTTTCAACCTTTTGTATTTCGTGGAGATCACGCTCTGCCTCTTCCTCTCCAATATAAGAGGGGGGGTGGGTACTTAAATTTTTATTTTGTCACATAAGGATGTTTTAGTATTTTATTAAACATGCTTTATATTAAAAACAAGATTAACAGCAAAGCAACCTATATAAATTATCACCATCATTTCCCATATTTTAACATAAAAACTAGGGTATATTATGTCCTAAAATAAAGGATAGGCTTTTAAATTTAATAAATTTTACTTTAGTAAAGTAAAACAAATTTTCTCTTATTTTTATCATTTTTGCCTCAATTGGTGGACTGATCCTTGAGAAATGTTGCCATACAAGATTGCTGGGATAGCGTAGAATCTACCATTGAATCTTGGAGAATCCCATGTGTTGATGTTCAGGACAAATGACTAAAGAATCTTACCTCTTCTTCCTTATTGTCTATCCAAAAATAAAATATATAACAAATGATTTGATGTATTGACATGAATCTGTGGTCTGTATCATAGGCATAGGCATTACTCTAAGTTGGGCCTGAGAGTGGCCTAGTATTAGGGAGTTTAGTAAGCATTAAGTGTGCACCTTCAAGTTGGACTGTCTATGTTTGGATTCTAGTCTTTTTTTTTTAATAGCTATAATTTTAGGCAAGTGATGTAACCTTTTTATGCCTCAGTTTCCTTAGCAGTGTTGAGAAGACTAAATGAGATGATCCATGAGAAACAACTAGCAGTTTCTGTAACATAATAAGTGGTCAGTAAATGTCTCCTTACTCTTACTACTGCCGTTACTGCTGCTACTAGTGCTTTCTTATTACCATTATTGCTCCACTTATTTTAGGTAATCATGGAGTATTAGCTCATGCATAGATTTTTTTTTTTTTTTTTTGGTAACTCTTCCAGTCCTGAGAATTGAAATTTTTGGTGATAAATTGTGGTGAATAAGTAAGGCAGTTTTGGAAAGACAGAACTTCCTTTTAGGGAAGAGAATTTATTTTACTGTTTTTCTTGTTGATAATTTAAAAGTTCTGTTAGGACACTGTCAAGTAGTGGTTACTTCATGCTATCATAATAGACAAAACAACTGGCAAAGTTGTTTCTGAATGAAGAAAACTGAGGCCTCTTTACCATTTAGGTTTACTGAGGGATTTTTTTTTGGATACTGTGGACGTTACATAAGTAGACACCTCCTGTGATGGTGCAATCTGGCAAAAATTCTTTTATATACTATTTGAACACTTGTGCTAATGTCTACACTTACCTGTAGGCTGTACTGGAAATTATAGGCCTTCACAATATTTCCAAGGACGTAATACTAGTTTGATTAAAGGTATAAAAAGCCAAGAAAATTCGAGAAGCCTTTTAGTATATGAGCTTCAAATGGAAAACAGGGAAAAAGAAAGAATATTGTATATAAAGAATAAAAAAGGTTTTGAAGTTCACCATCACATGAGATTAATTAGACTTTTTTCCTTCTATTCTTGATGGGAGCCACAAGTTCTACATAGAAAATGATGTGATTTAATGTAAGAAAACCAGTACATTCTTGTCATTAAATTTTTATTTTATATCTTATGGAGAGTAAGACTTATAAACCTGACTGTGGGAAATTTTTTGGCATGCTCTCCTTTTTTATTTTTTATTTATAGTTTTACTATTTGTGGGTACATAGTAGATATGTATATTCATGGGGTACATGAGATGTTTTGATACAGGCATGCAATGTGAAATAAGCACATCATGGAGAATGGGGTATCCATTTCTCAAACACTTGTCTTTTGAGTTACAAACAATCCAGTTACCCTCTTTAAGTTATTTTTAAGTGTACAATTTAGTTTTTCTTGACTGTAGTCACCCTGTTGTGCTATTAAACAGTAGGTCTTAGTCTTTCCACTTTTTCGACTCATTAACCATCTCCCACCTCCCCCCACCATTTCACCCTTTCCCTGCACTATCCTTCCCAACGTCTAGTAACCATCCTTCTCCTGTCTGTGTCCATGAGTTCAGTTGTTTGGTTTTTAGATCCCACAAATAAGTGAGAACATGTGATGTTTGTCTTGCTGTGCCTGGCTTATTTCACCTAACATAATGATCTCTAGTTCCACCCAAGTTGTTGCAAATGACTGGCTCTCATTCTTTTTTATGGCTTAGTACTCCATTGTGTATTGTGTACCACAATTTCTTTATCGGATTCGTCTGTTGGTGGAAACTTAGGTTGCTTCCAAATCTTAGCTATTGTAAACAGTGCTGCGACAAATATAGGAGTGCAGATATCTCTTTAATGTACTGATTTCCTTTCTTTCGGATGTATACCCAACAGTGCAGTTGCTGGATTATATGGCAGCTCAATTTTTAGGAACCTCCAAAGTTTTCTTCATCATGGTTGTACTAATATACATTTCATGCAACAGTGTACAAGGGTTCCCTTTTCTCCACATTCTTGCCAACATTTGTTATTGCCTGTCTTTTGGATATAAGCTATTTTAACTGGGGTGAGATGATATTTCATGATAGTTTTGATTTGCATTTCTCTGATGATCAAGGATTTTGAGTCCCTTTTCATATGCCTGTTTTAGCATATGAGCTTCTTTTTATATGTCTTTTTTTGAGAAATGTCTATTCAAATCTTTTGTCTGTTTTTAATCAGATTATTAGATTTTTTCCTGTGGAGTTATTTGAACTCCTTGTATATTCTGGTTATTTATCCCTTGTTAGTTGGGTAATTTGCAAATATTTTCTCCCATTCTGTGGGTTGTCTCTTCAGTTTGATGATGTATTCTTTGCCCAGCTTGTTGTGATCCTGCTTTTTAAAAAAACCTGATATGATATCTTTCGTCTGTTTTTGCTTCGGTTGCTTGTGCTTGTGGAGTTTCGCTCAAGAAATTTTACCCAGAGCAATGTCCTGGATTCCCCAATGTTTTCTTGTAGTATTTTCATAGTTTGAGGTCTTAGATTTAAGTCTTTAATCCATTTTGATTTGATTTTTGTATATGGCAAGAGATGGCGTCTAGTTTCCTTCTTCTGCATATGGATATGCAGTTTTTCCAGCACCATTTGTTGAAGAAACTGTCTTTTCCCATATATATGTTCCTGGCACCTTTGTTAGGCACTAAGTTCACTTAGGTGCGTGGATTTGTTTCTGAGTTCTGTATTTTGTTCCTTTGTTCTGTGTATTTGTTTTATGACAGTACCATGCTGTTTTGGCTACTGTAGGTTTGTGGTATAATTTGAAGTCAGGTAGTATGATTCTTTTTTGCTTAGGATAGCTTTGGCTCTTCTGGGTCTTTTGTGGTTCCGTATACATTTTAGGATTATTTTTTCTATTTCTGTGAAGAATGTCATTGGTATTTTGATAGGGATTGCATTGAATCTGTAGATTGCTTTGGGTAGTATGGGCATTTTAACAATATTGATTCTTCCAGTTTGTGAACATGGAATATTTTTCCATTTTTTGGTGTCGTCTTCAATTTCTTTCATCAGTGTTTTATAGTTGTTATTATAGAAATCTTTTACTTCTTTAAGTTAATTCCTAGGTATTTAATCTTATGTGTGGCTATTGTAAATGCCATTACTTTTAAAATTTCTTTTTCAGATTATTCACTGTTGTCACGTAGACATGCTCCTGATTTTTGTATGTTGCTTTTGTCTTTTGCAACTTTACTGAATTTATCGGTTCTAATAGTTTTCTTATGAGGTCTTTAGGTTTTTCCAAATACAACATTATATTACCTGCTAACAAGAATAATTTGACTTCTTTCTTTCCAATTTGGATGCCCTTTTTATCTTTCTGTTGTCTGATTGCCGGAAGCTAGGGCTTCCAGTACTATGTTGAATAACAGTGGTGACAGTGGGCCTGCTTGTCGTGTTCCAGATCTTAGAGGAAAAGCTTACAGTTTTTCCCATTCAGTACGATACTAGCTGTGGGTCTGTCATATATCGCTTTTATTATGTTGAGGTATGTCTTTCTATCCCGTTTTTGGGGAGTTTTTATGATGAAGGGATGTTGAATTTTATTAAATGCTTTTTCAGCATCAGTTGAAATGATCATATGGTTTTTATCCTTCATCCTGTTGATGTGATATATCATGTTGATTGACTTGCTTATGTTGAACCATGCTTGCAACCCAGGGATAAATCCTACTTGGTCATAATGATCTTTCTAACGTATTGTTAAATTCGGTTTGCTGGTATTTTGTTGAGGATCTTTGCGTCAGTGTTCATCAGAGATACTGGCCTGTAGTTTTCTTTTTTTGATGTGCCTTTGGCTGGTTTTGGTATCAGAGTAACACTGGCCTCATAGAATGAGTTTGGAAATATTCCCTCTTCCTCTGTTTTTTGGAATAGTTTGAGTAAGATTGGTATTAGTTCTTCTTTAAGTGTTTGGTAAAATTCAGCAGCGAAGCCATCAGGTCAAGCAGTCCCAGGCTTTTCTTTACCGGGAGACTTTATTATGGCTTCAATCTCGTTACTTGTTATTGGTCTGTACAGGCTTTGGATTTCTTCATGGTTCAATCTTGGTAGGTTGTATGTGTCTAGGAGTTCATCCATTTCTTTTAGATTTTCTAATTTATTGGCATATAGTTGCTCATAGTAGCTGCTAATGATCCTTTGAATTTCTGCAATATCAGTTATAATGTCTCCTTTTTTATTTCTAATTTTATTTACTTGTATCTTCTCTCTTTTTTCCTCAGCCTGGCTAAAGGTTTGTCAGTGTTGTTTACCTTTTCAAAATACTAACATTTTGTTTCATTGATCTTTTGTATATGTTTTTTATTTCAATTTTATTTATTTCTGCTCTGATCTTTATTAATCTACTAATTTTGGGTTTGGTTTGCTCTTGCTTTCCTAGTTCTTTAAGATATGTCATTGGATTGTTTATTTGAAGTTTTTTCTCTTTTGATGTAGGTACCTATAGCTATAAACCTCCCTCTTAGTAGGGCTTTTGCTGTATCCCATAGATTTTGGTATGTTGTGTTTCCATTACTATTCGTCATACTCTTCTTCTTTATGTCCTTTGTTGGGTGTCCTCCCAGCTGTTCTGAAATGAAATATGGCTTTGAACTAAATTCCTTAATTTTTAAAAATAAGCTTTATGTTGCAATAGAAGGCAGCATTGAAATCTTTATGTCTCAGTTCTTTCTTTTTTTTTTTCCAATCAGACGGGGCCTGGCTCTGTTCCCCAGGCTAAAGTGCAGTGGCACGATATTGGCTCACTGTAACCTCTGCCTCCTGGGCTCAGGTGATCCTCCCACTGAAGCTTCCTGAGTAGTGCAGGTTATAGGTGTGCGCCACCACACCAGGCTAATGTTTGTATTTTTCTGTAGAGACGAGGTTTCAACCTGTTGCCCAGGCTGGTCTTGAGCTCCTGGGCTCAAGCAGTCCTCCCACCTCAGCCTTCCAAACTGTTAGGATTACTGTACCTGGCCAATTTTTTCTTTTTTTCTGGAGAGAACGTCTGGCTTTGTCACCCTGACTGGAGTGCAGTGGCATGATCTTGGCTCATTGTAAACCCCCGCCTCCTAGGCTCAAGCAGTCCTCCTACCTCAGCCTCCCAAGTAGCTGGGACTACAGGGGCATGCCACGACACCTGGCTAAATTTTGTATTTTTTGTAGCGATGGGGTTTCACCATGTTGCGCAGGCTGGTCTCAAACTCCTGAGCTTAAGTGATCCTCCTACCTCTGCCTCCCAAAGTGCTGGGATTACAGGCATGAGCCACTGTGCCTGACCACTTCTTTCTTTTTTTTTCTTTAAAATTCTAGATTTAGTAAGTCTTAGTTCTGTCCCTTGCTAGACTTGTTATATTTGAAAATCAGTTAATTTTTCTGAAACCAATTCTTCATATGTAAATGAACAACCTCCTACTCAACAGAAGCTTTTAGGCTTTTTTTTCCTTGTAGTTAACATTTCTTGAGTGAAGACAGTGAGCCACACTCTGCTGTAAGCACTTCACATACATCTTTATAACTTCCAAACTACCTTTATGGTGCTCTGTGCCTAGTAGACACTTATAATTGATTACTGAATGAAGGAATGAAAATAACGTACTTGACGTGAATTTGTTTTACATGCTGTAAAGGCATTACTGATACAGAGCACTTCAAACTCCAATTTTATTGATTAATATAGTTTTCATTCTTAAATGAGTCTTTTGAGAAGTATCACTCTACTTAGTCTGCTTTATTAAAATATATGAATTTACAATAATCTGTTAATAGTTTGTGCTAGGATGACAATTCTGACTGTTTTTTGGTGGTTTTATGTGATGCTTATTTCCTGTTCCTTTCCCCAGTCAGCATCTGTCATAATAGCTCCAAGCAAAATTAATGGTAAAGTAACAAGGAAGATTTTTTTTTAAATTGTAGATTTGTCTTAATTACAAAGTTATAAATAATGTGCATCTAAACAGATGAGCAAGAAACTATTTACAGCTGGTATTAAAAGGGACCATAGTTGTCTCGGCCATGATTTTCATTGACTTTGATAGGTATTTTAATGAGGACTCAAGTTGGTATCCTCACATGAGTGGTTGGGAGAATGATATACTTGTATGCCAGTCACATTGAAATGGCAGTTTAAATCTGTAGTACTTGTGTACTACATTTTAAGAAGGTCAGTATGAAGCAAGCAGCCAGCTGTTAGGTTTATCAGAGATAAACTCCTACAGAGTATAGCGACATTTAATACATCAGTGGAGCATGAAAAAACTGAACAAATTAAATTGAGAAAGCAGCTGCTTGTTGAAGATGTGTATCTTTATATTGAACTCCATAGGATGTATTTGGGAGGTTGGATTAAAACATTCTATCAAGAAAATCTCAAAACCTTGGCTTTTTTCCCCAATAAAAAAGATAATTTTTTAAAAAGATTTAGAACTATTTTTCCCAGTGCCTCTAGAGAATAATTTTTGGTCTTAGTCCTCTAAAACTCATAATGCACCACAAAAACCAGAACCATGTAGCATGCATAGCCTCTGAAGTTGTGATAAAGCAGAATTTGTTGTTAATATATTCACAGGGTTAATAGAGATTTGCTGCTGTGACCCTCTTTCTTACAAAAGTGCTAAGATCTACTGTTTAAATTTCAAAGTCAGTGATGCCACATTTTGTTTTGTTGTAAGCAAGCAGAAAGAGTGCCTAATATATTAAAAAAGGTTCAGAGCAGTTTTTAAAAAATGAAATTAGAAACAACTGCAATTTTTTTCAGTGTACTGAAACTCTGAGCATTCTTTGTTTTAGTCTTATAGCATCATTCAAACTTTAATAAATATTTATATTTGGGGCATATAAATTTTAGTATATAGATTGTATGGTAAACAGATAAGATGAATAAAAATGTGAATTGCTTATTCTGTACCTTTTCCCAGCAGTTTTAATCTGGAAAGGAAGTTAAAACTGTATACAAAAATTGTAAAATATGTCCTTAAAGATTATTACCCCAGCAGCTTTTGGAAAAGAGTAATAAGAGAAATTTTACCTAATTACTGCAGAGTAAATTCACAGTTATTAAATTAGTATCCTTAATTCTCAAAGGGTTTGAAATAATGAACGTGACTACCTTTCCTTGCATATGAAAATGATGTTTTGTTTCATTTGAATAGTAGTTTTATGCAAATATTTAAGAATAGATAAGTGCAAAGTGCAGTGAGTGAATTTTAAGTGAAAGGCAATTATAGTTGTTAGCTCTCAGTTTTGGCTAAGCTGCTGGAAAAGTAATTTCAGTCCCCTTTTTTGTAACTAAGTGTTATTCTGTAGGTGTTTCATATTTTTTAATGATGTGCCTGAGATTGCGAGATTTTAACATTTGATTACAGAATTCTCTTGGTAGTATTTTGAGATGGCAAGCGTTTTATATGTTTGTTTTGTGTGTGGGAATTTTATTAAAAGATTTGATAGCAAAATCATATCTTCTCTTCTTAGATGGGTTCATATTGTTTGTGCCCTGTATGTTCCTGGAGTAGCCTTTGGAGATATTGACAAATTACGACCAGTAACACTAACGGAAATGAACTATTCCAAATATGGTGCCAAGGTGAGACACAAAGCATTTTTGATTGCTTGAAAGAGAAAGGTTTTACTTGTTAGTTTACCTGGCTTTTTATTTGTATTATGTTGACTGCAGAAATGCTTACTAGGAATCATTCTATTTAGCACTAAATCATTTATTATTGATAGTAGTTTTCCTAGAAAGCCAATAATGCATAAATTCTTCTATACATTCTTAATTTAGAGTAACGTATGAGGTAAAATGATAATTGGTACTACTACCATTTCCCTGGCAGTGTTCACAATGCCTAATACATAGACCAAAACCTTATTTACAATTAGATGGATCAAATATAAGCCTAATTTCTGACTTTACTTTTGAAGTGGAATTTGTCAAAATTATGAAAAAGAATATTAGAAGTGATCTTTGATGCTGTTACTGTAATTGTTTTGGGGCGTGCCGTTAACATGCCCTTAATAGATGGTGAACTTAATTGATATATGTTATGTGTGTTCTGACTGCTTCACCAACCTGGTGTTCCCCTATCTTTCTCCCTGACTTGGTTGGGGCCTCTCTGTTCGCTGAGACACAGTGAAATTGAAATTTGGCCAATTAGGGCTGGGTGCTCACGCCTGTTATCCCAGCACTTCGGGAGGCCAAGGTGGGCAGATCACCTGAGATTAGGAGTTCGAGACCAGCCTGGCCAACATGGCGAAACCTCGTCTCTACTAAAAATACAACAAATTAGCTGGGCGTGGTGGCGCGTGCCTGTAATCCCAGCCACTCAGGAGGCTGAGGCAGGAGAATCGCTTGAACCCAGGAGGTGGAGGTTGCAGTGAGCTGAGATTGCGCCACGGCACTCCAGCCTGGGCGACAGAGTGAGACTCCATCTCAAAAAAAAAGAAAAAGAAATTTGGCCAATTAATAATTCTACAGTGGCCTCTAAGTGTTCAAGTGAAAGGAAGAGTCATACATCTGTCACTTTAAATTAAAAGCTAGAAATGATTAAGCTTAGTGAGGAAGGCATGTCGAAAGCCTAGGTAGGCCAAAAGCTGGGCCTCTTCTGCCGAATAGCCAGTATGTCAGTGCAAAGGAAAAGCTCTTGAAGGAAATTGAAAGTGCTACTCCAGCAAACACATGAATGATAAGAAAGTGAAGCTGCCTTATTGCTGATAATGGAGAAAATTTTAATAGTAGGGATAGATCATAGCAGCCACAACATTCCCTTAAGCCAAAACCTCATCCAGAGCATGACCCTAACTGTTCAATATTGTGAAGGCTGAGAGAGGTGAGGAAGCTGCAGAAGAAAGGTTGAAAGGTAGCAGAGGTTGGTTCATGAGGTTTAAGGAAAGAAGCCATCTCCGTAATATAAAAGATGAAGAAGATGCAGCAGGTACTGATGGAGAAGCATCAGCAAGTTATTCAGAAGATTTAGCTAAGACAAATGATGAAGATTTGTACATTCAACAAAGATTTTCAATGTAGATGAAACAGTCTTCTATTGGAAGAAGATGCCATCTAGGACTTACCATAGCTAGAGAGGAGAAGTCACTATCTGGCTTCTAAGGGCAGGCTGTCTCTCTTGTTTAGAGGTGAATGCGGCTGGTGACTTTAAGTTGAAGCCAGTGCTCCTATACTATTGTGAAAATCCTAGAGCCCTTAAGAATTATGTTAAATCTACTCTGCCTGTGCTCTGTAAATGGAACAACAAAGCCTGTGCACAGCACATCTGTGTACCGCATGGTTTACTGGATATTTTAAGCCCCTTGTTGAGACTTACTGCTCAGAAAAAAGATTCCTTTCAAAAGATTACTGCTTATCGACAGTGCACCTGGTGGTCACCCAAGAGCTCTGATGAAGTACAAGGAGATTAATGTGTTTTCCTGCCTGCTGTCACAACAGCCATTCTGAAGCCCATGGATCAAGGAGTCATTTTGACTTTAAAGTCTGATTATTTAAGAAATACATTTCATAAGGCTATAGCTGCCATACATAGTGATTCCTCTGATGGATCTGGGCAAAGTAAATTGAAAACCTTCTAGAAAGGGGTCACTTTTTTAGATGTCATTAAGAATATTTATGATTCATGGGAGGAGGTCAAAATATCCATATTAACAGGAGTTTGGAAGAAGTTGATTGCAGCCTTCATGGATAACTTTGAAGGGGTTGAAGAATTCAGTGGAGGAAGTCACTGCAGATGTGGCAGAAATAACAAGATAACTAGAATTAGAAGTGTAGCCAAAGGTGACTGAACTGCTGCGATCTCATGATAAAAATTTGAACAGATGAGAAGTTACTTCTCATGGATGAGTGAAGAAAGTGGTTTCTCGAGTTGGAATCTACTCCTGGTGAAGATGCTATGAACATTGTTAAAATTACAACAAAAGACTTAGGATATTACATAAACTTGATTGATTAAGCAGGAAGAGGGTTTGAGAGGATTGACTCCAATTTTGAAGGAAGTTCTACCATGGGTAAAATGCTGTCAAATAGCATCACGTGCCACAGAGAAATCTTTCATAAAAGGAAGGATGAATCTATGCAGCAAACTTCATTGTTTTATTTTAAGAACTTGCCAGCCGGGCACGGTGGCTCACACCTGTAATCCCAGCACTTTGGGAGGCCGAGGTGGGTGGATCACGAGATCAGGAGATCAAGACCATCCCGGGTAACACGGTGAAACCCCGTCTCTCCTAAAAAAATACAAAAAATTAGCCGGGCATGGTAGCAGGTGCCTGTAGTCTCAGCTACTTGGGAGGCTGAGGCAGGAGAATGGCGTGAACCCGGGAGGCAGAGCTTGCAGTGAGCCGAGATCGTGCCATTGCCCTCCAGCCTAGGTGACAGAGCGAGACTCCGTCTCAAAAAAAAAGAAAAAGAAAAAGAAAGAAATTGCCAGGCTGGGTGCGGTGGCTCACGCCTGTAATCCCGACACTTTGGGAGGCCGAGTTGGGTGGGTCACCTGAGGTCAGGAGTTCGAGACCAGCCTGGCCAAAGTGGCAAAACCCTGTATCTACTAAAAATACAAAAATTAGCTGGGCGTGGTGGCACGTGCCTGTAACCCCAGCTACTCAGGAAGCTGAGGCAGGAGAATCACTTGAACCCAGTAGGTGTAGGTTACAGTGAGCCGAGATTGCACCACTGCACTCCAGCCTGGGTGACAGTGTGAGACTCCATCAAAAAAAAAAAAAAAAAAGAGAGAGAAATTGCCACAGCCACTCCAACTTTCAGCAACCACCACCACCCCCATCCGTCAGTGGCCATCCACATCAAAGCAACATCTTTCACCAGCAAAAAGATTATGACTTGCTGAAGGCTCAAGTGATCATTAACATTTTTTAGCAATAAAGTATTCTTAAATTAATGTACTTAACATTTTAAAAATACATAATGTTATTATGCATTTAATAGACTACAGATAGTATAAACCTAACTTGAAAATACATGGAGAAACTAAAAAATTCTCGTGATTTGTTTTATTGTGATACTTTATTGAAGTGGTCTGGAGCTGAACTTGGGTTATCTCTGATGTATGCTTGTAAATTTAACAGAGGTTATTTGAGCATTAACAGATGTATTTATTGGGCAGCACTTAGAACTAGAAAAGGCTCAGAGATGCCCACTTCAATAGTGTGAGCAGTGGGCTTCTATTGGCTGAATGTGGAACCAAAGTAAGGAAATTACTTAATTGACTACAGCTGTGTTGTTTTTCTGTATGGGTATGATTTAGTAGAAAGTGTCCAGTTACGTTATCTGATGTCTAGTTGGCTGTTGTGGTTAGTTGAAGCTTGTTTTTTTTTTTTTTTTAAATTTAATTTATTACAAGGAATTTTTCTAAATTAAATTTCACCTTGTGTAAAGTTCCATGTACAGAAACAGGTCCAGGCTAATTTCCTCTTGCTTATTTTGCTTTAAGAAAACATCACTGGGAAACTGAGTTGAAAATTAGGTACTCTCTGGCTTCTCTGCAAAATCAGATACAATGTTGTAAATCATGACTGGGACAGCCTTCTAGACCTCATTGTCTACTCATTTTCCAATCTGAATTATGTTCTCCTGTGTTCTCAGTTGCTTAGTTCACTAGCATTTTAAATGATTCAGGCGATTGAGGAAGATTCTGTTTTCTTTGATAGATTGTTTTATAGTCTAAAAAGGCTGTCAGGAATATTTTCCTTATATTCACTCTGAAATCCCTTGCTCAATTTCAACATATTACATGAAATTATCCAGATAATCTAAACAATATGTCTCTGTTCACAGTGTGGACATCCTTTAAATAATTTAATTTCTCTTTATCTCTCTTGCTCAATCTCATGTTTAGATTGCTATTTGCCAGTATATTATACCATTTATGTTCTACTGTTATTAGAGAAATTATATTAACTAGGCAGTAGGATGTCAGGATTTGACTATTGAAGTTTTTAAGTTTTCCTTGTATTTGTTTCCTTCTTATGTAGTTCACTTTGAATACTTATATTAAACAATTCTTTAATTGTCCATTGTCAGTCTTTCATAATTTAACATCTTTTTCTTTTATGAAGATTTCTGTTACCAGAGTAGTTTAAACTTTTAGACTAGCTAATTCCCCCTTTTTCTTTTAAGAGATAGTTAAAGGAATAAAAAAATAAATAAATCTGAGAGGATTTGCGGTAATTTCAACAGTTCATACCTTGGTTTTATAAATTTTCTCTTTTTATACAGAAAGAATGTACATAATTGACTGTGTTGTATATTACTACCAATTTCACCTGATTATTAACCTAAAATTACTTTTAGTTGTCTTAAAGATATTTAAAACATGCATGATTTCTAGGTTGTAATGCCTAGATTTTTTGTTGGATTTTCTCTGGTCTCTTGTTTCCTTTTCCAAGCAATTTTATATTGTTTAAGAATTAGTATAGCTTGATGGTGGGCTTTAAAGTAAGATTGTCCTGGTTTGAAGCCTTACATTTACTTTCTTTGTTATTTTTGGCAAGCAGATTTCTTAACTTGTCTTTACTTTAATTTCCTCATGTGTAAAATGGGAATAGTTATAGTATCTCTTCTTCATAGTAGTTGTGTTTAATGATTACATATATTTATACATATAGTCCTTGACTTATGATGGGTTTACATCCTGATAAATCCATTGTAAGTTTAAAATATTTTAAGTTGAGATTAATTTAATACACCTAACTTACTGAGCACAGCTTAGTGTTGCCTACCTTTAATATGCTTGGAACATTTACATTAGCCTACACTTGAACACAATCATCTGACACAAAACTTTATTTTATAATAAAATGTTAACTATCTCATGTAATTTATTGAATACCCTACTGAAAGTGGAAAACAGAATGGTCGTATGGGTACTGAAAGTGTGGATTCTGCTGAGCGTGTATTGTTTTTGCAACATTGTAAAGTTAAAAAATTAGAAGTGGAACTGTTGTAAACTGGGGACTGTCTGTATATGTAAAGTGCTTAGAATAGTGACTGGCACATAGTAAGTCCTCAAATAATTTTAATTATGGTTGTATTATTATTTATTATCATTAAATTAGTTGAATTTTGATTTATTTGAACCATATAGGTAATTACGTTTTTTCATATAAACTCTTGGCTCGCCTATGATTATTGTTTGTATTGGTACATAATTGGTTCATTATTTGTATTTAGCATTTTAAATATTTAGTGGACACTTTGTATGAGAATGCAGTCTTTAGTCTGGAAATAAGTTTGCTTTGAGAATTTTTCTGTTACTTTGTTGTAGGAGTGTAGCTTTTGTGAAGACCCTCGCTTTGCTAGAACTGGGGTTTGCATTAGCTGTGATGCAGGGATGTGCAGAGCCTATTTCCATGTGACCTGTGCTCAAAAGGAAGGTCTGCTTTCAGAGGCAGCGGCGGAAGAGGTAGGTTTATTTAAACCCATAGTTGGTGAACATGTTCACAAGATATCTTTTGACTCTATGTCCTATAATAAGTGTAAATAATAAAAGAAATTTTAACATTTATTCTTAAAGTTCTTGCCAAGATCACTGTTCTAAAACTTTAAGAGTAAATGCCTATGAGTTTTGTCAGTTTTAAAGCTAGTCAGACGTTCAGAAAACATAATTTTTATAGTGAGATCTGACAGATAAAATGAAAGATAATCCAAGTTGTCTTAAAGCATTAAAATGTCGGCATTTCAGCCCCATGAATTATAGTTAAAAAAAAATAGCATATTTTATACGAGAAGCTGAAACTGTATTTGGGTAACCTTGCTCTATTTTTCTTTAAATAAAATCATTACTGTGTCTTTAGTATCTCTGTTACTATCTCTTTACTGTTACTTTTAATTCCATAATATTCCTTTCAGATTTATTGGCTTTACGTTAAAAAATCAGTTGTTTTCAGTGTTTGGGGACTGGTTAAGATTCGTTCAAGTATTCTGAGTTTAAAACTATTTTCATTACACTATAAAAATGTTACTTACTTTTCTGAACTCTGTTCTTTCATGAGTATTAGTGGAGACTTCCAGAGATTACATACAGTATAACAGAACCCACCGAATATAGAAACAATTTTGAGAATCCAGCTACCTTTTTTTATGTCAGTTATCTAGACATTAGTATGTAAAATGTAAAACAGTGCCACTCTCCTCACTCAATTTTTGTGTGTATGTGAATTGTATTTAGTAAAAGTGTATACTTCGGTAATGGACCCATTATTTAAAATAAATTAATGAATATTGCAAAAAATTTTCAGTTTTAATTTTTAATAGGGTAACTGTCTAAAATATAACTCACATAAACCCTTTGGAGTCCTCAGTAATTTTTAAGAATGTTAACAAATTGTGAGCAGGTTCAGTTCATTCCTTAAGCTTACATAGTAATGAATGTTTATTTAGTAATTTTTATTGCACATTCATGATGGCTTTATGGTAATAGTCTAAGCCTCTCCTTGTTATGTTTTTTCTTTTATTGGGTAAATTTTGTTTATTGTGCTGAGATTTTATCTTAGTACATTTATTTCATTTCCAGAAAGTGAGCAAAGATACTCTGATGAAGAAAAATTGTAGAAAAAAATTTGAAGGATATATTTTATGAATAAACAGATCTTATAGGAATTGTATTTTTGATACATGTAGCTGTTTTTGATACATATAGCTGTTCCAATCTCTTCATTTATATAGCTGTTCCAGTCTCTTGATTTTAAGGAATTGTACTTTGATGAAGGCTACTAGATGAACAGTGAGCATCTTCTCAGCTACTAGGTAGACATAGAGTTATAATTATACGGTAAAGGTAGTCTGGATTCCTCATAGCTACAACTCAGGATGGTGGGCAAAAGTACGAGAGGGCAATACAGGTAAGAGTTAGAGGACCAGATAAATACTACGTAAATACTTGGATCAGGGAATCTATAGGATAAGGTTAGTTGTCTACTTCTGGAAAACTTTGAGCTTTGCGGTTAGTAGGGTGCTTTTGGAGCCAGTGGAGAGCTTTCTTTTTTACTATGGTAGTTTGGATTCCTTTGCACAGCATCATATGTCATCATTTTTGGCAAGATGGCAGCTAATTAACAAAAATGTGTGAAGCAGCCATGTTTGGGACAGTGGGGTGTAATGGAGTTATGGGATTTGGAGAGTGCATCTCCGTCTAAAGGCATGCAAATTAAATGAAACTAAACATAATATTAAGCTACATAGTTTACATTCTGTGGTCTGTGTATCTTACCTATAAGCTAATTTGAGGAAATTTACAGGGAAACAGATACATTAGGATGTGAGAATTAGCCCTGAGGCATCTTCCTTGCCTTGCTGTGTCCCTTGATTAATTAGGTGGGAGCCCTGGATGCTGGAATAATAAAATGCAACTTTTCTCCCTATTCACTACCTTACTCAGTGTGCTGTTGTTTTGGGGGGAAATGATTTAAAGCATATTTACATATATATGTTACTGGTTTCTTGTTATAAACAGAGAATTAGAAAATTCTAAATGTTTTCTGAACGATATTTCAAAACCCAGAATATTGCATGAATCAATATTAATGAAGTTTGCATTTGACAGTAATCATTCTGTCTTGTCTATTTCTAGATGGTTGTACTTATGTACATAAGGATTTATGTAATGTAATAGCATTTAAAATTAAGAAACACATTTTAAACTAAAATAGATCTATGTTTGTGAGCATATCTTGCCTTCTATTTCCATTTTATACTCTTTAGACATTCTAGGGAACTTTTCAAAAGACTATATCAAGTTGGATTTACTACTTTTTCATGGTGGTTTTATATAGGCTGTTAAAAAAAAAAGGTTGAAAAATAGAATAAACATATCAGTTTCATCTAATGACATTGTGTACCTTTCTGTATTTTTTATGACTTTGTATAGCCTTCTGACATAGTCCTTTATCTCATTGGTGAGAATCCATGTGACATTTCTATTCTTTTTCATCTACTTTGTGAATATTCCAGATTTATTAAGAATAGTCAAAGCATGTTATGACACAACATGCTTTATTAGAAGGATATTTAAAACCATGTTATGACACAACATCTTATTTTTAAAACTGGACTATAGGGCTGGGTGCAGTGGCTCATGCCTGTAATCTCAACACTTTGGGAGGCCAAGGCCAGAGGATTGCTTGAGGCCAGGAGTTTGAGGCCAGTTTGGGCAACATAGCAGGACCCCATCTCTACCAAAAAAAAAAAAAAAAAATTAGCTGGGTGTGATGTTGCCTGTAGTCTGAGCTACTAGAGAGGCCGAGGTGAGAGGATCACATATACCCGGGAGTTTGAGGCTGCATTGAACTATGTTCTCACCACTGCACTCAGCCTGGAGAATAGAGTGAGACCCTACCTCTAAAAATTTTAAATAAATAAGTAAAAAAATACCGAGCTATTGTGCAGGCTCAGTTATGCTGACTACAACTTATGTTACTATGTTTTACATTATATAGTCTAAAGTTACTTATAGTCCAAGTAAGCCATATGGTAGTTTCTTCTGTAATTAAAGTATAATTTGGTGCTATTGAACATTGCTGTACTCTGTTCTGTAGAAAATTATATTTGAAACAATATAAAACCGGGTGTGGTGGCACACGCCTGTAATCCCAGTACTTTGGGAGGCCAAGCCAAGGAGGATCTCTTGAGGCTGGCCTCAAGAGGATTTTGAGATGAGCCTGGGCAACATAGCAAGACCCAATCTCTACACAAAATGTAAAAATTAGCCAGGTGTGGTGGTGTGTGCCTATAGTCCTAACTGCTCAGGAGGCTGAGGTGGGAGGATTGCTGAGCCCAGAAGTTCAAGATTTCATTCTATTAGAGCATATATGGCTGAGGTGGGGTGGACAAGAATATTGATAATGCATAATTAAGAAGATAAGTTTGATATGCCATTAGGTTATTATTGTATTTAAATGTTTCTGGTTTCAGTAAACACATCAATTTTACTATTAAGATACCAGTAAAGCGTAGGTACGTTCTTCAAATACACTGTTTTTACAAGTGCCAGGTAAGGTTCTCAATGTACAAGACCGAAGTTGTGTCTTCTTTCAGTTTATATAACTTTGATCTGCTATGTCAGTTTTACCCAGGGAGCTTTGTTTAAAAAAAAAAAAAAGATTTTAAGATTCTAGACCAAATCATGGCATCTAGAGGACCACAAGCTAAACTTAATCCATAGATGGATTTTGTTTGTTAGGAGTAGAGTTAAAAAAGAAAACCTTGAATTTAAATGACTTTAGATGGGGCATTCCAGTTTGCCACAGGCTCTAAGTTCTCACAGGCCCCAGCATTTACTAACTGCTTCTCATCATTCATTTTTGTCTTATATTTTTCTGGCATCTTTTAGGTCTCCTTCACCCATTTATGTTGACTATTACTGCTTCTCAAGGCATTTGTATTTAAGGCCCTTGCCTCAGCTCTGCTAAGTCAGAATTTGCAGAGTTGGGCTCTAGTTACCTCTATTTAGAAATCTCCTTAAATGAATCTGATGACAGTCAGGTAATGGTTAAGGAAGATGGATCTTACATACTGGACATAGGTCTTGGTTCAGCAACTTAACCTCTCTGGCTTTCAGTTTTCTATCCATAAAATTGATATTAAAATGGTAGAACCCACCTCATGTGGTAGTGGTGAAGGTTAAAGAGATAGTATATACAAAAGCGCATGTGCTTATTTCATGGTAGATATTCAGAAACATGTTTTTCCCTTTCTGTCTTCCACTGGGAGTAGGATCTTGAAAGCTCCATTTCTCCAAGCAGGTTGAAGGGATATTCCATGTCAACCAATGCATTAATTAGGACATTATTTTGACTGGTTTAACAAAACCAAGTAACGAGTTGCTTAAACGAAGAAGTTGAATTCACTCTAATATACAATTCCAGGCGGATTGGATACTGAGGGGAGTTTGGTTCCAGGGATCAGTTCCCTTCTTTCTTCTTGCTTCACCTTCCTTTAGTCTATTGCACTCTCCTACACAGTCAAAGATGGTTTATCACCATCTTGACTGGATTCTTCCTCATTGGAAGTAGCAAAGAGGAGGTTAAGAGTAGGCAGCTTCCTTTCAAGGGCATGGTCTGGGCATTTCATACAACTTATTGGCCAGAACTTAATCACATGGCCACATCTAGCTGTGGGGAGGCTGGATCAGATAGTTTCTAGCAGGGTAGCCATATGCCCAGTAAAAACTCATAGGGGTCTAGTACTAATGGGAAGAATGGATATTGTAAGACAATTAGTAGTTTCTGCCATAGTAAGTATTGGTGTTTTTCTTAAGTCAGAGTCTTGGTCCAAATGCTTAACTCACCTATGCAAGCATGAATCCTATCTCTAATGACTCAATTTCAACCTCATTTACTTTGAAACATTAGAATAATTATCTAGATCTGGGTATTTGGGCTGAGGTTCGGTATAATCTTTATTTCCATTTAACATCTCTGTCACCAAGATTTAGAGCATGTCATGAGAAAGCAGCTGTTTGTATGTGTTAATGTAGTCTCCTAATTAATTTTTGTATTTAATTTTTAAAGCTATATGAAGTAATTGTAAGTAAACCCTGTTTTACTAATGTGGTAACTGAGGCCCAGAGATGTTAAGCAATTTTTTGAAGTCCCATAGCCTGTAAATGATAGAGCCAAGATTTGTATCCGGGTTTTTATGTCTTCAAATTCTGTGATACACATTGCTGTACTGTGACATCTATAGATATCACACTACAGAATTGCCTCATATGCTTTTTTTTTAATATTAAGGACACATTAGATTTTTTTTTCTTTCTGTTCTTATATGTCTCTCCTCGGTAGTGTTGTCATTTCTCTTTGGGTTGTAAAACTCTACTTAGAGACACTTTTGACATAACTTAGAGAAAAACTAATAGCTTATGTTTACTGTTCCTTTTTGGGACAGACATAAAGAATGAACAGCCTGTTGTTTTGTTAGCAATTACATTGTAAATTACTTTTTTGTACTACATCTTTACAAGTTGTTTTTGATAGAATAAATATTCTTTTTTGTACACTACTTTTTATGAATGAAAATGTACTGTTAGGCTATGAGAGAGCTGTAATTCCACTTGAGTTTTTAGGGAAAGAGTTAAGGGCATAACTTAAATTTTTTTATTGACAGGGCTTAGAATTTCTTAATTCTATTTTTTTTTTTTTTTTTTTTTTTTTTTGAGACAGACTGTCGCTCTGTCACCCAGGCTGGAGTGCAGTGGCGCGATCTCGGTTAATTACAACATCTCCCTCCTGTATTCAAGCAATTCTCCTACCTCAGCCTCCTGAGTAGCTGGGATTACAGGCACATGCCACTGTGCCTGGCTAATTTTTGTACTTTTAGTAGAGACAGGCTTTTGCCGTGTTGGCCAGGCTAGTCTCGAACTCCCAACCTCAAGTGATCTGCTTGCCTCGGTCTCCCAAAGTGCTGGGATTACAGGCATGTGCCACCACGCCTGGCCCTTAATTCTATTTTTATCCTCAGTAGAATCTGTCCATTGTTAGCCAGTTAGAAATGCCACACTTATCTTGTTGGCTAGTTGAATGTTGTTGTTTTGCAATATTAGTTTATGCATAACTTTAATATTTAATGATTATTTCTACTTAAGATTATTAAAATCCTATTTGTTTTAAACAGTGACTTTTTAAAAAAATACAGCCGGCCCTCCGTGTCTGTGGATTACACATTCTTAGATTCAACCAACTGCAGATCGAAAATGTTTGAAAAAAAAAAAGCGTAATAAAAAAGAATACAAATATAAAACCAATACAGTGTAACAACTATTTGCACATTTACATTTGTGTATTAGGTATTATAAGTAATGTAGAGACTGCTTAAAATATGTGGGAGAATGCATGTAAACTAGATGCAAATACCACACCATTTAACATAAGACGCTTGAGCATCCACAGATTTTGGTATCCTTGGGGGGTCCTGGAACCAGTCCCCCATGGATATTGAAGGGCTACTATACAAGTACACCCAAATAATACATTATATTTGATTTCAATATCTTTAAACCTGCAGGCCCTTTAAAGAAAAACGTTGTTGGTAATTTGAAGTTGACATACAAGATCAAGTTTCTAAAGAAGTAATTTTTGTCATTATGTACAAAAATTATTTTTGTAATTTATTAGATGTAACTAGCACTAGTAGATTCTTTGAAAAGGAAGTAATATTCTTTTGTGTTAGGTCTTTTATGACTCTTGGGAGTACAAATGTTCACTATTTTTCTGTGCTTTCTTTGTATAGGATATAGCAGATCCATTCTTTGCTTATTGTAAGCAACATGCAGATAGGTTAGACAGAAAGTGGAAGAGAAAAAACTACTTGGCTCTACAGTCCTATTGTAAAATGTCTTTGCAAGAGAGAGAGAAGCAACTATCACCAGAAGCACAGGTATGGGATTCATGTCAAAACCCGTATGTTTTTGTTTTAAGGTTATGTAAGGATTTTACGTCTCGTGTGGCTTCCAGTGACATGTGACGTATAATAGGAAGTTTGGTTAGTTACCTAGGAAATGGATTGTGATTAAGGTAAATAGTGAGTATAATTTTTGGCTGAATACAGTACTCCTCATTTAGTCAAACAGAGCAGTCCTTTATAAAGTAAATTTTCACATTGAAAAATGTGACTGTGAGGAAATTACTCTATCAGTGCAATATATTTATTACATCTTGTTTCAGTTTGTTCAAAGGATTTAGTCAGTTTGCCTATATTTAAAATATAATTTTATATACATTAAACCTATGGAGACAATAGCAGTTATTAAGAAGAGAAACTTCAGCTTAATTAGTTTCTCAAAACTCTGATTATAAGTTAGGACAGTTGTTACTAGGGGCAGATATAGTTTATTGTAACTCAAAAATTATACAGTATACCTTAAGGATCATTCATACCTATAATTTGCTTTGGTGTGAGAAGTTCTGATTATCTTTCTGTGAACATGGGAATAAAAATCAATGTAAAAATCTTAAGGAACATGTTTCATTTTATTATCTTTTAAAATTTGAATACATTTCTTTTATAGGCAAGGATCAATGCCCGGCTTCAGCAGTATCGTGCCAAAGCAGAACTAGCTCGATCTACCAGACCCCAGGCCTGGGTTCCAAGGGAAAAATTGCCCAGACCACTCACCAGCAGTGCTTCAGCTATTCGTAAACTTATGCGGAAAGCAGAACTCATGGGGATCAGTACAGATATCTTTCCAGTGGACAATTCAGATACTAGTTCTAGTGTGGATGGAAGGAGAAAACATAAGCAACCAGCTCTCACTGCAGATTTTGTGAATTATTATTTTGGTCAGTATAGACACTGGTACATGCACATTTTCACTGAGAACAATTTGTTAATGAAAATGTTTGATATACTGTTAATTTTTAGAAATTTATTAGCCATGCTGCATATATCATAGAGGGATGTTTATTTTCCTAATATGTTGTGGGTTTTTACAAAATGCTAGGTTCATTTATTTGTAAATATACTTAAAAGTTTTAAACTATGTAGGTTTATCAATGTGATCATCTTTATAGCTAGTTTCTTCCTATGTCAGTTTTTACTTCCTACTAAAGTAAAATTCGATATTTCATTTAAATAGAGAGAAATATGCGCATGATTCAAATTCAGGAAAATATGGCTGAACAAAAGAATATAAAAGATAAATTAGAGAATGAACAAGAAAAGCTTCATGTAGAATATAATAAGGTAAGTTAGCTACAAAATATGCAACATAATGTGATAGATCTTACTGATGATTTCTTTTGTGAATGTATGGCATTTCTTTTATGTTTTGTTTTTAATTTCTTCTGGAGCTCTTTGGCTCTTCCCTATAACTCCTACTCCTCATTAGCTTCATTATCATCACTGTCTCTTACTGAGCACTTTGTGTGCCAGGCATAATTTTGATCTCTTTACATGTATTATTTAATTCCCAGCTTAACTTTATAGTGTAGGTTATAATCATTGCTTCCATTTTCAGGGAGAAAACTGAATCCTGAAGAAGTTAAATAATTTGCCCAGGTTCACACAAGTAGTCAAGTCACAGACTTGACAAATGAAGTCAGTTGGTGTGAGGCCAACTCATGTGACTCTGTTCTCTATTTCTAATCAATAAACATTGCTATAGAGCTTCACTTTCTAAGTTTGTAGAAAATTTAGAAACTTTTCTTTAAATTATTATTTATCTTGAATTATATTATAATGTTTGGAATAAAAATTTCCAAATTTGAATTTTCATGTACCTCTTCATCGTAATGAGAAAAGATTCAAAAAGAAGTATCTTATAAAAGCAAAATGTGGTTAAAATGTTATACCAAGTATAACTTGACATATAAAACGGGTATTGACTTATTGTTAGAAAACATTTTAAGTCATAAAAAAATAGTAGGAAGTACGTTTCCAATAATCAGCTACACTGTGTAGTAAAAAGAGTACTTGGAATTAGATTCAGAGGACCTGGGGATTCTTGCTAGTTCTGTGATCTTGGCCAACTCACAAAAACTCTATGATCCTTAGTTTTTTTCATTGGGAAAATAGTGGAAATACATCTTGAGAGAGTCACAAGGATTAGTTAGCAGAACATGATGTTATATAACAAACTGTAAAAGAAGGTATAAACGTAGTTACCATTATTAGTAAAAATGCCAGCAGAAAACAAAATGCTTACAGCAACAAATACTGCTGAATAATTGGATAGCCTTGTCTCTCAGTGGTATTGTGGCTTGAATATATTAAAAATATATGGAGGCCGAGCGCAGTGGCTCATGCCTGTAATCCCAGCACTTTGGGAGGCCAAGGCAGGTGGATCACGAGGTCAAGAGATCGAGACCATCCTAGGAGTTTGAGACCAGCCTGGCCAACATGGCAAAACCCCGTCTCTACTAAAAATACAAAAGTTAGCTGGGCGTGGTGGAGGGTGCCTGTAATCCCAGCTACTCGAGAGGCTGAGGCAGGAGAATTGCTTGAACCCAGGAGGTGGTGGTTGCAGTGACACAAGATCGTGCTACTGCACTCTAGCCTGGGCGACAGAGTGAGACTCCATCTCAAAAAAAAAAAAAAAAAAATAGATCGAGACCATCCTGGCCAACATGGTGAAACCCTGTCTCTACTAAAAATACAAAAATTAGCTGGATGTGGTGGTGCACACCTGTAGTCCCACCTACTCGGGAAACTGCAGCAGGAGAATCGCTTGAACCCCAGAGGCGGAGGTTGTAGTGAGCCGAAATCGTGTCACCGCACTCCAGCCTGGTGACAGAGTGAGACTCTGTCTCAAAAAAAAAAAAAATTATATATATATATGTGGAATAGAAATGTAGATATTTCTTAAATTGTCAGATATTTTAATGAAGTTTACTAATTTGGCTTACTTTGTAGCTATGTGAATCTTTAGAAGAACTACAAAACCTGAATGGAAAACTTCGAAGTGAAGGACAAGGAATATGGGCTTTACTAGGCAGAATCACAGGGCAGGTTAGTTTCTTTCCAATTGCTGTCTCCTTCAGTTCTTGCTCCCTATATGATTTTCAAAGAACAGATTTTTGATACAACTGTCATTTGACTAACCGAAGAATTCTGTTTGATCAGGGCCTAATCCTTTGGGATAATGATTTCTGCTTGAAATACACCTAGAGCATTGGAAGCTGCCTACTGAGAACCTCTAGTTTAATTTGGTTGTTTCAACAGCTATCTTGTGTGCAAAATTTTTTCATTTGCTCTAACTGATTGACCTGTCATTTGTGATGAAGCTTAAGACTTGAAGCATGAGTTTTTCCTACTACATTCTTCTTTCCTTTAATTTAGCAGTTTTAGATTCCCTGCCACATTTTTTTCTTTCCTGTCCTTATGCTGTATTTTTTTTTCTATTCTTTGGATGTATAATTTAAAATTAAAAAAGGCAAACTAGAGATATTCATTTTTATGTTAATTTGGTTTTCAGCTGTATAAGAGATGGTTTTTTAAACTTTAATGTTAAAATGTATTTTTCCCCTTTAACAGTAGCTGTGATCGTAGTTATTAAAAAAAACTTTATTCATGAACACCTTTAGTCTGTTAAAGTTTTTGGTGTTGAATAATTATTGTTAGATGGATTTCTTTGAATGCCTTTTTTAGTACTGTGTATATAATTGATAAATTACAGTTTTCGCAAATATTTTTTATTTTTTAAGGATGATGGAGACCCACTGTTTGTGGTCCTTTCACTAAAAAGTAGTTTTATTTGTGAAGGAGCTTTTCGAACAGATATTTTTCATTATACTTGTTTTAGAGGTTTATGGAGAGTCAAATTCATCACACAGCTTATTTAAATATTTTAAGAAGTGATACATACTGATTTGTACTGTGCTATACCAGCTTTGAAGATGCTTTATGTGAAAAGAATGTGTGTGGCTTGTATCCTAAAGAATGTTTTAAAAGGTGAGAATTAGTAGTCGCCTCTGGGAGGATCAGCCTTTGTTCCTGTTAATAGGTTGGTTGATGGATTTTTGGAAGATTATGTTTTATACTTAATATTTAGAGGAGTTAATGTTGAGTATAAGGCTTTAGTTTATTTGCCAAGCTAGCATTATCTTTTGGCTTGATTTGCAAGTTTTTCTCATAAGAATCTCCTGTTTAAAATACTATCTACCATAAAAGACATTTTCATTTATTAAAAGACTTTTAACAGAGGTTTGCAAATTTCCTTTTGCAAATGTAAAATACACAGCAGAAGTAGAATTCATTTATACTGCTTGCATGACACTTTTTTTTTCAGTTGGTTGAACAGATGTGGGCCCACCAGGCCACTGAGAAATGACTTTGATAGATGGTTGCTGTCTGAGAAGCCAGCATACTACAGATTAGTAGAAACCCAAAGAGAATCTCACTTGCTTTGTTGGAGAGTTTGGTCCAATAAGATAATTTTTCTAATTAACCTATGGAACACCAATATAGCTGGGGTGCTGAAGAAAATAAATGGCCTCAATATTCTTTTTGTCAAGTGTACTGTGTTTTGTTTTTTTTAAACCTCCTACGTATGTGTCTTTGTCTTTGAAAGCTGAAATAGAAGTTTAATTTTTATGTTTTAGTGTACCACTGAAAATTGATGAAAGTCTGTAATTATAGATTTCTAATGGAAATAACTATTAGAAAAAAGCTCATTTTAATCCTTTTTGCCAATGTAAAATCTGATAAAGCAGATTTCCCCCTAACAATCCTACTATATTTACTTGGCTTGAGTGGCAATTAGAGGAAAATGTTGCTTTTATTTCTTTCTTAAAACAATATATACTACATTTGTTCAAATCAATAGAAGTTGAATATACCGGCAATTTTGCGAGCACCCAAGGAGAGAAAACCAAGTAAAAAAGAAGGAGGCACACAAAAGACATCTACTCTTCCTGCAGTACTTTATAGGCAAGTAATGAAATTAATAATGATAGAATAATGTTGTGTATTTTTTTAAACTGATACTTATTAGAAAGAAGATCCTGCAAATATTTGAGAATGAATTATGTCCATACCAGAATTTAAGTGCATTTGAAGTTCATTTTCTCAAAAGATGCATTCCAGTTTGAATGATAGAGGAGATTTTTGTTGCTGTTTTAACCTAAACTCTATGGAAATGAGCAGTACCCTTTGGGGAACTGGAAAATTACTTTAGATAACATTATAGTTATTGTCTTAAATAATTTAAACAATATAAAAGATGAGCATTTATATTTTATTTTACTTGAATGAATTGTAGAGTTTGTTTTTTAGATAGTGATGGGTATCATATATGTATATATATAGAATGAATCTATTGCCTTTGTAGGCAGTGGATAATGAAGATAAGTTTTAGTTTTGAGTTTCTACACTTTTTTTCTCTTGATGCTCAGTTGCAATCACTTTGTTCGCATAAGTATTTTTGTTTTTTACTTTCTTTGCTCAATATTTTCGGTGTTCACCATTATAGTAATTTTATTATAGTCAAGACTTCTTTCCATAAATAAATAGGTTACGATCTCACTTTTTCCCAAATAATTATATTAAGTGGGAGAAGTTTAGAAGATGCTGGTGTTTTTGTGTGTGTGTGTGTGTGTATGTATGTGTGTGTATATTTATCTATGTATATGCATACATATATGTTATGCATGTGTAAATACATAAATATTCTTCTCAAAATTTCTTTCTCAGAAATAGTAGCAATAACAACAATATCAATCTCCATAACTACCTTCTGTTTTTTTGTTGGAGGCTCCCTCTACAAGTAATAGCAAATAACTTCCTTGAAGTGTGGGAAAAGCCTACATTGTCTTAGTGTACAATGTGAACATTAGCACATTCTCAGGCCAGCTTTTTCAAACACGGTTGGTTCATTTGGAACCATCAGGCAATATCACTATGCTTCTGACTTTTATGACTACAATTCATTTTTGTTTCAGAATATATTTTAAGTGATTTTTCTTTTTTACTGAGACCAGGTACTGGTTATTTATTTATTTATTTTGGCTTTTTAAGTGTGTGTGTGTGTGTGTGACTTTTTTCTAGGAGTATTTAAAAAAAAAACCTAACCATCATTGCTTTCTGTACTTTCCAAATATAAATATACTTTAGATTTTCAGGTGATGGTGCTTGTGTACGCAGGTGTAGTTAAATTGCCTTTTTGCATAAGAGAAGTTAGATTTCTGAGAAACCAAAAGATCCTAAAATAATAGTAGCAATCACAAAATTCCACAATCTTTGCAATAAATATCAATTGATGTGTGCGTTTTTAATTTTTTTACTTTTGAATTTAATTAGTATATTTTTAAAACGCAAAATTCAGTATTGAAAAGAGACTCATGTATACTTGCAGTATATCTACATGTTGAAGACTGTTTGAAAGGTTTACAACTAATGGTAGGAAATAAACTACCTTCTGTTTGTGAAGTAATTTTTTTATAGTTTTAGAAAATTGGAAAATTACTTTGTTCTATAATTTATGTGTCTAGAGAAAAAATGAACTAATGTGAAATGGGTTTTAAGTAATAACTAAAATTAAAATGAATATGATGTTGAGGATAAATACCTTATATATGTAATTCTTTAGAAGGTTTGACTCTAGTAGTATTTAAATTTTTACCAGATCCAAGCTATTTTTAACATTCTCAAAAGTATTTAGAACTAACAGTTACTGACATTGTAAAAAGATGTGTTAATGAAAGAAATTGTCTATCTCAACAGAAGAAATAGTAAGTTAAATCAAGATGAAATTTTGTAAGTTGAAAAATATGCTATAAGTAAACTGTTTCACTATGATAATTATTATTGAAATCTTTACTTGCTGCCTTTATTAAAAGTTGTGGGATTTGTAAGAAGAACCATGATCAGCATCTTCTTTTATTGTGTGATACCTGTAAACTACATTACCATCTTGGATGTCTGGATCCTCCTCTTACAAGGATGCCAAGAAAGACCAAAAACAGTTATTGGTGAGTAAAATAGAGGAGATTTAGATGTTTGAATTGATTTACTCTTAGTTTCAGCAGTATAAGATGAAATACTATATTTGTTCATAATAAAGTATTTGGCACATTTTAAAATTGACTGTCATCAATATTTATTATAGCATTATGTGACTAAATCTATAACAGCTTTTTTGAGAAATGAGTTTTTCATTAATTGTGGCTATTATCTTAGCAATAGATTCTTCTTTAAGGCATGAATTCTGTCCATTGCTTATAATTCTCTTGTTTTATTGTTCAGAATTTCTCAAATGCTTTATTGTTATTTTGAAATTGAATTTATCTAAAATTTGCCATCATATTATGCTTTTACTTGCAATTTAATATTTTATTTTTGGATTAGAGTCAAAGGCTTTACTTCTGGTATTTGGTATTTGTGCTAGTCATTTAAATTCAACCATTCTTTGACATCTAGAAACATTTGATAAACATTTCTGATTTTTTTTTTTATTAACTTAGGCATATCGAATCACTACATTTGATAAAGGTTATAGTATCTATAATGAGTTTTATCCTTTTCTTAATTTTACTCCAAGAAAGGGACAGATGTTCAGATTTTAATAGAATGATTTCTCATAGGAAGGAGAATATAGGAAAAGGAAAACTTTGGAATGAACATGAATATTCTTTTTATACAAGTTACCTTTCCAGTTTTAGAAAAGAGTGAACCCCAAATTTTTAAATGGTAATCTCTACAAGAGGTTGTGTGTGTTCCTCAAATACATTAGGCATATTTTTTGACCTCATTGTTTTATCACTTAAGGCTACCTCTGTTCATTTGATTAGGAAGCTGAAATTTTTTCACTATTTTCACATGATTGCTTTTTTATAGTGTTCTTTGTATCAGTTTGTTTTGAGATATTCATACTGGCCTGTTCTTTTGAAATGCAGTGGAATGTATTTATTATGGTTTTTATGTGCTTCAGAAACTGCTATAGCATATTCAAATCCCAACAATGTTAATAAGCATCCTGGGTGAGTTTTTAAATTGAAAGCTAGTTTGATAGTCTCCAGAGCCAGGATGTTTTGCCATGAACTTATATAGAGTTATGCAGTTCTCTCCTTAAATGAAGTTATGGACCCTCCTGATACTGCTCAGCCTGCAGAGCTCTGGTTTCCAGCATGTGAGAGTTTCTGCAGCTAAAAAAAAACACACACAAAAAAAGGGAAATCATGTTCTTTGTAGCAACAAGGAGGCAGCTGGAGGCCATTATACTCAGTGAATTAACCCAGGAAAAGAAAACCAAATACTGCATGTTCTCACTTACAGGTGGAAGCTAAACACTGGATAGTCATGGACATAAAGATGGGGCCTACTAGAATGGGGAGGGAGGGGAGCAAGGTTTGAAAAACTGTTGGGTAGTATACTCACTACCTGGGTGATAGGGATCATTCATATTCCAAACCTCAGTATCATGCAGTATACCCATGTAACAAACCTGTGCATATACCCCCTGATCTAAAATAAAAGTTGAAATTAAAAAAAAAAGAAAAGAAGTAATGTACATAGCCTGAGGTGTTTTAGTGAGAGCACTTCTAAAAGGGCGTAAACAACTTAGAGCCTTTTCATTGTTGTTAGTGGTTTTTAAGTAAAAGTAGAAGTTAATGTTGTAGCACAGTGAAGCCTTTAATTTCTCCTTGTTTCTAGTGATAACATTTCCTTTGGCCTCTAAGATCAACTTAGCTTTGGTTAGCAGTTAACTGGGTGTATTAATTTTGGAGTGTGCAAGATTCAGAGAATTGTTTTTTCTTTAGTGTACCTCAAATGTGGGAGGCAGTTTTTACTTTTTGCTTTTTAACATTTTCAGTTTATTTTTGAAGTTATACTAAAGATAATAAATACTCAAAACTTAACACTTTCTAAATATTTTGTCACATTTTACTATTATCTATGCTCTAGAGGTTATTTAAGTCTATTGCATCTGGATGGTAGAAAAAAAATGATAAACGCAGGTTGAGTATCCCTTATCCAAAGTGCTGGGGACCAGAAGTGATTTGGATTTTGTTTTTGTATTTGTTTTGGAATATTTGCATTGTACCTACTGGTCGAGTATCCCAAATCTGAAAATCTGAAATCTGCAATGCTCCAATGAACATTTTCTTTGACTGTAATGTCAGTGCTCAAAAAACATTTGGATTTTGGAGCACTTCAGATTTTGGATTTTTGGATTTGGGATGCTCAACCTATGATAGTTGCTACTACACACCCTTTTCCCCATCCTACATTCTGTGATGCCATGTTGATAATTTGAAATTGAAATTGCCATAGTTAGGAGTATTTGTACTGTAGAAATTACTAAATACTACATAACAGGGCTTTCCCCCAGAGGGTCAAGTGTTAGACATTTACTAGCATATCACTGACTGATGTCTGCTTTAGACTCTACCTTGTTCTTACTAGTCCTTTCATTAGGGAAAGGGTCCTTTAATTTCTCCTTGTTTCTAGTGATCAAATTTCCTTTGATCACTAGGGTCCTGTTACTGGACTCTTATTTCATGACTGTGCCTTAGTCTGCAGCTTGAACTTCCACAGGTCCCTCTGGTATAATATTTCTGAATGGCCGGTTTATTTTTGCTGTCTTTATGTTTTGCAAGCCTGTGGTAGCACCCTTACTACTAAATACCCTGTAAGCAAACTGTACCTAGAATTAATTACTATACAATCTGTTGCCTTCTCAGATATCATATTCTACTCTAATAACTATTTTAAGCACTTGCTATCCAGCCTTTTCTTCCAGTACCAGCACTGTTTTCAAGGAGACACTAGTTCTAGATTTGGATGCTTTCTTCAGTCCATCCCAGAGTTCTGTGGACTGTGCTGGGCAGGTTAAGACATGTGACATCAAAGAAAAGATGGATACAGATACAGAAGTAATTATTGGTGGAAGGTAGGGAAGTTGAGTGAATTCACCTTGGACAGGCTCAGATATTTCAGTGATATAGGAGTCTGTTGAGAGGGAAGAGACCTGGGATGATGATGGGCTCTTGAGAAGACAGCAGATGGTTGGTAACAACTTACTGTGGAAAAATCAAACTGACTTGCTGAGGCTGTGTAGCAAGAATGTTTAGTGCATAAGTAAATGTGATTATTTGATTTTTCTTGAATTATGCTCTGCTGCCCAGGAGAAGGAGAGGGGAAAACCTAGGGGCTTCTTAGGTTGGGCCAGGGATGTGAAAAGCTAGTAAAGAATATTATTAATAGGTGGGTGAAGAATTCCACAGAGAATAGAGAGGCTAGTGATGGTGTGATCTAGGTTCTATTTTGTTTGTACCTCTTTCTAGTATTTAAAATGCATTTTGTCTCATTTTTAGTTTATGTTATTTTGATTTTTGTTGTTGTTTTTAAAAATGTACAATCTCCACACTGCCTTAAATTCTAAGACACATTTGGTAGGATACAAATGGTAAGGGCTTGATTTATTAGAGTAGTTCAAATAGTTAATCATCTCTTAATTTTAGAAGACTAATGTTATATTTCTGCCTCCACTCATCTGATTGGAACTTGTGTTGCCTTTTCCAATTGTTTGAAGAATATTCTGAAACACATTATTTAACAGAGAATTGAGTAATATATCCTTTTATTCCTTGGATATGTCTTTATTTTATGATGAAAAGAAAACTCAAACCCTTCTAGGAATAGTTTACAGAGGGTTTTTTCCTTTGTTTTTCTTGATAATTTGTTCATTTACATTTTTTTATTGCCTCTTCTTCCCATTAACCGCTAGTAGGAATTCCAGCATTAGAATGGGACATTTACTGTATATGAAATAACAGGTATATATCTGCTATTAAAGTTTTTACAGGTATTATAACTACAAAAAGAATAAAATTTACAAGTTGAGTTAAATGTTGTTTTCTGCCCTTCAAAGAGATACCCATAATGCAGAAGTAGGAGGGACTGAGGTATTACTTGTCTGAGAAGAATGATATTTGAGCCACCTCTTAAAGTTTTATGTAGGCACCTGTCAAGACTTTCCTCTAAATACAGGAGAAAACATGGCTAACGGCTTAGACATAAGAAAAAAAAAAACTCTGGTGTGGGATCCTGAGTTCTTGATGACTGAAAAAGATAAATTGTGGAGGAGAAAAAAGTAAATCATGAATTATTTGGAATATGGAATGTTACTGGATTTATTTATTGCATTATTGCATTTAAAGATTCATAAAATCCTTTTTTTTTTTAACTTACACGAATAAAATTCTCTAAATTAGTCCACTTTCTTTTTTTTTTCTTTTTTTGAGATGGAGTCTCGCTCTGTCACCCAGGCTGGGGTGCAGTGGCACAATCGCAACTCACCGCAACTTCTGCCTCCTGGGTGCAAGCAATTCTCCTGCCTCAGCCTCCCGAGTACCTGGGACTACAGGCGCGTGCCACCACGCCCAGCTAATTTTTTGTATTTTTAGTAGAGATGGGGTTTCACCGTGTTAGCCAGAATGGTCTCGATCTCCTGACCTCATGATCCGCCTGCCTTGGCCTCCCAAAGTGCTGGATTACAGGCGTGAGCTACTGTGCCTGGCTTAAATTAGTACACTTTCTTGTCTAAGCACTATTAAACATTTTTCTTTAGTAACTAAGATTCTGAAATTCCATTGGGTCATCATTCTGATTATAGGTTGTAGTTGTATGGTGCTAGAAACATATAGAAGGTATAGAAAATTGAGAAAAGGCCAGACGCAGTGGCTCATGTCTGTAATCCCAGCACTTTGGGAGGCTGAGGCGGGCGGATCACTTGAGGTCAGGAGTTCAAGACCAACATGATGAAACCCTGTCTCTACTAAAAATACAAAAATTAGCTAGGAATGGTGATGGGGATTCGTAATCCCTGCTACTCAGGAGGCTGAGGTAGAGAATTGCTTAAACCTGGGAGGCTGAGGCTACAATGAGCTGAGATTGCGCCAGTGCTCTCCAATCTGGGTGACAGAGTGAGACTCTGTCTCACAAAAAGACAGAAGAAGAGGAGGGAGGGCAGGAGGGAGGGAAAGAAGGAAGGAAAGAAGGGAGGGAGGGAGGGCGGGAAAAAGAGAGGAAGGAAGGGAGGAAAGAAGGGAGGGAGGAAGGAAGGAAAGGAAGGGAAGGGAGAGGGAGGGGGAGGGAGAGGGAGGGAGGGGGAGGGAGGAAGGGAAAAGAGAAAAACCTCTTGGTATTTCAACATGAAAGTTATTCTGTTGCATAAATTCCTGACATGGATTTTTATTATACTTTAAATTTTTAATTGGCTTGGATCAATTAAAAGGTTAAGATTATCTTCAGTATTGTCCATGGGAATTATAAATTTTAGGACTCTATTCTCATACAGTGTGCTAAGTAAAAATATATAGAATTAAGGTGAGTTTAGCTAAATTAATAGATAATAGCAGTTTAGTGGATTATTGAAAGAAGCCAGGTATGTATTTGACTTTAGGAAAGATAATCATGATTTTCCTTAAAATATTATTTGATTTCAGCTGGGCGTGGTGGCTCACGCCTGAAATCTCAGCACTTTGGGGAGGGCGGGGCAGGTGGATCACGAGGTCAGGAGTTCAAGACCAGCCTGGCCAACATGGTGAAACCCCATCTGTACTAAAAATACAAAAATTAGCCAGGCATGGTGGCAGGCACCTGTAATCCCAGCTACTCGGGAGGCTGAGGCAGAGAATTGCTTGAACCCGGGAGATGGAGGTTACAGTGAGCCTTAGATCATGCCACTGCACTCCAGCCTTGGCAATAGTGCAAGACTCTGTCTGAAAACAAAGAAAAAATAATTATTTGATTTCATTGAATTAGACAGGCCATGGCTTTATTCTAGGTTATTATTTCTTACCATCTTGTGTACCAATTAATGTAGCAGAAACATTTTTTACATATCTTAAAGGATATTTATAAGATGAAGACTATAGTGTTTAATAGATTGTTGAAGAATGGCTAAGAAGTATTATGTCCATAATACTCTTGTAGTCTACTCAGTGTGGACTCTATCTACTGCAACAATCATGTGGCGGTTGTCTTGAAATAGGAATGGATATATTCTGCATTGGCAGTTACATTTGTTTTGATTTTTTGAGTTGTTCCGTGTTTTGTGGTGTTCAGGGTGTAACATTTCTATTTTCTGGGAATTAGCCAAATTTCTTTGTCACCTAACTATTATTTATAGTGGGGATGGAAGTGAACATAAGAATAAAGAATGTCCTGACAAGGGTAATTGCTACCAAAAGAGAAGCGAAGAGGAAATATTTCAGTTTTTAAAACAAAACAAAACAATGATTTATCTGAAAAGGTACCTGCTTCTATACCTAGGGGATTTAGATAACATTATGTTTGCCTGTTATTTAAGTAGACAAACAACATATTTTAAAAGTAAATTAGAGCCTGGCGCGGTGGCTCACACCTGTAATCCCAGCACTTTGGAAGGCTGAGGCGGGAGGATCACCTGAGGTCAGGAGTTTGAGACCAGCTTGGCCAACATATAGTGAAACCCTGTCTCTACTAAAAAATCCAAAATTAACTGTGCGTGGTGGCACACACCTGTAGTCCCAGCTACTTAGGAAGCTGAGGCAGGAGAATCGCTTGAATGGGGAAGGTGGAGGTTGCAGTGAGCCGAGATCGTGCCACTGGACTCCAGCCTGGGCGACTTAGCAAGACTGTCTCTCAAAAAAAAAAAAAAAAAAAGTGTAAATTAGAACTGTTTGAGAAACTGACTACATTTCACTCAACTGATAGAAATGATCAGTTAGCATTAAGATTACAATTTAATGCTGAAAAGTGAAGCAGTGTGCCTTTTTGTAATATAATATGATAATTTCTCTAGTCATCTGTTTTGAAGGCTGTTGCATTTATTATTAGTTAACTAACAATATCTAACATTTCTGGGGTTTTCACAGTTCTGCTAATAAAGTCAGAATATACTTATCATTTCAATTCTGAGATTCTGTAAGGTGTGTATTTTCTTTTGCCAGTCCTTGATGTTTTCATATGGGACAAATGCAGGAGCAATTTAATATATTCGTTTAGTTGTGTCTTTGTTAATGATGGTAATCTGACAACCTAGGGGATAACCTGCCAGCTATATTTACATGAAGTGTAGCAATAGATACATAAAAGTTTTCTGAGTAATACATGATTATGTACATTTTTGTTTTGCTTTCACTGATCAGTATTTCTAGTGCTCAAAGTTTTGCTAACCTATTCTTAAATAATTGGAAATTTTAAGATATTTAAATTAATACGTTAAGGATTAATTTGTATTTTAGTAATAATATGTTTGCATTAACAAAACAAATGGTACTTGGTATTTAACTCTTGTTGGAGTTCAAAATTTAAAGCTGTCACTTTGACAATTAAATATTAGTTTAATAAGTTCACAGTATTAGTGAAAGATGTGAATTTTGATGGAACGAAATCAAATCATAAATCTTTGAAAATACTTGCTATGAGAATTATAAGCTACATTCAAAGATACTGATATAAACATATAAACTAAATATCAAATACAATTTTACAGATTATAATCATTTTTATTAAGAGAATACTATCAAACTTTTGGAGAATTTGCTTTTGATCATTCTTTTACATTTGAAGAAAATATGAGTAAAAATTTACTTTTAACAACTGGTTTTAACTTTTTGAAATGGTCCTTTATGATTGACAATATAAAGATTTCCAGCAGTTGTTGTTTAGATTTCTGCTGTCTAAATGTTAGCCACTAGCCACATATGGCTATTTAAATTTAAATCAATTAATATTAAAATGAGAAATTTTCTCAGTGGTATTTGCCACATTTCAAGTGCTCAGTAACCATCTATGGCTAGTGGCCACTGTTCTGGACAGCACAGATATGTAGATAATCCTAATATTATAAAAAGTTCTGTTGGATACCACTTGTCTAAAGTTTTAGTTTCAATTAATTTTTAATATTACCCATATTAAAATTCTTTATAAATGCTACTTTAACAAATTCCTTTGATAAATAAATGTATATTTCTTCTTTTAGAAGTAGTAGGGGCCACCAAATAATATGACCTTTTTTTTCCCCCAACACTTCTTGGAGTCTGTTTGTATAGTTTCTTTAAGTAGTATATTCAGCACAAGTTGTCACTGACTACAATTAAAAGATATGATAACTGTGACAAGGAGTAGTGTTAGGGTCCTTGAAGGACTTTGATTTTCAGGTATCACAGTATATGTCATTTAAAGAAAAGTCATGCTTTCCAAAGGTAAATTATTATTATTATTTAAGACAGGGTCTTGCTCATGTTACCCAGGCTGGAGTGCAGTGTTGAGATCATAGCTCACTGCAGCCTCCACCTCCTGGGCTCAAGTGACTCTTTCACTTCAGCTTCCTGAGTAGCTGGGATTATAGGCGTGTGCCACCAAGCCTAGTTAATTTTCTTTTTTTTTTTGTGAAGACAGTCTCTCACTATGTTGTGAGCAGTCATCCTGCCTCAGTCTCCTGAAGTGCTGGGATTATGGGAGTGAGCCACTGCAGCTGGCAAAACCACCTTTTTAATCAGTGTTGAATCTCATGTTGGTTCACTTAAACATATAGCATTGTTAAATGTGTTCTTATACTTACAGGATACATTAAATTGCCTTAAATATTATATTCATAGTAGTCACTCTTAGAGGAGTATTTCTGAATGTTTTTTCATTATGTACCCTATAATCACATTACCTGTGTATATTTTTATATATTATTCTTATATACCTGGATTTTGTATTTATAAAAACTATAGCTAAAGCCAGAAGATAATAATAAATGCATGACTTAAATTTTTCCCCTTTATGTAGGCAGTGCTCGGAATGTGACCAGGCAGGGAGCAGTGACATGGAAGCAGATATGGCCATGGAAACCCTACCAGATGGAACCAAACGATCAAGGAGGCAGATTAAGGAACCAGTGAAATTTGTTCCACAGGATGTGCCACCAGAACCCAAGAAGATTCCGATAAGAAACACGGTAGTTTATTTTTTATTTATCATAAGCATCATACAATTCTGAGGCCAAAATTTAAGAGAGTGAGAAAGACACAGGGCAAACATATACTCAGAAGTCAAAGAAAAAGACATCTATTGGTTATTCTTAACAATTTTTTTTCTATATTATGAAATATACCACATGCTTACCTGAGTGTTTGTAGTTTATATTTTGTTGGAGGCATAATATAAGGAACACACCAGAGCATCCATCACCCACCTTGAAAGACAGACCATTCCCAAAGCTTTAGAAGTTTCCCGTAAACCCCTCGACAAGCTCATCTTTATCTGTCTAGCCCAGAGGCCACCTCTTTACTCAGCTTTACTTTTCTCATTCACTTCTTTTTCTTTATAGAAGAGATTTACACTCTAAATTTCTGTACTTATAAATAATACATGGTTTATTTTTGTAGGTTTTGAATTTCATATGAATGGAATCAAATGTTTTTCTCTGGTAATTTGATATTTTGACCAAAATTATGTTGATTTGATTCAGACATGCTGATCCATGTAGTTGTAGTTTATTTATTGTCACTAATGTATAGTTTTCTATGGAAAGAATAGATTATTACCTAGTTTTTCTTTTGCTTTGTTGATGGGCAGTTAGGTTTTTTTCATGTTTTTCTATTCTATACAGCTTTGTTTAAAATATTCCTATAAATATCTCCTGCAGCATGGTAACAAGGAGTTTGTGTATGTATTAAGGTGTAGATTTGCTAAGTTACAGACTATCTGCATCTTCAGTTTTGCTAGATAACTGCAATTGTTTTCCAAACCAGTTCACACTCATACCAGCAATGGATAATGTTTCTGTTGCTTCACAAAGTTTTGTCCAGTGTTTTAATGCTTTCCAGTGTGGTACAGGGAAAATAGTATCTTGACATTTTATGTTGCATTTCTCTCAGTACTAATGATTTTGTTCATCTATTTACATATTTTTGGTAAATTGTATTTCCTTTTCTGGGAAATGTGTATGCAAGCCTTTCACCAGTTTTTCTGTTGGGGTGTTTACCTTTTTCTCATTGCAAATTCTTTGAGGCCAGGTTTTAAAGAGTTTCTTCTGGGGAAATCATTTATGTTCATGTTTACCAGGTACCTTGAAGGGGCCTCTACCAACTTGAGAATATTTTAAATAAAAGTTTGGTGTGTATGTTTTCTATTACATCAGGAGTGTAAATTTCAAACCTTTAAGTGCTGGCTTACAGTTATGAATTCTTAGGGCATACTTTCCTTGCTTGAGCTGAGGCAGGCACTTTTCAAAAATCTTCCTTTCCACAAGGGAGATACAAAGATATTTTTAGGGTTAGTTGTCATCATTTGTTCTGTTACCTGTTTCATTTTAAAGAGTCTTTAATTTTTTCCTTAAAGTAACAGTTTTCTCAAAAAACATTTTCTTAATCTGTATTAACCTCCTATATTATAATCACTTAAAAGATCTTATTCAGGAGATTCAGCTTGATTTTTTAAATCAGTTTTGTGTTATGGGGTCATATAAAATTTATGAGGCAAATCTTTATCTCTTAGATAATTGAAACAGTTTATTTTGGGTGCTCTAAGTAGATCAACTTGAAATAGTTTTTATTTGTAGTTTCAACTGTTTATAACTCTTTTTTTAGGCTTCAAAAATATATTTTGTTTATAAGGGAACTAGAGAGACTTTTCCTTTGTTAAATAAGCCGGCTAGTTTCTATTTCTAAAATATTTTCTATAATTGTTTGAAAATGGTAACTAGTTATTCTTAAGATCTTAGAGAAGAGTTATTACTTCGTATGTCTGTCTACAAAGATTATCCTCTTATGAAACATTATTTTTCCAGTTTCTTTATTGTTTCAAGAAAGCCTTTTGACTAGTATTATCATCCTTAACTTTGGAGTTATCATATAGAGGGAAATTATGTATATTACAGTGAAATTTTTGTGCCCACAGTTCAGTATTACTTGAGATAAAAGAGAACTCTTTAACATTAAAGGATCCTTCTATTTTTTTCTCACCTTTACTGGTCTGCTTTTTTTATCCTAGAATTATAAGGAAGCTTTAAAATTTGCTAATATAATCCCATTCCTTTCATCTTGTTCTTTGTCTCTAGTTTTCTTGTTTAAAAGTTTTAGACTTCTTACAGATTTTGGTCAGTGAAACACCAGGGAAAGAGTCCATGACCAGTAATTTCAGGAAATGCAGTGTGATTATTTTCTTACTTGTAGAAATTCCAATGCATGTTGAAGCTCCAAAAAAAAAAAATCCTAATATTTAGAAACAGGATTACTTTTATCTATTCTTTTTCTTAACTTGTTTTTATCAAAAAAGCATTTTTTAAGACACTTTTTTTTTGGTAGCATAGAGTACTGTGTGGTGCTAAGTTTGGAAATGATGCTCCGGAGACCATGGATTACTTGCATTAGGACCATCTTGGGTATTTGTTGAAATGTAGACTTTGGACCCACCCTAGAGCTAGTATAGACTTTGGACCCATTCTGGAATTAATCAATTAGAATTTAGGGGTTTGACTAAGCAGATTTCTTAGGTGCTACGCTTATACTAAATAAAAGTTGAAAATAACTACTAATGGTGATTACCTTTCCTTTTTCCCTCTCATCTTTTCTGCCTGCCTTCCAACAATCCATTCAGAAAACCAGACAATTGGTGCGAGGTATCATACTAAACTGTTCAAGGAATGTAGGAATGAGAGATACAGAAGGGAGTGATCAGTCATTTTGGTCTTGATCTTACCATTTATGCTGAGTTCCTGTTGTTACCTTAAGTTTTTACTTATTTCTATTTGAGTTGTATTTATCTTTTTTAATCAATAGGTGGTATGGTGAAAAATGAGGTGTTCTAATTGTGTTTCTTAGAACAGTGTTAATTATGAGAGACCAGGCATACAACAGCTTACTAACTTGTATAAATACCTTTTGCAATATATAACTAATTTTTCTCTCCCATTGTTACATTTTTAAACTATTGCTCCCAATATCCTCCTACTTACACTTTTATTTCAGCACAGGTATTACAATTGGGAACATTCTGTCTTGTAATACATTATTATAGTATTTTTATTTTTGTCAGTTTTTCATTTTTCCTGCCATAAATTGATCAAAGTATAATTTGTTTTCATGTTAGTCTTATTATTCTGTCATGATTTTGAAGAAAATTTTACCTTCATGACATACGTAGGGCAATCATGACATACCCCAAGCTCATGGACCTGAACTCCTGGCAGACAGCAACTGCCCTGTTTACCACAGAAGAATGGGTCCCATTCTTCTTATGTTTCATCAGTGAAACTATAGAATTATTGTAAAGGCAGCCTGAGATAGTTCTGTTTAAGTACTTTGTTATTTAGACATTTTCTCTGCATTATTTTCTATGTGGAAACTTTTACTTACTTTTAGGCAAGGAAATTAATTTTGAAGAAAACATAAATTAGCTTACCCATATCCCTTTTGAAGTTACTTTAAAATTGGTGTTTATACTTGTGGACATATTTTCTAATACTCTAATGTAACTTGAAAGCTTTCAGATTTTCTTTTTGCTTTCTTTGCACTCTAAGTCATGTAGTGACTTTTCATCTTTTGTAGAAGTGCCAAAGGACTTGTTGGGACCTCTCTTTCCATTGTTTTTACACACACGCATGCATCATCTACTCTCTTTGAAGTTCTGAGATCTTTCTTCCTGACTTACAAATTCTGGTTGTGTTTTATATATTTTCTTTTTTGCAAAATAAATGCAATAAATAGGCAAAATACTTTTTAGCAGCTTTGACTGAAAACCATATTGTTTTTCAGGATGCATTATTTCTTTTAGATCATTATTTTAGAAGGAGATTTAAACACATCTAATCGTTTTTCCATCGCACTTAACAATGTGAGCCACTAGCCAGTTCTAAGTGGCAGTCTTTATTTGAGAGATAATCAAATATCCTAGAGCCTACTTTTATTACATTTATGTTTTAACTAATTTTACGCATATACAAAGTACCTATTTAATAATGTTTAAGCTTAAGTCTTGAGAATCTGAAAATATGAAATATGTTTCATATAAATATTTTTTAGATGTTAGTTTAGGAAAAATGTTGAAGCATTTGGATTCAGTTCTACTGAAGTGACTAAAGGTTACTGTACATTATGTTCATATTTATTTTACTTATTCTTATACTAACTGTTTGAATTACTACAGTTCTGGGAAAGAAGAGTTATTTGTGGGGGCTTTACATACCAGAGTTTTCTATTATCAGACTCAAGGTGACCTCTGAGGTACGAGTCAGATTATAAAACCTCTATCTGTCATAGATTCTTAGAAGAAACCCTGGCAAACAGTTTTTGTAGTGAACTAGAACTCACTTTGGCTACTTGGAAGAGATCTACTCTGTGGGTGTCCTTAGCTCAAGTAATCTTATTCAGAACCCTGAGACTCCTGTTTTGCTTTTTGCCTCTTGGAAATCCATCACTTTTATTTATTCCCAGGAGTATGAAATAAAGATAAGAATAGGTGGAGCTTTCAAGACTTTCCTTATTTTGTATATACCATTATCTCTGAGAAGGTTTTTATAGCAGCACTTACTTGTCATGTAGAATACATATTTTATTATATATCATTAGACCCATAGTTATTTCAGTTTATAGTAGTTAAGACAAATTGGTTATGATTTTCTTTTTATTCTCCCATATATTTTCATAACCCTGTTAACATAAGCTAAATTAGATAAAAAGAAACTCTACAGTCAATTGACCAAAGGGAAAGCACTCACTTTTGGTGACTGCCATTCCATTGGTTGTTTATTGGTAGCCAACAGAAACAGATGACACCTTGTTCATAATTTGTTTTTTGTATATAGCAATTTTCTTTGAATATTTCATGAACTTTAACTTGTTTTCAATGCAGTTTCATAATTGAAAGACAAATATTTTTAGGAATTATGTATATGTATAATTTTATATTTTTTAGAAATTATATTTTTATTATATATTGCTACATATAATATATGCTATACATATAATTTTATATTCTTAGGAATTAAATATATATTATATTTTTATATATTAGAATAAATTTTATATTGAAGCATTTTTGAATAGCTGCCAGAAAGCTACTGGCATTTATTCCCCAGCATAAATCTAATGCTATTTAGCTTAACAGAGGTTTTCAAAGTTTGACTTAATTGTCCTAATTAACATTGATTTTGGAATTTTGCCCATGAATAAGCATGTTCTATTTTTACATATAAGTTGCAGAGGGAAGCATTTCTTATGATTCACCATATGTGACTTACTTTAATTATTAATTTGTATAAATATTGATATGTCAACAAAAACACAAGTGTTAAATTTAGTGACCTGGTCACAAGTGAATATGTGAAGCCTAGTTTACTGATATCAAAGATGTTAAGGTACTGACTCTTTTAGTTTTAAATTTAGTTCATTTGCCAAATGAATCATGCATTTGACTTGATTGCAAATTAAAATAACCTCAGCTCTAAAGAATTAATTAAAATACATTACATGTTTTTTAGTCCAAATGATAGAAAAGTTAGAGAAATGTTTAATTATTTGTTTTAGATGAATAAACTATTTATTTACTTATTTTTATTTTTATTTTTTTGAGACAGAGTCTTGCTCTGTCGCCCAGGCTGGAGTGCAGTGGTGTGACCTTGGCTCACTGCAACCTCCGCCTCCCAGGATCGAGCGATTCTCATGCCTCAGCCTCCTGGGTAGCTGGGATTACAGGTGTGCACCACCACGTCCGGCTGAGTTTTGTATTTTAGTAGAGATGAGATTTCGCCATGTTGGCCAGGCTGGTTTCAAACTCGTTACCTCAGGTGATCTACCCGCCTCGGCCTCCCAAAGTACTAAGATCACAGGCCTGAGCCACTGTTCCCGGCCTGAATAAACTATTTAAAAGTTGCCTGCTAGATAAGATAATTTTACACCTTTTCAGTTTAAATACATTGTCTCTAATACCATGCCAATCTCTTCTATGGATTTTTTAATCACCTCTTTTCAAGTAAGTTGATCACGGACAGATTACGAGCAAGGTGATTTAAGCAGCTCAGGTTGTAATTGTTCCCTAGCTAAATCAAGTTCTTAAAAAAAAGAAAAACAAAAAATTGGAATGTGTCAAGATTTGGAATGAGTTTTAAACTTTCATTTACTTTTAATAGGTTAGCTAATTACTGTCAAAATTAATCAGTTTGGAATTGCACCCTTGCTTGATTAATCATGTGGAATTTCCAGGTAACGTATCTGTGTTACATTCTAAAGCACATTCTTGAAAAGTAAAATTCTTCCTTCTTCCACATATTATTTTCATCCTACAGTTTTATTGTTGCTAAAGTAGTTTCAGCCTCAAAATATATCAGAAAAGGACCACCCAGTTATATATACTTCTATTCATCTGAGATGGGACAAGCTCTTTGGTAACTGAAATTTGTCAGATAGGCCCAACTTATTTTCGTTTTTCTTGCTTTTTTGTACCATTTCTCCCTCTTTTAAATTCTACTTATGTTTTGGGATTCATTCAAGTACACTACTTTCAAGATAACTTGTCTGTTGTGATCTTAAGCAGTTATGAATTTTCGTAGTTATAGTTGCTGCCACTTCATTAAAACTAGAAAAAAAAAATCCCATAGCTTTCAACATTTTCTTGGTTGGAGGACTTGGTATTTTGTATAGTTATATTTGGACCAAATTCTCTTTTATTTTTTTCTTTGGAAATATTAGTAATGTGATAAATGCTAAATAAGAGTGCTGTAATTACTTTGGTAATGAATCAAGTTAGTATGTAGTATGGAGCTACCAAATTATGTAGACTATAGTGCCAGTTTTAATTTACTCTTTATTGGGTATAATTCTCTAACTTCATTTGAAATGTAAGAAATCTTCATTGGGCATCACAATGTTACAGTTTAGTTTAAGTATTTACGTGCAATAAGAGATTTGCATTCTGAATGATTTAGCTCATTTCTATTTGGGATTAAAGTATTAATCTTGGATTAGCCATGCAAGAAAAGTCACTGAAGTGACAGTTGAGATAACTGAGTTTCAGGTTTACCTCAGAAACTTACCAGCTGTGTGACATCAGCAAGTCATTTCTCTGGATTGCTTTTTCAGAGCTCTAAGATAATATTATTTTATATTTTTATAATAAGTTTATTTTTGTAGATGGAAATTGTTTATGTGTCTTGTGTTATTTTAAATTATTACATGAATATATCAGCGATTACCATTTGGTAATAAATGTACTTAAAGTGACTATTTTAGATAATTACAAATACACCTAATATATGAGAAGAAATTTATAAATATAGAGAGAAATGGAGCTATACCATTGTGTGATTGAATCACTAATTGGCATTATACCATATGATGCTAATTGCAATCTGGTATGAAGAGAGTTTCAATTGATGGAGTCATACCAGATATTTGAAGATTTAAGTTATTATCAAAATGGTAAATAAACATCCTTAAAAGAATTGAAAACATGAACTTGCAGCATTAAAATACATACTTGAAAAATTCAAAACTACATGATACATTTGCTAGTTCATTACCTAAAAGATGAGTTGGATGAAGAAAAATGTGAAAATGTATGGAAGTCTTTTGCACATTCTGTTTAGAAGTTTGTAGAGCTCAAATGAGTAATTTGAATATTTTCCACTTGATATTGGTTACTAATTTGGAGCATCTTATTGAAATGCCCTGTAGGCCAGGTGCAGTGGTTCACACCTGTAATCTGAGTACTTTGGGAGGCCAAGGCAGGTGGATCGCTTTAGGTCAGGAGTTCGAGACCAGCCTGGCCAACATGGCAACCCGTTCTCTAGTAAAAATGAAAAGATTAGCCAGGTGTGGTGGTGCACACCTGTAAACCCAGCTACTTGCAAGGCTGAGGTGTGAGAATCGCTTGAACCTGGGAGGCGGAAACTACAGTGAGCTGAGATTGCTGCCACTGCACTCCAGTCTGAGCAACAGAGGGAGAGTCTGTCTAAAAAAAGAAAAAAGCCCTGTAAATATACATTATGCAAATTAGATAATAGAGTACCAAATTAGGGAAAAATAATTTAAACTTTTTGTCAAATTTTTATTTTATTTTATTTTTTTGAGACAAAGTCTCGTCCTGTTGCTCAGGCTTGGAATGCAGTGACTTGATCATGTCTCACTGCAGCCTAGATCTCCTGGGCTCAAGTTATCTTCCCACCACAGCCTCCTGAGTAGCTGGGACTACCAGCACTCACAACCATGCCTAGCTGATTTTTTCATTTTTATTGTTAGTAGAGATAAGGTCTCTCTGTGTTGCCCAGGCTGGTCTTGAACTTTTAAGCTCAAGCAGTCTTCCCCGCTTAGCCTCTCAAAGTGTTGAGATTATGGCCGTGAGCCATGGTGCCTGGCCTGTCAGTCAGATCTTTTAGTTTGTATTATATAGTATCATCATTCATTAGTTCTGATTTAACCACTTATAAATTTATTTTATTAAAACAAGTTAATTGAGTCTTTATGTCATAAGCTTTGTGTTAAGTTTAATTGGGTGTAGAAAGATGAATATGATATGGTCCTTACCAAATTGGGAATGAATTTTGTAAGGGGACAGAAAATAAAGCATTAAAGGGCAAGAGTGGCACAGAAGGAAAAGAGATGAATGTAGAAATTACTAGCCATAAGTTTTCAGTTAGAACTTGAATAAGTGTTGTTAAGGACCTTTCTACACTGGTGTCCTTAAACTTATGTGTATTTGACCTACTTAGGATTCTTGTTAAAAGATAGCTTCTAATTCAGTGTGTCGGAGTCAGCCTGAGATTCTGCATTTCTAATAGACACTCAGGTGATGCCAGTGCTTATGGGTCATGATTGACACCTTGAGAAGCAAGTCTCAGTATTGTTCTTTGGAAGTCAGAATTGTAGATGCAGGATCTGCATTTAAAGGCCTTTCCTGGATATAGTCTTCAGTTTTCTGCCTAATTACTTCCATAATATAATTAAAACAGACTGATTGGCAATATAAATGTAAACAGATTCATAGTTTATAAATTTACTTTTTTTGAATGACTAATTTAGTTGACTCTTGGTTATCTAGGAACAGATTAAATGGTAAGTAGTTAGCCATGGTATTAAATAACAGTGTACTTGATATGAAGAATTGAAATTAATGTAAGAAAATATTAATATATTTATACTATAATGTAATTCTGTTTAGAATTATTTGGTACCTACTCTAGCTTGGGAATGTTCCTTGATCTCAGCTGTCAAAGTAATTTTTGGAAGCAGTGCCTGCATTCTCTTCCAGTCTCTAGGGAACAGTGGTCTGCATATGGGGCTGTGCTGTGATTGGTGGATATTTCTAACATATTGGCTGCAAATACTAATGTAGTTACAGTTCTTTTAAACGTTTGTATGCGTTCTTTCAAATGGTAAATGTATTCTGAAATATAGGATGTGAATTTTAGCTAAATTAGTTTAAAATGTCATTTTATGTGGCATTTTAATTAGTTTTATGTTAACTAGGATTTTGGATATGTGAGAACTTTTCCTTCTACTTTTTTTTGGCTGCTTAAGAATTATTTCTTTACATAAACATGTATGCACATGCATATATGTAGGCAAACAATGTGTGTAGTATGATCCCAGGTTTAGCATTTCAGCTATATAAGTGATGTGATAAGTTATGAAAATTTAAATGCTCTGAGTAAATCATAATTATGGACAATTATGAAGTGTGGAGAAAATCCTTTAAAATAATTTTGGAGAATTCATTTTTTTTCTATCAGATACATGTTTATTTAAAAGTAAAGTACTATAAAGTATATTTAATTTGTTACTTTTTATTTCCTATGGCATAAATGGTAACAAAGTGCAGTAGTCCAATATAGTATTAATTAGAAATAACTAATTTTGCAAGTGCCTAACCTAAGCAATAACATTTAACAGAGGAAATTTATATTTATTATTAATTAAACATTAGATATACTGTGGATTTTTGTTTTTTGTTTTTTTTTTTGTTTTTTTCCAGAGAACCAGAGGACGAAAACGAAGCTTCGTTCCTGAGGAAGAAAAACATGAGGTTGGAATAAGTTAAGCACTTTTACACAGTCTTAACTTTGAGAAATTTTCTTGCTTAAAATTGTTTCCCTCATATCCTTATTTTGTTTGTTATGTTTTATTTTATTATCCCTTGTATGGCAGGAAAGAGTTCCTAGAGAGAGAAGACAAAGACAGTCTGTGTTGCAAAAGAAGCCCAAGGCTGAAGATTTAAGAACTGAATGTGCAACTTGCAAGGGAACTGGAGACAATGAAAATCTTGTCAGGTAAGTTGGATGCTAAAACCTTGTCTTTAGGGGATGAAAGTTCTATATTTATTTTCTCATCACAGAAAAAATGAAAAAACAATTGCAGGATAAGACCTTTCTTAAAATATTATATAGTGGAAACAGTACTTTAGAAACAGATTTCATCCACTTCTTAACCTCTCACACATGGTTATACTCTGGATTTAAATGTAAATAAGAGTGATAATCTGCCTGTTTAACACAGGGAATTATTTTTCTCTTGACAAGAGAAATTGACAGTGCTCTCTATTTAGAGGCCATGAAAGTAATTTGATCTAAACACTGTGTACTAAGATTATTATGTTTTATGTCAGAAAACAATAAAGTTACTAAGCTCTGTTAGCATATTCTAAATGTTTGAAATTTAGAAGCAATGGTGAGAAGACAGACTTTTTATTGACAAGAACTTAATTAGCACTTTCTTATTGCTTATCAAAACAAATGTGTTAAATGCTTCTCCCTTACGAAATAAAGAAAGGTGAAAAGATGGCCTAGGTTGATTTTATTTTTTGTTTTGTCTTTGTTTCTTTGTTTCGTTTTGGTACTTTATTTTTTTTTAATCAGACATAATGCTAATCAGAAATCTTAGCTGATGCTGCACATTGGCTTTTCCCAACGGTCCAGAGGCTGCTAATTTTAGCGGAAATGAAGACATTGATCAAAGCTCTGGTGAGATGGGGGAGTGAGTGTGTGAACAAAAAGAGAGCTAATTTAAAAGAGGCATCAGACTTTCAAAGGACAGTGTCACAAAAGTTCTTACAGTTCTTACAGGGACTTTGTAAGGGAATCCATTCTTATTTCTTTAAAAAATTGTCTTCTGGTAAAGCCCTGTTAAATTAACTGAGGACACAGAAATTAAACATTTCAAAAAGAATAAACATATTGATAAAACAAATATATTAGTGTTGTTGTATGTTTTTAAATACTTACTTCCAAATGATTTAATCTATTTTGGTCATTAAAATATGTCTTAATTTCTCAAAGAAAGGCATGAAGTCTTAAATTTTATGAGTTTTTTATGCTATCAATGAGAAAGATAAAGTAAAAATTACAGTAGAAAAAGACAAAGTCCTTCAACAAAGTTAAGAAAGTTTATAATAATTGGCTAATTTTTTTGAGGTAGTTCATGTAGAGTGTGTTGGGAGCTATCCTGAAGGTTAAGTTTATTAAAATTTAGGGTAAAGTAGTAAGTAGTTCCAAGTTCAGGAGATACACCTGAATAATTCTGACCACAGTATAAATTTTGCAATATGTCGAAAATGAAATCCCAAGCATAAGCGTAACATAATGGAGTAAATGAAACAATAAAAATAAAGAAAAAAAATAACAATCTTATATAATGAACAAAAATTTAATTCAGGAAAATTCCCTTGGGGTTGAGGGTGGAGTTGAGGACTATGATTTTGAAACAGTAGTTAAAAACTTATAGAGCTGGTGATCCTTTTATTAATTATTTGAACCTGTATGAGTATCTACTGTGTCTTACTAATTTTTTTTTTTTAATATGAGATTGATTGAGGCCTTTTTGCTGTAGGACTTAGAGGTTTTTATTAGGTTTTTTGTTTTGCTTTTGTCATATATTGGAAATTAGGAACCTGAGAAATACAATTTTTATTTTAAAAATCAGTTTATGATAGATTTCCAACCCATCATATTTTAGTCGTTTAATAAAAAAAGTGCCATCTTCTAATTTTGATAAGATTTTTGAATAGTATTACTCTATGTTATTTATTTCTTTAGTTTCTGTTATGAAATTTTTATTTCTAATTGCATTATTACAATATGCCAATGTCTGGAATTTTGTGAAAGTCTTCTGGAAGGTAAAGATATTTTTATTACTCTAAAATAATGGATATGCAAAGTCCCCTTCCTTCGTTTTGCCTTATTAAGAAGATAATATCGTAAATTGTCTGCAAAGTTTTAAAGAGGTAATGTAGAGGAAATTAAATGTTTTATTGGTACTATATTTTAATATTTCTTAGGACAAGATAAGCTGGATATAAAGCAATGCCATAAAATATTTTTGGTTATAATGTGATCTTTAAAAAAAATACATTGTTTATGCACTATTCTTCTTGGGTTAAAGAATTTTTATATAAAATTTCATATGTTTAATAAAAGTAATCTCATAAGCTAATATCTGCCATTTTCCCTGGCATCTCATATTTTGGAATTGGCACTGTTATTGTTTGAAAATCACCCCCCAAAAGTCTACACTTTTTTATTACATTGCATCTTAAATACTATCTTTACATGCTATTTTTTTAACTTTCAAATAAGATATTTTAAATAAGGATTTATTTTCTCTACAGATATATTTCAGCGCTTACTCAGACATACGTGTATGTCTGTTAGGTTCTCTTTTAAAATTAAACTTCATGGGTCACAATTAGTCTTTTATTTAATATACTGTGTTTACTTTCTCAAGTTCTTTTAAACTGATGTTTATATCACACTAGAATCTGCTCTTCAGCAGTTTTGATTTTTTAAACCACACTTCTCTATGTAATTCAGGCTATATAGAAAATTCCTTCTTAATTGTCCTTTTTTAGTTATTTGTATGTGTTTACTTGTGAATTTATATGTATAATTTTTTATATCATTGAACAATTGCATGCAATTTGTCAGTACATTGTAATTAGTAAGTTTCAACTGTTATTTTCTGCTTTGCCTGTTTTTCTTGGGACTTGGGCAAGTAATTTAGCATTTCTGTGTCTTGGTTTTCCCCCCGTTGTACATGATCACAATCATACTTGCTTCATTAGGTACCTTATGGATAATTGCTGAGTGATAGTAAGGTTCTTTCCATATAAAATGTTAGAACAGTAGTATTATTTAGTAACACAAAGAATACATGTATGTGTGCATTGAAATAAAGGTCACAATTGGTAAATATGTTTCCAGTTATAATAAATACTTGTTATGTCAGAAAATGTACATGTCCTGTTGTATATAATTTTGTCTAGAATCTAGGAGACAAAAGGAAATTTGTCATTACATGTTTTCTAAAATGATTAGATTGAAGGTTTACAGCATCTCAGGCAATTTTATTTTTTTAAGTGCTGGTTTTTTGCCATCTACTTTTAAAATTTAATTAGAAATTATCTGAGAAGTTCTCAACTAAATATATATTTCTTTATGCTATTTAATGCAATCTAAATGCTAAAGGTCAAGTTGAAACTATTTCATGGAATTGGGAAGTCTTAAAGGCTTTGTCTGTGATAGGTCATTCTTTGTTGGAAGTAGTTATGGAACTACTTAGTGATACCTTATTTATTTTTGTTTCGACAGTTCATGGCACATTTAATGATCAGAAAATGCTTGGTAAATGAACTCTACATAAGTAATGACTGAGTATTCTTTTGCTGAATTAATAAAAACTGTCACTATTATAATTTAATTCTAGAGCAAATTGAGTCACAAAATATAATGTTTGATGAAGGTATTTAAAGGGCTTGATAAAGGACAATTGATTTTTTGTCACTAAAATGTAGTGGATAGTTTTTCCTCTGCTGTATTTTAAGTAAGGAAATAGATTTGAGAATAAATGATTAATCTATGAAAAGTAGAGATGAAGTGATTCCTCTCCTTGAGCCTATATGAAAAGGAAGTGGGCCTGTCTTTCAGTCTTTATCGAACTATCAAATTAGGAATAACACCAAACTTCTAAACCTCAAATTTTATCTTAACTTTATAGACTCAATGTGGCACATTTATTACTTAATCAGAGATAGGAGAGAGAGAAGAAAGGTTTCCTAAAGCTAAGAACCCTGGAATCCATGAGCCCTCTTAAATAGCATCTTTAATTTTATTTTGTATTGTGGCCATTTTTCAGAAGCATTGAGGGTAGGAAATGATCTATTAAGCTATTTCACTTTTATAGCTAATTCTACACTATCAAATGCTTGCCAGATTCTCCCCTTTATTTGAGTATATGGCAAATTACATAGGTATTGAACCATTTTGATTACAAGGGTAGGGTGTCAATTTGGTCTGTAAACATTGTTGTTCGCACTTTTATTTATTTTACATTTAAAAATCTGGCTTGTCAGTGCATCCTCCCCAACTAAATTTGTTTGTGTCATAAATTATTAGGAAAACCAGCAAGAATTCATATGTATTACATTTTAATTTCAAATATTAGTCTCTCGTTATTCTGATTATAATTTTTTTGTTGTTTGTTTTCGTTGTCACTCAGGCTAGAGTGCAGTGGCACTTTCTTGACGCAGTACAGCCTCTGCCTCCCGGGCTCAAGCAATCCTCTCACCTCAGCCTCCCGAGTAGCTGAGACTTGATTTTTTATTTTTAATTAACTTTTCTGTTCTAACTAGTATGGAGGCAATGTTTTGTTTTATGGTTATTGTTATTTCCTATCTAATAATTCTTTGCTTAGGTCCAGGTGACAAAAACTTTCTTCTTTGTTTTCTTCTAGAAGCTTTGTAGTTTTGGCTTTTATATTTTATATGAGCTATCTGAAATTAATTTTTGTATATGGTTTCAGGTAGAGTTAAGGAAGGTTTGTTTATTATCTGCCCCATGTGGATTCCCAGTATCATTTGTTGAAAATACTTGCCTTTCCACATTAAATTACTTTGGTGCCACTTTTAAATGCCAGTTGGCTTTTTCAATGTGGGCTTATTTCTAGACTTTCTATTATATTCCATTGAGTTATGTATTTATTCCTGTGCCAAGACCAACTCTTGATTACTCAGGCTGTGGAGTAAGCTGTTTCGTTTTTCTGGATCCTTTGCATTTTCATGTAAATATTAGAAACAGCTTGTCCATTTTCATTTTAAAAAGGAAAGCCTGGACATAACACCAAAAGCATAGGTAATAACAGCAACAAAAAATTAGCTAAGTTGGACTAAATTCAAAGTTAAAAACTTTTGTGTGTGAAAGGACACCATCACCAGATGGTAAAAAGGTTAACCCATAGGATAGGGGGGAATATTTGCAAGTCATGTATCTGTTAAGGGATTGAGAATATATAAAGAACTTGGACAACTCAGCAATAAGAAACAACCCCATTAAAAATGGGCATAGGACTTGAAAATATTTCTCCAAAGAAGATATACAGTAGCCAACAAGCATATGAAAAGATGCTCAACATCACGAATCATTCAGGAAGAGTAAATCGAAACCACAGTGAGATACCACCTCACACCCATTGGGCTAGTTATCATTAAAATAAATAAATAAACAGAAAATAACAGGTGTTGGCAAGGATGTGGAGAAACTGGAGTTCTTGTACAATTGCCCTTGGGAATATAAAATTGTGCAGCTACTAGGGAAAACAGTATTTTAATTCCTCAAAAAATTAAAGACAGAATTACCATTTGATCTGTTAATACTGCTTCTAGCTGTACACCCAAAGCAGAAACTCAAACAGATAATTGAACACCTGTTTTCATAGCAACATTATTCACAATAGCCAAAAGGTGGAAGCAACCCAAGTTCCACTGATGGATTAAAGGATAAACAAAATGTAGTGTATATATGTATATTCTCTTAGTCCATTTTATGTTGCTAAGAAGAAATACCTGAGGGTGGATAATTGATAAAGAAGGAAATGTTTATTTGGCTCACAATTCTCATTGTTGGGAAGCTCAAGATTGGGCATCTGCATCTGGTGAGGACCTCAAGGTGCTTTCACTCATGGTGAAAGGTAAAGGAGAACTGGTATGATCAGGGATCACATGATAAGAGAGGAATCAAGAGAGGGGGAGATGCCAGGCTCTTTTTACTATCCAACTATCAAAGGAACTAATAGAGTTAGAACACACCCCTGAGGAGGTCAATAATCTCTTCATGAAGGATTCATCTTCATGACGTAAACACCTCCCATTAGGACCCCCCTAAAGTGGGATCACATTTCAACATTAGGTTTGTAGGTGACAGGTATCCAAACCATAGCATACATACAGTAGAATATTATCCAGCCTTAAAAAGGAATGAAATTCTGGGCCGGGTGCGGTGGCTCACGCCTGTAATCCCAGCACTTCGGAAGGCCAAGGCAGGTGAATCACGAGGTCAGGAGATCGAGACCATCCTGGCTAACACAGTGAAACCCCGTCTCTACTAAAAAATACAAAAAATTAGTCTGGCATGGTGGTGGGCACCAGTAGTCCCAGCTACTTGGGAGGCTGAGGCAGGAGAATGGCATGAACCCGGAGGCAGGGCTTGCAGTGAGCCAAGATCGCACCACTGCACTCCAGCCTGGGTGACAGAGCGAGACTCCGTCTCAAAAAAAAAAAAAAAAAAAAAAAATCTGATACTGCAACATAGATGAACCTTGAGAACGTTATGCTAAGTAAAATAAACCAGTTACAGAAGGGTACAAATAATGTATGATTCCACTTACATGAGATTCCTAGAGTAGTCAGATTTATAGAGACAAAAGTAAAAATGGTGGTTTCCAGGGGGAAGGAGGAATGGGCAGTTAGTGTTTAAGGGGTACAGAGTTTCAGCTGGGAAAGATGAAAAAGTTCTGGAGATGGATGGTGGGGATGGTTGCACAACAGTGTGAATGTGAATGCCACAGAGCTGTACACTTAAAAATGGTTAAGATGGTCAATGCTATGTATATTTTACCACAATTGATTTTTAAAAATAACCTGAAGAACAAAAGTCTACAGGGATTATAATAGGCTTTGTGTTGAATACATGGGATTTAGTGGCAGGGAAAGGGGCTGGGGCAGGGGGACATTAACATTTTAACCATGTTGCATCTTTCAATTTATGATCATGGTATATCTCTCCATTTATTCAGATACTCAGATAGTCTTTATTTTTTCTCACTGATGTAGTTTCGACTTTAGGAATCTTGCATGTCTTTTATTACATGCATTTTTAAGAATGTAATGTTTTTGATGCTATTGTATAGGTTATCTTTAAAGTTCTCTGTTTTCTGTTAGAGTTTAGAGCTGCCAGGTGGTCAGTTAGGAAAACAAGCAAAGTTCAAAGTAACAAAACTTTATTTTCTTATTCTGGTAGCATCAGGAAGAAGCCAGTCAGGAAAGGTTGCTGGCTCCTGAGTATTACATTGTTTCCCACTGAACAGCAGTGGGCAAGAGTCAGGAAGATAAGTGCAGATACACCCCCAACCCCAACCAGCACCCCACACCACACATACCCTTGTACTTAGAGGAGAAATTTAGTCTTACTGCTAAAGGATTCCCAAACAAAGGTTCCTGCTGTTTTATGGACCCAGGGGCTTCTGGAAGGGAGATGGGGAAGGGGTAGGAGGTAGAAAAGTACTGAGTCCGCATGGAGAAGTGCCTTCAAGTCTCCTTAATAAGGAGGACGATAAGGCACAGGTATTTGAACAGTGTTTGCTGGGCTCTTCCATCCCCTCTGTCCCAGGGAGGCTTCAAAATCAACCTTGCAAATCTGGGATAAACCCTTCTGGTCTGATGTATTGCCTCTTTTATGTATTTTTTTTAATTTTATTTGCTAATATTTTGATAAGGGTTATACATTCTCTGTGAACGTATTCCCTCCCTCCCTCCCTCCCTCCCTTCTTTCCTTCCCCTCCCCTCCTCTCCTCTCCCCTCCCTTTCCGTCCCCTCCCTTTCCCTTCCTTCCTTCCTTCCTTCTTTCTTGTCTTTCCTTTTTTTTTGGTTGGTTGGTTGTTGCCCAGGCTTGGTCTCAAACTCCTGGGCTTAAGTGATCCTCCTGAGTAGCTGGAATTACCACCGTGGCTTGGTATTACCACCACACCACCATGCCCAGCTGTTCTATTATTTATTTATTTATTTTTTTCTGGTAGAAGTATCACATTTTATTAGATAATACTGGCCTTCTGAATGGAGTTGGAAAAAGTGTTCCCTTATTCTTTGTTTTTAAAGCATTTGTTTAAGATACTGTTTGTTCATTAAATTTTGATAGAATTCTCCGGTGATACCATCTGAACCTAGAGTTTTCATTGTGGAAATGTTTTTGATAATAAATTCAGTTTTTAGAATAAATACTTCCTTTCATCTTGTGTCATTTTTGGTAAGCTGTGTTTCTCTTTTTGTTTGAGACAAGGTCTCATGATCACAGCTCACTGCAGCCTGAACTCTTAGGCTCAGGTGATCTTCCCACCTCAGCCTCCTTAGTAGCTGTGACTACAAGTGCGCGCCACCATGCCCAGCTGATTTTTTAATCGTTTGTAGAAATGGGGTCTGACTGTTTTGCCCAGGCTGGTGTAGAACTTGTGAACTCAAACAATCCTCTATCCTCAGCCTCCCAAAGTGGTGGGATTACAGGCATGAGCCGCTGTACCCAGCTAAGCTGTGTTTTTCAAGGAATGTATTGATTTCATCTCATTTGCCAGTTGCTTCTTTCTTATATGTCAGCACCATGGTATTTTCTTTAGTCATGCTGGCCTTTTCAGTGTTCACTGTAACTATTTGCATAGGACTTTCCTGCTTTCTGTAATGTATTTGGGCATATTTTCTTCTTCCTTCTAAGCCTACATCAGTATTTACTTCTTTCATATATTCTTCCTAACTTATGTGGCCCCATATTGATCGTCTTACATTGATTGTCCTTGGAACCCTCATAAAATCCCATGTCATGCTGTGATCCATTTTGCTTGTAAGTTGTGTCATTATTGTCTGTCAATTAATTTACTTTGTCCACGAGGTGAGTATAGCATCTGGACCTTCCATTTATTTCTAATGACCGTGATAGTCTAATGCAATATGGCTCAGGCTGTTAATTCAGAATAAATGCTTGTTAATTTACTGATACACTGCCATATCTGTATATTTTTGCAACTCTATACAATTAAAATAGTTTATAATTTGTTTTTGGGCAGGGACATTTCTTTACATAGTTCCTGATTTGTTTTATTTTTGAAAATATAAAAACTTTTAAAATTACTGAGTACAAACTTAAAAATCGTGTATGCTTCTTGAAGCTAAAATAATAGGTGACAAATAGTGGTTTTTGATTAACTGATAATCTTTATTTTTGTGATAGTTGTTTACTGCACTGAGAGTTAGGAGATCTCAACTAGTTTAAGCTTGTCACTTGCCAGCTTTGTAATTTTAAGCAAGTCACTTAATCTCTTTCAATCTCACTTTTCTTATTTTAGGAGAATACCTTAGGCTGTAACCTCTCTGAAGCCTAGTACACTAGCTCTGATATTCAAAGACTATATATTCCATGTTCCCAAGTCCATGTTACCTGTTTATTTACATTTGATCACAAGCTCCTGTGTAACATACTCAGTAGCATCTTCTTCCAAGCTATTCTGTGATTATGTAGACTATGATTATTTTTCTTGCTTAAATATCTTAGAATGGAAGCCAGTTTTCCAGTTGCATTTTCTCTCATTTACCTAGAGGAGTAGAAAATAAGTCAGTTTAAAACACCCACTTCCTTTGATAAATAGCAGATATTTCCTTTTTAAAAAACAACTCTAGTGGTATCTAATTTTCGTCCCATTAAATTTTACCCATTATAAGTATAGAGCTTAATGATTTTTAGTACATTTGTCATTGTTCAACGATCATTACAGTCCAGTTTTTAGAGTATTTCCATCACCTCAAAAATTACTATGCCTGTTTATAGTCATTCATAGCCCCCATTTCCAGCGTCAGGCAACCACTGCAAATGTTCTTTTGTCACTGGTTTCTCATAGCCCTGAGACATGTTTCTGATTATGTATAAATTAGATTTTGTTTCCACAACTAATTTAATGCAATAAGAGAACTTCTAATTAAAGAAGTGTTAAAGTGACTCTCATATGAAAAAATTACACCATTTTATTCATTCTTCAACTCAGTACTTTTAATTTTGGATATTAAAAAAGTAAGCCTGCTAAATTTATATTAAGAGCCTAGATTCTATTACATTTCAAAGTGTCTATTATTTTGAGAGGCAGTACTGTAAAATGAATGATTAAGTATGAGGATTTATAACCATTCTGCTGAGTTGTATTAGTCCATTCTTGCATAGCTGTAAAGAAATACCCAAGACTGGTAATTTACTAAGAAAAGATATTTAATTGACTTACGGCTCTGCAGGCTGTAAGGGAAGCATAGCGGTTTCTGCTTCTGGGGAGGCCTCAGGAAACTTCTAATCATGGCAGAAAGCAAAGGGGGTAAAGGCATCTTATGTGGCAGGGGCCAGGGGCAAAGAGAGAGATGTGAGAGATGCTGTATACTTTTAAACAGCCAGATCTTCTAAGAACTCACCATCATGAGAACAGCACCAAGAGGATGGTATAAACCATTCATGAGAAATCTACCCCCGTGATCCAGTCACCTCCCATCAGGTCCCATTTCCAACATTGGGGACTATAATTCAACATGAGATTTGAGTGGGACACGTATCCAAACTATATCAAGGTTTTAAACCTTCTTTTGTTATTTGTGAACTCTGCTTTTATCTTGCCTGTGTTTTACCTTCATTATCTATAAAATAGCAATAAACAATAGTACCTACTCCATAGATTGTCTGGATGATTAAGTAATACCGTACAAGTAAAGGGCTTGGCACAGTGGACAAAAAATGGTAAAGGCTATATATATGCAAATAACAGCAACTCTGATATAACATATATAGTGCTTATTGTGTTTGTCAGTCTGTTTACATTGCTATAAATACCTGAGGCTAGCTAATTTATAAAGAAAGTAAGTTTATTTGGCTCATAGTTCTGCAGGCTGTTCAAGCAGCATGGCACTGACATCTGCTTCTGGTGAGGTCTCAGGAAACTTACAATCATGGTGGAAGGCAAAGGGTGAGCCAGTATATCACATAGAGTGAACAACAGAGAAAAGAGGAGGTGTCAGGCTCCTTTAAACAACCATCTTTCATGTGAACTAACAGCAAGAATTTGCTTATTCCCATGGGTTTAGTGCCAAGCATTCATGAGGGATCTGCCCCTGTGGTCCAAACACCTCCCACCAGGCCCACCTCCAATATTGGAGATCACATTTCAGCATGTTATTTGAATGGGAGAAACATCCAAACTATATACTTTCACTCCTTGCCCCCCCTCCCCAGTTTTATCTTCTCCACATTGCAAAATACAATTGTCCTTTATTAACAGTCCTCCAAAGTCTTTACTCACTCCATCGTTGATTCAAAAGTCCAAAATCCAGTGTCTTACTGGGGACTCAAGGCAAGTTCCTTCCATCTATGAGCCTGTAAAATCAAAAACAAGTTATTTACTTCCAAGATACAATGGTGGTACAGACATTGGGTAAACATTCCCATGTCAAAAATGAGAAATTAACCAAAAGAAACAGGCAGTAGGCCCCCACATATTTCTAAAACCCAGCCAGGCATACATTAAACCTTAAAAGCTTCAAAACAATGTCCTTCGATGCCATATCCTGCATCCTGGGCACACTAGTACAATGGGTGGGCTCCAAATGCTTTGGGCAGCTCTGCTGCTGTGGCTTTCCAGGATTCAGCCCCCTTGGCTGCTCTCATGGGTTGGAGTTAAATGCCTGTGGCTTTTCCAGGCTCAGGGTGCAAGCTGCTGGTGGCTCTACCATTCTAAGGTCTGGAAGGCAACAGCGCCCTTCCCACAGCTCCACCAGGTAGTTCCCTGGTAGGGATTCTGTGTGAGGGTTCCAACTCCACATTTCCCTTCCGCACTGCACTAGTAGAGGCTTTCTGTGAAGGCTCTGTCTCTGTGACAGGCTTTTCTGCCTGGACACCTGGGTTCCTCTGAAACCTAGGTGGAGGCTGCCAAGATTTTTTCACTCTCGCATTCTGTGCACCTGGAGGCTTAACAGCATGTGGAAAACACCAAGGCCAGATTGGTGGCCCGAGCTAGCTGTACCTGGTGATGTGAGCTGTACCTGGGGCTCTGTGCATCAGCTGGAGCTGGAGCAGCCAGGATTCTGGGAGCAGTGTCCTGAGGCTGAGCAAGGAAGCAGAGCCCCAGGCATGGCCTCTGAAAATGTTATTTTCTCTTAGACCTCTGGGCCTGTGATGGGCTGCACTGCCTGGAAGATCTCCAAAATGCGTTCAATGCCTTTCCCCCATGTCTTGGCTATTATCATTTGTCTCTTTTTTAGTCATGCTAATCACTTTAGCAAATGGTTGCTCCACAACCACCTTGAATTCCTCTCCTGAAAATGCCTTTCCTTTTTTTTCTTTTTTTCTTTTTTTTTTTTGAGACAGAGTCTTGCTCTGTTGCCCAGGCTGGAGTGCAGTGGCACGATCTCAGCTCACTGCAAGTTCTGCCTCCCGGGTTCATACCATTCTCCTGCCTCAGCCTCCTGAGTAGCTGGGACTACAGGCGCCTGCCACCACGCCCAGCTAATTTTTTGTATTTTTAGTAGAGGCAGGGTTTCGCCGTGTTAGCCAGGATGGTCTCGATCTCCTGACCTCGTGATCCGCCTGCTTCAGCCTCCCAAAGTGCTGGGATTACAGGCATGAGCCACCGTGCCTGGCCCCGTTAGTTCCAACTTTAAGTCATTTCCTTGCTCCTGTATCGATTCATAGGCTGTTATAAGCAGCCAGGCCACATCTTAACTGCTTCACTGCTTAGAAATTTCTTCTACCAGAAACCTGTGTTATCACTCTTAAGTTCAAACTTCCATAGATCCCAAGAACATGCACAAAATATAGCCAAGTTCTTTGCTAGGGCATAATATGGGTGACCTTTACTCCAGTTCCCAATAAGTTCTTCATTTCCATCTGAGGCCTCATCAGTCTGGCCTTTGGTGTCAATTGCTATCAGCATTCGGCCACAACCACTTAACAATACTCTAAGAAGTTCCAAATTGTCCCTTGTCTTCCTGTCTTCTTCTCAGCCCTCTAAACTCTTCCAACCTCTGCCCATTACCCAGTTCCCAAGCTGCTTCCATATTTTCAGATATCTTTTTTTTTTTTTTTTTTTAGATGGAGTCTTGCTCTGTCACCCATGCTGGAGTGCAGTGGCATGATTTTCGTTTACTGCAACCCCCATCTCCCAGGTTCAAGCAATTTTCCTGCCTCAGCCTCCTGAGTAGCTGGGACTACAGACACATGCCATCACACCTGGCTAATTTTTTGTATTTTTAGAAGAGACAGAGTTTCACCGTGTTGCCCAGGCTGGTCTCAAACTCCTGAGCTCAGGCAATCCTTCTGCCTCATCCTCCCAAAGTGCTGGGATTACAGGTGTGGGCCACTGCACCTGGCCTTTCAGACATCTTTATAGCAACACTACACTTCTTGGTACCAATTTTCTCTGTTAGTTGATGTTGCCATAAAGAAGTACCAAAGGCTTGCTAATTTATAAAGAAAAGAGGTTTATTTGGCCCACGGATCTGCCGGCTGTACAAGCAGCATGGCACTAGCATCTGCTTCTGGCAAGGCCTCAGTAAACTTACAATCATGGCAGAAGGCAAAGGGGGAGCTGGCATATCACATAGAGCAAGCAAGAGAAAGAGGAGGAAGCATCAGATTCTTAACTAGCTTTTGTGTGAATTAACAAGAACTCACTCATTCCCATGGGAAGGAAAGAGGTTTTTTTTTTTTTTTTTTTTTTTTTTATTATTATGCCATTCATGAGGGTTCTGTTCCCATGACCCAAACACCTCCCACCAGGCGCACCTCCAACACTGGAAGTCACATTTCAACCTGAGATTTGGAGGAGACATATATCCAAACTATATCAATATGTATCAGGTATCTTATATACATGTATTAAGTCATTTAGATACCCTATGAAATAAGTATTAATATCTCCTTTGAATTGATGAGGAAACTGAAGAATAGAGCTTAAGTAACTGCTTAAAAGTTGCATAGCTAGGCTGGGCGCGGTGACTCATGCCTGTAATCCCAGCACTTTGGGAGGCTGAGGCGGGTGGATCACGAGGTCAGGAGATCGAGAGCATCCTGGCTAATACGATGAAACCCCGTCTCTACCAAAAAAAATAAAAAAGTAAAAATTAGCCGGGCATGGTGGCGGGCGCCTGTAGTTCCAGCTACTCGGGAGGCTGAGGCAGGAGAATGGTGTGAACCCGGGAGGTGGAGCTTGCAGTGAGCCAAGATCGTGCCGCTGCACTCCAGCCTGGGCAACAGCGAGAAAGTTGCGTAACTAGAAAGTGTTGGAACTGAGATTCAGAGTTAGGCAGTCTGGCTACAGAGTCCATGGTTTTAACCTCTATAGTCTCAGCATAATTTACATTTGAACAGTGTGGTTGGTAAAACTTTCTTTGATAAATGTAATTTGTTAAAGGCTAAATGGTGGCATCCCTTCCGTGATCATACCTGCTGTTTTATTTTCTTTATTTTATGGTTTTCAATGATATATTTGTTGTTCTTTGAGGCTTCAGTGCTATAACCTCTATTCTTATAAGTATGCTGTTTAGTTGTATTTAATATTATTTTTTTAAAATGTACTGTCTGCTTTTTAACTTTAGATGTCATTGGATTTTTTATATTTTATTTTGAATGAAGACCATCGCACAGATTGGGAACTGAATCTTCTTTAGAGATGCTTATCTTGGATATTTTTTTCTTTTTCTTTTTTTTTTTTTTTTTTGAGGCAGAGTCTCACTGTGTAGCCCAGGCTGGAGTGCAGTGGCGTGATCTCAGCTCACTGCAACCTCTACCTCCGGGGTTCAAGCAATTCTCCTGCCTCAGCCTCCTGAGTAGCTGAGATTACAGGTGCACACCACCACACCCGACTAATTTTTGTATTTTTGGTAGAGATGGGGTTTTGCAATGTTGTCCAGGCTCATCTCTAACTCCTGTTCTCAAGCAATCCGCCTGCCTTGGCCTCCCAAAGTGCTGGGATTACAGGCATGAGTCACTGTGCCTAGCTTTCAAATATGGTTTTTTTTTTTTTTGGCAAAATTACACCTTTTTCAGATAATTCTAAGATATGTTAGTATCTCAATGGTATATTAATATAATACTAATATATATGTTGTACTTATGTTGTATGTGCACATATTAAAATGCCATGTGTCATGTTTAATTCATATATACTACATTTAATACTATCTATATTTATGAAAGTTGCTTCTTAGGAAATTCATAGTATGTTACCATCTACACTTTTACTCTTTTGGTCGTTAGTAATGTTCATTATGGTCATCTATTTACTAAATGCTTTTGTAGTCCCTTTGTCTTGTCTTAAAGATCAACACATATTATTGCTCTAATTATAAATTGAAGAAACCTCTGAATATATAGGCATAATTATGTAAAAATGTTAGAAACGTAAGCATTTGAATTAACCAGTAGTGCAAAGAAAAAAAAAAAGCCAGATTCAGCCGGGCGCAGTGGGGCTCATGCCTGAATCTCAGCACTTTGGGAGGCTGAGGTGGGCAGATCACAAGGTCAAGAGATGAAGACCATCCTGGCCAACGTGGTAAAACCCCGTCTCTACTACAAATACAAAAATTAGCCGGGTGTGGTGGCACGCGCCTGTAGTCCCAGCTACTCAGGAGGCTGAGGCAGGAGAATCACTTGAACCCAGGAGGCAAAGGTTGTAGTGAGCCCAGATCGCGCCACTGCACTCCGGCCTGGCAACAGAGCGAGACTCTGTCTTAAAAAAAAAAAAAAAAAAAAAAGACAGATTCAAGCACACTGTATTTGCATTTTGTGAGTATGATTTGGAGAACAGATATACCTCGTACATAGTCTCTTGTTTGCCTGTGAGCTTAGAGGTTGTTTTTATTATCATTATTACTATTACTATATTTTGAGAGGCAGGTTCAGTTAAATGAGTGGAGCAATACAAGGTAATAGACAAAGAATTGCAGTCACTTGAAATTTAGTAAGCTTAGCAAGTAAGAACATTATCTATCTCAGAATCTTCATAAAATAAATGTCAGTTTGTTCCTCAGTTGAGAAGTTTTGCACCATTAAGTTGCTTCTCTCTTCAGCGTGCATGAAACTGAGGCTTAAATTTCAAGAAGATATAACCTCAGAATTACATAACCTTAGACTGATCTTTTTCAAGTATTAAAATGCCTGAGTATATGTGGCATGTGGGTATTTTAGTTCACACTGTGGTATTTGAATAGAAATGCTTTCACATTTTTGTTTTCTGACGAAAGAGAAGAGAAGCTATCTAACCTCATTTTTTCCCCTTATTTATCCTTATTCACTTATTCTCTAGGTGGCATGTGTGTCATTAGCTTAACCCTTATTTTTCCCTTAATATTGTTGACATACATGGAGAGGTTTGTTAACTAGGAAAACCAGGATGATTATCCTGCCTCTTTTCTGGGCAGTGATAGTGCATTTAATATTTATCTTAGTGAATAACAGAATATGAACCTCACTTGAAAATTCGGTCAATAACTAACTAGGAAAAATGGTGGGGAGAGGGCATAGAGCTAAAATTAAGAGGTTGAAATTTTGGTTAAGTCTCTGCCAGGGAGAGGCTGTATAACCATGAGAAATGCAAATAACCTCTCTGCGAGCCAGTTTTCTCATTCATAGAATGAGCAATGCATTAGATTGATTTAAAAATCCCTTTTAATTTTCAAATTTCATGATTTTGTAATGCTTCAGAAGTTAAGAAGAGAAAGAAATTCAGAAATGCAAAGTATTATTCAGGTGTAAGGAATGTGAGTCATTTATAGAATAAGCCTCTCACCCAACAGTGCTATTTTTATTTGTATTATTGACCCATCGTATTTTTAAAGTTTTGTTCTTATTTATATATTTTTTAGACTATAGCTTTGAAAAACATGGGAATTAATTATAACGCAGTCACTTTTCATTTATTACTAATTGAGATAAGTTTGTAAGAAACATTTTGTAGTAGAAAATGTTTTAATCTGAAAAATTTGTCTTTTCCTTTCTGTAAAACAAAGTAAATTGAGCTTTTAAATGGACTAAAATATGTAGATTAATATGAATTATATTATCTACATAAGTATTTTTAGCATTTCTCATATTTATTATCTATGTAGCTACTAATGTATGATATATGGTTGCTTTTTATTTTAATTCTTAAGTGCCTAAATTCCTTCTGTGAAAGTTTCAAGGAGCAATTACATTTATCCTAAACTAAGATGAATTAAGGTTATCAGTTTTTGAATGAGCTCTAACTATTACAATGAACTTAAAAGGATTTAATCTAAACATACCTATATATATAGTATGTGCCCTTTCAAAAGGAGCTTCTTCTAATTCTGCTCTATGTCTCTAGACTGACCTCATGTATTATTAATAAAATATCCAGAATTAGGTTGTCTTTGTGAGATGGCTCGGTAGCTGGCTTTTGCCATGGCATATAAGCTGAGCGGTTATTCTAAATCACATCATTACTTTCAGCCAGATAACTGCTAAAATCACCACATTGTGGTTTCCTGAAAATGCCATAATCTTTCAAATGCCACATTAAACCTAGAGGAAAAAGCCATTCGTAGTACCTGCACAGTTATGTAGAAGAATGAACCATGAACCAAGTGAAAAGATGTTCTGGAATAATAGTAACATTTCCCTTGATGTATGTATTTCCTATTACTTTTTTTGACATAAAATTTTGCAAAATGATTTAATGTTGGCATTTTGTTTTGCTGACTTTCTTTTTCTTCATTAAAAAGAAACCAAAGTTAGGATAGAAGTGTAGGGGAAGAGTGACCAAGCACTAAATTCTATAATATGACTCTCTGTTTTCAAAATAAATTAATTAAATATGTTAGGAACATGGCTTTTCTCCTTTTACATTGTATGCTAACTGTGATATACAAAATCATTTAGCTGTATTATCAAAAATGATTTTGTTTGTTCTTTACAGTTAATTTTTTTTTCTTCATTGTCGTCATCCTGTTTTTTCTTCTTAGTAACCTTTGATCATAAATGACATGTCAATAATCAGGAAAGCTTTATGACATAGAAATTACCAATTGCATGTAACTCAAAAAGTGCCATACTTTTGATTGTCACTTTTGTTGCATATTGCTAGAGCTGATTATACAAGGAAACAAAATATGAATAGACTCAGTGGTCTAAAAGATGGATTCTTGTCAACTTTAAGAGGATACATTTTTACTACGAATGAATGTCATAAAGTTATTCCACGTAAAATGAGTTCAAAGTTTATTTGCACCTGTGAGAACATACCAAGTGTAGTTGGATAGAGGAAGTAACTTGCCAAAATAGACTTTGTAAGAATTTTGTAGCATTAGATTTTCAGTTTTAGCTTTGATGTGGAGTACCTAGGTGTAGGCCCTGTCACATCGTTATTTAAAAAACAATAAAATTTAAAAAAAACTTGATAACTTATATTACACGTGCATACTTGTTAACATCTCACTTTAAAAAATGTATTGGGTAGTGATTGACTAAACACTACTTGGTGTTTTTTTCCCCCCTCAGAATTATAGAATTTTTCATAAAAGTTGCAATTTCAATTAAGGGAATGGAAATTGGGTTGAAGTTTCTCAGTCAGTATGGCATCAGTAGTTCCTTTTCACTCAACTAAATAACTTTTTCAGTAGATTTTATTGCTCTTTATGGAACTCTGCAGGTATAGATTAGATTCAGTTTTTAAATAAACATTAACTCTGCTGGTTTTTCTCCCTGATGTCTCAAAATAGAAGGGTTTACATTTAGTCAGCAATTCTTTGTCTTCATTTTATCTTATTTAATTTTTTGCAAACAACTCTTTTCTAGATCAAAAGTACTATTCAGGACATTCTGCAGTGCGGATATATATCCTAATGGTTTCAACCAAAAATGACTGAAGGACTTTGTTAGTGATGTGATTAAAGCATGCCCTAATGAGCAAATGCATTAGAGGGCCATCAAGCACAAAGTCTTGAATTTTGAATATAGCAGAAACAGCTAGTTAATATTACTAATCCATGTGTTAATTGCGCTACAACAGTAATGAAGATAATGTCTAAGACACTGTTGTCATTCCTAGAGTGTTGCTGGTGATTTGGCCTAAGGTGATAGACTAAAATCAAAGACTTCACCATTATACAATTCATTTATGTAACCAAAAGCCATTTATACCACAAAAGCTATTGAAATTAAATATATATGTATATATGTGTGTGTGTATTTATATGTATATATATGTGAGTGTGTGTATATAAATATATGTATGAAACTATAAAAGAAGTACTTGCAAGAAATGTGTCATTCTAGTTTGGAAAACGAGATAAGCACAGAGAAAGTTAAAATCCCTTTTACCCTGGTAGTAGAAAATCAAAGTAGTAAAACTTTTCTGGGGAATAATTTAGCAATGTGAATCAAAGGCATTAAGCATGACAATACTATTTGTAAAGTAACAGCACTTGGAGGACTCTTTCCAGAGGAATATTCTGAAATTAGCTCAATTTTTATATAAGAATATTCTTTATGGTGCTCATTATAATAGTGAAAAATATTTGGAACCAACACAAATGCCTGGTATTACAAGAGTGGTTAAATAAATTAATAATATACCGTAAATTTTCATCCTCTTATTTGACCCCTTATTCAGCCATTTTTTAAAAAGAGTATTTCCTGTGTGGGAAAACATTTAAGTTTAAGTTAGAATCGTCCCATATTTGTTTAAGATTTATCGTGGTGACCCACAACTGTAATCCCAGCACTTTGGGAGGCCGAGGTGGGCGGATCATGAAGTCAGGAGATCGAGACCATCCCGGCTAACAGGATGAAACCCTGTCTCTAGTAAAAATACAAAAAATTAGCGGGGTGTGGTGGCACGTGCCTGTAGTCCCAGCTACTTGGGAGGCTGAGGCAGGAGAATCACTTGAGCCCCGGAGGCAGAGGTTGCAGTGAGCTGAGATCGCGCCACCACACTCCAGCCTGGGCGACAGAATGAGACTCCGTCTCAAAAAAAAAAAAAGAGATTTATGATCTTAATTTTTTATAAATATTTTTATTTCATTTTAAAGCTTTTCTCTATCTTCATAGGTTTTTGATAGTGAAAGTATCTTACTTTTATACCAGAAAACTGGTTTTTAAAAGCTAATAGTGTACGTAGAATTCTAACAGAAGACTCTGGATATTAGATATCTCTTGACTGCCTTAGAAAATCAATTTGAGTGCAGTGGCTCACGCTTGTAATCCCAGCACTTTGGGAGGCCGAGGTGGGAGGATTGCTTGAGCTCAAGAGTTAAAGAGTAGCCTAGGCAATGTATCGAGACCTTGTCTCTAATAAAATTTTTAAAAAATCAGCTGGGCATAGTGACACGTGCCTATAGTCCCAGCTACTTAGGAGGCTGAGGTGGGAGGATTGATTGAGCTTGGGACATATTGAGGCTGCAGTGAGCCATGATCACGTCACTGTACTCCAGCCTGGGCAACAGAGCAAGACCCTGTCTCAAAAAACAAAGCAAACAAAAACATCAATTTAATAAAACCATTATGGAAAGGCATGAAACAAAGTCAATTCTCTTTTTGTTTGTCTATCCTAAATTAGCATAACAAATTTATAAATTTTCTTCCCTCACATTTTCAATGTCTATTTTGCATTATTTGCAGATAAGCTTAATTTTCCCTTGTTATTCAATCATTTATGCTTTCTGATTTATAAATTCAGCATTCAGTGCCTTTCTGATTTAATGACAATGAATTGTTGACTTGTACTTCCCAGTCTTCCTTATATCACAATTACTAGAAGATAAAGAGTTGGGGATAACTAAACATACTCAGTTTATCCTGACCAAATAGATATTTCTCCATTTCCTTCTTTATCACACATAGTACTTCCACTCAGCTATGTCAGGAGCCTCTCTTTAGTCTCAGCCTTCACACTCAGTAGAATTTTGGTTTCATTTTTTTCTTCTGTGTGGGATATGACAAGATTTCTCTTCAAATAGCCTATTAATCCTTTATTCTTTAATCCACAGTACCCCTCCCCTTCCCTTTTCTTCTCTTTTTCTTTCTTTCTGCCTTTACTACATGCCCAGGCATGCCACAGCACCAATGGCTTATCAGTACCAGCTCACATTCCTTTCCTTATTTGGGAAGAAAACTAGCTCTCTAGCTTATCACAGATGACTTCTACCCCCTCTCCCCTCTCTCCCTTATGTGCACACCTTATCTAAGAAAAAGTTCAAATGTTCAGAGAATCGGGTCTAGCTTAGATTGTGCAGTCCAACCCCAGCCAATGGGGAAAGGGCACAGGGGCAGGATTTGCGTCAGGGATAAAAACTTTAACTCTCCTTTTGGTGACTGGCCAAAGAGAAGCACCCCTCTGTGCAGAAGTAAATTTGCTTTGCTGAGAAATCCTTTGTCTGAGTGTTTGTTTTCCTTAAGACTCCAAGCTTTATTTCTGACATTCTGGAATTATAGTTTGGAGTCTTATTCCTCACTTATATTGTGCTTTACCTTCTAGGTGTGTGCACACCGTCTCTCTTTCTCCCCGCACTCCCACCCCGTATCATCGTGACTGGAAAGCCACAGGAAGTTGCCACATAGAAATATTCTGCTTTCCCTATTTTTTTTTTTTTTTTTTTTTGATACAGAGCCCTTGCTCTGTCGCCCAGGCTGCAGTGCAGTCTCGGCTCACTGGAAACTCCGCCTCCCAGGTTCAAGCAGTTCTCCTGCCTCAGCCTCCCGAGTAGCTGGGATTACAGGTGCCCGCCACTACGCCCGGCTAACTTCTTTGTATTTTTAGTAGAGACAGGGTTTCACCATCTTGGCCAGGCTGGTCTCAAACTCCTGACCTCGTGACCCACCCCCTTGGCCTCCCAAAGTGCTAGGAGTACAGGTGTGAGTCACCACACCTGGCCTGCTTTCCCTAATTTTACCTAATGAGAATTCTTATTTGGGATAGAATCACTTAGTAAGATAATTGTAAAAATGAGCGGTTGCCAGTAAAACCAGTGGGGCTGTACAAAAATTGGCTAGATTTAAGCTAGGAGAAAATAAATAATGGAGGAAAGCATTCCAGAGGAGAAGATGGGATGCCCGTCTGGGGCAATAGGTAGATTCAAGCAAAGTTTATGGAGAACTTTATCTGAAACAGCACAATTTGTGGTTGTTTTTATTGGAGTATAACATTACATAAGGATATGAGAAGATACGTTAAAGACACTATTTTTACAAGCATTACTATCTGTTTAAAATGTAGTAAAAATAATTACAGAACTTAAACTTCAAAGTATTTACAACCATTACTATTTGTTTAAAATAGAGTAAAAATAATTACAGAACTTAAACTTCAAAATATGTACACACACACAATCTGAAAAAATGTTAGAAAAGCAAATGTTTCAGCATACACAGATAGCCATTTATTTTGAAGATAATAGCAATTAGAACATAAGTATTACTTTATTGGATTTATTTTTAAAGGACCAAGTGTTATTTTCTTCTTACATCCTCTAAACCTGTCCCTTTGAGGGCACAGAATTAGTATATCATCATCCATACTTCTTTCCTCTAAGTACAAACAAAATATTCAGGGCCTACTGGTGGCCTCCTCTTTTCATTCCCATTCTAGCTATTATAGGGTTTACTCTTGTGTTTTTTTTTTTTTTTAACTTCACAATGCATAATGGACTTTTTCTCAGTAAATATAGAACTAAGCCAGTTTTTAAGTAGCTACAAAATATAATTTGGATGTATCATAATTTACTGTAATATTTCCCTATTGAAAATTTATTTTTTCCTGTTTAATTTCTATCCCAAAGTAAGTGTGCTAGGCCAAAATTATATGCATATTTTACATGTTAATGGATAATATTATCTTGTTACCCACTGGACATGAATGTGTAATGATGTCATAGCAGAGATTTTTGTCAATTTGATGGATGAAAATTGGCATTTTGATTGTATTTTGTAACAATCAGTTTCAATGTTTATTCACTCATATATTGATGAACCATTTGGATTTTCATATCTGTGAATTGCCTTTCCATATCCTTTGCCGCTTTATCTTTGGAGATTTTTTTTTCTTTTTTAAAAATGAGTTTATTACATATCTTTGTATAAGTTGCAAATATTTTCTTTAAGGTTGTTGGGTTTTTTGTTTGTTTTTGCTTTATTGCTAATGGTATGTTTTGCTGAATTGAAATTTACATTTTTTTGTGTTGTGATATTTATGTCTGAAAAACTAAAACCTAATTTGGTATGTTATGAAATAGACAACAGATATATATTATTTAGGCAGGAAATGCAAATTATCTGTCTTTGCCCTTTAGATGATCTATGTACAGTTTTGCTTGACATGTTTTAAAGATTTACTGAGATACTGTGTCATCTATAAATAATTTTTTAATTACACATTGCGACATTAGCTTAATATAAAAATACTGTTTTGCTTTACCAGAATGTCATATTCTTCTGTTGATTTAAAACAATTTATTAGTTTTCAGAGGCTCTATTTTGTTAATTTTTGAATATCAGGACTGCTGATTTTAAAACATGTTGAAGCTATCATTGATGTAACCTTTTGTGTAATGTATTGGATCTTAATGGTGTTGGATACATGTTTGGTGATTAATTCTAAAGGCAAAAATTATTGTTTCTATTGTAGATGTCAGTGGTGAACAATGAATTGCTAAATTTAATCGTTTTTTAATTTTCTAAATACTCATCCTATTTGGCCTCGTTTCAACATTTAACATTGGTGACCAACCTTCCTCCTTAAAACACTATCTTTTCTTGGTTTTGTTTTTTTCCTTTTTTTTGAGACAGTGTCTCACTGTGTTACCCAGGCTGGAGTGCGGGAACTGCAGGTGTGTGCCTGGCTAATTTTTGTGTTTTTTTAAGAGACAGGGTCTCACTATATTGTCCAGGCTAGTCTTCAACTCCTAGGTTCAGTCCTTCCACCTTGGCCTCCCAAAGTCCTGGGATTTGCTACTGATAAGTACAGTTTTTTTTAACCCTAGTTTTTATCAGTAGCAAAACATAATAGTTTAAAAAAAAAACTGTGGTTAAATGCTTGAATTCTGGAGCCTAGTTATTTGGGTTCAGATTTTCACCCAGCATTTATTAGTTGTAACTTGTCTAGTTACATAATCTTTGTGCTTTAGTTTCCTCATCTGTAAACCGAGGATAATAATCTTTTTTACCTCTAGAATTGCTGTGAGGATTAAATGAATAAAAATATGTAGTGCTTATTCTCCTTCATCAACTCTCTCCTGGACCGTTGCAATAACCATCACCTTCTCTAGTTTGAGTACCTCTAGTCTGTATCCAGTTGTCTTACTAAAACATGAATTTGTTACTATTGTACTCAAATTTGTCCAGAGGCTTCCCATTTCTTGCAAGGTAAATCTAGACTGTATAGCATGGCTTATAAGGCCCTCCAAACCCAGCCTCAGTCTGTCTTTTTGTTTTCATTTCCAGCTGTTCACAGCTCCAGGTGACCTAAATTTAGATCATCGCAGGTCATTTTTTCTTTCTAAAACTAACCTGTTGCTTTTATGCCATCTTGCTTTTATTATACTTTATGTTATACCTTCTCTCTGAAATAACCTCGTCTTTTTCTCTGGGATGAGGGCTTCTCAATCACTTATACTTAGTCCATATGTCTTGGTCAGTGTATGATTCTTAGTGTATAAGCACCATTTTTTAATAATTAAATTAATTTTAATATTCCAGGTCCGAAGCCAATGCTTATCACATAGTATGCCCCCAGTACATAACCAAATTGAAAAAACAATCTGTGGATTTTAATTAGTGGTACTTATTTAATATTTTAAAAGTTATAATTGTCAGATATTAATGGGATCTTGGCTTAGTTATGTTATTTTTATATACAAAACATTGAAATTTTGGTTAGATTGGAATGGTAGTTTTTGTCATCATTTGAATATAATTTGTATAGTAATTTAATTCATTGTTTTCATGGCTTTTATTGTTCTATGTGTATGATACCTATTAAATTCTTACTTGAGTTTTATTACTCTTAGTCCTCTTGGGTTTCTATGGATAGTACCTATTTCACTGAAATCTCTGCGTTATCTTTAATCTAAAAATATGTATGTACTATTAGTTTTTGCTAATTTTTACGTGGGGTAATATCAAGTCAGTTAAATTAGATCTCACTACATCTTAATCCAGTTTTGGGTAGCATAAAATAAATAAGGGTATACTTTGTTTGTAAAGTCCCTGGGTTCCCTTTTCATTCTATTCTGAAAGAAATTTGTTAACAAATTGAGAACTCCTAATTTAGCTTCCTGGAGTGATTTTATGGTAATAGAAAGCACTGCCCTTCTTTCTTTTTTTTTGTTAAGATGGAGTCTCGCTCTGTCATCCAGGCTGGAGTGCAATGGCACGATCTTGGCTCACTGCAACCTCTGCCTCCTGGGTTCAAGCGATTTTTCTGCCCCAGCCTCCCGAGTAGCTGGGACTACAGGCGCACACCACCATGCCCAGCTAATTTTTATATTTTTAGTAGAGACGGGGTATCACCATGTTGGCCATACTGGTCTCGAACTCCTGACCTTGTGATCCACCTGCCTCGGCCTCCCAAAGTGCTGGGGTTACAGGCATGAGCCACTGCGCCTGGCCAGCACTGTTCTTCTTTCTTGACCTGGTTTTTTTGTTGTTGTTTTAGATATAGGTACTATGATATTGGGCCATAATCTTTGGCTTTGCTCCAATGATTGACTTCTAAGGAATCTTTACTCACGCAATTATTCCTTTTACTGACTATTGCTAATTATATTGTGGATTATAACCACAACTATATTTGACTCCCAGTGGTCTTCTCACTTAATAATCTCTGTGTGTTTTCATTTGGCCCATGCTTCATCTGTGTGTGTGGTGTGTGTGTGATACATATGGACACATGTATGAGACTCTGTCACTCTTTTCTGGCATTGGATAAACATTTTGAAATATGCAATAAGAAATAAATAATTTAGGAACATTAGGATTATTTTAAGAAGTCGAATGGGGGCAAAAAGATTTTTAAAGTGTATAACTTGAAACTAACATAACAATTAAAAGTTACCCAGGGCAATTATTTATAAAACATAATTTTATAAGTTCTAATTTATAGAATAGTCCACTTTGTTTAATTCAGTATAAAATATAACTTTGCAGAGTTATCATTATTACAGTCATCCCTCCATATCCGTGGGGCATTGATTCCAGGACCGCTCTCGGATATCAAAATCTGAAGATGCTCAAGTCCCTTATGTAAAATGCCATCATGTTTGCATATAACCTATGCATATGTTCCTGTATGCTTTCAGTTATCTCTAGATACTTATTATAATACCTAATACAATGTAAATGCTATGTAAATAGTTGTTATACCATATTTTTTTTATTGTTGTATTGCTATTTTTTATTGGGTTTATTTTTCCCAAATATTTTCCATCCATGGTTGGTTGAATCCATTGATGCAGAACCTGCAGATATGGAGGGCAGACTGTATTAACTTCAGAAGGTAATGTGTGTTGTTCACATACACACAAACACACACACACACGCACACACACACACAGTCCTATTTCCCAACATGAGAAATTGTCAAATTTTTATGCATTAATAACTAATGAAAATAACAGAGTATTTTTGTTTTCATCCATTTTTAAATGTCTTTTATAAATGTATTTCATTTGTAATCCTGCTTTTTCATTTTAATGAAGAATTTCATTTTCTTACTGTTTTGGTTTTGTTAGTCATGAAATTTTTTTTAATCATAATAACCCTCCTGGGAATTTATCATAAGGAAATAGTCAAAGAAAGAAATGCTAATATAAAAAGACATTTATAGCTATAGTTATAGTAGGAAAATTATTCCCACCGTAAATATATAACTCCCCAAATTAAAACAACTGAAAACACTGTATAGGAGGGGAGTGATAAACTATAACAAATCAGTATTAAAAAATTATGTATCTCCTATAGATTTATAGATTATAAGATATTTACATAGGAATGAGGAAACCTGTTTTATGTCATAAGTATATGCTACTAAATTGTTACATATAAGTGGCTAAAGATTAGAAGGGAACAAAAAATGAGCATGGTATTATTTTAGAATGGTAGGAGTCTGAGTAAAGTAAAATCTTCAACACCATTTTAAGGACATTAATCTCATGAATGTAACATTTAAGTAGAGCCTCATTTTGAGCACAGACAGACACAAAGATTAATTAGATATAAAAAAAAAAAACCGTAGCCCTGATCAGTTAACCGCAGCAAATAAAAACCTAAGACAAACCTTTTATCAGGAGCAACCATTGAGTAGGGCAACTCATATTCAAATGAAATAAACATCAAATCTCTTCCTCAAAACAACATTAAAGTTATCAGCTGTTTGCGTATGTAATTTCAGTTAGTTATGCAGTATACTAAATAAGGTGTAAGGATATGTTCATTGAGGCACAAACAATTCATTGACTTTTATATATGTATATCTTTTAAAGCTTGGATCGTATTTGAACACACCGTGGTTTCTCTAAAAGGTGAAATTCAGCTGGGCATGGTGGCTCATACCTGTAATCCCAGCACCTAGGGAGGCAGAGGTGGGAGGATGGCTTGAGCCCAGGAGTTCAAGACCTGCCTGGGCAATAAAGTGAGACTCCATTCTCCACAAAAAGGAAAAAAAGGACAAAAAAGGTGTAATAAGTAAAATTCAGAACTCTGGAAATATTTTTTAATGAGATACTTAACATATGTCTATATTCTTCAAATACTCAGGCAAGTTTGAGCAAAGTATTATGAGTAGAAGAGGAGAAAGTTAGAATGGTTGATTATTGCCTCATGAATATACTATTAAAAGTGTGACTTTATGATGTGACTTTAGTGTAGAATTGTTCATGCATTCTTTTTTTTTTTTTTTTTTTTTTTTTTGAGACGGAGTTTCACTCTTGTTGCCCAGGCTGGAGTGCATTGGCGTGATCTTGGCTCACCACAAACTCCACCTCCTGGCTTCAAGCGATTCTCCTGCCTCAGCCTCCCGAGTAAACTGGGATTACAGGCATGTGCCGTCACGACCGGCTAATTTTGTATTTTTAGTAAAGACGGGGTTTCTCCATGTTGGTCAGGCTGGTCTCGAACTCCTGACCTCAGGTGATTCGCCCGCCTTAGCCTCCCAAAGTGCTGGGATTACAGGCGTGAGCCACCTCACTTGGCCTGTTCATGCCTTCTTTATGTGTGTACGTGTGTCATTTTTTTATACTTAAGATTATGCATGAAGCCTCAAGTGTGATTTAATTCATAAATAGGCAACCAGTTGAGCTCTGTGAGAAGTGATTGGTCAAAGTACATGAAAGTAATTCTTTAAGTATATTCTCTATGAATCGTAGCAAGAGGAGGAGAAGTTCTGCTTTGAATGAAACTGGTAGGCACTCCCTGTAATTGCCCAGTGAATCAGGTTGACAAAGATAGCTACACAAGGAAGACAGGCCTACAAAGGACTAAATCAATGGGATTCAGTCACAAGCAAGTGAAATTATATCAGTCAATAACTTTCCTTATAAGTGACTGAAATCTTCCAGACCCATATTTTCCTTTTCAGGTTACTCATTTATGTCAATTATTAAAGAACTGCAAAATTGCCTGATTATATCAAGGACCTTGTTGTGACATGGTCTGTAAATGTAGATCTTTTTTTAAAAGAAAGTTGAGTTTCATGTAGAGCATTGAGCACGTTGACTGAAGATTTGACTTTTTCCAAAGCTTGTAACTGTAAAGAAATTGTGGAATCTTGTTTTTCCCTTTAAAAATAAGATTCCTGTGTTTGTTTCTTCTCACCAGATTTACTTTTGAATTTATTTCATATTAAAGATACTGAAAGGCATTCACTTATTTATACATTAGATTTTTATGTAGAGGGTTTATAAGAGACAGAAGAATTCATAGGATAATGGGATCATTCCTAAAAGGATAAAGAAGTCTTCATATAAACCAAGGTGACAGGTGAATTGAATCTTGAAGTATGAGTAGGTTTTAGGAGATTGGGTCAGGAGGTAGCAGTCATTCAAGGGAATAAACAGACACAAATAAAGACAAAGTGGGACCATATGAGTCATGTGTGATGTAGGTTTAAGAGAATAGGTAGATTGGGGCCTTGAGTGCAAGCTAATGATGTTAAGGGGTCCAATGGAGATTTATTGAAGACAAGGGATGATACAAAGGAGAGGATTGTAAAAGGTTGATATTGTGGTGACATACCTGATGAACACATGGGCAGCTGGAGGAAGACCAGTTTGAGGGCTGTGAACCTAGACTGATGGAAGTAGAAATGCAAAGGATTAGAAAGATCTCGGAAACATAACATCATACTAGGGTTGTAGCAGATAATTAATGAAAAATGGAAAGGCAAGGAAGAAAGGGAAGCGTTTAAAGCAAACTGGATGACTTTAAGCTGAATAATGGGAGAGAATGGTGAGAGTAGAAACAGAAAAAAGATGAGTTGGCTATATTTATTTTTTGGAGAAAAATATAATAGGTGAATAGAGGGTTTTTTTTAAAGGTCTACTGAATTAGACATTTTCAGAAAGCATTTAAAATTATGGGATTATAAATATAAAGAGGAGCTGCTTGCCGTTGCTCACGCCTGTAACCCCAGCACTTTGGGCGGCCAAGGTAGGCAGATCAGTTGAGCCCAGGAGTTCAAGACCAGCCTGGGCAAAATGGTGAAACCCGTCTCTACTAAAAATACAAGAATTAGCCGAGTGTGGTGGTGGTGCATGCCTGTAGTTCCAGCTACTCCGGAGGCTGAGGTGGAAGAATCACCTGAACCCGGGAGGCAGAGGTTGCAGTGAGCTGAGATCATGCCACTGCACTCCAGCCTGGGTGACGGAGCGAGACCCTTTCTCAAAAATAAAATAAAAGTGAATATAAAGAGGATTAGAACTCTGGAAATAAATTTGATAACTGTTAAACACTTATTCTTTACCCCTTAAGTATTCAATTCTAATTTTCCGACCTTTGCTTTAAGTAAATGACTGCGTCTTTCAGTGGATATTGAAGGTACAGCAGGAAATCATGCTCTGTAAGAATGGAACACCTGAAAGAATTAGGTAGGTGTCCTTGGTTTAGTTGAGTCACAGGCTAACTCCAGAGAAATTTAATTACCATGTAGCAGAGCCTCAAGATGAGATTTTAATACTCTGCCATTTTTAAGCTTTGTTTTGCTGACTGAAATACCTCTGTGTATAAATAATACTTATCTCTGCTTAGTTGTATGTCAGCTGATTGACTTTAAAGTTGTGGAATATTTGTAATTTGTCTTTTACCCCCTTTATCTGTTTTGTATTTGCTTCTATTCCTTTTTCTTTGTGGTTACCTTCATCCCAGCTAAATTTGCTCTACTTTAAGACAGTGGTCCTTAAACATTAGGGTGCATTTGAAGCACCTGAAAGGCTTGTTAAAAGGGTTTCTGTTTTAAAATTCTGAAGTGGTGACCAAGAATTTGTATTTCTAACAGGTTCCCAAGTGATACAGATATTACTGGTCTGGAGACTAAACTATGGCAATCACTGCCTTATGCATAAAGCCCTTATGCTAAAGTCCTAAGATAGTGGTTCTCAATTGGCTAGAGATACAAAAATATCACCTATAGAAGGAATTACAGAAAAATAAGCAAAAACAGGCCTGGATCTCACTCTTGAAGATTCCAATCAGTAGGTGAACAATTTAGCAATAGTACCTCAGAGTTTAAGTTTAAGAAGTTTAAGAGTTTAAGGGCATATGCCTTTTTTGCATATGCCCACATATCACTCATCTAAACCCAGTGAATTGCCTTTTTGAAGTCTCTTTTTTTTTTGTTCTAATGTGAGGATGTCATGAGACCAAGAGCTCCATTCTTTACTCGCTGAACCTGATCATTGACTCTTAGGGCTTTTAGGGAGGAGATACAGTTGTCTTGGCCAAAATGGTATTATAAAATGTTGAAGCCAGGTGCTGATAAACTCAGAATTATTAAAAGCTCTTTTTGTAAAGTAACACACCAGTTAAAGGGTGTTTTTTTCCCCCTAATAGTGACCCTTGAATCAGATTGGCATGGCAACGTTCTAGATTGCTCTGAAATAGCACTTTGTCTGTTGTCTCCCTGAGACAGTGATCTGTTTTCACTATAGTCAGAAAGTGTGATACAGTCCTGCCAAGCAAAACTAGCTTTCAGGCTTTAGATTCTAAACTTCTAATTTCCCTTAGGACTTTCTCTTTAACTCATGGGTTATTTAGAAGTGTATTTTATTTCCAAATATTCGGAGGATTTTCCATATATATTTCTGCTAATGATTTCTGGTTTAATTGCATCTTTAATATCTCCGTCATCCCAGAGTTTGTTCTGCTGATTGCTTTGTTTCTTGACAGTGGATTTTCTTTTTCATTTTATGTGCCTCATAACTTTTGATTGAATGTTGGACATCATGAGTTGAACAGTAGAATACTTACGCCTGAAAAGGGCACACCTGTTCTTTTTCAAGGCTGTTAGTATGGGGGAGTTGAGTCAGTTTAATCTGGAGTTGAGCTGGGCTTATATTTTCTTGTTGCTCTGCTTACCTCAGTGTACCACAAGGCTTCAGATTTCTTTGGATTTCTTTACTATTTCCTGTGTTTCTGGTTGAGGTTGTAATGCCAGAGTGCTTTTCGTCATTTGTACTCCCCTGTTAAATTTCACCTTTCTCTGTATGCCTGTGCTACTGAAGAAGCCCCATTGCACTGTCTTTCCTCTTACTTAGCAGTAGACTGTCACATATTACTCAGTGCTTGCTGGTCTGGTGGTATTAGCCAAAGGAGTTCTTAATTTTCCTCATTCAAACTCAGCCTTCAGCCTCCAAAGAATCACAAGCTTGGTTCTTGAGTGTAGGCCTTTTTCATTGTTCTCTGCCCTTTTTCCTATGGCAGCTTTATTCTGGCTTGTGTCTTTGGCACATCTTGTGAGGGAGTTTCCTTCTGACTCTCAGGGGTAGGAGACCTTTAAAAGTACAAGGGTAGTATACTGGGCCCAGAAATGTTTCCTGTCACTCCTGTAGGAGTAGAGGATTTTTTTTTCCTCTTATGTTTTTTTCTCTTCACAGTGAGATTACTCTGTTCCCTGTGTGGCAGCAGGGTTTACAGCCTTTCTTTTAATGACATTATGGCTTTCATTCCTTAAAGGAGAAGGGTCTGGGTGAGACTTTGGGTCTTTCCCACTGTGGTGGCCGCTCCCCTTCTCCAGGTCTACACTGCCAACCAGTGAATGGTCTTTCTAATGGCCCAAATTGTCTGAATCTTTTTCTTGAGTACCTGGTGGAGGTGTCTGTTAGTTTTCTCTGGCTGTTAGAACAAATTACTACAAATTTGGTAGCTTAAAACAATATAAAATTTTTTCATAATTTTGGAAGACATAAGTCCAAAACCAGTTTCATTTGGTCAAGGTGTTCAGCAAGGCTGGTTTCTTCTAGAGTGTTTGGGGGTAGAACCCATTTTCTTGCCTTTTCTAGCACTAGAGTTGTTCTGCACTCCTTGGTTCATGACCCCCAACTTCTTGCAGCTATAGTCACATCTATTTATCTCTCTGATTCTGACTCCTCCTACTTCTCTCTTACAAGAGCTCTTTCCTGTGATTATATCAGGCCCCTCTTCTCAAAATTCTTAATCATATTTGCAAAATCCCTTTTACCATACAAGATAACATATTCACAGATTCAGGGCATTAGAACATGGACTCTTTTGTATTGTTATTCAGCCTACCACAGGGTTCCTGGAAAAAAGTTTGTGAATGAAGGTAACCGTCCCTGGGGCTGTGGCTCCCAAGGCTTCTGTACTCTGATATTAGCCAACATTTCACCTTTAGCAAACCTTTAAAATTTATAACTGAATTCTTACTCATGTAGTGTTGAGCAGCTCTTCCTCTCATGCTCTGCCACAGGTGATCCAGAGCTTGGATCCCATCCTTCTTTTATGGGGTCTATCTTTCTTGTATTTCAGGCCACTTGGTTGCCCTCTGACATCAGCTCTCTCATGGCTTGAAAAGTTATAATTTTGTAGTTTATCTTTTTTTTTCTTGCTAGGATAGAAGGAGTGTTATTTCCAGTTGTTGTTGTTGTTATTGTTTTTCCATTCTAGCCAGAGGCAGTTCAAAGAAACTTCAGAAACTTTACTGAGCCTGAGGGAACACAAGTCAACTGCCAGTAATCACTACCTTCAGCTTTATAGTAATAGCAGTAGTAATAAACTAGAACAAATTGTAGTGATAGTAAGAGTGGTTGAGTTGAACTCATAGTGAAGGTAAGTAAGCACTTACCACAACCATATGCCAAGCATTATTTTAATTATTTTATACACTTATTTAATCCTTAAACTCTATAAGGTGGTTACTGTTTTTATTTACATTTATAAGTGAGAAAACTGAGGCAAGTGGAGATTAAGTCATTTTCTCAAGGTGTCAGGCTGATACTGACAGAGCTGGGATTTTAGTCCAGGAACTACTTCTCCAGAATCTGTACTTTTAAGCATGAGGCTGTGCTGCTTCTCAAAAAATAATTTGCTCTGAGGATATGATGGGTCTTTATTCTGTAATTAACTCAATTTCCTCTGTGAACTTTTTGCTGAACTATTTCCCAATTTTTTTGAGAGTCAAGGGCATTTCGTTTAATCCTGTATCCCTAGAAGTAAATGGAAATAAGATCAGGTTTTCTCAACCTGGGTTTCCTGGGAGAATCAATTCTTAATACTCTCAGGCATCCATTAAATGTAGAGAATAAATGTTTTTTCAGTGGATTTTAAATTGTATTCATTATCTACTAAATTGGGAGAAGTGAAAAAAAGTCAAATAATTTTCTATTTTCTGTGTTTCAAATGAGAAGCTCCTATAATCACCTACAAAATGATAATCCCTGCATGATGTAAGTATCAAGCATCATCACGGACATCTCAGCTAGAGTATGAGATAAAACCTCAACTGGATTCTGTAGATTTTTTTTTTTACCCTACTCTCATCACCATTGAAATTGGAGACTGATCTTTTTCTAGTTGTTCTCTAGTCAGGGGATATATCTCTACCTGTATATAGAAGGTCAGCTTTGGGGCTATACTCTGAATTCATAACTAGTAATTCTATTTCAAGGTGCTGTGAGGTTTAGTCCACTGAGAATCCCAAGAGATTTGTGTCTTTGTCAGAATGCTAACTTTTAAAGGTTTATTTTAAATAAGGAATAAAGAGGTCTTCCTTAATCACATGGTTTTCCCAGTCATGCAAAGTTCATTTTGGTTCTTTTATTCTTTTTCGGTGTCTGAGTATATGCATGCATGGATATTTGCATGTAAACTTCAAGTGGGATTAAAACCATTTAGGGCCATCCATGTATTTTGTAAAGAAGATCATCCTGCATAATTACTCTTTATCAGTAACTATCATCAAAAAAATTTTCACAGTAGGATATTCTTATCCTAAAGTTTTTGAATGCTCATACAGACCTGACAATTTCACTTATAGGAGAAAGGGAATTTTGTAAAGAAGATCATCCTCCACAATTATTCCTCATCAGTAACTAGCATCAAATATATTTTTACTTTAGGATGTTCTTATCGTAAAGTTTTTGAATGCTAATACAGACCTGACAGTTCCACTTACAGGAGAAAGGGAACTGGATGCCATTTTCCAGTTCATTTACGGGTATTTCATATCGTATGTTGCTTTAACCTGGGACAGAACCCAGCAGCCTTTTAACACTATTAAAAGCTCTATTTGGTTGTTGCCAATTATAAAGCAGATGTGAAAAGAAAAAGAAAAAGATAAAGCAGATTTGAAAAGTAGACCTTTAAGAACTGTTTGGATATATCGAGTTTTTATAGCCATTCAAAAAGAACTCAAGATAATCTTCCCACAGGACAGTCATGGTGATTAATAAGGAACTACATAGGAAGTAAAGTTGTTTCTTGAGTTTACCAATTTCTGTTGGTGTTTTTCTGGAATTTTGACTTATCACTATATACTGGAAAAAAAAACTCATCTTCAAATGATTTCAGCCAATTCAGTACATTTAATCTTAGTACCTGTTTACTTCATTGATAGTATTTTGCCCCAACAATAGTAGACTAGAACTTTTTTTTTTTTTTTTTTTTTTTGAGACGGAGTTTTGCTCTTGTTGCCCCGGCTGGAGTGCAATGGCACGATCTCGGCTCACTGCAACCTCTGCCTCCCAGGTTCAGGTGATTCTCGTGCCTCAGCCTCCCAAGTAGCTGGGATTACAGGCATGCACCACCATGCCCGGCTAATTTTATATTTGTAGTAGAGATGGGGTTTCACCATGTTGGTCCGGCTGGTCTCGAACTCCCGATCTCAGGTGATCCGCCTGCCTCAGCCTCCCGAAGTGCTGGGATTACAGGCGCGAGCCACCGTGCCCAGCCAGGACTAGAACTTTTTAACGTATTTTATTCATATTGCCACAATGGAGAATTATTATGACACCTAAAATAGATAATATTTTATCAATAAAAGCTAATGTTGATAGATTTAAGGTGACTAATCTATCATAGGTATTGATATCAGAGTCTCCTCAGTTTTCTAAATTATGACTAGGGATCACCATTAGGCGTAGTAGTAGGCCTTTATCATTTGAAATCACAATTTAATTTCTTGGTGAATTAGGATTCAAGGGTAGGAGGAATTTGAGATATTGAGCTCTTCAAAAATTTACCTGACTTTTGAACTTCATCAGCAGTATCCCCACCATGTTGTTATGCAGCTATTGTTTGAATACTTTCCCTTACCACAGTTAATGCTAGAGGCAGAGTTCAGGCTAGTTCAGTCCTCATCTGAAAGTTTGCCTTCCCTTCACATTCTCAAAGTTCATTGTTGATACCCATTTATCTAACTCAGCATCTTGTTTAATATCATTGTATTACATAAGAATCAATAAAGTGCACACTCTTCCAAATCTTGTTTGTCCCTTCCTCTATTCTATCTTCTCCTTCATCTTTTCTCTAGCTCTGAGCTGTCAAACAGCCCATGGTGGGAAAATGAAGACTTTAACATTTAAATTTAAAGGAAGGGGTGTGTGTATGTGTGTGTGTAGATAGGAGGGAGTGTATTTGAAGCTATATATTACCTGATTTTTCTGTAAATCTATCATATTCCTTTAAAAAAGTCTTTTTTAAAAAGTTAAAGGACTGTGAGTAGAAAAATTAATATTTTTCTTTTAAAATCTTTTGTTAATTATAAAAATTTATATACAAAAATATAAAAAGTAATTTTAAATCACCTATAATCTTACACTATCTCAATGTATTTACTTCTATTCAGACATTTTGATGATTCTGTTCAAAACATTTAAAAAACTTTAGCCATGTATATAATTTGAAAGCTGAAAATATCAGAATATTTTGGGAACAGTTTTCTATTAAAACATTTCTTGATCCATTCTTTTCCTTTCCCATTCCTATGGCTTCCTTGAGACCTTTCGCAGTGTCTAGCCTCTGTTTTCTGCCATGTTATTCTGTTCACCTTAGCTTCTTTGCTGTTTTCTCTTGCCGCCTTTCTCTGTTCCTCACTTCTGATTATCTCTCCCTTGGATCCCTCTCTGTCTGCCTTGCCTCTCCTCATTTTTATTGCTAGTGTATAATTGGGTTCTACAGCTCTACTATGTCTCACTTCCCCCAACCTTCTGGCTCGTTTCCTCACCTGATAAAATGGCCAGAACTTGAACTCCAGTTCTTGTGGAAAGTGCACCATTGTCCTCACTAATATCCAGAGCAGGGCATATGTTGTCTTCCTTCTTTAATCCCCACTGCACCCGGCTGTTCTTTACTTCTTTCTCTAAATACCATTATTCCAAGGCTGTCTTGGACATTTACTGAACAATTTAGGGTAACAGAGGCCTTACACACAGAACAGTGTAAGATTTAAAATTAAATGCTTTGTATTCTTGTTCATAAAAGTTACTTGGCCATCCTTGCCACTAAGAATGTTTCCTTTTTGCCTTAGACCAGGTTTTATAAAAAGCAGTGATCAGTGACTTAAGATAAATGTCTTTAGACTTAAAATGATGCTTCATTGTATGTCACGAAGAGATTAGATTCTAAGGAAGGAATTAGAAAATTAAGTAAATTTTGTGCTATAATTTTTAAAAGTTCATTTCAAAAATGCTTTTCTATTAGTAAAAATCAGGGAAGAGAGGTTTAATTTAAAAAATATTCATATTTGGATAATGAGTGTAGCCCAGCTGCCACTGAATTTTTCTTATTAAGGTGGTATTCTGATGAAATTTAAATTAAAAAATGTTTACTTGGTATATTTTTTCTATAATTAAGTTGATTTGCTGATCTTGTTAGACACATGGAATGGCTAACCTGTCTAACACATTTAGTATTTATTGTATCACATTCTTTGACTTAAAATCTGTATTATAACATCAGACCTTTAAGTGTCTTTGTATTATTCATAAATATTTTTTGTTTATGTTATAAATGTTTGGATTTTAAAATTTTTAACACATTTTTAATAGATGCAGTATAGTCAGGTAATTTGTATTTAAAGAAAACAGAAGCCTGAACATGGTATATATTACATAGTGAAGTGTGGTATTTCTGGGGTACACAATTTTAGAGTAATAAACATAATTTCAAGCACCTACAGCAGTGAAATAGTTCTCATTTTACACTTTTATATTTCTGTAAGATTTGTTTTTGCAGTTTTAATTTATCCTCCATTGCAGGGTGTTAATATTGTTAAATTATACAAGGGAAGGATTATATGTTATATACTTAATCATTTGGAAAGACTGAGACTCTTACCACAGTTCTGCTGTTGACTAGATGAATGACCTTGAATCAAGTTACCTCTAAGATCATTGTCTTATCTTTAAAATGAAGACATTAACTTCATTTTTTCTTAAGTTATGTAACTTTTATAACTGAGAGATTTCAAAACAAATATACAGTTTCAAAAAAGATCCTAAAGTCTGTAATCTCACCATTCATCTGACACTTGATTTATCTGCCTAGCATCACTACTAAGCAGCAGGGAATGAGCTTTGTCAAGGATAGAGCTGTGAGCCCCTTCCTCCCTCTTGGCAGGAACTATTGACAATTGACTATTGACAATTTCTCTAAATGAGCTGATGATATGTCTTTACTAAAAATTTAAACACTTGGAGTCATACAAAACAAGTATGATCCAACTTCTAGTTGAAAAGCCAACTATATTGTTTTTGATTTTTCTTTCATTTTTAAATTAAGCATTCTGTTTCATCTGTTACTCCTGTATCAAGGTTTTCATTTGTATTGATTTTATATTTCTTTGGACATATGAAATAGACATTTGAAATAGACATAATAATGAAACGAGGTGAACTGAATTTGAAAATAGGACTGGACACAAATTTTGAAATTTGATTGATTTCCCCAGCAAAATGTTATTTTTAAGTCATTTTGGCCTGGGAATTATAGTAATGATAATGTTAGATGCTTACTGTATCCCAGACTATGTTTTCTGGTCTTTGACTCTACTATCACATTCAGTTCTTACAACAGTCCTATGAGGTATATATATCTCCATTTTAGAAGAGAGGTAACTGGGGTACATAGACACTAAGCAGTGTGAAATAGAAATTATTCCAGTTATATATTTAAATGATATTATGTAAATTAAGTTATGTATTAGAATATAATTTCTTCCCTTCCAGAAAAATACTACCATAGTGTATGATAAAATCTACTGACCTTCACATTAGTTGCCAAGATTTATTGAGGGCTTATATGCCAGTCAGTGTGCTAGTGCCTTCCACATTTGATCTCATTTAATCCTCATAACAACTGCTTGAGATAGATACTGATTTCATTACTATTTTATGGGTGAGGAAAATGAGAAGAATTACTTGCCCAAGATTGTACAACTGGAAAATGGTGGAATTATAATTTGAGTCTAGGCAGTCTTAACCATACAGTTCATGCACTAATTAGGCATACTGCCTCACCGCACTACACTGCTTTAGCATATTTGACTTTGTTGGGACAAAAAAAGTAGATACTTCCTCTTAACAGGCAATTCTAACTATATAAGATACAGAATATATTGATAGTTACTGGTATGTGCATCAGTGAAGCCCTTTGAAAACAATTTTTTCTACATTAATTTGTTTACTAGTTGCATATGAAATAAATACAAAGCCCAAACTTGATCTTTGATTTAAAATACTGCACAGTTTTTTGTCCTGGGAAGATAGGAGCCAAGAGAAGTCACATTGCTTATTCTAGCTTATTTTAGTGAAATTTAGGATGTAGGGATATTAGCAATAGCTTTTTAGTTTTTATCAAACTTATCAACTTGAATTTAATTGGGGGTTAAAGCAGATTTCCATATCTAATGTGTCTATATTCGGATGCATTTCAAAGTGAAATACAAATACATATTTTCAGTTGTCTTCTCATCTCTATTATTTGTGCATGTAATTAAGAGTTAATTGTATTTCTATTATAAATGATTTGGTTGCTTCCTCTTGCATTATACTTTTCCAGTAGTAAACTACAGACAAAGTAGTTCTCAGAGTATCAGATTCAGAATGTGCTCAAAAGCTCTTCACTTAGAGACTGAAGCACTGAAAAAAGTTAGCACGTGTGATCTTACTATTTAACAAGCAAATTGACCTCTATTATTTCTTATATGTTGATAAATACAACATGTCTTTGAAAATTATGTTTCACATTGTATTCTTTTGTGGGGGTGTTTACAGTTTTGTTTTTACTTTCTTTGGAGGTTATTCAGTTTGGCATGATAGCTCTCCTCAGTAACGCTTTATTTGTCTGTGTGCCACTTTTCACTTTCTTTTTCTCAATGGAACCTAGAAGCATTAAACACATCTCTTAATTGTTAATATAAAAAAGTGAACTTTTTCTGCGATGTGTGACTACTTGGCATTTTTACCTCATCTTCACAGATCTAAATGTTTGAAGGAAATGATAACTTTTTATGTTTACCCCAGTCAAAAAATTTTACTTCTAATCACTAAAATTTCTCCACTGAAAATAAAGACAAAAAGGTAACAAATAATTGTAACCAAACATATTTCTAATATAGTCTTTTTAAAAGAAAGTCAGCTTAGGCACAGGATAAGAATCATTTGAAAATTTCTTCCCCGAGTCTCTGTATTTGAGTATAACCAGCACTGTAACACACTGATCAGATGTGCTTGTTTTCAGCACAGTTTTATGTTTTCTCAAGCGATGTTAAATTGCCATATTTGATGAAAAAATAGCAAATTGAAATTTTTCAAAATATTTATTGATTAAATATTTCCTTTTATAAATACAAGCCCTTCATCATTTTAATATTATTTTCTTTTTTGCTTTAGAAAGATAGGTTTATTTTGACAACCAAAAGTAATAATAATAATACAAGAGGAGGCAACTCAATGTTTCAAATGATAAAATAGTTCAATTTTAACCAATAGGAACCTACACAAGATCATGGCATTTAGGTTTAGAGTATCTATCTCTTTGGACCAGATCATATGTTATTTGAATCTACTGTGGTTTGTTAGTATGTTTCATAAGACATAGTGCAGAGCTGCTATGATCTTTAAATGTTAATGTTCTTTTCTTATCACTTTACTGTGTAGATACCCTTCATGAGACCCAACTCTGCCACAGCTCATCCTCGGAGGCAATCCCGGAAACCTCTTTTATAAGTGTGATTTTAAAAATGTGGATTAAACTCTCGATAGAGTACATAAAGTAAAGGAGAACAGCTATATTGTCCTTTCTATAAGCTTGTCACTGCAAAAAGTTGCCTTTTGCTTGTCAGGTTTGGATAGAATATAATTGATTGGTTTGTTACTTGGACTAACAAGGCAGTAGATTTGCCTGTGTGGAATTTTTTTTCCTATTTTTCTTCTTTTTGCTTTTTTTGCACTTATCAGAAATATTTGATGTGTGCATTGTTGAAAAATACTGGATACATGTCTTGTCAGAATTGTCGTATTAAGTAATGTCTTTCCCTCTTGCTTCTTTGGCAAATGTTGATACACAGTGTTTGGACTTACTGAAGAGTTACTGAAGCCTGTGGGACTTAATAAATACAATATGCTACTCCCTGTTGTGATTGAACAATACAAATAACAAACAAGAAAGACAATGCATTCCATTAGTCTGCTATTCTGTTTCCTTCAACTTCATACATAGATTCATATATGAAGTACTGCATTGTAAAACAACTATAGACTCATATTAAATGTTATTTCTATTTATAATATTCAGCAAAAGTGAAAGACTTGTGAAGCATATGACATTCTATTTTTGACTTATTAGTCCTAGTGTGAAAGCATTAATATTATTAGCATGAAATTTTTACTTCAGATTTTAAGCTCATGAATAAAGATATATCTGTGTTGATCTCTAGATATTTTTAGTAATACCCAAATATATTCAGTCCTTATTGTTTTAATATAAGCTTTCTGTGTTCAGTATAATTTTATTTTTCTCAACCTTAAATATGAACTTAGGAAATAAGGAGGGAAGTACAAAGATTATTGACTATACAACCTACCAGCTGAAAGAAAGATCTTCATCAACATCTGTATCTTTCCAGAGGTATACAGAATTAAAATTTGATCTTCAAGCTTTAATGATCCAGTTTTAAGTCAACGGCAGAAGTATGTTGAATATTTCATCACTCAATCTTGAACTGATTTAGAAGAGACTCTTTGCTGAAATTGAATTGCACTTATACATGTAAATTGTCAACATGTAATTTGGAATTTTCTGATTAATAAATGTGGTTTTGGACATCTTTTCGGGTATAGTGACAATGGAAAATAGTTTAAACTTTAGGAATAGAGTAGGTAATGTTATAGATAATCAAAAGCAATTGTAATTGTAAAGCTGCTGTAATCTAGTGATCTCTAGTTACAGTGAGGAACGCTATGATTGGATGAGATGTTTGATAAAAGTAAAATGTGTATGAAATTACATATAAACAGATTATTAGCTTATTGAAAGATCTCATAACATTGGAGGAAAAATATTCATAATCTTTAGCAAAACTAGTAGACTTTTGTTTAAAAGAATAAGATAGGACTAGTTGTCACTATATTAGCTTAAGGAAATGTTGGTAATTATTACTGTTGCTGAACTCTGGCTGCTTTTAAGCAAAATGACAGATTGCCATTTTCTAAGTGGAATATACTAATCCATTAGACCATGGCCCTCTTTTAATATTTAGTGAGAAATTACTCGCAGTTGCTTTATTTTAGGTTTTTTGAGAAACTCTTAGGCCTTGTTTTGGTATCACTGTTAATCAAAATCCTTTTCACTTTGATTCCAATTATAATACTATATTATCATCATTTTCCATCTTGCATTTTCAGTGGTGGTGGATATTCTATTCCACATTTGGTGCTAGTCCTAAGAATCTTTGTCACATGTTATACATATAGACTGCAAAATTCATAAGATATAGGTCCTGCAAAAAGTATAGTTGAAGTAAGAAAACTTGAAGTAACTAGAATAGAATACTTTCTCCTAATAATCTCTTAAATGCTCTCATATCCACAGTATAAAATTATTCCGTGTCCATAATCGGTCCAACTACTATAAGGAGAAAATTGATGTGTGCTTAAGAAAATATGTACTAAATGATTCATATTTCACAGACCTACATAAGAAAAAAATGGCACATCAGGTAAATGATAGTTGTTTATCACACAGTAGGGAAAGGAAGAAACATGAAAATATCAGGAAGGAGATGAAATGTCTCTGAAATACAGGAAGAATGACATAATAGCAAGTAGTGGTTCTCAAACGTTGTGCATTGGAATCACAGGAAGGATTTGTAAAAACACAGGTGACTACCCTATTCCTCTCCTGGATCTGCCCTCTGCCCACTTTACTCCCTCCCCCTTCACCCTGGAGTTTCTGATTTAGTAGAAAATTTGCATTTCTAACAAGTTCCCAGCTGATGCTGATGCTACTGGCCTGGAACACCACATTAAGAACCATTCATAGGTAGTATTTTTTTTAAAACATCGTTGTGTTGTGCTTAACATTGATTGATAAAGGAATGTGCTTTTAACATCTCCTTAAAAGGTCCCTTAGATTTCCTCTAGATAAAAGAATTAGTAATTTCATCTGCAACACATACAATTTTTTTTAATTTTATAAAATTTAGTTAAATGTTTGTTTTACACTGACTATGGAAACAGCACTATTTTAGATACAGAAAGAAATCAATAAACATAGCCTGTGTTCACAATTCACTCATCCTTTTGTTATAAAAAGACTTGAAATTAGGGTTATGTTTTAACATGAAAACAAAATTTAGCCTTAGCTTTTATCCATCTTAACTTTAGAAATTATATTTATGCATTGTTTATAGATCATTGTCATTCGTTGTTGCTTAAGTGTTCATCTGATTTTATATTTATGATGTTAAAAATAGACTGCTGACCAATAAATAATAAAATATTTACACTCCATTCTATTTCCCTGTATTCACATCCTATTAATGAAAACCACTGGTTTTAAACAAAGTTACTTATTTCATAAAACTCACCACTATTTTACTTGATTCTCAATATGAGAATATTTCATGACTATTTCACCAAAATTTATTCAAGGAATTCAGAAGGACTCTCCAGCAGAGCAGAATATTTACATCATTAAATTTTTAAAAAAATTTAAAAATGGCAATTGAAACTTGTTTAAGAGACTCAACTTGGAGTTTCCTGACATACGAAGGCAGAATCATTTTTTCTACCTGTCTGAATCAGCACTTTGTAAGTTTACATAAAATTAAGGATTGTGATTTCTAAGATAGGCATGCTTTGCAAATATTTCTCTATAAAAGTGGAAGCCTCTTTCCCATAGTGCTCACTTTAAGGCTTTCTGTAGGCCTGCCGATAAGATTCACTGCTGTTCAGGTACATAAGATGTAATGTAATTGGATGCACATGCTGGGCTTTGTAAATAAAATGAGATTGACACCCAGCAATTATCTCATTTATCTGATTTACATTGTAAAATCAGGATCTACACTATTGATTAGAGCATAATTAGTTAATTATGAACAGGGAAATACAAAGTTACATGGAGCTTGAGCTCAGCAGGTTGTACTGCTGAAAAATTTCCAAGGGCATGAGCAGATGGAAATCAGTTTATTAAAGAACAAAGCAGACATGTTTCAGGTATGGAAATGTCTAATTCTTCTCTCATGCTGTGAAGAGTTGCTTGACCTTATTGTGTATTTTTATATGAATTGTTTTGTCTCATCTTTCATTTTCTTGTTTCACATTTAATCTTGTAATCTGGCTGCCACAGATATAGCTAACTGAATTGATCCCACTCTTTAAGTGACTATTAAATACAGATTTGGATTTGGATATTTTTCTAATTTTTTAAAATTAATTTTTATGTGTAAAGAATATTTTTGTCTTTCTTACTACCCATTCATTCATTATTGGCTGATACAGAAGTCTGTAGTGGTATTAATGAAATAGGTTCAAGCCCTCCACGTTAGTCTTATATTTGTGAAATGATTAAAAACCATTTTCTAATTATTTTGTATAGAAACTGCTCATGTAGGTAATTTGCACTAAAATTGTTGTAAATTACAAGGAATAAAATATTGTACTTATTGATACTAAATGTTATTCCGTATTGGTAGAATGCAGAATTTTGTGCAAGCTTGTATTATTTGTAAAGTGATTTAACTCATTGACCACAATTTGTATTTTCTCCATCTGTTAAGATGTTTAATCAAAATAATTGGCCACTATTCAATGAAAGAACTCATCGCTACCTGTTAATAGATTTGCGTAGATGTTTGAGCTGCTAGTGAGATTTTTATTTAAGTAATGACAGTATTCAAGACTAATTTTTTTGAACATTCTTGTGATGGAATTTTTACACAGAAATGAAAAAGTTGGAAAATCCAACCCATCAGTTCTCTGGATATTTAGTTTTTTTTAAGTGGACAGACATAATAGTCTATATTTTCAGAGTCCAGTTTTTGTTTTGCTTTATATAAACTTATAGGGGCTACAAGTAAAATGTTCCATTGGCATAAAAGATAATGTGATTATCACAATCAACTTGATCATAAAAATGTACATCCTTGTTCAAGTCTATGTTATGGATTTTGCTTCTTTCTAAAGTTTAGCTTACAAATGGCTATAAATTATTTGCATAGGAGGTGCACTTAATTGTTTCAGTTAGGTTTTAAAAAGTAGTTGTAGTTTACTCCTCTAATGAAATTAGAGATGTTAAACCCTTTGGAATACTGACTTTTGGCCTCTTAGGCATTCGATGAAATAAATCAGCTGCTTCTTTTTACTTGTTTGCATATTCTCAATAGTCAGGTAAACACCTGACTAATTGCTTGTTATATGGATCATAGCACATATGAAGGTAAATCATTTTTTTCCCTCTTCTTTGTTTAGGGTGCTATTCTTAATCATATACTAAGTAAGTATTTTACATACATATAGACTGTGTTTATTTGGTCACTACATTTTGTTAATGGGTAAAAGACCATATATTAAGCTACTTTGTTATTTACATCTATATCTGTTATTAATCTGATAGCTAGGAAGTTGTATTTAGTAAGAATCTAATTAGGTTTGCTTTTATCTTATAATTGGGATTCCTTTATGCTCTATAGTGTTAATGTGTACAGTGTTTATTAGAGGCTTAAATGATACTTCTTTAAGCATCCAGTTTTTATTTTATTAAAAAATCTTAGTGTTTCTTTACAGGTTAGTTTTGTATTCTTTTTTAATATTTTAAGACATTGCCTTCCTATTTAATAATGTGCTATTCGTATAATAATCTGTTTTTATTACATAGACATTTGTGTTATTTAATAAAGTATATTGTGTTATATCCCTATACTTTTGTGGGTCAATGACTGCTTCTGAAAAAGTTTTTTAAAACATTTTATTCACTATTTATTTTGATAAATTTTGTCCTATATTATGTGCTGCATGTGTTTCCAAGTTTATGTAAGAAATAAAGGTAGAAACCATAAATAGGTCAATAACTACTTTAACTCCATTGCAGCTTTTAGGTAGCAGATGATTATAGTCCCTTACGAGTTTTTTTAAATGGTCTAAATTTGCAACATAGCTCAGGGTTTGTTGGGTGACAGGATTTGATGAAGATTACAAAGTGGTATTTGTGTGTAAAATTAATAAGCCACTATTTTGGCCATCCACATTGTTCTTTGATTTCTTGGGTTCTTAATGGTATCTCTTATATTTGTCCACAGTTTATTAATTCTTGCAAGTTCTGCTAGAGTTCACTTGTGTCCAGTAAGATGTTTCTGTGATTAGCACATAGAGCTATGGATTTTTTCAATTCAATATTCTAAGATAGAAACAACAGATTTTTTTCACATTGAAATAATTTTGGGACATCTTTACAAAGATCTTATATTTGTATATTTGTTTATCACCAAAACTATTGACTTCAAGATTGGATTCTTTTCTTTTTTTCCCCTTCTGTTTTTTGGATTTTGGCAGTTCCTAAGGGTACTACTACTTTTTGCTACTTAGTCTTGAAGCTGAAGCTTTTATTTACTTTTGAGTGAGCTAGAACCTCAGAGAACTTGCCTATCACCCCTAATTCTGACAAGCAAATTCTTTTTCCTTTGGAATGCATCACAAATACATGAGAGTTCCACATGTCGACTAAGTAATTCTGAAAGGTATCACTAATGAAGGAATCAATCAGCAAGGATTAGGTCATTTTTAAATGGCATGTATTTGTTATCTTCTGATAAGCTAGCATATAAAATCTTTCTCTTCCTCTTTTCATTAGTTCTTGAGCTGAAAGATAATTTAATTGTACGAGTAGTTGAAATCAGCAACAGATTGGAACTGTGTTAGTGTAGCAAACTTGTTCTTGGTTTATTAGCTGGAATTTCATAGCTATATCAACAAGAATTATTTATGTACATTAAGGTGATAAATAATGAATTATGATACACATGCATCATGATAGTTGCCTCAAGTTATACACTAGAAATCATAATTTGAAAATTATTATGACACAGAGTTATAAAGTAAATATGCAGTAATTAGGTAGTAAATTGATGTGAACTAGGAAAATGTTAATACTTCATCAAGAACTTTGATTATTAGCAATCTGAACTCTGGCGCACTACCCAAAAACCTAAAGTTAAGGAGAAAAGACTATAGTTAACAAACAAAATTGAGCCCATTTACTTAACTCAGTAGCAATTATCATTTTCATGTATTTTTACTGTCAGTTTACATAGCCTCAGTAAGTTTTAGTGGTCTGGTTTCTGAATCCATAACAGATTGTTGTTGGGGAATTTATGCTTAAGCAAACACACCGAAAATATCAGGAAGCAGTGGCTGATAGTTTTCAGGCAAGTGAGGACCCTGAAAATCTACAAAAATTGAATACAAGAATTCAAATAGAACAGCTGACTCCTGGTCCTCATTCCAAGGACAAAAGGCTGACACACTGCTAGACCTGTAGCAGCATATGTTATTCTTACTGATGACCTGAGATGACAAATATAAATTATATTTAATATGTTTATTTGATGAAACGAGCAATGTGATTTTTAAATTTCGCATCAAAGATGATTAAAACTCCAGTTTTTATGTATGAAGGAGTATGCTCTCAGTTATTTAGAAATCTCAGCCTTCTCATAAACTCAGAAATACTTATACTTTGAAGGTTTCTATATCCATAGGTTTAATCGAAATTTTGGCTAATGAAAGGTAAATATGTTGTACTGAGAAAGAGCATAAAATTATGTGGGCTTGCCAGTCTCTTTATGTCACATTTGAACTTAGCTTATATTATTTATTATTCTTTCTTAATGCCAGAACAACAGGTATTTGAACATTTTAACTGCTTTTAAATATATTTTTAGATGTGTGATATTGTCATAGTAAATAAAGTACTGTTGGTCCTATTGGTCCTATTTGATTTTATCTATTCCTGTAGCTAGAACTGTCATAGTAAGCATTTTTTAAAGTCTTGAATCTACAAGGTTTTTGGAAAAGTACATAAGCTTATTTTATTCATAAGGAGAAAGTTGTAGAGGAAGAAATGCATAAACTTAGGACATTCATTTGTGTTTTAAACTTCTTTATATCTGAGTAACTTAATTAAGTTGCTTAACTTTTCTGGAACTCTTGATTCCCCAAATGAGTTTTTGGAAGATTGGACTTTTGTATCATAATATGAAATTTCTACTAAAAATGTAGATTTACAGTCCCTTTTATTATGATGGTTTCTTAAAGTCAATTGTTTTTCTTTGTGTGTTGTTTATGTAAGAAGAGCTTCTTCCCCCTTTTTTCCTAAAAGGTTATTGAATAGTAGTTTTTAACTTTAATCAAGTAATATATGTTCTATAAATTTTCCCCTTGGTTTCTTAATTGCAGATTTCTTGACATTTGAAGTTTTAAATCAGTGAAAGATAAACAATAAAGAAAATCTGACAGATTGGTTGAGAAAGTATTATTGTTTAATTTTTTTTAAACTATGAAATGAGGAATGTAATCCCTTCTATAAGATGTATACTCTTTGTTATTTGTTGTTAAATTTTGGTCTTGTTATTCCAACTGATGCAAAATTCTTTTTACAAAGCACTGAAATAATACAGATTTTTCTTCATTGTCAGCAGGATGAGATTGTCTGAAACGAAGAATAGGTATGATAGTTTTCTTAGATTTTGCACATCATAGGTGGCAAAGACACTATCAAAACATAAGTTTTTAAATGTACTAGGAAGTACTTTGTAAAACCAAACGGTCTGAAGAAAGTGACAGGTAATTTGTGAGAATAAAACTAAATTATTGGGGTAGTGTCTTACCTCTTTGTATATTTAAATGTTCTGTTTTTTAACATGTAAAGGTTATTTTTATTTGTTGTAGATTGTGTTAGCATGCTATAAATGTTAGAAAGTTCACTTACAATCTACTTTAACTTGAAGAAAGAGAGAAATCGGGTCCAAATTGTATAGCATTGATTGCAACCTAGTGTAGCCTAGTAGAATTTCTGAGTTTTAAAATTTTTTAAATAATCAAAATGTATTTTATTGAATTCATATCCTGGAATTATATATGTATCTTATTAAATACTTTAAAATGATTTAATGGGCAAATGATTAATTCTTTAAGTTCACAATTGAAATTGTTGTGGTTGTTTTGAACACATGATTATACATATACGTTCATTCATATGCTCTTAATATTTCTACTGTCAGTGTTCTAAATATTTGTTTTGTTTGTTGATTTTATTGCTGTTGTATTTTGTTTTTGCTAAAACATTTATTTCAGGTTTAGTTTGCCTTTATCATCATCATTAATTTAATGATCTTGTGAGCCAAGGATAAAATTAACAGTGTTGAAGTTGAAATATACAATAGTTTGTCTTTTTGTCTTTTCATGAAGTAGATGGTTTTTATATTATTTAGATACACCTACCTATAAATCTGTTTACCCTGCAGGTGTGATGAATGCAGACTCTGCTACCATTTTGGCTGTTTGGATCCTCCTTTGAAAAAGTCTCCTAAACAGACAGGCTACGGATGGATATGTCAGGAATGTGATTCTTCATCTTCCAAGGTAAGGGGAGAAGTCTATAAGAAAAGGTATTGGTGTCCTTCCGTTTGATAGCTTTCCCATGTCACACAATTAGCTTCTTTAAAGATAATTGGAATATGAAGAACCAACATTTTAACCAGTACACCTTAAGAATATATTGCTATGGTTATTTTCTTGCTCTTAAATTAAGGAAAAAACAACTCTACTAAATTATGTGAATTTTCTCTCTGGAATATTTAGTTGTTTTACGTATTCTCTATTATTGTAACATATTAAATAGTGCTCCGAAAGCCCAAACAGATCACTCTCTGCTAACTTAACACACTTGAGAATGGCAGGAAAATTCCACCCTGAGTCATAATAAATTATGTTAGCTAACAGAATAACCAATTAAATAGAATTTTATAGATGTTTTATTTTAAAATATAATATATTGTAATATCTTATAGAATCTGTTCCTTTAAAAAAAAAACAAAATAGTTTTCATATCCTAAATCTTATTTCTGATATTTATTTTAGCTGAGTAGAATGAAATTTCTATAATCTAATGTTTAATAGATTATACCCCCAAATCAGTTTGAAAATTACATCTTTTTAATATTAACATTCTAAACTTACATTGTAGTAATACATAGTTTATTTTGTGGTTTGTTAAAGTGAGTAAGTAAATAGCCAGACTCCTAATGTTTTGACTGATTTGGCAGAAATACTGAATACATTTGAATGAAGACATTCTGGTCAACTGTAGATTAATCCGATTTTTCTTTCTCAAAAAAGATGACGAAAATTAACTGTCTGTTGTATTATGGACATCCAGCCATCTTTCTTCAATGCTACTTAAATGATTTTTTTGGTCCTAGAGTGAATTAAAATTGATCATGTAATCAAAAACATTCTTTTATCATTAACTAAAATGATTTGCTTCAGCTTACCACAGAGGCCTTCTGCAAAAGTTTATTTATTAAAAACTGCAAAAAGACATTTGGTTATAGAAAGAAACTAAACTTTTTTTAAATATCAGAATTTATTTAAAATTATACACATTTTTTGCCGGGTGGCTCACACCTGTAATCCCAGCACTTTGGGAGGTCGAGGGAGGTGGATCATGAGGTCAGGAGTTCGAGACCAGCCTGGCCAACATGGCGAAACCCCATCTCTACTAAAGATACAAAAAATTAGCCAGACATGGTGGCGAGTGCCTCTAATCCCAGCTACTTGGGAGGCTGAGGCAGGAGAATCACTTGAACCCGGGAGGCAGAGGTTGCAGTGAACCGAGATCACGCCATTGCATGCCAACCTGGGCGACAGGGCGAGACTCCATCTCAAAAAAAAAAAAATTATAAATATTTGTATGAGGATTATTAAGATATAATATTTGCATATATTTTATTTAATAATCAAGCATTTTAACCTAAAATTGTAAACTATATAGTAGCAAGAATTATTTTCCAGGCATTTTATTAAGGCCTAGATTTAAGAGAGAACATATTTAATTTTAAAGATTTTATTGCACAGTTCAAAAATGTATTCCCAAAATTTTATTTAAATGTAAAAATAATGAAACACTATGGAGTTTAAATAGTTGTCTTACGAGTCTCTTTAATAAGTTTTTTTAAGTGCATTTTTTGTTTGGGATTTTCTCCTACCCCCAGCAAACAAGTTAGGAAAACAATTTTTGAAATAGGATTTCCCACCTTTTTTAAATATACCTTTTTGCATATATTCTTTTGAGAAGGCTCAATAATACTATAAATATGTAGTATTATGTTAAATGTTAAGTTATACAGTAATGTTGTTAATGAACATTGAAAAGGCAAGGGGGCATATTTTAGATTTGTTTGAAACATTGCATACATTTTGTACATGCCATAGGTGCCAGTAGCCATTGGATAAGGTTTTAGTTTTGTTTTCTTCTCTACCACAGAATGGGTCTTTGGACTCTGAGTGGAAATGCGTTAGGAAGGCACATTGTTAGAAAACTTGCTTTATATTTGCTGTACTCTGTTTGACCTGTGGTTGAATACCAATATAAACAACTAACATTTTCAAAATTTTATAAAATATGGTTTCTAATATTGGAATGTCACAGCAGTTTACTGTAAGGAATGAAACAACAGTGAAATGTATTTGTATTTTCGTTATACTTATATGACTTAATATACTACCATTTTCCAATGAAAAATGAAATTTAATATAATATTTAAGCTGAAACTTCCGGAGACTTAATTGATTCCCTTGAATATTTGTGCTGCATCAGTGGTTTTTCTTACTTTGGAAGACTTCCATTCATGACCAGTGGGTAGTAAATTTCTGTTGGCATTTTCTTCTGAAAGATGTTTGCTAGTATTACAGCCTAAGAAGAAAGCATTGATAGATAATGTCATGCTTTATAATTCAGTGAATGCTGCAGAAGCTTTTACATTCGGAAGCTGTATATTATTAACATCCAAGTCAAGAAAATTAGTGACATCTTAGGGCTTAAAAGAAACCCAGAATGAAAGTTCATATGCTTTGCTTTATCCTTTATTCTCCTACATTTGCTTAGGTGGAATATTATTTGCTAGGTAGCACTGGGTATATTTGCCATGTTCATATATTTTAATGAAATGAAAAGCTAAAGGAGAAATACTTATTGCCATAAGAAAGGAAGTAATCAATTGCAAATAAATTTAGATGGTAAAATGTCTCCAACTTCTTTCTCTGCGGTAGTCATGTTGTTAAGTCCAACAAGTCTTCACTTTTATTTGAAATTTTGACTCCCTATTTGTTTTGCCTAGAAGTTTAGATAATACATAGCATGTATAGTTGAATATTTGCTGGAAAAATGAATTGCACTTTAACATTTTGTCTAAATTCTGTGGACCAGGGGAAACTCTAAAATATTGCTATTTATACTGTCAGCAGCTATTTATATATTACTTTGTCTTTCAAGTAACAAGTTTTTGATATGGGGTTGTATGAGGGCAAAAATTTCTATCTTTACCCCTGTCTATTACTTTTATAGAAATTCCGTAAGTCTAATAAGATTCATCATATCTGAATTCATAATTTTTTGTTTTAGCACATGAAAGCGGAAATACACCTAAATATTTAGTTTTAATAATATTGATTTAATAACAATTCACCTAAAAGTAGAAGAATGACCATTTATTATACCCATACCCATGAAGTATAGCATGATAAGACTTTCTCTGTCTCATCAACTCTTCATAAACCTAAGTAGTCATTTTGAGTTTCATAAAAAATAGTCAGTTACATGGACACAAACATATCCACACGTATTTACATACATGGAGGCACAAATATACACACATACAAATACACAGAGACACATACACTCATACACAAAACATACCTTCTCGCATAGGCTATGCTTCAAAGCCATTGATTAAGACAGCAGCCACCCAGACAGTGCACTATGCTTATATTCAGTGGAGCTAGTTCATTGCTACCTGTCACCCTGCATTAGGGCTTTTTTTTCTTGCCCTTTACTGTGTTGTGAAAATCCTATTGTTAATAAATGCCACATGCCTGGAAAAGAAATGTGTTTTCTTCTTTCTTAACCTCAACTTTTCTCTTATTTTTCCCTTATTTCTTCTTCCATCCGTTCACCCAAGTCACATATCTGGAATCATCCTCAAGCCTTCCCCATCCTTATCTCACATAGCAAATCACTTCCTGAGTCCTATAAAAGTTTTCTTCTTTAAATATTTCTCCAGTCTGCTCTTTGCTCCTTTTTTCCACTACTACTGTCTTGATTTAGTGCCTCACTTCTTCTCATTCTGTTATGGTTCTTCCTGTTTGAGAAGCTATCTGAATAGATGGGCCAGACTTATCCCCTTTTTAACCATTCTGCTTACTAGAGCCCTCTAAATGAAGTGTTTGCCCCACAGTAGATATACAAAATGACTCATTAAATTAATTCTATATAACATCTTTTTAAATTTTCATGTTTGAGTCTATTTTCATGATTTAAATAAGCTAGTACTATAGAACAGGTACATAAAACGTCACACATACATATTTATGTTGAGGTGCATACTTAAGATGTTTTTTCTATTGATTTGCATCATCAAAAATAGCTTTCTGAAAATGTAGTTATCATACCTCTGCTTGAAATCTGTCAGTGTTTTTTCATTCTTCTTCATATCCAAAATAAAATCAGCCAGATCAGGAAGTTAACATTGCTATATTATTACTGTCTGATCCTCAGATTTCATTTAGGTTTGGCTATTAATCCCAGTAAGGTCATTTATGGCAAAAGGATTCGGTATAGAATCACAGGTTACATTTAGTTTTCATATTTCTTTTGTCTTGAATCTGGACAGTTCCTTAGTCTTTCCTTAACTTTCATTAGCTTGTGACTTTTGAAAATTACAGAGCAGTTATTTTGTAGAATGTATTTCACTGTGCATTTTTCAAATATTTTCTTGTGGTTTAGATTCATTATGCATCTTTGATAAGAATACCACAGATGTGATGCTGTGTGCATTCTACACAAAATTTTGATTTGAATTATAGATAATGATGTTATATCTTAGGAGTTGTCTGCTAGTTTTCTAATTAATTAGTGATTTCTGGGGAAGAACCTTGAGACTATGTAAAAATATCCTATTCCTCATCAAACCTTCATTTTCTGTTTTATTCAGTGGGGTTATATTGAATGTTATTATTTATTGTTATTTTCAAATTACTACAAATTCAGCTAATGAAAGCCACTTCAAGCTGCCTTCTATATCCTTTTGACATGATTCCGCCAATCTTCAGGTACTTTCTTGCCGAAGGTCTTCCAGGCTCAGCTTATCTACTGTCTCTATCTCCATTCCTGGAATCAGCTGTTTCTCCAAGGAGCCCAGGTTCCTTTTAGTGGAAAACGATATTTAGAAACCAAGATCTGGTGTGGTCATTGTTACTGGGATATTGCTTTTCCCGGTTCTTCTCAGTAGAAAAAGCCAAGGACTGGATGTAGGTATACGTATTCATACACAGCCACACTTACATCTATATTTTTGCTTTCATAGACATTGAAAACTAATTTTCTTCCTTTTCATCTTTGTAAATAACTCCTTTGTAAATAACTCTCTGACAGAAAACTGGCTCCCATTTTCCTTAATGTATACTCTTGTATCATTACTCTCCTGATATGAAACCAATCTCTTATCACCCTCTACTCCTGCCCACATGGATACCTACTTTGCTTGTCATTTGATAACTTTTAAACTGAATTGTTCAGGAAGAGGAGAGAAGGGATGAGGACTGACATTTGTATTTTTTACAAGTTCCACAGGTGATTTTATGAGATTTTATGAGCAGTTAGGAATAAGAACTACTGTTATACCTAGTTGTTAAAAACTTCAGTTTTTACAAAGTTTTGAAGCTAAAAATTAACTTTTTGGAATTTTAAATTTTAAAACAATGTGTATAACCCAAGTCAAATGTCAACAAATTGACATTTTAATATTATATTGTATATTGCCATATAAGATATAAAGTAGACTTAGTATTGTAATTTAAAAAGTAGGACATAGCTCATGCTTCAGTCTTTTCCAGGATATTCTTGATAAAGATCTCAACAACTTGTATCTGCTGAAACACTTAAAATGATGATAACTTGTCTTAATATGGTTACATGAACATGTATAAATATTTCTTTTAAAAGTGCTTCCTCCAGGTCATATGTATTCACAGACGCCACTGAGGATTTAAATATCCATCATGTACTTTATCGTGACTATGTCAGTTACTATTGTAGCTTTTCATCTTTGTTTAAAGCTATGTTTTGTGAGAAGCCATGGAGTATACATGACAGGTCATTATCTGACTACTACAAGGTGAGCTGTCTTAGCTTGGAGACTTCTATTTGGTTCAGTCTTATTTGATCTTTCTAGTATGCTACATTTTTTGAGTAGTAATAATTTTTGAATTCATATGCATAGGAATTTCATCCAAGTCCTTATAGGAGATTTTCTAGAACTACAAATGCGTGACAGACTAGCTAAGGCGAGTGATATTTCTCAATAATCATTTGTATTAAAAATCTTTAAGTAGAGGACATACGATATTTTTAATTTTGGTTTTATTTTTTATCTTTTCTGCATTGAAATAAATTCTATAACTATGCCCAAACGATATATATAAATATGTATTTATATGTATAAATACAAATATGTATTTGTATGTATAAATATGTATAAATATATATTTTCAAGTAAAACAGTCATTGAGAATTTTGTGTCTTTAAGAACGGAACAATCTCTTCAGGAGTATCTTGCCACAATACATTAAACAAGCACATTTAATTGAACTTGGTAATATTGGAAATTGAATGTCTGAATTTTATGCATTGAGAAGATTTATGAAAAATATAAAATTAAAATGAATTATCCTTTAAAGTTCTTTAAAATTTGAAGCATATAACTGACGCATAAAAAAGAGACTTTTAAATATTTTAACTATTCATTTGACCTCTGGGATTTTATCTGACATTAGATTGAATTTTAAGTTTCTGGATTTTATATGGCCGACAGAGACATCATTTTTAGGTAAGATGTATACCACTCAGCTGTCTAAATTCAGTACTCTTCTAGCGTTTGTGGGACAAGCTTACAAAAGCTTACAAAAATGTGCTTCATGGAGCTTTACTGAGTTTTGGTTTGCCTTTTTACTAATACAGATATGTAAAAAGTCTGGAAAAAAAGTTGTTTCTATTGTGTCCTATATTAGAATTAAATAGAACAAATCTGCGGTGTTTTGTAGACTTACTAAAAGTCTGAGAATTAAAACTGTGGTATGTGGTTATCCTCAAAGATGGTTTTAGTTTTGTATTAAACTTTAGATTTCCTCTTTCCTGGTGGGTGGGATAAAGCCCACAGATTTCCAGTTGATCCTCTACTGTAGAACAAGGTCCTCAACTAAGTTCAGGCAGTTGCTAATTGCTTCTAGCATGTTCCTTGGCAAGTGAAATTGTTTGTATAAATGTCTTTTAATCCCTTAGTTTCTAATTGAGTGCTGTACTTTGGGACTATTAATAATTATTTGCTTAACAATCCCACTAATTATAGTTGGTACTTTGCTTTAAAAAAAAAATTAGAGTGTTTTATTGTTCATACTGAACATTTATGTCCTGAATTGAACTTATTAGTCATCATTATTGCCTGGTCAAGTAGGTGGTTTTATTAATACTTTATTGTCCTAGACGTGTTTTCTGAAACCTATTTCTAGACAATGTTTTTATCAAGTAATCATTTTCAGTAAAACATAGATTGTTTATTAGTCATTCTTAATAGTATTAATAGAATTGGAATCAGTATTGATCTGTTTGGTTCTTTAACCTAAGGTAGTTTTCATGGGAATCAGATAATATATATTAAACGTATATACTTCAGTAAATTATTCCTTAAGCATCATTTTGAAAATATGATTTATTAAGATAAGTTTGTCAGTGTTTATGATACACATATTTTGATATATTTAAATATCAAATTCACAGAGAAAGGAAAATGGTTAGAACATCTAAAAATAGACCATCTTTCACTATATTGATAATTTACAAAATTGAAAAACTAAGCCACTTTCTAAATTACGCTTACTACAAACTTGAAAAACTAAGCCATTTTCTAAGTGGCATGTGGCCTGGTGCATTTACATAGCATGCTGTGGAATACCATATGTGATGAGAAACTAAATCATAACTGAGATAATTAATCAAAGTACAGTAGGTTGCCATACATATAAATGTCTTTTAAAAGTCGCAAACCTCATACTGTCCTGTAGTTTAAAATTTTTTTGTGTGTTTTTATTTTTTGTTATTTTGTTATTTCAGCTACTAAAATGCTGAGAGTTAAGATAAAGGACATTTTATTACGGCTTTACAAAAGTTAATAAAAGTATTTTTACCTTATTAACCCAGCATTTGAAATATTAAAATAAGGTTATATAATCAACCAATATATCATAGATCGTACTGTTATAAAATTCAGAAGTGGTGTGGAATATATTAATTATGTAAATTTTTATTCCAGTTTTTATTTGTCGTGTGAGTGTGAGAGACATGTTCATTGTGAAAAGATACTCCTAGTGGAATTAAACTATTCTCACAATTGTGAAAATATCGCCTAAATAATAGAAAAGGCTTAAATCCTGGCTTCAAAAAAACAAAGTGAGATTGCATGCATTGTAGATGTAGATATAGTGAGAGTAATTTGGTTCCTCTAATTTATTAAACATTTTAATTAGTTCATAATTTTATAAAATATTTGTTAAAAAATATTGTTTCCAACCTACATATTGTGGTTTAAGAAGTGCTCTTTTGCTTATGACTAAGAGACTTCTTCAAGAAAACTTTCAAATCTAAGCCAAGAAAATTCGAAAAATGAACTCTGGTAGTTAATGGAATTGAGTTCTTTGAAATCAAATATAGTTGAGCATTCCAATTTTGATTTTCTGATGGAATCTTTCCTAGGTGTGATAAGTTGTAAATTAGAGGTTAGAAACATAAAGTGCATTATGCCATGTTAATTGCCTTTTAATATATTCATTTTTGACATTTCTGAAATTAGATTGTGTATCTATAAGCAGTTTTTATCTTTAAGTGATAATAGTTATTTTTTCCCAAAAAATTGCCATTAAATTGGCGGAGTTCTTATAATTGGATGCGTCGTATAGTAGGAAGATAGAGTAATTTAAATTATATAGAAAGTTAAGTATGCAATTTGGTGTAGATGAAAGTGTTTTTCTGAGCTTTGAAAAGAAACAAACTGGGCTCAGGTCTTAACTATTTATAGTTACTTGTGAACTTCAGCAAGTTGTTTCACCTAACTTTTAGGTTGCTCATTTGTAGAAGGTTGAATGGCAATACTGGGAAGTATAGAGGTGCTCAGTAAGTGACAAGCATTTTAGGCACAGAGAGAAAAGTTCAAAATTAGTGATAATACTCTGATTTTCAAATGTTAAGAAATGTTTTTTAAAAGTAACCTGAAGAGTAATTTTCTGTTTCATTTTCTGCCTTCACACACATCAAATGAAAATCTTTCCTGTCTCAGAGTTTCACACTAAACAGGGGAAGGTCAAGTCTAACTTTTTCATGCAGAAAAATGTCCATTTGTTATAATTTCTTGGTAGCAATGAAAGCTATCTTTATAATTAATGTATTTTTAAACCATGGCATTCATGGCTCCCTAAATTTTTTTAAAGTATATGCTATCCTATCAGATTTTCTAAATGTACTGTAGTTAGTACTTTTAATATTGATGGTAATTCATATTTCACTTTAAATATAGGATTATGGTCCTATGTGAATCATGCACTAATATATTTATTTTATAAGTAGAGAGAATGATATTTAGAAACTAAAGGTTTGTTTTGTTTAAGCCATATTTAAGCCACTGACTCTGCCTGGTATGAATAATAGGAAAAGATCTAACTCATACGGAAACTTGTTTTTTACTGACGACATATTTTAGTAACAAGTGAAGAAATATCCAAGAAATTTTTCTTAGACTATAAAGGCATATTTTTTTCTTTGTCAAGGTCATTAAAACTGTAAACTTGAAACTGAAATGAAAATACAAAGTAAATCCAGTAAAATGTAAACGTAACAAACCACTGAAGACAGTTGTAAGACAATTTATAAGTCCACTTTGTCAAGGTGTATGCAGTTTCTGATAACAAAAGTTTCATCATCCCTAAAGAATGACTTTTTAACAGGTAAATATCAGCAACACACCCTTTTTATTATATACATGTGGGATCTTTTAAGGATGGATATGTTGGAAAATCTGGGCTAGCACTTTCACATTCCTTGTTGAGTCTGGAAGTTAAGGTTTTTAACTTTTAGAGCATATTGTATAAACACATTTAGAATTTCAAAGCATGATTATGTGCCATCAATATGCCTTACAGCATTTATGCAAAAGAAAACCTTACACTTAAGTAAGGAAATGTTTACTAATTCTCCGATGCTACTAATTCTTTTCTTTTAGAAAGGTAGACTCTCAGTACAGTAGCCTCCCCCCACTGCCTACTTAATTGCAGGGGTTATGTTCCAAGACCCCTAGAAGATGCCTTAAACCAGTTATTTTTTCCTAGACATGTCTTTTCAGTGAAAGGAAATATCTTATGGCTTCCCTTTGGCATATCAAAATTGTTAACATCACTACTCTTGCACTTCGGGGTTGTTACTAAGTAAAATAAGGGTTACTTGGACACAAGCCCTGCAGTACTGTGATGGTCGATCTAGTCACTGAGACAGCTAAGTGACTAACGAGCAGGTAGCACATACAGTATGGACATATTCTGGGCAAAGGAATGATTCATGTCCCAAGTGGGAACAAGTGGGACAACATGAGATTTCATCATGCTCTTCAGAATGGTATGCAATTTAAAACTTCCAAACTGTTTATTTCTGGAATTTTTTTTTTTCTATAAGTTCTGGGGTACGTGTCCAGAACGTACAGGTTTGTTCCGTAGGTATACATGTGCCATGGTGGTTTGCTGCACCTGTCAACCCGTCAGACGTTTTAAGCCCTGCATGCATTAGGTATTTGTCCTAATGCACTTCCTCCCCTTGCCCTACCCCCCGACAGGCCTCTGGTGTGTGTTGCTTCTCTCCCTGTGTCCATGTGTTCTCATTATTCCACTCTCACTTATGAGTGAGAACATGGGGTGTTTGGTTTTCTGTTTCTGTGTTAGTTTGCTGAGAATGATGGCTTCCAGCTTCATCCATGTCCCTGCAAAGGACATGAACTCATTCTTTTTTATGGCTGCATAGTGTTCCATGGTATTCTGGAACTTTTTATTTACTATTTCCAGATCACAGTTTACCATGGGTAACTGAAACCTGGGAAAGCAAAACCACAGTTAAGGGGAGATTACTGTTTGTACTTTTTATATATATATATATATATATACACACACACACACACACACACACACACACACATACATACACACACATATATATATACACGTATATATATATACACGTATATATATATACGTATATATATATATTGTGTGTGTGTGTGTGTCAAAGGGTAGTGATTCATACATATAAATTCTTCAGAACCCTATCTTTATGCCCTACAATTATTTCCCTTTCTACCCCCTGCTGTCCTGATTCCCAGTAGAGGGAACCATTAATGATATACTTCCTTAATCATAGCATATGTTTCTTTATTTGTTTCCCTTCATGTTACTTTAAAAATTGAATTATCTTTTTCTGGGAATATCAGATATGCTGTTGTTAACACGTTTCTCCTTGGCAAAATGCCATTAACAAATAAGGCAAATTATAAGAGTATGGTCCACATTGTCCTTCCACTGCCCTATAGTTCCAGCTTAGTCCAGTCCTGCTGTATATTAAATTAGTAGTAGCTTCAGTAGTGTTTTCTTGGTCACCAATAAAACATGCTCCCTTTGTCTTTTCCAAGTTCTGAAATTGCCCAGCTGCATGTCCAGGAACTTCTCTGAGCTGTAAATTCAGTTTGTCAAAATCAAGAATCTTCCTCTATTATTCTGTGTCATGTTTCATCCACCTTGTTGGTAATTTCCTCCTTTTAAAAATACTTCTTTCTCGCCTTCAGTGAACTTCTTCTCTCCTGCGTTTGCCTTTTCTTAGCGGACCATTTCTTTGGTTTTTTTGATAGGCTTCTCTAGGTTGGTTTCACAGTCTTTTTTTCTCGCTGCAGTTGATAGCATCTATACCCAAAGCTCAATACCACACCCATTTTGCAACAGGAAATCTTGGGATTTAGGATTTAAGTGATCCATCTGCTTTCTCTGAGTTAATGTCCCTCAAGAGAGACTTTTTTGCCTTTTAAAATATCCTTTTGTCTAGTGATTAAGACAATATAGCAATAAATTTACATATATGGTTTAATTGGCCGTTTCCTCTTATAGTCTCCTTTTACTAAGTAGTTTAACTGACATTTACTTAAGTAGGCGAATGTATATTAATTTGATCTTCAAATTAAATATTCTGAAGATATGATTAAATATGCTATAATTAAAATGTTGGACTCTTGAATTTTGATAAACTTTAAAGCTAGAAAGTTGGCTGGGCGCAGTGGCTCACACCTGTATTCCCAGTGCTTTGGGAGGCCGAGACAGGCAGATCACAAGGTCAGGAGTTCGAGACCAGCCTAGTCAATATGGTGAAACCATATCTCTACTAAAAATACAAAAATTAGCTGGGTGCAGTGGTGTGAACCTTTAGTCCCACCTACTCGGGAGGCTGAGACAGGAGAATCACTTGAACCCAGGAGGCAGAGGCTGCAGTGAACCGAGATCACACCACTACACTCCAGCCTGGGTGAATCGCTTGAACCCAGGAAGCGGAGGCTGGAATGAGCAGAGATCGTGCCACTACACTCCAGCCTGGGTGAATCGCTTGAACCCAGGAGGCGGAAGTTGCAGTGAGCCGAGATCGTGCCACTACACTCCACCCTGGGTGACAGAGCGAGACTCCATCTCAAAAAAAAAAAAACTAGAAAGTAATAATTCAAAATAGGAATTTTGTTTAATATAGTAAAATTGATATCCTTTATTTAAAATATTGCTTTTAAAAAATACATGCCTCTCACTGTTTTTCTCCTTACTTTTTCCTTTTCTTTTTTCTAACTCCACTTTTCTGAAGAAAGTTGGTATCAGGAAAAAAAAATACACTTTGGGGTTTTAAAAATATTGTAAAAGTAGTAAATGGTCATTGTTGAATATTGGAAAAAAATTTTAAACATAAAGAAGTATTTTAAATTATCTGCAATTTAGCACCTAAAGATACTACATTTCTGCTCATGTTTTGGTGGTATGTCCTACTACAACCTACTTTAAAAAAAATTACAGTTAGATCATACTTTCTGTTATATAATGGTATTTTGAAAAATATAATTGCATGTATGGCAGTTTACCATGTTGTTAAATACTCTTACATAATCTATTTTTAAGTGCTGTACAATTTCTTATACAAATATACTTTTAATGTAATGACTAGATCAAACAATATAAACATTTTTAAAATAAGAAAGTATCATACTAATAATAATAATAGAAGTTAACATTTTGTTGAGCACCACTATGTGCCTGGCATTTTCTAAGCATTTAAAATGTATAATTCTATGTAATCCTCACCACAACCTTTAAGGTGGTTATTGTTTTTTTTTATCTCCTTTCTGCAGATGAAAGAAAGAAATGAGATTCAGAGAAGTTAAGGATTACACAGCTAATAAGTGATATAACAGTAATTCAAACCCAGATCTCCCTGACTCTAGAGCCTGTGTTTTAGAAACTAGATTTTATATATTAAAATAGGTATTTTCTATTTCTTATTGTAAGAGATTCTCAAATTAGATTTTGTCCTAAAGCCATTTTAGATTTTCATCATGTAAAACTCAGATAATTTTTCTATTATAAATAAACATGACTTCTAATCGGAAAGGGAAAAATATTATTAAGTGGGATCTGCTTTTGTCTTTCTAATGGATAGGGGAATAAAACACAAAGATATTTTAAAACAAATAAGTTGATTAAAGATGGTGCTATGGTATGGTGTGGGAAGATGAATGTGGAAGATGAGGTAACTCAACTCCTCAGGGCCCTTTCTTCATGAAATTCAATTAAATAAGATCTGTGTTAGGGGAGGTACCATTTGACAATATGGATGATTTATGTAGACACAGCAGAAACTAATCTATTGAACTTGGAGGGAGGTAAAGGAAAGGGATCTAAAGGTGATTTTTTTTTATTAGACACTAAGCACTGTATTTTACCTCAGTCAAATCTTAGTTTTTAATGTTTGTCATGAGTTGTGAAGTTTGAAAACCAGTACTGTGAAAAGTAACTACAGCCAGCCACACTCAATCCCTTTGCAAAGATAGTTTAAGAATATTCTCATTTGTGTAGTGTCAGCTATTATACTTTGTGTACACTGGCAGTTTTTGTATGTTTTTATCCTAGTATCAGCATTCTTTTGCAGTACAAGTTTCTCTTCTTCAAAAGAATACTTGCTTCTAAGTGTATTGAGTATAAATACAATTCAGTTTACACTCGTTTGTGTTAATTCTTTTGCTGACAATTCTTTTGTTAATTCTTTTGATTATTAAACAAGGAGTACAAAATTATTACCTCACCTATAAAAGGTTTAGAAATGGTTCCTGCCTCATTGACAGATAAAGGTCTGTATGTAACTGTTTTTATTCTACTATATTTCCACCTGTGACCTAGCTCTGCCACCTCTTTTTGTGATTTCAGACTTTTACAAGTTGTTTTATGTTTAATATATTGTTCTCTTTTTTTCCTCTGGACTATATTCATATGATAAATCTAATCTCTGGTCACCTAAGATACAACCTATTTTAATATTTTCTCTGAAGGTTTCTTAAAGGTTTATATTATAGTGTTATACCTTCATTGAAATTAAGTCGGTTTTTTGTTAAGGGTACCTTCAATAATGGCTGCAAAAGATTATGTGCTTCACTGGTTTGAAAACTCTTTAAAGTATGCTTATAGAGGTTAACATTTTAAGAATCGCTTTGAAAAGTTCAAGCTGTATCAAAGCACTTGTCAGCAATGTGTTCACTTTCGTGTTCTTGAGGGCTGGACCATTCTCTCAATTTTTAAAGACCAATAGTATTCTTTATATTCTGTTTCTAAAATCAGAGTTCAAAATTTAGATGATTAGTTATTTGTAAATCATTTTTCCAAAGCACAGATGTATTGGTAGCTTAATGCAGGTAATAAGTATAAGGTATTTCAGCATTATTTCTTTATTTTAATGCAGCAGTTTCAACAACCAACAGCAAATCATCTTAATGACTCAATTTAAAATTTATCCTAGTATCCAGTCATTTGCTTAATTATTAATTTTTACCACTTAAAACAATTTTCAGAGTGTGAATGAAGTACATATTTTTAGGATACATTATTTACTCTTTTATAAGCAGGCTAAGTGCTGTAAAGGATAGATATTTCTTTACCTTTCCTTGTGACAATGTTGAAGCTTTAACCTGTTTACAGCATAAAGACTCTGTTAAGTACAATCTTAATCTTTATTTTTTAGTATTCTCAAATCTACTACATATGAATCTAATTTTTGCAGTGAAATAAACTTTCTCTCTTCGTTATTTAGCTGTTTCAAAATCCCTAACTTTTGTCTTCCTGTCTACTCCTTCCTTTCTCCTTCACATTTCCAAGCAGTATTTGGAAACATGACAATATATTTTTCAAGTATGTTTATGTTCTTTTATCAATGAAAAGCTTCCCTAAGATAGCAATGTCCCTAATAGGGTAAAATACAGTTAGCTGTATTTTTTTAACCTCCTCATAGCAATAGGATGAAAAAAAAAAAAAAGCTACAGTCTGAATTTGACATCATTAAACAAAAACTCTTCAAATTAAACAGTATAAAAAGAGACAAAAAAGTGGTTTTATTTGTTCTTCATATTAAATGCCTTAAGGATTCTCAAGTGAGCTATTTTTAACAGACCACTCTTACGTTTTTATTGTGATTTAAGTAAATTTTGCTCTTAATTCCAAGACAAGGTACAAACAGAAATGAGCTCGATTCCTTCCATCCCAGTGCCTTTAAACATGCTCATTTGGAGCTTCCTTTTTCCCCCAGTTACTCTCAGACAAATCTTACAGCTTTTCCAGTTACCTTTAGGTATTAATAGTCTTTTTTTTAAATATCAAAGTCCAGTCCAGTTTAATGTCAAATCTTCTATTCTCAGCAGCTCAGACCTCCTTTAAACTGGGAAACCTGTAGTTTGGAAGTGGGGCATTCTAGATTTTGATTCTTGCCCCTCCTTTTTTTTTTTTGACTCATTGCTAGAGCTTTTCTATGTAGAGGTGCCTTGATATGAGAGATGCCTTCTGTGGGTTACTTGTGACTTCCTTTTCAGAACTTAGTTCCGTTTATCTCTTTTTTGATTGGCATTATCCCCATCCCACCAACGCTGTCCTCTTTGGCTAGATTCCTTTCTAGAGTCTTGCTCTTTAACGGGCCCACATTTTGTCCTAGGGGAAACACACAACCCCTTGCCTTAACAAGCTCAGAAAGAACAGCCATTCCCACTGCAGCCATGCATCTTTGCTTTGCTACTACAGACAGACAGGCATGTATCATCATCTAGTCCTTGTCCTCCAAACTCCCAGGGGACAAACTCTGAGTAATTTTTAGAAAATTCCTCTTCTGAGAGGGACTTCCTTTAAAGTACCTCTTCTAAAGAAATCCTTACTCTCCAGTTTCACCTTTCCTCATTCTTCAGACTTCTCCTTTAATGAGTTACCATACCAAATTTTGTGTAAGACTTTGAAGAAAATATTTTCTGAAGTATTTTATCAGTGCATATCTTTAAAAATGAATAGCTTAGACCATTTACGAGAGATTGAGAAAATTTCACTCACCCATGAGTCCTAAATCAAATATCCTATCACCATGACTTAAATCATGATTTTTTTTTTCATAATTATCACTTCTTTCACTTCTTCAAACACTTTATACCAGTTCCTGAACTCCTCTCAAGACCTCCAGGCCACCATTTACTCTCCTCCACCTTTTTAAAGTTGTAACTTGACATTTTAATGTGCACTTTTTAAAACCATTAGAGTCCTCCATTGTAACTGCCCAACTTCTCAAGATTCACTGTATTGGTTTATCTCAACTGTTTCTTTTTTGGCCAGAAATAACATAAAATATATGTACTTGAGTTCACTACAAATTCATGCCTTCTAATTTAAACCAGACCTCATTGCTATCTTTTGTGATCTCCTTATCAGATTTCTTATAGCAGTTATTTCAAATCTTTGACACATGCATCAAGGCTTCAGTTTTATTCCCAGCAGACTTACTTTTTCAAGATGATCTTGTCTCTTATTTTCACTGAGGAAAGGGGGGTGATATTTTTATCTTTCTCCTCTCAGCCTTAAAAAAAGTCTTTGTTATTTTCCCTACTTCATTCTATTTCCTGTCTCAGAAAATAAAAGTGCCACTACCTCCTCTGTTCTTTATTCCAAACATCTCCTTTCTCTTCAGTACTTGTTTCTGTTCTCATTAAGCCATTCTACACACTTTTTCCCAGTCACTCTTTGGGAAAGATCACTTTTCAAATTTCCAGGTCAGAAAATCCAAGAAAAAAGTAAGGCGCTTTCCATTGTCTATACTATAGTATAGACATCAGGGTTTTATCCCTGACATTCAAGGCCATATATAATCTAGACTCATGCTGCTAGTATTTTAGATGTAAATCAGTCTCTCTCTCTCCCCCCGCCCCCACTGCTTTCCTCCCGTTCTCCTTCCGTCTCTCCCATTCTCCCTCCTCTCTCCCTCTCTTTTTCTCTTCCCCTCCTTCTTTCTCACTACTCTTTTGCAAAAAGCCTCATATATCATCAGGTTTTTTTTCTTCTTAATTAAATGTCCAGTTTAAATTATAGTTTTCTAGTTGCCCTACAATCCTTAGGCCTAGATTCAATTTCTTTTGCACTTTTTTTGCTAGGCTGTTCATTTGACATTTGGTAGACTTTTTTTGTCATGCTATTGATCTTTTTATATCTGGGTTATTTTTACCAGCTAGATTACAAACTCTCTTACAACAGAGGATATTTCTGTCATACTTTCTTAAAGCAAGGAACCTGGATGTTGCATATTTTTTCTAAGATAGATTTAAGATTGTTCCTGGTAGTTCTCCACTGCTAGCCTATTTTCTCTTAGTTGTTACTGAAATTATTTTTAAAACTTTTATTTTGCCAAATGGCAGTAGAGGTGGTGCAGGTTCTAGTTTTTGCCTTAGAGGCCCAAGGCTGTTTATTGAAACAACAAATGATGTTTGGAACATAAATTTCTGGCAGCCATGACCCAAATATGCAAAAAAGACCAAGAAGATATCTGTTCAGCAAGTTTAAAATCATATTCTTTCTTAGATTATTTTCTTATGTAGTTCACTCAGCATTTCTGTTAACATTTAATAGTACCTGTTCACAGATTTCTTTGGAATAGACACAGTTTTAAATTAAAAGGAAAGTAAGTTGTCTCCTTCAGAATAAAGAACACTGGCATTGTCTAAGGGTATAAAACTAATCCAAATGAAAATGCCTATTTTGTGTGTATGTTTCTTTTTTTTTTTTTTTTTGCCTTTACATAAAATTTAAGAGACAGTAAACCCTTTATTTACCAAAATATTTTCTTTCTGTTGATGGACCTACCAATATATTAGCAATAGGAGTCTCATTTTTATTGGATAAAAATCTGTATAGTATTCAGAAGGTGTGCCACATACTTCACTAGGTGCTTCAGATGTAGTAAGATGAGACATAAATCTTGCCCTTAAAAAACTTAGATGCTAGTAGGATAGATAAAGCATGTATGCATTTAATTATGATATCAAATTTAAAGTGTTAAATGCCATTAAGAAGTATAGGTAAGGTACAGTGGGAATTTTGAGAGTAGGATGATTGCTTTCAGCACCAAGCAAAAAGAGATTGGCAAAAAATACAACATTTCAATAGAATTATAAAGGCTAGTAGGATTTGACAGAAGTATTAATTAGGATATGCTAAGTTATGCAGCAAAAAAAAGAATCCCAAATTTTTAGTTGATTAATATAAGTTGATTTCTCATTCATGTAACGTATCAGTACAGGTTGACAGAGCAGCTCTGCTCATTATAGTCACTTGGGGACCCGAGCTGATGGAGGTTTTGTTTCAACATATGTGGTCCACAGCATAGTAGCAGGAAATACCACAAATGTCACACTGGCTTTTAAAATCATATCTGGAATTTGATACATATCACTCCAGGCCACATTCCTCAGATGACGCAGTCAAACCTAACTTTAAGAAGCCAGTAAGTGTAATGCTACCACCATATGCTACCATACTTCCAAGACCTTTCTGGGATTCATTCCAGGATTCAAGGAAATCCTTGGAGAGAGAGAGAACGTATATACAATTTATATGGGGGAAACTGCATAATAGTGTGAAATGTAATGGTAGTAGTAATAGCTGCTAATATGTTCTCTTGATTTTTTTCTTTGCTTTTTTAAAAATAGCCTTTTGGTAGTATTTTTGATTTTTTTGTTTCTTTTTGAGCAGTTTTAGGTTTATAGAAAAATGGAGTTAAAACTACAGATTTCCCATATGCCCCCTCATCCCTTCCTCCTTCCCCTAGTTTCCTCTGTTACCATCTTGCATTCATGTGGTACATTTGTTAAAAATTGATGAGCCAGTATTGATACATTATTATTAACTAAAGTTTGTTGTTTACATTATAACTTATTTTTTGTGTGGTACATTCTGTGGGTTTTGACAGTTGTAATAATGACACATGTCCACCATTACAGTGTCATACAGAATAGTTCACTGCCCTAAAGATCTCCTGTGCTCTGCCTATTCACCACTCCCTCTCTACCATCAAACCACTGGCAACCACAGATCCTTTTGCTGTCTCCATAGTTTTGCCTTTTCTGAATGTCATATAGTATGTAGCCTGTTCAATTTGGCTTCTTTCCGTAAGCAATACGCATTTAGGGGTTTGTCATGTCTTTTCATGACTTGAGAGCTTTTTTTTTTAATCACTGAGTAATGTTCTATTGTATGGATATGCTCCTATTAAAGGTAAGAGAGAGTACGTGTAAAATTTGTTTGTTTTGTACACAACAGTCTTGTTTGTTTCCAAGTTTTGGCAGTTATGAATAACGCTACTATAAACATTCAGGTACAAGTTTTTAAGTGGGCACCAGTCAACTTAGTCAGGAAATACCAAGGAGTTCCATTATGGGATCATATGGTAAGAGTGTGTTTGGCTGCCAAACTGTCTTCCAAAATGGCAGTACCATTTTGCATTTCATCCCACAACAAATGAGAGTTGTTGTTCCATATCTTTGCCAGCATTGATGCTGTCAGTGTTTTAGATTTTAGCCATTCTAGCATGTGGGAAGTAGTTTTCATTTGCAGTTTCATAAGGACATGTAGTGTTGAGCATCTTTTCATATGCTTATTTGCCATATATATATCTTTTATGAGATACCTATTCAGATCTTTGGCCTGTTTTTTAAATTGGGTTGTAAAATTATTGTTTAATTTTAAAGAGTTATTTGTATATTTTGAATGCCAGTCCTTTATCAGATATGTGGTTTGCAAATATTTTCTCCAATTTGCAAAATATTATCACTGTTTTTTGCAGAGTAGAAGTTTTTAATGTTAATGAAGTCCAGCTTAATTTTTTTCTCTTATGGATTATATTTTTGGTATTGTATCATCAAATTTGTGGTCACCTAGATTTTCTACTATGTTGTCTTCTGGGAGTTTTATAGTTTTGCATTTTACATTTATGTCTGTGATTCATTGTGAGTTAATTTTTGTGAAAGGTGTTAGACCTGTGCCTACGTTCTCTCTCTGTCTCTCTCTCTCATTCTTTCTTTTTGACATTTGGAGGTCCATATGGTCCAGCACTATTTGTTAATATTCAAAAGCCAATTGCTTTCTTATGTTACAACAATGGACTACTGGAATTTTTTCTTGTTGGGTTTTTTTAAAAATTTTTTATTGTGTATATTTAAGGTATACAACATGGTGTTCTGGGATACAGATATATGGTAAAAAGTTACTATAGTTCAAGTTAGCATATCCATCATGTCACATAATTACCATTTTTTTGGGAGGGAAGGTTTTGGCAAGAATAGCTAAAATCTACTCATTTTGCATGAATTCCAAATACAGTACAATTGCATACCTGTAGCCCTCATATTGTATATTTTATCTCTAGACCTTTTTCATCTTATATATCTGCTGCTTTACATCCTCTGACCTCTACTTGCCCATTTTCTTCCCACTGATAACCAGGGTTTTGTTCTGTCTGTATAATTGAGATTTTTTTTTTTTTTTTAGATTCCACATAAAAGTGAGACCATTTAATATTTTTCTTTTTGTGCCTGGCTTGTTTCACTTAGTCTTGTGTCCTCCAGGTCCATCCATGTTGTGGCAGATGGCGAGATCTCATTCTTTTTTAGGGATAAATAACATCTCATTTATATACCACAATTTCTTTACCCATTTGTCTGTTAATGGGCGGTTAGGTTGTTTTTGTATCTTGGCTATTGTGAATAATGCTGCAGTGAACATGAGAGTGCAAGTATCTTTATGAGGTGGTGATTTCATTTCCTTTGAGTATATTCCTAGAAGAGGGAATCTGGGTCATATGGTCTTTCTATTTTTAATTTATTTAGAAACCTTTATAGTGTTTTTTTATAATGGTATAATGGTAATACCAACTTACATTCCTACTAACAGTGTACATGAGTTCCCCTTTTCTCCACCCCCTCACCAACATTTGTTATCTTTTGACTTTTTGATAATTAGCCATCCTAATGAGTATGAGATGGTATCTCATAGTGGTTTGGATTTGCATCTCCCTAATGATTAGTGATGTTGAGCACCTTTTCATATACCTATTGATGATGTTTACCTGTTCTTTGGAGAAATGTCTATTCAAGTCTGAAATTTAAAACATAATACCATTTGATTTGGCACCAGAAAACCCATGAAATTCTTAGGTATGAATCTAACAAAATATACACAAAACCTGTATGAGAGAAACTACAAAATTCTAATAAAAGAAATAAAGAACTAAATAAATAGAAAGCTATTCCATGTTCATTGACAGGAGAAATAAATATTTTCAAGATGTCAGTTCTTTTCAACTTAAACTATAGATTCAGTGCAATCCCAATCGAACTCTCAGCAAGTTATTTTGTGGATTTTGACAAACTGATTCTCAAGTTTATATGGAAAGGTAGAAAACCCAGAATAGCCAACATAATATTAAAGGAGAACAAAGTCAGAGGACTGACACTACCCAACTTTAAAACTTACTATAAAGCTACAGTAATCAAGACAGTGTTGTATTTGTAAAAGACAAATAGGTCAATGAAACAGAATAGAGAGCCCAGAGATAGACCCACATAAGTATAGTTAACTGATACTTGACAATGCAGCAAAGGCAATTCAGTAAAGAAAATATAGTCTTTTCAGTTAATATATTTTTAATGCAAAATGGTTGGGCATTAGATTGAGACCATATCATAAAGGGTGGTAAATATTATGTCATGAGTTTATAGCCACTGAAAATCTATTTGGAGCCCATTAGAGGAAGTTAGGGATCAGAAGAGGACAGGAAAAGCTAATCTCCAGAGTGCTTCCCCTAGCAAGACACTCTTTTTTCAAAATAGAACATGCAATATGGAGTTTAGGGCAGTGTCCTTACTGCACTTTTCATCTGCTCACAGTTCTGCTAATTATACATTTGGATTATCCTCAACCACAAACACATCTTTATATTATATTGCACATATTACATCATAAAACGATTCCTCCTGGATGCTTATCTACTAAACACAACAATTGCAGTATGCAGTGATAGAAAAGGAAGTTTTAGTTTATAGAAGAGTTTGTAGGAAATAATTTTGGAGTTTGAACTTTTATTAAGGTAAGGACTAACCTGGACCAGGTGACCCAAGTGAGGAATTTAAGGATATTAATCACTTAAGTAGAAAGCTACTAAGTAGTAAGAGGAGTTGACAAATTAGCCTTCCCACTTAAATCGTTTATCAAAGACTATCCAGTGCCTGGGAAATTTTTCTTGTCTTGTCAGGAGTCAGAATTTGAAATAGGCCTTGTGGTGGGGCTGTAACCCATTAAAAGATTTTTTTGGGCAGCGTTCTAAGTTTAAAATGATGAACTTTACAGTAGGCTTGTAGAATCTAACTTGCTTAGAAACTGAGTACTGCCTGTATTTTCAATTCAAAAAAGACCTTAAAATCTAAAGTTTGTGAGTGAACATTTTGCCGCTTTTAAAAGATATATCTTTAAATATATTAGAATTATAGAATTTAATAGCTAATATGGACCTGAAATATCATTTAGAGAGATTTGCAAACTTTTTAAACAAAAGATTCATTTTATATTGTTTGCTATATAATTTAAAGATTTCATGGAGTAAAGCATGCTGATAATTTTTGCTCTTTTATTTTTAGATTTAAAAAGTTAATCAGTATCCACTAAATTGATTTTACAGCCACTTGTATGGTTAAATAATTTGAAAAATATTGATCTCATCCAAGCGCTTTATTTTACAGATGAGGAAAGTGAGACTTGGAGCGGTAACCTCAGAGTAGCCACAGGATCACACAACTTTTTGACAGCTAGTTAATGACAGAGCTATGACCAGGTCAGTTCTGGTCAGTGTTCTTTCTGCCATCATTTATTGGTTCAGTCTATCATTAAGCACTTCAGAAATTATCGTAATCTTGTCATTAAATCTGTTCAGTACTTAAAAACAAGTTTAGTGCTGAAAAGTAATACATAAAATAATTTTGCAAAAAAACATGAGTAAACTCAAACTATAGAAGGATACACAATGAATAATTCAGTAGAGCAACATATAGACCACCAAGTAAATTTTTATCAAAAGACTGAATGCATTCTTATGTGTGTGTAATATGAATACTTGCACATAAACATGCTGATATCTTTGTCCTCTGGCAATGAAACCCACCTTTTTCTTCACTTGACAGACCCTTCTAAGGTCTCTAACTTCCTCTCAGCAATATCCCTCATTGCATCTGTTACAAAATGTTTCCTGAGAAGTTAGTTTCTTAGATGTACTCAATGTCCCTGTACTTTTAGTCAAATAGTCTCCTTCAAGAATGCAGACTTGGAGTCAAATTATTTAGGTAACTGTGTAAACTTGGGCAAGTGGCATAATGGCTCTGTGCCTCAGTTTCCTCATGTTAAAATGGAGACAATAAAAATACCTACTTATCAGGGCTTTTGAGGGGGGGTTCTTTTGTCACTTTCTTAGAATCTAGTGATGATGACAGTGAACCTGACCAATACCTAATTCATTCTTCTGTTCAGCTGCACATGTCCACAGGGAAAAGAAATGGTTTTCATTAAGATAAAGGTGAAAAATATATTTGTAAATAGATTAATACTTCTGAAGCAGTGGAAATAGCACATCTATTGTGTTTTTCATTTCTTTATTTGAAGACCATTTAAAATTATTTTGATACTATGCTGGCTGAACTATAATTTTTGGAAATGCTCTTTATTTTAAATTTAATTTTAATCAGTGTTAATTTTTGTGTATTTTTTTACAGTAAAGAAATGTTCTTTTTTTCCCATTGAAACTCCATCTTTGTTAAGAAGCAACAATTTCCTGCACTGGCAATGTTAAATGTAACTATAGCTTTCAATTCATTGCCGTGGTTATATTTCCACAGCCTGCTGTAAGAGATAAACCTATTGCAAATGAAGACAGCCTTCATTTTCCTTCTACCTCAGGCCACACAGAATTGATTGGGGTAATAAAATGACAGCACCTTGTAATATACGGAAGGCTTTTTAATTTGAAAACCAGTTCTAACCTGATTCAAAGCTTGTTTAAAGCTAATTTATAGCTTACATAATTTTCAGCTGGCTGACCAAGGTAAAGGATGATGTATGAAAACTGATAAAGAATTAATATTCAGACATTCCTCGTTAAAGTTAACTGGTATTAAAAAAAGAAAGAGAAGAAAATGTAGAAAAAAATTGGTAAGCTTTTGGTATACATAAGTAACATTGTTGAAAATAGTTTACACTTCTGTCATCTTTCAAACCTAGCTTCTTGTCCTTTCTTCTATTTGCATTTCTTACATGGTAAAATCCTTCATTTCTCATCACATATTAAGGTCAATGTAAGGCTGTAAGGTCAATGTGGTCACTGTTGTGACTTCCGCAGTGCCAAATCTATTGTATGCCGTGGTGGGATGCTGTTAAATAGTTCTGGTCTGTCAGAATTTTAATTATAATTTTTTTTCAAGATGCAAACTGAAGGAATTTAGAACTTTTCATTTTTATTTGAGCTGAAAAATCAGTATTAGGCCTTTTGCCTTTGGCTGTTTTTATCTCTTTATTTTAGCATATTTAATCATTTAACCCACAAATAATATAATTACCAGAGTAAAGTATCTGTACTATGAATGAATCCAGATTTTCAGAAATTTCATTTCACCATTCACAAGTAAAAACTGAATTACATTTTCCTTTTTTATGTTTAAGTCTTTTGCATAGTTATTACTTTTTATCTTAAAAAAGTGGAGGTTGAGCATGTCTTTTGCCATGTTCTATTCTAACATCCTAGAAAGTATCAAAATTTTAAGAAATGCATTTGTAATTCTTAATCATGTGTAGTTCACTTTGTACACAACAAATGTTTTGAATATGTAGGGTAAAGAAAAAGGTGAATAAACAGATGTATATAAACATAAGATTAGATATATGAGACCAAGAAATTCTGTAGTTTCAAAAAGACTTGTCTAGATATTTAGTTAGACATTAAGACCAAACATTTGTGGTCTAATTATGATGTCTGTGGTCAACATGGTCATAATTATTTTAATTACTTAAAAAAAATTATGAACTAGCACATGCTTATTATAGAAAACTTGGAGAACAATTAATATGTAAAGATAAAAAATATTCAAGAAATAACCACTACTAACATTTCGTTAGGACCTTAATATATAAGACATATGCTACGCATTTTCAGTGGGGACAAACATTGGTTCTTATGGGGGCAAAAATGCAAAATTAAAGTGGTTTGTGACTCCACGGCTTAAACCCTTCCCAAGAAAATTTTATTCTTAAGATTTAATCTCTCAGGTTTTCTTGGGTATCACACAAGCATTACTGACATTGAGTTCATGGAAAATACAGAAAATATATACAAAATTAATGCCACAGAACATGACAAATGGCTGTGAGGGGAGGACTTTTGATCAATTGCTTGATCTTAAACTTACTTTAGAAGAGGTGGCCAGTGCCTGCCAATTGGCTGCCATGTGGATACTTCTTATGCTTGATCTTAAGTGCTTTTGTGTGTGACAGCTCTACACAATTCCCTAGTTAAGAGTTACTTCTCACCAACCAAAGGTTTAAAAAGTTAAAGTTCACCAAGAATGATTTTTAAGACATTTATTTAATTTTTTTCATTTACTTTAGCTGGAACTGCAGTTTTAATAGTTTTGAATGGTTTTTTTAAAACTTGATTTAACTTTATTATTAATATAGTTCTAAAGTTAAACATTAATCACTTTTACATTTTAACTTAAAAATTCTTTTTTTTTTTTTTTTTTTTTTGAGACGGAGTTTTGCTCTTGTTGCCCAGGCTAGAGTGCAATGGCACAATCTCGGCTCCCTGTACCCAGGTTCAAGCGATTCTCCTACCTCAGCCTCCCGATTAGGTGGGATTACAGGCACCTGCCACCACGCCTGGCTAATTTTTGTATTTTCAGTAGAGACGGGGTTTTGCCATGTTGTCCAGGCTGGTCTCGAACTCCTGACCTCAGGTGATCTGCCCACCTCGGCCTCCCTAAAGTGTTGGGATTACAGGCATGAGCCACTGCGCCCGGCCCTGTTGAGTCATTCTTAATCTTGTATTAAATAAAAAGGTAACCTTTATACCTAGCTCTTTCCTTGTATAAAGTACAGCTATGCATATAAACATAAACAGACCAGCAGTATATCTGTGGCATTAAAATTTCATGAGGAAACAGGGAAAAATACTTCTTTTTTTTTTTTTGAGACGGAGTCTTTGCTCTGTCACCCAGCAGGCTGGAGTGCAGTGGCACGATCTTGGCTCACTGCAGGCTCTGCCTCCTGGATTCACGCCATTCTCCTGCCTCAGCCTCCCGAGTAGCTGGGATTACATGTGCTCGCCACCACACCTGGCTAATTTTTTGTATTTTTTAGTAGAGGCAGGGTTTCACCGCGTTAGCCAGGATGGTCTCGATCTCCTGACCTCGTGATCCACCCGCCTCGGCCCCCCAAAGTGCTGGGATTACAGGCGTGAGCCACTGCGCCTGGCCGGAAAAATATTTCTAAAGAGACTCCTTACAAGGTGATAATGAAAAAAAAACACAGTTGAGAAACACTGGCATAATCAACTTTTACCCACTTTATCCCTTATTATTACATAGTAAACATTAAAAATTATTTTTAAGCAAAGCCAGTTTTGTGCCCTGCGCACAATTACCATACTACTAAATTAGGAAGTAAACAGTAGATTAACTTGTGTTAACAGCATCAATTGTGATAATTAAGCTAAACAAGGAAATATTTGGCAGAATAAAATAAAACAATAACATATAAATCATATACTTAACAAATATTTTAATTTCTGATATTTATCTCACTTGCATATCATTCGTGCAAGTTCTTTAAAGAGAAAAGAGATCGTGAGAGATAAGTGCTCAAAGTCTTAACATGAGGAGTGGGAATAATGTATTTTTAATTGTATTTTCCTTGTTTTTACAATTTGAAGACTTCTGTTATTTTATACTCAATTTCAGTGTCATTTGCTTCACTGTCGTTTGCTTCATTGTGTTACTTGGAACTCAAGTAACCTATCTGAATACCAGCAGATGGTTGTTACATTTTTTTCCTATGTTGGTAGCTTGGGGAAGATGATATTTCTAAAACAAATATTTTCTTTTTTCCCCTGAATGAGTTTTAAAATATCTAATACAAGCTAAGGCTGTGGAGATATTATAAAAATCTAAGGGAGCAAGGAAGTCTGCAAATGGTATTATTGTTGTTTTCATATTCACAATATTTATATACATATGAAAAATTTTGTTCTAGTTTCACTGAAATTGGCAGTAGAAAGCAATTTTGAGTAATTTAACACAAAATTTGCCACTATCATAGAAGTGAATTATTTATAATTTGTTTTAAAATTTACAGATTTATTAAAAAACATATTGAGAGAAAATGTTTAAATAATTTTGTTTGTTGTTTCTAAAAATTAGGCATTCATCTATCTTTCACCATCCAGAATCACTGTATTTATTTTGATTGTATTCTCACCTGTTTCTTCTGCTATTTGGAGAGTGTTTGATACATGACTTAGTGTCATTTGCATTATATAAGAAGATTAATTTTACAAGTTCTGTTCTCAATTTGAATAACTTTACATATTGACCTATGCAGGAACATAATCAAGTTAGCCTAATGGAGTTAACTAATTGTCACACTTTGATGAATTTTATATTGTGAGAAATTAAAGACAAACAGAAATCATCAGCCTTTGCTTTGAAATCAAATTTAAAGGATTTTACCAAGTTGTACTATATTTAAATGAAGAATGTATCTATTTCACACTAACCCTAAAGTACTGGAGGTTTAAAAGGGAAGTCAAGTGTGTATTGTGTGTCAGTCATTTACCTTGGTTTCTGAAATATGTGAAAAATAAATTACAAAAACTAGAAAATATAAGACAGATAACTTTTGGTACTCTCTAAGGTACAAAAAGTAAAAAGGTAAATGTTTATAGAATTGATGAAAATTGAGTAAAATTTTCCATAGGGTATGACTTAGTGTACTATTCCTAATAATATTCTAATGCATCATTGTGACCAGCAAGTCCATATAATAATGATATTGACTTTGAGATTCTTGTTAGACTAGTGGGAATGACCCAGCCTAACAGGCTGGTTTGTTGGAGCAGTAACTTCCAGAGGTCTTTGACTAGAACTCACAGTAAGAAATACATGTTACCCTGTAACACCTTACACGTTCCTACACACTATTCTGTACACATCCCTACATACACCTCTATACACATTTCTATACATGACTACACATCCTTCTATATATAAACCTTCTCATACCCCTGCACACACCTGTACATACATCTCTACCAACAACTCTACACATACCCATACACACAGCCCTACATAGCCCGTTATACGACCCTACCGTATATACACATGCATACACCCCCACACGGAAATAAAACTTTTTTTATCCTTACTATGTGCGATATACCCTATTTTATTCTACCTATTCAATTTCAGCTTTAAAACAAATGTTCACAGCTCAGTAAATCTACATTTTGTTTAAACTAGTGTGCACTGGCCATTATAGTACATTAGGGCTGATATGTAGGTCTATATGTTGTTTGCTAGGTATCTAGATATATGAATGCAGTTATAGAAGCAAATATGTACAGTATAGGAGAAAGTAATATTTTGCCTATACTGCTAATTTTGTGTAGGGTTTTTTCAGGCTTTTGTGATGAGATCTTTCATTGTTCAGCAATAATGAGCTATGGATTTATAAATTTCTTGTTTTTCTTATACAAAGAAATAATATAATCCATAACTGCAAGAATATACTATACAGAAATATTTAAAGAGACTACCATTTCAAGCAAGGAAGTTGAAATAATAGGATTTTAAACATGGTCAAATAATAGGATTGAAATTTCTATACTATTTATGATAAAATAAAGAGCTTTATGTCAGTAGAATGGCAGTAGAATGCAAATGCTGGCATTATCTGAAATTGTTCCCAAGTACTTACTGACACTGAGAAATGTTTAATTCCTGGGAAGCGTCTTTGATATATGGTCAGTTTCTTCATGTAAATGTCCAAAAACCAATACTGTTTCCTGTTTGTTACATTTATTATGTTTTAGGTAACTTCCTTTTTCATGTCTGTTTCCATAAAATTGAAATTAAGTAAAATATGTTCTGAGGAACATAAGACAGACCTGGATTTGAATATCTACTTCTCCACTTAGCTGTGCCACTCTGGGAAAATTCCTTAACCCTCCTGAGTTTACATTTCCTCATCAGGGAATGAATTGGTTCTCCAAGGTTGTTTTAGGAAAATATCAATCCAGTTACACCTTAAGTTTTACTTGTATTTCTCATTCATTTAGCATAGTTGAGATTGTATAATTTAAATTTAGAGCAACTGGCCAAATTCTTTTAGATCTTGTTTCTGTCAGGGTTATCTCTGTAATTAAGAAATCCGGAGTTCAGAAGGATTGTTAATGAATTGTCTGAAGATATGTAATAAGTAGGAGCAGGCCCAGATGAGGACTTTGACTTTCTGTCTCCAAGTCTAATGGTCTTTCCCCTGTATAGTATAGAATCTGGTGCTCATTTTCTGATTAAATCTCTTACAGTGCCTACACAATTCCCAAAAAGTATATATATCTCACAGTATGATTATGCTAGTTGGGTTTATTGTTTGTTATATGCAGAAAAAGTAAAAATGTTTTCTCATTGTTTTGATATAAATTATTTTAAAATGTTCCTGGCATTGTGTTATATAATAGCCTAAGTTGCATCAGGAGTATAATTTGGTAGCTGTTTCCCACAGGGAAGTTTTATCTTATTTACAGATTTCATTCCTTGAAATTATTAATAGTTTCGTGTTGCATCAGTGACAGTATGTAAATCTCTACGTGATTATTGGTATTTTTGGGTTTCACTTTTTAAAGCTAGTCTGAACGTGTGTCTAACAGCTGTAAGTTTTTCATACTTACATAACTTTATTATTGATATAGATTTTTTTATTCCTACTTGATACTGCCTTTTTCTTACTGTCTTATCTGTCACAATTGAAAATACTGCTTCTGTGAGAGAAAAATACTAGCATATCTTCCTCAAATTATCAAAATATGAGAAGTATTTACCTAGAAAATTTCAAATGGCCATATTTTGAATATCTAGAAATCAGAAAAATAAGCAAATAGCTTCAATGCTTATTTTTAGATTGGGGTTTTTTAAATTTCTTAGGGGTTTTTGTTGTTGTTAGTTTTGCTGCTGCATATGCTTCTCAGTAAAAGCAAATAGTTTTATTGAGCTTTCTCCAAAATGTAGACAACAATGTTAAATGTATTATCAATGAAAAATTATGAACCACAAACACATATTATCCCAACATATAAAATTACAGATTTTTTATTTTCTCAGTAAACTCAGGTATCTTCACATTTAAAGCTGGTAGAAATACATGATGCCCTTTTCTGTTCTTATAGTGATACACATAGCAATTATTCACTGCGCCATAATGGATCATTTTTATCTGCATCATGTGCCTGTTCTGTTTATATAGAATAAATATTTATGTTTTATCATTTTCCTGGACTAGGAAATACAAATAGAATAAGTCTGAAGTATCAGCTATAATTCATCGCTTGAAAAGAAATGCCTTATTCTGATATCATGTAGAAAACTATCTAAATCATTTCAGCCGCAAGCTTATAACCAAGATAACATCAGCATTTTCCTTCTTGAAAATGTGTCTTCCATATATTAAAGTAAAAAAGCAGTATTTTATTAAAAATGCTTGTGACAACTTTAACCTATCATCATCATAAACTTTAGTATAAAGAAGATCCTGTTAGGTTTCATAGGGGAAAAAATGATGATAAGATTTTGCTTTAGTCACTTGTTCACTATCCAAGATTTTCACAAAACTCCTAAGATGCAATAAAATACAAATGAAATAGTTCCTGTGTTACTAGATTACAGTTTTCTACTGTAAGTTTTCAGAAACAAATTGTTATTCTAAGTATACATTGATAAAACTCCGTTAATGACTTAATGGTTAATTGGCTAATATACAACCTCTCAGTTTAAAAAATCTAGAATTTTCTTCCCACACAGAAATTGTAGCCCTATAATTTACAACTGCTTATATCTTGTTGTACAGTGAAATGTTTGCATAGAATAGGAAAAAGTTATCTATTTGATCCACATCACTTAGAAATTAGGAATATAAAGCATTTTAGTTTTGTCAGAAATATTTGCCTTACTTTGGGTATCTATATTTCTTGAATTTGGCTTGATAATTGGCTTTTTCAACAATGGAAAAACAAAATTGTATTGAACTATGGTTTATAGTACTAAAATGTGTACCTAAATAATTTTTTGAAGATAATATGCTATAATAATTTGTAAATAAAATATATAAACTTCATTTAGCATAAATGTTTTCTATCAATAACCATGAAACATTATTTTTATTTTTTGTAGTGACTAGGTCTCATTGTGTTGTCCAGGCTGATCTCAAGCCCCTGGGGTCAAGTGATTCTTCCGCCTCTGCCTCCGAAAATGCTAGGATTATAGGCATGAGCCACCATGCCCAGCCAATTTTTTTTATATTGTTCCTTATCTATGATTTATTTAATAAGGAATTAAGTGACAGATCACTTCAAGAAATAATACATTTTTGACTGTATTATTTTGTTTTCATTTTGGAAATAATACATGTTTATTACAGATTATTTGGAAAATGCAGAAAAATAAAAGATAAAGAAAATAAAAGTCATGACCTACCTTCGAGAGATTACCGCTGCTTGCATATTGGTGTATGTTTTTCTAGCTTTTCTTTTTACCATTATTTAACAAATATCTACTAAGCATCTTGTAAGTGTAACACCCACTAATAGTACAGGGGAATACTCTGGTATTCTTGCAGGTCATAACCTTTATCCTCTTGATGTTTATGGCCTATAAAATGTATCTAGACAAGTGACATGAAAACTGGAAGAAAAACCCAAGGTGCTCTTAAAACAGGTACCAAAACCAAAAATTGACAAATGGAACTATATCAAACTAAAAAGCTTCTGTACAGCAAAGGAAACAATCAACAGAGTAAAGAGACAACCTATAAAATGGGAAAAAAAAGTAATTGCAGAGTATTCACCCAGTAAGTGCTCTGTAGAACATACCTGGAACTCTAACAACTCAACAGCAAAAAAACCCCAAATAGTCCGATTTTAAAAAGGATCTGAGTAGAAATTTCTCAAAAGTCATACAAGCAGTCAATAAGTATATGAAAAAATGCTCAAAATCGCTAATCATCAGGGAATTGCAAATCAAACCATGATGAGATTTCTCATCCCAGTTAGAATGGCCATAATCAAAAAGACAAAAAATAGCAAATGGTAGCAAGCATGCAAAGGAAAGGGAAATCTTGTATACTGTTGGTGGTAATGTAAATTCATGCAGCCATTATGGAAAACAGTATGGATGTTTCTCAAAAAAACTAAAAGTAGAACTAACTTATAACCCAGCAATCACACTACTGGGTATTTATCTAAAGGAAAATAAATTAGTATATTGAAGAGATACCTGCACCCCCATGTTTATTGCAGCACTATAATATGTAATTATAAATTATGTACCTATACCCCATGTTTATTGCAGAGATACCTACACCCCCATGCTTATTGCAGCATTATAATTAATAAACTATGTACCTGCACCCCATGTTTATTGTAGCACTATAATTTATAATATATAAAATATAAATTAATGTAATATATTTATATAATAATATATAATTATATTTACTAATGTTCCTAACGTTTTTATATCACTGTAGGTTGACTATGGTTAACAGTAATTTAGTGTATATTCTTAAAAAGTTAGAAGAGAGGATTTTGAATGTTCGTAACACAAATGATAAATGTTTGTGGTGATGTGGGGGGAAGAAAAGGAAGGAAAATCTGAGATGTACTACAACATATATGAACCTTAAGAACATTTTGCCAAGTAAAATAGCCAGTCACAAAAAGACAGATACTGTGATTACACTTGTAAGAAGTAGTAAGAGTAGTAAAAAATCATAGAGACAGGGAGTAGAATTATGGTTGCTAGGAGGTAAGGAAAGGAGAGAATGAGGTATTTTGTGTGGTATAAACGGGAACAGAGTTTTAGTTTTATAAGATAGGGTTATGGAGATGAATGATGGTGATGGTTTCACAACAATATAAATATTTAATACCTCTGAACTGTATACTTAAAATGGTTAAGATGGTAATTTTTATGTCTATTTTATACCACAATTATAAAAATGATTAAAAAAAAACCCTCGGGAGGGGTTCAGGTGGCAGAGGAACTCACCTGGTTTGAAAGGTCCCAGCAAAATATTCCTGATATTTTTAAAATGTGGTAGAAGTTTTTCCTTCATTTCAGTACTATTATAGGTGTATGTCCTCACTTGCTCTCTTTTTCTCTCTTTTTTAAAATTCCATTGGCCATTTCAGTGAGGCTCTAGGAGGAAAAACAGTTCTTCCTAGAATGTGCATATATCCTTCATATCTGAAAAACTCACATTTTTAAAAAAGTCACTGTGCTATAATTATTGTTGCTAAAACTTATATAGACTGAAAATGAGCAAATCTCCAAATTCATTAGGCAGTTACTTCACTATAAGCAGAATAGAATTGAGCATTTTCTTAATTCTTATAATATAAAGGTGCTGATTCACTTTTTATAATTATGAAAGCATTTTTCCAGTTTTAACACTACCATTGCCCTAAAGCAGCAATTCAATAGCAACTTTATTTAAAAATTATATTAATATACTTCATCGAACTATTTAAAGAACTACTTTTCTGATCAAATAACTATGCTTTGTTTGTACCACAAGGAAATATACTAATGAGCATAAAAAGTAACATGCATTATAGATACATGGAATATTATTATCTTATTTTATTAAAACAGTAAATTAACATCATAGATGCCTAAACCTTTTAATTTTTTGCTCTTTTACTTCTATCGTATACGTTATACATTACCATATGTTATACTTGTTGGATTAGCATCAGCAAGTAAACTGAGGAAAATGTAAAAGCATAATTTATATTCTCATTAATTTTTTTAAAGCAATGGCAGATAACTCTTGAATATGTTGAGCCTAAATTTATCACAAACTATTAATTAAATTACATTATTATATTTAAATGTCTTGTTGGAAAATCTGTGGTCAAGACATTCTATTTTTTGACAGTTTCTAGTGCTGTAAACAGTGAAAATGTCAGAATTCCTCCAATAGAATATTTCACATATATTTATATACATTACAAATATATTCACATTACTTACAAATTAAAAAATTATATTTTGAAATACAATTTTTATATGATTTAAGACTTTACTTTTGAAAATATGCCACAGGAATATCAGATGGGATATATCTGCCACAGGAATATCAGATGGGAAATATCTTTGTTCCTTCAAGAGGAATTTCTTTTTCAATATTTTCATTGACAAATGTTTTAACAGCTTCTATTCTTCAGAGACTCTAACCTTATCCTCATCCCTTCTCCAGCTGTTGCCCCATTTCTGGACTATGGCAAAATTTCTAAATAGTTATCTAGACTCAGGACCTCCATTTCTTCACCTCCATGTCTCTCTTTTTCACCAGAGTTGGAAATATTTTAAGAAATAAGTGAAAGACTACAAAATATTATATACCCCTGACTACAATCATGTAGAGATAATTCTTAGGACACTAAATTGAAATTGAGAGATTTGAATTTGAGTATCTATCTATGGTTGGGGATATAGGGCAACATATATGTACATTTTTACAAAAGCATTTAGAGAACTCTACTATGTTTGAGATTTTCCTTTCATACATACATTCAGCTCCGCATGGTCATTTCCAGCAGAACTAGGACATGTAAATATAAAATAAGATGATGAAACATGTTCTGTTTACAATAAATGCAATTGACTCACTTTTGTGCAAATCAACGATGCAGCTTTTTTGGTTTTTATTTACTTATGTATTTATTTAGAGACAGAGTCTCACTCTGATACCCAGGCTGGAGTCCAGTGGTGCGATCACAGCTCACTGCAGCCTCAACTTCCTGGGCTCAAGCAACTCTCCCTTCTCAGCCTTCTGAGTAGCTGGGAATACAGGTGTGTGCCACGACACCTGGCTAATTTTGTATTTTTTAGTAGAGACTGGATTTTGCAATGTTGCCCAGGCTGGTCTCGAACTCCTTGAGCTCAAGAGATCTGCCCACCTCGGCTTCCCAAAGTGCTGGGATTACGGGCATAAGCCGCCACACCCAGCCTATTTTTTATTCAAAGTGAAAGCTGAGAAACTAGGATACAGAGCCATATGTGTTGTTTGGTTGTACAGGATATATTTTTATGCTGCAAGAAAGGTTTCATTAAATATAGGACATATAAAATATAACACTTAAGAAGTCCAGAGATAGCAGCTCAAGGCCGTCAGGAGTGATTTTTACTGTGATTCTTTTGGTCTTTCCATTATGATTCGAAGATGGCTGCTACAACTCCAGTTATTATCCATGTTCCTGAAATTAAGAGTAAGGGTGAAGTGCAAAATAGCATCTCTCAGTCCCTCTTTAAGCTATTTTGAACAGTCTTTGGTCCCCATTACTCCACTACAATGACTCTTGTTAATGTCACTTACAATCTCTTTCTTATCAGACCCAATAGTTATGCCGCTGTCTGAATCTTACTTGACCTCTCAATGTTATTTAACAATGTCAACCATTCTGTCTTTCTTGAAACATTTTCTTTTCTTGGTTTCATGACTTCTAATTTTCTTTGTTTGTAACTGGCAGACCCTTCTCAGTCTTCTTAACTGAATTCTCCATTTGTGCTCAAGTTGTATTAGTAACGCTTGGTCATTGTGTCCCTTCTCTATTTGTATGTCCCTGAGTGATTGCATGCAGTTGTACCTGTATTTGGGGGACTTTTAAATGTGTAATACCATCCACAAACTCTTCTTCCAAGATCTAAATTCATATATTCAAATGTTTGCCTGACATTCCCACTAGATAACTAAAGATTGGCTCAAACTTAATGTTACCAAAATAGAATTATTGGTTTCTTGATTCTTCTCTATTCCCATCACAATTTACTTCTCCCACAGTCTTTCCTACCTCAGTCTCATCATTTTTGACAACCAGCAGCAGTGTAATCATTCCTAATTACTTTCTTTTGTTTAATTCCAAAGCATATCATACTTCTTTCCGTTCTGACTACATTACAGTACTCCAAGTTACCATCATTCCTGATCTGTTTGCAGTAGACTGCTTCCTTATCTCTGTATTTGTGTTCTTTCCTAATTTCTACCCATCTTTCTCTATACCTCAACCAGAATAAGCTTAAAACCCAAAAGCAAATCATATTATTTAAATTCTTAAACCCTCCAGTGGCTTCTCACTGCAAATCAAATAACCGTTATGGGCTATGTAGTCAACTTAACTTTTCATCTTATGCTCGATTTCCTGTCCCTTCTGCTGCTAATACATGCTGTGCTCTTTTCTACTTTAGGACCGTTGCCCTTGTTCCCTGTGCCTGTACATTCTCTTCTCACAGATCAGTACATGACTGTTTCCTTCAAGTCATTCAGGTCTCTGCTCAAATGTCAGCTCTTTTGTAGCAGGGCTTCCTTGACTACCTTGCCTAAGAGAACATGTGCTCCCATACTTTCTGTCCCTTTACCCTGTTTCTTTCACTGTATCAAAATATGAAATTATTTATCTGTTAACAGTTTGTTGCCTGTCTCTGTTGAAATTGAAGGCCATGAGGACGATACGCTGTTGTTCACCACTATTACCCCATCTCCTAGAACAGAACCTGACACATAATAGACACACATTTGTAGGTTAATAGACAAACATTTATATAAGTTTAATTCTTAAAATATAACAACTTTTAGAAAAGGAAGCAAAAATGTTTATTTCAATTCTAGTTAGAAGAAAAAGCGCTTTCACCAACTGTGCATCTGAGCTCAACTTTGAACCACAATTTTTGGAAATATATTTTAAACTTTATAATAACTGTAGCTAACATTGTTTTGAACATCTACTTTTATTGTGTTATAAACATTTTACTAGCATAATTTGCATACATAATCATTTTTGTTTATTTAAACCCAAAGTCATTCCTTGAAATAGGGTTTTTTTTTTGTTTTGTTTTGTTTTCATTTTACAGGTAAGAAAACTGAGAATGAGGGGTCATATGCCTTTCACAGAGTCAAACCAATAGTTAAGTGCCAAAGCAGGATTCAAAATAAGATTTGTCTGACACCAAAGCCTGTGCATTTTCTGCTGTGCTCATGTAGATGTTTTAGGTAAGGCCATCACAGTTGTTTTAAAAGATGTATTCATAGGATGCACACACACAAATTTTTTTAACATGCTTGATTTGCCATCATTTAATCTAAAGTCATATTGACTCATTATGGTCAGTACTGACTCGTCATGGCAAACAATTCCTGACTACAACTTAGGAGACATAAATTCAGATTCTAACTCTACCAATTGGCTATGGGACCCTGGGGAAGTTCATTATGTATTCTGGGAATGGCTTTTCTATCTACAGACTAAAAAAAAATGGATGAAATGATTTTTAAATAAGATACCTTCTAGCTCTCAAATCTTATGGCCCTTTAAAGAAAAATAATCTAGAAATCTGTTGACAATCTATTGCAACTTGCCTTGGCATCTGATTTATCTTTTGAATGCAAATTACTTATTTAATATATCAGTTTTCTCTTCCTAGAACTACACTTGGTGGGCAATATTCCTTTTAATCAGTCTTGAAATTTAGGGAGATAAATAAAAGAATGCTGATACAGAATTTAAAAGTTGTCTTGAATAATCTGTAGTTTTATTTTTTGTTATCTACTGATGATTTTCCTCATGAATGAATAGAGATTCTCACTGAATTATCTTGTTTATAATAGTGTTTCAGTTGATTTTTTTTTATATTTCTAAGTATATAGCAGGTAAGGATAGTTTCACCTCTTTTACAATTTTTATACTTCATATCTTTCTCTTTTCTGCTTGTGTTGGCTAACATCTCTAAAACAAGATTAAATAATAGTGATATATTTACTTTTACTTTAACTTGAATGTTTCTAGTGTGTGAGGCTAGCTTTTGAGATGAAAAGCATATATGTTAATATTAAGTATAACATGGATAAATATATACATGTAATGTTGAAAATACATTGCAAGTCACGGAAGATTTACATAGCATCATACATTCATATGAAATATTGAGGTATAACAATATGCCAGGGAGTGATTAATATTCAATTCACTGTATTGGTCACATCTGGTAAGAAGGAAGGGAGGAGAATGGGATGGGGAAAGAACATCCAAGAGAGCTACAATACGCATTAGAATGCTTATGGTTATTGTTACTGGTTATAGTTATGGTTATTGTTGTGCAGGAAACATTTTATAACAAAATAATTTGATATGCTAAAGAAACATGAAGGTTTCTGTGTTTGCTGGTTATAAAGACGAACAGAGGCATAAACTAAACACAGGTTTGCCTTTCAAGTGTATAATTTTCTTGAGAATGGAAATCACCTCTATTCTCCTCCCTGTCCTGAACATATGGCACATTATAAGAATTCACGACATAACTACTGAATGAATAAAAGAAGAAAGAAGGAAAGGAAAGAGAGAGGAAGTGGGAATTTTTATTTCTTTCTTCTCATTCTTTCATTTGCATCATTAAATTTTTAAGTAAAGCTTACTTTAAATAATGCATAGAGATTTATTTGTATATTAGAATCCTCTATTTTTTCCAGAAAGCAGAATGTTACCAAGTTTTCTATACAGCTTTCTAGAAATCAGCATACTATTAGGTATTTATTGTGCTGTTTGTGGTGTGTGTGAAATATGTAACAAATTAATTATGGGGTATATCATTTCTGTGACAATGATTCAGGCTACTTAGATTCTAAGAGTTCAGACTGGTATCAAAGTCTCAAATGTCTACTGTGGTTCACTTGTATTCCTGCTTTAATCAGTCTTTTGAAATTCAGTATGTTAATAAGGTTTCAAACAATCCTGAAAGTTTGAAATGTACAAACATTCAAGTACAGTTTATTTTCTACTTTAAAAGAAAAGTAAAAGAACTACACTGTCTTAATGGGTTTTCTGTTTACAATAAAAGATATATCAATGATTTTAAAAATAAGAAAAGCAAAATAGAATCTTAGACAAAAAAACCTGTCATAATGCAATGGTGAAATATAAATTTAAATTTTCTGAGTAATTGTTGAACATGTATATTATGAGAAATAGCACTTTGTAAACATTTAAAATATTTTTATTGAACAATGTGGTTGCCACATAATGTCACTATGAAGTCACTGACTTCTGTGTATTTTCTCATTTTTATATATTTAAATTTATAACTTCAGGCCAGGCACAGTGTTTCTCACCTGTAATCCGAACACTTTGGGAAGCTGAAGTGGGAGGGTCGCTTGAGGCCAGGAGTTTGAGACCAGCCTAGGCAACATAGTGAGACCACCCTCTCTATAAAAAATAAAAACAAATTAGCTGGTTGTGGTGGTGCACACCTATAGTTCCAACTACTTGGGGAGCTGAGGCCAGAGGATCATTTGAGCCCAGGAGGTTGAGACTGAAGTGAGCCATGATCACACCACTGCCCTCCAGCCTGGGCGACAGCAAGACCCTATCTCAAAATAAATAAATTTATAACTTCATTTTTGTTGTTGTTGTTCTTAACTGTAGCATTGTGTCAGAGTTTTGTAGTCAATTTAATAGTATTCTGAGATTTTCCTTTAAGACTCTTGAGTTTGAGCTATCAATGTTCCCAAGACCCCCAGGAGTCATGCATGGCCCTAGCTCTGTAGAGGCTTGTGATTCTTCTTCTTACAAATAAAGGCCATTTTTTTCTTGCTTGGAAAATAACTTATTTTGTAAGTAGCTGTTAAAGTATTGAGAAAGCCACTATATGAGTGTATTTTAAGACATAAGAACAGTCATTCCAAGGTAATGACAGAATTTTATGTTCCTCAGAAGCTGATCCTTGTACATTTTTCCAATATACATTTTTCCTCTTCTATTTCTGTATCCTCATAAGATTTAAGAAGTATACCACAATAAATCCTAAATATTTTCAGAATAGTAGAAAAACTAGAAGGAGAGTTAATATGTTTACCAAAATTTTCATAAATAATCTTCAGGTAGCAGAACTGTCAAGCTGTTTTGGATTTGAAAATTGCTTTTGATCAGTACTGCAAGATAGACTTAGGACCTTTTAAGATAACTGAATAATAATCTGGTCAGTATCCATTGAGCAAAAATTGGATTGTTTTGGAAAAGTATGTGAAGCTTTTAAAATTTATTGATCATGAGCAATTCTAACTGTACATACGGTATATTGAAAAGGGAATACTTTTTATAGTCAGAGCTGAGTTTGGAATCCTAGCTCCTCTAATATTTTTGGATATGTGACCAAGGGCAGTTCCTGAGTGTCACCAATCTTCAATTTCCTCATTGGAACATAGGAACAATAATATTTATCTTGCCTGGCTTTTGTGAGGATTATAAATAACGAACGTAAATACAAGCCTTTAATAATATACAATAATATATTTGTAATATATTCTGTATATAGGAAGTACTCAAAAAGTCAAAATTATTATTTACTTGATTCCCATGCTTCTATATAGTAAGGAATTCATTCATATATCCAATAACTATTCATAAGAACTATTCATTGAAAGGCTACAATATGATAGGAATAAGACTAACTTATAAGGATATCGTAATAAGAAAAACAGAAAATCTGCTGTCGTGGAGCATGCACTCTAGTAAGGCAGACAGACAATCTGTAAATAACCAAGTGGATGTTCATTTTATTGTAATAAATGTTATGGAAAACAATCTGAGTGATGGAGGAAGGGCAGATTTTGTGCATAAAGTCAAAGAACTCACTCACTGATACCTGCATGACAAGAAAAATGAGCCATACAAAATAAAAGTCAGAGGAAACACCTACTGCATTTTGTTCAGGAATCAGAGGGAAGAGCAGCATGTTTGGAGCCAGGTGAGGAAACTGAACTTGTGAGCAGATCGGAGAACTCAGTGAGGCCGGAAAGGTCAGAAGGGCCTGATGATGTACTTTCTAGGTCATGGCAGTAGTTTGGATTTTACCCTAAATACAAAGCTACTAGAGAGTTCCAAGCATGGGTGGATTGTGATGTGATGTGTGTCTTACAAAGATTACTGTCTCCTGTATAAAGAATAGGTATACAATTATAAAACCAAAGCAAGGAGGCTGATTAGGAAGCTATTGGATTAATCCACAGGCAAGAAACATGATAGCTTGAATTAAGATGGTAGCAGTGGAGATAGAAAGCACTAGACAGATTTTAGATACCCTTGGGTGATAAAGATAACAGGAGTTGGCTATAGAGTATAAGAGAAAGGAAGGAATTAAGGAATGACCCCTAGAGTTTGTGTTTGAACAACTGAGTCTTATAGACCAAGTGAGGTATAAGTCTTTTTTAGTGGGGGTAGGGGAAGTTTAGGGTTGGGAATCAAGAATTTGGCTTTGTACATGGTATGTTTGAGGTCCTTATTAAAAAGTTTATTGGAGACAAGTAGCAGTTGGAATATGAGTTTAAAGCATGGTATAGATGTGAGGGCTGAAGATATAAATGGGAAAGTCATCATAAAGTAGTTGGCATTTGTGGCCATTTAGAGTCATCTCCAGATGACTATTATCAAAGGATAGCAGAGTTCTAAGGACAGCATTAAACAGAGGGAAAAACTCATAGAACTAGAAGAAATTTAAGAGGCCAATATTGTCATTGGTAAGGATTCTTTAACAGAAAACCCACCTACTTTTAATATTTCATACCCTGTATATTCAAAATTGAGAAAATTGGGTGGTTATAGGATTAATTAAAGAAGACTTTGTTTTCTCACATTGTCAGTGTGTTGACTTTCAACCTTAGACTTACTCCCATGGCCACAAGATGGCTACAGAGTCTCGAAGTATTGTGTCCTCACATTATAATACATAGAGGCAAGCCTATGAAAGTGGTCCCTGTCTGTGTGTGCGTGTGTGTGTGTGTGTGTGTGTGTTTTAAGAATAAGGAATACTTTCCCAGAAGCTCCCCTGTAGGCTTCCATACATGTCTTATCCAGAATCAGTTCATGTCGCCGGTAGGGTCTACCATGATAATGATAGACAAACACATTTGAAAGAAACTAATGGATTTAACCAGGTTATTTATATGGAATTTACATTGCAGTGAAACTTCATTGCTATGACTTGGACTATTATTTACTAAATAATTACTATTGTATTTATATTAAGGAATACTGATATTTACCATTTATGTATACAGAGTTCCTCAATTTAAAATCACATCCACTTGAGTATGTGTGTGTGTGTCTGTACATTTGCATGTATAAAAGAAAAACAAAATGTAAACATCATTTCAAGGTGAATTAAATTACTTTTAATTTCTCTTCCCATTCCAATAGTCAGTATTTCTAAAAATCAAAGATACAAAGATAAAAATGCTTTGTATTTGTAAGAATATGGCCTGCTTTCGTTTAAGCAACTATATGCCTAAAAAGGTCTTAAGTCAATTTAATAAACTATATTTGTCTAATTTCTGTACCAAATCATTATTTAGTCTTCTAAATAATAGTCCTACCTAGACCTATATTGGTCCTACCTAGATTCCCAATATTGTTTTCATATCAGTTGGACTATTATGCTAACATTATTGCTTTATTCAGAGAGAAAGAGCATTAATTTACATTCTCTACAATGACAACATCATGCAGACTATAGAGTAACTCTGGGAAGAACTTCAGTTAAAAATGCTAATCAGATGCCCGTGGGGTGACTTGGAGGAATTATTTAATTAATAGCCTTTTCCTAATTACTACTTAGGAACAAATGTCTTTAAATGTAATCATTCACCCACTTTATTTATTTATTCTTGCTGTCTATGAATAATACAATTATATTGTAATACCAACAGTTGAAATTGCAAGATCAAGAAATTAGAGTGACATAGGTAGAATTGGCTTCTATTTAATAACATAATGATGGTTATTTAGCTAGAAAAAAAAAGCACTGTTTTTGAAGAGGATCCTTACTATCTATCTGTAGGTACCTATCTTCACTACAGCAGTATGTCATTAATGATTAAAAACTGTCGTAAAGTTAAGCCTAGAAAGAGGAAAGAATAGACTTGATTGTGCTTTCTGTGGGCCAGGATTTGTGCTAGGCTCCTCATATTTTATTTTATTTAATAATTTTAGTCGTCAAAAATAGTTACTGCCATTTTATAGATGAGAAAACTAGGTTCTAAAAGTTTAAGTGATTTCTTCAAAGTATTTTTGGGTAGTGTAGGTATCAAAGTTAGGATTTGAATCTGGGTTTGCCAGTCACTGACAACAAAGCCCAAATTTCCTCCACTACACAATTGCATAGAAGAAACAGAACAAATATGAAGTATGTCAGAAGTAACCAACCATGAGCACTGTGTAATGCTAGAACCAGAAAAGCAGAATTCCCAACCTTTCTGTGTTATTTTCCACTACTTTGCTCTTTCTCACTGGGCTTTGGCTGACTTACCCTTCCCACTGTTCCCTTTACTTAGAATATTCTTCCCTCCATTGTTTGCTTGACCAACTCTTTCTTATCCTTCATGTCTCATTGCATTAGTCATTTTTTGGAGAGTAGGGGACTTTGCTGAAATTTTTAGATCCTTCTACTAAAAGTCACATAGCACTATGTTTTTCTTCCATTGAATGTGTCATAATTGCAATGATACAGTTACTTGAGTGATCAATTGTTTTAGTCAGATTGTAAACTCCATAAGGCAGGGACAGTGTCTGTCTTATATACAATGTTTTTTTTTTGTTTTTTTTTAGCAACTAGCACAGTGCCTGACACATAGCTAGCTAGTTGATGTTCAATCAGGAAGGAATGAATAGATGGCTTATATAGCTTGCTGGAGATCTGTTTTCAAGTAAGATATTTTAAAATTTTATTTTATAAAATAATTTTGTCCTTATGTTTTATAGCCTATATTATGAAATATTGGGAAAAACTTTATACTTATGTAGTAGCTAATAGGTAATAGAAACCATTGGCTAAATGAATGCATTTTCAGACAAGCTTTATAAGTGATTTGATACTTGCCAAGTGGCCTGTTTTGTGAATCATTTAAGTACATACCAGTGGTGGTTTTCATTATGGTAACAGTTCAAAACAGTTTTAAACATTTAATCATTCTTTAATAAAAGCAAAGTAGTAGCTAAGACATAACCAGTAAATCCAAGATGTGGAAATAATGAAAATAGGGACGTTATTTTTGACACTGATAATAAAGTGCCACTACTGAGGAATTTTTTTGTGTGAAATTTTCTAAAATAGTATTTTAAATTTTTCTTGAAGCAAATTCAATTTCTTTTTAACCCATGAAAAATTAATGTGCCATGGGAGAAGTGTTACTTAGATATCTAATGAGCTATTACGTTCCAATAAAACTGAAGATTAATGGGTTCACTCTGGGGAAAATAACATTCCATTTGAAATAAGGATATTTGAGCAACTTAATCTTTTCACTTGGTAGTAAAGTTTTAGAAATTCACTTTCTGGCCGGGCGTGGTGGCTCATGCCTGTAATCTCAGCACTGTGGGAGGCCGAGGCGGCGGATCACCTAAGGTCGGGAGTTCGAGACCAGCCTGACCAACATGGTGAAACCCTATCTCTACTAAAAAATACAAAAATTAGCCGGGTGTAGTGGCAGGCGCCTGTAATCCCAGCTACTCGGGAAGCTGAGGCAGGAGAATCGCTGAATCCAGGAGGCAGAGGTTGCAGTGAGCAGAAGTCGTGCCATTGCATTCCAGCCTGGTCATAGAGCGAGACTGTCTCAGAAAAAAAACAGAAAAAAGAAAAGAAATTAACTTTCTACACTTAAGTTTATTTCCAAAGCATATAGTCCTTGATGTTGAGTTTATGTTAAAAGAGCAGTATAAGTTACATTGAGCAGTATTTGTTTTAAAGATTCACAATACTCACCTTTGGGCATGAGGAAGGGTATATTATTTTGATATCATAACTGAACTCTGTAGCATAGTAATCATAAAAATAGTGTCCTTATATGTTGTCATGGTTCAGTTATCTTTATCACCTCCATGTATACCTGATGCACTTTATTATATACTTTCTCCATTGCATTGTGATTATTTGCATGCCTCTCTACCACACTGGGGCATGAGATCCTCTAGGCAATAAAACATCTCATTCATATTTTCTGCAACACCTTGCTTAGTATCTGGCACACAATCATTGTTCAATAAATTTTTGAGGGAGGAAGAAAGGAAGGATTCTAGGAATAGACGTGACTTCAAGAGTTAATATCTTAAAAAGACAAAATGTCTAATATGAGTCAAAGGACTAAATGTATTCCATACTCTTCTAAAATGAGAACATTATTTGATCAATACAATAAAGTCTGTCAATGGGTTACCAAAAAAAAAAAATAGGTGTTGATTGCCAAATATTTTTACTTTGTTTTGACATTTTATTCTTAATTCAGTGTGTCCTAGATCAAATGATGCTTCTATGGAGAAATTTCTTAAGTACCTCTTTTTCCCTATATAGTAGACATTGTTTTGAAACCCTTGATTAAATGTACTGAGATAAAATGTCAGTATTAATAAGGACATCCACCTCCCAAAGAAACTACAGTTGAAGAAATAAAAATGGATCATATTACATTTTTACCATATTACAGTTGAATAATTTTCTAATGGTTCTTAAACTGCAAGCGTTTAAAAACATGACAATGAATTTCATGTGTTAGACATCCCTCAGTGTTACTGAATGACTGTATGATTCTACTAGCTGGCAGTAAATACTCATTTATAGTGTGGAGTCTGTAATGAGCTGAAATCATAGAAATACTGAAACCCCATTTTCCATAACTCTGATTGCCTCTGCACATTATTTTGGCAGGTAACTTTATAGTACTAGAAATCAAATGTACTTCTAAATCATCTAACAAAAATTAGATGTTTGTCTGGTTTTATTTTTTGTTGAGATAACTTTAGATTTAAAAGAGTTGTAAAAATAGGATGGAGTGTTCTGATATACCCTTTACCCAGCTTCTCTTTAGGTTAACATCTTATATAAGCATAGAACAATTCTCAAACCTAAGAAATTAATCTTAATACAATACTGTTAAATAAACTGTAGAATTTATTTGTATTTTACCAGTTTTGCCACTAGTGTTCTTTCTCTGGACCAAGATTCAATCCAGGATCTCCTGTTTCATTTTGTCATTATGTCTCCTCAATCTCTTCCAGTCTGTGGCAATTCTTTACTTTTTCCTTGCCTTTCATGATCTTTTTGTTCTTTTGAAGAGTACTCTTCAGTTATTTTGTAGAATGTCCCACAAGTTGGGTTTGCTTAATATTTTCTCATGATTAGATTGAGTTTGTGCCTTAATGGGAAGGCTACCATAGATCATAGGTGATGTCGCTTCTCTGTGCATCAGAGCAGGGGAACATGATGTCAGTATACATACTATACATTACTAGTGATGTTAGCCTTGGTCCATCAGTCAAGGTAGTATTTGTCAGCTTTCTCCACTATGAAGCTACTTTTTTTATTTTGCTTTAACAAAGTAGTTTTAAATCATTTGAGTTTGGAAGACAGCTTGGGGAGTTGTTTTATTTTTAAGTCACTAAGCAGTTTTAAAATCTGGTGAAGAAACTGATTTCATATTTTTGTCAATCTAGTATTTTCATACAAACAATGGGGATTTAAATAAGATATCTTAGGACTCTTTCACCTTTAATATTCTATGACTTGATGTCTCTAAGGAGAAATATAAGAGAATAAGATGTTCCATGTATGTCATAGTTGCTTACAGATTAGCCTGAAGTCCATCTATGAATTTGACTGGCTTTTGAAATGAATACCTTGACATCATTCTGCTTAACAAGGGTATTGTACACTGAAGACATATTAAACAGTTTCTAAATTACCTAACTGAAAATCTATTATCTAGATATTTTGTTATTTAGATACTGAGTTGTTTCTTAGTCTCAAAATTGTCAGTTTAAACTATTTACAGTTTATCTGGCCTCAGAAGTAATAATATTAAAAGATTTTAAGTATTGAAATATTTAAATCAGGCTATTTTATATCTTAATGCAAATTATAGTTTTCACTCTGAATCTTATAAACTTGAGTCAGTGAAATCAAGTTCTTATGTAGGTAATATTATTTTCCTTAAGAAAATTTGTTACCTTTCATTTTTTGAATATCTGTTATTTATTCTAAAGTGATGTTAAGATTGTTATAATGCCATTTATATAAATTCTATTTGTTTTTGGTTTTTGACATGGTGTGATCTATAACTATTTTTTTTAAGTTCTGGGGTGCAGAATGTGCAGGTTTGTTACATAGGTAAACGTGTGCTATGGTTTGCCTAGAACATCAAGACTCAGCAAAGGAAATATAAAATTATATTTTTAGTATTTTCTCCTACTTTTTATTGTGATGTCAATTAAATGGCCAAAGATGATGATTGTTATTTTTCTGTTTTTTTCTGAGAGAAAAATATATATTTAATACATATGAAATGATTTTCTTAATTTTCAAAGAAAATATTCAAGCCAATCATAGTAAAGATGATTACCACAATAGAAAAGTGGGCAAAAATTAGGAAAACTACATTCTTGACTTTATCAATGTGGGTATCTTGGTTATAAGATTACACTACAGCTTTGCAAGATGTTACCATTGAGGGAAACAGAGTAAAAGGTACAAGGGATCTCTGTATTATTTCTTTCAACTGCATGTGAACTACAAAGATCTTAAAATTAAAAGTTCGACTTAATTTTTGAAAGTACAGAAAATTGAGGAAAGGCAATTTATAGAAAGAAAAAATTCTAACAATAGATGAAAAGATATTCCTTTTTATTCAAAATGCAAATAAAAAGGGAATGAGAAGCAATTTTCCGCTTCTATCAACTTAATAAAAAGGTTTTCAACTTTTATTTTAGATTCAAGAGGTACATGGGCAGGTTTGTTACATAGGTATATTGTGTGATGCTGAGTTTTGGGGTGTGATTCATCCCATCACCCAGGTAATGAGCCTAGTACCCAGTAGTTAGTTTTTCAACCCTTATTCCCTCCTTCCCTCCCCATTCTAGTAGTCTCCAGTGTCTATTATTGCCATCTTCATGTCCCTGTGTACCCAATGTGCTCCCACTTATGAGTAAGAACATGTGGCATTTGATTTTCTGTTCCTGAGTTAATACACTTAGGCCTCCAGCTGCATCCATGTTGCTGCAAAGGACATGATTTCATTCTTCTTAAGGGTTGCATAGTATTTCATGGTATATATGTACATTTTCTTTATCCAGTCCACCATTAATGGGCACCTAGGTTGATTACATGTCTTCGCTATTATGAACAGTGCTGCAGTGAACATACAAATGTGTGTGTCTTTTTGGTAGAATGATTTATTTTCTTCTGGCTATATACCCAGTAATGGGATTGATGGATCTAATAGTAGTTCTGTTCTTAGATAAATCTCCAAACTACTTTTCACAGTGGCTGAAAAAATTTACATTCCCACCAATAGTGTATAAGCATTCCTTTTTCTCTGCAGCCTTCCCAGCATCGTTGTTTTTTGACTTTTTAATAATAGCCATTCTGACTGGTATTGAATGGTATCAATGAGATACTATCACAAAAGAGATAATATCTTTTTGATTTGCATTTCGCTGACAATTAGCGATGTTGAGCATTTTTTCATATGTTTGTTGGCTGTTTGTATGTCTTCTGAGAAGTGTCTGTTCATGTCTTTTGCCCACTTTTTAATTGAGTCATTTGTTTTTTGCTTTTTGAATTAAGTTTCTTGTAGATTCTGGATGTTAGATCTTTGTCAGATGCATAGTTTGTGAATACCTTCTCCCATTCTGTAGGTTGTCTGTTTACTCTGTTTATAGTTTCTTTTGCTGTACAGATGCTCTTGAGTTTAATTAGGTTCCATTTGTCAATTTTTGGTTTTGTCGCAATTGCTTTTGAGGACATAGTCATAAATTCTTTCCACAGGCAGATGTCCAGAATGGTGTTTCCTAGGTTTTGCTCTAAGATTCTTATAGTTTGAGGTCTTACATTTAAATCTGTAACACAACTTGAGTTAATTTTTGCATATGGTGAAATGTAGGGCTCCAGTTTCATTCTTCTGCATATGGCTAGCCAGTTGCCAGCACCATTTATTGAATGGAGATATTATGACTTTTTTTTAATGGCAGTATAGAAGTTTGGTAAAACTTAATTTTAGGGCCTGAGCAAAAAAAATATTTTTCTCTCAATACAAGTTTTAAGTTTGATACAATGAGTCGAGTGTTGTATTAAAATTTTCATTGTCCAGTGAGAAGGATAAACAAAATGCTGTCATATTCTATTAAAGAAGGCATTGTTTCCACAATGGCCAATCCTAAACAATTCATGATTATTGCTTATATTAATGAATAAGTAATATACTTGTTTTTTTATGTGTGTATGACAAACTTAGTTATCGCTGAGTAATTTTTAGTCATTTACGTCTCTGAAAATTTTAATGGGCCAATCACTGATTTTTATTCAATCTGAAAAATCTGACTATGGAACTGTAATTTGACTAGTGATCTTGCCTATCTTGAACATTTTTAGATATTATTTTTAGATTTTAGATAACATTTTTAAATATTATTTTTGCCTAAATATTTCAAAAGCAGGTAAAAACTCTAAATAAAAATATTATATTTTATTTAAATAAAAATATTATATTTTATTTAAATAAAAATATTATATTTTATTTAAATAAAAATATTTAGATTTTAGATAACATTTTTAGATATTATTTTTGCCTAAATATTTCAAAAGCGGGTAATAACTTTTAAATAAAAATATTATAAATGAAGGAAAGTTACCAATGTAGGAGCCTCTTAATATAGATTTCTAGCATACACTTCATGCGTATTTCCCAGATATTAGTAGTTTACTACCTGAAGGAAAATTTTCTATTGTCAAGACCATAAGTTCGTCAGGGTTATCAAACATACTCACCATAAAAGAATTCACCTGTCAGAAAAGGCTGTTTACAGTATTCTTAGCCCCTTCAGATCAGCAGGATATCTTAAAAATATGTCTTTTTTTTTTTTTTTTTTTTTTTTTTTTTTTTTTGAGACAGAGCCTTGCTCTGTCTCCCAGGCTGGAGTGCAGTGGTGCAATCCTGGCTCACTGCAACCTCCACCTCCCAGGTTCAAGCGATTCTTGTGCCTCAGCCTCCCAAGTAGCTGGGACTACAGGCACACGCCACCATACCCAGCTAATTTTTTGTATTTTTAGTGGAGACGGGGTTTCTCCTTGCTGGCCAGGCTGGTCTCAAACTCCTGGCCTCAGATGATCCACCCACCTCGGCCTTCCACAGTGCCGGGATTACAGGTGTGAGCCATGGCGCCTAGCCAGATGTCTTAAACACCTACAAATATTCATTATAAAAGTTGTAGCTTTTCATGTTTATGGAAATATATAAATTTATAGAATTGGGATTGTGCCCATTAAGAGTCTACCCTAACTCATACTTATCATCCATCATTCATTTCCTTTCCTTTCTTTATCCTAGTTTGCCACTGTCACTTTTCACTCACTGATCTTTGTTGCCTTTAGTGTAAATATGCCCTCTTCAGATGGCTGTGGCAATCCTTAGGGCCTTTTTTTCCCCAGATCAGAGGGAGTCCCTCTTGATCCCAGGTCATACATGGGAAATCCAAAGTCTTTTTTTTTTTTTTTTTTGATATGGAGTTTCGGTCTTGTCGCCCAGGCTGGAGTGCATTGGCGCAACCTCCGCTTCCTGGGTTCAAGTGATTCTCCTGCCTCAGCCTCCCGAGTGGCCGGGATTACAGGCACACACCACCACTGCCCTATTTCTTTGCTACGAAAAGCTGCCACAAAGAAGTAAAAAGTTACAGGAGGAGCTAAAAACTTACTCTACTCAATCTGCTCCAGAATCATGAATTGGAGAGAGAAGTGATTGCTCAAGAAAAGAAATAGTTATTTATGTATTCCCATACATGAAATTAGAAATTTGTTACTGCCCTTTTTCTATCTTGCTATTTAAAAAATATTTACTATTAATAAATAATGAATGAAATGTTGCAGTATTAAATAAAGGGAGATCTCTTTGATTATCTTTTGTTTGCATCACTAAATAGAGAAAAAAGGTAAGGTTTTTAAAAAGAGCTCTATTCTACTTAATGATATATGTGTTTGAGCTGAGTTTACTAAGAACATCCCAAGTGACTTTAATTTCATAATATAGCCTTAGAATTTCTAATTAAATATGCAACTTGTATCATACAAAAAAATTCTTATGCTTTTTACAGTAAATTTAATTAAGCATTTCTTGTAAGTTCATTTCAGTATCTGTCATGGCTCACTAAAGTTGGAATTCAGTTGTAAAATGGTATATTAATTGCCTTTTGTATTAAATGAAATAAGAATCTCAAATATGCAAAGTCAGGAAATCTAATTGTGGTCTTCAATTGCTCATTCAATGCATTGGAAAACTGAATGCAGAAGTATAGAAAAATAAAAGGCCAAAGGTTGTTAAATGTAGCATATCACACACATTTCGCACTTTACTTAATGATCCAAGTGTTTATTACTATGAGGTAAATGCACCATTTAAAGAATTATGGTGGAATTGTAAAACGTTAAAAACTCTAATTAATTTCAGTCTGAAGCATGCAGTGTGCTCATTTTGCCTAAAACATTTTCATTATCGTCAGTATTTTCCAGTTATTAAGATAAATTATTTCTTCATTGTGCAGCACTAGCATATTTTCTGTATTAAAAACACAGTTTTAAATGCTGTTGAGAGTTACATATCTAGCATATGTTTTTAAATGAATAAAACAATATAGTTTTTTGACCACAGATGGAAGCCAAGTAGTGTATCTGTTTTTCTTTCTACACTTGTTCCGTAGCTACCAGCAGTTAGAACAGGTTGAGTGTCTACATGTTTTTTCCCTAAAAGCTATATATGTATTCTTACACTTTTAAAAGAAACATTATTAAAGTATAGAGATAATTCTGACTATTAATTTGGATCCAGTTATAATAACTGTTCCTTCTCTGGTTAGTAAAAGGAATATTTAAAATCTAAAGAAAATATCATAAGAATATAGAAACATTTTAAGTTAGTGCCTGTCTGCACCGTCTCCCTTCATTTTACTGTTGTACCACCATGGATGTTTGCCTGCTGTGAAGAACATATTTGGTAAAATAAAAACAAGTGACATCTTCTCTTTGTATTCATAGAGTCTTGTAACTCTTACTTATTTCTGGAAATAGTTTGTTCATATGGCCAAATTATAAAGGGACTTAGTAAAAGAAAGCTATGTTTTCTGATTACGAAGGAAATCTATGCTCACAGTGGGAAAACAAGAAAATGTGGCAAAGCACAGGTAAGAAAATAAAAATCAATAATATCAACATTATGAATATTTTAGGTACTTAGGAATTTGGGGTAGAATGATGGAAAGCAAACTGTTAATTATAGCTGTATATTTCAGTGTAGAGGCTACAGGTGCCTTGCATTTGTTTTCTTATAAAATCTGTTCCCATACATTTTACTTACTTTATTTGAATTTAGGAAACTTTCATTAGGTAGCCATTTTTATTTTCTGTTTCTTTAATCATTTTACTTTGAAATAATTTTAAATTTACAGAAAATTTGCAAAAATAGTGTAGAAATTTCCCATTTGCCTTTATCCAGCTTCCTGTAGTGTTGCCATTTTATGTAACCATAGTACAATTATTGAAACCAAGACATTAACTTTGAGAGGCTGCTACTACTCTAAGAACCATTTTTAAATTTTACCAGTTTTCTCACTAATGTCCTTTTTATGTAGTCCAGGATTCCTCACTGCATTCAGTCATCATGTCCCCATAGTCTCCTGTGGTCTGTGATAGTTCCAAGTCTTGTCATTCATAACCTTGACATTCTTTTTTTTTTGAGACGGAGTCTCGCTCAATTGCCCAGGCTGCAGTGCAGTGGCGCGATCTCCGCTCACTGCAGCCTCCACCTCCTGGGTTCAAGCGATTCTCCTGCCTCAGCCTCCCGAGTAGCTGGGACTATAGGCGCCCGCCACCACACCCAGCGAATAATTGTATTTTTAGTAGAGACGGGGTTTCACCATGTTGGCCAGGATAGTCTCGGTCTCTTGACCTTGTGATCCGCCTGCCTCGGCCTCCCAAAGTGCTGGGATTACAGGCGTGAGCCACTGTAGCCGGCCGACCTTGACATTTTGAAGACTACTGTTTAATTATATTGTAGAGGGTTTATCTGATGTTTTCTCAGATTAGAATTAGGTTATACCCTGTTGGGAAGGATACCACAAACCAGAGGTGATGTGCCGTTTTTAATACATCGTATCAGGGTGTTAATATATATTATTGGTGATATTAACCTTGACCATTTGGTTAAGGTGTTGTTTGCCATGTTTCTCCATTATAAAGGTACTTACATCAACATCTATAAAGATATAAAGAATAGGGAGAGTTGCCTCTTTGTGTAATCCTTTTATATAAAGGATTACAAGAGTTTAAGAAATCTTTTAAACTTGGCAGTCTACAAGGTAAACAAAGTTATCTGTACTCATAGAGTGTAATTTGTATCCAGGTATTACCTGAGTGATATAAATTCCAGATGCTAAAATAGTTGGCCATTGTTAGGAGTTGGTTACGTCCTAAGAGGAAGGAAAAGAATGGATAGGTTTTATTAATTGGCATCAATTATTTGAACTATCATGAGAACTAAATCACATTTATAAATAAAGAAAAACCGAGGGTCTCCTCTATCACAAATTGATAGTGCAAGCTGACTAACATTTAAGCAAAATCTTGCAAGTTTTATTTAGTGATAAGATAAACATGGCAGTGTGTTTACTTAATTTCTCTGTTAGAATAACTCAGTCTCATATTGCCACCTGGAGTATCAGCCCATTATTAAATGGTCCATCTGTGCCTAGAAATTACCATTCTCACTACAATTCTGTCCGTGTAAAAAGAGCAAGGCTAAGGAACCAAATTTTGTCATTTGATATTACAGGTGTTACTGTTAATTGAGTGCACATTCTTGAAATTTCACATATAACTAGCAGATCTGCAAAGTTGTTATAGTCAGTGTATTTTTTTAGAGTATGAATTAACAAGTTTAAACATTAAGAGGTAAGCCTGTCTACTTTCCAGTAGCCTCAAAGGATACATTTTCTTTACGATTGTTTCAGAACACTTCATGAAACAAATGTCAAACTTGTCAGGGCTGTCACTAAGAAAATGATCCATGTAGCCAGGGTCTTCTTTCATTGGGAAACAAACAGATGTCTTATCTCAGCAGAGAGAAAAAAAAAAACCCTCCTGTATATCAGAAGAAATTTTTGCTTACCTATAATATCCAGTAGTAAAGAAATGCTTTGGTAAAAAGCTTCCTTTGCAATTTTATTTATTATGCAGTCATTTATCAATTATATTTTATTTGCTGTCTGAGTTACTTTAATGATTTTTATTAATCTGGAACTGCGTATAAATTCTTACAAAAATTGACCTGCAATGTGAAAAACATAAATTAGCATTTCCAAAAAGACTTCCCTAGAGCTTTATTAGATCAAATTTTAATGTTATTTATGATAAAATCTATTACTGTTATTTTGATAATGTTATAGCAATTTTAATATTATACTCTAGCAATTAGAGTGGAATGCCTTTTTCACCCCTTCATAATGCTTTTCTGCACCTAGGTTACAGCTATCCTTCTAAAAGGAAGAAAGAGATTGGCTCTTATTTGTTATATAAGTGACTTAACAGCATAAAAGGCAAGATGTTTTAAGACAAATCCTCAGCACAAAGAAAGGTGTGAAACAGTTATGTACCTGTCCTGAACAGCAGGCAGTGTTAGAAGGCATGCATTTATAAACTGTACTTTATTTCTAAGAAAAATTCAACAACAAAAAGACAAACATTATATTAAGAATGTTACTTAACTGGCATATCTATATATATCTTATCCATATATTTAAAACATATTCAAATTAATGGAAGTTGCAAATTTTTATTTCATTTAACCATGTTCCAATAGCTTATATCCATAGTTAAATATGAAAATAAAGTATATAAGTACCTCCTAGTCCTTGGGGTTATTAAGTCTTTACATTTGTGTTTTGACTTAGAGCAGCAAGGTTGCTAGAGAAAACTAGATAGCCAAGCATGTTAAACCGGGAAGTCATACGGTGGAGAAACTTAGTAGACTGTCCGTGTGATAAAGGCTCCATCTTTCTTTTATAAATTAAAGGGTATGAGCTTGATAATGGCTGTTTTGGCTCATGTTGCTTCAAACATTTTTGCTTATTTTTATTTTCACTGTTGTTATATAGTAAGTTAAGATTGCTAGAAGTGTGAGTACTAGCAATCTTAATTTACGATAGTTAAGAACAATATTGTGCTTTTCCAAATTATGTATTAATTCAGGCATACCTTTTATTCGTTCATTATTCCACTGTTTCACATAGTTCAGAAAATATTGATTGGACTACAACTATATACTAAGTATGTCCTGTTAGATGGTAGGAATGTATAAGATACAGAAGATAAAACCTTCCTTTGAGGAACAGATGGACAAATTCAGTGCTACATATCAAAAATTTCTTGCCATCCGTACCTGCTGATTTAACACTTTCTAACAGTGTCTCTCCTGAAGAAGACAGGGGAAAGTGTAGAGTAAGATTTACTTTTTATTATAATGTAGTTAAAATGTAATCTCTAGGCTGGGCGCAGTGGCTCACGCCTGTAATCCCGGCACTTTGGGAGGCTGAGGCGGGGCAGATCACGAGGTCAGGAGATCGAGACCATCCTGGCTAACACGGTGAAACCCCGTCTCTACTAAAAATACAAAAAATTAGCCGGGCGTGGTGGTGGGTGCCTGTCCCAGCTACTCGGGAGGCTGAGGCAGGAGAATGGCGTGAACCTGGGAGGCGGAGCTTGCAGTGAGCAGAGATCGCGCCACTGCACTCCAGCCTGGGCGAAAGAGTCCGTCTCAAAAAAAAAAAAAAAGAAATGTCATCTGTAGGAACTTTTTTCTAAAAGTGGAAAACACATGTTCATTAATAAATTTTCAAGAATCAAACTTAATGTATCTATTCACTGGAGATAAAATAAGGAAAAAATGAAATGACAAACAGTGGCTATCATACTTGGAAAAATATATCAAAGTTACATTGCCAAAATGATATTCAAAACCCCATTCCTGGTGTTCTACATATCTATAATGATTCAGATTGGTTGATAATATTGATAATTTCTCTACTTTCCCAGTGTTAACAAAGTCTAAATCACAGATTCCGTTGAGTTTAGAGAAACAAAGTATATAAAAAAGCTTTTTTCACCCGCCTTAATCATTACTGGCAAGTATGTAGTTTGTCATAGAAAACAAATATGCATACCTTGGTTTGCTTTTACTTTATAAAGTCAATTCACAAAGTAGAGTTCAACAATTATTTAATTCAATGATTTAATTTGGTTTCATCAGATACAGAGATAGAGTGGTATGTTTGATGATATTGATGATTATTACTGTTGTCTAGAAATACTTAAATTGATGTTTATGCTTTAATTAACTCAGAAGAGTACCTTTATGTCAGTTAATAAAAATAAATAATCTTAAATGATAAATCAGAAATATTAGGAAAGCAAGACTGTTTTGTACTTGGGTGTGTTGAAAGAACATGTATGATGAGATGGGTTACAAATTGTAAGATGAAATATTTTTCCAGACTCTCATTGCTTATACTTTGAAGGTTACCATTTAATACTGAACACAAGATGCACTTCATTTCTATGAAAGCAGACATTATGATGTCATTTCATCTATTCACCATGTTCCACAGGAACCTGCTATGAATTATGAGGCCACCACTTAGAATTGAAACTGTAGAAGATTGTAAGCATTCTAAGCCGACATGCACATGCTTCCTATTTTAGACCTCACTGATCTTCAGATAACATATGGTGGTACAAGTAATTGGAAAATTGGCACACCTGTCAAGAAAGTATACTAGATGGGGCAAAAAAATGCCATGCTGGAGCACATGAAGTGTCTTAGCAATTAAATTTATTGTTTTTTGTCAAGCAGTGAAGTAAAAATATCTAGCTCATCCCCTGCAAAGAACACTTTTCAGTGGCAGGTGTTTCCAAAGTAATTTTTAGGGCATTGTTAAAATTGGTTGCTTTTAAAAACATACAGAAAATTTTAATGTGTTCTATAAAACAGCACCTATTGCAAATATTTAAATGTTACATAATTTTACCATTTGTGTTTAGGATTATTAGAATCACAGTAGTTCATAGTTCTACAGATGCAGTTAAAATCTGTCAAGTATAGCTGATAAATGCTCTAAAGTTTATATTTTAATGTTTTCTAAAATTTATTTCACAGGAAGATGAAAATGAAGCTGAAAGAAAAAATATATCTCAGGAGCTCAACATGGAACAGAAAAATCCAAAGAAATAAAAGATTTTCTGTAGTGTTTTTGAAAAGTTTGCAGCTTATGTAATAGCAGATAAAATTTCTAATTGTAAAATGTTAAATTGTAAAATCTAATTTGCAAAATGTTCTCAATAAAGTCATTCAAAATGAAATAGGAGCTTGTATTTGGAATTCGTATATTTTAGAGTAATTTCGACTTTTTTATTCAAAAGCTGGACCTTTAAAAGTTTTTAAAAGGAGAAAAATTCTTAACTCAAATTTGAGAACAGAGACAGAATGTTATTTTTTTTGTAACCTAACTGTTAACACATTTAAATGACCTAAAAAAAAAACCTCTGAAAGTCTTTTTTCTTCTTACTAGACTCTGTGTTCTTCTTTAAGGGCCTTAACATAATTTTGATTATCAATATAAAGAAAAACCAACATAGTTCAAAAATGAACAGGGAATGCTTGCACATGAAAATGGTTAAAACCAGTCAATGCCACAAGGAGAAATACTGTTTCCTGATTTCATCTATTTATATATTACACGATACTCTAGGACTGCAGGGAAAGACTAAAAAGAAATGATAATTTGACGGTCTCTGGCAGAAGTAATGCCATGATTTATAATTTATAAAACATTTACTAAGGACCTGCTGTGTGCAAGGTCCCACACACTATTCCTGGACATTTCAAGAATAGTTCTTTTATGTATTTCTTTGGCTTAGAAATTTTTCAAAATTCACCTGTCCCCTGTCTTTATCAGAGTTCTCAGTAACCAGCCTCTTTACTCTCCCCGGTTCTAATTTCCAAGCTGCCATTTGCCAATGACAGGAAGAGCAATGAATCTGCTTGCTATTTGCAGAGCCAAGTGTTTTTGGCAGATGTCTTTGTTTGATTATTTAAGGCAGAGTTTCTTAAAATGAGAGGCAGAGCTTTGGGAGGCTTGCAAGAGAATGTGAGAGTGGAATCAGTGTATTTGCCTTGAAGCCATATTATATGCATTCAACAAGCCCAATAAATGTGTGACAGCAGGATACGCTGGCAGCTATGATACATTGGGCTGAGATGGAGGAAACTGCAAGTAGTTAAGACAGAAAAATCAAAAGGATAGTCTCAAATAATCTCAGTACGCATGTCAGGAAAACAACTAGAGCCCACAGATGGGATCCCTGGACTAATGAATTCCCTGGATGAATTTTGGAGCAAAGACTTTAAGCCAAAGAAAAGGTTGAGATGGCAGTTCAGAGTCTGCAGGGAGCCTTTGCAATAGGCAAATATAAAAATTAATTTGACACTTTTCCCACATCAATTTATTTCAAAATACCCACATTCACATAGATTTGGGTCATATCAGTAGTTTTACTTTTAAAAAGAAGAAATAATACATGATTCACATAAAAGCTAACATGTTACAGGTACTATGCTAAATGTTTAACGTGTCATGCCACTTAATTATCAACTTACAGGTTAGGTACTGTTGCTTTTACCATTTTACCAAAGATCAATCCAAGGCTTAGACAGGGGAAATAGATTAACAAAGGTTATGTAACTTGTAATTGGCAGAGTAAGAGTTCAGACTCAAGAGTGTTACCACAGAATATGACACTTAATCATTGTGTAATACTAATACCATATGTCATTTGTTCCACTGTCTTTCCTAAAAATGTACAGTCTTATTAGCACTTCATTCATCACCTGCTTCCTCTTTAGTTATTTCTCTTCTCCAATCTCTTAGTTGCGCTTTAGTTTATTTTGAAGACTTTGATTTAAGTAAAATAAGTGAAAGCATTGTAACCACTATTCTGTGTGCTCCGTAACATGCTAATCCTGCTTTATGTTTTTTTTTTTAACACCAAGTTATCATGGAACAAGGATGGAAGCACCTATTTCTTCTCTAAGATTTTTCAAGAAATTTTTGGCCATATTTTTCAGCAGATTGTTCAGTTATTAGTATGCTGTTATCTCATCATTTCACACTTGCATTTATGAAATGAAACTGTTAGTGTGAGTCACAGTGACACTTAGCCACCTTGCAGGCATTTTAAATATTAAATTTAAATGGTATCTTTGATCATTTAAAACCCAGTTTTCCTTTTCAGAAAGTTTTTCGAAAATATATACCCCTTGGTTTAGGATGGTCAGTAATAAAGTAAAATCAATTTACATTTCCTTTAGGAAAAATTTCTGTATGAATCACTCAGATTTTTAGGGCTCATACCATTATGTTGTGTATATACACATATAAGTCTTAGAATGCTACAAGATTATGTGACTGTGATTAAGCCAGTCGCTTTATTTGAGTCAAATGTTTCATATTTTATATAGAATGTTTTACATATTAATCGGCTCAGGCTGCCATAACAAAATATCTGAGTGGGTGGCTTAAACAACAGAAAATTTTTTTCTCACAGTTCTGGAAGGTGGAAGTTCCAGATCAAAATCCAGCAGGGTTCAGTTTCTGTTGAGGACTGTCTTCTGGCTTGCAGATGGCCTGCATCCTACACGGCCTTTCCTTTGTGCACGCACAGAGAGAGGGAGGAAGTGAGTGAGCCTCTGGCATCTTCCTGTAGGGACATTAATCCTATCAGATCAGGATTATGATCTCTTAACCTTAATTCCATCCTTACTGCAAATACAGCTACCCTGGGAGTTAGGGCTTCAACACAGGAATTTCGATGGGGTGGGGGAGGAGGGACACATTCAGTTCATAATACATTTAAATAAAGTCCAAGTACCTCTGTTATAATAATTCTGAGCTATGTTAAGGAGCACTGGAGCAAAATCCCAATGAAATGTCTATGGCAATATAGATTAGATGTATTTAGGGAGAGTCCTTATAAACGTTGATAACTGGGATATCTATCTATAAGTCGATTTCTAAAGAAGACAAACCACTAAAAAAAAAAGGAGCTGTTTTGTTTACCTCTTTATCCCTATTACCTAGCTCATTTTTTGGCCTATACTAGGTGTAACACTGTGACTGTAAGTCAGCCTGTAACTTGCACTGTAGAATACCCTAAGAACAAGAATTTTATGATACCTGTATAATTTTTACTTACTGAACCGAACTATCTTCTCTTCATGCTAGTTATTTGAGTTGTATTTCTTCATACCTTCCAAGAATTTAAAAATAAAAGAACTTTAAATGAGTATTTGTTTCTATCATATTTAGGAAAAGCATGGTTTTTTAAATTGTATCCAGTATCATACTCTTTCCTCCAGTCTAGGGAACAAATAGCAGAAGCGGGAAGGGATATTATGCTACTCTTGAATGGAAATTGCTGGGCACTAAGATGCTCAAGTTTTTTAAATCATTCAACAAAGCTTTAGTAGGACCTACTATAAGATATACTGTTCTGCTTATCACTGGGGATTCAATGACAGACAAGCTTACTGTGCTGTTACGGTCTTGAAATTCTTAGCTTTTGAAAAAGAGACCCCATGGTTTTATTTTTCACTGACCTCACAGATTACGTAGTAGATACCACTAATGTTTATACTCTTTAAGTCAATTTTATTGGAGTATATTTTACATAAAATTCACTCATGTTGTATGTGCAATTCAGTAAGTTTCAACAAATACATATATTCATGTAACCACCTCTCCAAGATATAAAGCATTTCCATCACCCGAAAAGCTTCTGTCCTTCAGTTTTGCAATCATTTACACACCCCCACTATAGCCACCGATCTACTTTCTTTATTTGTTTTCCCTTTTCTAAGACTTTATACAAATGGAATTATATCACACACATCTTTTGTGTGTGGCTTTCTTCACTCAGCATAAAGTTTTGACATTCATCCAAGTTATTGCATGACTTCATTTCTTCTTATTGCTGAGTACTTTTCATTGTGTGAATATACTACAATTATACTGTGTGAATACTACTACAATGGAATATATACAGATGGCCAAAAAACACATGAAAATATACTCAACATCATTAGTTATCAGGAAAATGCAAATTAAAACCACAATGAGTTACCACTGTATACCCGCTGAAATGTCTATAGCTCTGTTATCAGCTATATAAACAGCAGCTATTAAAAATGTGTAGCTATTGAATACTTGAAATATGACTAGTCCCAATTGAGATGTGTTGTAAACATATAAATCAGATTTTGGAGCTAGAGTGCAAAAAAAAATCCATAATTTTTACTCTGATTACATGTTGAAATGATAATATTTTGAATAGATTTGATTAAAATTTTAAAATAAATTTCAACTATTCTTTTTAAATTGTGGCTACTAGAAAATTTGAATTTATATATTATAGTTTCCATTGTTTTCCCACTGGACGGGCCTCCTGGGCTATAATTTGAAGGCCGATAATGAAATGTTGGTAAGGTTATGAAGCAACTGGAACTCGTCATACATTGTTGGTAGAAGTGTAAAATGATACATTATTTTGGCAAAGAGTTTGGAAATTTCTTATGAAGTTAAACATACCCTTAATATACGACCCAGTAATTCCACTAATAGATATTACAAAAAGAAATGAAAGCATGTGCCCTCACAAAGATTTGTACATGAATTTTTTTTAAGATCTTGCTATGTTGCCCAGGCTGGATTTCAACTCCTGATCCTCCTACCTTGGCCTCCCAAAATGCTGAGAGTACAGGCGTGAGCCACTGTACTCAGCCTTGTACATGAATAACTTTTTATTATTTTTTTTTTTTTGAGACGGAGTCTCGCTCTGTCGCCCAGGCCGGACTGCGGACTGCAGTGGCGCAATCTCGGCTCACTGCAAGCTCCGCTTCCTGGGTTCACACCATTCTCCTGCCTCAGCCTCCCGAGTAGCTGGGACTACAGGCGCCCGCCACCGCGCCCGGCTAATTTTTTATATTTTTTTAGTAGAGACGGGGTTTCACCTTGTTAGCCAGGATGGTCTCGATCTCCTGACCTCATGTTCCACCCGCCTCGGCCTCCCAAAGTGCTGGGATTACAGGCGTGAGCCACATGAATATTTTTAACAGCTTTATTTATAGTAGCCCAAAACTGGAGCTAATTTCTTTTTCTTTTCAAGTAAAAGTCCCACTTCATACTGGTTATTCTTTTCAGAAACCATTTGTCACACTAAGCTGTGTGGTGTAGTTCACAAAATTAGGGTTTGACCCTTGATATTTTAGGGGGGATATTTGATGTGTAATATTTATAGCACCAGTGTAAATGTTAGAATCACTGTCTATAAAACATGTTAATGAAAGACCTAAAAAAACTAAACAATATACAAAATTTTTTACAAATCCAACATTCAAAAACTAGTCAGTTCATATCTAGAGGCAAAAAATAAAAATAGTGTATATCTTATTTGAAAACATTTAATGTAGTTAAAGTCTTTAAATGATTTCACATTGTTTTAATGGTCTTTGAATGACCCTTGCAGTTAGAAATACATTTAAACTCAATTTTAAAATTATAAAATTATAGCTATATCTTCTGATAAATTGCATCTACTTTCCTGGGGATTAGAAAGCTTGAATGAGGGGAAAAGCAGAGGTGTGTGCCCAGTTGCTCCAATTTTAAGTCTATGAACAATTTTGAGTCTATGAACTGCTTTAGGTTTCATTTTTATACATACCATACCAAATAGGACATACTCTTCTCAGGATATAGTCATTTTTCATTTGTGACTTTCTAATCATCCAGATAGAATGAGGTGAGTCTGAGTAGTTTTGTTCCTCTAATATTTTTTGAAAGGGGATAATGATATTCTTATTGCTCACTTTATATATGTATATTCTTTCTGTAAAATGTTCTTAAGATTTTATACAAATGAAATTATGTTATACATACCTTTTGTGTCTGGCTTTCTTCACTCAGCATAAAGTTTTGAGATTCATCCAAGTTATTGCATGACTGTAATTATTCCTTACACTAATGATTTTCCTCTAAGCTTAAACAGTTGGAGGCATTTGATATGTCTGTACTCTCCTACATTCATTATAAATTTGTCTAGTTTTTCCCAGATGCAATAAACTATTCCTCTTTAAATTGAATGTATACCAAACAAAAAAGGGGAATCTTTCCTACAACTGCTTCTTTCACATGGCTACATCAGATTTATTTTGAAGCCCGTTGAGAAAGAAGAAGTAAGTTCATTTCATTGCTTCGGCATTTCCCCAGTGCCTGGAGTCCTTGAGGCCTGCACATATTTCTACTGGTTGTGTGCTAACACTGCTTGGGACTGAAACAACGTACTTCTGACATTAGGCTCAACAAGATTCACTTTGAATAGTGAAAGTTGATTAGAAAACTACTCCATTTCTCATTACCTCAAGAAAACAATTTTTACATAGCCATGAATGAGCAAATTTCACCCCCATCCAAGACTATCCTGAGCATTTATAGCAGGTAATAAATGTCTTCCCATGGTGAATTCAATGTGAAGTCCAAGGCTTTGTTATCTAGAGAGGAAGTTAAGTGCTAACAGCAACAGCATGAAAACGCATGCAGCTATGGTATAATTCTGATTTGTTTTAGAAAAACTATTAATTTCCTTGTTACAAAGCCAAGTAAGAATAACCCTTTAAAACTCTTGAACCATGAAAGCCATTTTCCTTAAGGGTTTTAAATTTGGGAACAGACTCCTGAAATTTATAGCTTTGATGAGATATTCTTTGCCTGCAGTCAAGATGAGAGCTAGATCATTGGTTTCCCAGCATGACACCTATGTGTTCTTGTGTGCACTAGATATCATTAAGCTCATAATAACACAGCCAGCATCACATTTAACGTTTGAAAGGTTCACTTTTGTCTCGTAGTTTACATCTTTCATTTGCACCTATTGCATGCTAAATATCCCACTCTAGAAAATGAGATACACTCTACCTATATTGATACCGTCGATGGAGTAAAAAAAAATTACTATTTTCATATCCATGACTTTCAAGCTGCAAAGAGTCAATAGATAATGACTTCTAGAAACAACAGATAATTGAATCAGATATTACATGTGTAAGTCTGAATATGAAAACCTTCCCTGACATTTAAGGAGCAGAAAATGTGAATCTCCATGATGCATGTCAGTTCCAACTGTTATCATTTTTAATATTATGTTTAATTCTAAAGGTGATGCAAGATTATTATTTCTTTTAAAGATAGATGAGCTCTTTCAGGATATTCTGATTTTAAGGCAATGAGAAAGACAGCTTATTAGGTAGTACCTAATGATCAGAAACAGATAATAAACACTGCAGGAATCCATCATTGTATGTTACATGATGAAATAACATGAAAAAACTCTGAAGAAAAGAAAACTACTGTTTTCAAAATTCATTATTTTCTGACATTAGGCAATGAAATTGTGATTAAGGAACCTATTTCTGCAAGCTGTTTCCTTAAATTTGTGCAAATGTTTGAAGGTATTTTATCTGTAAGTTTACAATTCCTTTACCATTTATTATTATCAACAATTTCAAACATATACAAGACTTGAGAGAAGAGTACAGTGAATCCCCATGTACTCAGGACCCAGATGAACAACTATTAAGATTTTTGCCATGCTTGCCTTATCTGTCCCTTCTTTCCCTTTCTACCAAATTGTCTTAAAGCAGATCCCAGATGGCCATGCTTTTTAACATGCATGTTTTTCTCCTCTCAACAATTCTTTTTTAATTAAATATGTTTAATATATACATATTTTTCCATGGCAGATGCATATTTTGTTTTTGAATAATGTAAGATGGTCAGTAGATTAATACATAATGGAAGATTGGATGACAGTACAGTCTGCCTAATGCACTTCAGACTATGTTTTTAGTGAGATTCAAAAGAAGATTTTTGTTTTGATCTTTTTAATGGTGATGATGTAAGCAGCAGAAATTATACAGACTCTTAGTTCACATTTGCATTTTTTGCACCTTAGGCAGAAAAACAGAACTAATCAGAGCTACAAATCATAAAGGAGAACACATTTCAACCTCCAGAGCACTGTGGAACTGAGATATCTTACTGATGATACTAACAAGAGACAAAACTAGCACATTCAGCAATGCCTTCAAAAATGTTACCTTGTTAGTAAAAATCAAATTAACAAATAGAACATCTGTTCGGGGTTATGATTATTTCTCCTAGGGAATGCTTTTTTTGAGACTATATATTTTTGGCAAGTATTGATTTGGGATTTATGTATTTGATTATATCTAACTCTAGAAGTCAGGAATAGTCAGTCTTACAGAAAATGTTTTAGTAGATTTCCTTCATTGTCCCTAGACACATCACATTTGGGAGTTTCTTATTCCCTCATCCTAGTTCTAGTCTACCTTTCCTGGGGAACAATTTCTGCTCAAGACCTTTCCTTCACAACTGCACCTTTCCTAGACCCCTCTAAAATCAACCTCTTTTTCCTTCTCCCCTCAAAACCCAGAATCTCTTTCCCACGGATTCCACATCCTCCTTTCAGTTATAACACAAGAAAATAGTTGAAAAATATGGTGAGTAAATTCTTCATGAGTATATTAGTCAGGCTAGACTAGGATATGCTATGAAAACAATCCCTGACATCTCGGTGGCTTAAACAAACAAAAGTTCACTTCTCACTCACACCACTGCCTGATGTGAATCAGGTGGCTCTTCTTGGAGAAGAACTGCCTCATGGATTCATGTGTTCATATTGCAACTTCACCATTTGAGTGTTCTTCGTGGAGAGCAGTAGGGTGGGGGCTGGAGTGAGATTGAGAGAATGAAGAATCAACTCATACTTCATTCCTTCAGACTCTGCTGCATCACTTCCATCCACATATCTAGTGGCAAGAACTGAGTGCCATGGTTCCAACCTAAGGATAAGGGAAGCTGAGAAAGGTAAGGTGGTCTTGGATGTGTGCCCGATAAGAGGCAACACTGCTAACTAAACACAGAGCATTGAATATATCTCAATTCCTTTTCTTGTCATTTGAAAACTGTCTTAACATATTTCCCCCTCTACCCAGAAGCACTGTAACATATGGCATGACTCTTAAGAGCATTGGGTTTTTATTTTATTTTATTTTTATTTTTATTTTTTGAGACGGAGTCTCACTCTGTTGCCCAGGCTGGAGTGCAATGGCGCGATCTCGGCTCACTGCAAGCCCTGCCTCCCGGGTTCAAGCGATTCTCCCACCTCAGCCTCTGGAGTAGCTGGGATTACAAGCACCCGCCATCACACCCAACTAATTTTTGTATTTTCAGTTCAGACGGGGTTTCACCATGTTGGCCAGGCTGGTCTTGAACTCCTGACCTCAGGTGATCCACCTGCCTTGGCCTCCCAAAGTGCCGGGATTACAGGTGTGAGTCGCTGCGCCCAGCCTAGGGCATAGGTTTTGAATTAGACCAGCCTGATTTCCAATCCCAGCTTCAACACTTCTTGTGTTACCCTGTGCAAGTAACTTAACCTGTCTAAGCCTTAGTTTTCTAGGCTGTGAAATAGAGATAATATCCAGGTTTCATGCTTTTCTACTTATATTGTGGTAAAAAACACATAACATTTACCATCTTTACCATTTTTAAGTGTTCAGTACTGTCATGTTAAGTAGATGCATATTATTATACAACAGATCTCTATAACTTCTCATCCTGCAAAACTGAAACTCTGTGGCCACTGAACAAAAGTCTTCTTTCTTCTCGCCCCTCAGTCCCTGGCTACCACCGTTCTCCTTTCTGCTTCTAAAAAGTTTGACTACTTTAAATACCTCATATAAATGAAATCGCACAATGTTTGCCTTTTGTGACTGGCTTATTTCACTTAGTGTAATGTCTTCAAGGTTGATATGTTATGGCATATGATAATATTCTCTTTTTAAGGCTGAAAAATATTCCATTTTCACACAAACACACTATTTTCTTTTATTCGTTCGTCAATGGACATTTAGTTTGCTTCTACATTTTGGCTATTGCAAATTGTGAATAATGCTGCAATGAATATGAGTGGATTCAATTATTTCATCTACAGACCCAGAAGTGACATTGCTGGATTATATAGTAATTTTATTTTTAATTTTCTGATGAACCTCCATGCTGTTTTTCATAGCAGCTGCACCATTTACATTCCCATCAACAGTGCATAAGGGTTTCAATTTTTCCACATCCTTGTCAACACTTATTATTCTCTGTTTTTGGGGGTAGAGGCCATCCTAACAGGTGTAAGATGATGTCTCATCATGGTTTCGATTTGCGTTTCCCAATGATTAGGGATGCTGAGCACATTTTCATATGTTTTTGGCCATTTCTTCTTTTGAGGAATATCTATGCAAGTCCTTGGCCCATCTTTTAATTAGATTGCTTTTTATTGTTGTTGAGTTGTAGGAGTTCTTTATATACTCAAGATATTAGTCTGTTGTCAGATATGTGGTTTGAAAACATATATACTGTCATGTTATATAATATTTATTATATATTATATGTGTTATATATGTATATTATATATGTCATATTATGTATTATATAATATATTATATAAACATAAATATATAAGCATATACACATATATTACATAATATATAGTATGTATAATACATTATATATGACATATATATAATGTATATATACATAATATATAATATATAATGTATTATACATAATATATAATATATAATGTATTATACATAATATATAATATATAATGATATATATTTATATATCATTATATATTGTATATTATATTATATATTATATTATACATATTATAATATATAATATATTATATATTATTATATTATATATATTATAATATATTATATATTATATTATATATATTATAATATATTATATATTATATTATATATATTATAATATATTATATATTATATTATATATATTATATTATATTATATATAATATAATATATTATATATTATATTATATAATATATTATATTATATTATATTATATATTATATTATATAATATATTATATTATATATTATAATATAATATGTTATATATTATATTATATTATATATATTATAATATATTATATTATATTATATTATATATTATATTATATATATTATATTATATTATATATAATATAATATATTATATATTATATTATATAATATATTATATTATATTATATTATATATTATAATATAATATATTATATTATATATTATATTATATATAATATGACATATATTATATAATATATAACATATTATATATAATATAATATATATGACATATTATATAATATATAACATGTTATATATTATATAATATATGACATATTATATAATATATAACGTATTATATATTATATAATATATATAACATATTATATATTATCTTCCATTCTGTAGGTTGCCTTTCACTCTGTTGATTGTTTCCTTTGATGTGCAGAAGTTCCTAAGTTTGATGTAGTCCCGTTTATCTCTTTTTGCTTTTGTTGCCTGTGCTTTTGGTGTCATATCCAGAAAATCATAGCCAAATTCAATGGCATAAAGTTTTTCTCCTATGTTACTTCTGGGAGTTTTATAGTTTCAGGTTTTGTGTTTGAATCTTTGGTTCATTTTTACTTGATTTTATATATGTTGTAAGGTAACATTTTTGCATGTAGATATTCAGATTCATAGCACCATTTGTTTAAAGCATGCTTTTCTTCTTTACCCTGTTTTTCTGTCTTGGTTCATGAAACAGGAACTTCTTTAAATTCTTTTAAACTCTCACCCTCTCGGGCAGTAATTGAGGAAAGGACTTCCACCTTTCTCTTTGCCTATTCCTAGCTTCATTCCATTGTAGGAGAGACTTTTTGGATTACTGTTTATGTTTCACATCCCTTGCTTCACTCCTCGGCCATGTGATAGCCTCATATCAGAAACCAGGTGAGTGAGTCAGTACAATTTAGTGGCAAAATTGTATATAGCCTATTTTCAAGTACAATCCAGCTTTACCAAAAATAGGCTGATGTCATATTTTAAATTTCCACTTGGCTTCTTTGTATGCTTCTCAACTGGTTCAGAATCCAGGGAGAATAAGCAGTGACGTAGTAACCAGGCTTGCTCAGAACCTCAAACATAATTTTTAATAAAGATTAGAAGAGATGATATATATAAAGCACTTAGCACGACCTGTTCCATCATGCATATTCAATAAGAGTACTGACTATTTGGGGTCTGTCAACTGCCCTTCTTCTTTCACTGACACATTCTCCAGAGACTGGATCACTACTTTAGTTTTATTACTGCTCCCCAAATTATACCATCCATTGTGACCATTCTTCTGCTTTAATATTTATGATTGTTTCTTAACTCATTCGTCAAACAGTCTCTATTATAAGACACACACTGTGTGGAGCACTGTCTCCGCCCACAAACAGCTCACGGTCTGGTAGGAGCGACATACAGACACAGAAAGTTGTCATGAGTAAGCGCTGGACAGAGCTTGATAAAGGGTGCCCTAGAACGCAGAGGTGAGGAAGCTACATAAACCTGGGGGTGGGAAAACTTTCCGTAAAAACGATACTTGAGTCTACCTTTGAAGGCAAGGGATTTCATCAGATGTAAATAGTGGGAATACTGTTTCAAAGGGACAAAATAGCAACGTGCGATGTTAAAGGGTTTTCAAAGGTTAAAGATGCTTCTGTGTGTCTGGATCCAAGAAAATGCCAGGCAGAAAGTGCTAGGCGCAGAATCTGGGAATATAGGATGAGACTTTCCTGTGAAAGGCTTTGAGGGTTTGCTTGAAGCACTTGGATTTAGTTCTGCAGAATTGGATACATATTAAAATCACATGGGGCTAAGGAAATAGCTACGATGGCTACATAACTTTGTAAACGTAACTAATGCCACAGAACTGTACACATAAAATGATTAAAATGGCAAGTTTTATGTTGTATATATTTTACTACAATTTTAAAAATTAATAATGGAATATGCCAAAAAACATTGAATTGTATACTTTAAATGGGTGAATTATGTGGTATGTGAATCACATCTCAATAATTCTGTTTGAAAAAAAACATTTATAACCTAGGCAATGTAGCGACACCTCATCTCTACAAAAAGTAATTTTTAAAAAATTAGCTGGGCGTGGTGGTGCATGCCTGTTGTTCCACCTACTTGAGAGGCTGAGACAAGACGATCCCTTGAGCTCAGGAGTTCGAGGCTCCCGTGAGTTGTGATTGCACCACTGCACTCCAGCCTAGGTGACAGAAAAGGATTCTGTCTCGGAAAAATAATTAAAAAAGAAAAGATTTAAGCTTTAAAATCATAAAATCACATGAGGAGCTACAAAAACAAACGAACGAATGAACAAACAGAAAAACCTGACCCTTGACCAATTGGAGGTGGGCCGAGCATCTGGCACCTTGAAAAGTACTCCAGGTGATTCTAATGTGCAGTCTTGGTGCAGAATCACTGCTATAGACAATGGAGAACCAGTGACAAATTTTAATTTGGAGAACAAGGTGATCAGGCTTGCATTTTAGGCAATCTGGTCTGTCAATTGTGTGAATCATAGATCCCTGGTCTTTCTGCTCAGATCTTTCAGGAGCCACAGGAATGCTCACAGAGATGTTATGCATAGCAGCCAGAACATGGAAACAACTCGAATGCTCAACTGGCAACTAGACAAATAGACTCTGGTATATTCATATAATGGAAAGCAACTCATCAATAAAAAGCTCCCACTACCTTGGCCATATTAACCCTATGTATTTCTGGTGCCTCAAACTATTTGCCAAGGCAGAATCTGCATTGTTTTTTTTGGCTGCCCTGCCAAGCCTATCTCTATTATTATTATTTGAGATAGGAACTTGCTTTGTTGCCTAGGCTGGAGTGCAGTGGTGTGGTCATAGCTCACTACAGCCTTAAACTCCTGTGCTCAAGCAATCCTCCCACCTCAGCCTCCTGAGTAGCTGGGACTACAGGCACACATCACCGAACCTGGCTGATGTTGTATTCTTTTGTAGAGATGAGGTCTCACTATGTTGTCAGGGCTGGTCTCAAACTCCTGGCCTCAAGTGATCCTCCCCGCTTGGCATCCCAAAATGCAAGGGTTAGAGGCATGAGCCACAGCTTCTGGCCCCAAGCTTTTCTATTCACCTCAGCAATATCACTCTCCAATTGTCACCCAAGCCAGAATCCTCATTCCTTTTTCCTTAATTTATAAAAGTTATGATTTACATATAATAAAATTTGCACTTCTAATTGCAGTTCTGTGTGTTTTCACAAAATGCACAGTTGTGTAACCATTACCACAATTAAGAGAGAGAAGAATCCCATCACACTCAAAAATTCCCCTGTGTCCCTGTGTAGTCAACTGTCAATGCCTCCTCTGTGCCCCAACCACAGACAACCACTAGTCCATTTTCTGTCTCATACTATTGCCTTTTTCAAAATAGGGTATAAATGAAATCATACAATATGTAGCCTTTTGAGTGGGCTTCTTTCACTTCAACTAAATCATTCATGTTGTTACATCAGACGCTCATTCCTTTTTATTGCTGAGTGATGTTCCTTTGTATGGAGGTACCACAGTCTGTTTACCCATTCACCAGCTGAGAGACATTTGAATGGTTTCCGGTTTTTAGTGATTATGAATAAAATTGCTGTAAATATTTGTGTAAGGATCTTTGTAATGGCATAGTTTTTATTTCTCTTGAAAGAAGTATACATTCAAATTCATAAGATTCTGTAACAGCTTACATTCCCACCAGCAATGAAAATTGTTACAGTTGCTTCATATCTCTACATCTCACTAGCACTTGGGATTGCCAGTTTTTTGTTTTTGATTTGCTTTCCTTTGTCTTGTTTTTGTCCATTCAAATGAGTCTGTGGTGGTATTTCATTGTGGTTTTAATTTGTATTTCCCTAATGACTAATGATGTTGAATAGTTTTTATGTGCCTATTTGCCATCTATATATATTCTCTGCCGAAATGTTTGTTCCAATATTCTGTCCCTTTTTCTATTGGGTCGTTTGCTTTCAAAGTCATTTTTTAATGTCCCTGAGTGCTTTTCTCTATGACTGAGGCAGTCAGTTGCTCTTTCATGGTAATAATCTAATTTTCTTTTTCCCTCATGTTTTCTAGAACTAGTAGCATCCTTTTGTTATATTCATTTGCCTTTCTTTCTTTCTTTGAGACTATTCTCTCATAAAGTCAATGTCTTCAAACACCCCTCTTCACCTAATGAAGCTTTGAACTCTGGCCTTTAACTTCTTCCTCTAGATAATTCAAACTTCCTCATTAATACACATGGCTCCAACCCTACATTTAACTGAGGTTATCTTGCAATGTCTTCTCTTCTCTATTCTCCCAAATATACTTTCCTCCCTCTTTCTCTCCCTTTGAAGGGCTTTAGTAGGGAGTAATGGTGTGTTACTCAACTCCAGCTACTTCTCTCTTCCAGTAAGGCTGAGACTTTTTTTCTGTTAACGTGCCTAAAGGTAACCTCATTTCACCACCAAAGGAATTCATGTTTACCACCTTAACCACCTAGGCCAGTCTATGCGACAGGGCCAGACTCACAACCTGGACTATGCTTCCTTGCCTGTAGTTCTTCACTTGTAGTTCTTTTCAATAGCAGAGTCCCCTAGGGCTTTACTCTTTATTAATTTATTTTAAAATACCTATGACTTTCAGGAGCATGTCTATTATGAGAGAGAAATCCCAAACCACTTTATAAACACATAATCCACAAATGCTCATTGAGGCTTTAGTTTTGCTACACTACTTGTGTCAGAATGGAGAGCAAAATGATACCGAAAGCTCTACGTGAGTCAGAGAAACTCTTAAGGTTGCCCCTGTCAAAAAGAAAAAGAGGAAGACATTTGTCAAAGGTGGCAAGATAGATTTTATTTAAGCTAGTACAGCAGTGGAGAGAGACTCCACTATGCTAAGACAGAAAGCAGGAGGCCTTTTTAACTCTGGAATGTGCTAAAGAAAACATACTGAAGGCCGTTATGAGGCAAGGTCTGTCAATGTGATTAAGCCATCCAGTCTGCCAACTGCTGCTATTTAAATTAGGTTCCTACCCTCCTACAGAGACTGGGAGCTAGGGACCCTATCTGTCTTGATGGTTACATTTCAAAGGGATGACTCCTAGGTCCTTGAGAAAGACATTTCTGGTTGTAGAAGATTTACATCTCAAAGGAGCTGAGAAAGAATTTACAATTGCAAGTTTTCTAAAGTAAATGCTCTAAGAGAAGGGAGGTCAGGGGCTAGGTTCTAGCTGGAAGAAACAGTAAATTCTTCTGGCAGTGTTGAGGTTTCTCAGAGAAACATTATAGGGGGCCTGATATCATCATCCTACGGACATAGCCTTCAGTGGACAGACGCCATGCTAGAATTTGTTCAAGTCTCCTACTCTGGGTGATAGCAAAGTCATCTGTGTCAAGAGTTTTACAGTCCTCACCCCCACGTTCCCTACCTCCTGATATTTATACCTTTGTTTAATCTTCTCTCTCTGAGTGCAGGTGAGACTTATGACTTGCTTCTATCTAAGTGATTATGATAAATATGACAGGATGAACATGAATCACATATGTAATTATGTTACATAAAATGGTAATGCCTGGCTAGGCATGGCGGCTCATGCCTATAATTCCAGCACTTTGGGAGGCTGAGGCAGGCAGATCACTTGAGGTCGGGAGTTCGAGACCAGCCTGGCCAACATGGTGAAACCCATCTCCACTAAAATTAACAAAAAATTAGCCGGGAGTAGTGGTGCATGCCTATAGTCCCAGCTACTTGGGAGGCTGAGGCATGAGAATTATTTGAACCCAGGAGCCAGAGGTTGCAGTGAGCCGAGATCGCGCCACTGCACTCCAGCCTGGGTGACAGAGTAAGACGCTGTCTCAAAACAAAACAAAACAAAACAAAACAGATAGTAATGCCTGTCTTGTGAAGACACTTGTTATGGTCTGAATATTTGTGTCCTCCCAAAATTCATAGGTTGAAATCCTAACCCCCAAGGTGATGGTAGGTGGGGACTCTGGGGGATGATTAGGTCATGAGAATGGAGCCCTCGTGAACAGGATTAGTGTCCTTATAAAACAGTCCCAGAAAGCTGCATGATTCCTTCTACCTTGTGAGGACACAGCAAGAAGGCACCATCCATGAACCAGAAAGCAGGCTCTCACCAGACACTGAGTCTGCAGGCACCTTGATCCTCATCTTCCCAGCTTCCAGAACTGTGAGAAAAAATTTACCATTGTTTATAAGCCACCAATTTATGGTATTTTGTTATAACAGCTTGAACAAACTAAGCCAAGACTCTCTGCTCATTTGCTGACTTTAATGAAAGGACACCCAAGTGGCAAGAACTGAAGGAGGCTTGTAGGAATTGGGGATGGCCTCCAGCCAGCAACCTGCAAGATCATGAGGCTGTCAGTCCTACAACTATAAGGAAGTAAATCCTGCTGACAACCTGAGTGAGTTTGGAATGCATCCTTTGCCAGTGGAACAGTTGGATGAGATGCATCCTTGGACAACACTTTGATTACAGTCTTGTAGATGACCAAGCTAAGTTGTGCTCAGACTCCTGACCCACAGAAACCATGAGATAATAAATGTGTGTTGTGTTTAGCTAAGTTTGTGGTAATTTTTTACACAGCAACAGATAGCTAAAACAGTTGATGTTTCCAAAAGCAGTTTCAGTTGAACATATTCCCACATCACCATGTACCATAAGAGAAAAAAAAAAGTTTTCACATCTTTCCACATCAGTTTGGGAAATGTTGCATTCTGTATCCTCTACCCCCTTAGAAGGGCACAGTGTATTCTGAGAAGTACCATGAAGAAACCTTGTTACATTGGAGTTGTTCCAATATTTTTCCATTATGAAGCCCTATTCAGTTTTTTTTTTTTTAACTTCTAGTAACATCCTATAAAACTGCTTTTCAAATTATCTCACCAAAAGTGGTGGTTGGAAAAAGCAAGTCTTCAAGCTGGGGAATGCATTTCCCTGAGGTACATTAAGACCTGCAAAACACACTTGCCCATTGTAGTTTTAAGGTAATCAATTTCCAGATTCTCAACTTCCTTATATTTTCTTTTCCAAACTGACCTGCCAAGAATACTCCAGAGGAGTCTTCAAATCAGTTTTCCATTCCTACTTTACAAAAAATCATCCCTCCCATCCAACCCCAAAAAATCTATAAATGACAATCAAAAGGACAATTTGAAACATTGGTTCCATATTGAGAAAGTGAATGACTTGAAGCCTGGGTATTGAATTTTTTCACAAACCAGATTCTCTCTCTCTCTCTCTCTTTTTTTTTAATCCATTTTTATTTTAGATCCAGTGGGTACATGTGCAGGTTTGTAACAAGGGTAACAAACTGTAATGCTGAGGTTTGGGCTTGTACTTATCCTGTCACCCGGATAGTGAACATATTAACTTTTAGTGTCCCCAGTATCTACTGTTCCCATCTTTATGTCCATGTGTACCCAAGATTTAGCTCCGCCTTATAAGAAAGACAATGCAATATTTGGTTTTCTGTTCCTGCGTTAATTCACTTTGGATAGTGGCCTCCAGCTGCATCCATATTGCTGCAAAGAACATTTTTTCATTCTTTTTAATGGCTTCATAGTATTCCATGGCATATATGTATTACATTTTCTTTATCCAATCCACCATTGATGGGCACCTACTTGATTCTATGTGAATAGTGTTGCAATGAACATGTGAGTGCATGTGTCTTTTTGGAAGGACATTTATTATAATTTCCCTTTAGTATATATCCAGTAATGAGATTGCTGTGTCAAATGGTAGTTTTCTTTTAAGTTCTTTGATAAATCTCCAACTGCTTTCCACAGTGGCTGAATGAATCCCATCAACAGTGTATAAGCATTTATTTCATTTTTTGCAGCCTTGCCAAAATCTGTTATTTTTTGACTTTGTAATAATATCCATTTTGACTGGTGTGAGAGGGTAGCTTATGGTGGTTTTGATTTTCATTTTTCTGACAATTAGTGATGTTGAGTATTTCTTCATGTTTTTGGGCTGCTTGTATGTCTTCTTTTGAGAAGTGTCTGTTCATGTCCTTTGCCCACTTTTTAATGGGTTTCTTTTTCTTATTTGTTTAAATTCCTTATAAATTCTGTATATTAGTTCTTTTTTGGATGCATAGACAAACCAGATTTCCTATTCTTTTCTTTCACTTTGCAGAAGAGCTTATAGCATGGGAGGAGTTGATGTGGATCATTGGAAAATACAGCCTGCCACAAATGGACATAAACGAAAGTCTCCTCATCGATAGTTAAGGTAAAATGAACTGTGTCCAAGGATATGTCTAGGCACATCACTCATGACAGAGTAAAACCGAAAGCTCTGAGCTTCTCTTGCTAAAGGCTGCCTGAGTGTGGCCATCAGTCATGAGGAAAGAAAGAAGCTGAGTAAGTGCTGGGGTTCATGTATACCCTGAGTTAACTCTTACTGCAAAGCAGGGAGGGAGCAGGTAATGAGGGAACCTAGCTCCATGCCAAACCTCTTGATATTGAATCCTCACAGCCACTCTAAAGGTTAGGTGGATTATTATACATGTTGTATAAGTGTCGGAAATTACATTTTGATAATTTGCAACACCAGAACTTGAACCCAGATTTGGGGCTTCATATCCAGTGTGCTTTTAATACCGTCACGTGAGCTTTCCCCACTTCAGCAGGAAGGCAGCAAACCAGCCCATTTCCTTTTCCTTTGTAAGGCAACTCCTTAGATTCCTTTTAGGGAGGTTTTCCTTCTCCAAGGGATCTGGAGGGCACTGGGCTCCCAGCGTGATTGAGATGCAACTTAAGCCCCTGAGCTGTAAACCTGTTCAATTACATACTTAACTTGAAAGCATAACGGCAGGCCATTTTTTTTTTTTAACCCCATGAGAAGTTTATAGAAAGACTGATGGGATTCTGGTGATCAGAAAGTACTTTTGTCTTTCTTTCTCTTTCTCCCTCTCTCCTTCCTTCCTTCCTTCTTTCTTTCTTTTTCTTTCTTGACAGAGTCTCACTTTCTCACCCAGGCTGGAGTGCAGTGGTGGATCTCGGCTCACTGAAACCTCTGCCTCCCGGGTTCAAGCGATTCTCCTGCCTCAGCCTCCCGAGTAGCTGGGACTACAGGTGCATGCCACCACATCCAGCTAATTTTTTGTATTTTTTTTTTTTTTTGAGACGGAGTCTTGCTCTGTTGCCCAGGCTGGAGTGCAGCAGCACAATCTCCGCTCACCGCAAGCTCCGCCTCCTGGGGGTTCAAGCAATTCTCCTGCCTCAGCCTCCTGAGTAGCTGGGACTACAGGCACCCGCTGCCACGCCTGGCTAATTTTTTTTTTTTTTTTTTTGTATTTTTTAGTAGAGACGGGGTATCACAGTGTTGTCCAGGCTGGTTTTGAACTCCTGAGTTCAGGCAATCCTCCCGCCTCGGCCTCCCAAAGTGCTAGAATTACAAGCGTGAGCCACCACACCCGGCCTGATTTTTTGTATTTTTAGCAGAGATGGGGTTTCACCATATTGGCCAGGCTGGTCTCGAACCCTGACGTCGTGATTTGCCCGCTCGGCCTCCCAAAGTGCTGGGATTACAGGCATGAGCCATCGCGCCTGGCCAGGAAATACTTTTCTTTTCTTTTTTTTTTTTTTTGAGACGGAGTCTCGCTCTGTCGCCCAGGCTGGAGTGCAGTGGCGTGATCTCAGCTCACTGCAAGCTCCGCCTCCCGGGTTCACGCCATTCTCCTGCCTCAGCCTCCCGCGTAGCTGGGACTACAGGCACCCGCCACCTCGCCCGGCTAATTTTTTGTATTTTTAGTAGAGACGGGGTTTCACCGTGTTAGCCAGGATGGTCTCGATCTCCTGACCTCGTGATCTGCCCGCCTCGGCCTCCCAAAGTGCTGGGATTACAGGCGTGAGCCACCGCGCCCGGCCCAGGAAGTACTTTTCTAATAAATGAAGGTATGGCTGAGAAATATTTACAGAAACTGAAAAATACAACATTATTTAAATGATGTAAGTCACTGTAAGAACTGAAACACACCAGCTTAATTTACCATGACTTTGTTTATCCATTCCTAAAGTATATTCAGTAGTTACATAGCACATGAACAAGTTAAATAAGATACCCAAGTACAGGTGCTTCATTGTCTCCGAATGAAATATACCAGGAAAAAACAATGACAAAAGACATTGTGATTTTCTCTGGAATTTCTCATGTAAGATGAAATACAGAGGCATATATGATCTACTTGTATAAATTTATTTCTCTATAGCTGGCCTATTCCCCAAAGAAGTATACATGGCTTATAAAATGCACAAAATACAATAGAAGAAAATAAACATAAGTAAGTAAAATCAGGAACAGGTAAAATATAAATTTGAATCCAAGGTTAAGACTGGAGAAAAGTAGAATGCAGACAGGTATGTCCTACTGAGTTATTAAAGTCAAGTTGCAAATTTGGCTCTGGGCTTCCTGGAGGCTAAACAGCTAGAAATTAATGGATAGACTAACAGATTTTGATATGCTATCAGTGGGAAAAATGTATTTTCCATTAGCCGTCTAATTCTTTAATACTTCACACTAAATATCCTATGCAGATAAAGTTTAAATATGGAAATTTTGTGCAAAATAAAGGGTTTGCTAATTAGAAGGAAATGTATAAAGAAGCATGTTTACAAAAGTGTTTCTCATTATGAAAACCGATGGTTTCAAAAAACATGTTATGATAAGGAAGAGAGTTTCAAAGTGTTCCCAGGTTAATCTGGGGAAAAGTAACCAAAAGCCTGCTGCTTTGAAGGTTTAATCCAAGATGCTTATCCAACCTCTTTGTTGAACAAATCTTGCAAATAAGGCCTTCTCAGAAGATTCACAGCATATTCTGTGGGAGCTTGAAATGTCATCAGAACAGGCTTTCTGATGATATTATGCAGGCATAACATCCTAACAGTTGGGGTGAGGGTGGAAGAGGAAGATAGCAAGATTGTTTCATTGCCTGGTTCTTCTGCTGTGCTGCATAACAGCTTTTCTGGCAATGACGATAGGCATAACTTAAAGGGAAAACAAAACAAATAAACAAAAGAAAGAAAACAAGAAAGCTTGACGAGAGCCCTCCGCACAAATCCTTAACAGAAATTCTTGACAATTATGGGTGTTAACAAAGCATTTCAAAAGACGATAGAATTATGACTCTCATGCAGATAAAAAACAAATGCATGTTAAAGATTTTATTTAACTCCTTGTTAAGGAAAGAACCAGAGAAATGTTACCATCAGTTCAAAGGAGAATCCAAAGAGCAGATACATTTATAGATCAGTAATACCGAAATGAATTTTAAAATGGACCTATAAGTGGCTTTTCCATGGAGGAGGAGGGCTGTTCCTCCACCAGACAATTCAGCTATATGTCCACAGACATTATGATTTGCTTTGTCATCAATTATACAATAGCTCAAAGATAATGAAAGGCTAGAATTAGGTAACCCTGGAAAGGTATCTCTAAATGAGGCACCGTTTTCCATTGGAAATACCTAGTAATCTTATTTGTTTGCTCTGAATTTCCTTATTCTGGTAAGTAAATCTGACCTCCATCCTGGACACCCCACTGGTACTAGAGAGACAGCCAGGTGGGAGGGGGTCCCTGGAGAAACTCCAACTAGCCTGCCCACTGGGGTGGAGCCTCGGGAAGTTCCCTGTTTGCAGCAGGGAGGAGCCTGGCCCCTCCTCTTTCTGTGTGGAATTTGGGATTCAAACTGCTGGGCGGGAAGAATTCTAGCAGAGGGACTCTGGCCTTATGAAAGTTCCTGTTTACCCCTTTTTTTTCCCTTTTCACCCAATAAAATCCTGCTTTACTTGCCCTTTAAACCATCTGCAAGCCTAAATTTTCATGCCCGTGGGATAGACAAGAACCCCGACTTTGGCTGAACTAAGGAAAAGTTCTGCAACATTTTTTTGAACATTTAAAAGCAAGTTTTTATTTGTTTATTTACTTATTTTTAGAGACAGGATCTCACTATGTTGCCAAGGCTGGCCTCAAACTCCTGGGCTCAAGGATCCTCCTCATCCTCTCGAGTACTGAGACTGTAGATGCCCACCACTGTGTTGGGCCTTTTTAAATTGAAAAGTTTAAGGGAAGCACAAAGTTTATTAGTTTCAGAGAAAGTCAAATGATGTACATGGGGGATAGTCATGAGTTATCCCATGAACATACAAAAATAAATGCCATTTTACCTCCTTTTTAAACTTAAACAGCTATAGGGACTTGCATTCTTGGTTTCTTTCAAACGTACAATTAAGTTATTACTGACTGTAGTCACCCTGTTGTGCTATCAAATAGCAAGTCTTATTCATTCTTTCTATGACGGAACGCTTTACTGTCTGCTATCCCACAATGATATTCACCCTTTCGTTACTCATCTTTTCCAAACCAGGCTTTCTCAATTTCACCATCCTCACCTCCCCACAGCACATCTGAGGCCCATCTGGAGAATGGTTACCAGAGGCTGGGAAGGGTAGTGGGAGATTGAGGGGAGGTGGGGATAGTTGAACTCTCGTGAGTTCAATTGTTTTCATTTTTAGAGCCCACAAATAACTAAGAACATGCAATGTTTGTCTTTCTGTTCCTGGCTTATTTCGCTTAACATAATGATCTTCAGCTTCATCCATGAAGTCCTGCAACATTTTCGGTGCCCAATGTGGGGCTCAAAAAGCGGTGAGTGAAATGGGGGATCAAAACTGTCGCTTCTCAGCCTTTTCATCCTGGGACTTCTGAGGGTGGGGAAACCATGCCCCCATCCCCCGTCGCTCCCAGGTCTTTTCATGGCCTTTGCCTTCCTTTTTAAAGGCCTTTTTCCTTCCTTTTTCAGGACCCACTGGTGAGCAGCAGCTCCCCACTCCCAGCCGGGGCTGGGACACATAGCGCAAGGGTCCCGCACAGCAGGCTGGCTGGTTTCCAGCCACGCGCGGCTGCGCAGTCTTCCCCTTCCCTCGCCAAGGGGTTTCACTCTATCAGACAGTAATTAAGCTTAACCTTTTCTCCCTGGTGGAGGAACCACTTGCATGAGAATAAGAGGTTGTTCCCCAGGTATGTTTACACCTTTTCTTTCCCCCTCTTCTCCGCCCCATCAGCAGCAAAACCTTTAAAGTTTTCTTCTCCCCTTTACTAGGTTAGGCTCCCCAACTATCACCGTTTATATTTTCTGTAAAGCTTTAATTGTGAGAAAGGATCTGTGGGGCTAGTCTTGGGCTGTGGCCAATCTGGTGTGCTCGGCGTCTTTTTGTTTGCACTGCAAGCCTCCAGCATGTTTTACATCCTGGGGGCATGGCCAGTAACCACTTGGCAAAGCTTTGTTTAGCAACCGTGCCTTAGGGAGTGAGCCCTCTCTGGTTCAGTATCAGCATGTTTTCCTAGCCCTGTCTCCTAAAGGGCCCCGCACAGCGACTGGGTTTTCTCTTGTCTGTGTGTGTGTTGTGTGTAATGTCTGTAAAAAGAGCTCTAATTAATTTGGCTTAAAGAAAGACAAGTGCTTGGATCATGTATTTTTTTTAAGGGAAGTTAAAATCTGTGGTACCTTTCAGTTCACATGACTTTAATCTTTGAGAAATAAAAACAGCCCTAAAGACTACTGGTAAAATGCAGGTCAGATAAAAGGTTTGCTAAGTGTTTTGAGGTTACCAACTGCTGCTCTTTGGGTTTTGGGAGCTATTTGACTTGCTGGCTTCACAACTGGTAAGGACTGGGGACATGTGGAACTAAACACGCTCTTAAGAGGGCAAACCTTGGCTGCAGTTAGCACACAATTAAAGCAACTTACCAAGCTTTACCTTAAAGTTAAAAATTGCAAGGTGTTACCATTAGAACATGTAATTGAGACTACTGAAAATAGATTTACAATCAACGTGTGTAAAAACAGCAAAATTTTTACTGTGTTTGTGTGTGTGTGTGTGTGTGTGTTTTGGTAAAAGGTTATAAGAAGGCATGGAAATGTAAACTTTGGCCTAGGGTTAAAGGATTGTTTTGAGTTAGATAGGAAAAGCTGAAGGTTCAAAGAAGTGGTGGAAGAATTGTGGAAATTAATCTTGCAGAAGAGGTTCCCTGTGTGAACATATTGACTAAATTCAAAAAAGGATATTATTACATTGTTTTTCTGTAAGTTGAGCATTGAAACAAAAGGACGACAAGGTTTTCCTAAGGCGCTAGTCTGCTCTTTGGCAAAATTTGTAAAGGGTTATAAAAGGTTTTTGCTTCTTTAAAATTTCTGAGTAATCATTTTGGCACAATAAATAACTCATGGTATTCTGGAATTCTATTTCATAATATCAAGTGTTTTGAACCTTGAACATTTAACAGCCTTCCCCAAATCACACTTTAGTTTCAAAATTGTCTTCCTTGGCACCTGGCTTTTTGAATGCTTCAGAGGGCCTCTGAAGTGTCCAGGAAAGAGAGGTAAACAGGATTATTTGACATGTTTAGGTACATGGGAATGCCAAAATGATGCTCAGTCTTCTTTAAGTTATATCTCGGTGAATAATTCTAATATATGTTCCCAAATTGTATGGGATTTCTAAATTTCTAATGTCTGAGTATATGCTGTCAATCGTAATTAAGGTAGTTATGTTAAGTTATTGAAACCACGGAGATAACCAAACTTCTTTGTCAATTGTGTTTCTAACTGTAACTAAACTGGACATTTTGCATTCACAGACAATTGTCTTGTTTTAATCCTTTTCAAAGATGGTCTATAATGAGCTATAGAACTTTAAAATGTGCTCTCAAATGCAGGCTTCTGATAACTTTAGAGATTGTAACATTGGAATAAAGGAAAATGTACAGGACTCATGAAGAGCTGAAATGTTTATGAATATCAAGCAAAACAAGAGTTAACTAAATGGACTGAACTCAGGAAGCTGAAGCAATCTTTTTAACCTTTGCTTGGAATATTGCAGATCCTTGTTTTGTTTTTCACAGTTAAGGAAAGTTATTTTGGGCTATTTATGGCTTTTAATTATTAGGCAAGGTATACTCCTATGATCAAAATTTGGAGCATGTTTGTTTCTCTCTGGCTGGTTCCTCTAAGAATTTGGAAACTATCTGTGAGCATTCTTAACTTACGGCAATATAGGTGTTTGCATCAGTGCAGTAAGAATCCATTTTGCTTTTGCAACAGGACGTGATTGGAGAAAATGGTTATTTTACCAAGGCTTTGATTGGAAGGGTATGTTTCCTTTTAAGGAGTCAATCTTAACTTGCAGAGCCAATAAAAGCCCCGTGGGGAAACTGGCCTCATACCCTTGTCTTTGCAGTCCCTGTACAGGGTTCCTGGCTTGTGGTCAGTAAAGAATGTCACTTTCTAACAGGTCTAGGAGCTCCCAGTTTATCTTGGGACTTTAAGAGGAAAGGATTACCCAACTCACAGGTGCCTGAGAATACAAACTCATGGTTGGGCTTGGCTTTAAAAGGTCTTATCGGAGATTCCTTGTGGAACAAACTTCCATCAAAGCCAATCCAAAAGGCCTATGTAGAAACAATTATTCTTGCTGCACTTTATGCAAATAATCAGGCCAAGAATAAGACTATAAAGCCTGTTTTGCAAACCATTAAGTCCTATGATGATTTTTTTTTTTAACACAAATGAGGACTGGAGAGAGATCATGTTTTAAAACTTATACATTTGTCATTAAATTCTAAACTCATTAGTTTTTAAGTTTTTGCCTACATTTTAGAGTAACCCTACTTGTTCCTGGGAACCAACCAGCAATCTTCAGCTGCAGCTCAGAAAGAACAAGAGGGGTGGGTAATGTAGAAATCTGGATCAATATTCTAGTTCCGAGCAATTATCCTGCAAATCCTGCCAGGTGAGGGAATAAATAGGGTGCCCATCACCTGGCAGTTTTCTTTTTGGGAAAGTAAAACCAAGGGAGCTAATTGAAGCCAAGCATCATGCACCCTAATCCTGGCAAGCATAACTATAGCTGCCAGTTATATGGGTATGTCACGAGACATCCTTTCTCTTTCTTTTTGGAGGTGGACTCTGTTCCACAGTTTCACTTTAGCATTCAGCTTATAATAAGGAGTCCATGCAACCCCCTGAGACACACTTTTGTCCCTGACTCAATTCCAAGCTTCAGGTCAGAGCCCTAGAAAAGAAAACTGGATCTGAGGGATCCAGAGGCAGATGATAACGGAAGTTAAAAGGCACAGAGCAGGTGAGCATGGCCGATTCCTGCTGATTAAGCCAAGCCCAAGCTTCCTGTTTCATGGATAAAGGCCACGTTAATATCCCTGGCATAAATGGGGTTAGGGAACTCCCAGGCTACTGAAAGTAGGTTGGAAAGAGCCATAGGTGAGAGCAGATAATTCCTATTCTCTAGGACCTCCCTGCTTCATGGGTGCAAGTTGCTTTGACACCCATGGCGGCACCTGCCAAGGTCACCGGGACTCAGGGATGCAAGGATGGAAGAGGGAATGAGGATGCTCTTCCTTCTCTCCCTCACATACCCCGAGTATCTGCGAGGAAGAGAAGGGAACCAGGGATGCCTGCTCCCCTCTTTCTAGATGGGTAGCCATTCATCTTCAGTCTGCACTCCTTTCGAATGCATCTTGAACCCTTGGGACTCTTTTAAAAAAGAGTCGTCTTTTTTCTTTCTTCTCCTCGGTTCTCTCTTCACTAATAGGTAATTGTGACTCCATACTATGGGACACCCCCCTCAGCTGCATCCTCCAAACTAGAAAGAGTTAATTTCCCAAACCTTAAACTACTTGGCTTGGGATTGGATTCAGAGGAAGGGAGCTCAGAAGCCCAACATGCCTGCAAAAGGGTAAAGTATTTTTGCCAGTCAGGCTTGTCGCCTCCCCTTCCCTGTGCAAACTGGTAAAAGGCCTTGGAATTTTTTGAGCTGTCCTTACCCCTCCCCTTATTTTGTTTTGACACATGTTTTCTAATAACCTGGTTTGTCTGTTCTTGTCTTCAGGCCATCAGACTCCAAACAGTTATGCAACTGGAGCCTCCTGAGGATGACCCCTTCTGCCTGGGACCCTTAGATCAGCCTCTAGAGAAGCTTTGACTGCTGTTTCCCCAAAACAGCACCCCCTGCCATCAGGAAGCAGTTAAGATTGGCCTTCATCCTTATCCTTAATCTACTTCTTTAGAGAGGGGAATGAGACAGCCAGGTGGGAGGGGGTCCCTGGAGAAACCCCAACCAGCTGCCCACTGAGGTGGAGCCTTGGGGAGTTCATGCTGTTTGCAGCAGGGAGGAGCCTGGCCCCTCCTTTTCCTATGTGGAGCTTGGGATTCAAACTGCCAGGTGGGAAGTGCTCTAGCAGAGGGACTGTGACCTAGTAAGAGTCCCTGTTTTGCTCTTTTTTCCCTTTTCACCCCATAAAACTCTGCTTTATTCACCCTTTAAACCATCTGCCAGCCTAAATTTTTGTGGCTGTGGGATAGACAAGAACCCCGTCTTTAGCGGAACTAAGGAAAATCCTGGAACACTAGCAGTGCCAACCTTTGGGGCATTTTGAAGACTATTGTATTCTTTTTCTGTTTGTTTTTGAAATGGAGTCTTGCTCCGTCTCCCAGGCTGGAGTGCAGTGCACTGCTACCTCTGCCTCCCAGGTTCAAGCAATTCTCCTGCCTCAGCCTCCCAGGTAGGTGGGATTACAGGCATGCGCTACCATGCCCAGCTAATTTTTGTATTTTTAGTAGAGATGGGGTTTCGCCATGTTGGCCAGGCTGGTCTTGAACTCCTGACCTCAGGTGATCTACTCGCCTTGGCCTCCCAAAGTCCTAGGATTACAGGCGTGAGCTGCCAATTGTGTTCTTTATCATACTTCCTGGGATTCATAAATGAAGCACTAGCCTTCAATCTTGAAGGAAACAAAATAGGGGGTCCTGGTCAGAGTCCTGATGTCCGTGGAACCTCATGATCTGCCCTAATAACACATCTTTTGATGTGTTTCTGGCTTTAACCTAAGATTTAGGCGTTTGATGAAGGGATGGGATTCGAGAATGTGCAGATCTCATCAACGTCAATAAGTCTGTCTTGTTTTAAGCCCTGTTGTATAAGTGTCAGTTTGCCCCACAAGAACAGTTACTGAATGCCACAGTTTCAAAACAATGCTCTAGTCATAAGTTTAAGAACTCAGCAAACAAAATTAATCAGACCTTTTTTCTTTCCCTCCCTCCCTCCCTTCCTTCGTTCCTTCCTTCCTTCCTTCCTTCCTTCCTTCGTTCCTTCCTTCCTTCCTTCCTTCCTTCGTTCCTTCCCTCCTTCCTTCCTTCCTTCCTTCCTTCCTTCCTTCCTTCCTTCCTTCCTTCCTTCCCTCCTTCTTTCCTTCCCTCCTTCCCTCCTTCCCTCCTTCCCCTCTTCCCCTTTCCCTGTCTTCTGATGTCAGAGACTGGCTACCTGTCTTCCTGGCTTCCTTTGTAGTGAGGGGTAGCCATGTGGCTGAATTCTGGCCAAAGCCTTTCAGGCCCATTTCTCCTCCCTCCTCCCTGCCAGCTGGATGCAGAGGACTCCAAGATTCATGGGAGGATGGAGACCTATTTTGATAGAGCTTGGGTCCCTGAATGATTATGGGCTTTTGGCCTGAGTGAGAAGTGAACATATATTATATTAAGCCTTTGATTTTTGTGATTTATTTTCAATAGCATCTAGCATTAACTTAATGAATAAACATCCTCAATTTCTGTTGAATTTAAAATTTGAAAAATAGGCAATATAGTCACATTGTTCAAAAATCAAAACAATATAAAAGCCACACATTGACACTCTCACTTCCACTCTATTCTGTCCACCGTGCTCCATGCTCTCGTTTCCCAGCCCTATGGTGAACTACTTTAACAGTTTCTTGGATCTCTTTCCAATGTTTGTTTATGTATATAATACAAAAAGTACATGTCAATGATGTATATGAATATGTTCTTTTCTTCCCTTCATAGCTCAAAGGTAGCATACTATTCAGACTGTTTTGTATTTTGCTTCTTTTGCATGACAAAATCTCCTGATGACCTTTCCATTGTGGTGTATAAAAGACTTCTCACTCTTTCATAGTTGCATAGTATTTCATTGGGTAAAGCATAGATTATTTACTAGTCATCTATTGATGGACATTTGTCAACCCATCTCCTTGAAAGTAGTTATGTAATTGGAATAAATCAGTTTCAGTTTAGGATTTAAGCCCAGGCCTAGTTGACTGCAGATCCTAGGCACTACCCCACCTTCTTTAGGAAGAGACAGGCACTTGGAAGAGTCTTTTCCTTATTCACAAAAGGCAACAATATAAGGCATGAAGTGGGAGTCAGCTAACCAAAATAAAGTGAGGGTGAGGTTGAGTGGACTTGCCCTTATCACACCAGATGGCAGGAGAAAGACACGACCACCTCTTTCAGCTGTCTCCACATAGTATCTGTGTCAACAGAGCACTACAATTGTATTTGTACTCCAAGGCCCTGTTTATCCTGTCTCTAGTGAAACACCACTTTTGAGACCATCACTAATTTACATGTCAGAACCAACTCTTTCAGCCTCTATCCCTCACTGGCGAAGAAACAAACAGTCTACTGATTTTATTGCCAATTTAAGAATTTACACTGCGCACAGTGGCTCACACCTGTAATCCCAGCACTTTGGGAGACCGAGGAGGGTGGATCATGAGGTCAGGAGTTCAATACCAGCCTGGCCAACATGGTGAAACTCGGTCTCTACTAAAAATACAAAAAATTAGCTGGGTGTGGTGGCACACACCTGTAGTCCCAGCTTTTCAGGAGGCTGAGGCAGGAGAATCGCGTGAATCCAGGAGATGGAGCTTGCAGTGAGCCGAGATCATGCCACTGCACTCCAGCCTGGGTGACAAAACAAGACTCTGTCTCAAAAAAAAAAAAAAAAAGAATGTATAGCTCAGGGCCTCCACTCTGTCTTCTCTCTCTGCCTCTTCCACATTTTCTCTAGGATGTCTAAAACTAGACTCTGCATCCTCATCTTCCTATATCTTCCAGAATCAAAGTCAAGGAGCCACTGTTGAGTGTCCTAAACCCTAAAGGCCAGAAACAAATCTTACAGGTTCTTTCTTCACAATGTTCCTCACATGGCGGAGGAGGAGGCATGATTTGAACATAGCTTTGTGTGATTCCAAGTGCTGAGTGCTAAATGCTCTTCTATGCGGTATAAATTAGTTATTGCAGATGGTTTAGCACATAGACACTGTTCCCACACCAGTGTTCCCACCATTCTCACAAATAACAAAACACACTGAGAACACATTAAGGCATCCATCCTGGAAAAGATTAGGAATTGTGTAGTCCGGTGGAATCCTAGATCTTTCGACAATAAAAGATCCCTAGAGATGAACTTGTCTCACAGGCTGCTTTCACAAATGAAGAGACAGTATCAAAGAGGCTGGGCCTTGGTCAAGAGTGACACAGATGAGCAATGGGATTTTAGCCTTCTGATGTCCCTTGCATTTTTGATTATGTTTCAAGCCTCACTTTCAAAAGTTTGTATTATTAGCCATGCTTTTAACTGCTCTTAATTTAAAACTTTATTAATAGGCTGTTGTTGACCTGCATAAGTAGTCCTTAGTTTAATTTAGGCTAAAAGAAATCATTCATCACTGTAAAACCATTGACCTTTGCAGCTGTGAGTACTGCAGGTTCCTGTGTTGTTTTGAAAGCAGTGCTGAGCTTCGTGAGTAGGGGTAAGGGAAGGCCGGCTCCCTAGGCTGAGATGTGGAGAATGACTGTGTATTAGGCCATTCTCAAATTGCTGCAAAGAAATGCCTAAGACTGGGTAATTTATAAGAAAAGAGGTTTAATTGGCTCACAGTTCTACAGGCTGTACAAGAAGCATAGTGCCAGAATCTACTTCTGGGAAGGCCTCAGGAAGCTTTAACTCATGGAGGAAGGTGAAGCAGGAGCAGGCACTTCACATGGCAAAAGCAGGAGTGAGAGAGTGTGGGCAGGAGGTGCTACACACTTTTAAATGACCAGATCTCATGTGAACTCAGATTGAGAGATCACTTATCACTGAGGGGATGGCCCAAGACATTCATGAGGGATCTGCCCCCAGGATCCAAACACCTCCCCCCAGGCCCATCTCCAGCTTTGGGAGATTACATTTCAACATGAGATTTGGGTGGGGACAAATATCTAAACTCTATCAGACTGCATATGCTTTGAGCATGCCAGTCCTCTTCCTACTGTTTCCCCTGAGCATCTAGAATATTGCTGATCCCAAAGCTTCTTTGTCAATGTTGCAGGGCACATGAGTGCATCCCCAAGAAAACAACATAGATAAAGACAACCATTTTTCGTTATCCTTTGATGCTCAGCCAGATTTTTCCACCCCGGTGTAAATTTAATACCCTACTCACAGGGTTGACCTATACAGACTTAATCCATGACCTGTCAGAAAGCTTGTTCAACTTGTATTGTCACAAATTATGACTTAAAGAAATGCAGTGCCAGAGTAAAAATTGTTGGGCTGCTCCATCCTTAGGAGAAGAGGGGAGTGGGGAAGGCAGATCCATGTGTAGTCCCCTACTTTGTAGGTTCAGACTCAGTTTCACCCATTATCCTTGGGACCATTGGGCATTAAGCATAATTGGTTCAAGATAAACAAAGGTGGTGATGCTGATTTTCTCTGTTGAAGGATGTACCCCCATCCTCCCAAACAGGGAGGATGAAACAGGATTCTTACCCATCTCTGACCACCTGAGCCCACACTAGAATAATCATTGTATTTCATCCCCTTGGCATTTCTCACAAATGAGCATATAATCCAAATCTGAACAATAGGAAGTATTCTTTAAGATTTCCTTTGTTGGAATGAGCAAAATCACTTTTTTTCCATCTTCCTTGTGAGCTATAAACTATGACCTCAGAGCTGCCAGCATCTTTCCACACATAGAAAAGCCCCAAACAATGACAAGAACAGAATGTGGAGTGCTAGGTTCCCTAGCCTGCAGGCCTCAAAGCAGCCCTGGTTCCTGATATTCCTCCTTTGCAAGCCAAACTGATCATTTTCCAGACAACCTCTTTGCTTAGCGTAGGTTGGGTTCATGTAAAATAAAGAGTGCTGGCTATGCACTGTATTCCCAAGAGTTTGTTTTATAAACTAGGCTGTCAATTTTAAAAATTTATGCTAAGAAATAACTGCCAAGAAGATTGGGGTTTTACTGTAGGCTGGGTAGCTCATTCTCTTCCCTAGAGGACAGCCTATGTGGGAAACCAAATAATGATGAAAAGATTGCTTCGCAAGTGCAATGTCGGGATAAAAGGAGTCGGACAATCTCAAGGGGGCACTTTTGACAATCTGTGGCGCTTTGGGGACATAATGCCTGCTAAGGAGGGCAGAACAATTCTGCCAACTAAACAAGGCCCTGCTCCCTTGCGTAGTTCTTAGAGGCACACTGACAGTTCTTCTTTCCAACTTTCCTCTTTAATATTTCTTATCAATCACCAAATGATGTATACCTCTGGGACTTTGCCCATTGCCATCACCATCCTCCCCCAACCCAAAGCCTCTCACTGCCACCCACCCCTTTTCTCTTCTCTGATTGTAGAAATTCATCTTCTTGAATCTGACAGCCCACACCAACTCTTCTGCGAGGCATTCCTGTTTCTGCCCAAATCAGACTTTAATCCCACCCTCTCCTGTGCTTCCCTTTCGGAGCAAATTGTGCCCATTTTGCAGTGTTGCAAGCTGTGGCTGTGTTATGTCTTCTAGAATATGAGTTCTTTGAGGACAGGGATAATGAGTTCAATCTTACCCATTCTTTGTGACCCCCAGTTTCTAATGTAATTCATTGCAAATAGTAGATGCACAAAATACATGTTGGGTGTTGCATATGGTAACATTAATTAGTGAAGTTTATTATTTGTTTCATTCATTACAGAGAATTGGGTTGCCCAGGACTTTTTGAGTAACAAGGGACAGAAAATCAAACTAACTTGAAAGAGTTTGGGGTGAAGACCTCAGAAGCAGGCTTGAGCAACCCAATGACAGGAAGGGCAGGGACATGGCTGAGGCTGGAGGACAGCTGGTCCCAGGATTGTGGACATGCTGAGACTTTCTGTCTTTTGTCTCTGTATTGCTCTCCAGTACCAAGGCAGACTGTCTTCCTCCTCACACGGGGGAATGTGGATGCTGACAGGCTTAGAGCTTCACATCTCATAATGTTTGCTACCCACAGGAACTGAAAAATTCCCCAGCTTGAGATGAGAAATTCCTGTAGGATTAGAGGGGATATGAGGTAGATTGTGGCATTGGCCCCAAATCTTTATTTCTCCCTGAATCTTTATTCTTTGATTTTCACTGTGTAAGTTCTCCCCAGAAGATAGGCTACATTTCCCACCTCTTGACTTCATGTTTGGATGAAGTGGAGATAGCAGAGTGTCCGGCCTCAAAGGCCTCTTCTGCTTCTGCCTTGCTTTTGTTCTTTGGCTATTTCATGAGAAGGACATGCCCAGGCCAGCTCTCAGGTCCCAGGATGGGATAAGAGGCATGTGGAGCAGAGCCACCCAGCTTGGTCCAGGCTGCAGATGCTGACCCCCAGCTCACCCTAATTGCATGAGCGAGCTCAGCCAAGATCATCAGAGCTGCACAGCTGAGCCCAGCTGCCACTCATGTGACACCCAGACCAGGGAAAATAAATGATTGTTGTTTTTAGCCGCTGAGTTGTAAACCTAGAATTTTTGAGGCAATAGTTAATTGATACAAACTAAGTCTCAGGTTTGTGACTTCCTAGCTACCTGACCTTGGGGGAGGTACCTACCCATCTGTATTTCTCTCTCTACCTCTGTAAAATGGGGACGGTAACAGCATAGAATTGTTGTGAGAATAAAAGTTGTTAAATATACAATGTCTGGCACATAAAAACACGAGTATATTTTAGTTATGATGGTGATGATGATGATTACTCTTTCACATGCCCACTCACAAACAGTTGTTGCTAGGGAGGTGGGCGGGGTCCTAGGAAGTGACCTTGCTCGGGGAGGTGTTCATCCCTGGACGAATCCAGTGAGGACAGAGGAGTGGAGGGTCTGTAAAGACATTGCGGCTGGTTGGATGTGGTGGAAGAAATATTCCCCAGAAGACATGAGTGCTGATGCTAAATTAAGATGAGAGGAAGTTTGGGCAGACAAAACAAAAAAAGGTGCACTTCGAACATTTTAGTTATTTCTAAAATCATAGTTTCATTGGAAACTCTGGATCGCAACAAATGACTTCAGACACATAACATAGAGCAAGGAGCATGAGTGCATCCCATCTCCTCTGTTTACTAGGCATTTAATCTTAGGGAAGCTTGAATGAAAATAATAATTCCCATCTCCCAATGTGGTGTTAGGAATTAAATGAGATAATGTATGTAAAACAAGTGGGCTAGTCCATGACGTATAGCAGGCACTCAGTAAGTGGTAGCTGTTGTTGTGGCTGGTATCCTTGACCCCTCTGTGATGGGCTATTTCTCATTAGCTTCCACTGAAGGAGGGGAGCCTTCATGACCTTGCCTCTTGCATTTCTGGAGTTCCCTCCACTGACTGCAGCCTAAAGCACATGCTGTTAAAGTCATGTTTGTGAAGTCTGAACGTGAGCAAGGTGCATCAATTCTAGCGCAATTAATGTTGAACATGTCCATGCCTCTAGTTTTTCAAAGGTGGCAGCCTCAGAAGAAACCCTGTGATATCTGACCTGGAAATCCTTTTTGGTGCAGAATCTGAATTGCAAAGCTGTTATTAAAACCTGCAAATGATCAGCAGTGGTAAATGGGAGACGTTAACTGCCTGTAACTCTCTTTGTCTCTCCTTGGCTGACACTCCTGACTGATGCTGGGAAAATGGCGAGCAGCTCGCTATGCTGGGCTGTAATTAGTGTATGCCTGGAAGTGCAGACCTTTTCATAAATAGAACTTTGTGGGGAATTGCTCATTATTCCCGTGATTTTAGGAAATAAAGAAAGACCCCAATTAGTTTTCAATCTCAAGAAAGAAAAAGAAGCAACAAGCAGTTTTCCTCTGGCAACAAAGAGAGAGAGAGAGAACCTGGTCATACCCAGGGTTATGTCTACAGGAATCACAATCTGATGGAGTGGATTTTTCCCCTCTCATCCCCATGCATGGCAGCAAATAGACACAATCTCTATCTTGCCCAGAGAAAGATGAAGATGTGTCTTAATAGGCTGGCATTTCTGAGCACTAAAAGCAATCACCCTTTGTCATAACATGTGCTGCCATCAGGAAACTGGGGAGAACAGTTGATAGTGTTTGAATGAAAAGCTTTACCTTGAAGAGGAGATGATCAAAGAAAGTGTTTGATGTCACTATGTGGAGTTAAACTGCCATTCATAATTGTAAATATATTGTTTGGATAAATTAAAAAGTTTTCATCATGGTAAGTGTATGTTTGAACATGGGGTGTGTTGTAGTACTGGCAGAGAGGTGGGAGGGTTGTAAGTGGAGCTCAGTGGGCTAGAATGTTCTAATACATTGCTGAATTTCAGAAAAGTGGAATTGTGCACGATGGGTTGTTCTGGTGCTTGGCCACTAGTTCATCAGAGGCGACAGAAAGACATCAGCAGGCTCAGGCATCTCAGCATATCCACAGAAATGTCACTGCACTTGCTGTCCTTCAGAATAATTGGTTAATTCTCAGCCTGGGAAGGGGCTTCAGTGAACTATGGAGATGCTGTGATCACACAGCACCAGTGGTCCCGGCACACAGGGGTTTATTCCAGTGGCTTTGCAGGGAGTACATGATCAATGGCTGTTTTTGAAAGATCTTGATTTGGGGTAAATTTACTTTCCCATCATGAATGCCATGCTATCAGAAAGACAAATTAATTTAACATGAGTGACTTAGTGCTCCCTTATGAATTACTTTCCAATTGTTTTTAATAGCATCTCTTTATCTCTAGCACAAGAAAACACAGTTGACCTTTAACAGCCTCTTTTATAAATGAACCCAATTGCAGTTCAGCTTTCCCACTTTCAGATCTTTATCTCCTGGCACCTTGAATCCAAACTCATCTGGATGCAGGTCCAGCTGTCTCTCTAATGGTATCTATCCATTAATTAAACACTCTGTGCTTAACAGCTTGCACACCAGCAGCGTAAAGGATGAGAAGGCAGTTCTCCTTTAATCTACAAATATTTATTTTCTTTTGGGAGGATTGGTTGGGAGAAGATTAAGTGTACAGGAGGATGACCAGCTTATGGAGAATATGTATGTTTTGGTGGAAGTTTCCTGCCGAGTCACATCAGGTGCAGTTCGTAAACAGGAAGGCTGGCTCCTATTCCCTGCAATCATAAATTATGAAATACCAGTTAAAACAAGCATCTGGACTGAGGAATGTGTCTTTGTCCTCTCAGTATTTTAATGAATGCATGTGAATGAGTTTACAGGGAAGAGTGAATATAACTCAAATGGAATTGGACTCTGATATTTATGGGCTCCTGTCTGCACAGGAGCCGGGTCATGGCTTGTATATTCTTATCTTGCCACAGAGCATTATGGGGGAATCCTTAGTCCATTTACCTTTTTCTGTGTTTCTCAGATTCATTCATCACTGAATTGTATAAAAACTTCCCTGGAATAGCAAAATAACAAGTTGAAAGTTAGGCACAGCGTTAGCTTTTTAAAAATATAATTTTTAAATACAGAAGGAGTATACGAGTGTGGTAGAATATTAGAAAACACAGAAAAGTAAAACTAGCAGAATAAATAGACTATATTGCAAATGCCTAAAGACTGAACAGTAGATACATCTTCCCAGATAACTTTTTATGTCTTTGGGATATATATATGTATATAATGTTGGGGGTAATCTGCTTCTTTAGTTAATAATGTCTATTTTTCAATTCAGTATTATTTTATCTCATCAAACACCAGAGTATATTCACATTTTTATAATTGTCTCAAAAATGTTCCTTATTGCATTTAATTGTTATACCTCTAAGATCTCTTTCAGTCTGCTGTGGTACATTGTTTCATGCACTAACGTGTCAGAAAGAATGGACCAGTCATCCAGGAGGGTGACTAAATTAAACTAAGCTCCATGGCTTAGTTTAGTTTCCCTGGTTAGCAGAGCCTGAGATAAGGACTTGGCACCAAGTAGTTTTGGGAATGTGATCCCATGAAGCAGAAGTTAAGGAGCAGGAAAACAAACAGGAAGAAGGAAATGTTGATGGAGAGATAGATGTGTTATTAAAGTTGCCATTGTAAGCAATGGGGTTCAATTCCGCCAGGATCTCTGAGAAAGATCCAGAATGCCCCTGGAATTGCCCACCTGGAAGACAGGAGTCTGAGGTATTTCACTATCTCCTTTGGGAAGGAAGACATTAACTCCTCTCTGCTTTGAGCTGTGCTTGTACAGGCCTGGAGCTTATCGGATATCAGAGAACATCTTGAGCAAGAACATGGAAACACTCACCCAGCATCTCTCCCTCTAGCTGCAATCAGAGGTAGGCCAAGGGCATGTGATGTGGGCACTGGAGCCCGTGTTATAGATTTGTCTGGGAAGACTAGATATTGTCTTCATTGCTGAATTCACAGGGAAGATTCCTGTTAGGAACACAGCATGCTCAACTGTGTTCAAATTTGTGAATTTTAGAATACACAAAACTGCTATTAAAAACAACTCTGTCTAGAAGGCAACTCCAGAAGGTTGTTACTATTTAGTAAAGACTTACTGCATAAGCCTATCTTTCACATGATTTACAGAATGCAGCTATGCATGTAACTTCTTTTTGGCGTCATGGAATTGCATTAGACATCAAATGAGTGATATAGAAGCAACTTAGGGGGAGGACTGTTGAGTCGGTAGGGTTGGAGCCCCCTCAGCCTCTGTTTGCAAGAGTTGATGGGCCTGAGTGGAAGTAAACTTCAGGAAAGCCAGAAACAGGGGCGGAGACGTCCAAGCCAGGTTTGCTGCTTCTGGGGGGACTTATGTCGAGTTCTGTAAAGAGGGACTAGAGGCTGAGACTGGTGGAGCTGTTTCTGGGAGGGAATGTGGGGCGAGGGGCATGGACAAAGTCGCCCTTGTGCCCGGGTGCTGCATGGAGAGGAGCATGCTTCTGCTTCCTCAAGGGCCACAGGGCCACACTAGCTCCTTAAAAGTTAGGAAAAATCAGGAAATTGATCCTGGAAACAGACCTTCAAGTTCTCATAGACGACATGGCTAGGAGGGCATCATCTTCAAGTGCCTTTGCAGGTAGCAGTTACAAAGGAGCAGACCGAAGAGAACATGGCGGGTGCTGCAGTGTAACTCTGGAGTGATCTGACAACTGGCTACGGGAGCACATTAGGGTGACCCCCTGCAGACTCCCCAAAATAATTGAATCAGACTTTACAGGGTGTTGCATAAGTAGATGGAATCAATGCCATTGAAATTAGTGTTCACGTAGATACTGTGAATCTCGCTTCTTTCCACGTAAGAGTAAGGCCTAGGAGATACGGGTTACAAATAAATCATGATAGAACCAGAAGCGCACCTCATTGGGCCTGGTGGCTCAGGGCCCTTAACCTGTATCGTAAAGCCTCTGTGGCATGTGTTTATAACACTATCACAATAGTGTCTAGCTTGTGATCATATCCTCCTAAAATGTGGAGTATTATTACGGATTACACTGTGGAGGTTAGAAACCCCTCAAATGTGACACATAATTATGGAAAGAGCCAGTCCTATTGCTCTCACCCACCCTTTGTTGGCTGGCTTATCTCTGTGTGGGTATTGATCACTGCTGGGAGAAAGGTTGTATATTCAACCCCTCTGCCAAAGCAAGGAGATTTATCTGAGTACAAGTAATGGAAGGTGACAAGAAGAGGGAAAATATGGCCAGGAATCAGCTACATTTGATGAGACAGTGATGTCTGGAGGAGTCGGTGACAAAAAAAGAGGAAAATCAGAGCACTGTCACTCTGCAGAGCACGGCCAGCAGCACCTGCAGGTGATGTATGATGATACAGGCCCCCGTGTGCTACCTTCCTAAACTGGGCTATGTCAGCCTCTCATGAACAAGCAGATTTATTGTATTGTCACTGCTGCATCAACGAGCAAGGAAGTTGTAAGGATTGTGGGTAATAGAGTTTTATTTTTTTCTGGTTAAAGCCAACAGCCTACCTCCTTTGTCTCAGCAAGCAGGGGACTCACAGACAGAACAAATTGGAGTTTATACATACACTGATTATATTCCTATCCTTCCATGTTTTGTTATCATATGTTTTTGATTTTTGTTGTTACAAAAATAATGAAAATAACACAAATTATAGTAATATATAATATGTGAAGAATAAGCTTTATCTTCTGTGTTTCCTGCTGTTCCTATATTTTTACAAATTATCTATGATTACTTATATTTTTAGTTATTGTGAGCTAATAATAAAATACACCTGGGGAGAGAGTTTGTCAAGGTGCAGAGGGGAGTGTTTGTATACTCTTGGTGGCAAAGTCATTTGGTGCATTGTTTTAGGAGACAGTTTGGAAATATGTAGTTGAATTTAAAATGTGAACTCCCTTTGATCATGCAATTTCACTACTAGGAAAACTCTTCTACTGATATGCTTGTATAAACATGCAAAGGTAGATAGAAGGATGATCACAAAAGTGCCCTTTAGAAATGAGAAATTGAAAACAAACTAAACATTGGTCAGTAAAAGAATTGATTAAATAAATTATAGTGCAACTTCACGATGAAATATTACTCAGTATTAAAACAAGTAGTGTGCATTGAAAAAAGCAAGCCCTAGAACAGTTTGTGGTGTATAATTCCATTTTAAAATATATATACATGTGTGGATCCCAGTAATGAGCACCTGCAGTCCCAGCTACTCGGGAGGCTGAGACGAGAGGATCCCTTGAGCCCAGGCATTCGAATCCAGCCTTGTCAACATAGTAAGGCCCTGTCTCTAAAGAAGAACAAAACATTACACACACACACACACACACACACACACACACACACACACACACGTATGTATGTGTATATTATTATATATACCTGTGACATTTCTGGAAAGGAATAAAAAGTTGGAACTATCACTCTGGAAAATGTAACTGAGGGGTGGTTGTAGAGGCGAAAATTAGATACTATTGTACAAGGTGAAAACATAGTACCAGCATCTTTTACTTATGTAAATTTTAAACACTCAAAAATAAAAAGCGAAAGGGACTATAATTATCTTTCAGGATTTGTTTTGAACACAGACTGCCTCAAGATAGGTAGGTGACCCAAATGACTAACTGAGGAACATCCTTTCATGTGATCTTATCCCCACTGAGTAGGTGTTTCCTTTCTTCTTTTTACATTCAGTATAATTTTCAGCAACTGCAAAATATGTCAAGAAGGGGGAGAAGTAAATTGAGTAAAAATGGTTGTATGGAATTAGAAGAAAACACCTATAAATGGTAGGGAAAAAAGCCTTGTTGACAGTCATCAACCAAGAGGAGTGTACCATCTACTTTGAAATTTTTTCATTTTATTTTAAATTAAAAAAAATTTTTTGAATGGCTGGAGTTCTAGCAGCCAACTCGCTACTCTTGACTGCCTTTTCTGACTATTTTTGTCTGAAGCTACTGACAATGCTATTTTGACTGAACTCATGGTCATTTCAACCACATTTAATTCTCAAGAAGTAGAAGTTCTTGTTAATATTCTTTCCCATGTATAGCTGTTGCTGATGTTCTCGCAGGTGAGGGGGAGCCAAATTGTTTAGAAAGAACAGTATCTCCAGTTCTTGGAAGGATTTTGAGCTGAGAGACCACCAGAGATGTCACCACTGTTTGATGTTACTTGCAAAAAAAAAAAAAAAACAAATTCTTTTCAAGAAGCCTATACATAACTGGTTAAAGTGAACTTTTTGATTGAATGAACACTTTATTAAATTGACTACTTCGCTGGTATTGTGAAGTATTTTCTATGTGTTAGGTCCTGCTAGACACTGGGGGTATAAAGATAAAAGTACGTATTCTTATGAACTTTACAATATAGTTGGAGAAGTAAAGACATGATCCACAAATTACAATATAACATGTTAATTGCAAGGAAGTGAGTGGGTACAAGCTGTAGTCAGCAGGAAACACACACGCTGATATTTATAACTGAAAAACACACGGTCACTTTAGCTTATTAATTAGGCTGGAAAGAATCTACTATGTAGAAACCATCCTAAGCATTTTCTAAGAGGAGCTATACGTTGTTGTAAAATCAAAACCTAATGGTGGGGATGGTGATCCTGGAGGGGAAAAAAAAACATAGAATGTCATGACTGTCCATTTATGACACTCATCCTGTTTTCATTCTTGGAAGGTCCTCTTTTTCTCCAGATAATGTTGCTATTAAAAACTCAGTGTCCTTTTGTGTAGTTTTACAACTTAGGTAATTGAGAAATATTTTCCTTCTGAATTTTGCACAAGAAACAGACAATTAGATTTGCACTGCTTGCAAAAACTTAGGAAATTTTGAGGCAAAAGTAGTAGTTATTAATGAATAAACAAGAGAGCTTTTGACATCATTAAAGACCACTAGATTCCTCCTTCCTGTTTTAAAGCCTTCCACACTTCTCAGTTCCATTTACTTTTAATTATATGATTATGAATAAATCACATAAAAATAATAGATCTGGGTACATTAATTATGTATTGAAAGACAAGTAGATCCAACAGATTAAACAGAATAGAATAAGTGTGTGTATTTAGTGATTTTTGTTTGGCTGTCTGCTCTAACAAGCACCACCCAAATTTACTGTTGTGTGCAGAAAAAAGAGAGAAAAAGGAATGTGACAGGTAATTCTAGGACTGTGTTGAACTGAAAAAAAATTACATAATTAAATAGCTCCAAGGTGTACTGTATAACAGTTCTTATTAGTTCTCTAGTTTGATATTTGGGGCCCTTCGGAATGAATGTGTTCTAGCTTTCTAGAAGGCTTTGGAGTTAGCCTTGCGCCATCTGCTGGATCATGTTAGTATTTGCATCTGCACTAGAATGGGGTGTTGGAAAGACATTCAGATTCACATTTTAATGTCTTTTGCTACTAGCCATGGCAGAGGATCCCCCACCATTTTTTTTCCAGCTTATAGCATTTTCCTCTGAATGTGCTTTATCTTCTCTCTGTCTTTGCTGCCAGGAAGATGCACCTAATTAAGCAAATTCCATTTGTTTTTCAGATACGGTGTGTCTAAAATATGGCCTCTGCAAACAAATGAGATGTAGAGGACAGTGGGCGGGTGCACAGATCTGAGCCTCCTCCCATGTGCTTGCTTGGATGCTTATGTCTGTAGGCAGGGGACAAAAAACATAGTCAGATAAGCTGAACTACTAATGTCTTATTTTATTCTTTCTGTTTTTATAAAACATCTTGTAAATAAAGGTGTCCTCATTAGGTTTTATTCGGTAAATGAACTTTGTCTGATATAAGAAACAGGGAAATGTTCTGGTAAAGAAAAAAGGAATTGCTAAAACAATGAACATTTAAATTATTAGGTTTACAGAAAGATCAACACTTGAAATTATGACTGATAATTTCTTATTATTCTCTGATAACTAGACTGCTTTTGAAAACAAATCATTGGCTAAACATTTCATGAAATTCTCTCAAGGACTGGGATGAATTCCAAGATGGCTTCATTGTTATATGTAAACAAAGGCAAATAAGCAAAGCTGCAGAAAAATGCCCAGAGGACATTTTCTCACTGGATAAACACATGAGGTCTTACTGGTCATGGGTTAACTACTTCACATATTTTAGATCTTTAAATTGCTGGAGCACTCACATGGGAAACAAGTATAGCCACTGTTTTTATGATGAAGATTTTGCCATAATTTCTTTGTTTATCCTTTTGTCATTTTGTGTGCATTGTGGTACTCGTGGATGAGTGTTATTGGTATTTCTAACTGCACTGTAAGTCTAAAAAACTGCAGTATTCCCCATTTGACTCACCAGTCCCCATTTAACAAGTTAGGAAAAGAAATGAATTTGAGACACTGAGTTCCTGTCTTACAAATTGTGGGATCTCATGGAAAATACCAAGTCAGACAGCAAGTTAGCATTTTACACTTTTAGGATAATAGGTCAGCAGGAATGCAGCACAGGAGAAGGTGCAAAGGTCCAGAGACTAGGGACATAAGGATCTGACAGCTTGCTGCAGTCTTGTTATGCAAGATCAGCTGTTCAAGAGCAAATCTGTTAAATCTCACATTTACTTCTTGTCTGACACTGGGGTTGGCCACTCAGCAGATGCAGATGACAAGAGGAAGGCAACTGTAACAAAACAGAGCCTTGCATGTCAGGGAAACTTCTGTCATGGCCCGTTTTCATTTAACCTCAGCACTGAGTCCCATTAGAGGAGCCCTCTAAACACCTCTCTGAGCTGCTTTGATCTGAAAAGACTGAGTTTCATGAAACTTGGGGAAGAAATAGAAAGTATGTATATGAATAACTATGGGTGAAAAGTCTTGGATGAGGCCACTTTCAGAAGACATTTGTTATTTCAAGAGTGTTTGATTTAAATAGGAGAGTAATAGAATAGAATAATAGCGATATAAGTATATAGGAAGTAAACTCCATCATTACTAAGTAAACAGCTGCCATCAGCAACTTTTCTATATAGTCACAGCACCTTTGAGGGCTCTCTTTGCAGCAACAAATGATAGGAATGGAAATTGGTCCCTTCCTTCACCATATATGTACAGGTGATCCTTATTATTTGCGGATTCTGTGAATGTTGCGTATTTGCGACTGTTGGGGAACATGGAAATCTACAGTTTAAACGAAGTTCCTAGATGATTCCTACATTATAACATTTGCAAACATAATTGTAGGCTCCAAAAACAGAAGCTTAGTCATTGACAAGCTGTGGTCACATGGGAAGCTCAGTACAGCCTTCTTTGTCTTCCCCTACCCCTCACTCCAATGGTAGATACTTATAATGTCTGGAACTTGGTGGGTTTATGGACCTTTGAGGCAAAAAGCAGACAAAACACTGGTGAGTTCTCTTCTTAGGAGTTGTTATGGATATCCTAGATCTTGTCTTTGGGAAGGCCTAGAAAGTCAGAGATCTGAAGCAGACAGAGTAAAGTCACTGACAGCTCCAGTCCCCTCTACCCGATTTGAGATCATGGTCTTTATGCCTCCACAGCTCTGCTTCATGAAGACAGATGGGGAACAACCCCAGTGCATTCAGTTCAACCATCACCCTGTGCCTGGCCCTTCCAGATGTACCCTCAATCCTTTACCTCTAGCCTTCTCTTCCACCACTCTCCTCTCACTTACTTTGCTCCAGCTGGACAGGCCTGCTAATTGGTCCATGAACACAGCGCACTCATTCCTGCCACAGGGCCTTTGCACTTAAACTTCCCTGGGACTTCACATGCCTGGTGAGACTCTCACTTGGTTTAGCTCTGTGCTCATATGTTACCACTCAAGAGGCCTTTCCTGAATGCTCTGTCACTCTTCCTGTTACACTGTTTTATCCTTTTTTTTCCTATCTCTCACTAATATTACATGGTTATTTTAAAATGTCTTTCTTCCCCACCACCCTTCTCTTCAGAATGTAAACTTCATGAGGAAACTGTCTTGTTCAACTCTTTATTCTTTACCTGCTCCAAAAAATGCTTGGCATATGGTAAATCCTTAATAAAATAACAGACTGACCGAATAAATATTTGTCCATAAAGTGTTCTTTGGAAATCCCTTGGCCCATTATCATTCCTGTTCACCTAGTTAAAGGAATCCGGAATTTGATTAAACAAATCAGTTTATGTTGCACTAACACGTGTTCACGTTTAGAACACATTATATTTAAAATTAATAGAAAGATACTAACAGAAAATAAAGACAGTGCAGGGCACATCTGTGAATGCCTCCAGGGAAAACATCCTGTTACAGAGGGTCTTGTAGAATGTAGAGTAACTCCATATATACATTTGGGGGTTCTGTAAATGGTCACAGGGCACCAGGAAGCAGGAACAACATGAATAAAAGCAGTATGTTTTAGGAAACTGGGAGTAACTTCAGGTGATGAGAGATAAGGACACCTGGGGAGAAGTGGCAAGAGATGAAGGTCCAAAGATAGAGGAAAGTTAAGAATAGTTTTGCCTAGTGTGCAAAGTACTCTACTCAATTTAATTTTGAAGAAATGAAAAAAAATCAAAAGTTTTTAAATGCAATCATGACTGTGTTTTAGAGTGATAGTGGCGGCAGTGGGTGGTAATGGATCAGAACAATTATGTTAGAATTAGCGAGGAGAGTTAGGAAGCATCGCGGAAATACACACAGAGTACGGGGCTGGTAGCAATGAAGGAGGAGAGGGAGAAATCATGCTGAAGCGGAATCAGTAGGATTTGGAGATAGTTTGGATGTGAAAAAGAATGGTCGTAAGCATCCCATTCAATAGTTGTTCTTTCCTTTGGGTATGAGATGAGTGGAGTGCCCTACCAAACAAGGAAATGCTTCAGAATCACCAAAGAAGGAGGAAACCACAGTTTTTAGTCTTGAAGAGTAAATAGTGGAACTAAAGAAAACCAATTGTTAACATATCAGGGCCAAAGATATAGAACATATGATTATTCAGGTACCTGATAGTTTCTCTGGAACAGATCCATGATAACATGTGTATTGAGCAGAGATTTATAGGAAAATGTCAGATGATAATTAATTTGAATGCAATAAGAAAGATTTGAAACCAATAACAGCTAACAGGAAAAGCTGATTTAAAATATGCATTTAAAATGAGCTGGGCATGGTGGCGCACACCACTTGCACTCCGGCCTAATGACAGAGTGAGACTCCGTCTCAAAAAAAAAAATGCATTTATGTTATAACAAAAGTACCTTAGAGAAAGAAATATGCACTTATACCAATTAACAATATACTCCCATTCCACTTTCATTAAGTTAATTATTGTTAGGAGTACCTCTGCTGATCTAGCCAGAGTTTTATAGCTTCTTCCTTACGCACTCAGGTGTAGCAATAGAACTGAGCATTCAATTCTAGGCACTTAAAAAATAAAAAAGGAATAGAGACTTATTTGGTAAATAGTGGCAGCCACTGCCTGCCTTCACTCCCTGTCCCATGGCCAGACACTCTGCATTCAAGGCAGTTTCCACTGGAATGAATGAGGCTGGCAAAGGATGCAGGCTTAAAAGTACCTCCTTGACTGAGACTCAACAGCAGTAGGTGCCAAGGATCCTGTTCATGAGGGAAAGGGCGGGGCATAGAGGAGCAGAGCTGGGTTTCTGGACACATGTATATAGTATGTTAATTGCAATAAATTCAGTCTTCAATCTTCTAAAATGCTCACCTTCTCAGCTTCTGAATATCAGACATGTGGGTTTATCTCTCAACAGTTTATTCAGTCTTAAGAGCTACTCAGAGAAAAGAAGATTCAACTGATTTATCTTGTTGAGGAGGACAAAGAGTTAGGTACCTTGTGCTCACCATTTTTTTATGGCTAGGTTGTGCTCATTGTTCCAAACTATCTGAGCTTCACCATACATTTTTAAACAAAAATAAACTCAATATCCAGAACAAAATATGTTTAATATGACCTTCCCGTGCCTTTTGTATCTTTCATGGTGAGGTAATTGCATCAATTCTTTTAGAAAATTCTTCTCCATAATTAGGCGGATTCCAACTTTCCTTTTCTCACTTTCCCAGTGGAGATCACCAACAATAAAATCTCGAGAACCTCCCTGTACAATTATTAACTATTACTTGCATCTTTGAGAGGCCAAATACAATATTTGGAGTGGTGAACTGGAGCTTTCAACTTCAGTTTTTACACCAAAGTTTTCTCAGAAAACTTGTTTGCTCATATCACCTGACCTTTACAAAGTACATGCATACTCAATTAACTCTTAGGTTCAGTGATTTCCAAGCCAGTCTCATTCATCTTTGGCTTCATAAAAAATATGCTCAAGTTGCCAGATAGCAATCAAATAAATCTTCGGGAATTGCTCTTCTTTATTTGATTGTTTCCATAATTAGGTTTTAAGCTTCTTCTCTGAAACATTAGTTTATAAATATTGAAAAACCTTCGACCTGTGTGCATATGAGCATATCTGTAGTTCCCCATTTTCATAATGATTTAGTGCATACGTTAGAGTCAGTAGAATTACGATTGCTAACAGAATTCCAAATGTATGAACATAAATTTGGCTTCAAATTATGTAGGAAGTTTGTTTTGAAGGGCTTGGGCAGCATTAGATTGCCTGTAGAACTATAACTTAGAAAAATAAAGGATTGAGTTAGGTCAATAGTATGATAGCTTATGTTTGTCTAATTGGAGTCTGATCATATCGGTAAATCAAAATCATTTTATAAATGATTCATTTGCTAGAAGTCTTGAACTATACAGAATTTAGAACAATGAATACCATGTGCAAGAGGCAAAGTGGGATAAGGCCCATTTGCTACCTTGTGAATCTTACTATCCAGAGGGGCAATAGACTTAGACATAGCAGACTCTAGTAAGGATTGGGGGATTATTATTATTCCCAAAGGAGGGATAAACAAAGGGCTATGAAAAGGTAGTAACAATTCTGAGCAGGGTCATTAGGAAAGTCTTTACGGAGAAAGTGGCATTGGAACAAGGCTTTGAAAGACAAGGAAGTAAGAACTAAGGATGATGGCGCAGCACAGCTATCATATTCAAGTCAGAGATAATGAAGGGCTATAAGAGGCCACAAGGAATTGAGAAATCATCAAAAGTGTACTCAGGAAATATTCGTAGTTGTATGGGGTTGGTGTATGTGGTATTTATGACTGGACATTTTATCTTATTTGAGAGGAAATTAGAAGCCACTTCTGGGTGCCAAGAATGGCAAAGACAGGATAAAAAGCATGACTTTATGTAATTCTAGTTAGCTTTATATTTTACAGTTTCGTGTGTCAAGACAGGAAGTTCTGCTTGATGACACTGAATAATTTTCTGGCCCCCAGTGATTCTGTAAGAAAGTATTGTTTCACATAATTATGTGGCATTCATTATGAATCATTACGAACATTCATTTCCTTCATATTTTTTTAATTGAGTGGCTGTTAATTGCTCTCTTCACACCAAGGTCCCAGGTATAACCATTAAGGATTGTTCTCAGTCATCAATAATGCTCACTGTGTTGCAGTGAATTAGTCCACGAACATTTTCTGAAGCTCTTTATTAGGTTACTCTTATTGCATTGGGAAGACCAAAGCCAAGAATAGATGTTTTGCCTAAAATGCAATCATTAATTTTCTCTTATTGCTAGATTTCTGACTCTTACTTTGTAAATTCCCTACATGTTACCTTCGATCTAACCATGTCTGAGAAGACATTCGAAAGATCAGTATCTACAATTTGGAGGGATCCATATGCTCTCAGTGTTATTCTTTGTAAGAATGATAGACAAGATGGTCATCCCTTACTATCAGAAATCAGGGTCTGTTTAATAAATATGTTGAAATTATACATGGCAGTGGGAGTAGAAACAGAAAATAAAACTGTTCCTCACCAAAGCCGTGTGGCCATTGTGATATAGTGTCAGAGAAAAGAACAAATTTAGGGTATCGCTAAAAAAGACACTCAGGTCAAGACTAAGGGTGAGGCTAAAGACTAAGTCAAAACTGGTTGAAAGGCCTTTCAGCCAAGGCTTTTGAAACAATTAAGGTGCCTACTAGATCCTTGTATGTGCACAAAAGGATTTCTAAAAATATTAAAATCTTGATTTTATAGAACCTGGAAACCTCCATAGTATCTGTGATTGAGTATCTAGAGAGAGACATCTCAAAAGTAAGTATGAGTATGGCTTTTGGGGCCTACCATGTTTGGAACTTACAATGCTTTGGAAAAAGCTGTATTAGAGGAAGCATTGCCAGGCTGTTCTAAAAGCCTGAAATCATTTGAGATATGAAAAAATCTCAGGGCTCCCAGCTTTCCTCAGGCAGGGATCAAGCTGGGAAAACTGCTCAATATCCAAAAATGGTGTATTCTCCAATGCTATCTCCTGAGGTGGCCAAGGAGAATGATAGAAAAGGAAGATAATTCCAGAAGGCAGAGCTGTGGAAACTAACCAAATCACTTCCAGGAGCAGAAGCAGGGCCGCATCAAGAAACATTTCCTACCCTCAGAGGAGGGTGATCTGGCAACATTTGAGCAGCAGGATTTCACCTTATCTACAAGGCAGCCACTGTCGTGTGACTCCCATACTTCCCCTTTTTCTAATGGGAGTATTTATTACTTTTATCCTATTCCTGTTCCACTTTTGTATGTTCAGTTTGTGTTGGGCAGATAACTTGTCCTTTAATTAAGAGGTCTCTGGATTAAGACGAATTGCATTCGGACCTGATGTAAAATCACAAGATCCTAAAACATGAGGCTATGATTAGATGAGACTTTGGTGGGTCTTTAACTGGGGATGAATGAGTTTTGCATATGAGGAGGATATGAATAAATAGAAACAAGATTATAGTTTGTAGTAGTTCGCATGATCGTTTAGCAGATCCTCCTTTCCCCCTCCCACTTCTTTGTCCCATTGATGCCGAACTTGGTCATGTGATTTGCTTGAGCCAATAGGGTGGTAGTGGACATAAAAAGAAAATGCCTGAAAGGTACTTGTGTGGTGGTGCTTGTGTCATTGCTCTGAGAACACACACCAGAGACCCTGCTGGTCCCAGGATAAAAAGATATGTGGGTCACCCCGTCTCTACTAAAAATACAAAAAAAAAAAAAAAAAAATAGCTGGGCATGGTGGTGGATGCCTGTAGTCCCAACTACTCGGGAGGCTGAGGCAGGAGAATGGCGTGAACCTGGGAGGCGGAGCTTGCAGTGAGCCAAGATCGCGCCACTGCACTCCAGCCTGGGCGACAGAGCGAGACTCCGTCTCAAAAAAAAAAAAAAAAAAAAAACAACAACAAAAAAAAAGGCTGTCAGAGCCTCCTCAGCTTCCCTACAAACCTGCAACTTGATGTTTTCACCCTAGGCAGCTCTAGACCTATAAGTATGAGAATAAAAGCTTATTGCTGTCATGCCAGTGAATTTTGGGGTTGTTTGTTATATACCTCAATAGCTGTCTGATAGAATGCTATATCCTAAGCACTATGCTATGCACTTAATTATTCCATCATTATACTCTGGATCCTAGTGTCTTAGTCCATTTAGGCTGCTATAACAAAATACCAGAAATGGGTGGCTTATAAACTACAAATACTTATTTCTCACAGTTCTGGAAGCTAGGAAGTCTCACAGCAAGGCACCAGCAAGTTCAATGTCTGTTTCCTCACAGATGGCCATCTCCTCACTGTTTCCTCACTTGGCAGAAAGGGCAAGGAATCTCTCTGGGGTTTCTTTCATAAGGACAGTAATCCCATCCGTGAGGGCTCTGTCCCCATGATCTAATCACCCACCAAAGGCCCTAGTTCCAAATACCCTCATAATTGGGGATATGGTTTCAACATGTGAATTTGGGGCACACAAACATTAATACCACAGCATCTAGTTACTTGCATTTTAATCTTCAAATATGGAATTTTGGCCAGGTGCAGTGGCTCAATTACAAGTGCTGCAATCCCAGCACTTTTGGAGGCCAAGGCAGGAGGATTGCTTGAGCCCAGGGGTTTGAAACCAGCCTGGGCAACATGGTGAAACCCCGTCTGTACAAAAAATATGAAAATTAGCTAGGCATGGTGGTGTGTGCCTGTAGTCCCAGTTACTGGGGAGGCTGAGGTGGGAGGATTGATTGAGCATGGCAGGTTGAGGCTGCAGTGAGCTGAGATCACACCACTGTACTCCAGCCTGGGTGACAGAATGGAAAAAAAACTGTGGAATTTTCAGGTTTGTATTCTCTTAAATACATTTGAGACTGATGAGAGCAGGTTGGGAAGACTGTAGGAGCCTGGAGAGAACCTCTAGATTCCTGAAATACTGTCATAAATAAGTCTAGCTCTAATGGGCAGGAAGGAAAGATAAGAAAGAGGGAAGGTAAATAAAACAAAAGAAAGAACAAAATGTGGATATCAGCTCACACTAAGTGACAGACACTTCACATGTGTTCTGGTGTAGCGTGTAGTCCACCCACACAGAAAACATCCCGCTCAAGGACTTCAAGAGGTGGCACATACCATTTCATCTACTCTGGAAAGTTGAATTGTGGCTGAAATAGACAAGAGTCTCTCTCATGAAACCCCCTTTAAGAGGAGAAAATGGCTTGCAGCCATTCTTGAATAGTCTTTTAATTTATTACAAAGCAAATTATGCCTTATATTGAATGGGTTTTAAATTTCTGCATTTTTCTTCATTAAGGAAATGTAAAAATCTTTAACCAAGGAAAAAATTTCACCAAACTTTGTTTGGGACAGAATCTTTTTGTGCAAATATAATCCATGACTTCCTTCTGGGAAGATATTTGCAGAGCTAAAAAATGCTAAGCATTTTTCAAGTAAACTTCATGGAAATTAATGGGACTAAAATTTGTTCTTGGAAAATCTGTTATCCATTCTTTCAGGACTCTAGTTTTTTTTGCATTTTTTACTTCTTTTTGTATTTGGTTTAACAAGGGTTATTCAACCTTTCTCTGTTTCTAAAAATGTCATTACCAAGACTAAAATTTTCAGTTGGCCTCTAAATGATGAAATAGTGAAATAGTAACCAAACATTTTCTTGTATGTGTCAACAGCAAGATTATAACCAAAAATATACATATAACTAAATTTCTAGTATCAGAAGAAGATTTTAACATTCGTCTGGACCAATTCCTCCTCCCGTTGTGCTGTGGAAGGCTCCTCCCCTCTTTAGCAGTTCACACTCTTTTTGCAGGCTGGCAACTTGGGGTGTGGTATGCTCAGTTCAGCCTTAATGGACTCAGTGTTACACGATGATATTTGCAAAATGCCTGGCATGAAGAGTTACTCAATTGATGTTTTTCCTTCCTTATTTTCTCTTCCTTTTATTTCTTCCTTTTTCACTCCCACCGTTCAGAGCAAACGTGTCAAATGGTTTCAGGTCAAGAAACTTTCCCTCCAAACATCAGGCATGTCCTAATTCTCTGCTCGTGACTTTCCATGATTTCTACTTTAATAATTGCCTTTAGAAATTATTTCTTAACAGAAATTTACTCTTTCAATATATACATTAATCACAGAATGACTTACTTTCTCTCTGTCCATGTGGCTGACACTGCAGGTTGTTCTTTCTTGAAATGGAGCATGCTTTTTCCCATTCTATGTGTGGAGTGTGCGTCTGTGTGGGGATGAGACAGGTGTGGGTGTTTTGTTCTAATGCCTTCAACTCAAAGAACTTCATGGCTGAGGTCAAAGCTGAGAATAGAGCCCTTTCCACTGGGCAGAGACGTGGGTGCCAGGACACTTCCTGTCCCACGTCTTTAAAGCTTATCCCTGACAGCAGAAGCCCAGGGTTGTCCTTTCTGTTTCATGCCTCCTATGGTCTGTGCAGGCTAAAAATCACACTAATAACTGCAGGAATTCAGAAGCATGGGGACTAAGATCTCTATTTTGTTGAAAGAAAAGCTGGTTCTCAAAGAGATTAGGTCAGTTTTCCCAAGGTCATCTGGCCAGTGAGTGGTGGAGGAAGACTCCCACATTGTCTGGCTGTGGAGAGCATGTGCTCGTCACTATTCATCTCTGTACCTCCATGCCTAACGTGCTACCTAGGACCTTGCTCTGCAAAGTACGGTCTACAGACCAGCAGCATTGGCATTTCTTGGAAACTTGTTAGCAATGTGGAGCTCAGGCCTCACCCCATGATATTGAATCAGAATCTTCATTTTTAATAAGATGGTCAGGTGATTTGTATGCACGTTAAAGTTTGAGAAGCACAGATATAGGACACACACTGTAGTTAATAGATAAAGGCATGGAGAATATAAAAGAAAATTAAAAATATATGTAATACATCAAGAAGTTCCAATATCAGTCAATCAGGAGATCTAGAAAAGACTAGAGAGAACAGAGGTATGGCAGCATGCAAAGAATAAGAGAACAATTTCTTGGCATTAAATGTCAGATTGAAAGGGCTCATTGAGTACTAAGCAGGGTAAAGGGAACAATAACAGCAACTCATACCTAGATAAATGGCAGACACATTTCAGAATACTTGGAATAAGGAAAAAACCTGTTAAGACTTCTAGAGAGAAGGAATAGATTAACTTTGCAATGAGAAACAGATATACAAGTGCAAGAAGAAAATGGAATAATGTGAAAATGCTGAAGGAAAATGTACCTGAACCTCTTATTTCATACCCAGTGAATCTATTATTCAAAGACAAGGGCAATGTAAACACATTTTCAAACATAAAAGTTGATTCAGTCAGGATTCTTAGTGACAGAGCATAGATAACCTTGTATCTATCAAGGTTAAGCAGAAAGGGATTTATAAAAGGACTTTAGAAAGCTCACAGAACCTCTTGGAGGGCCAGAGAATGAGGTTAACAGGCTGTACAGCAGGAACAACACAGTCAGAGGCAGGGGCACTTACCCAAATCACTGCACAGGGCCATGAAGGCCCTACAATTGTATCCGCTTGCTGCTTATCACCTACGATGCTAAGAACTACATACACTGAATTCTGCCACAGCCCCCAGAGGAATTTGGTACCCCTTTCATTGTGCTTGCCCAAACATCACCTCTTTGCACTTGGCCTTCCCTTGTGATTGCACATTGCTGTCCTGAGCCTCATGTGGGAGCATCTGCTTGGTAGAGCTAAGGTCCCATGTAAATATCCAGCTTCTGGGAGGTTGGGAACACAATTTCCAGGGTGACAAACTCTATAGAACAGGAAGGCAAGCTAGAGGAGGGATGGAATCAGAGTTCAGTGAGCCAGACTACAGTATCTAGAGCAATCCAACAGAAGATAGACAATTAAAAAGAATCATGGAAAATTGGATGCACAAAATAAGAGAGGAATAAATCTAAACATATTAGTAATTGCAGTACATGATAATATATTAAGTTTATTAAACAACAGATTTGCAGACTTAAAAACTTAGTCTCAGAAGTTTCCAGAAAAGTAGATATTTATGTATGAGGCAACTGTTTATAAAAAGAAAGCATGTATAGTAATTGAGATGATAGATACAATAAATTCAAGATGAAAATCACTAAAAGTGCAAAAAAGGACAGCTCATATTGATAACAGAAATAATATATCAAAAGTATCTGAGCCTTTATATTCAATATTGTTAACTAATTACTTAACTAGCTAGTTCTTAAACTGGGAAGACTTTATAGAAAATTATAGCACTGAGGGCTCAAATGAAAAAATGGAACTTATGTCTAGCATTGCAGAAGTTTTTTTTCTGTTTAGGGGAATATGTAATTATTGGGCAGACATGCAGAGCATTAAGGCAGGAAGAAAAAGGCATAAAGCAAACAGAACAAGATCATATGTAGAAACTGACTGTGGACTCTTACAAAAAAGTTCAAACTGCAGCTGACCTGACCCAAGCAAACTGAATTTCCCAGAAGAGAGCCACATAACTTGAGCAGAAAAAGAAGCAGCAGGATTATTCAGTGAGGAGAACAAGAAGTTTATACAAAAACTTTGTTGTATGGGATTTATGCCATACTATCTCTATTTATGCTTCAAGCTACTGTATAGAAAATATATTTAGTTTATATTCCAGAATGTAACTTCATTTTTCTCAATCAGTAAATAAAGCTATCCTTAAAATTGAACAGTGTTTTTTTAACCCATCCAAATATTAATTACCAATTACATGATTGAATAAGTTTTTTTTTTTCTACAAAAAAGGCTGTAGTGTAGTCAGACTTAATTTTCTTTTTATTTGAAACTTCTTGCTTCACAAATGTCACTAAACACCCTAGGGTCAAGCTGGAATTTACAATCATTTTAGCAGTTTAATATTTTGGTAGGAAAAAATAATATTTCTCCAAAAATTGTCATGTTATACTTGGGAAGTTCAGAGACTGTTTCTGTGCCCCCAGTTCTCAGAGCATCCTTGTCACCTGGTGGAATGCTCTCCTGCTTGCTGTTGATAAACTGCAGGGCGTCAGTTGAGCCTCTTCCCTTTAGGTTACTGTTTGAAGGTCCGCCTTGTAGGGAGTCACTGTGATCAAGGGACACAATTTAGCATCTGATAAAAATCAGAGCATGGTAGAAGTTCAAATTTCCGTTCCCTTCATTTGAAGGCATCTGTGTTTTACAAGTCCCTTGTCAAATGTGGCAGGTAGCAGTTGAAAGGATGTCTTCCCTTCCCGCTGCCAGTTTTATTAAGGTAGAGTTGACAAATAAATATTGCATATATTTACAGCATACAATGTGATATTTTGATATATGTTTACATTGAGAAACAATTGAATCAAGCTAAAGAACATATCCATCACCTCACATACTTATTTTTTTAAGATCTAGTCTCCTAGCAAATTTCAAGTATACAGTCCATTGCCATTAATGATAGTCACCACGCTAAACAATAGGTCTCCAGAATTTTTCATCAAGAGGATGGGTTTTAAAATAACGTATACTAGCATTTTAATCTAGACTCTGCTACTTTGTGGCTATATAAATTTAAGCAAGTCATTTACTCTCTCTGAGCCTCAGCTCCTAGTCTGTAAAGTAGACATAATAACAACATTCAGTTGTCAGGATCAGATAATGAGATAATGAGTGTAGAGTACCTGACGCAGTAGCTATTAAAATGAAATAGCTATAGAAGTCCTTGAAAATAATTTCTTAAACAGTTAGCTGGGAGACCTCCTAAATATCTTTATAGTTGTTTATCTATTGATGGTGAGTGGAGCCTCAGGGACCCAATGAGAGAAAAAATAAAATTGAGGATTAGAGAAGTAAATTGGAGCCATTCACCTACAAGGACCTTACCACTGATTTCAGGTCTCATTTTGAGTATTTTGACAATATGAATTTAAGCATTAAAGCTGAGCCTTTAGGGGTAGCAGTTCCCCTTCCAAGAACTTTTTCAAATGAGTTAATTATTTGCTATGAACCAGGTACCCTCTATACGCTTGGGACATATCAATATATAAGTTAAGCCAGCTAAATTGCAAAGATGTATTACAGTCATCCTTGTAGTATAATTTATGTTATGAGTCCAGCCTGAAGTACAAATAAAACACAGCTCTTATTTTTCAAATACAGTCTGATTTGATCACTTCTATGATTAAATTAGCAGCAAATGCAGTACATCTTTGGTGGGGATGAGGCTGGTGGGAGAGTCCCTCTTTCTTCTAAAATGTTTATGAAAGCTATAGGTTTAGTCAGTCCAAAAGGGGCTTTTATAACTTCCGAAAACTTTGTAGAGAAAGAACCAGAAAACATGTTCTGTTTACAGACATTTTTAAGCTGCTATTGTCACTGTTTGTTTCCTGTGGTTATTCCAAAATCTTCTCCTGAAAGGCATAGTATCAGTCTGCACAGTTGTGATGATGATGATGACATCGGTGGTGTCAGTTCAAATCTCTGTGTATGCCTGATGGATCTTCAAACAGGGCATCAGTTCACACAGCATTATTCACGGTGAATAGCACTCCATGTCAAAGCATTAGTAACAATTTATCTCTAGGCCCTGGGATTATGGATAGTTTCATTTTTTTCTCTTTGCTTATCTGAATTTTCTAATTTTTCTATAACAGCATGGATTACTTTGTATTAATATTTTAAGTCAAGAAAAGCCTATTTTAAAGTGAACTTTATCAGTTACATTTAATGTGAAATTCCTCTTCTAGAGCTGATCAAGGAGAGAAGATAAGGCATGGATATTCAGTTTAAAATGGTGAGATTAAACTTTTCCTTTATGTGCTAGTCTTTTATTCAATAAGTAATTTGGAGCACAGCTTTTGTCATGGGGAAAATAGCTGATGGGGAGACATGGATAGAAAAGGGACATGACCCTATCCTCATAGATTTACAGACTGGTCACTGGATGCTGGTGACACATGGGGATGTTTTCATTTGCTAAAGTAAAGTGGAATGATGACTTTATACTCTGCATGTGGTGGCTCTGCCATTAGACAGTAAGTTTCAAATGGCACTAAGTCAGGCATAGAGGAATCCCTCAATATTCATGGGTGTTAGGGAGAGGGAGAGAGTCTTGGTGGATAGATGCAAGATGAGGGTCAGACCTTCCTGGGCTCTGATTCTCTGCTCCTTCTGTCAGTTCATTGCCAAGTGACCTTGGATTAGTTACTTAATTCTCTCTTCATGGCTCTGTTTTCTCATCCCCAGGTAGAGAACCATAATAATACCTACCTTGAAGTGATGATATAAACTACATGACACAGAGTACTTGCTTCACACAGTGTTGGAACACACAGAGCTGCCACCTGGAAATCCCTGCTCATCTAAGGGTTGCATCTAGACTCTGGTAGATTTGGGGAGGGTGGCATTTGAGTTATGTCCTTTCCTGAGCTGTCCCATGCCACAGCTTGCTGCTCTGTTGTCTCCTGACAATTGGTCTCCTTGCTGCTATTTCCAGAAAGCTTCACACAGAAAGCTTCACACACTCCTCTCACTCCTCAGACCATCTTTCACATAATACTGCTGTGTCTAACAGATATGTACACGATGAGAGTAACATACCGGGAACCCAGCAATACAGCAGAATTTCAATACGTGACAACACTTTTCTTAAAAATTCCCAGGTCTCACTGGTAGCAGGGATTTGTCTCTGTTACCTTTTTCTATGGTCTTTTTTGCCTCCATGTTCCTAGGCTTCTTTTCAGCCATTACCCTTTTCCTGTTTCCCCAGCTGCCTTGGAGCAAATTTGGTTTCTTTATTATACAAAACAATTTGGTCTTAATTGAGATTAAACTCCTGGTCTATCTTCACACGTCTAAAAACCCTAATGACTTTTACTCAACAAAATAGTCAATCCTTAAGTCAATTCTTCATTTCTCCCAGAATGTGAAAGTGGAGGCAGAAATTCTTTTCTTTTTTTAATCTAATTTCTCTCGTCCGTTAAACTAGCTATTGCTGTTGTTAGTTCTGACACACTGAAACTGGATTCTCAGAGCAGGGAACTTGAAAACAAGTCAGTAGACTGGCTGCATTCCTCCTAAGCCATTTCTCTACCTATGCTTACACTTTGAGGTGAAACTATAAACTGCTTAATTTAATTCAGCTTAAACGTTTGTTTCCCCATTATTATTTCTCCATTGATTTTTGTCCAATGGCTTGCAGTGCTTCCACAAAAGAACTTCATAAATTTGGTTTGATTGATAACTTCTATAGGCCTCATAGGCACCAGGGCTGGAAGATAAATAAACCTCAACACAGAATGGAAGCTGTGTTTCAAAGGACAGTGGTGGTGGGGAAGAGGAGGGAGAGATTACTTTGAATGGTATTGCCAAGTTTATTTCAACAGCTTGAAAACAGCCGATAAACACTGTAAAAAAAAAAAGAAATTGAAGTCCTTCGTTTAGTGAGAACTGCTTGTCCAGATAGGGTTGGGTGGCTGCCAGCTGGTGAATCAAATGTCAATTGGGTTTACACCATAGGAGACAATCTGTTCTAGCAGTGTTTGGACTGGAAAAAGGGAATGAATTGGTAAAGAGCTGTTCTACAGGATGCCAGTCTTTTAAGGAGCTGAGGAAAGCCCACAGAACACCAAATTATTACAGGGTCAGGACTGTGTCATTTATCTATTTGCAGGCACAAGAGTAATTATTTTCTCAGCATTAGGCATAAGCTTTTCAGAAGAATACTGCCAGGATGAAAAAATGCATGAAACAGATATATGTGTTGAAAACTCAGTGACAAGATTTGTGTAAAATTCATTGCTTCTGGGTTTCTGGTATGAACCTAGGGGAATATTGGAAAATAACCAGTAGATTCCTTAGCTTACTTATTTCAGATTACCTTTTAAGCCTTAAAGATTCTGATTTCTTTGTGAATGAGACTTCCCAATTGTAATAACTTCAAAAAAATAAACATAACTTTATATTTTGTAAATATCCAAATAAATGCTCTTATTTGAAAAAAGTTTTCACAAGAAAAAATCTTAAAGTAGAAAAATTACTCATAACCCATCACCCAATAAAATTACTTTCGGTTTTACTTTATAATGTATATCTTTCCAAGTGTGTGTGTGTGTCTGTATAGAGAGGGAGGTGTTTGTGTGTGCATTTTTCTGTACTTACAAAATGAGATCCCATCATACATGTTGCTTTGAAACATGTCTGTTTTTCTCTCACTGTATCATGTCATCTTTTGATGTTAATAAATACACATGCAAGTACTTTTATTTAATGGCTGAATAGAATTCCTTGTGCAAATATACAGTAATGCAATTAATTTCCTATTGGCAAATATTTGGGTTATTTCTAATTTTTGCCCATTATAAACAAGGTAAAGACATTTTGTTGTGGAAATATTTATACCTTTGGGTGATGATTTTATAAGGATAAATCCCATAAACATAAGATAAATACACATTAAAATTTTTTTAAAAAAATTGTAGTCAAATACTTATAACATAAAATTTAACACTTAATACTTTTTAACTGTATAGTTCAGTGGCCCTAAATAAATTTTTGTGCTACCATCACCACCATCCATCCATAGGATTCTTCATCTTGCAATACTGAACCTGTCTCCATTAAACACTAGCTGCCCCTTCCCCGCTCTCCAACCCCCGACAACCATCATTCTACTTTCTGCCTCTATGACTTCGTTGACTATTCTAGGTACCTCATATAAGTGGAATCATACCATTTGTGTCGTTTTGTGACTGGCTTATTTCTCCTAGCATAATGTCCTCAAGGTTCATCCATGTTGCAGCATATGTTAGAATTTCTTGTCTTCTAAAAGCTGAAATAATATTCTGTTTGATGTATATGCTATATTTTGTTTATCTATCAGTGGACACTTGGGTTGCTTCCACCTTTAGGCTATTGCCAGTTCTGCCACTATAAATGTAGATGGACAACATTGCTTCCAGTCTCTTCTCATAATCCTTTTGGATATATCCAGAAATAAAATCACTGGATCATATGATGATTCTATTTTTGATGTTTTGAAGAACCACCACACTGTTTTCCACAGTGGCTCTACATTCTCAACAACATTGTACACGTTTTCTAATTTCTCTACATCCTCACCAATACTTGCTATTTTCTGCTTCTTTTTTTAATGGTAGCCATCCTAATGAATGTGTGGCGGTATCACATTGTGGTTTTGATTAGCATTTTCTTAATGGTTAATGATATTGAGCATCTAATATGCAGATTTTTAAAGTTTATGATCCACATTGCCAAATTGTTCTCTAGAAATATTCTACCAATGTAATCTCAGTAAATAGTGCTCATTTACCTTCTCTGACATCCAGTGGTAATGTTTATCATGTAACTTTTAAACAACAGTGCTCATAGACATAGAAAATGTTGCTGTAAGCTCTTTGATTTAAGTTAGAAGGTGCTATATTTCTTCAAGGTTACTCATGGCGTTAGCAGGCTAGGCAGTAAAAATACATTTAGTGACTTGAAAGCTATATTTTTAAACATATAATTGATCTTTAGGAAGATTACATAAGGTTAAATAACTGTTTTGATTCTTTTATATCTCTATTCTCTCCCACTCCTTAGCAGGACTCCTATGCTAAGTCCTGCCACCTCTAATTGCAGCCTTCCATTTCCCTAAGGATTCCTTGATGATACTGAAGTTTACTTACCTAATCTATGGTTCATTTTACTATCCTTCTGTCATCATAATCAATAAACAGCAGTTATCCTTTTATGAAAAAGAAAAGAAAGGAGAATAGGAAAGTGCATTCTTCTTAATTGAGTAAGCTCACATTTCTTGAACCGTGGCCCAAGAATTAATCGACACAGCACCCTTTCGTCATATTTAACATTTCCCTTTCTCTAGCCATTAACTCTGAGGGTGTCAAATCTGCTTACAAAAGTGTTTCCCTACTAATATACCCTTCAGTTACTGGGGAGATGCAGCTGAGCCTCTTGCTTGTGTATTGCCTCCTCAATGTCAGATTTTAGTGACTCTTTTGCTGTTTCTGTGGCTTGTTGATAAACACAATTGATAGAAGAGGAAAACATCCAGATATAGACCTTATCTGAGAAAATGTCTTGGTTTGTGTGGAAAATGCTTAGAAATTTCCTTCTCACTGAACCCTATGTCCCACCCTGACTTTTTGTGCTTTTCTAATCAAAACAAGGAAGACTCATTTCGTTTCTTCCTTTTTCAGGAATATAAAATAAATTAAAAGTACACATGTTCTACTGGGACAAACAGGAGGCCATAAAATTGCTTAGCCTGCAGTCAAACATAAAAACATAAAAAATACAACAGCAAACAAACAAAAGCTAGCCTTAGAAAGGGCATTTAGACAATAATCCCTGGCCACTTTCCCACAGGAAAGAAAAGGAAAACTTTCAGAAAGAAACTTGGAGCGTATTTTTTTTTTTTTTTGCAAAGAGTATATAGTACCTGTTGATACTATATCTAATTATGTGCTAAATACAATATAATTTCAGTTATTAATATTAACATATTAATATATATTATTAGTAGTACAATATATATTCAGCATCAATGAACATATATTGATATTGCAACCGGGGCAAATAAAACACATTTCTTGTCAGTAAAGAACTGATTTAGTAACGGAAACAGGCATATAAAGAGATCAGTTTAATATAATGTCAGAAGTGCAGACAGAAAGCTGTACTGGCTGTTATTAGGAGGGGCTTTGCTGAGAAGTTTATCAAAGGATGGAAGGTGTCAGGCAGAGGCCCAGTAGGAGCAAAAAGCACAGGGGACTACAGCATTGTGTGTGGAGGGGCAACCACAAACGACAGTTGGATGTAGTTTGTTGGTTACATGAAAGCAGACAAGGAGTAAGTTAGCAGAAGCTAGATCACCTTCAGTGTGTGTAGGCACTTCTGAACCACATGATGGAGTTTGGCTTTTGTAATGTAGGGATGGATGCTCCCTAAAGCCATTTAATCTGTGCAGTGCTACAATCATTTCTGGTATCACACGTATCACTTGGTGGGATTTGAGGGAATGGATTTGCAGGGGTGGGGTGGGATGGGAGCTGGAGATAGATATCCTGCCAGGAGTCCATGGGAATGGTCCAGGGGAGAGAATGTGAGGGCATGAGCAGAGACCATGGAAGAAAAGATGGAGAGAAGATACAGCTGAGAAATTTTTAGGAAAAATTGCATTTGAAAGAGAAGGTGGAGGAGGGGAGTCTCCTGGCTTTTGTTTTTGCAACTAATTCCTATATCCTTCTGGAGGACACTGAAAAATGTAGGTGTTTTCTCATGCAACTCTGGGGAAAAGGAAGCTTAGTGGTAGGGGTGCTTCTAAGTTCAATCTGCTTCTGAAATCCTAGGCAGTCATCTCTAGACTATTCCCATGCCAGGGTGACTCACACCTACAAGATGTCTATCTCCAGGGATCCAGACAAGAAGTACGGCGCAGATCTTCATTGCTCTTGTATTTAATTTTGTTGTATCATTCTCCCTCTCCCCTACTGAGGAGGCTGGGGTACCTGGCTTCATAGCAAGCCACACTACCATAGAGTTCCCAGGAGTCATGGGCAACACTTACGATTGGCAACTTTCAGAGGCACTCTAGCCTGGGCGACAGAGCAAGACTCGTCTCAAAAAAAAAAAAAAAAAAAAAAAAGAAAGCAATATGATCACACTTGTAGATTCTCTGAACCTTCCTTCTCTAGGGTTTCTTCCACAGATTGATGACAAGAGACAGGCCTGGGAGGCACCATGGGTCTATTAAAAACTTGATTCTACCTAAGATTTGATAGATTAAATTTGTGGGAAAGTTGATAGGCAAGTACCAAACAGATACTCTTGAGTTCGTGGGCTCAGTTTTTCTTAAAATGTATATAGAATAAACCCTTTCCTTTCCTGTATGATCTCATTGTCCTTTCCAGAAATTATGCCTTAACTACAAGTCCCTTGCTGACCAAAACATTGCTTGCTTTCTGAATCATATTTATCTAGTAATATTTATTCAACATGATAATGCTCAGGACATGCTACCCCACAATGTGGTACCTTGGCATTTGAGAAAAGAGTAGAAGCAGCAAAGTCTCTCTGACTCCCCATCCTCTCTCCCCTGGTGTAGACCATAGAAGACTTCTCTGACCTTCCTCTAAAGTAGGTCATTCCAGAGATACTCTCCCTATACATTCTTATCTCTGAAGACACTGGGACACAGAAACGAATCTGAACACACAGGCCTCACTAAGTTCCTCCAAGTTTATTACAATTAGATCTTATGCTGTTTGTCTAATTATACTTCTGCACTACTGTCCACTTCATCAGACTAGCATAAAAATATACAGGTTGTCCTGATTCTTTGGGTCTGTATTTTTGAAAGCTCTTGTGTCAAGTTTATTATTGTCGACGAAAAGAGTCAAACTCTGTAAAATATTTGACTGTTCAGTCAAATATTCATTCTGAGCCAAATACGAGTGACCCTGGCCCATGACACAGCCCCAGGGGATCCTGACAACATGTGCCTGAGGTGGTCAGGCTACAATTCGTTTTTATGTATTATTGGGAGACATAAGACATCAATCGAAACATGTAAGATGTACATTGGTTTGGTCAAAAGCTAAAAGCCCCACACGAAGTGGGGGCTTCGAGGTCATAGGTGGATTCAAAGATTTTTCTGATTGGTAATTGGTTGAAAGAGTTTATCTAAAGACCTGGAATCAATAGAAGGCAGTGTCTGGGTGAAGATAAGGAGTTGTGGAGACCAAGATCCTTATTATGCAGATGAAGCCTCCAGTTAGCAGGCTTTAGAGAGAATAGATTGTAAGGGTTTCTTATCAGACTTTAAAAGGCACCAGACTCTTAGTCAATTCTCTCCTGGATCAGGAAAAGACCTGGAAAGGGAAGGAATTCTCTAAAGAATGTAGATTTTTCCCACAAGAGACAGCTTTGCAGGGCCATTTCAAAACATGTAAAAGAAATATATTTTGGGTTAAAATACTTTGATTTCTTTTAGGGCCTGCTATCCATCATGTTGGTATCCTATTGCTACAAAGAGTCTGTTTTGTTAGTCTGAAGGTTTCTGTTTTAATGTTAATGCTAGTCAGCTGTGCTGAATTCTGGAGGGAGGAAGGTATAATGAGGCATGTCTGACCACCCTTCTCCATCATGGCCTGAACTAGGGTTTCAGGTTTACTGTGGAATTCCCTTGCCAGAAAGGAGGGGTTCATTCAGTTGGCTGGGGGGCTTAGAATTCTATTTTTGGTTTATATTCATAAATATCTCAGTCATGAATCCAGCAGTGAGAAAATGAGTTTTTTTCCTTCTGAATTCATCTGCTTTTACCACAGAGCAGAAGTTCCGACAACATATTACTCATTCTGTTAGCAGTGGTAAATCTGTACAGGTCTGCAGCAACCTGAACTCTTGGGCATAAGGCAGAAGGAGAGACTGAGGCAAGTTTTAGAGCAGGAGTAAACATTTATTCAAAAGCTTTAGAGCAGGAACGAAAGAAAGTAAAGTACACTTGGAAGAGGGCCAAGCAGGCGACTTGAGAGATCAAGTGCATAGTTTGACCTTTGACTTGGAGGTTTCATATGTTGGCATGCTTTCAGGGTCTTGCATCTCTTCTCCCCTGATTCTTCCCTTAGGGTGGGCTGTTTGCATGAGCAGTGGCCTGCTAGCACTGGGGAGGGAACATGCACAGTGTGTTTACTGGAGTTGTATGCATGCTCACTTGAGGCATTCTTCCCCTACCAGCCAAATAGTTCCTAGAAGGTCATACACCAGTTAAACTACACCATTTTGTCTCTTAATGTGCATACTTGAGTTCACTTGCCCAACTCGTGAGACCTTATCCAGAAGTGCTGATCACCAGTTTCAGGTTTTTTCTGTCTGTTGGGAGGCTGACTTTCCTTGGCGCTGGCTGAGACCGATTACTATTTGAGAGAGATAGTTACTAACTGCCTGACCCATCACCTGATGGTTGCCTGACATTCCTGGTGTGTGCGTAAATGAGGTAAATGCGGGCATTGGAGGAGGGGGACTGGGGGGCTGGTGGGGAGGGTAATCTCCTGCCTTGCTCATGTCTGGCTAGCTACCATTTCTTCCTTGTATAAAAAATTTTCCTCCTGATAGTACCACCCATCCCCTCCTCAACATATGCTACATGTGTCTTTTTACAATGTTATCTCACTATACATGGAGCTAACATGTGAATCTTTCTATATCCTTCTCTCCTGACTAGTAGTATTCATGAACACCAACATGCACATACCATTACCACTGTAAACTCAACTGAAATCCTGACAGTCTATTGCATGGATTGCGAGTTGATAAGATTTGGCTGTGCTCTCCGACCCAAAATCTTCTATTGAATTGTAATCCCCATAATCTCCATAGTCCCCACCTGTCAAGTGAGAGACCAGGTGGAAGTAATTGAATCAAGGGGCAGTTTCCCGCATGCTGTTCTCGTGATAGCGAGTGAGCTCTCACTAGGGCTGATGGTTTTACCAGTGTTAGGCGGTTACTCCAGCATTCACTTCTCCTTCCCGCTGCCTTGTGAAGAAAGTGCCTTGCTTCCTCTTCACCTTCTGCCGTAAGTTTCTTGAGGCCTCCCCAGCCATGTTGAACCATTAGTCAATTAAACCTCTTTCCTTTATAAATTACCCTGTCTCAAGAAGTTCTTTATAGCAGTATGAAAACAGACTAATACATAGTTACTCTTCCTTATAGTCAATATCATTGACAGTTTTTACTAAGTTAAAGTTTCCCTGTGAGGTGTCTCTTTGAGAAATTAAGGAGAAAAAAAATGGAAAAAAAAATCGGGGCAGTGAACTGTGGGAGAACAGTAGAAAGGGTCAGAGAGTTTAAACTTGTTTGATACAACAGACCTAACAAACAAAACATCAAATTCAAAAATGGCATGAATGTGTATTAGAGGGTGTTGAGGAGAAGAAAGAGGCCAAGAAAACAAATCTATAGGAAAAAATATGTTTCTGAGGGACTCAGGTGAGTTAGGACAATAAGCAAAGCTTAGTTGCAACATTGGCAGGTGGGTAGATATAAAAGGGCAGTCTATAGATTAAAAAAAAAAGATGAATACTTCAGGTACTTTATGCTATTGTGTACAGTTTCTTATAGTACTAATCTATTTTAATGGTCAAATTTTATAAAATATTAACAAAATTAAGATGTTTGAACTAAAAAAATTCTCTATGCAACAGATTTATAGAGTGTCAAGCCATAATTATTTGCAAGGAGATATATTTAGCTGTATTATTGGAAACAATAGCATTATTGGATTATTGGTTGCTATATGAGAATGTTCATAATGAGTTGAAGCTGCTGGCAGCATTTAATGAGGTTTCCTATTTTTCTTTCGTTTGTTCAGCTTTTAGTAATACCAATAAGGCTCATTGCTTATTTCAGGGGGCTGGCAACAAACGGTTGTTAGAAAAGAAGAATGCTGCAAGGCTGCTCCAGTCCTAAAGTGCTGCTACAAATTGTCATAAGCATTTTAGGATCATTTGTTTATTCACTCTGATTCTTGTATCATGGTGTGTGCTTGGTCATAAATGATAACATTGAATTTCTCTTTGTTTGCTGACAACTTGCCAGCTAAGCACTGTGGAGTGTTCCAGGGAAAACATGTAGTTTCTTTGAAGTATTTGCTTCACAATTTTTCAAAGCTTAATCTTGTTGCTGGCTGCCTCTTTTACCTCTCAGCTTTGTATATATAGAGTCTCGGATTAGAGAATTAAAAAAAAAAAAACAACGATTACTATCTGGGCACCAAATGAGTTCCATATATCCATCTATCCTGCTAAGACAATAAACTAAGTTTATAACACATTTTCATTATCCTTTAAGATTTCTGAGCCATTTGTGTGTGAGCATGTGTAGGTTCTCAGTTACTGACTACATTAAGTATAAGGTAAAGAAAATGGTGTTTATTTTTGACATCCAAGAGTTTAATGTTTCATGGAAACTATGAGCTAAGCCTAATGAATTTAAAGCAACATTCTGAGTAAAATGTCTAATTATTGCAAATAAACTCTGAGAACCCTGTGATTGTTTGCTGTGGTTAACACCATAAAGCAAATTACCCTATCTTTTGTTGTACACAGTTTGCATCACAAATTATAAGGTAATTGCATGCTATAGTCTCTCTCTAGAACAATTAATATTACCACTAATAGTAGTAGTTTACATGGCTGTAATTGTCTCCATCTTTTATACAGTTTTTCTTATTAAGTATTTTGATCGTGACTTCACCGATTTTAGTCTTCTGTTGAAGATGAGAGGAAAATGAAGTTGTCTCCTTTGGCATTCCTTAGAGCCTTTGGGGATTTGATTTCTCAGCTATGTTAAAGATAGTTCATTTGTTTTAAATTCCATGATTTGCATGTAAAAGTTTTCCCTCGGCCCCTTTTGAAATTTGCATTAGATTTTCAAGGAGAAAATTGAGGTAAATGCTGTCAGTAGAATGACAGTTTTAAGTACTTTTCTCCCATGTTGTAAATCTGTCTTTTTTGAGATGGACTCCTGCTCTGTTGCCCTGGCTGGAGTGCAGTGGCACAGTCTCGGCTCACTGCAACGTCCGCCTCCTGGGATTCAAGCGATTTTCCTGCCTCAGCCTCCAGAGTAGCTGGGACTACAGGTGCGCGCTGCCACGCCTATCTAATGTAAATCTGTCCTGAACCCAACTCAGCCTGTCTGTCTTGCCACACTGCATCTGCCAATGCACTAGCAGATATTTCTTCCAGAGCCATGACTGCAGCCTCCTACCTGGTGTTGCTCCCTAAGTTTCACTTTCAGTTATCTGTTCAAATGTCACCTCTTCAGAGAGGAATTCCCTAGTCTCCCAATGGAAAACAGCACCCCATGACTTTTCCCCATTACCTTGCCTTATTTTTCTTCAAAACATGTATCTGTCAATATTTGAAAATATGTTTATTGACTCTCTCCCCCTTAGAATATAAATTACATTGTTTCATGGGTTTTGTTTTTTGCTGTATCTATAGCATCTAGAAAATTCCCTGGCATATAATAGTTGATTAATAGACATTTGTAGTTAAAAAAAAATACTGGTAGGTACCAATGGCTTAACACATTTTTATTTTTAAGTGAAAATTTATATTGTGTATAGTTCTAATAACACACAAAACAAGAAAACTTTTGTTAGATAGTTGATTTATCTGTGTTATCAAATGACAGAGGCCCACATAGTGAAAGGCATATTTACAGGTAATAATTTTCATTTTAGTAAACATTTTTATTAGTCCAGATAAGAGTGTTTTATGTGTAGGTTTATGCCTGTAGTTCTATATTAATTTTCTTGGTACTGAAATATTGATTGAGCTTGCTAATTCATATAGTGCTCTGCTAAGTATATGGCACAGTCATCTTATGTTGTTTACCAATTTCATTGTCATGAATAAGGGGAGATGTCTTTTCTTTCCTTTTTTTTTTTTTTTTTTTTTTTTTTGAGACAGGGTCTTGCTCTGTTGCTCAGGTTGGAGCTCACTGCAGCTTTGAACTGCTGAGATCACAGGACCCTCCTGCTTCAGCCTCCCAAAGAGCTGTGATTACAGGCACACATCACCATGCCCAGCGAATTTCTGTTTTTTATTCCTAGAATTTAATTTTTTTTTACTGTTTAAGATATTTATTAAAATAATGCTTTAAGGCTATCACAATTTTGCTGAGTCCCTACATATTGTTTCAGTTCACTTCTCTACTAAATTATATGGCCTTTTACCATAACAATAATTTCTTTATCTTTTACATCAATTTTCCCATCCATAGGTCTCTTTATGTTTTATGATTACATCTATGAGATTTCTCACAAAGATCATTAGGCATTATGACTTAGTTTTTTTTAGCATCCTTTACTGATAATTCAGACATATTTTGGTGAAAAACTTATGTTTTAAGAAAAATTACTCCTTTTGTTATTCATATAAGTTTACTCTTTATTTTCTAGTTACAATTTATTGCAGTTTTTAACTTCTAGCTGCCCTTAGAATTCCTGACAACTTTTTTTTTTAAAAGGATGTCTATCCAAATAAGATATTTTTGAAAACTGAATCTATCTAACTCAGTGTAAAAGATTACTTAGAACAATATAAATGTAAGTACTTTCCATTAGGAATTTCACCCAAAACATTTTTCCAATGAATAAAAGCTAGTGAAGAGATACTGTAAGGAAGAAACTGGTAATGCAATACATTCTTCCCATGCATGATGTCATTACTTACTTAGTCATAAATGTATTTCTCATTCTTTAAATACTTTATTTGCAGTGTTATCTTGCCAAATGCAAGTTGGTTTTTTTTTTGTTTTTTTTTTTTTTGAGATGCAGCTTCATTCATTCTTGTTGCTCAGGCTGGAGTGCAATGGCGTGATCCTGGCTCACGGCAACTTCCGGCTCCGGGGTTCAGGCAATTCTTCTGCCTCAGCCTCCCAAGTAGCTGGGATTATAGGTGTCCGCCACCACACCCACCTAATTTTTGTATTTTTAGTAGAGATGGGGTTTCTCCATGTTGGCCAGGCTGGTCTCGAACTCCTGACCTCAGGTGATCTACCCACTTTGGTCTTCTAAAGTGCTGAGATTATAGGTGTGAGCCACCACGCCCAGCTCCAAATTAAAGTTTTAGTGAGATATGATGTGATTGTTTCTGTACTTAGCGCTGTTATTTGCCCTGTCATTCCTGTCCTTCATTTCATTGTGAGTCAAATCATGATTCCCACTTATATCCAAAGTAATGCAAATTGAGTTACTGGAAAAAATGCCACTACATGAATATCTTCTAATATTGCAACCGTGGCTGACAGAGAGCTTTCTTGGGCATTTACCCATAATTCTAAATTCAAAGTTAGCATCATAAGAGTTAGGTACTCTGAATTAAATACTTTTGTGTTAATCACGTTTTAGCTAGATATTTAACAATAAAATCAAATCCTAAATCATTTGTGTTTATTCAATAAAGCAAAGGCAGCACTAATGTGAATTCATGGATGCTTATTTTACAGTTCAATTTTCTTCCTAATTTGTCAACTCCTGGCCTGCTTTGTCCCCAGTTATTCTGCTTTGTCCTGCAAAAATCAATGAGAATGTTTTCTGCTTACAATTCAATTGACTTTTGGGATGACAGCAATGCTTTTCTGAGAAAAGTGATCTGATGACAGTTTTACTAGCCTGGTTTTATTTGTGAAACAGAAAAATAGCAAGTTTCCATCCTCCTTTAATTTTTCATTGGATAGGTGAGAATGCTAAATGATAGCTGTATGGATTAGGTTCAGCTTTTCACATTGGGAAAAATGACTGATGGACCCTCAGATGAGAGTGTTGCTACCATGTCAACATCACAATAGTTTCCCTCCTCCAAAAAGCACCAAAACAAGCATGAGCCACAAGAAACTGGGAACAAAAGGAATCTTTGTTATTTTATTCAACAGGTAAATTAACTTCAAATTTTAAAATATTTAACAACTGAAATAAAAAAGGAAAGTATCAGAATCTAAAAGTTAGACTTGAAAATGGAGTTTATAAACAACTGTAGCTATAATCTAAGGTACTGTTTATATCCTCACAATCATAATTTTTCTCAATATATCCCATTATCAATGATGACTAGTAATAATAAATAGTAATAATTCTTAAATATCTACCCCATACCAGGTATACTTCAGAATACTTTTAACATGCTTACATGAAACTTATAACATGCAATAGATATTATCCCTTTTTACTAATGAATGTGCTGGGTCTTGCAGAAGTTAAGAAACTGCTTCTGATCACACAGCCAGTAAAGTGTGGAGCTGATGACTCAACTATAGTCAATCCGAGTTATCTTAACAATTATATATATCAATATAATATTTATCTTGTACTAAAGAGCTGTCCGAAACTTAAAATCTATAAAATCAGGTTGGAATTTTCTTTTATTTGATAATATATTTATTTTTACCTCCATTAAGTTTTTTTGTATCTGTTTCAATGATAATACTTGAAGATTCAAGGGAATGAAATAAAGGAGATGTACAAGTTGAATGTGCAAGTGAAAAATCCTGTTTTTTGTAGAGATCTTGGCAAACATTAAAAAACAAAAAACCTGATATTCTTCATGAGACCAGGCGCGGTGGCTCACGCCTGTAATCCCAGCACTTTGGGAGGCTGAGGTGGGCGGATCACGAGTCAGGAGTTTGAGACAAGCCTGGCCAATATGGTGAAACCTCATCTCTACTAAAAATACAAAAATTAGCTGGGCATGGTGGCATGTGCCTGTAGTCCCAGCTACTTGGGAGGCTGAGGCAGGAGAATCACTTGAACCCGGGAGGTGGAGGTTGCAGTGAGCGGAGATCGCACCACTTCACTCCAGCCTGGGTGACAGAGCAAGACTCCATCTCAAAACCAAAAACAAAACAAAAAAAAACCCCGATATTCTTCATGAAAAACAAAGGCAAGATATATTATTGAGTCCATCGAGTGAAAGTCCATTCCTGTACCTGGGATGTGTGCTAGTGCTGGAGATGGGTGCTTCAGTGGAGCATACAAGGATCCTTTGTCCACTGCTAGAGCCAATCTATGAAGTGGTTAAAAGAGTACTAATCATTCTGTGTCCATCTCCAAAATCTCAGTTGTCTTTCTTAGAGATGCCCAATTGCCTTCTAGAACATATATGCCAGTTGTCTCTTTCTAGTAGGGTAGAGGAACAATGCCAAAAACAATCACCAAAATAAATCTAAATATGTTACATTAACCATACTTTTACTATTTGTTTTAAAGTTGTGATCAAATGACTGTGGTTCTAGGACAGTAAACTAAAAAGACAGATCCACAGATTTTGCTCTAATCACATGAAAGCTGACAACAGAAGCACTCCAACACATATTTAGGGGTATACGTGAGTATTGTTCGGCCCATGGTAATTAGGCATAAATGTAATAAGACGGTTCGCAGAAATAAGTCTTGTGCTTCTTTCATGTAACCAAATCAAGGTTTCTCAGTCTGTGAGGCCAACTTTTCAGTATATATATTTAAAGCTTTCAGTGTTGATGCATATCATTATACTAGTTATTGTTATGCATATAGTTTCTTTGCTTATCGTTATACTAGTTAACAATCTCTGACCACCTAGGACACTTGTTCACTTCAGAACGCTAGAGGTCAGCTTCCAAGAGTGAGAATATCTTTCCCCTAACTTTGAAGTTCTTTGTGGTTTACTATTGAATATTTCAACTCTACCACTTGTATTTTTCCCTAGTTCGGAGTTCCAAAATCTCACATTCTGAAGTGATATATCCACAGGTTCTGCATTAGCATCAGTGTCACCTGAGGTATTGTGTATTGACATGTAGGCTTGGGTCCCACTCCTGAACTACGTAATTAAAATCTCTATGTATGGGGGAAATGTTAAACCAGCCCTCAGGTGTTTCTGATGCAGACCAGAGTTTCTGAATCAACTGTGTTGTGTTGGAGGTCTTCAATGCACAGACAAATTATAACATGATCCTGAGATTTGGAATATATTATAAGATATTGTAGGAAGGGGGATACCCAAACCAAAGAGGAAGACAGTGAAAAACCTCAGAATTTAATGTTCTGTAAATCACACATTCCTAAATTTATAATAAATATGAGGGCTGTTGGGTATCAAGTTAATGGGTATTAAATGTGGTAGTGGACACAAAGCACATAACATGTGGTATTACCAATAGGAAGTGCTCATTAATTGTTGCCTTGTGTATTCATTTATTCAACTAATTTTAAGTGCCTACAATGGTCAAGCCCTATGTTAAGCACTAGAAATACCAAGATGAGCAAAAACAGCCATGGCTTTCCCTCAAGGGGAATACAGAGCCATGGTAAAGACAGACATTAGTCATATCAATATAAAATTAATATAAAATAACATCCAAGATAAACACTGGAAGGAAAGGGGAGAGAAGTGGTGTTATGGGAACATACATACAAGGGAAATTTGACCTAAGCAAAGAAAAGGAACAGAAAATGTTTTCCAGGGAAATCTGGAGGAAGAGTAGAAGGGTTGGAGAATTGAAATATTTTAGGCAAAGAGAACACCATGTGCTTTAGAACCCTGTGGTTACTATGAGTGCCTACTGTGTTCAGTGACTTTTACCTCGTAAGTCTGTAGATAAGTATCAATCATCCTTTCATAGAGGAAAAAACTGAAGCTTAGAGAAATTAAGTAATGTGGGCAAAGTCTCACAAGATTCAGGAAGCGATAGGTTTACAATTAGAAATTCTGTTTGTTATATTTGAAGCTTATGATCTTTCTTTTTTATTTGGACATTAATATGTTTCAGAGGGCAAATGATAGAACTCAGGATTTGCTTATAGAAAGGTGTTAGAAATCAGGCATTAAGACTGTAAAGTTTGGAGTAAGGCGCAGAAGGGAAAGAAAAAAGAACTATAAGGATATTTTATTGCATCGCAATTTTGCTGTAGGTTGAAGACCACTGGGTGTAAATCCCATTATGGTAGGAATGCTAAAATGGAAGCCTTTGGAATTTCCTTTCTCTTCCATAGAGTAAGTCAAAGTCAGCTCTGTATCCTTGCAGAAATTGTGGATATTAATACTGCCATGAAAGGCTTGAAAGATGAAGATTAATGATTCTTATCACATCCCTAGTTAGATTAACGCAGAAGACAGATGTATTTTGGAGAATGATGGTGGATTATTATAAGCTTAATCAGGTGGCGAATTCAATTATATTTGATTTTCTTGATAAGGTCTCCTTACTAGAGAAAATCATTACAGCCCTTTGAATCTGTTATGTAGCAATTAAACAGGTGAATATTTCCATCCTTTATTCTGTAAATAAAAAATAGCGAAGGTGGTTTGTTCTTACCTGGAAGGGAAAATAGTACACCCTTACTGTTCTGCCTCAGGATCCAATCAGTTGTCCAACTCTGTGTCATTTTGTCTGAAGGAAATTTGTCCATGTCACTGTTTCACAGAAAGCCATGTTGGTTCACCACATGTATCGCATCCTGATAATGTGAAGTGAAAAAGTAGAGCCTGGAAGCCTTTGTAAGATGACTGTGCCAGAGGAGGAAGATAAATATCTCGATGCTATGGAGGCCTGTCAGCTCTTTGAAGTATCTGGGCAATATCAAGATTTCTACTTCAGATGAAAAAACAAATAGTTATTCATTGACCCTGTTGCCGCCAAGAAAGAGGTACAATCCTTTGGAATGTTTTTTTTTTTTTTTTTGGTATATGTCTGTTTTAGAGTTGACATATTTCATATCCGTGTGTGTTCCATGACCCAAAAGGTTTCCAGAATGAGAGGGGAGATCTTTAGCTGGCCGGGCAAGCAGCAGTGCCACTCTGCTTTAATGACCTAGCGCATCTAGTGATGATGAAAGTATCTGTGGCAGATTGGGAGGCTGACAAAACCTAAATCAAGCTACAAGAGGAGAATCTGCAACAGAAGGCCCTGAATGTTAGAAAAATAATTCTCTCTTTGGCAAGTAACTGTACCATTTTGAAAAGCAGCTTTTACTTGTAACTGGCTCAGTAGAGACCATAGGACTGTGGGATGAAGTAAGCTGAGTCACCCCTCAAAAACTGTGCTATCTTATCTGTCTAGCAATTTAAATGAGGAAAGTAATGAGGTGATATTTTAGATATTGTTTAGGGAATCTGACAACAATACAGGGTAAATGCATTGCAGACAATTTGGAATAGATGGCAGAAACATGCTTGTTCTGTTCAAGAAGCAGCAAGGAAGCAAATTTGACAGCAATCAGGGGAACAAGTGGAAGAGGCAGATGCCCAGTCATATAGGGTCTTATAGACTGTGGTAAAGACTGGATTTCATTCTCAGCAAAATGGGAAGTAAGTTTTGTTGGAAGAGTAACATGATAGAACTTATGTCTTAAAAGGGTCATTTGGAATGCTGTGGGGGAACAGACCATAGGAAAAGAAATGATGGATGAGACTATGGTGGTTGTGGGGAAGGTGGTAAGAAGTGGTTGAATTCTGGATATGCTTTGCAGGTAGAGCTGACAAAATTTGCTAATGGATTGGATATGGATATGAGAAAAAGAATGGTGTCAAGGATAGCTCCAAAGATTTTGGTCTGAGCAATGGGAAGGATAAAGTGGGTGTTTACCGAGATGAGGAGTACTTTATGAGAAGCAGACTGTGGGATAAGAAGAAATAATTAGTTTTGAGAGTCCTATTAGATAAATAAATGGAGATATTGAGTAGGTAGTTATATGGGAGTGGAATCTAGGGAGGAGGTCTGGAGTGGTAACATAAAGGTGAGGATCCCTAGCATATAGAGGACATTTAAAGGCAAGAGATTGGATGATATCATCTTTAAAGGGAGTGTAGGTAGGGAAGAAATATCTAAGGACAGAGCCCTAGGGAACTTCAGTGATTAGAAGCTGGAAGAGGAGAAAGATCTAACAAAGGTGACAGGAGGAGTGAAGTAGGGAGAAATCGGAGAAAGGAGGGGTCCCAGAGGCTAAAATAAGAAAAGTTTCAAGGAAGGAGTTGAAGAGGGTTGACCAGGATGTGGATTGATTCGTGACCATTGGATTTGGCCAAATGGAGGTTTTTAATTACCTTAAAAAGGGCTCTTTAAGACCAGTGGTGAGTATGAATGCCAGACTGGATCAGAGTAAATTGGAGGCAAGGAAGTGAAAATAACTAATACTGAAAGCTCTTTTGAAAAGACTAAACAGGCTAACGAAGAAAGTGATGATGATGTGAGGATTGGGGACTAGGCATGAGCCCAACAACGTGTACGTTTTCTTACTGTAACTAGGAACCTGACTACCAAAATCGTTTAGTGTCCTCCTGTGATTAGAGGGTCCAACACTAAGTCCCTGATTTGATACTGACCAAGGAGGGACCTGGCATTTACCTTATAACAGTCTGATTTTATTGGAAGCCTTCCATCTTGGAGAAGGCACCAGTTTGCCCTCATTGGGATAGATATATACTCCGGGTTCAGGTGGGTTTTTCTCCTGCATCAAGCTCTTGCCAGCACCACACCCACCACACCACCTCCTCCCCACGAACTCTTCTAAGGAATTACCGAATATCGTTTAAAGCATCACATTCTACACAACATTGTTTCTTCCTAAGGAACTCAGGTTAGAGTGAAAGAACTAAGGAGCTGGGATGCTGCCATGAGATTTGCTGGTATTATTACATACTCTATCACCCAAAAGCAACTGGAGTACTCAAAACAGTAGGATGCCATGTAGGATCAAATCCTTTCTTACACTATACAACATACATTCTGAATCAACTACCGACATATGGTGCTGCTTCTTACATAACTGAAATTCATGGATCTATATCAAAGACATAGCTCCTTTCACATTTTAACTGACTCACAAAATTTTTACTTTTATACTGGTTTCTGAGTTTAGCTTGAAGTGGGGCAATGCTTCTAGAGATACCAATTGATTTATTTAATTAGAAGTAGATGCTGTCACCTGCCCATTTCATGCTACTCGGGTAACGAGGAGAGGGATTACAATATTTGGCTAGGGTGATTGATTCTGACCAGGAAGAGGAAAGAAGGTTGCTCCTACTCAGTGTGGAAATCCTAGGGGGTACTCCTAGTATGAGCAATGTCAGTGGTAAAATTAACATGATGACTAGAACAACCTGATATAGGCGGAATTATAAGCTTCCTCTGGAATAAACATTTAGATTATGACACTGGGTAAATCCCAAAGTGGAAATAATTTTTTTCTCTCAGGCATATTTTCATTAAAAATCCCAATTCTAAAGATTTTAAAGCATTGTATATTGCCTAAATTTGTTGAAAACAACATATTTTTTACTGCTTAAGAAGGGAGAATATTAATTATTTTTTAAATTATAATTTAGGGAGCAATGATACTTTTTAAAAAGAAAATTGTTTTTCTAATGGAGAATGAAACAGGGTTTTCTGAAGTTGTACTTGTAATATGTCAAAAAGCAAGGGGGAAATTATAAAGAAATCTATGATTTATTTTTCTATGTTGGAGTTAGAGAAATATCTGATTTGTTGAGTAGAAGCAGATGGGCCAGAATTTTAATCCTGATTCAGATTTTTTTTAGATATTGGGACATAGCCTGAATGAGATCTCAAAACTGAAGCATGAACTTTTTTTGTGCTTTAATTTTCCATAATTAAAACAAGGATAAAGCTTTATCTTCCTTATTTATCATGCCCACAATTACATGCATTAGCTTAAATAGTTTATTTAATCCAAATTTTACAATTGAAAGAAAGTTTTAATATTATGACAAGGAATATCTAACACAAAATCAATCAGCTACAGGTTTCCTTTGAGACAGTGATGAACACATAAGTCAACAAAATTAAACGTTATCTTTTCAAATTTCACATTAAAAGTCTTTTTATAGGCTTTTCTGCAATACTTTCAGTGGTAGAAATGTTGCATCTTTTGTTATGACTGGAAGGATTAGAATAGAGATGACTGGATAAGTATACCCAACCATAGCATGATTGTATCATTGGTTTTCCCTTCTAATTTCACTGCCTCTTAAGAGAGCTTCACTATACCAGTTAGATAGACAATTTAGAAATTGATTTAGAATACAAAGTATGCTTTGGAATATTTTATTTTATTTTTACTAAAATATTTAGAGATATTAGATGGTGAGGTAGAAGGGAGGTGAGGATGAAGTGGTAGAATAAAGGGAAGTAGCGTCTGTGGAGTCCTTCCTGTTAATGAGTTGTACTAGTTCTGTATTACAAATGTTCTCATTTAATCTCAGGAGTACTCTGCAAGAGAAATATTACTACTCAGTTTATAGGTAAGGAAATGGGGACTAACAAAGGTTAAATAAGTTGCACAACTTACGAAGTAAGTGGTAACTATAGAAGTTGAATTTAGTTCTCTGTCTCAAATAATCAAAGGGAAAGAAAGATGCTGAAAGACAGCATGAGTTTTAGGCACACTGTGGAATCTTACAGAGCCAATTGTCCAGTTAGTAATTCTTCGTGCATTAATTAGGTGAAAGGTGAACCCCCAACCCACGGAAAGATCCAGCCAAGTAAGGAACTGCAAAATATTGAATGACTAATTCTCCAAACAAGGTAAAGTTTACTGATCTCTGTGTGTGTGTGTGTGTGTGTGTGTGTGTGTGTGTGTGTATGTGTGTGTGTGTGTACACAGTGTGTGCTTAGGACTGAGTTAAAATGCCATGCTTATTTGACACGTGGGTCCTCAACTATAAGGGCTTTGGGAACATTTAAGTCATCAGCCACGGATTTGAAAGAAAGACTTTACTTGTCAAATATGATTCTACAAAGATACATTTTCTATACAAGTATAGATGTTCAAAAGCATAGGCTATTTCATCATGGTGGTGCACAAAGATGGGAAAATATAATGAACATACCTTAGAGGTTTCTATTTATACAATTGTGTGCATTGAAAAGTAGCTGAGCAGTCTGAACAAAGAAACTGACGTAATTATCCTGGATCCATTTTTTTTCTAGTCTATTTGATCAAAGAACCCATTTAACATCAAGGATATACAGGCATTTCAGGAAAAGCAAATCAATGGAGTACAGTTCAAGGAATACTCTCCTAGGCCTGTGGCTTATTTCAAATCTTTAAGAACATCCTATTAGTATGTAAAGCAAAGTTCATATAGGAAACTAGGTACTTAATGTAACAGCCAGAGGGGCAATCATGAGACGGTCTCTTTTCCAATATGGACTACAGTCTTTAGTATAGTAGTCTGTTTTGCAGTCTCTTTTTTTCTCCATTATTATCTCCTTATGTCTCACTTCTGCTTATTTTGTTGCAGTCAGTGATCAATACATCAAAGGAAAAAAGAATTTTCAGTATAGATTTCTACATAAAATGATGAGTTTTTTGAATCTTACGCTTGGTATCAGATTTCTCTGACCTGTTATCTATTATCTCCAAGTCTGGATTCTGGACAGTGAGGAAGACATGAGGGGCGGTGGGGAATTTGTGTATAATAGGCAACTGAATTTCTTCTTGTGCACTCAGGGCCTTCTGCTCAGGATGCTGTAGGGTGCTCATGCAGGCTACAGGACATAGTACCAAATGGTTAAACAGCATGGGGGAGATCAGAAGAATATTTGTGCAATTGATACCAACAAGCTATTTCTTGGGCAACATACATGGCCAGAATTTTGAGAGTACGTTGACAGAAATTAGCAATTGATAATGACTATGTTTGAATTTTGCAGACCAGGAACTCAAAGGTTTTTAAAATATGCATTAACATTAAAAAAGTAATAAAAGCACTTTCTAGTTTAGATGTTATGAGTCAGATTGATAAGTCAGAAGAAATGGAAAACTTGAATTTTATTCATTTGCTCCACAAATATTTATTAAGCATTAATTATGTTGCTGTCATGTTGCTGGATGTTAGTGTGATCTCTGCCCCACAGGAACTTACCAAGAATAACAGACAAAACAGAAAAGACCAGATAGGCCAGGAACATTTTCTTCAAGGCACACATTACTGAAAGAACTGGAAATTAAAACTAGACAGGAATTGTGTAATTGTAGATTATTGTGTATATTTATTCATACTGAAATTTAACCAACAAAGTCTTCACATGTATTGCAATGGTTTAGATTGACAGAGGTTCAGTGTACAGACGTTGTAGCCAGAATGTCTATTTCCAGTCTCTTGTTTACTACTTAACAGCTGTGTGCCCTTGGGCAATTTATTCAACCTCTTGGTTCCTCAGTTACCTTGTCAGTCAAATGGAGATAGTATTCGTACCTACCTTAAAAGGCTGTCCTGAGGATTAAATGAGCTAGTACCTGTTAAACGTCAGAATGATACCTTGTACATAGAAAACGTGTGATACGTTTTGCTACCATTGCAATTTTAATGTATTGTATTTGCTATTGGACAGTCCAGTTACTTTAATCCTTTGTTGTCATTTTAAGAGCTTTATTTAAAGAACTTCCTAGGTTCCATTATATGCTCAATTTTTTGAGTGATTTTTGAGGTTTGAAGGGCTTTTTGAAACGCTGTGTGTCTTTTTTAGGCAGAAGCCTTTGCAAACCAGTGTACTAGTTGTCATTGTCACATCCTTTCTCCTGACTTGGGAATCGTGGAATCAAGGGTTGACATGGTGCTCTGTCAGCCCCAGCTGGCCACCAATGGCCATATAACATGAGGCAGAAAAAAGCCTTTGCTGTTTGATTGAAGTGTCTGAGATTTCAGGGCTGTATTTGTAGCATTAACTCACATAACCTGACTAATATATGTGGTATAGCCCAGCGCAGAAGCAATGTATATAACATGATGATGATAATATATGGTGCATTGTAAATGCCTAAAATTGTATTATTTTATGGTTATTATCATGATTCTGTTATTTGATCTGAAGAATTTCTCATGAAGATAAAATGGCTCAAATTTTCTTGTACATTTATTGAGTAAAATATTATGTATGGTCTCTTTCTCTCTCTCTCCCCGCAGAATTGATCAGTCAGTGTCTATCAGGCCCTGTGCCTGTGTTGTAAAATGTTTGTGAACCACAATATCTCTGCTCTTGATCTGCTGAAAATTGTTATAATTAGTTCAGTTAAAAAGCCATTGATTGAGCACATGTTATGTCCAGGGACTAAGTTAGGTGACAATTAGAAAAACCTTCTGGTATTAACGAAATCCTTCTTAGGAAGCTTGTGATGAGGTACATTTTTTTGGACTCAGAAGAATAATGTGCAAAATGCTTGATGTTTACTCCATACCATGGAATTATTAATCATGGGGTGTGACTACACCCTGGAAGTCTGGGATAGAGGACTGGAGAGGAGGCACAGAGACCTGGAGAATCCACTTGCGGTAAGTTGTGGAGTATCGGCAGCAAAAGAGGAGCTTGGGGTTGAGAGTTTGCCTGAGGTTGGGAATGAAGCGAGCAAGATAAAACTTTGCTGATTTTCAGTTGCAGCCCTTGTTGAAGGGAAGAGGAAAAAAAATCCCTGTAGAATACATATTTCATAAACCGTTATTTTAACCACCTTTTATATTTCAGTTACAAGTTTTAAGATGAAGGGCATAAGGATATAGGAAAAATATCATGATACATTGCTTTTCTTTTCTGCCATTTCTGGTCCCATTTGGAAGTCACGATAGTCCTTTTCTAAAAGCTGATAAGTCCTTTAAAAATGTTTAAATTGCAGTTGATTGCACTGACCTAGGAATCTTCTAATATCTAATTCTTGCATGAAAATGTAACTAGCAAGATGACTCCTGCTGGCTTATAATATGCTTATTACAAAAAAGCCCACTTGTCAGACACAGATATTTGAACATTATGAAAATGAATTCATAAGCCAAATCTGTCTGTCAGATGTCTTTAATTTAAATGTTCTGATGGGTGATGAGACTCAGCATGATGACATCCAAAATTGTCGTGTGAAATTAAAAATGTCAGGGAAGAAGAAGGCTAGAAAAAAATTTGACATTTAGTTCAAATTAGTTCACTTGACGTTTGGAATTTAAAGTTTCTGGTCAAGAACAGTTTTGATTTGTCAAATTTGGACTTTACCACTTATGAATCAAGTGCCATCATTCCATTGGTGTTTTCTCTTAAATGACTGAGGTTATGTATTTTACCCCAGATCACCTGTGGAATGCTGGCGAGGTTAATTCAGTAACTATAGAAATACTCTTTCCAGAGCTTCTGGGGTGAACAGTGCTACAGATTTCACTTTCTAAATAAATACAGGTAGGTAGAGGTCATTCTAAGTGGGATATTAAACAATTTTTTTTTTCCGGTGAATGTTGAACTTCTTGTGTGGCACAATGCTCTAGTGTGCGACCTTCTACTTGACAGCTGTGCCTTACCCTAGCTCCTGCATAGACTCATTATGCAGGCTTCTTGCTCATGCCCGAGTGGTCCACAGCTGTTTGGAAGCCCATAGCCGGATGACTGTTAACTGTGGCCCACCTGCCTCAGTTCAAGGCTTAGAGAAGCTCTGTGTTGCTGCTTTTCTAATTCCTGAAGTTCAACTGTGCTGTCACCATGACAGTTACATCCTTCTTAAGACCAAGTAGGCACACTAGAGAAGTAAGTAATTTGTTGGAGGTGGTGAGGATGATAATGATGCAGGCTGCTTTCAGATTAGGCAGTATCAGTGTGCAGCACAGATTCAGAAATCAGATCTAGAGATGGGTTCTCAGTGATTGTTTCATTTTGGATCTTTCTCTAGCCCTCTGAGTTTAGCCTTATTCTTAACTTTCAGACATTACCCAATTTCTCAAGAAGCCTTTCCTTGATCATAGGGTTTCATAAACATGAGAGATAACCTCTTTCCTTTCTGTTTTGTTTCTCAAAATATGTTGAAGTATTATTCAATGAGATTTTTATAGAACTGTCACTCTGCAAAACTAGGCACTGAATGAATTGTAGGATTAATGAAGCATAATCTAGTTGGGGCTATTAGATTTACATGTTTGAAACATTGAAGTAGCATGGCAGTGTCAAGAACTGTGAAGGGTTTTATATTTTACCTTATTTGTAAACTTACAAGTAGGCTTGTCACAGTTTCTCATACCCTGGCAGAAGACACAAGACAGCTCAGATTTTCTTACTTACAGAACAGCACGCTAAATGAGTGTTAGCATATTTAAGTCACTTCCCCTTTCCTCTGAGTTCCCCAGAAGTGATGCAGGAGGCCAGATAAATGCCAGCTCACTTTCTGGATTTTGCTACAGAAGAGAACACCATGTGTAGGGAACCTGAATTTTTTGTAATAGGCCGTAAGCATGCCTGCCCTTTGGCCTGGAAAGAGACACTATATCTTCCAGGGCTGTTTGCTGTGTAAACATCCTTGAAAAGACAGCCTTGAACAAAGGGCAGTCAATAGTTCTACTCAAAAGACATGGAGAAATGCAAAAGACCCATGGAGATTTGTCTTCTAATCGGCAGCATCTTGCAAGGTAAGTTGCATAGGCAGTACTAGCTAGAGAAATTCAGTTAAAGGAACTATAAACTTGATCTTCAATTCCAAACACCCTAATTTAGTTATTTAAGAAAGGTTTTTATAGAGAAAATTAAAATTAAGAAGTCTTTGGAAGATGGGAAATATCTGAAGGGATAAAGGAGAGGATAATGGGCATTCCTTTTGTGGAAGGTAGTATGAGTTGGGATGTACTCATAGCTGCGATGTTATGAGGATGCATTGGTTCAGCCTCTCACTTGTTGACCATCTTCATCCACCCTGATTGTTCAGTATCCTTGCTGTACTGATTGTTTAGGATTTTGAATAGTAATTATGGCATTTGTATGGTTTGGAAGCAGTATGATTTTACTGTTGCAGTTGGTTACTCTTCAATCAAGGTTGCCAGATAAAGTCCTCTGTTTTTATTTGCTAAGCCTGGCAACCCTATCTTTGGTACAGTAGGGCTAAATCTCTACAGCGAAGGAGCTCAAATCTGAACTGGCATCTATTCTTGTAGGTAAGGGAAGCCATTAAAGGCAGTTGACCAAAGGGTTATGTAAAAAGAATTGTGTTTTAGCAGAACAAAAATGATAATGGTGTGCTAGGATAGATGATGAATGAGATCTTCCTGATCATCAGGATAATTCCCATATCTCTGGCTTTGAGAAGCAGTGGAGAAAATTTAGAAGATAAGCTTACATTTAGAAGACAAGCAACTTGGTCGGTGCGGTGGCTCACGCCTGTAATCCCGGCACTTTGGGAGGCTGAGGTGGGTGGATCACAAGGTCAGGAGTTTGAAACCAGCCTGGCCACCATAGTGAAACCTCGTCTCTACTACAAAAAAAAAAAAACAAAAAAAAACGAAAATTAGCTGGGCATGGGGCGGGCACCTGTAGTCCCAGCTACTCAGGAAGCTGAGGCAGGAGAATTGCTTGAATCTGGGAGGCAGAGGTTGCAGTGAGCCAAGATCATGCCACTGCACTCCAGCCTGGGCGACACTAGACTAGTGACTCGGTCTCAAAAAAAAAAAAAAAGAAAAAGCAACTTAAGATTGGGCTTCATGAAGACAGAGACTAGATTCTGTGGATATAGGATAAATAACACATGGGCAGCTGTGACTCAGAGCATGGGTATGACATGAGTGACCTGTAATTGTTCTATGTGGAATGGGTGCACTAGTCATCCAATTAAGCCATGGAGAAGGACAGAGATGCTTGGCTCTCACTCACTAGTCTCTGAGTCAAAAGGGGCAGAGGAAGGGAAACTTTATTAGGCCAATAAGGAATAAATGATGTGAATGCATAGTTTAATGTATGTTACTATGTGAACAAAAAATTGGGGTAGAGAAGAGTTTTCACACATTAGGATGCAGATTAGGATGAGATTTCATTTATAGAAGAGTAGTGGGTTTTGGCACCATGGGATTGATAAGGACAAGTATGATGGATAAAGCAGTGTGTTGGCAGCATGGCAGGGGGATACATTAACAGAGGGGGTATTAGGGTTGGGAGAGGAGTGTTGAGAAATTAGGATGGGATGTCTGACCTGGTGGGAGTAATTTACAGAGTAGTAGGTCAGGAATACTGAGGGATGAGGAATCAGAAGGCAAGTGGGCAGGTCCTCCTTGGTAATCTAAAAGGAAAGTTGATGGAGCTTCATTGAAACAAAATTGTCTTCCCTGGGTTTCAACGAGGACCCTTCAGATGGAATTTAGGCTCTTTGTTGACACCATTTGGAGAAAGTAGATGATTCTTTGTGGTAAGTAGAAGGTAAATACTAAGTCAATGTTTTTCTGATTTGGTTTTTCACTTGACAGAGAGAGCAGGTGCTATAAATTATACTAATGACTAACATTGGGGAATTCTAGTGGACCCTCTAAAGGTTATGGGCATAAGAAGAGGAAGGGAAACATTTGAAAAGGATGTTGTCATGGAAGCTTTAGTTGAAGTGCTGAGAAAATTGATAACATATTTCAAAGTGAGATACAAAATCACGATACAAAAGTTTGAAAGGAGTTATCTGTTCTAAATTTAATGCAAGACTGAATTTTGACCATTGCACAGGACTAAATAATTACTGAGACTGTCATGAGACTTGAATGAATTATGGGTATTTTTATTACCCTAGAAGTACCAGAAACATCAAGGATATCAAGAAAGATCTAGCCTATTAGAGTGGATTTTAAGATATAGAAATAAATTTTACTTATGATTGTATTATGCAAGTCATGATTGTTAAACATAATGTTTACACAAAATAAAAACGGCAGGCTGAGAAGTAGAATCTATGGAAGAGAGTTGGAAGGGTTTTGGAATTTGGCAGATAAAACATGAGATAGGAATAACATTTGTAGAGACGAGTTCATCTAAAAGCAGATTAAAAGGAAAGCAGCAATTTCCTAGCACTGCAATATTCTCTGCGATGGACTGAATGTTTATGTACCCTCCCCCTCCAAATTTATAGGCTGAAATCTTAACTCCTAATGTGAAGGTATTAGGAGGCAGAAACTTTGGGGGTAATTAGGTAATAAAGAGACTCTAGAGAGCTCTCTCACCCTCTTTCTGCCATACAATTAAAGACAGCAGTCTGCACCTTGGAAGGTGACCCTCACCAGTACCCAATCATGCTGGCACCCTAATCCTGGACCGGTACCCTCCAGAAATATAAGAAATAAATTTGTATTGTTCATAAGCCACCCAGCATATGGTACTTTGGCATAGCAGCCTGAACTGACTGAGACATTCTCCAAAGGTATCAATAGGTGAAGCTTAATTTTTATAAAGAAAAATAATTTATAAAATTGGCTATTTTGTATGACCTTGGCATTCAGGGTTTAAAATATGTTAGAGTGAACCCAAAAGTACGTGTTAAACAAAATGAAAAATATAAAAATATTAGTGGCCATCATTTATTCCAGGCATATAAGGTATAAACTTAAGGTAAAATTGTTCCTTTTTCTCTATGCATAATACATACTGAGGACTTCTACCAAATATAGGGCGTGGAGAACTCTTTGAAAAGAATTCATTGAATAGAATGGAAAATGTATTCTGACTATTTTCTTCTTAAAAATGTTCTGTATGTCTAGCTTTTCTAAAATGTAAATGTATTACTTTTAAAATCAACATGAAAACATTCTAGGTGTCTTCTCTAGCATGAGGCATGAGGAAGTTTATGGGGAGCTAGGAGCATGGATTGACACGATAGCTGGTCACTTTTGAGGCTGTGACTAATCCCAAAGAGGCAAAGGACTCTGTGCATGGTCAGTGCTTTCTTTGTCTGAAGGATACCTTGTTTGGCTTCTAGAGAAAGGAATGCAGGAAAAATTATCTGGTATGGATCCCCTTTCTCCTGTGCATCTTGACGGGTGGTGGCAAATAAGACTGTGCTTTAGCTACAGGGAAAGAAGGAGAAGACCAGCAGAAGGAACGGCAAGCTGGGGAAATCAGAAAACTAGGCTAAGTCACAGTGGTTTGCCCAAACAGGTGGCAAGCAAGCCACCCACCAAGTAATGTGGCCTCCACTGCGGGGGAATCTTCAGAGTAGAACACCAGCATCATGCCCAGAACACAGAGGCTTTTTCAGTTGGAGTCCAAATGCAGAGCATCTGTCACTGAGTCGCTTATAATTAATTCTGCCTTTAAATTAGCAGCTGTCTTAGGACACTTTGCTGGTGGGTGGGTTGGGGACGAAGATACATTTACAGTGTAATGGATTTGAGCTTGTCAGTTTTAGGGTGGCCACAGCATCCAAGGTTGCTCCCTTCTGAGGGCTGTTCGTGTTGATAGCAGTGGTAATGATCCACTTTTGACATCTTTAATATTTCATTGGCAGAGATGAGAGAGATAGCTATTTTATTTCAGAATTTGCCCCATCGAATTCTCCTAATTCCTCTTTCCTTTTCTCCTGCAGCTTGTATTAATGTAATTTGATGGAAATCTGATTTGATTTACAAAAGTTGTTGTCCAATAATTCCACCAATTTTTGAAGTAATAGATGCTTATTTTCTTTTCCATATGCACCATTTGATCCACCGTAAAGCAGAGATAGCAGAGCACTATTTAATGCAGGGGTTTGCAGCTGCAGAGTGGAAGAATCTGGTGGTCATGGTAAGAAAGGGCAACTTTTTAGCTTTTATTTATTTATGTTGTTAAAATTCTGAGTTTATTTCACATGTATATTTTTGTCTCCCCATCATTTCTGTGTCTGACCACCGCTACTACTATGTCCTATCATAACATTCCATATATGCTTAAAACCATGCAAAGGCTGGAGTTTCATCTTTAAAAACCGACATTTTGGACAACACATTTTTGGCAATGGAAGCTAGACAACATTTATCAACACAGTAGGGAAAGTTCTCACTCTGCATTATGAAAAGGACAGCCAGATATCAACAGTTACAGAAATGAAATAAGATAAAATTTTTAACAAACTGTTTAAACTATCTTCCTTAAAGAGACTTCATCTACTGCCAGAGACCTTGAACAGCTTCCTGGTCGGTCATCCAGAAGCAGTCCTTCACGTGATTGATAAATTTGGCTTCCACTTTGGGAAGAGAAGTCTCTTTTTCTACAGTTGCTTGCATTTTTGCTCTAATGTCTTCTTCCACAGAACAAGGTCCTTTTGGTGTTTTAGTTTTTTTTTTCCCTTTTTTTTTTTTTTGAGTGATTCTTGACCTTCTGATGTTGGTGCTGATGGTGTTGAGTCTTCTTCCTTCTGGTTAGATGTTTGTGCATTTTTGGCTGAAGTATCTCATATAGACTTCTTCACTGGAGGTATTTTTTCAGTTTCATCATAATTAAAATCATCATCTTCATCTTCATCATCTCTATTATTATCATCTTCATCAGCAGCATGTTTTCCTTTTTTTCTGTGGAACCTCACTACCATTTCTAGGGGCGGATTGCTTTCCAGGTATACTTAAGAGCTTCATATTCTCCTCCTCTTCATCTTCTCACTCTGCCTCTTCCTCCACAGCTACTAAGTGCTGTCCACTAATATGCCCTGGCCCTGAACCACGCTTCAACCATAAGACCACGGGTGGTGGTATTTCAAAGCCCCTAAGGGAAACCACTGGCTGTATAGACATTTTCAAAGTGCCAGTGTTATTTCAATCGGACCACCTTTGTAATTCATTGCCTCTGCTTCAGCAATGTGCGATTCATCCTATGTATCAGCCCCTAAAGTGACTATTCTTAAAGATAACTGTAGTTTTTTCATCATTATTCACATTAAAGTGAGAAACTTTGTCAGTGTTTAGCTCATAACCAAAAAGATAGTTCTGGGGCTTTAGGGGGTTCATGTCAAATCTTCCACTGGGGTGGTGGCAAGGACTTAGGTGGGAGAAAAGGTGGACAGAGGTAATGACTACTGCTCCAGAGAACAGTCATGCAGGATGGAAACACACCAGCACGAGGGGGCCACTTTTGCAAACCTTCATAGTGAGGAGGTGATGCTAGTGGCCTCCATTGCCCTTTGTTTCTGACTGTCCCTCCTTTCCCAATACAAATTATTTCTAATATTATATGTTTAGATATAATTTGCTGGATTAATATTTGGTGGCTTGAGTTTCATCATTGGGTATTTCTCATTTTATTTATTCTTTAGAACATGATTTGAAACTTGAGCACAGTAATACCTCATTTATTCAGTGACAGTAAATAGTTGTTTTGTGAATTTTCTGAATGATAATAGTTATAGGGGCTAGCATATATTGAGCCCTTATGTGCTGGCACTTTGCTACATACAATTGTAGTCAGCATCCTTTAAGACGGCCCCCACGACCTCCACCTTGTGTAATTCATGCTTTGTGTAGTTCTACCCCTTGGAGTGTTGGCTGGATTTAGTAACTCTGAGATGATAAACGTTTGCTTTTTTCAACCACTAACTTGTGGGGCAATTTGTTACACAGCAATCAACAATGAATACAACTTCAGATACATCATTTAATCCTTACAACAATCCAATGAAGAAGGTATTACTGTATTCTCATGGGGTTCCATGGCATTGCCTCAACTCTCAGGTCCTCTGCTTCTCTCTCTGCCCCCTCCCAAGGCTACACACTTTTGTGGCCCTTCCTATTTCTGGCTGTCCTTTGGAATACTTAGCCGCCTTCTTTCTGTATCTATCCTGCCACCATCTTGTAAATTAGCCCCTTCTTGCTGTTGACTCTCCCTAGCACTCAGAAATTTAGCAGAAATCATTTTCTCCCTCTTGTTGAGTTGTAAAATAACCAACTCATCTTTATGATGATGCCAGCTTAAGACGTTCCCTGGAGGTATCTCTATGCTTCAAGATATATTTTCCCCACAACAAAGGCATTAGACTGTTGCTTTTAGAATAGTTTACTGCTTTCATGTGTTTTTTAAAAATTCTCCTTCTTCTTGAACCATTTGTCTTACAATCTGGGATGGATTGCATGATTTGTATGCAAAATGGAAATCGATAGACTCTAAGTAAGGGCTGAGGGCCACTTTCTGTGTCTGTGCATTGTGGCCATTTTTTCCTAGCACAGGTTCCCAGCTTTGTTTTGGGTAATTAGGGCTGATAAAATTTCATTTCTACCTAAATTAGGTATTATTATATTTTTTTATTTCATTTCTTATTTGCAAAACTGGACATATCCTTATTTTATTCCTGGTTAACTTCAGTAACCTTATAACTTATGCATTCCACCAACATTCCATTCCTCTCCAGTCTGGCCCCTCCTTGGCTGGCTGACAAGTATTTCTGAAACCCCACTTACATTGGGGTGTGACCTGATGATCGCCTCCTCGCCTCCAGCATATCTGCATTAAACAATCTGGGGACTCTTTTTGGGATTAAATATTGATTGTTTCAAAAAATGAAAATTGAATGTTTAGAGTGAGAAATTGGCTAATTAAAGCTGGACTTTGTTTATTAAAAATTATCAAATAAGTTTATGATGATTAAACCAGTAATCCTGATATATATTAAATTAAATTCAAGTATGAATATGGGTGGGAAAAAAAGCATGATTTCTGATTGAATGGTAACCTCTAATATAATGAAAGTCATTTAATTGCAACTTAGATACTTCTGATTAATATATTGCTTGAGATATATTAGTAGTGATGGAAGTAACACTGGTAGCGGTGATAGTAGGTAGCATGTTAGGAAGGGTGTTGGAATACCTACAGTGTGACATGGATGCTGACAAGCACCTCATATACGTTGTCTCTTTTAATCCTTCAAAACCCCTATACTGTAGGTACTAATATCATCCCACAACTTATAGCCTTATCTTCATTTCCCAAATTAGCTTGCTCCCTTTCCACCCCCCAAATCTTAACTATCAGTCCTGTTTTTATCAGTCAATAAAATTTCATGTTTCTTGTTCTTCTCTTATAGGCATGTGCAATACAGCAGTTTAGGGAAATGAAATATTTTCTGTCATGAAATATTATATTTCTCCAAATCAAAATTTATTATAGCTCTTTGGAGCTTCCACCTGGGGGAATTTTCTGTCATACAAGTCAAATAGGTTCTATTTGTTCTGCCCAGTTTAGTTTTTCTCTCTACTTTGCTGGATAAAGTAAAAAGATGTGACAAAAGGAGACATAATATCCACAAATCCATCTCCTTACAAGTTAAAATCGGTAGCTTTTATAATTTCTTTGGCAAGGAAATCCTTTTAGAAGGGGGTAGTAATTATAAATAATACTAATAGCTGCTAGCTGTAGTAATAGTAGTCCATTTGTCTTAGAACTCTTTTATGCACTTGTATTTTTCCAAGTGAATCAAGCTAGAATAAAGTTTGTAGCGTCTCTATTATACTTGTGGTCTAGAGATGTGTTAGAAAAAAAGTAAGTAATTTTCTTGTCTATTATAATGTACTATAAGGAGTTATCAAGCATTAATCCAGCTATGATGCTCTTAAAATTCCCAAATCTCTATGTTCAAACTTGTTTAATTTAGAGGAATGACTTTGGTGGGCAGGGTGGCTCATGCCAGCTACTTGGGAGGTTGAGGTGGGAAGATCACTTGAGGCCAGGATTTCGAGACCAGCCTGGGGAATATAGTGATATTTCATCTCTAAAAAAAATAAAAATAAAAAAAACAATGAACTTAGTAGACAATTTTAGATAGCAAACAGCAAAACAGAAAAAAGAAAAGAAAAATATACTTCAATCTGTTATAAGTGATTACTTTTGAGTATGTGGTCAAATAAAAGCCAATCCTCCCAAATGCATTCTTAAAAATCAAGTCCTTATGTATTTCTTATTGGAGGATTATGTGTTTAAAATAATATGGAGAGAACTCAACAATTGTAGTGTGACAGGTCTCCCACCAGGTTACTTAATGAAGACTGGGCAGTGAGCCAAGGCCATGGTGCCCAGTCAAAGAGTGGATGTCCCTGAGAACCCAAACATCCTGGGGCATAGCTGGGAACATGCCAGGGAAAACAGCCTCATTACACATACACAGTAGGCAAAGAGCCACAAAATTAGCTTAAAGGTAGCTTAGAGAAAAGGTGGATCTCTAGAGCTGTCCTGCTGCCATCAGCAGCCCTATATGTAAGTCCTGATAAACTCATCTGGTCAAGCTGGAATTGTCTGAGTCATTCTTTGGTTGCTTGGCTCTTTCCCAGCTTGTGGGGGTAGGGGGATTTTATAGTCCCAGGTTTTTCTTTTTCTTTTTTCTTTTTCTTTTTCTTTTTTTTTTTTGAGATGTAGTGTCGTTCTTGTTGCCCAGGCTAGAGTACAGTGGTGTGATCTTGGCTCACTGCTACCTCTGCCTCCCCGGTTTAAGCGATTCTCCTGCCTCAGCCTCCTGAGTAGCTGGGATTACAGGTGCCTGCCACCAAGCCGGACAAATTTTTGTGTTTGTATTAGAGACGGGGTTTCGCCATGCTGGCCAGGCTGGTCTCAAACTCCTGATCTCAGGTGATCCACCCGCCTCAATCTCTGAAAGTGCTGGGATTACAGGTGTGAGCCACTGCACCTGGCCCAGGTTTTTCTCATAACAATAATTTTGGTTAAATGTATAAATTATTTTAAAGGAATCAACAAATTCCGCACCAGTCAATGTGCTGTTGGTTCACTCAGTTTCTATGTTTGGGTACACCATATATAAATAACACGGAATAAGAATGGAGTTTTGGAGAACTGCTGATTACATTTTTAAAAAGTCAAGATCAAGGTGAATCATACCTATCAAAAAAATTATGTCTAATCAAAGGATGCATTCCAATCAATGAGAACAAAATAAAACAACTAGTTCAGGTGTTTTATTATAAAAATAAAAATGCATATCTGCTAAGGATAAATGCCTTTAGTAGTAGTCTCTTTGCTTTGGCATATTTTCATTTGCCCAATTACTTGGAATATTTGTGATCACCTCTGAATAATCACTTCGTAGTAAGTTATTTAAGCTAAAATCAGGCAGTGATTCAAGGTAATAAATAGTTCCAATAAATAATAAGCAACTTTCCAATGATTTTGACTGTTCATACTGCTCTAATGCCTTAATACATGTGGTAAAGTTAGCAAATCAGAAAACTCAAACTCCACAACCCTTTACACAGTCTTGATGTCTTGTTAATACTATTATCAACTTAGCAATGGAATTTAGCATTTGATTCTTTCAAATTGGTTTTCTCTTGCAATATCCATATTAATTGTATTTTTGTTCATACTGAAGTCCTTCTAAATTTCCAGGCCTGGTACCTTCATTCCAATTCAGATTCAACCCTCATCCTTAATCCTCAACTAGAGCCACCATTTTGCTAGTGCTTGCTTTATTGTGTATTTTATATCCTCTTTTCCTCCCTTTGATTTCATTAGCTCAGAATCTTATCAAACCAGTATATTCTCATCATTTTGCATAAAATTATTGAATATTACCTCATAGCAGATAGGATAATATCCAGGGTCTTCAGCTTGGCATTCGAGATATTTCACAACATAAACTAAGGCACAGATGTTTGATCTGATTTTCCTTTCATTTATTTTACATTGTACTCCAACCAACTTTAGCTGTCTTGCAAAATGCTATTCTCTTCCTTGCCTCTAATTTTCACTTCTGAGGTTCACTTCTCAATGCCTATCCCTGTCAAAGGCCTCTTAACCTCCTCAGATCATTTCAGTTCATGGTAATCTTTCCTGCACTTCAAGTCAGAGTGTCTCTTATTCTCAACCTCACTGTCTGCGCACTTCTTTAGGATATATGTTTCTTATGTCTCTCCTTTGAGCATATTTTAGAGCCCTTTAGATAGCATCTAGTTTATTTTTTAAAGTACTCAAATGAAGCTACTTAGAAGAATTGAATACACTCAATTTTATTATGACAAAAGATGTGCTGTGACACCACTTCTACCTTTCTCAGACCCTAGTTCTCTCAACTTCCTGGGATATATGGGTTATGGCAGTCAGGTTGTGAAGATTTTTGTTAAAAGAACATTTCAACAAAGACCTTGATTCTACAGGTCTCTCTCACTATTGCTTCTATAGTCACCACAGAAGGAATAACAAGGCTAATACTGTTTGGATAAATGTGTATATGGAACAGATTAATCTGAATTTGGCAAAAGTTCAGAGGCTATGAAGAACAAGATTTGGGGAGAAAATCTGTTTTGAAAGCTAAATTAACCTATTTTGTTTATTTTGCAACTATAAATAGTAGTATTAATTTTTTTCCTGGACTTTTATGGTTTTATTTGCTCTGGATATTTTATTTACTAAAAAGGAATCTTTCCAGATGGTCTCATAAATTATCAATATGTTCCAGAAATTTCAACATATCAGAAATTAAAAATATATCTCCTAAGTATAAATTAGTTCAACCATTGTGAAAGACAGTGTGGCAATTCCTTAAAGACCAAGAGGCAGAAATACCATTTGACCCAGCAATCCCATCACTGGGTATATAGTCAAAAGATTATAAATCCTTCTTTTATAAAGATACATACATGCATATGTTCACTGCAGCATTATTTACAATAGCAAAGACATGGAATCAACCCAAATACCCATCAATGATGGACTGGATAAAGAAAATGTTCCACAGTATGTGTGTATACATACACACACACACACACACACATACACACACACACACACACACACACACACACACACACACACACACACACACAGTGGAATACTATGCAGCCATAAAAAGGAACGAGATCATGTCCTTTCCCTGGGCATGGATGAAGCTGGAAGCTGTTATTCTCAGCAAACTAACACAGGAACAGAAAACTAAATACTGTATATTCTCATTGATAAGTGGAAGCTGAACAATGAGAACACATGGACACATAGGGATAGCTACGCATATTGTGGCCTGTTGGTGAGGGTTGGGGGAGGGAGAGCATGGGAAGAATACCTAATTGCTGCTGGGTTGAATACCTAGGTGATGGGATAATCTGTGCAGCAAACCACCATAGCACACATTTAACTATGTAACATACTGCACTTCCTGCACATATACCACTGAACTTAAAATAAAAAGTAGAAGAAAAAAATATATATCTCTTACACTACCACTTACATATGGAAAATTATTTGACCACCGGCATATATTCTTGAAATAAAAAATAAAGCCATTGTCTATACTGGTTCAAAGGGTCCCAAATGGACCAGCTAATCGGTTGATTAAAATACAGAGTTAAAAATATCTATGTTTTAAAATAGGTCTAAGTTCACTTGGAGCTGAGGAGCTAGACCTCAAATGAAGATGTAATAGAGAGTTGCTTTCAGTTCAGAAATTGTATTGGCTAAGAATATCTCATTCCAATAAGTTTAAGTTCCCATTAGTTATGGAATTGGGACAGTCCAAAACAGTAAACCATAAAATAGTTTATGGAAAAGGCCATAATTTTCTGAAAGAAAAATAGGGGAATGTGATACACAGATTAAAACAAAGAGTTTTTGTTGCTCCATGGGCTGTCAATTTATTTTGGAAGCTTTCCTCTGAATGGCTAATGGGTTGACGGCCAGAGCGAAAGAGGTGTCACCACTCAGGGTAATGGGAAACGAGTTCTTGGAAGATAAACTAATCTGTGTTCCTGGCCTGGTCTTGCCATGTAATAGATATATTACCTTGGGAAAGCTACCTAACTTCTTAGTGTATCTCCTCATTTACATCTCCTCATTTTAATATTTCCTTCAGTGAGATAATGAGGATTAGGTGAATTACATAGCATGGTGCCTGGCACCTATGCACTTAATAGCCATTAGCTCCTTTCCCTTCCATTGGTAATAAAAAATGATCTAGTTATAAAATTATATTGTGGAAAATAAGAATTTTTTTTTAAGAACTAGGTATTTGGATTATTAACAGAATAATAATGTAATATAATATATAAATTTATGACCACGTTCCCTCATGTTTTTCCAATAGAAGTATAATATAAGCCATATGTGTAATTTTTAATTTTCTAGTAGCTGCATTAAAGTAAAAAGAAAAGGGAAATTAATTTTAATTTTTGTTTAACCCACTATTTCCAAAATGTCATTTCAACATGTAATTAATATAAAACATGATTAAGGAGATATTCCACATTCTTTTTTTTTTCCATACTAAATCTTTGAAATTCAGCGTGCATTTCACACTTATAGCACATCTCAATTCAGAATAGCCACATTTCGAATGCTCAATAGCCACTTAGGATTAGTAGCTGTTCTGTTGGACTATGGAGAGCTAGATACATTTTGTGGAAGTAAAAAAAAGGAGGGCAGAACTCTGAAAGACTGAGGACTTACCTAAAAAGCCTTGTTTTTCTTTTTTAGGTTTTATTTTAGAATCAGGGTATATATGCAGTTTTGTTTTAAGGATGTATTATGTGATGCCGAGGTCGGGGGTATGGATGGACCTGTCACTCAAGTAGCGAGCATAGTACCCAATAGGTAGTTTTTCAGCCCTCTCTCCCACCTCTATTAGTCCATAGAGTCTATTGTTTCCATCTTTACATCCATGTTTACCTACTGTTTACCTCTCACTTATAAGTGAGAACTTGCAGTATTTGGTTTTCTGTTCCTGTGTTGTTTGCTTAGGATAATGGCCTCCAGCTGTGTCCATGTTGCAGCTAAGGACTTGATTTTGTTCTTTTTCATGGCTGTGTAGTATTCTGTGGTGTCTATGAACTACGTTTTCTTTAAACCATTGATGGACACCTGGGTTGATTCCATGTCATTGCTATTTTGAATAGTGCTGTGGTGAACATACGAGTGCCTGTATCTTTTTGATAGAATGATTTATTCTCCTTTAAGTATACACCCTGTAATGGAATTCCTGGGTAAATCTCCAAACTGCTCTCCACAGTGGTTGGTCTAATTTACATCCTCACCAGCAGTGTGTAAGTGTCCCTTTTTCTCTGTAGCCTTGCTGACATCTGTTATTTTTTGACATTTTAACAAAAACTGTTCTGACCAGTGTGAGATGGTATCTCACTGTGATTTTGATTTGTATTTCTGTGTATCTTCTTTTGAGAAGTCTCTGTTCATATCCTTTGCCCACATTTTAGCAGAGTTATTTGCTTTTTGCTTGCTGATTTGTTTAAATTGCTTATAGATTCTGGATATTAGACCTCTGTCAGATGGATAGTTTGCAAATATTTTCCCCTTTTCTGTAGGTTGTTTATTTATTCTTCAGATAGTTTCTTTTGCTGTGCAGATGCTCTTTAACTTAACCTCTGTTTTTGTTGCAATTGCTTTTGAGGACTTAGTCATAAATTATTCGTTAAGGCGGATATTCAGAAGTCTATTATCTTAGTTTTCTTCTAGAATTTTTATAGTTTGAAGACTTACATTTAAATCTTTAGTCCATCTTGAGTTAATTTTTGTAGATAGCGATAGGAGTGATAGATAGGGATCCAATTTCATTCTGCTGCATATGGTTAGCCAGTTATCCCAGCATCATTTATTGAATAGGGAGCCTTTTCCCCATTGCTTGTTTTTGTTGAGTTTGTTGAAGATCAGATGGCTGTAGATTTGTGGGCTTTATTAGTGTTGTGTTAAACTGATAGGAGGGTATTCATACTGGCAGAAGCTGAGATAGTGTTATTGAACAAGGTACTCATCAAGATTCTTACCTTCAAGCAATAGAACGTTTGGTTAATTTAAGCAGAAATGAGATTTTAAAAGGCTATTTCATGGTTCACAATCTCTGGGACTGCTGGAAAACTGGACTTGGAGGCTATATAGGCAGAGAAAAAGTACAAATCATTCTGCAGAACTTGTCCATTAAGGCAGTGCTACTGAGAATGTGTATTGCCCTTGGAGGTGCCCCAGAGCTCAACTCTGGACAATAGAGACAATGCTAGAACTCCTTCAGTTGTTGCCACCTTTGAAAAATGGATGCAACCACTGCCCTTATGGCCAATGTTGACAGAGTGGATTCTGCACACCCCCTGCTTCTTTGCATCCCAGCTTCCAAGCCCAGGCTAGTGTGGGTGCATCTTATTAGAAGAATCTAGGTCATGTGATGCAGCTGCAAAAAAAAAAAATTTGGAAAAAAATTTTACTTCCCAGAGGGGGAAGTAATGAGAGGCTCTGCCTCTCATCAAGATTCATGGAGTAGGGAATTCCCCACATGTGGAATTCCCATGTGTGGGGTAGGGTGGTTGTGACAGTCCAAAAAGAAGACAATGTTCAATTAACAAGGCTGGGTTTTCTAACTATCCAGTGGGATGGGATGGGCCTCCTGATGATTTAAAAATCTAAAAAGAATTTAAATTAATTAAAAACTTTAATTTATATATGTAATGTTTCCTTCCCAACATAAGTATAATAATCATGAAATAGTGACTTTGTTTCATGCCAGATATATAACAAGGGAATTTTATAAAAGCTCTGAAAGTATGTTTAGTTGACCTTCATTTTTTCTGGAAAGATGAAGTTCTAAAATAGCATTTAGAAACCAAAGGATATTCCAAGAGCAAATACACAAGTGTGAATGTTCCCATTTTGATATTTAAAATAATTTAAGTACCAGGACAATTACAATGTATAGGAATTTGAGTAGGCTAATAAATAACACCCTTATTCTCTGCTTGAGTATAGAACTATTCGAGAAATAGTTACATAAGTCAAGCAGATGAGGATGAAAATATCATTTCTTTTATTGATGGTTTGAAGAATATGGCTTAAATAAGAGGAACAAATGAGGTTGCTAATGTTTCCCTGCTATCTAGTATCACTGCCTCCCACTTACTGGTTTGGATGGCTAGGGAAGACTAAGTCCTCATTGTTTAAGAGACCTATAAGGAAACTCCGCCTGGTTTGGAAATCTGATCTAATAATTTCCCCCACCAAATAGTGGGTGAGTAGGGGGTGGTGAGCAGTGATGAAGTGGTGATGCAAAAGTTATATGGTTTGGCTCTGTATCCCTACCCAAATCTCATCTCTAACTATAATCCCCACGTGTTGTGGGAGGGAGGTGTTTGGATCATGAGGGTGGTTTACCCCATGCTGTTCTTGTGATTGTGAGTGAGTTCTCATGAGATCTGATGATTTTATAAAGCAGTTTTCCTGCTCTTGTTAACTCGCTCGCTCTCTCCTGCTGGCATGTAATATGTGCCTGCTTCCCCTTCCACCATGATTGTGCATTTCCTGAGGCATCCCCAGCCATGTGAAACTGTGAGTCAATTAAACCTCTTTCCTTTATAAATTTCCCAGTCTCAGGTATTTCTTTATAGCAGTGTGAGAATGGACTAATACAAAATGCCTTGCTCTACTTGGAACCTCTCCACAGGGAATCATGCAGAGTTCCTCATCACATACCCAACTTTTTGTGTCTATAAATTGTTTGGCTTAACAATTGGTCTACAGCTCTGCAGGCCTGTAGGTATAGGTCCCACTTATCATGATAGTACTCTTACCCTCATGGCACCATTCTCTTAATTCCAACAAGGCACTACCGTGGAGCATTCAGGGTCTGCTGGTGAACTGTGTAGGCTTTGATACAAAAGGCTCTAGAAATGAGTGAGAATGGTATGTTATCTAAATTAATTCCAAGATTTTGCTTAGAGGTCACTTTATTTCTCCTCTCACATTATATTGAGACACATTGTCTACTAGAGCTCACCAGAGGATATGCAGTGAGATTAGATGACAACAGAAAGCTATTCCAATAACAAAATGCCACCAATATAGAGGTGCCCCACATTTGAATATCTGTACTATTAACAAATTGTCAGGGACTGACTAAAGTTCAAAAATTAAAATCACAAAGAAATTAAATTCCAGAAATCTTAAGTTAAACACCAAGACATTTAAAGTCCCAAATCAAATTATCTTATCCCTGTGAGTTATAAAACTAAATAATTAAATTTTGTGCTTTTTTTTTCTCAACCAGTTTGTATACAATAGAATTATTTTAAAAAACATTACCTTACGGCCCACTTGGTGGATATCTGTTTATACATCTGTTCCAGGTCCAGAAACACTGGCCCAACACAAAGTCATGAACTTCTTTCAGGAGAGAATGTATGGTCAGTGATATGATGAACAGTAAGTGAGATCAAACAACTCAACTCCTTATGAATAAGTCTTGTAAATGGCACATTGTTACATTTTTCTGAGGAATTGGGAATCTCTTCCCAGTTGAAGTGAGAAGTCAATCTCTCATCTAAAACAATGGCAGTGCCACCTTTCTAGGGTAGAGTCTGCAGCCTCATGCTCCAGAGTTTGCCTCACATATCCAAGGGTGCTTGAACCACTCGCAGTACCCCTGGTGCAGCAAACATCAGCTGCTGGACTGAAATTCCAGCCTGCGCTTTCTTAAGCAATGGTTATGTTACAGGCAATATCACACACAAAAATGGTACAAACCCAGTAAAATTTCCCAGGCTCCATGTATCTGGAGGGTGTTTGGTAAATTGCTCTCCTCAAATTCTAGGTCTTCTTTTATATATCCTAATATCTACCATTGAATTTAAGGGATTATTCAAATCAACTCTTCCTCAATGCAGTGATCTTGACCCTTTGAATCAAATTCTTACATGGCATTGTTTAAGAGCATCCCATTGCACCTCTGTGCAGGTTCACACACCTAAAGGAAACCAAAAATATTTACCCTAAAATATACCTCTTTGACATCTTTTGAGACAGCTATTCAAAGGGCCTGCAGACCAGACTAGTGCTGCCAAGCTGCCTTCTGTGGAGGAGATTTGCATCTATAGAGGAAAATCCAAGTTAGGGAAATAAAAAGGCTTTATTTGAGGCCCCTTGCTTGTCCAGATGTAGGAAAGATTAACTCAACCGCAGGCTACCATCTATTCCTTCTGAGAGCTACCAATGAGATTTTATCTATATAATAAGACTGCCCTTGCTAGCCATGCCTTTCCTCTTCTCTCCCTCCCATAAACTGTCTTGCCACACTCCAAGCCCCCATTCTTTCTGTAATCTCAAGATGGCATAAAATAGTCAACCATCTGTCCCTTCCTTTGAGTTTTCACATTTTGCATGACTCCTGTGCACACATGTGGATATTAACAAATTTGTATGCCTTTTCTCCTATGAATCTGCCTTTTGTCAGTTGATTTTCAGCAAACCTTCAGAGGGTGAAGGGGAAGGTTTCCATTTCCCTTGGCCTCTACATGCCCCAAGCCACTTGTAAATCTCATGGAGTGCTTTGATGTAAGACACATACTGGATCATTTGAGTGGCTCCCATACTTTGTATAATTGTACATTCTTTTGTAGTCCAATACATTTTCATGGCTGCAGTTCAATATATGATCAAACTGTTTTTGAAAAACACAGTTCATAATATTTAGATATTCCCTTTTTCCTTTTAGTAGTGGTAGAGATCAAATTCTGCAATACTTGAAATATTAATTTGATGATAACCAAACTAATGAACATTACAGAACTCATTACCTGCTGAGTTGTGGTTCTTGTTCTGAAGACAGAAAGAAATGTCAGTTACCATTTTCCCCCATATATTTGATAAAAAAAACAGCTGATGAGCTCACAGTACACATACTATCAAAAAGTGTACCTATCTCCAGAGGAGACCAAGTTTAAGGCCCTGAAGATTTGAATCTCTTTTCTGAACAGGTGTCAACCAATCTGGGGGCACATTTACAAATGGCATCCTGCTGTCAGCTCATGACGCCTGGTTATTTTCTCTCATCTTCATGGGAAAGGTTTCATCCATGGGGATAATTGTAGCTTTTTAACACATTTCACTATAATTAGTGAATCTGCATGTCAGTATTTTCTAGCATATTCCCTGATTGAATTGGAGACCGTTTTAGTTCTCCCCATGACCCGTCAAAGATAAAGAATTTGTTTACTGTAAATTGCACACCACTCACTCCTATATGCCATCTGCCACACTTAACTGCACACTGCTACAATTTTCTAATAGCTCTTTGAACTTAAGAAAAATAGTCAGAGGTGTTAATCATATATGCTAGGGGAATATTTACCTCTCTATACCAACCTTTTTCTTCTTGATGGGATTTTCATTTTAGTGTATTAAGATGATATTGTACTTCTATCAAATAATGTACAGCAAAGCAGGGTTTAGAGATTTCCCCTAGTGGCTGTCATCTAACATATTTGTGAGAGGTGCACTTGCAAGAAATGGTAGAAAGTTTTATTATACTTCAGAGGAATTCAGATTTTTAGCATGGCTCTTTATGGTCAGGTCACAGGTTATTTCTGTGCAGTTTACCTCTAGAGCCATCTCACCTCCTTGTTTACTGTTTTCTCCTCTTTCCTTCCTCTTTTATAAAAACTTTGGGTAAAGAGAAAGTCTGTATGCCATATTCTTGACTTATTCCTCACACCGTTTATTATTCCAAATGGTAGTTCTTAGCTGCCATTTTGGAAAGGGTAATAAAGTTACTTTAATGCACTATTAACCAGTAGACCTTGAATGTTAATTGAATGTTCATATAGAACAAGGCCTTCCTTCACAGAAAAGAATTGCTGAAATTTACCTACCAGTGGTGACTCTGGATAAGTGGTAGATGGCCTCATTGGTTAGAAGTGCTCAGTGGCCCTAATACTGTAATAGCTGCCTTCAAATGAGGTATCTGTTCTTGTGGAGTCAGAACGATTCATTTTTTCTTTAATAAAACAATAAAACCACTACCCTTCAACAAAGTACTGCACTCCATTGCTCCTTGAGAGTTTTGTTTTTTTTTCATTAGGATAATCTTAGAGGACACTGCATGATGGAGGAAAGGCAGCTGGCTAGACTTGAAGGACAGGTTGAATCTCTTTTTCATCATTGAATATTTATGTTCTCACATATATACCCAAACATTTGAGGATATCAATGTTACAACTTTCGGTTGTTATCTCTGAGTCATTGCACTGCCAGAGCCCTCATTTAACTAACTGTGATGAAAGAGCATCATAGATCGTCTGCCCTGCAGAGGACAAGCTGTAAACTTTTCTTCTGAAATTTATCTTTTGTACTTTGATATTTTTGTTACCAAATGTCCCCTGTGTTTTATAAGCTTGTGGATATAATGGAATTGCATTTGTATTTATGACCAAATTTCAATGACTTTAAAACCTCACCCAGTTTTCTTGCAAGGTTCCTTTTCCCAATTTTTTTCTGAGACTCACTGGGACCTGCTTACAAATAACTGTGAGTCAGTTATTTTAGAAGAAACAGAAATTCATACCTTTGGTGTGGATCCTACTGAAGCTGATACCCAGATAACTTTATCTGTCAGGTACATCCAGTCAGGTGCTTACCAGTTCATTGAAGCCCAATCTCTGTAAGTCACTGTGAGCAGCCTCAAGTGCCCCAGGAGATTCATAGAGATAAGGCTTACTTAAAATTTGTTTCTCCCTGTCCTTTTGCTTCCCTTGCTGATTTCATCACTATCACCACTATCTTTTGCACTAGTTTTGTCCACCCATGAGGTTTCATCTCAGTGACGAGGAGAACATGTCTTTCCTCAGTGTAACACTCAGGAGGGAGAGACCTAGGATAAAACTACTTGGGCCCTAATTTTTAATAGTTACAATAGTTTAACTCTCTGGATACTGTTGTAGTCAGTTCAGGATGCTATAACAAAGTACCATAGACTGATGGCTTATAAACAACAGAAATTTATTTCTTACACTCCTGGAGGCTGGAATTTCAAGTTCAGGGTTCCAGCGTGGTTGAGTTCTGTTGAGGGTCCTCTTCAGGTCTGCAAGCTGCAGACTTCCAACTTCTTGATCCATCCTCATGTGGTGGAAAGAGGACTAGAGAGCTCTCTGGGGTCCCTTTTATCACTAATCCTATTCATGAGGGCTCTACCCTCGTAACCAAATTACCTCCCAAAGGCCCCACCTCCTAATACCATCACCTTGGTGGCTAGGACTTCAACATATGAATTTTAGGGGAACACAAACATTTAGTCTATTGCAAATGCAAGTACATAGAGCCATTTCTCCAGACATACAGTGCAAGAGTGATTTAATAAGGATAAGTTTCAAGTCTGACCAAATATGAGATCCAGAAGCAACATGTCTGTCTGCAACACAGGTCAAAACTCTTTCTTTATTATGGCAAACTTTGGGCTGGAAGCCCTCATTGTCCTTTTTGGTAAAAAGACATATATATATATATATATATATATATATATATCTTTTTTTTTTTTTTTTTTTTTTTTTTTTTTTTTTTTTGAGATGGAATCTTGTTCTGTCACCCATGCTGGAGTGCAATGGTGTGATCTTGGTTTACTGCAACTTCTGCCTCCCGGGGTTCAAGTGATTCTGCTGCCTCAGCCTCCTGAGTATCTGAGATTACACGTGCCTGCCATCACACCTGGCTAATTTTTGCATTTTTAGTAGAGAAGGGGTTTCATCATTTTGGCCAGGCTGGTCTCGAACTCCTGCCCTCAAGTGATCCACCCACCTCAGCCTTCCAAAGTGCTGGGATTACAGGCATGAGCCACTGCACCCAGCTGGACATAGTTTTATATTTTGAACTTTAATGTTGTTGGTGGTTTGGTAAGTGGAGAAGAAGAGTCATAGTTCATGTTCTTTATCTTCCACGAGACTCCTGTTTCCCTATGTAAGCATGTGGCATTAAACATATATATGTTGAAAGAGGGTTTTTTCCCCACTTCCTCTTGAGCCACGCCAAGCCATTGGGGGAAGGAATGGCATCTCATTTCTATCACTGATTACATATAAGCTCAGATTTTTACTCAAGCAAAACCCTGTGTAAATTTTTATGTTATCTGTGATAAAATATTGGAGATACTGAGAATTAATGCATTCATTTTGCTGATGTATGTCAAATTAAATTTCTGATATGAAAATAGAATGACAATATGAAAGTTGGGGTTGAGATCGTACTTGTCATGTGAAGAATATATATGGACAATAGTTTTTTTCAAACTTGAAACAATAGCATTAATTCACCTTAATGAAAAGGTGCGTGAATTTGAGTAATAAAAAGATCTGAAAATTATGCTGTGGTGTTCCCTGGCTCCTTTTCCTCTTCTTTAACTACCTGTGTTCTCATATTTTTATTCAGCTAACATCTATTTTAATTAGGTTGGGTATTGAATATACCCGGATGAATTAGATACAATCCTTCCTCTTGAGAAGGTCATGGTCAGAAGAAACCAGATATGTTAAACACACACAGACACCCATGCCCCATACAAACACAACATACTGCACCTTATCAAAACCTCTAAAGTGTCTGAGATTTCACCCTATTTGAAGGCTTAAAAAGTGAGCCTGCTATAGTTTCATGGATGCTGGCAGAAGACATGAGATTCCTGGGTCAGAGAAAAGAACTTTATTACTTATGGCACAGCAGACAACATAAGCTTCAATATTGCCATAGGTTTCTTTTCAGACCCCACCAAGTTCCATGGGGGCGATATAAAGAGGACCAGGTGGATATGCACACCATAGGTTTGTATTCCTGTTGAGAGGCCCCAAGCTTAAGAAGTTTCTGGTATTATAAAGGAGGCTGTTATCAATTTTGCTTAAGGTTCACCTTGGAGGGAAACATTATCTTTATTAAGATAGGTTAGGAAAAAACTTGCTTTCTCCTTTCTCAGATAGATACAGTATCTCTCTCTTCTAAGGTAGTTTTCCATACAAACATCCTTAAAAAAATTGTTGAAGACAAAGGCTGCCAATGTCGTCATTCAAATAATAAAAAATATGAGAGACTCATGGAGAATTGTTTCCCAGCATTTATATAATGAAATTAATAGCATTAAACTATGATACATTCTGTAGATGAAATATAGGTATGCCACAGAGGAGGACACAACCACATCTGCTTTGGGGAGTCTAGGAATAAAGGAAGATACATTTTAACTTGCTGTGGAGGAAAGCGAAATCCAGACAAGGGAAGCTTCAAATCAGGAGAACACTCCCTGCTGCTCTAGGACTGCCCTCTAGTTGGTGGAAAGCCTTCATATCTTGGGCATTCAACTCCGGCGACTTTTTGCAGAATGGGAGGGTGATCTGTGATCCAAGCTTCCTTGGGCACTGTTGCCTTGGACCCAAATTCCAGGTACAGCACCAGGGGATCTATTTCTCTTGGTAATCCTAAACATTTATACTACTACAAGTTTTCCTCATTTTAAAGCTTCCTTGATGCCTTTATTTGATGGGTTTAAGGGAACACTTTCTCTTGGGGTTGAGGAACAGAAGAATAGCTGTTGGTTTTGACAATTTACCCCTCACTCCCTGTAGATTGCATGTTCATGACATGGAAGCCTGGCCTGAATAAATGGAATCATGGAAACAGAACTTTAGAACTAAAAAGTTCCTAGAGTCAACTAATTGTTACTGTCTTTTTAAAATTTTCCTATTTGCCTTCTTTCTCAAACATTTGGATTGCTTACTGTGTGTGTTTCAAGCAGGGCATGCAAAAATGTAGAACAGCCTGTTTGCTTCAGTTGTTCACAGAATGGTGGAGATGAAGAGAAATATTCAGTCAATTACAACTTACAAGGATAAGTTCTAAGACAGAATAAACTACAAGGTGCTGTGGTTAGCAAACCTGATTCAGATAAGGTTATCGTTAGTGAATTTTCAGAGGAGATAATTCTTAAATTGGGTCTTGAATGGTGAACATGGGGTATTTAGGAAAAGAATCGGTAGGAAGGAGGTGGTGTAAGTCAGACCATTCAAGAGCTTTATATGCATGCTAAAGAGTCTGGATTTTATTCCAGTTGGTAACAGAGAACTTCTGCAGGAAGTTTATCAAGGAATGATACGACTAGATTTGCATTTTGGAATGATTACCTTGGCAGCAACTTGGAGAACAGGTTGAAAGGAGAAAAGCTGGAGACATAGAGGTCAATGAAGACATTGTTACTGTGACCTTAGCAGGAGATTGATGAGGCTCTGCTTTGTATCATTAGCATACGGACAAAAGAAGTGCCTGGAGAACATCAGGGAAATCAGTAGTATTGGTGAAAGATGGGGAAAAGTGGGAGCGAGCATGGATGCAAAAGAGACTGTCAGATTTGTGGATGGGCAACTGGGTAGATGTGCTGTCATAAAATCAGATGTGGAGAAAGAAAATTTGGTAACAGAGTTGAGATTAATTCAAGTCTTGACATGCTGTAACTTAATTATCTCTGGATCACCTATGCAGACATGATATCTGGATTTGGACATATAGAGATGGGAACTCTATTTTATTCAGCCTTTTCATTGCTGGATCAGCATTTATTCCAATTTTCCATTTCCTTCTGTGGCTTCTTTTGAAGTCATCATGCTCTAGTGATGGACAGAATACTTCAAAGCATTTTAGGCTCTCTAGTTCACGGAGCACATCTTTCTCATCTGAGTGCTCATACACCTAATGTTAGTTCTATCATGTAAATCTTTGCTTTATATTGAATGTGGCTTGAAATTATTGTAAGGTTCACATCTTTATTTGAAAATCATTTAATTCAATGGTTCTATATCATGAAAATGTTTTTCATACATCTGCTTTTCTTTCTCCTCTCTGTTGGAAGTGGTTTGATTGTTTGGCAAATGTGCATAGCATTCTTAGAACTCTATTCAGTTTACTCAAACTATTATACCTGGAAATTGTAGATTCATATGATGACAAAAAAATAGTTTCGATCTTTGTTACTACTTGCTGTTTGCAGAATTTGGTTCCACATTATTTTTATTCAGCATGAATTATTTAAGAATAAGACATATCAATGAAAACATTTTACACACTTACAAAAAGGAATGATTTTTGCTTTTCATTTCATATTCACCCTTTGCTCCATGCTGTACAATTCAGCTTTTTAACAATTGTACCTTAATGTTACCGGTAACTTAGGGTCTACTTCATCCCTTGTATTATGCTGATTAGTGAGTACAGATTTATTTATTTACTACTTTCATCTTTTTGCAAACAGAGTGACTCTATATAGACATAGAAAAAGGATTTATTTCCATCAGAGAAATGAAACTTGATGCCTCAGTTTTGATTTTGAATCAAATAAAACGTAAGTCACAATTCATAGAAAGTCAGGCTAACAGGGATTATTAAATCAAATTACTTCCATTTACAGAAGAAAGGTTTAGGAAATTTAAGCCTCCTCCTTAAGACCCCAGGATTAACTGTTTTACCTTATTTTATCATCGAATTTGGGTAAAGTATCTCCTTTCTATCTGTTTCTGTGCCTTTTTGCAAATCGCACTAAATATAGATCAAGTGGCCAATACATATGATGCCCAATTCTCACAAAGCACCAATCATTAATTCCTTTTATATTTGCCTTGGGCATAAATCTAGCCACCATCTTCCCTCCTATTTCTCCCAAGTCTTAAAAAGCTTGAAAAGCTCCACTTATTTTCTGAAGGTTGGGAAATACTTGTTCTACACAGTTAAACAAGTCATCTCTAAGACAGAATTTTCTCATCTGGAAACATGAAACATCTCTCCATTTATTTAGTTCTTTATGTTTTAAATTTTTCTTCATCTAGGTCCTACACTTCTTGTTGTGTTTTCCCTAGGTTATTTATAATTATTATTATAAATGGAATAATTTGGGAGTCACATTTCAAATTGGTTTTGCTAATATATGAGAAAACAATTGAGTTTTGTATTTTGATCTACCCCTCTTAAAACCTTATTTTATTACTTATTAAAATTGATACTCTTGAATTTCTGAGGTAGAAAGTAGTGTTGTTTTGACTAGGTGTATTAGTTCTTTTTCATGCTGCTAATACAGACATACCCATGACTGGGTAATTATAAAGAAAAAGAGGCTTAATGGACTCACAGTTCCACATGGCTGGCAAGGCCTCACAATCATGGCTGAAGGCAAAGGAGGAGCAAAGGCACGACTTACATGATGGCAGGCAAGAGAGCATGTGCAGGGGAACTGCCCTTTATAAAACCATCGGATCTTGTGAGACTTACTCACTATCACCAGAACAACATGGGAAAAACCTGCCCACCTGATTCAATTATCTCCTACCCGGTCCCTCCCATGACATGTGGGGATTATTACAATTCAAGGTGAGATTTGGGTGAGGAATAGCACCAAACCATATCACGAGGAAAGTTTGAGTTTTTCTTTACGTTTTAAATTTCTAGTCCAATGTTGTAGGGCAGCAATGGTGGTGGGCATATTTGCCTTTTCCCTGATGTTAGTAGAAAAGTTTCTGATGTTTCATATATAGTATGTATCATATCTTCTCTGGGATTCTGACTGATACTTATTATCATGTAAAGGAAGATTTTTTTTCTGAGATTACCAGAGAGGAATTTTATTAAAAATTGAAGCAAGTGTTGGATTTCATTATATCATTTTGAGACAGTTATTGAGTCATAGAATAATTATTCTGATTTTCTTTTTAAACCAATAATTATTTATATAATTTAAAATTTTCTCATGTGTTTAAATTTTTGTGGCTATTTTATTGTTTTGTGTTTATTTTTGCTGCTCTGTACTACAGCATTTAGCCCGTATGATTTCTACTTTTTGATTTTGTTAACATAACTATGTGGTCAATGTTTGTCAGTGTGAGCTTTTTGTTTGAAAGGAATAGGTATCCTCTGTTAGGTAGAGGGTTCTTTATATATATGTTGATTAGATTAAGACAGTTAAATGCATTATTCAAAACTATTATATCCTTATTTAGTGTCTGCTTAACCTCTTGATTAGTTAGAGGTAGTTTCCCACTGTGTTTGTAGATTTTATATTTTTCTCCATGTTTCTATTAAGTTTTAATTTTATATTTTGAAGCCAATTACCAGGTTTACAAAATGCTTCTTAGTAAAAGCATACGTTTTGTCGGTGTGAAACACTTCTCTTCATTTACATAATCAGTTTTATTTTAAATTATTCTTTGTTTGGTGTTAATATTGCTGTATTTATTTTTATGGGAGAATTGACATTTTGAAATGGTAAGACCTCTTATCTAACAATGAACTATGCCTTTCCCTTTTTTCAAATTTTGCCTTATGTTATTTAAAATAATTGCATAATTTTAAAATTTATATATGGGCCCATATATTACTTACTGATTTTTATTAAATGTTTGTTAAATATTACTTGATACAAACTTTTGTCATTTAGAAACTACTGTTTCTAAAACTAAAAATTTCTCCACATTTTTATTCTAGTTTGCTAGACTCAGGAAAGATTGATTTTTGTTTACATATCTAGAATCTAACCAAATTATCAGATTATCTTGATTCTTGAATTATTTATATTTTTTAACTAAAGTGTCTCTGGATTTCTAGGTATAAAATCATATAATCAAATGCAAGAGATAGCTTTATGTATTCTGTGTTTATGAGTATTAATTTTCATGTCTTATTGATTTTTTTAGAACCTTACAGAAAACGATGAATAATTATAATTTTAAGACAGTTTTATCCAGTTCCTAATTTTAGTTGATTTTATTATTTTATCATTTAGATTTTAGTAAATAGTTTTAATTATATTTCAACTTTTCTTTCTATTCCTTTTATTATGAGTGGTTGTTTACTTTTTTAATGTAATGCTGAAATAAATTTTATTAACAGACTTACTGATTTTGAAATGTCCCTTGCATTTCTGGAATAACTTAACTTGGTCTTAATGTATTGTTTTTGTGACATGTGGCTAGATTCTTTTTGCTAATATTTTATTTAAAATGTTTATTTCTGTATCATGAGTTTATATTAAAATGTTTATTTCTATATCTAAAAAAGTCATAAGTATCTTTTTAATATCTTTTTTACTTATTAATTCTTTTACTATATTTAACAACTTTTGGTTGTTAAAGTATCCTGAGTTCATAAAATAAATTTAGAAGTTTTTTTTTTTTTATTATACTTTAAGTTCTGGGATACATGTGCGGAACGTGCAGGTTTGTTATATAGGTATACACGTGCCATGGTTTGCTGCACCCATCAACCCGTCATCTACATTAGGTGTTTCTCCTAATGCTATCCCTCCCCTAGCCCCCCACCCCACAAAGGCCCTGGTGTGTGATGTTCCCCTCCATGTGTCCATGTGTTCTCATTGTTAAACTCCCACCTATGAGTGAGAACATGCGGTGTTTGGTTTTCTGTTCTTGTGTTAGTTTGCTGCGAATGATGGTTTCCAGCTTCATCCATGTCCCTACAAAGGACATGAACTTGTACTTTTTTATGGCTGCATAGTATTCCATGGTGTTTATGTGCCACATTTTCTTTATCCAGTCTATCATTGATGAGCATTTGGGTTGGTTCCAAGTCTTTGCTATTGTGAAGAGTAAACATACATGTGCATGTATCTTTATAGTAGAATGATTTATAATCCTTTGGGTATATACCCAGTAATGGGATTGCTGGGTCAAATGGTATTTCTGGTTCTAGATCCTTGAGGAATCGCCACACTGTCTTCCACAATGGTTGAACTAATTTACACTCCCACCGACAGTGTAAAAGCATTTCTATTTCTCCACATCCTCTCCAGCATCTGTTGTTGCCTGACTTTTTAATGATCACCATTCTAACTGGTGTGAGATGGTATATCTCTGTGGTTTTGATTTGCATTTCTTTAATGACCAGTGATGCATTTTTTTTCATATGTTTGTTGGCTGCATAAATGTCTTCTTTTGAGAAGTGTCTGTTCATATCCTTTGCCCACTTTTTGATGGGGTTTTTTTTCTTGTAAATTTGTTTAAGTTCTTTGTAGATTCTGGATATTTTAAAAAATCTTTTTCTATGGTCTAGATCTAGAACAATTGTTTTTAAGTTTAGTAAAACTAAGAATCAACATATAGCAAAGTTGAAAGATGTTTACTGAGAACTTCATATAACTAAAATTGAATCCTACCATTCACTTTTTACCATAATTGCTTTGTCGTATATCAGTCTATACCTCTCTTCACCCACCAATCTTTATGTTGTCACTTGATGCATTTAAAAATAAATTTCAATTTCTTGTCACTTTCCCTAAATATTTTTTTATGCCTTTCACTAACTATAGTTCAATTTTGTTTATGGTTTTATCCTTTTGGAATTTCTGATGAAATTTATGATGAAATGCATAACTTCTAAGTATACATTCCTTCACTTTTGGATGTATACACTGATATAACTCACACCCCTATGAAGATTAAAATAGATGATCATAACTCAGGAAGTTTCCCTCACTTTATCCCTGTTTCCAGCCTATGCAATTAGCCACTATTCTGATTTTGTCCCCCCACAGATTAATTTGTCAGTTCTAGAACTTGATATAAATGGAATCATCAGCATATACTGTTTATGTAAAGTTTTTTTCAGTGAACACAATTTGTTTTCAGATGCGTCTATTTTGTTGTATCAGTTTTTATTCATGAGTGGTATACCATTGCGTGAATATACCACAGCTTGCTTATCCATTCTCCTATTAATGAACACCTAGACTGTTTCCAGTCTTCAGCTATTATGAGTAAAATGGCTATGAATTTACTTGTACTAGTCTTTGGATATATGTTTTCATTCCTCTTAGGTCAATATCTGGGAGTGGAATTGCTGAATCATGGGTATGGTTTATGCTTAGTTAGATAAGAAACTGTCATGCTTTTGCCCAGTGTGGTTGTATGGTTTTACATTCAACAACAACAAAAAATAGAATGTTGGTTTTTCCCATTTCTCCACGGCTAACCTTTCTTCATTGGTTTATTTTAAAATGTGTTTTATCTAAAAAGCAGAGAGATGAAAATCTTTTAATGAGAGAACTCAGTCAATGTATAGTTGGTGAAATCACTTATATACCAGATTTTATTCTTTTTGGATTTATGCCTTATATAATTTTTAAATTCTCAATGATTTTCTCTTTTCCTTATTTTTACTGACATTTGCAAATGGCTTTTTATTTCCTTCTCATTTTAAATTGGAAATTCGATTTTACATTTTAAATTCATTAATAGTTAATTTTCCCCTCCCAGAACTCACTCAAATATATTTTGATTTATTTGAAAACAAATCAAATTTAATAAATTTTTTTTCCACCATGGTGCTCTATTTCTCCCTGGCTCCATCCCCACAATTAAAATCTTCAAAATGCTTTTATTCTCTCATTTTTAACTCCCATTGCCTCCTCTGTCAACTTCCAAATTTTGAGGATTTAATTTAGTAAACAACTATTTTTTGCTCCTGATAATTATTAGGATTTACCTTGAAATGTATAACTCATGTTTCATAAAACACTTTTCTATTCAGTCTTTATACTTTTAGATCTCTCTCTCTCTGTCTCTTTCTCTCACACACACTCGAAATTTCATTGTTTCTTATGCTTTAATTTTCTTTCCCTTTTTAAAAAAAATATTTATTTCTCATTTTGGTCCATGTGTTGTTTGGTAAGAGTTTTTTTCTTGAGTGTTTCTTCAGATGTAGAAGATATAATCTCTGCATTTTTGCATGTTTTCAAATCTTCCTTTTTTTCTGGCAGGTGAATGATATTCTGGTACAGTGTTAAATTTTTGGATAGGAGTCCTTTTCTCTCAGAGTTTATAGATGTTTTTCTACTCTCTTCTAGCTTTCTGGTGTGAATGAGAAGTTTATTGCAGTCTTGAGATTGTAAGATATCTCTTTATCCTTTGAAATTAGAAATTTTTGAAATTTACCTAGTTCACATATTTTTTATTAATCTCACTGGTAATTGTTGCAGTTTATCAATCTGTAGGATTTTACCATCATTGGGAAATTTCTTCTATTTGTTTAATTAATGCCTCTCTTCCATCTGTTCCCATGTCCACAGTGCCCAAGGTTTTACTGTACTTCATTCACAGTGGAACTTGCAGATTGGCTATAAAGAGGCCAAGAGGCCAGAGCTTTATTTATTTATTTATTTATTTATTTATTTATTTTTATTTTATACTTTAAGTTCTGGGGTACATGTGCCGAACGTGCAGGTTTGTTACATAGGTATACACGTACCATGGTGGTTTGCTGCACCCATCAACCCGTCATCTATATTAGGTATTTCTCCCAATGCTATCCTTCCCCTAGCCTCCCACCCCACAAAGGCCCTGGTGTGTGATGTTCCCCTCCATGTGTCCATGTGTTCTCATTGTTCAACTCCCATTTATGAGTGAGAACATGCAGTGTTTGGTTTTCTGTTCTTGTGTTAGTTTGCTGCGAATGATGGTTTCCAGCTTCATCCATGTCCCTGCAAAGGGCATGAACTCGTACTTTTTTATGGCTGCATAGTATTCCATGATGTATATGTGCCACATTTTCTTTATCCAGTCTATCATTGATGAGCATTTGGGTTGGTTCCAAGTCTTTGCTATTGTGAAGAGTGCCGCAATAAACATACATGTGCATGTGTCTTTATAGTAGAATGATTTATAATCCTTTGGGTATATACCCAGTAATGGGATTGCTGGGTCAAATGGTATTTCTGGTTCTAGATCCTTGAGGATTCACCACACTGTCTTCCACAATGGTTGAACTAATTTACACCCCCACCAACAATGTAGAAGTGTTCCTATTTCTCCACATCCTCTCCAGCATCTGTTGTTTCCTGACTTTTTAATGATCACCATCACCATTCTAACTGGTGTGAGATGGTATCTCATTGTGGTTTGATTTGATTTGCATTTCTCTAAAGACCAGTAATGATGATCTTTTTTTCATGTTTTTTTGGCTTCATAAATGTCTTCTTTTGAGAAGTGTCTGTTCCTATTCTTCACCCACTTTTTGATGGGGTTGTTGTTTTTTTTCTTGTAAATTTAAGTTCTTTGTAGATTCTGGATATTAGTCCTTTGTCAGATGGATAGATTGCAAACATCTTCTCCCATTCTGTAGGTTGCCTGTTCATTCTGATCATAGTTTCTTTTGCTGTGCAGAAGTTCTTTAGTTTAATTAGATCCCATTTGTCAATTTTGGCTTTTGTTGCCATTGCTTTTGGTGTTTTAGTCATGAAGTCTTTGCCCATGCCTATGTCCTGAATGGTATTGCCTAGGTTTTCTTCAAGAGTTCTTATGGTTTTAGGTCTGACGTTTAAGCCTTTAAACCATCTTGAGTTCATTTTTGTATAAGGTGTAAGGAAGGGGTCCAGTTTTAGGTTTCTGCATATGGCTAGCCAGTTTTCCCAACACCATTTATTAAATAGGGAATTCTTTCCTCATTCCTTGTTTTTGTCAGGTTTGTCAAGGATCAGATGGTTGTAGATGTGTAGTGTTTTTTCTGAGGTCTCTGTTCTGTTCCATTGGTCTATATATCTGTTTTGGTACCAGTACCATGCTGTTTTGGTTGCTGTAGCCTTGTAGTGTAGTTTGAAGTCAGGGAGCGTGATGCCTCCAGCTTTGTTCTTTTGGCTTAGGATTGTCTTGGCTATGCAGGCTCTTTTTTGGTTCCATATGAAGTTTAAAGTAGTTTTTCTAATTCTGTGAAGAAAGTCAATGGTAGCTTGATGGGGATAGCACTGAGTCTATAAATTACTTTGGGCAGTATGGACATTTTTATGATATTGATTCTTCCTATCCATGAGCATGGAATGTTTTTCCATTTGTTCATGTCCTCTCTGATTTCCTTGAGCAGTGGTTTGTAGTTCTCCTTGAAGAGGTCCTTCATATCCCTTGTAAGTTGTATTCCTAGGTATTTTATTCTGTTTCTAGCAATTGTGAATGGGAGTTGACTCATGATTTGGCTGTCTGTCTATTATTGGTGAATAGAGGAGGAACAAGTCACAGTGGAGTTACCATGTTTCCCACATAGCCTGTCTTCCTTCCACCTATATTAATTATATTTCTTTTAAAGTTTTATTTTTAATGTGGTACTATTTATGTTCCCAATATTTTTTTTTTTTCTGTTGAATTGAGCATCTCTTTTTCTTGGTGTTGGTTCTCTCACATGTCTGGTGATGTAGGGTTTTAGGCTCCTTTTTGTATTTGAGATTCCTTGTTCACTTAATTTTGCTGTAGCCTGTCTTCCAGTGTAGGAAGAGGAGCTATGTGTATCAGGTGCGCTTGTCAGAAAGTTGACTTCTAAATTTTGGGCTTCTCTATCCTGCCTTGGGGTAAGTGACTGTGTGGGGCAATGGCTTGTTTTCTTGGTCATGGAGTACTTCTTTGCTGCAGTAGTGGGATAGAGCTGACAGTACTTACTCCCTAGAGCTGATTATTAAAAATTCAGGAATTTTTCAAGCACATCTGTTTGTTGTTTAAAATTGAAATATTAGAAATATTACACCATGGAATTAATCAAACACCACAAATCAAGGCTTTTTTTCTTTCCCTCCCTCTTTCTCTATTCCCTTCCCTTCTCTTCCCTTCCTTTCCCTTCCCTTCCCTTCTTTTCCCTTCCCTTCCCTTCCCTTCCCTTCCCTTCCCTTCCCTTCCCTTCCCTTCCCTTCCCTTCCCTTCCCTCCCCTCCCCTCCCCTCACCCCCCTCCCCTCTCCCCCTTCCCTCTCCCTCCCTCCCTTTCCTCTTTCCTTCCCTCTCTCCTTCCCTTCCTCCTTTCCTTCCCTCTCTCCTTCCCTTCCTCCTTTCCTTTTTCTGGAGAGTCACTTTACCAGCACACCACTGAAAAAGCTGCTGGAATGTGTTCTGTGGCACACATGAGGTTGGGGGGGAGGGATCACTTGGCCCAGCTGCTGGCACTAAACTCCTCTGATTAGTCTTCTTCACAATGTCCCAAAGCCACTTCCCATTGCTACTTTATTGATTTTGAGAATTATTTTAAGTGGAAGTGCTTGCATCCTGGGATCACAGTTATTTAAAAAATTTGGATCTCACTCTTCCTTTGCATAAGCTTTTCAGATATGTCCCCTTACTGCTGATACCTGTCCTGCCTAAGCACAGAATCACTTTCTTCTACTGTCAGCCCATACTTGAACTGTTCATTGCTGTCCTGCATCAATTTCTCATTATTGACTAGGCTGTATTGATGAGTATATATACTACTCTAGGGTCTTCCTTTTGATAAATAAGAAGTACAGAACTACTCCTGTCTTGATCCATCATCTCTGGCTACCATCCAATTTCTGCTCCTTGTCTCTATTTTCATACCTCCTACTTATGCTTAATCTCACTCTGTCACTTCAGTGAAACTGGTCTTGTCAGTCACCAATGATCTTCATTTTTCTGAATCCCATGGAGTGCTAAATGTTGGATTGCTTTAGAGCTTGTTCCTAATGTATCTTATTCTATCTATTTCATTCTTCTAGACCTATTTTTAAAATACAACATATATACTAATGATTCTCAAATGTATTTATGTAAATCTGACCTCTTCTCTGAGTATCTCATATAGACAAATATTTAATTGATGCCTTCATTTAGAAGTCTAATAAGCTTTTCAAACTCTGCACATTCATAATGGAACTCTAGATTTCCTTCCCGAACCTATTCCTTTCTTAGGCTGTCTCGGATTAATCATCTTCCTAGTGGCTCAAATAAAAAATTAAGGAGTTGTTATTATTTCCCTTTTTCTTTTGTTATGCATTTGCAAATCACAAGGAACCAGTCTCCATTCCTGTAAAACATATTTCAAATCCATATACCTCTATTCTTTTCACTGCCACCATGTTCTTCACACCCTCTACTATTTCTTACCTGGAGTGCTGCAATAGTATCCTAATAGGTCCCTCTGTAATTCCTTCTTTACAAACCTATTAAATCATACCACTTTCATGCCCAGAGCCTTCAGTGGCTTCCCAGTGCACTTAGAATAAGGTCCCATCTCTTGAGTATGGCCTAGCAGTTGGTACCTACTGTTTTCTTCTCAAACTTCATTGAGTATTGCCCTCTTCCTTCTCTCTAATCATGTCTTTTTCTGACTCAGGACCTTGGGACTTACTTTTTTTCTTCCTGAAATTTTCTCATATTACTGTCCCTTTTATATCCCTTGGTTCTCAGTTCAAAAGTCATTGAGCATCCTGTCACCCCTTATAAATACTTGTGCTTTAATAAGGAGTGCTTTAAATGCTTTAAGTAACTTACCGCTATCTGAAATAATCTGCCTTGATCATGTATTTACTTAAAAAAATCGTCTTCGGAATTGAATACAATTTCTTCGAGGTCAAGAACTTTGTCTTTTTCACTGCTTTATCTCTAGCTCTAGAATGATAGATAGTATTGGCCTTTAAGGTGAAGTAAAAATAGTCCAAGGGGGACATAAACATTGACAGTTTTAAGAGATATTCACTTCCAGTTCACCTTCCATTATGTACTCTTTTCTAAAATTGATCTGCTTGAGAATCCATCATTCAGATTATTTCCCAATTCCCCTTTAACAATAGTTTCTATACCTTTTTCTTTTTTAAAGCAAACCCTATTTCCTGATTATCTTAATATCATGTGTTTCTCTAAGGTATCAAAACTTCTGGTGGACCAAAAAATGGATCAACTGGAAATATTAGTAATGAAATTGAGAAAGTGAAACACTCTGTTGTCTGGGTAACAAGTAGTCTTGTGATTCAGTTGGTTTCCAATTAAAAGCTTTCATTGTAAGAAAGACTGATTGCAATTTAAAAATTATGAATCCATATACATTTTTTTTTTTTGCCATATAACTCAGACGCCATTCAAAGAATTGAGTGGCTTTGTTATAACAAATTCTTTTTATTCACCTCTACTCTTTGACTTTGGGATTATTCGTTAATTTTACCATTATTTTAGAGACAAGACTGAATCAATTTTAAAAATCCCTAAAATTGAAAACAAATGGAAACCAGTGGATTTAAAAGTAGATCTTGTTAGTGAGAAGTGTGTATCTAGCTAATTTACTTAGCTAATGACTTTGGGCAATGCCATTTGCTGGATGCATGTGGCAGCCCAGACATCTAGTTAGATGGGAAGTGGGTCTCAATTTCCGGAGTCTGAGGGTAGCATGTGTCAAAAACACAGGACAAGTAGGAGAGGGAAAGGAAGTTAGTTTAGAAAGCAGAATTGGAGAAGTAAAACAGTTCGTATAAAAGTGAATTTTCACAAACTCAGATATACAAAAATGCTTTACTTAATTGTATCTTAGTATCTGTCTTGAACCCACCATGCCTAAAAACAGGAAACTTTACCTGCCATTCTCAAGTAAACTGAATAAAGCTCAGAGATTTTACATCACTTCTGATAGTAAGGATGTATTTTGAGGTTCAGCCTCTCTTCTCTTGAGTTATAGTTATATTTCAGGGTGCTTAGATTTATTTTACATCTTGGGGTTGGAGTTTGGAGAGGAATATCTGGTTTCCACTGTCCTCTGTCCATTCGGACCTGTTTGTTTTATGGAAGCTGGCATCTGTCCCACCACCATCTACTGCTGCTGTTTGCAGTCCCAGCATGGTCCCTGTCACTACCTACACCACCTTTGCTGACAGTACACCTTTGTCGAAACCATGGGACCCCTTTATGTTTTTCTGTCTTCTCTGAGTCATTGTTGTGTTCATCTTGGGTAACCAGGAAATAGTAGATGCTCTCATACCCTCTGTGGTCACGGCTAATTGGGAAGCTGCCTCAGTTATTTTCTTCTGCCATCATTTCTGTTTCTGGTTGCAGCACTATGTTGGGGCAGGAAAGAATTCAGAATACCTTGTGTTCTGTGTTCAGGTCACTCAAATTTTAAATAGAATTTCTATGTATGCTGGGCTTCCAATGCATTGAGATGAGTTCGTGTGTATGCTGATTCTTCCTGATCATTAGAAAATAAAGTTACATTGGTTAAGGGATTGAATAGCAGATGGAGAAGAGAGCGATGAAATAAACTGCCAGTGGGAACCTCAGCACAGGGAACTTACACACACACATGCACATGCGATTGAAAGCCCTGACTTTAAAATAATTCTATCTGTGGCTTTCAAGATCCAAGAATGTGATTCTTTATTCTTGTCTGTATCATTCCGGAGTGAGAGGGGGTCTCTAGAATTCTGCACCCTGATTGACGGAAAAAGATAAAGAGTCCAAGGAAATTAGTAGAGAGTGTCCATTAATTATCAACAAGAGGGCAGATGACTGGCCAGTCTCTGAGAGGCAAGAGTAGTTTCCAAATGAAATTGCTAGTTTTAGTTACAAGAAATGTAGACCAGGTAGAAAAGGTCAGGTACAAAGAAGAGTGACCTAAGTTTTCAAAAGAAGGCTGACAGGTCTGGGATGCATTTCAGAAGAATAAGGTATAGAATGGAAGCTGTACAGGGCAGAGAGTCCTAGAACAGCACCATTGGGTTTTGAGTGTTGACACCATGGTAGGCATGAATTGTCCTCAGCCCTGCTTTGATCCCTCTTCTCCTCAGGGCAGGTGGGAAGAGGTTTGAAGAAATGGGATGCTTCTCAGAGTAGATCCCATAGGTGCCTATGGCTGGGAATTGCAGTCTAGGCAGCGAACTAGGGTCTAACAAAGTTCTTGTTTTCAATTTCCTTGTTTCAAGAGAATTTGAATTCCCTGAACACATGGAGCAAAATGGGTTCCTAAATGAACTCTCTGCTACAGTTCACTCCTCTTATCTGAGTTGTTATTTTTTATACTAACTCAGAGCCCTGGGATACTCACTGAGAGTTCAACTACACTAAGGACTTACCACATACATCCTAAAGATTACATGATACGATTCGGGACTGGTAACCAATAGGTAATACACTTCTTTTTACCCTGTTGTTAAGGATATATATGGTTATATGTATAGGATTGTATAGCTGCATATTGGGTGTGTACATTAGCAGGAAAATCCAGATCTATCGTCTTTCCCTACTTTTTGACCTTCTCTTTTACCATCTGACTCCCCAAATATTTTTAAAGACTTATCTTCTGCTTTCATCTCTGTGGCTTGCAAGAGACAAGAAGAATTAAGAGTTGGCCCAGCATTTTGGAAAAGCTGTACCCAGCCCCTGGCCCTCTTAATGGTGGGTTATAAGTTTTCATCTATTGTATCCATATCTCTTGTCTATATCCTTAAATAGTGCCTGGCTTATTTTTCTACACTGAAATTAAGCATTCTGTTGTTCACAGTTACATTCTATAAGTTTTTTCATGTGATGTGAGTTGTCTGCTCTTGGATGACTGAAATTTTAAAAAACCAAGAAGGAAAAAATATAGGTGCGTATGTTATATCAAATGGTTTTTTTTTTAGTAGTAACTGAAAATAAATATTGGATAATTTTAGTAATTGACAGTCTAAGTAGATGTTTATATCCCCAAAGTAGGGCCATGATTGCTGAATATTTCGTAAATATCTATACACATGCTTAAACCTTTAAGATAAATCATAATCTCTGTGTTGCAGAAGTGGGGACACAGCAGATATACTACTTTTATTCTATCTTACTACGAAGTATTTCCTTCTTCTCTCAGCCCCTATGTTTATGTGACATGACATCCTCTGACTACTTTCCCTACCACCCACAATCAATCCGTTATATTTAATTTTTCTAGGCACTTTAAGCACTATTCATTTTCCCTAATTTCTTCCACTCACCGGGAATTATTCATTGTTCTCCTTCACTCCCTTGCTCAGACATGTGTCCCATGTCACCCCAGGGGAGGCTGTCATGTCACAAGATGTTGTTACTGATGATCTTGGAATTATTTCCCTGCCCCCAGCCTGGGACTAATGTAATTATTATTTCAATGTGCTTTTTCTTAAGCCATAGCAATGCAATTTATCTTCAACATTATCATTTTTAAACATCTGTTAATTATTAACAATTTACTGCTCCTCTTGCACAAAATGCTATTCAGTAACATTTATTAATTAGTTATGTACACATACCAAAGATTTTACAGGCTTGTAAAATAGCAGGCCATTTCAAGGATTTCTCTCTTGGTAGAGACATTTGTAGGGAAAAGAGTTATATAATCACTAAATTACATTCATATCAAGAACACTTTTCCTGAGTGAAATTAGTCTAGGTTTGCTTAAGTGTCTCTTTTTTATTTAACTAAGAAAATATCATGCCATATCTGTCTTATATTGCTATTATCTCTCCCTTCCGAGGACCACATCTTCTGTTACAAGAGGGAGACTGTGCTTCAAGGGAGTAGAAGAGATGGTTTCAGTATATTTAAAAACTGCTCAGTTTTAGTATTCTGAATTTGAGGACTTGTCTTGGAGAAGAGCAACAATGAAATGGTTTTGGATAAAATCACAGAAGCTCGAGAACAAGAAATAGCCAAAGTATCAGCTATGTTATTAACCAGAATGATAGTATCTTATAACTACTATAGGAATGTTACTTTTATAGAAGTGAGAAATTTCCTAATTTTTTGTTTGCTTGCTATAATTGTTTACAATTATAAAATAGACAGAAGAAGCTCTAAAGTCAATAAATCTTTTTAACAGTACGCATATGCAGCAGTTAGGCAAAACCCGGTGCCATCTGGGTAGACCATGAAGAAAACAAAAATATTTTTGTACAGCCTCATATTGAAGACAGTCTGTATACTTAATGGCCATTTTTCTTTGTGAACTACCAGTGCTCATTTTTCTATTGTACAGAGCTTCTTTTCAAATTTAATCTTAATACCTTTAAGTATTTTATTTCAAATATACACACTTATACTACACAATAATAATCTGACATTACTTAGGCTTACACATTAGTACTGAGATGTAATTATTCTTATCAAGCATGTTTTAAGGCAACATTTTACTCTATTAATTTCATCCTTTTAAAATGAATATTAAGAAAAACAAATGTGTTTATAAGTAAACAAGAATATGTAAAAAAAATAATTGTATTGAAACTATTGGTAGTATCCTTGCTTTCCAAGTGTTACATCCTCTGTTGCAAGGACAGGTTTCTATTTAATTACTTAAACATTTCCAAACCTCAGGTCTTAAGGTTAATTAAGTCTGAAGTCTTAAAGTTAATTAAGAGTCTTAAAATACAATTTAAGTTGACACTAAAAAACAATAAATCTACTTGGTATTAAATACTTATCCCCAAAATTTTACTCACATAAAGATAATTATGTTGGTTTAGTAATTTGTAGCACTGCTTGAAGTTTACAATAATGTTTAAAGATGTTCATTATTTTAACTCAGTATAGTTCTATATTTATATCTCTGCAATCTTAAAATTTCAGTATAATTAATAATCACTTATCTATAAGACAAATGTAAGTTGTCTCCAATTAGTTAGGCTCCTTGTCAGAACATAAATTAAAGTCATACATGAACTAAAATGTTTTCATTTTCTCCTACACTGTGAAAATGTTTAATTTGTTCAAGTATTTACTATAATTAAGAGTGTTAAATATTGTAGCTTTATATAAAATATTTATAAATTATTTCCTTATCAATGATTAAAATATTTATATACTAGGGTTACAAATTTTCTTTTAATAAAATGGTAAAATCTCAGTAAAGAAAGGTTTTTAAAGGATGGCTTGTCATCAGTTTTTTTTAATCTTTTTTTATGATGTTAATCACCAAGACTCTTCCATTAACCGAAATTCAATTCTTTCCTCTTTGGAGACTTTCCTTTTTTCTGTGAGGAAAACATAATTATTTTTAGAGCCAACTGTGGAAAACTTCCCTGTAATACAATTGATGTAGAAATTATTGTTTCTGTGTAAGCATTTATTTTTTCAGTGATCTATTTCTTTGCAAATATTAAGGTGAATGTAAAGGGTCTGAAATGTATTGGGGATTTTGAAATGAATTTGGATCAATTCAGGCATCTCTGAGATCTCTGTATTTGTATGGGTTATCTTAACTGCTACATTTATCAATCCATTTATTTTTGTAGATTTCTTATTGTCTTTAAGAGGTTATGTTGGCAATGTTCTGATGTAGCCTGAATCCCCTCCAAAATGGCTCCAATTAAACTTCAGCTTTTCACTAAGCTTCCGATTTCAGAATTCAGTCCATTAAAAAGTAGCAGCTAATATGCACCTATCATTTTATTAGGATCTCTGAAACCACTATGTTATATAAATAACTGATACAGCCAGACTAGGTAATTTGCTACTGATTCTCCAGAGTTTTGTGTACAATTTTATATTTTGGTTCATGGTAAGATAACTTAGAGTCAGTAACAGTAACAGTAATTTACAAAACAGTAACTTGTAACAGTAATTTACAAAATTAATCTTTTTATTTTAAAATTATTTCAGACTTACAGAAAAGCTGTAAAAATTACATGAAGGTATAATTTTCATATACCTTTAACACAGATGCTGCAAATGTTAACATTTCAATCACATTTGCATTATTATTCTTTCTATATATAAACTTATACCTAAGTATTATTATTTTTTGAAGCATTTGAGAACAAGTTGAGGACTTGTTGCCTGATTGCCCATAAATACTTCAGTGTATATTTCCGATAAATGAGGGCATTCATTTATATAACCAAAGAACGAATATCAAAATCAAGAAATTAACACCAATACAACATTATTAACTAATCTACAGACCTTATTCAAATTTCACTAGTTGTCCTGCTGTCCTTCAGAATGCACAAGAAAATAGCACTTTTGTTTTTTTCTAGTACAGAATCCAATCCAGGAACACACAAGTTGTGTTTAGTTGTCATGTCTTTTTAGTCTCCTTTAATCTGAAAAAGTTCCTCAGTCATTCTTTTTCTTTTGTGCCCTTGATATTTTTGACGTGATATTCAGTCATGTGGTAGAATCTTCCTCAATTTAGGATTGTCTGAAGTTTCATCTTGGTTAGATTTGGGCTATGCAATTTGTCAAGAATGCCAAGGAAGTGATGTTGTGTTCTCCCAGTGCATCCTGTCAGGAGCCACATGGTATTTAGTTTTCCTTTTGCTGGTAAAGTCTATTTTGATCACTTGGTTAAACGAGTTTAACCAGGTTTACTTGTAAACATGTTGGCCAGGTTTCTTCCCTGAAAACTTTCAGTTTCCTTTCTGTAGTTAAAAAAGTCTTTGAGGGGGATTTACTCTGAGATGACATAAATATCTTTTTTTTTTCCATCAAGCTTACAGTCACTAGTTTTAGCACATATTGATGATTTTTGCCTGAAGGAATTACTAATAGAGCGCAGCCAAATGATGATTTTTCTAATTCCAGTGTTTCTTCTATTTTTATTACTTGGCATTCTATTGTAAGGAAGAGCAATCTTCCCCTCACCCGCATTTGTTTATTTATTCATAGCAGTATGAACTCATGTATTCTTATTTAATGGTTCATAATCCATTACTATCATTATTTATTTTGATGCTCAAATTGTCCCTTCTTTGGCCAGTGAGAACTCTTATGCTCTTTTGCTATGTCTGCATTCATCTTTCGGCACTTCCTTATAATACAGTTGAATTAAAGTATTTTAAATAGACTACACAAGAGACTTGTGCCATCTTTTGAGGAATACCTTATCCCCATCTTATAGAGCAGGCACGATGAGAAATTTTGCCGCTGTTTGAATTAAGGACTTCTCTAAGATGATTTGTTTTGGTCATATTAAAAAAGACTTTCAGTGGCCATTTGTGATGGATTAAATACGGCCATAGAGTCTTTGCAGGCCCTTGCATCAAGCTTTGTGACTTGCTTTGATTGGCAGAATGTGCAACCTCTACTTTCACCTTCTTGGAATTTGGCCCTGAGATTGTCATGTAAAGAAGCCAGGCTAGCCTTTGAAGGATGAAATTCTACCTGGCGGAATACCAATGTACACAGTGACAACAAGTTCCAACTGTTCGACATGAGAGTAAAGCCATTCTGGATCTTCGAACACAGCTGCCCTCCAACTGAATGGGCTGCATGAGTGAGCTCAGGCAAAATCAGCAGAAGAACCATTTGGCAAACACACTGCACTGTGAAAAAGAATAATTAATCTTTTAAAAAAATCCTTTAAATTTTGGGATCATTTGTTACCCAGCAATAGTTAACTAATGTACCATTGTAAATTCAAATTATTTCTAGTTTAATAGTACCGTTTTCTTAAGTTATTGAGAGCTTTTCTCGATAATGCATAAATAGGTAGAATATTCTCTCGAGTCTCCTTATCTGGTCAATCTATTTGTTTTGAGTTAGATAGCCTTACGGTCACAAAAAGGATAAACCCTGAAGCGTTACTCTTGATTTTTGGAGATGTTCTGGGCTAAGTGATTTCAATGTGGGCCGTACACCTCTGGAGTTCTATCTAAAAGGGCAAAACTATTTTTAAAATAATATGAAACTATTTGCCTTTTTCACTGAGTTGGCATGAGGCAAAAGCAATGGAGGATAAAATTGCTCCACCAAACTGTTCCAGTGCTTGTGTTGCTGGATTTTATTCATAGTAAAACAAAAAATGTGTTTGACTTAAGAATATTCTTAATGAGGCAGTACAAATGATTACTATTATTAAATATCGACCTTGAATATTCTTTTTAATACTATATGTGACAAAGTGGGAAATATATGTATAGCACTTCTGCTGCATATGAAAATATGATGGCTGTCTTAGCAAAATGCACATTAGAAATAGTTTGAAAGGTAAGCTCAACTAGTGGTGTTTTTTATGGAACAGTATTTTTACTTGAAATAACAAGATTATTTACAGTTGGGCAATTGGCCAACACTCTTTGAAAATAATGAAACATATCTTTCACTTCAAGAAAAACATCTGCTGGTATTTGTTGCCAGTAACATATTTGAACTTTCAAGTAAAAGATTAGAATTTTGGAAAACTTGTATCTGCCAATAGGAGGTTCATAGGTTCATAACACTCATTTGATGAGAGATCAGTGATGATATTGGGTAAAGTTTTTTTTTTGTTATTATTTTATAAATGAAATTTGTCAGCATTTGGAATGTCTTCATAACTCAATAAATCAGTATTTTCCAAGTGATAAATGCATGATGTTACAAAATCAGGTGTCTAAAAAATCTATTAAAGCAAATTAGAGCAATGGATTTTAATGTACATACGGTATTAGATTCCACATGCCAACTAACCTCTTAAAAACTACCACTTGTTGAATTTTGGTGTGAAAAAAGAATATTCACAGTGATCTGAAATAATATTTTTAAATTTCTCTGTGTTTCAACTATATATCTTTGTGAGGCCAGATTTTCTTCATTTCTTAAACTAAAAAACATGTTCAACAGATTGAATGCAGAGGCAGGTATGAGAGTATAGCTATCTACCATTAAGGCAGACACTGAAGAGTTTTGTAAAAAAGTAAAACAATGCTATTCTTTTTACTAAATATAATTTTATTCAGAAAATTTTAGTTCTTTTCTGATGAACTATTTATGTTAATATGACTTTATTAGTTTTAAAATGATACAATTTTTCTTAGTTTTAATTTGCAATATGTTAAATATCAATGGAGATACTCCCATAAAAATGCCATTTGGGGTCCTCAATTATTTTTAAGACTCATAAAGGAATCCTAAGACCAAAAGCTTGAAAACTGCTGCTCTCAGTAAATAGGCAACTGTGTATATCCAAGGTTCTAATAGACTCTCACTATGTATAAACACAAAGGCCTACAACTAGATTTTTAAACATTTTTTTTTCTAAATTTTGTTTTTTTGTATTTTTTATAGAGGTGGGGTCTCTCTATGTTGCCTAGGCTGGTCTTGAACTCCTGGCCTCAAGCAATCCTCCCTCATTTGCCTCCCAAAGTGCTGCATTTACAGGTGTGAGCCACTGTGCCTGGCCAGCAACTTCTTAAATTTATACACAAACATACAGAAAATCCTGAATGAAATATTATATTCTAGGCAATGTGACAAATGTGTCCCAAAATAAATGCTTCGGGCAGAAGACAATATATAGTCATGATTCCTCAAACATTCCTAGAATTCCTTAACATCAAGCATTGACCAGATCCATATGTTACCATTTCTAGTTCCCCTTCTTGGGAGAATCTGACACTGCCTACATATCAAATCACCGTTGCAGGCGCTTTCTTTGAAGGAGGTCACTGAGGACCCAAACTGCAGACCGGAACTTCCTCTCTGAGCTTTTACCTCGGATGGAGAGATGTCTCAAAAGCAATCATCTTTTAAAATGGCTGATGCACAGTCATCTTTTAAAATGGCCAAATAATAGCCCCTGAAAGATGCCTACTCCCTAATGCCTGGAATCTGTGAATATGTAATGTTACATGGCAAAAGGAACTTTGCAGATGTAATTAAGATTATAGCCCTTAAAATGAAGATTATTCTGGCTTTCCTGGATGATAAAATCATATGAACTCTTAAAGGCAGAAAGTTTTCTCTGACTGGAGATGGAAGAGATGTGGCTGAAAGGGAACCCAGAGAGATTAAAGCCTGGGAAGGACTTGATACACTGTTGCTGTTTTCAAGATACAGAGAGCAATAGAATGGAAGAGGTTCAAGCAGAATTAAAGAGCTGAGAGAAGCCTCCAGCTGACAGCTAGCCTAGAAAGCCAGTTCCATAACCACAAAGAACTGAATCTGGCCAAGAAACTAAATGAGCTGAGAAGGAGATTCATCCCTAAAGCCTCCCTCCAGGAAAGAATGTGGCCTGGCTGGCACTTTGATTTTGGCCTTGTGAGCTGAGGAACCAGCTGAGCCACACTGTGATACAGGAGGTAAGAAGAAATTACTTAGGCAGATGGAAGGGTATGGGAGTCCTCAGTAAGGGTTTTCTTTTCAATGAAAAGCAGCCCCAAATCATTTTCTAACAAAGAGCAGCCTGTAAAGTCGAGCTGCAGACATAAACAAGCAAGCTGGGAGCTTGCGCAGGTGAATGCCCGCAGGAACTAAGGACTAGACACGTTCAAGATGGTGGCTCCATCTCCCCTTCTCTTTGTGGGTCACTTGTACAGTAAGAAGCAGATAAGATGGCACCGATCAACTGGAAAGCTCATTTGCATAAGATCAGGGTGGGGCGACCAGCCTTCCCACGCACTATGTAAATGTTATACCTAATTGTACCAATCTGTGAGCCCTATGTAAATCAGACACCGCCTCCTCAAACCTGACTCTAAAATTCGTAGCATCTGCCACCTGCCAGTCTTTTCCACTCAGAGGCCTCTTTCTCTATAGAGACAGTTGTTTCTCTTTCTCTTCTCTTCCGCCTATTAAACCTCAGTTCCTAAACTCCTCATGTGTGTCCGTGTCCTAAATTTAACTGGTGTACGATGACGAGCCCCAGGGTATATACCCCAGACAACGTAGCCGCTTCAGTTGTACCTGGACTTCTGATCTAAAGAATCCTGAAATAATAAGTTTGTGTTGTTTTAAGAGGTGAATTTATGATCATTTGTGACAGTAGCAATAGAAAACGAATACATTGGCCATTGGCATTTGACATAAGAACCCTCTGAGAATGAAACCCATTTTTCACATGTCAGTGAAGACTTCCAGTAGAAGCTCAGGTCCTGGAAGACTGGGGCAACACAAAGGGTCTTAGCGTGTTACTGTGCTGTTCTTTGATCCCTTCCACTCTGGTAGATCCTTGTGAAAAAAACTAATCCTGATGAGTTCTCCAAAACTGCAGGGTAAACTTTCCTGACAATAATTATGAGTTCATGTCAACATTTTAATGTAATTTTGTTACAATTGAAAAGCCTCTCGCAGGCAATTCAGAGATTTCTCTCAGTAAGTGGTATTTATAGAAAAAAAACCAGGTGATTCAATAATCATGGATGGACAACAGGGAAAGAGAAATGAACATCTGGTTAAAGGTCAACTGACAGTCATCTGGCTTACAAGTTTCCCAAAGAACCCTAAAACCAAATAAAATCTATCAGAATATTGGGTGTTTTATCAGGCATGCTATTCCTTCCCAGATATAAATTGTAAATTACATTACACTAAAAGTTCTGTGCAAGCCAATCAAGTATGGGACTTTTTATTTTCAATGTTTCCCCCTTTAATGAGTTAACTCCTACTTTATATCTCACATGATGTACTGCCTCCCTACACACATCTTACATGACCTTTACAATAATTCCTTGCCCTCTATTATGTACCTACAATGTACTTAAATCCCCCTTATCTCTCAATAATTCTTATTACACTTGTAGTGTTACATTTGTTTCATTGGTTACTTAAATAATGTGTCTCTAACTTACTAGACTTTAAGCTCCCTATGGACAAGGACCATGACTATTTTTGTTGATTATTAGCTTCTCAGAGTTTAGTAGTCCTGGCAATACAGTAAGTGTTTGGTAAATATTTTTAAATGAATAGATAAGTACTGTATCATTTAAATGAGGTAAAATAGATGAATATTCTTAATAGAAAAATTGTAGAGCTTCCTTCTTACACAATGGCTTACAGCCATATAGGAGGACTGGTGAGATGTATAGTGTCAATGTTTGAGAACCATTGCTCTAGTCATAGTATTAAAATGAAATTTTGGCCTGATTTAGAGAAACTTTGTTCTGGTTAGAAACTGGCTCATTTTACAGTTGAGGAAAATTTGGACTTCAGCAAGTTTACTAAAATCAGAAAATCAAAGGTGAGAGAATATTCTTAGGTTTCTCGTCTATTATTTTAATGAATAGAAAAGCATCCCTAGGAAAAGACAGAACTTTTTACAGAAAGTAGCAACTGCACGATGGAAATAGCAATGGGAGTATGTCTGTAAACTGAAAATCTAGTTTCTGTGACCACAAATAAGGTAACATACATAGCTGTTCTACAAAACTCATATATGCAGGGAGATTTTCTGAAGTTCTTTGTTTCAGTGGGTTTCTATTCAGGATATAAAATATTCATCAAGCCCACCATGGCTTCTTTCTTTCTTCTCCACCCTTCATTCTCCTGGACACCTACTTAGTGTCTTTTAGTGAATAGCTGTAAAATATCATGGTGCTTAGAAAAATCCGTAAATGTTTTTCTTTGCTTCTTTAGCCAGAAGCCAAAAATATCATGTGCTTCTGTTTTCAGAGTGTAACAAAAAGAGCTGAAAATACGGTTGGCATTGCTGAGACAGGATGGCAGTATTTTTTAGAAACACGTTTTTATAGTACCAGATGGTCTAGTATATTCTCAAACAAATATGTCACCTATAATTTGATGAATACCTTCCAAGGTAAAATAATTTTTTTTTCAGTAGATAACAGATGGCATCAGTCAAAAGCATATCAAGACACTTTAAGAAAAAGTTGATAGCTCAGGCGCTTTAACCAACAAGATTTTCTCCAATGTACCGTGCATGTTTTAGGGTCTAAAATTTGTCATCTGCAAATACTTCAGCCTCATTTTCATACTTCACTCCATAGAGAATTGAATGCAACATGTTTTGTATGCTGCCTATAAAAATAATAAGAATTCCAAAGTTGTTTTCTGGCTCTTTTTTTTTCAAGTATCTTTCATATTATGCTTGAAGAAAAGTACATTTCTAAATATCTTAAAACAATAAGCCATTTATGTTAAAATGTAAAAATATTTGGATGGACTTAAACCAAATTTTACCTATGTTGGTGTAAGGTTATGTCAATAGTGAACTTTTGTTAGTGCTTTTCTTAAAGCTGTAAACAGATGAACATAATAGAAAGAAAAAAGAATTCTAAAGCTGCAGTGTGAGTTATTAAGGAATATTTTAAATATGAGTCATTATTTTTGCTCTTGTTTTTGGAAAATGATATTGTAACAGGGCCATGGTTTAGAAGCCCCAACATACTGTTATATTGATAGTAAGATCTAATGATATACACAAGCATGGGTGGTGAGAAGGGATAACGAAAATAAAAAGGTTTTCTTCCTGCATGTATTCATATTCATTTATAAACTGAGGTGGAACCCCATAATTTGCCATTTAACTTGGGATATGTTTGTAAAAGGGGCACTGCTTATAGCTATGGAATAATTGTAGATATAGACTGAGAGTGTCCTGGGAAAATTGGAATAAACCTTCACCCCAGGTATACACAACTAGTGTCATGATAAATGCATATAATGCTTTCTCAGTGGCATGTTTTGGAGAGTGGCCACATCTTGGTCACTTTGGACGTGAGTGGGTAGGTAATGCCAATGATTTTGTGTTTTCTAGAGTATCACTATGATTTTCAGACTTTAGTTCCAACATTATAGGCCAAAGACTTGTTTTAAAGATTATTTACAATTCTCCTTCTTAACACAGACCTCAAATAATAAAATATATGTTTGTTTAAATGTAATGGGATTAAAATTCTGCCTGCAAGTATGATGTAATAGATCATGGGAAGGCAACGAGTCCACGACCCCCCTGTAACAAATTAAAAAAACAAGATAAATTGAAAAATTATTTTAAAAGATATTGGAGAACTTCGTAAATAAGAAAAGATGAAATAAAATTCCAGAGACCAAAGAGCCTTTCTTGGATGAGTTCATGTTTGCCAGCTATATTCTTCTCAGGCAGCATTTGCCTGCATAGTCTGGAAAAAGATGGGCCTTAGTCTAAAGACAGAATCCTACTGAAAACATGTTGGAGCTTTTGATAATTGTACAGGCTAGTATGATTGACTGATCCAGAGGAAACTCAAAAGTATAGTTCATTTTTCCTACGGGACTTAAGGATGGGGACCGGTCCAAACTTTAAAAGGTAAGGTGAAGTTACTTTGTTTCCTTCTGCCTAGAGATAAGGTCCTGCTACAGGGATGAGGATTGACATGCCCAATTTCCCCACTAAAGTATTTGATACATCAATATATTTGTATTTAAAGCAGGAAACTCAAAATCTTAAAGAACTAAAAGAGCTAAACTCAAAATCTATAAAGATCAGAAATGAATCACCCATAGCTTTTAAGAAACAAAGAGAAATCTTTCAGGGTCTAAAGCAAAAGTCCAAGGTTCCCATGCCCAAGAAACATTTGAACAAATGGTGAGCTACCTTTTACTAAAACTGCTATCTAGAGCTGACTCAGCTAAACCTATGATTGGATTTAAGTAACCAACTTTTCACTTTAACTGCCTAGGGGGGAAAAGAATAACCTTCATTTGGGGAAAATAACACCACAAGCAGGTGTTAAAATTATTTTTTGCACAATGTCTAACATGTAATACAAATTATGGGAATATGAAATATAGGATAATATGAATAATAGCAAAAACAGCCAATAAAAGCAGACCTCCAAATAATCTAGGTATTGGACATAACGAAGACTTTAAATATTTAAAATATATTAAAACATTTTTTAAAAAATGTTAAAAATTTTCACTAGTGTTTTTTTAAATTTAAAAATTAAACATTTAAATTAAAATATTTAAAAATACTAGTGAAAAGACTCAGTATTTTGACATAAGAATAGAATCCGTTAAAGAGAATAAAATAGACATTTATAAGTAAACATAAAATCTGACCTTCAGAACACTTTGGGAGGCTTATCAGCAAACTGGATGAAATGGAAGACAATATTAGTGAACTCGAAGATGGGCCAACAAAAGCTATTAAAATTGAAGTGAAGAGAGAAAAAAATGGAAAGAACAAATCAGAACAAATCAGAACACAAGAAACACAAGACAAAAGAAAACCTGTCACATACATATGCTTGGTGTATCAGAAGCGGGGTATAGAGAAAATTGGGCAGAAGCAACATTTGTAGACATAGTATTTGGGGATTTTCCAAAATTGAAGGGAGATATTCACCCATAGGCACAAGAAACTCAGTGAACTCCAATCAAAATATGTGTAAAGAAAACTAGGCACATGATATTAAAACAGCTCAAAACCACAGTAAAAGAAAAAAAATCTTAAAAATCAATCAGAAGTAGAAAACACACATTATCTTTAAAGGAGCAGCGAGCAATAAGGCTGATGGCTAAATCTGCAGGAGGAACTACGGAATCCTGAAGACAATAGAATCATATCTTTAAAGGGCTGAAAGGAAAACAATTACCAATACAGAATTTTATACACAGCAAAAATATCTTTCAAAAATGAAGAAGCTAGATGCAGTGCATTATCTCAGATTGGATCCTGGGAGAGAAAAAAAATCTGTAGAAAATACAGTAAAATATGAGCAAACTCTAGTTCAGTCAATCAATAGCGGTGTTCGTGTTTTGGTTTTGAAGTTTACCATGGGTATATAAAGTGTTAACATTAGGGGACTCTGGGTGAAGCTATACAGAAACTCTCAGTACTGTCTTTGTAAGTTTGATATAAATATAAAATTTTTCAAAAAAAGGTTTGTTTAAAAAAGGTGAAGTAAAGAAGTTATATTTGTTACCAGTAGAAGCAGATTATAGAGTATGCTGAAGGAAATTCTTCATATGCAAGAAAAATGATCCAGACAAAAGCTTAGAATTACAGAAAGAAATAAAAGGCAATGGAAAGTGTAAATATATGAGTAAATATGAAAGGATATTGGTGTTTTAAACAACAATAGAAATATCTTTGGGGTTTATACACAGGTAGATGTAAAATATGTGACTAAAATGGCACAAATGTCAAGAGATCTGTAAATGGAATTAAATCGTTGTAAGATTTTTGTGCTGTTTGAAAGTGATAAAATAATTTTAGGAGGATTGTATGATGGCATAAATGCATATGATAATCTTCAGGGTAATCACTAAAATTAATACAAAAATGAAAAACAAGTTAAAATAAGAAATAAAAGGGAGTAAATTTTAAAAATTGATTAATTCTAAAGAACGCAGGGAAGGATGAAAATAGGAACAGGCCAAATATGGTGGCTCACGCCTGTAATCCCAGCACTTTGGGAGGCCGAGGTGGGTGGATCATCTGAGGCCAGGAGTTCAAGACCAGTCTGATCAACATGGTGAAACCCCGTCTCTACTAAAAATACAAAAATTAGTCAGGCATGGTGGTGGCCTCCAGTAATCCCAGCTACTCTGGAGGCTGAGGCAGGAGAATTACCTGAACCCAGAAGACAGAGGTTGCAGCGAGCCAAGATTGTGCCACTGCACTCCAGCCTGGGAGACACAGTAAGACTGTTTCCAAAAAAAAAAAAAAAAAAAAGACCAGATGGTGCAAAGAGAAACAATTATTGAGAAGTTCTTAAATGCAACTACATTAGCTATTACATAAAAATGGATAAAACATGATTTAAAAGACAAATGGATTTTAGAAAATAAAATATATGCTCTTGAAAGAGACAAACTTTATAGATACAGATTGCAAATAAAAAGATTAAAGAAGATATACTATACAAATACTAACACAAAGAAATTCAGGGAGGGCAGGGTGGCCCAGGCCTGTAATCTCAGCACTTTGGGAGGCTGAGGCAGGTGGATCGCTTGAGTCCAGGAGTTTGAGATCAGTCCTGGCAATGTAGTAAAACCCCATCTGTTAAAAAAAAATACAAAAATTATACGGGTGTTGTGACACACATCTGTGGGCCCAGCTACTCAGGAGGCTGAGGTGGGAAGATCATCTGAGCCTTAGGAGGTCAAGGCTGCAGTGAGCTGTGGTTGCGGCACTGCACTCCAGCCAGGGCAACAGAATGAAACGCTGTCTAAAAAAAGAAGGAGAGAAATGTGGCTATAAAAATATAACGCAAAGAAGAATTTACTGCAAGAAATATTGCTAGATATAAAAAAGATATTTTACAATAAAAAAGAGGAGTCCATTTAATAAGAAACCAAGGCAATCCTAACTTTGCACTTAATAACATCATTTAAAAAATATATATAAATTGACAAGATTAAAATGAGAAATAGACAAATCCACAATCACAGTTAAAGATTTTAACATCATCTAAATAGTTGATGAAACAAGCAGACAAAAATTAGGAAAGATACAAGGGATGTGAGCAACATAGAATATCGTTAACTTCTGGTTGGGAGCATTGTCCTGAAGGGAAATGAGAGAGATTTCTTGGATGCTGGAAATATTCTAGATCTTGATCTGGGTGGTGATTGCATTTAACACCTGTGTGCATAAATATGTTACACCTCAGTAAAAAAGCATATAAAATCTGTTATTGGCCAAATACTTAGGTAAAAATGTTTAATACAGTATATTTCTTTTATATTTTACCAAATCCTTGAGACTGAGTAATAAATTATCCTATATTCAAGGTTGTTAGCATGTTTAAATGATATTTGATGGAGAGGAAATGTCACAAAACTCTTCATAGTTACAAAGACATTGTGACACTCGGTAGAGGTAAAGGTTCCAGTATTTTAAAAACATGAGAAATATGGGTTAAACTGTGTTATAAGATATGCATCAGGAAATACATTGTCTTTTTAATAAAAATTATGAAAACAGGATATTATTGTAAATATTGCTAGATCTAGGAAGACCAATAAGTAGTCACTAAACTTTGAGGATTTTCAAAAAGTACATTCTGAAATTACTATTTATTTATTTTCTGGAGCTGTGTTAGACAATGCTACCAGGATAGGATATTCTAGTATACATTATGTTCTTTAAGACCCCTCAATTTCATTCAATTCTCTTACCAACTTTCTAACTTATTAATGATCCATATTTTTCATGTGAAGCAGACTCACATTTCTGCTAGTTAATAGCAACCACATGCTTTTTTCTGGTTGTTGCTAGTGATAATAGCTATTATTTAGACAAGAATTTGGAAAACCACTATAGAGAAATGTTTGCAATATGGACTTTGTTCTAAGAGCTCTATATAGTGATTTTAAGCATTAGACACTTCAAAATCTGCAGATAATTTTTGTTTAATGTATTTTGCAACAATTATTACATATTCAGCAAGCAACTAAGATACACATTAGTGCTGTCATAGTTGAGGCATTTGCAGGGTTAGAGCTGGACTGAGAGGGTAGATAGGCTTTGTATGAAGAGAATGAGAAAGTTACCTAGTACTACAGGGTGTGTTGCTGACAGACAACTCAGCTGTCAGCTGATTTTGGGATTGTTTCATCTCAAGAGAATTGTCAAGCCCAAAGTCATGTCCCCTTCTGGGGTAACCTATATCCAATGACTTGATGAATTTATATAAAGGCTTGGCCTCCTTGTCCGAGATTTGGACTTCGAGAGGTTATCCCAGCTCTAGAACACACTGTGGGATGAATGACATCTTCATTGAGACTGCTTTACATCTAAATTTCTCTTTCTGTCTAGTCCTTCTTTCTTTCCTTTTCCCCAAGAATGTTGCTTCCAAGAGCAAAGCTAATGTCAGTCTCAGAAATTTTTCTGCCTGAATATAGAACTAGAAGAAGGCTGTTTATTGCTTGGGACAGAGAAGAAAACTGGAGAATTGTATCTCTACCTGGAGGTGAGAGTAGCTGCTACTGGAGGCCATTGGGGCCGTTAAAAGTCATTGGAGGCCATTCACAGCAGGGCAAGGGACACCAAAGCTTAAAAAGAAGGACAGAAAAAAGAGGAACAAGGGAGCTGCTTTGCACATGTACATCTGTAATTCTTAGAAGACAGTGGTAGATGCTTTGAGTTCCTGTGGGAGCCTGGGGTGTACTGTAACCTTACGTTCACTGAATAGTGAGGCCTGGGATTCAAGTTCATGGAATTCTTCACAGGGACATAGGTTTAGAAGATAAGAGGAAGTGAAGAATAATAAACATTATGTCAAAAGTTTCATGAAACATTTGGAAAAGATCCACAGTGTTAATTTTTTCATTCCTTAAATAGTTGCTTATTGGCAGTGGACTGAGAAGGGAGATATACAGACAACATCACACACCAGCATCACAAGGGAGGCAAGAGTGAGAAGAAAGAGTGGTCTGGATCTCTGGATGAGGTCCCCTCTCCAACAATGATGGTGGGAGGAGGGATGGGCTAGGAGTGTTGAGGTGCATGAAGGGAATACATTTTATGAATAATCTTAAAAAAGAATTATAGTAACTAGAGGTAGGAGATGACTTGAGAAATTAAAAGGAGAAGGTTGGGAGCCTCATAATAAAAATGAACCATGCCCCACAGATTAATTGTGGCTTTTTAAACAAAAATTTTATGATTCAAACATGATATGGAGCATCTTGGGGCTGACCACAAACTTTAATAAGAGTCCAGTTAGTGTTTCTTATAGAGAGGAAGTATAAGCCATAGTCTTTGTCTTTGAGAGTAGACGCAATTTTCTTTTACTGAAAGAGTTATAGAAAAACACAACCCAAGGCAATGCACTTATTGAAAGATAAACAGAATGGTGATGTGTCCTTGTAAGTTCCCAGACACTTAAATTGGAGATTAAATGGTGGTATATCATTGCTCATAAATTTGTATGCTTATTTCTGTCTAGAATTCAGAAGAGCTGTAAGATTGGCATTAGTAGTTTGAGCCCTTGCTCAAAATATCTGAAAATCCAATATCTGTTTGGTTGTAATCTTATTTTTCTGCAAGTATGCCATGGGAAATTATTCTTTCTCAAGAAAAATACAGAGATGCAGAGTTGATATCTTCTCATTTTGAAGAGACATGTTGAGGCCATGTGATTCCTGAAGGCCATTGCTTAGGAAGTTTTCCCTGGTCTTTACCAACTTCCTTGGTGCTGCGTCACACTTTGAGATTTGCAAATCAATGGCTTTGGTCTAGTGTCCTATAGAGCTTGGTGTTCCTGTTCTCCATCTTCTCCTCTAAGATGCTGATTCCTACTCTTGAAATCTGTTTCCTTTTTATTGTTTTGTCTTTAAAGGGTTATCCCTCTAGTAGCAGTAGAATTAAACATTTTCTATACATTTAGTTTTATAAGAATCTACCGAGCTGTCTTCAATTCTCTAGAGAAACAAGGTTCTATATGTCCCACTGTGTTGTGAACATTGGGCACTGTATCAAAACTCTGGTCTACTTTCCATAGGTCCGGATGCCTCTCTAGGGTTTAAAGGCTATGCTCTACTATTATTTTCTAGAAGTCTTCCAGGTTTAGTATCTTGTTGGCTTGACAGCCACCACCCAATAGTTTTCTGTTGATACTCATTGATTGGAGGAGTACATGTGTATTGGGATCTAGAAATAAGCCTAAGCAACTCATCTCTTTCTAGGTGGAGTGTGCAACCTGAAATACAGGATAAAAAGGAAACCTACCTTACTGATTGTAATAAAAATAACTTGGAAACTTAAAACAGCTCAGGGCTGGACGCGGTGGCTTACGCATGTAATCCCAGCACTTTGCAAGGCCGAAACAGGCAGATCACCTGTGGTCAGGAGTTCGAGACCAGCCTGGCAAACATGGTGAAACCCCATCTCTACTAAAAATACACAAAATTAGCCAGGCGTGGTAGCACATGCCTGTAGTCGCGGCTACTTGGGAGGCTGAGGCAGGAGAATTGCTTGAACCCGGGAAGGGAAGGTTGCAGTAAGCCTAGATGGTGCCATTGCACTCCAACCTGGGCAACAGAGCAAGACTCTATCTCAAAAACAAACAAACAAAAAAACCCAGCTCAGGATAACGTTGTAAGCCTATTTGCTTTTTCCCGTTACTTCATATAATATCTTAATTTTTTTGTAGTTTCTTGTCCACGATTCCTAGTGTAGGATCATTCTCCTGGTAGTCAATAATTTCCACATTGCCTTGAGGAGAGTTAAAATTGTTATAATTACAATGCAAAAAGAATCAGTAGCTGTTCAGTTTTTGACTTTCAAAATAGACTCTTGAAATTCACATCAAAATCAATATTTTAAAAAGCCAAAGATTTTGCTTTTTCAGAACAAATTTGATTGGCGGGGAGGGGGAGAAAAAATCCCGGAAAGAAGCAGGCACATAATAGAGTAGAAAGAGAACAGAAAGATCCAACTATTTTCTTTCTGTCCCCTCCCTCTAGGACATTAGATGAGCCACAGTTGGTATATTAGTTAGGAATTACATTTGCGTGTAATGGAAACCAGCAATACGTGCCTTAACCAAGCACAGGTTAATTTTAAAAGCCTAGGAAAAGTCATTCTAGACTGGCATAGCAGTTCCATGATGTCAATATTCTGGACTTGGTCTTTCTGCTCAGTTATCCAGTTACCTCTCTTTGGTTCTCATTGGCATGGTGATCGCATGATCGCAAGATGGGTGCTCCAGCCCCATGTCTGTGTTCTGACTAGACAGAAAAGAGGAGGCAAGCAATAAGGAGGATGGGGGAAAGTAAAACCCATTGAGAAGTATGCTAAGTTTTTATAAGTCAAAGTTGGCTCTGCCACACCTAGTTACAAAGGAGTCTGGGAAACGTTTTATTTTGTTTATTTTATTTTAGCGTAGCTTTCCCAAGGAAAGAAAGAGCAACATCAGCTTGGGGGTGGAGGGACAGAGGGTTAGAGGGATTGCTTTTCAGCCTTTTGGCTAAGATCAAGTGTGAAGGTTAGATGGAAAATAAGAGGAGGTTGGTGAGACTTGAGACATGTGGTACCCTCTCCCTGAGGGTATGGAGAGTAGCTCACTGAATATCATTGTGCTAGTGCCATGAGCTTCATGTAGTCTTTGCAAGGAATCCTCATGAATTGCTCTTTTTAGGCCAAGGGAGGGCCTTCCACTGACACCTGCCTGAAGCTTTTATGGAATGTATTTGAATTGTCCCCTCTTTTTTTATTTCTTCTACTTTTACTTTAGGTTCTAGGGGTACATGTGCAGGTTTTTTTACATAGGTAAATTGCATGTCACTGAGGCTTGGTGTATGAATGATCCCATCACCCAGATAGTGAGCATACTACCCAACAGGTAGCCTTCCATCCCACGCCTCCCACCCCCTCAAGCAGTCCCCAGTGTCTATTGTTCCCATCTTTGTGTAAATGTGTATTCAGTGTTCAGCTGCCACTTATAAGTGAGAAAATGAAGTATTTGGTTTTCTGTTCCTGTGTTAGTTTGCCTAGAATAATGGCCTCTAGCTCCATCCCTGTTGCTGCAAAGGACATGATTTCATTCTTTTTTATAGAGTATAGAATTCCGTGGTGTATATGTACCATATTTTCTTTATCCAATCCACTATGGTTAGGCATCTTGGTTGATCACATACATTTGCTATTATGAATAGTGCTGCTATGAACATATGCATGCATGTGTCTTTTTGGTAGAATGCTTTATTTTCCTTTGGGTATGTACCCAGTAGTAGGATCGCAGGGTCGAATGGTAATTCTGTTTTAAGTTCTTTGAGAAATCTCCACAATGTTTTTCATAGTGGCTGAACTAATTCGCTTTCCCGTCAGCAGTGTGTAAGTGTTCCTTTTTCTCCACAGCATCACCGGCATCTTTTTTGTTTGTTTGTTTGTTTGTTTTTTGAGATGGAGTCTCGCTCTGTCACTGAGGCTGGAGTGCAGTGGCACGATCTTTGCTCACTGCAAGCTCTGCCTCCCGGGTTCACGCCATACTCCTGCCTCAGCCTCCCGTGTAGCTGGGACTACAGGCGCCCACCACCACACCCGGCTAATTTTTTGTATTTTTATTGGAGACGGGGTTTCACCGTGTTAGCCAGGATGGTCTCGATCTCCTGACCTCATGATCCGCCTGCCTCAGCCTCCCAAAGTGTTGGAATTACAGGCGTTAGCCACTGCACCCGGCCCATCTGTTGTTTTTTGACTTTTTAATAATAGCCGTTCTGACTGGTGTGAGGTGGTATCTCATTGTGGTTTTGATTTTGAATTGTCCCCTTTGGAATTGGCCTTTCAAGGGTCAAAAACTCATAGTCAGTGGGTTTTATAGCACGTAAAGATGCAGGAAGAGTAGAAAGGAGAACTCTTACCCTTGAGGAAGTGTTACGGGGTAAAAATTTCTCCCATTCACCTCTCTGCTAATAACCTATGCACAAATGTTAAAGACTATCTCTTCTGTGATGAAATGTGTTTTCTTAAATTCTTTATATCTTCAATTTCAGTTTTAAGAAATTTCAAAGATGAAACAATTTGGGGAAGAAATGGGGAAGAAAAACACACATTTTTAAATAAAGCTGTGCTTGAGGTAAATACGGCAGTACATTCAAGAGACTTCCACCAACTTCTGTCACTGTAAAAGCACTTAGAAATATTTTTGGACAACTTTCAGGAATGACCTTCATTATTGCTTTTAACCTTTGTGTCTGTGTGTGTGTTTCCCATTACCCTTATTTGATTTGTATTGTTACCAAAGTTATTGCACTTTTGTTGTGGGGGCATGCAATAATTGATGTTTATGTGCTCACCATTTCTTTGACTGTTGGGCAAGCAAGACGTTGCCTGTCCCAGACTTCCCTAGGGAGAGCACGTTGTAAATGAGTAATGCCCCCTACAAAAAGAAGGGACGAAAAGAAGTGCACATTTGTATAAATAAAACCCCTTTTTATTTTGCATGCATAGTTTCAGAAGAGAGAGACTAGATATTCTTTCTCCCCCTAAAATGCATTAGATGGATACTTCCAGAGGTGTGAGCTTTTATTATGCTATTCATTTGATTCATGATTCATAAAGCACCTTTGTAATGAAAGCTGGCCAGTGTCTAAGCCAACACACTGACTTTAAAGATAGGCTTCGGCCATAATTCTCTGTGCTCTGGCTAGAGCAGCAGGGAACACCAACAGAATTTAAACTCATAGTCTTTCAAAGTAAAATTTGATAAAGAGAAGCTTACCTAAAATATTGTTGGTGAAAATAAAAGGAAGGCAGTAACTTGGAAAAAAAAAGGAAACAGAATTGTTCCTTTTGGAGCTATATTTTCAAAGAAAAACTGTTAGTCTTTTTATTCATGCCATTAAAGTTTTTCCTCCACCTTCAGAAAAAAATAGCATTATTACTACAGAAGAAAGGAGTAGTCAGATGTTTTATTTTTAGGTGAAACCAAATAGCGTGACTCTGATTAGTTGCTGCAAGTTTCAAATTCTGATAACCTCATTCGAACCAGGGACTCATGTGGGCTTTTGGTGGATGGGGAATCTGGCTGTTTATATTCTTCTTGACACAATCCGCGAGTGCTGGATTCCAACAATCACAGACAATTCTGCTCTCCATGTATTGTGATAAGTAGAGCAGTTTATACAATTCCAATACATTCTATAAATGGTTTTTCTTATATAATGGGCTTTACTCTTTTTGGTGACATAATCAGATAGGTAAATAATAGCAGTTAGAGCAGAATGAAATGGTGTAGCCAAGGGCAGAACTTACTATTACTCTTAGCATTCTATCCCACTAGAGTTAAAAAGCTTTAAAACAAGTGGTTTTTTTGTTTTTGTTTTTCTTTTTGCACTTATTTAAAATTCTTCTAGTAACAAAAAAAGTCATGTTAAGGTGCATAAGGTTATGTTTTGCATATATTCAAGAGCCTTAAATATATACTAAGAGGCAAATGAGGGAGGGAACATTTTGTGTTCAGTATAAGCAAAATTCTTAGTGTTCTGTATCTGGAGTCTTGGTTAGTAGCTGACATTTCTGATGAAGGACAGGAAATTGGAATCTAATAGATCTACTCTACTTTGCTACAACCTGTTAGCAAATGTTGCCTCAGCCTATCTGTCTGTCATCTGCTTTTTCTCTCCTTAACTTGGGCATTAGGTATATGTAAATCATAGTCTCAGGCCCTTCTTAATAATGTGGCAATGGCTCTTTTCTTTATTCGTGTTTTTCTTCAAAAATAATAACCACTTTTCTTTTTCTTTTCTTTTCTTTTTTTTTTGAGACAGTCTCACTTTGTCATCCAGGCTGGAGTGTAGTGGCACGATATCAGCTCACTGCAACCTCCACCTCCCAGGTTCAAGTGATTCTCCCACCTCAACCTCCTGAGTAGCTGGCATTACAGGTGTGCACCACCACACCAAGCTGATTTTTATATTTTTAGTAGAGACAGAGTTTCACTGTGTTGTCCAGGCTGGTCTTGAACTCCTGACCTCAAGTGATCCACTCACCTTGGCCTCCCAAAGCCCTGTGATTACAGTCGTGAGCTATGGCGCCTGGCTCGCTTTTCAGTATGTAACACTTCTGTCCTTTAATTGTCACAACAATAGCTTATGGTGATCATTGTATGTGGTACAGTTGTCCCCCCTTATCCACAGGGGATGTATTCTGAATCTCCCAGTGGAGTGGATACCTGAAACTGCCGATAATGCCAAACCCTTTTGTCTTCACAATTTCACAGATAGAAGGCTGGTTCTTACCATAAATCTTAGCCACCTCAGCATGCGATTTTTGTCTTTCCTTATTAAGTCGAGAACTTTCACCTTTTACCTTAAAGGAAACACTTTATGGCTTCTCTTTGAAAGATCTAAGTAGCCAGCATCACTACTCCTGTGCTTTGGGACCATTATGAAGTAAAGCACTGCAATACTGAGACAGTCGATCTGATCATCAATAGGGCTACTAAGTAACTCACAGCTGGGTAGCATACACAGTGAGGAGACGCTGCACACAGCAATGATTCCCATCCCCAGTGGGATGGGGTGGGATCCAGCATGCTACTCAGAATGGCAGGCAAAGTACAACTTAGACATTACCTCTGAAATTTTCCATTTAGTATTTTCGGGCCAGGAATATTGTCCACAAAAGTTAACCATAAGTAACTGAAACCGCAAAAAGGGAAACCATAGTTAAGGAGAGCCCACTGTATTATTGCCATTTTTCAGAGGTTTAGGAACTGTTAAGATTTGAAGCCTAGAATGTCCAACACTAGAGTGCCCTAAAATCTGTAAGCTCTTTTTGCTGTTGTTAATATTGCATGGCTCTCTGTGCCAGCCAGATTGAATGACCTCCAGAAATTAAGTGAGCCAGTGCCCAAGATGCCAGACCAATTGGCTTGGTTTCCAGACTTGGTTGAGCCCAGCTGCTCACCCTCTACCCTGGGGGTGGCGGACAATAACTAAAAGAGAAACATCTGATTCCTGTCTGGAGCTCTCTCCCTCTTTCCTATAGCACTGGCTGTTTAGGAATAGGGATTCTATCTTCTGGTGTAGTTTTATGTCTGGCACAGTGTTCTGGTAACTATGGAATGCAATATTTGTAGAAAAAGAGGAAGAACAATTTACCTATCTGTAGTGCTCAGATCATTCATCCAAGAGTAAGTAATGCCTAATTGCATGAAGACTGCCACAAGGAAGAACTAAATCACATACACACATGATGCCAAAGAGTAAAGATAGTAGCAATACATAATATTTAATTAAATGCACCATTCAGTGTTTTTGCCCTGCCCTAAAGTTTATGTGTTGATAAAAATGACTTTCTGATATTGGGAGTTCATTTCAGAAAATACTCTTATATTTTGAGAATATTTTCCATTTGGTTAATGAGGTGGTAATACATGTAAAAGAAATTAAGAAAACCTCATTAAGGGATCCAAAAGAGTAATATTTTACAAAGAGTAATACCATCAAATAGTATCATCTCAGCGTTGAACATCTCAGATGTTTCAGTGTCCTCTCCTATGTGTGAATTCCCTCTACAACATCCTGAATGCACTATCTCCAGCCTCTACCCTGATCCAAACATGGACAAAAACAATTTTTTTTACAACCACAAATTAAAGTCTTGGACAGCTGTAATTCTTACACCCTTTCCTAATACTGAATTGAAATATGCTTTCTCTAGTTTTCACCATGCTGGTAGTCCTCTTTTTTCTTTTCTCTACTTTTTTCGCTCTCGCTCTCTCTCTGTCTCTCTCTCTCTTGTAAAACTGCTCTAAATTTGCTGGGTTGGAATCTAAAGTTGAATTGAAAAATTGATATGTAGTGTAAGACATAGCATTTAAACATACTCTATGAGTGGTCGTTTAAATTGGACCTTTAAAAAAATGCGAAAGGGGTAAAGAATAAAAACACTTAATTTTCTCTCATTTGTTTTATTTTTAAGCATCTCCATTGCACTATTTCACTCATCTAAGTGAAATCAAGATCTTGGTTTTGGACTAAACTGGAATTCAAATGTGTATGAGCATCTTTGTTATTTAGTTGCGTGGGTTCATGAGGAGTTTATTTTGATTTTTTAAAAATTGAGGGGCTCTGGATTTTTTCTGTGCACCTGAAACAAGAGTTGAGATGAAGAGGGCAGCGTGTGTCTGCCCACCACACTGTCTCTGCTTGAGGCTATAGACTTGCAGCCAGAAAGCAGAGGAACACTTCACAAAGAACTCCGTGAGATATGAGAAAAGTGAGTCCTCTGGCTTTACTGCAGGTTATAAGCTGTAACCTGAGTCAGGGAGAGAGACATTCTCCCAGGAGTCTCTGTGAGTCTCTGAGGGTTTGTTGTCCTGGGAAGATTTTGGCAGTGACGCTTTTGATGTGAAAAATTTGCACTGAAGGGAGGGAAACAGGCAAAGAAGACTTCATTTAAGACTCTTGCAATAGGGAAGATAAATAGAATACAATTCTGCTGAAACAAGAGGTGGGAAGACTTTTAAATGCCAGGCTGGGCTAGTAGAAAAGTTCTTAAAAAGTTATTAGGGGAGAGGCTGGTCATGTGATTAGGCCATCTGTTTTGGCTAATTGCCACTTATGGAAGTTAGGTTTCTACCCTCCCACAGAGACTGGGAGAAAAGAGTGCTATCTTTCTTGATGATTGCATTTCAAAGAGATGGCTCTCAGGTCCTTGAGACAGACATCACTGGACTGTGAAGCAAGAGACTAGAAGATTGACATCTCAAAGTGAAAGAGTAAAAATTTGCATCTGTAAGCTTTGTAAAGTAAATGTTCTAAAAAAGGGGAGGTCAGGGGCTTATACATTCAGGAAGAAGCCTGTCAAAAGTTTAGTCAAGCTGAAGGGAACCTTAAGAAGGTCTTGATCAAACAAGGGTATTCTCCTGTGGCTGTAGCAGTGGCACTGAGAGGCACAGTCTTCGAGTGTTTTGGAAGCAGTGGGTGTCACTGAAAAGCTAAGACACTGTGAGAAAATAACTCACGAGATACTTCCGGATCTCCTGGAAGCTCTTGGAGAGGTTTGCAAAAGTCTGAAAGTGTGTGCAATATAGGTAGGGGCAAGACCAGTGAAATTTGGGTCATCACCACTAATGTGATCCCATAGCCAGCCAGTGACTGGCAAGACCGAAGAAATACAGAGTATGGAGGTGAAATATTTCAACCTGACTTGGAACATGTTATACCCTTCAGTCCACGGGTGCACGTACTGTGACATTTTGCTGCTTTGTCCTTCATAAAAACAAGTGCTGTGGTAGCATGAAAATAACACTAGACAGACAGCTAAAAGACCTGAGTTTGTTTTTCTTTCTACCGGTTACTAGCTAAACTGACTTGGATGAGGCACCATCCCTCCTGGACTTCCTTATGGGGAATTGGGATAATACATCTACTTCACAGGGTTGTTATCAGGATTAAATCAATATACATGCCATCCTTTGCAAAGCACTATGAATGACAGATTAGAGGCTTTTCTTTTGATTTTTACCCATTACTTAACCAGTAGCCTTAATGTGACCTCAATTGTGTCTCTTTAGGACGGTGGTAACTTTTCATATTCAGATTATTCCTTCTGTGTACCTTTTGGGAAACTTTATTCCAATTCCCATTCATTTAAATGGTATATAATGTTTTAAATTGAACTTTTATCTCTATTTCATCTGTCTTTATTTTTTTTTTGTCTTGGACTTGGACTTCCTTTCTACAACTCTATCTCTTGGAGAACTTTTGTGATAAAATGGAGGTCAGTAGGAACCTTGACCCCACGCTTCTGTCTGAATACACATGTAACTGCTGCATTTGCTCACCACCACCAAAATGCTTCAGTGTTTGGTCAGTGGTTTTTAAGTTCGAAATGTATGCATCTGTTCAAATCTGTGTAAATTGTACTCTCTAGCCGTAAGTTGCTTGATATCAGTATCTATCTATATATAATCAAACAATTATGTTTGTAGAATATCTAAAGAAGATGCCAGAAAAATTTTGTACCCTTTGATAGAAAGTGTGGGTGTTGATTAAAAAAAAAGAAGAAATAAATCCACATTTAATGGGATAGTTAAACATCTGTTTACCAGAAAAAAATTAATTTCCAACTATAAAGGAATTGCTTATTTTTCCATTAAATCCTCAGAACAAACAAATAACAATTTTGAGAGGGCAATCTAAAGATGCAGTCGTGGTTACTTTGGTATTTGACCCTTTTTCTGTAGTAATTTAGTCTGAACAAGACCAAAGTGTGTGCTACTCTTTGGCTTTATAGCCCTCTAACCATAGGCGCTGATGGCATTCACGATTATGGATTAAATAGGGCCAACCCTTGTCAGTAATTTGTTAAAAAATTCCCACAGAGATACCTATGGTGCTGCTGAACAATGATGTTGGTAGTGTGCTATTTTGCTTTAGGAAAAGCTACTGCATTCCAACATGGGGTTCAATGGCTGGTCCTGGAAACCTCGTCTCTGTTTGATATAAGTTAAACCTTGAGTACACTCTGCCTGGTACTGAAATTAACATCTGGGTCCTGACCAAATTCTAACTTGTGAAATTGCAGATTACTTTACGACTGGATAAGAAATGTACTCCATCATATCTTAGCTTTGTTATTTAATTTTGCCTGGGGTTGTTAAATCACTGTAGCATTTTGCCACTGTGTGCAACCAGTGGGCTTTTAGAAATTTTAGCATGAAAGGCTCTCAAGAAAACATGAAACTCTTTTAACATAAGGTTATCTCCAGGAGGCTACTTTTTGGTTTAGTTATGTGATTGTATTTGAACAAATAGATTTTCTTTAGTTCTACTTAGTGTTCTTTTTTAAACTGATGGACTTTCACAATAGGTTTTCAGGTCTTGGCTTTTCAGTTTCATTTTTGGGGGTGTGGAAGTTTCAGAGTGAGATACAAACTGATTTGTGAGATGAAAAATATTAAAGATATGATCATTTGACAGTAATTTGGTGATCTGATTTTTTTCTGGAAATAACAAAGCTAATATTCTTAAGTGAGCGAAAAAATTTTTGAGGACAGCTACTGGATAGTTGAATATTTTATCCATTAATGAAATTGTTCACATTTTGAAGAGATTATTAACTGTGGTGCAATTGGATTCTTTGTGAAGTGGCAGCAAAAGGCTTCTTGGTTTACACCAGGGTCAGCAAACTACACCTTGCAGGCCACATCAGGTCTACCACTTGTTTTGTAAATAAAGTTTTACCGGGGCATAGTCATGCCCATTTGTTTATGTGTTTTCTGTGTCTGCTTTTGTAAGAGACTATATGGACTTTAAAGCCTAAAATATTTAGTATCTGTCCCTTTCTAGAACAAGTTTGCTTACCTCTGCTTTACATCATTAACTTGATCCTGTGGAGTCAGAGCTGGCTGTGCACATCCTCTAAACCAAGGGAGAAACAAATTACATATTTGAGAAACAATGCTAAGATTTTCCCATCCCTTGGACTCTGGCTAGACATTTGTGGCAACCACAAGCTTCACTTTCTCTTTTCTCCCTTTCTCAAGGTGCTTTTATCTGTGACTGCGGCACCAGCAGTTTGGGTTTGGTAGACTATAATATTGGATTGGTGGTGTGTATTTTTACATAAAGCCTTGGAGTTATTTTATTTTATTTTTTTGCAGAGATGGCTTCACATTTTAGACTACATGTTTATAACTGCCCTTGTGCTATAGTTGCTCTTATGCTGTAAAGCATGACAGCATACTTTTATCTTTTAACATTGGCCAAAACTGGTCACACAACCATTACTAAACCATTACTGTAGATTAATAAGAATCTGTATCTAGATTTAAAAATTTACATTTTTGAGATGGGATCTCTCTGTGTTCCCTGGGCTGGTGTTGAACTCCTGGGCTCCTGCAATCCTCTTGCCTAAGCCTCCAAAGTAATTGGGATTACAGGTCTTCACCACCATGCCTAGTTTACACCTGAATTTTGGAATGGAGTTATTTACTCTTGCATTGCTTGGGAGAAGGATGGACACCTGGATTGGTTACTTTCTTTTTACTACTCTAGAGCTACCCATTCTCTGCCTATTTTATCATGGGTCTCCCCAAAAAGAAGAGCCAGAGAAAAGGGATGGATGCAGATAGATAGCTTATTTGAGGGAGTGATCTCAGGGAACAGGAGTCAGAGGATTCAACGGTGATGTTGGTAGTGTGTTATTTTGCTTCGGGCAAAGCTACGGCATTCTGTCTTGGGGTTCAATGGCCGGTATTGGAAGCCTCTTCTCTATTTGATACAAATTAAAACTTGAGTACTAGGACTAGTGAAATGGAGAAAATGTAAAGATAATCCAAGAGTCGAGTTATTAAGACTGAATGTTAGTTATTACTATGGGCAACTGGGGTTCAATTTTGTTGAAAACCCTCTGAAGAATGGTATAGATCCTTCCTCAGACTTGTTTACTCAAGACATGGAAAAGGGTATATTTATCTACTTGCTTCCAACTCCAGTTGGTCAAGTCTTGCCCTTGGGGCTGCTAACTTCCTTGGATGTACAGTCAGAGTATGATGCAGAATGAGTAAGCAGGCTAGTCTTGTGTAGGTATCTCATGCTGTGGAGACAAAGAATTCCTGAAGCACAAGAAACATTTGTGCAGCTAAGTTAAGGTTCTATTGCTTCAGCTGGTTGCTAAAGCAATAGTCAGAACAAAATGCTGAGCAAAGAGGATGTGAGACAGGGCATTGAAAATGTATGTCTCCCTGTCCTTCTCAACCTGCTTCGTACCTCAGGGAGCTGACCTCTGTAGCATAGATCACCTGAACTCCCTTTCCATCTGGCTTCTCATTGAGTCTTGGTACCAGAAGAAATGGTAGGAAATCTGAAAGCAGGAGAATAGAATGGTTGAGAGTATTTGTTTCCCCTATCTTCTGTCCTTCCTGCATTGCCACAGTTTGTTACTCTTGGCTGCCACTCCTATTGGGTGAACCTGCTTCCATGACTCCACCCCTCTTTGGGTTTGGTAATATCATTCTCTCTCTACCAAAGGCCACAGCTCCTGCTAGGAGGCCTTTTCCTGTAGTTATAACTCTGCCATAGATTGAATAACTGCTTATCTCTCTTTTCTTTCAGACCTGGAGTAGGTTTTAGTTTTCTGTTGTTGCTGATCTTTGGACCCAGCTCAAATCTTTTGCTGAGCTTTTACCTATTAAATCTTTTCATTGTGGCTTAATTTACTGCCCAAATAAAATTGGGGTTTTGTTAGCAGCGAATAAGGGAGAACTTTTATGGGCTGACATATAAAGGTGTCTGCTCTTCCTGTTATGGGGCCAGGACCAAGTGAAAGTTTGCCACCAGTGGAATGGCTTCAACACACTTAGAAAAATGGCATAGAGATGAAGTTCCTCTTTTGAATAACTTTCAACTTTAGTGGCCTACTACTCCCATATTTTGGCTTGTTAAACTGGTAATGCTATATTTTAAATTTCTATTGCATTTTTTTCTTAGACATTAAAACCTTTTCAGTTACAGGATTTAAGCAATATAAAAGGCATCAGCATAAAAGTGAAAATCTCCCTTGATTCAGTTACTCATAGATAAATATTGTTAACATTTTGAATTTCTTCAGACTTTATCGGTTGTCTATAAAGGCGATCAGCATCTCAGTTTTGTTTGGAAGGAAGACACCAACTGTAAAAATGTGGATGGGATGAGAGGAAACAAGGATAATTAAGTCATTCCATTGTAAGGTCAGCACAACGTCTGGATATATCTCCTGTTATTCAAAGATGATACTCAGACAAGATTAAAAAGAAAAGTAAATGGAAGAAACATAGAAAACAAAAAACAAATGTCTACAACCCACCCACTCACCCTTAAACATAACTAAAGAATAAAAGAACACCATGCTTTTCAAAAATTCCCAATGGTTAAGTACTTGTAACAACTTAAGTGTCTATGATGAGGTAGTAGAAAAATGTATTATTGTGAATTCATTTAGCAGAATTCTATGTTGTTAGTAGAATGTATAGAATATTATATGCTGCTATAAAATTATCTTCGAGATATTTTTAAAAAATCAAGGCTGCTATGATATGATTTATATTAAAAACAGCACAGATGAATATACATTTACATGCTTAAGTATAAATAAAATGTTTCTGAAAGGAAATAGGTAACTATTAACAATGTTTTATTACCAAAAATGGTTGCATATTTGGCGGTAAAAGGGAGATTTGCTTTTCATTACATTTGTTTTTGTCATATTTAATTGTTTTTCCATCCACATATTATTCAGTCGGAAAAGATTTACTAGAGGGAAGGTAATTACATCTTAATTATGCACTCAACTTCAAAACAACATCAGAATCCCTGAAGTAGGGGAAGAAAGGTGACATTAAAAAAGTCAAAAGTGGTTTTCTACATAGTTGTAAGTACAAAGTGAATTGGCAAGAAAAATTTACATTGTAAAGGATTTAAAAATGTAATTAGGAAATTAAAGTCTGCGTTGGAAGCAGTTATTGATAAGAATCATCTCTTTAGAGATGTAACCAATAACTTCGAAGATATTTTCAACAATTCTCCCAGAATTCATAACATAATAACAAATAGAAGAAATTAACAAAAAGAAGAGGATAGAAACAAAAGGCAAAGAACAGAAGTTCAGCCTACAGAAGATTGGTAAAGAGGAGAGAACAAATTGAACAGAGCAAGCATCATGAACTAATAGTAGAAAACTTTCCTGAGATGAATAATATCCTAAGGCAGCACATGAGACAAACTGGTCAACAGGAAAACAACACCTTAAACGTATCCTAGTGAAATGTTTGAATTTCAATAGTAAACAAAGAATCCTCTGAGCATCTAGAAAGACAAGGTAGAGAGATCAGGCTGGTCTCAATCTTTTTCTCCATAATGTTGAACATTAGATGCTAATGGTGGAGCAACATTTATAGAATTTTGAAGTAAGTAAAAATAATTTGAGATTAACCAGAAATTCTCTGTTTAATCATATGTTATCATTCTTATGTAAAGGAATCAGAGAAGCTTTGCATTTACTATCTATTGATAGATTTATATGAGCTATAAAATTTATATACTCCACATATTACTCTTTATAAAAAATTACAGTTTAACTTTTTTTTATTTTTGTTTTTAAAGAAACTCAGGAATTCTGCTCTTGGGAAGATGGATTAGATGTATTATTCTTTACTCTTCCCACTAACTACAACTAAAACCTCAGACTTACATATAAAACAAGCATAAGGAGACTCTGAACGGTGAAGAGAAGAAGGTGGACTTACTGGAGATCTTAAGACCCAAGAAATAATGGAGAAGTAAGTTCCTTGGATTTTCTTTTTTGCCTAATATACCCCAGACTTGGAGCTGAAGAAGCTGGCAGCCCAGAAAAACCAAAAGGCACACATTTTCAGAAGTCTCAATAAAAGCCTCCTTCCTCTAGCCAAAGGACCAAGAAATGGGCAGCCCAGAAAGACAAAACAACAACAACAATAAAACCCTAAAAACCCTCTTAGATGAAAAAAACAGCACCGTAGCCAAACACCACAGAAATTTTGTGATCCCAACCCTCATCCACAATAACAAGGGTTAAATGTGAATCTAGACTTCTATCCTCACCAGAATGTGACAAGGTGCATCATCTCCGCTCTCAGGGTCATCTTAGGGAAAGGTAAGTAGGGAGCCAAGACTTTCATAACTACCAGGCACTTATGAGGACCCACCCACTCTATGGTATCAGTGGATACCACATGGGGATCTTGAACTCTCAGTCTCACCTGGCAGTAATCCGGCACCTCTGTCTCTCCTGGATGGAGGCCTAGAGGAGTGTTGGGACTTTCCTGACTTCCCTTTTGTGGAAAGACCACTCACTCTCCCCATATGTTAGTAGAGGCCACAAGAAATGATTTCACACACAAATTTGACACCTTAGATGAATGGGCCAAATACTCAAAAAAACACAAATTACTACAACTCACCCAATATAAAACATATAATTCAAAGAGCTCTGTAACTATTAAAAAAATTGATCTTATTACTTAAAAACTCCCAAGATAGTAATATCCAAGCCCAGATGGTTTTCCTTGGGAATTCTAGCAAACATGTAAAAAAGAATTAACATCAACTGTACATCAAGTAATCCAGAAATTAGAAGAGAAGAAAATGCTTCTCAATTCATTTTATGCTATCATTCATTTATGCTAAAGTTTGAGGGCCACTGCTGTAGAATTTTGCTGGGCTATGTGTGATTTCAGGATCAGCAGCCTCAGAACACGAGAGCTGTTAGGATTGCAGTAGCTCAGACCCCACCCAGACCCAGGTGCAGCGTCACCTGGAACTTTTTATGAATGCAAATTATTTCTAACTGATTTTATGTAAATCACGAACACTGAGATTGAACAAGCCCTCCAGGTGATGCGAATGCAGCTTAAATTTCAACCATGGCTACTAACCGAAAAAAGCTAACTATAGACCAATATCCCTCATAAACATAGATGTAAAAATCCTCAATGAAACACTATCAAATATAATTCAGCTAAAAAGAATTAGACACCATGAACAAATGGGATTTATTCAGAGAAGGCAAGTCTAGCTCAATATTTGAAAATCAATTAATGCAACCTACCATTTTAGCATGGTAGAGAAAAAAGTCTTACGCTTATAGCAAGCAATGCAGAAAAAAGCACTGGACATTCACCCATTCATCACAAAGACTTTCAGAACAAATAGAAATAAAGGGGAATGTTCTCGATCTGTTAAAGATCATCTACAAAAACTCCACAGTTAATATTTTACTTAATAGTGAAAGATTAAATATTTTCCCCTAGGATTGGCAACAAGATAAGGGTATCTGCTCTTATTATTCAACATAGTACTAGAAGTTCTAGTCAGTAGAGTAAGACAAGAAAGGGAACTAAAAGGCATATTGGTTGGAAAGGAAGAAAAAAACCTGTTCCTACCTTAAGATGGTATAATTGTTCATGTATAAATTCCAAGGAATCTACACAAAAATTCCTGGAATGGATAAGTAAGTTCAGCAAAGTTGCAAGATTCAAGATAGGCCTACAAAAATCTATTTTATTTCTATACATCAGCAATAAACATGTAGAAAAGCCATAATTAAAAATAAAATACCATTTAAATTTACTCCAAAAAAGAGAAAGAAATACTGAGGTGTAAATATATCAAAACATAAATAGGACTTGGAGACAGAAACTACAAATACTGATGAAAGAAATCAAAGAAGATCTAAATAACTGGTGAGACATACCATGTTCATAGATTGGAAGAATCAACATAGTAAAGATGTCAATTCTCCAAAAATTGACACACAGGCTGAATGCAACTCCTATAGTTCCAGAAATATTTTTTGTGTGTATATATATAAAGATTATTCTAATATTTAAATGGAAAGTCAAAGAAACTAGAGTAGCTAAAACTATTTGAAAAAGAATAAATTGGGAGGAACCAGTCTACCGAATTTCTACAGTAATTGAGACTGTGTTATTGGTGGAGGGATAGACACATAGATCAGCGGACAGGATAGAAAACCCAGAAGCAGGTCCTCAAAATTATGCCTGATAGATTTTTTTTCAAAGATGCAAAAGCAATTTGATGGATGAAAGCTAGCATTTTCAACAAACTATATTGGAGCAAATGGGCATCCATAGACAAACACTGATGCAAGTCTCATACTTCGTATAAAAATTAATTCAAATTGGACCATGGACTTAAATGTAAAACTATAAAATTTTGGAAAAAAAATAGGAGAAAATCTTTGAGATCTAGGGTTAAACTTGACACCAAAAGTATGATCCAGAAAAGGAAAATTGATAAATTGAGCTTTATAAAATTAAAAAAAAAAACCCTTTTCTCTGCGAAAAACCCTTTTAAGTGGATGACAAGGTAAGGTACTGACTAGGAGAAAATATTTGCTAACTACATGTCTGATGAAGGATTAGTGTCTAGAATATGCAAAAGCTCTCAAAACTCGACAGTAAAACAAAAACAAGAAAATGGGCAAATGTCAAGAAGAGATACTTTACTGAATGAGAAAAGCGGATGTGAAAAGATTTCCAACGTCATAAGCATTAGGAAAATCAAATTAAAATATCAGTATACACCTATCAGAATGGCTAAAATAAGAAACAATGGCCAACACCAAAGTAACTGTGAATTTGTATCTCATTACAGCTTGAATAATATGCCATTAATTTTCTTAATATTTTCCTTGCTATTGTTTTTCTTAATAACTGACTTGAATATCTCTTTTACTTAATAGTTTATGAGAAGCTGGCTTGTGTTGGTATTTAATATAAAATGGTTAGAGATATTTTGCTTCTTCAAAAACAATGAATTAGCTCAAGAAATGATTAAAAGTATAATCAAATAACATGAAGTTAAGCAGATAATTAAATTTATATATGAGAACATAAACCTTTTGTGCTGTTTTCAGAGCTGTGAGCCCAGGGCTGTGTCATTAGGCTAGGACAGGCAATCAGTAAACTTTTGTTAAATGGGTATGTGAAAGATCAAATAAGGGGATGAATAAAAACTGAACTTGTGGAATAAGAAGAATATTAATAGAGCTGAAAATTGTAAGACTTCCTAAGGATGCTCAGGGCTAAATTTTTTTTTGTTTGTTTTTTTAGGCGGAGTTTCGTTCTTTGTCGCCCAGGCTGGAGTGCAATGGGGCGATCTTGGCTCACTGCAACCTCTGCCTCCCGGGTTCAAGTGATTTTCCTGTCTCAGCCTCCTGAGTAGCTGGGATTACAGGCGCCCGCCACCCCACCTGGCTAACTTTTTTGTATTTTTAGTAGAGACGGGGTTTCTCCATGTTGGCCAGGCTAGTCTTGAACTCCTGACCTCAGGTGATGCGCCCACCTCGGCCTCCCAAAGCGCTGGGATTACAGGTGTGAGCCACTGCGCCTGGCCAGGGCTACATTCTTAAAGAGAATTGTACTCTTTGTCACCCAGAGCTGTGAAAATGGACAGACCAGTGCAAGTACATGTTTCCAGGGAAACCTATGAGCTGAACCAAGTATGGTCTTAGAATGTACTGGTAGAGACAGATGGATCTGCCTAATTGTTCATTTCTGGGACATTGGGCACTTTCTGGGAGCAAAATTCATCATAGGAAGGAAGCTTGCCTCTGTGACAAGTTAGTAGCATTGCAAAAAAAAAAAAAAAACCAAAAACAACAACAACAAAAAACAACTTACTGTTTATCCTTGAAATCCTTTTAACATGTGCCATAGCCTTCCATTTCAACCCCAAAATAAAACCTTTGCAGTAAAAAGTGATGTAGGTTTATTTCGAGGTGTGTTACAGGTAGCAAAACCTTTCCTGAATGCACAATTTTATATAGGAAAGGATTGCTGTGCTGTTGGTCACTGAGAAACTGAGGAGAGGGAGGGTTTCACTCCTACAGGGAAGAATGTGGGATTGTTAAAGAGTCATTTTGGTGACTTCATACATTTTCCCAATATTAATTTCCTAGAAAAGAAAGAGTAACAAATAGCATCTCAAGCTAGGGACACAGTGTTGGATAGATTGACTGTAGAGAAAGTCACTTTTTGTGAGTCCTGTTTCAGGTGGCTCTGACTGGCTTCCTTCACTTCTATGTGTGCTACAATCTGAATGTTTGTGCCTCTCCAAAATTCATGTGTTGTAACCTAATCAGCAATGAGATGGTATTAGGAGGTGGAGTTTTGGAAGGTGATTAGATCATTAGAATGGGACTAGTGTCTTTATGATAGAGGCTCCAGGGACCTGTCTTGTCCCTTTGACAATGTGAGGACACAGTGAGAAGGCACCATCCATGAACCAAAAGTGAGCGCTCACTAGACACCAAATCTACTGACGCCTTGATCTTGGACTTCCCAGCTTCCAGAACTGTGAGAAATGAATTTCTGTTGTTTATAAACCACCCAGTTTCTATTATTTGGTTATAGCAGCCCAAACAGACTAAGACAATGTGCAACATCCCCAAGTCTTCTAATGCTGAAATGAAATGAAATGATATTTCTTTCTCCATTGTCAGTCTCCAGTCCTCAAAATATTCCCATCTTTTTATGACCTGTGAAGAGATTAGCAGAATTGAAATATAAGCCTTCAAATTTATATATTGAATACAGATAATTAATATTTCCTGTCATGGCTTAGGCTAAAGTCCCACACACTCTGGCCTTCTGCTTAAAACAATCCAACATGCTCCTTTTTAATCAGATAGCAATTCCCAAGATCCTGTTAAGAATCTCAGCCAAACCTCCTAACCATTCAGGTGCCTCACACGAAAGACTGGTTTGTGTTTTTGCTTTTGTTTGGAAGGTCACCTTTATCAGGGCTGTAATTAATTCTTGCCAGGTTAATAGTGTTCCCTGTCAATCACACAGGTCTTGGGGGGAGAAAATTGATAATGTAATAACCATGGCAAAGTGAGACATCGTCACCTTCCAGACCAGGTATCTGGCTTTTTTTTTTTTTTTCCTTTTTGGCGGACACAAATTGGTCTGTACTTATGATTGCCACTAACTATAGAGAAAATTCAAAAATGAAACCCAGTTTCTTTGACTTTCTTTGGGGTAGCTGTATCTTCTGCCCCTGGTTTCAAGTACAAAGGCAGATTCTGAGTCAGCCCATTCCCTCACCTGGAAGCAGACTTTTCATGCAATAAGATACAACAGCTTAGCTTGCATGAGGTTTTGGGAAAAGGCCAAATATTCAAAAAACCATCTGCTTGCACTGCTCATAAATCACAGAAATGATTGCCCTTGATCTGCAGCCATTCTCCATTATAGAGGATATTGGTTTCCAAAAGATGTCACAGCGTATTGAAATGAGATGGTCTCTTCCAAGCAGAAAATTCCTCTTCACCATTACATTATTATAGTTGAGTAGAATTATGTCATGTTAGTCCTCAAAGGCAGATAGGATCTCAGAGAAGATGCAAGTGGAGGGGTGGTTGTAAATTTTGCAACTAGCGTAAAGGACAAGCCACTAAAACTTTTTTATGCTTTGCTCCAGTCAAATACTGTGAGAGTTTGACATGATTGGGAGCAAGGAGTTCTGTTTCTGAAGATGTCTTTTAACCATATGTCCATCTTATAACCCGTAACACTTTTTCTCACCAAGAGCAGAGACAATGGCAGTTAATAGAATGAATATAAAGAATGAATGTACAGCAAATAGCCCATGAAAGTTAGACACTTGTGGAACTATCTGCAGTATACTTGGCATTGTACAAAGTACAGGGCATGACAGGACGTCTGGCCAATGGCTTTGATGATCTAAGTGAGACACAACCTTCTGAGGAGCTAGCCTGAAAAATACAGACTCTGCTCACTTGGCCTCTGTTGTAAGAGCCAGTGAAGTGTCAGGTCTGAAATCCACAAAGCACTGGGAAATTCCCAGAACATTCTTTGACACCCAGGGTTCATTCCAGCTGGGCTGATCTGACAGCATGTTGCCGGCTGATCTACAGGGAGTTGGTTGCAGTTACAGGCTCATATGCGGTGTCTTTGTTAAGAAAATGATTACAGTGAGGGCTCTTTCATTCTGAGTTCACTTTACCATCTGTTTGAAATCACAAAAGGGCAAACTTGGTGAGGGGTGGACAGGAATTGTCTGTACCGTGTTAGCAAATGTTCTACAAATCTAAAACTCTTCTAAAACAAAATACTTATTAAAAACACATTTACTGACAACCTGCTATCTGGCCAGGTTCTGCCGTAGGTGTGTGGGTAAAATTTGCACTTATGAAGTTATGTTTTAGCTAACATGTAGCCTAGAAATGTGCATCGAATGATGAAAGTCTTGTACCACTGTTACTAGGTGGATGGATGGTGGGATGATGGCAGGGAGGGTAGGGTATAAAGGAGAATACGGTGATTAAGTAAAAGATTTTGGTGTTTTACAGACCTGGGTTTGTATTCCAGTTCTACTTTCAAAATATATTATTTTGGGCACGTTATCTAACTTCATTAAGACTAATTTTCTTTGTTGATAATAATACTACTATCTCATAGAATCTTGTTAGAACTAAAAATATATATATATTTCGTATATATGCATACAAACATGTTTGTATACATGTATACATGTGTGTATATTTGTATATATGTGTGTATATGTGAATATATGTTTGTATATGTGTATATCCGTATCTACAAATTTTGAATACTTGTTCAGGACAAAGCCTGAAAGAGTGCTCAATAAAAGATAGCTATTATTACTTCTACTCCATAAAGTAACAATTCCAAAACACTTTGGTAGAATAAAGAAGTTAGTGCTGATACAGTATTGAACAACTAAAATGAAGGGTGATCCCATAAGACTGGGCAGGCCATTTCCCTTAGCCTCAGCTGGCTGTGCGTTTCACCAGATCCTGGGAGGGACAGATGGAAAGTACACATTGAACCAATACCAAGCATTGTGTGTATGTGTGTGCCTGCGTGCGTGTGTGTGTGTGTGTGTGTGTGTGTGTGTGTGCATACTTTGGTTTGCAAGAAAAAGAAATAGGCTCAGCTACCTCAGGGATGATGATTTATTTCAAGGAACATAAGAAGTATAGAAATACAAGGAACACTTTGCAGCTGCATTAGGCTTCAAAGCCTAGAGTGAAGTTCTCAGCTGCTTAGGTTACAGCAGCAGCTCCAGTGACTGCTGCATATAAGAAGACTCAAACATCTTTTTACGCCTCGGAAAGAGATGCCCATTACTCACCACCATCCCTACTCTAGTGAACACAATGGTCTCAGCTAAAGTTAGACTTGCCCTGCTTCTCTTAACTTTTGAAATATCTTGTTTTCTGCCTTCTATTGCATCTCTCCAAAGGCTGTATCTCTAGCGTGTATGGCAAGGTCTTGCCTCCCTGGTATAGCTGGTTGATCCAGGGGTGGATATGTAACCTTAGAGGGAGCAGTATTATTCTTTTTCACAGGAATTATAAAATCAGGACAGATAGCTAGGGAGGAGCAACTGGGCTTTGCTAATGGCCACGCTCTAGAGCAGGGTTTCTCAACCTTGGCACTATTGACATTTTTGGGTGGATAATTCCTTGTTGTGGAAGGCTGTCCGGTGCCTTATAGAATGTTTAGCTGTATCCCTGGCCTCTACGTGCTAGGTGCCAGTAGCACTCTCCATCTGCCCTCCTCTCTCATTTGCCCCAGTGTGACAATAAAAAATGTATCCAGATCTTTCCAAGTGTCCCCTCAGGGGAAAAATCTTTTCTGGTTTAGATTCAGTGCTCTAGAGCAGTGCTATAAAAAGTCTGGTTTACGGACTGGCAGCATCAGCATCATCTGAGAGCTGCTTGAATCAGAATCTGGTGATGGAGTTCAGGAATCTGTGTTTTCACAAAGTTTGCAATGACTACTATGCATGCATGCTAAAGTTTGAGGGCCACTGCTGTAGAATTTTGCTGGGCTATGTGTGATTTCAGGATCAGCAGCCTCAGAACACGAGAGCTGTTAGGATTGCAGTAGCTCAGACCCCACCCAGACCCAGGTGCAGCGTCACCTGGAACTTTTTATGAATGCAAATTATTTCTAACTGATTTTATGTAAATCACGAACACTGAGATTGAACAAGCCCTCCAGGTGATGCGAATGCAGCTTAAATTTCAACCATGGCTACTAACCGAAATCACTTCTGAGATATTAAAGGCTATTGAGGCCTGGGTCCCATTCCAAAACATTTTTATTTTAGATTATCTAGGGTAAGAACGGTGCATTAGCAACAAAACTTTCATAATGCCCATGTGATTCCAATGTGCAGCCAAACTCCAGAAACTGCCAGAGTGTTAGTCTCGAATCTCTGCTGCAAATGTCCCTGGAGGTTTTGTGGTTTCTTCACATTTCAAATCTTCACTGTTCAACTCTTATTTTAATTTGCAAGCCACTCCTATAATCTTACAATAATGTTTTAAATTAGGCTAACTAGAGTTCATTTCTGTTGCTCACAACCCTAATAACCTAAATAAGTACAGTCATATGGGGAAGAGATTGCAGACAGTAGACTCTCAGGAAACGTGGGAAGCTAGGTATTTGAAATTGGTTTTTGGGGTGCGTGTTTGTGTGTGTGCCGGTGAGGGGCATCCCTCTATATTATAGGATGGAAAACTATCAGCTTGTTGGTCCCTAAATTGACCATTAGGAACTCTGCTCAAAAAGTCTCTTCCTCATGTAGCCCTGAGCAAAAGGCTATAGCTATGAGTCATTAACAAACAACACTTAAAGCATCTGGAGTCTGGTGCATAGTTTGAGCAAACCCGAGTCTGTATTATATGGGTTTTATTGTTCTATTGACGATGTCAAGATGATGGACCTGGAAAAACAGGAAATGGGAGTTACCCTAGACATTTTGTTTCGAGGGGTAGCACATAACTTCTAAAATAATTGAGGTTTGATACTGTGAAGTTTCCAAGATTTTAATGGTTTAGATTATGTTGAGATATTACTTCCAAATTAAAAGATAAGTTTCTATATCTGGTGTCCCTTATGAAAAAGGAGGCATAACACATGGCAAAGTGGTCCTATTCAGATTGCAAAGACAGTTTATAACACACTGTGAAGAAGCATGTTACGCAATGTCTCTGACCTGTTTACTTTGACATATGTGTCTACTTCCATTAGGTTTTGCTGTAACAACCTCAAGAATCTCAGTAGCTTACAAAAACAAGCATTTATTTCTCCTTCACTTGCATTGTACATTGCCACTGGAGCTCTAATTCAGGCTGCAGGTAGGGTTCAAGTCTGCTTCAGATGTCTTCTCTTTCTAGAGTCCAAGTTGAAGGAGCGCCACCTACTTGAGATATGAGTTTCTCTCCATGGAAGGCAGGGATGCAAGAGGGCAGCTAGAAACACACATCACCTCTCAAAGTCTCTTTCAGGAATAGGAATACTGATATATATCCTCCAACACTTCATTGATAAAACCAAGCCATATGGTGGTGAAGCCCAAAGTCTATGGGACAGGGAAATAGGCTCTATCCACAGTGAACCATGCCGAGAGAGAGGAGGGAAAGAATTATGAACCTATCACCTCTGGGTATCCGAAAATCTACCAGAGCAAGAGAAGCATCTTTAGCTCTTCTGTAAGAAAATTTACATTACTCTTTACTCAGCCATTATGACCAGCAGTTCGAAAGATGCTGTACGGAGAATAGGAAGTACTGTGTAGTTTGTGACAAGCTCTCATAGGACAATTGAGTGTAAGTCTGAGTTTGAGAGCAGAGCCATCCTCTTTTTCCATGTAACTCTCCTTCACCTCAGAATGAGTCTCAGCTTTCTAACTGACTCTGTTAAAGACAGAACATCTGGTCTTGGACGGCTACAGGCTTTGAGCTACTCAAAAGCAACTTATGCTATATGTTATTTTTAAAGCTGCATATAACTAGTAATATTCTCTCATCAAACTAGATCATGAATATACAAATTATTTGCATAATCAGGTCACATTCACTTCCATGGTTTACATTGCAATAAATTCCTCAATTAATACCTAGGATGGCCTCATGGGTAGTTTCCCATGGCCACTTAACTAAAGATAAATTACTCATGCCTGGTTCTCTGTAAAATGCTGACATGAACTGGAAATGGTCTGTGGTGTTGCGGTTCCAGTTATGAGTGGCCCTGAAAGACAGTAGAGAAGGTTAAGTCTCTTTGTGACCAGAACACAAAGCATAACAATTTACTGTTTATTTTGCTAAAAGGAAATGTGGCCTGAAATCATGATCTATACTAATTTCTAGGCAACAGTTATTGTCTAGTTCTAGTTGGGGAAGATCAAAATTGGAATATTGGTGACAAGAAGGTTAAGAGATGTGTTGGTGTGGATGGATCTCTCAGAACGCATTTAGAGGATGAAAAGGGTTGTATCTTATGTACGCTTTTCAGAAGACTTTCACTATAGAAGAGGCCCTTAGTAAATCAGGTAGACAAAATGACCCATAGTTGTCAGTCATTTCCCTTTATTAGACAGTAAGGTATTTAATCAGTGGGCTCATGAACAAGGCAGACATGGTACAAAGATAGATGTTAGGCTTGTTGTAGGCTCAACTGCATGAATGTCTCCTCACTGGGCCTGACTTGCCTACTATCATTGCTAAGTGCATGATTTTTCAAGCAAAAGAACCCAATTCTGAACACCAATCTAACGTCAAACCTCAAGGGTGCTTTTTAGGTACCAGGTAATTCAATTAACTAAATTGGGTAATTCTCATCAGTGAAAAAATCGGAATTTTTTTCCCATATTAGAATAGTTATGCATAGTCTGGATTTGGATTTTCTTTATCTTCTATTTATTCCTCTGTATCACCATGTGTGAGTTTACTGAAGGTTGTATACACTGTCGGAATAAACTTATTACCTCCAAATTCACTTCACAGCAAAAGTGGCAAGGCAATGGGATCATACCCAAGGGAGTAATGCAAACAATCATATACCCCATCATTCAGAAAATGCTGGCCTGATAGGATGATTCAGTGACCTAATAAAAATCCAGCTGTGACAGGAGCTGGCAGTTATCACCTTGCAATTTTAGAGAGTTATTTTATAAAATGTACTGTGTAGTCTGTACCTGTTATTGACAGATTGGTAGAGAAAAAATCCACAATGTCTCTGGAGCAGCCCTACTTTCTTTTCTTTCTGAGAGTAGTTATTCAAACTTTTCTTCATTTTATAAAATTCTTTGGTATATGTCCAAGAATCTCCCCCTTTTCTGTTGGAGTCTGTCAGTTGGTTGAGTTGCTGCAACCAAAAGAATCTGAATTTATGTTCTTGGTCTGCTTTTTAATGTGGTTGTTTGTTTTTTCTTATAAATTTGCTTAAGTTCCTTATAGATATTGAATATTAGACTTCTGTCAGATACATAGTTTGCAAAAATTTTCTCCCATTCTGTAGGTTGTCTCTATACTCCGTCGATAGTTTCTTTTGCGTGTACAAGCTCTTTAATTAGATTGCATTGGTCAATTTTTCCTTTTATTGCAATTGCTTTTGGCATCTTCCTTATGAAATATTTGCCCGTACCTATGACCTGAGTGCTATTGCATATGTTGTCTTCCAGGTTTTTTATAGTTTTAGGTTTTACATTTAAGTATTTAATCCATTTTCAGTTAATTTTTGTATATGGTATAAGGAAGGGGTCCAGTTTCAATATTCTGCTTATGGCTAGTTAGTGATCTCAGCACTATTTATTAAATAGGGTATCCTTTCCCCATTGCTTGTTTTTGTCAGGTTTGTTGAAGATCCGATACTTGTAGTTGTATAGTCATATTTCTGGGTTCTGTATTCTGTTCCATCGGTCTATGTGCCTGTTCTTGTACTAGGTCCATGCTGTTTTGGTTACTGTAGCCCTGTAGTATAGCTTGAAGTCAGGTAGCACGACGTCTCCAGCTTTGTTCTTTTTGCTTAGGATTGCTTTCACAATTTGGGCTCTTTTTTGGTTCTACATGAATTTTAAAATAGGTTTTTTTTTTCTTCTAATTCTGTGAAGAATGTCAATGGCAGGTTAATGGGAATAGCATCGAATGTATAAATTGCTTTGGGCAGTATGGCCATTTTAAAGATATTGATTCTTCCTATCCATGAGCAAGGAAAGTTTTTCCATTTATTTGTGTCAATTCTGATTTTTTTTTGAGCAGTGTTTTGTAGTTCCTCTTGTAGAGATCTTTTCATTTACCATGTTATCTATATTCCTAGGTATTTTTTTTTTTTTTTGGCAGTTGTGAAAGGGAGACATGCATGAGGCCAACAAGCATATGAAAAAAAGCTCAACATCATTGATCATTAGAGAAATGCAAATCCAAACGACAATGAAATACCATCTCACGCCAGTGAGAATGGCCATTATAAAAAAGTCAAAAAATAACATGCTGGTGAGGTTATGGAGAAAAAGGAACAGTTACACACTGTTGGTAGAAGTGTAAATTATTTCAACCATTGTGGAAAACAGTGTGATGATTCCTCAAGACAGAAATAACATTCAACCAAACAATCCTATTACTAGGTATATATATACCTAAAGGATTACAAATCATTCTGTTATAAAGATATATGCACGCATATGTTCATTGCAGCACTATTCACAATAGCAAAGACATGGAATCAATCCAAATGCCCATCAATGATAGACTGGATAAAGAAAATGTGGTACATATACACCATGGACTACTATGCAGCCATAAAAAAGAATGAGATCATGTCCTTTGCAGGGACATGAATGGAACTGGAGGCCATTATCCTTAGCAAACTAACGCAAAAACAGAAAACCAAATATCACATGTTCTCACTTACAGGTGGGAACTAAACGATGAGAACACATAGACACATAGAGTGGAACAACACACACTGGGGCCTACCAGAGAGTGGAAAGTGGGAGGAGGGAAAGGATCAGGAAAAATAAATAATGGATACCAGATTTAATACCTTGGTGATGAAATAATCTGTATAGCAACCCCCCATGACACACATTCATGTGTGTAACCTGCGCATCCTGCACATGTCCCCCTGAACTTAAAATAAAAGTTAAATAATCTTAAAATCTAAAGTTTCCTTTAAAAGTCTTCTTTAAAAAAAGATTATAAGAGAAGCCCTAATGATCACTTCATTAAGGCAAATAAAATGGTTGACGATTTTTCAAGAATTTGACAGACATTTTAGTTGTCTGCCTAATATTCATTATCCTGTGCTTTGTTTCTAAAACAAATTCTGATGTTTTTAAGAAAGCAAGTACTCAACCTTTTTTTTTTTTTAGATTACTTTGGCCAGCCTCTTTTGCAACTGGGGGTGTGTAAAGAGGGACATAGTTCTAGCAATGTAATGTGTGTAGATGTTGCTCTGAGGAAAGCTCTTGAAAGGGATTAATAAACCTTTTGCCTTTTGCATTCATCTCTTTTTCCTGCTTGGAATGCAGAGGGAGTTGAAGCTGGAGCAGCTATCTTGTGCTATGGATCAGTAATGTAAAGCAAATCCATTTGCGAGGATGACAGCAGAAGAATAGGAGTTGAGACTTATGTCATTGTGAAATCCTTGGACTAACCCTGGATTGCCTACATTTGGACTGATTTTAATCAAAGAAGAGTTTACCCACTTTCATTAAACAATTACAGCTTGAGTTCTATTACACTCAGCTGAATGCAATACTGAACGGACACATAGCTTGTCTTCTTTTTATTACGGTTTCAAGACAGAACAAACATCTTTGCATTTCCATATGATGACAGAACTATGCAAACGATTTGAAGATTTTTAAAACACAATTTATGGCCATACTTACAAGGATTCAAATATCTAGTAACTTTTGTTAGAATTGCTATGATTTTAGCCAACAAAAGGAACACAGACGAGGAATTTAGGGCAAAATAAATTCTGATGTACCAATTGTAGGCACATTTGTTTATCTTTAAATTATTTCCCCAAACATAAACATTACCTTATTATTTTAAAGTGCTATTTGTTCTATACCAACAAATTCTGTCATCACCAGGGAATGTGTTTTTCCCTCCAGTGGTGCTGATAGATTTGTGTTTTACTTTCAGCTCTGCAGAGCTGTCTCCAGATTTCCTTGAGGAATATTCACATATGCTTTTACAAGCAGTTGTTAGTCCACTGCGAAAATTTTTTCCAGAGCTGACTCAAGGGTCTTGCCTTTAGTTTCCCTTGTTCTCCTTCTTATTAAATAATCTCAGAGATTTTGTACATGCCCATCTGGGGGTTTTCCATTCTAGTTGTATTGGATTTTGTGTCAATATATCTACCATGTCAAAACCAGAAATGTAAACTTCAAGAGCCCCCAGGTGCTAACACTGCAAAATCTAGGCCAAAATCTAGACAGAGGTTTAGCATCGTGAAATCTTAAAGCGGCAGGGACCGTTGGGATTATGTTACTTAAACCCTCATGTCAAGGTGCATAGACAAAGGCTAAGAAGGTAGAGGGCCTATTCTACACTATAATCTGAGTCAGGGAGCTGGGAACAGAACCTTAATTTCCAGTTTAGTGTCCTTTCTAGCCTTTATATTTATCTTTCTTTCCTCTATTTAGGTCTTCCCCCCGATACTTGGTTTTTCTTTGAACTTCCTTCCAAGTGACCATTTATAGTCTTTTGTATTGAGGTCTCAGAGTCTTACTAAGAATTCCCTTCCTGGCATTGCTACCCCTTCTTGTATTTTATTTTATTTTATTTATTTTATTATTATTATTTTTGAAATGGAATCTCACTCTGTCGCCCAGGCTGGAGTGCAGTGGAACAATCTCGGCTCACAGCAATCTCTGCCTCCTGGGTTCAAACAATTCTCCTGTCTCAGCCTCCCAAGTAGCTGGGATTACAGGAACCCACCACCACACCCAGCTAATTTTTATATTTTTAGTAGAGATGGGGTTTCACCATGTTGGCCAGGCTGGTCTTGAACTCCTGACCTCAGGCGATCCGCCCACCTTGGCCTCCCAAAGTGCTGGGATTACAGGTGTGAGCCACCACTCCCGGCCCCATTCTTGTATTTTAAAGAATTACTAAATTAGGTTCCTATGTCTGCTCTAATAAAATACCACAAACTTGATAGCCTAAAACACACATTTATTCTTTTACAGTAATGTAGAACAGGAGTCAGAAATGGCTTTCACATGAAAAAATCAACAACAACAAAGCCTCACAAAAAACAAACAAAAAAGAAATGGCTTTCGCTAAGCTGAAATCAAGGTATCAGTAGGTCTGTGCACACTCCAGGAATATATGTTTCCTTGCATGTTTTAGACTCCAGTATTGCTTGGCTTGTTGTTTCTTCCTCCACCTTCAAAGAACGTCCTTCCAATTTCTGCTTTCATCTCTGCTAAAACTGAATCTCACTCTGCCTGTCTCTTATAAGGACACTTGTGATTACCTTTAGGGCACAGTGGATAATCCAGGATAATCTTCCCACCTCAAGAGCCTTAACCTAATCACACCTGCAAAGTTACTTTTGCCAAATAAGGTAACAACATTTTTGGTGATTATTATTCAGCTGATCACAAGTACTCATTCCGTTTCTTGACCTTTTTTGGCCACCATGTTCCAGGGTGCACTAACATCTGAGTACATCTTCTGAACACAATTTATATCCCCAAATTAAGATATTTGTATAGGCCAAAGCATTTGTCTGCATTTTAAAACTTGTTCTGAGGATGATTCTGTCTTTGTCAAGATGACAGACCTATACTGTATAAAATTTAGACCGCTTAGTTATCGTATTTTTCTGCCATAAGGAATAGAGAAAACAATGCCAGTTGAGAGAGAAGCAGGGGCGGGGGGAGAGGGGTGGGGAGGAGAGAGGGAGAGAGAGAGAATGAATATGATTGAAGAACATATACAGCAGAGACGGGGGTGCGAGACCTACCATGATCCTAATGCCATTCTTGAGGCCCATCTACCGTCTGAGTTTCTGCCCTTACCTTGGTCTGCTGGTCAAGTCTTCCTTAGTTTCTGCAAGACACTTTCACATCTTAACAAAAATTTTATTTTCTTCTGTTAAGCCTGATTTTGTTGCTCTCAATTAAGAGCCTTAGCAAATGTAAGAATATAAATATTGAGAGAGAACATGGCTGTTATCAGGTTAGGAAGGCCAAGACTTGTAGATAAGAATCAAACTTTGCATCCCTTGACATTGGATATTGGGCAGTCTCCGGGCTGACAACTGGGAGGTGAGACACAGCTTCCAAGACACTTTGTTAATGTGTCTTGTAAATGGTTTAGAAAAGTCTAGGTGTTATCTAGTAAGAGCAGGTGATTTTGACAACCAAAAAGTTGGGAGGGGAATATTTGTGGCATTAACAGAATGGTTTTTTCTATTTCTTGAAGCACTGTTACTTAATCTCTTAATATTAATATCTTAGTTCAAGGTATTTTAGCAAAAGGACAGGTATTTCATTAGGAACAGTCTGTTAAAGTAAAGAAAGAGGACAACATGGAGAAGCTCCTAACCTCCTTGAAAGTCCCTAATTACAAACAACATCCTTGAAGTTGTTTTGGAGATTTTATTTAGAACTCAGGTAAGCAGACTTCCAAAGGCCATATGGAAGAACTTTCTTGATTCTCACTTTTCAGTTGCAAACCTGTCTGAAAATGTTTCCAATTTAAAATAACGTTAATAATCCCTTAACTGGCAACAGATAGCCAGCCAGAGGAAGAATGGGGAAGAAAAGGTGCCTCGGGAGAGGGGGCTGACAAGGGTAATTGTGGCGGAGGGGGCAGTGACAGGATTCCCATTCCTATGGTTTTGTCTAGGGTTGGCTGCCCCACTCATAACCATTTCATATGTCTAATGCCCAAGGGTGGAAACCTATATTCTTTCAAACTTGATGAACAGCAATCAAGTTTTGTTTTTAATGCATATAGTCTACCACTTCAGTGGGATTTGAGAGACTTTCAAATTGAAGAGGAAAATTTAGCTGGCATACCTAGTATCAAGTCTGGCAGCATGTATGACACCCTTCTTAACCCAAGAACTACCTGATTTATCAATGTCTAACTTTCCAGACTTCTCGGGAGTCAATCAGTAATCCCCACCTAATGCAGAATGAATTATAGCATCTAGGACACTGGAAAAAGAAAAGAAATTCTTATGAAATAAAAGGGATGAAGAAGATTGCCAAAGGGGTTGGGGGCCGTGCCCGTGCATTGGGGATGCTGGTGGGGCAGGGTGAGGGGAGAGACGATGACAAGGAGTTCAAGGCAGCGAGAAGAAGGGGAAATCCTTTGAACAAAATGGCATGACAGCCCACTACATTTTCCCCAGGAGGAGGCTAATCCTCCTTGCAGCATAGAGCAATTTAAGAGTTCTGCTTTTTTCCTTGTTTCCTGTGAGGGATGGAGACTCCTCATTGCTGGGGTTTCATTATAAATGTGACCTCAACTGACATGGCATCTCTTAATAAGGGGCAAGTCCTTCATGTATTTTTGATAGTGCACCAGTGACAAAATCCCTCTCAGTTTAGCAGAAAAATACCGCAAGAGTAAATTGTCAATGACAATATCAGTATACTCACTGGGCTTCAGGGATTAAGTGAATAGCAGCCATGGCCAGACCCTGACATGGCTTCAGGCACTTAAAAAAAAAAAAAAAAAAGCGGTCAAATTAAAGCCACATATATGAGGGGAGGGAAGCCTTCCTACCCCAGCAGGGAGATACCTTGATTAAAGCTCAGTCTGACCTTCCTGCTTCATCTCCACAGAAATTGAGACACATTTCCTAAATGGCAGGACTTTACAGAATCATAATGAGCAAGGACCAGGATGCTTTGCGTTAAATTTCCATCTTCATTCCTGGAGCAGGCAAAGGAGAAAATAAGAGAAGGTCTCTATTATTTGTTATCAAAAGAACAATGCAGCCCTCCCCTGTTTCTTTTGTGCAGAGACAGAATTATCTATGAAACAAGTAATTCATTCCTGGCCCCTTTAGGTAGCTTTTTTTGCACAGCTGATTTCTTAGGTTATTATTACTTAGTGGATGCCAGTAGTTTGATGGGAAATCTCCTTTTTTGAGGGTAATAGGTATTAGTAAATAATTCACCCTGGAAAACAACCCAAGCTTCAGGGAATTTAAAACAAAAACAAAACCCAACAAAACAAATCTGTTTTATAGATAATAAGGGTAAAAAACAGAGGATTTTACTTTTAGGTTCTTTGATGTTTCATTAAATCAAAATTACTTAAATTACAAAATGCTTAAGTAGTCTATGCAGACAGTAAGATTTGAGATTAAAATAACTTTTACCAATTTGGAAAATATATTTACTGCAAAATTCAATTTTTCTTTTTGTGTGTTAAAATTAAAGACAATAAAAACTGAATTCTTATATTATTAATACCCTCCTAACTTTATTTCCATATGAACTATAGAACCTGGCACCTTTTTGGTACTCAGTCAAGATGAAAACATTGTAATTTAATTGCCTTGGAAACAAGGTTCTAAATTGTATAAATATATATATTTTTAAGTTGAAAACAGTACCTCTATCCATCGTATGTTTACATAAGCAGTACATGTTGCTGTAAGTTTTTGGTGAATATATACTCACCCAAGAGAGGAAGATAAATTTTCTGAGGGTAAACAATGCTTAATAAAGAGAAAAATTCTATCAGCTTGTGTAGAATGAGATTACATAATCTCGAACAGCTCTCCACTGTCCCCATTGTCATTTAACACATTCTTTATGCTGGGTCAGGTCTGTGTTCTTGCAAATGATAAGCATGTGTGCAGTAGAATCTCACCTGTGCCTGCATAGAGGAGGAATGTATTCTGTTCACATCAGTGTTCCCAGATGAAGCCAAACATGTTTGTGTTTAGCAGCCATTGGTATGAAAGGAAAAAAAAATCTGGAGTGGAGAACGGAAGCAAAACACACCAACGTACTTTTCAAAACTGAGGACGTGCTGCTCTCTTGTGGAAATCTGTATTGCCAACTTGTAAAGCCTGGGCTGAGTTGCTTATGATTTTCCTAGACAAGACCTGGTTTAAAGTGGTCCACTTTGTCAGAATCTCAGAACCATATCTGAAATTTGAGTGCCATCCATACACAGGATTTCATTCATCATCTTGATGCAGAATCAAATCTACACCTAAAGGCTAGACTTGACCATTGTTCTTTTAAAAATGTTCGTTACATCTTTGTATGCAATAGAGTGTCTGTTCTTTTTCTTCAACCACCTCCTCTTCTACCTGGCATTGGTGTCTTTGAGTTATTGTGAATAGAGTTTAAGGCTTTCTTGATACAATAAACTAGGGAAATCTGGACTTTTTTTTTTTAAAAAAACATAGTTAATTCATGTACAAAAGTTGAAATAAATGGTAGGCAAGTAAAAGTTTAAAAAAATTGTAGCCAACAGCTGAGGAGATGCAAAGGCAATGAAATTATCTTCTGTCTTCCCTCCATTTCCACCTCTGCTTTCAACTGTCCTTTTTTTACTTTAGCCTTTCCCTTGGCTCACAGAAGAGTTGGGATCATATTTATATACTTTGTCCTAACCTGAGATTTGCTGGGTATATTTGCCAATTTGTTTTTGTTGGGTAATTTGTATTCTTTATATATATTCTGGGTTCTAATCCTTTGTCTTGGAGGCACAATGGAAATAACTTCACTCAATCTCTTATATTTTAATTTTGTTATGCCTTTTGCAACAAAGTTATAAATTTTAATATTGCCAAAATTATTAATATTTTCCTTTATGCCTTTTAAGAAGACCTACCAAGTCCCCAGGAAAAATATATCCATTGTCTTATATTTTCCATATCAAACTTCTTAATTCAATATTTTCATTCATTCCATTCATATTATCCCAATGTATGCTTGTATGAGCATCTCTGTTCAAGTACGTATTTATTTTATAGATTTACAGTGGATTTATTGTACACTGAATTTCAAAACATAATACATACAGATTCTTGAACAGGAAATTTTCAGGTACACATTTAGTGCAATATAGATGGACAATTTGGATGATAAAGAAAGTATTTACTTTCTGTTGAAACGAATAACAATATTTGATTAGGTAAAAATATATAGTCACTAAGTTTTTGTAATAGCGTACGTGATGATGCTTGTATTCTATTCCACATTATTCCTAATGATGTGCTATTCAATGGCTTCTTTTTTCTTTTCTTTCTTTTTTTTTTTTTTTTTAGCATTTTGGCATTTGAGGATTATCTAAATTTTTATCATCCTGATTGACTATTTTTTAAAATTAGAAATTCATATCCTAAACTTCAGTCTGACATTCATAATGAGGCAGTCACCTGACACCATTCTCCTACATCTGTGGAGTTGCCCTGGTTTACTAATAAGAATTACAGACAAATATTGTGCTAGATGAATTCTTGAAAGGGGAGACTAAAGAATTAACAGTGTTTTCTAAGAATAAAATAAACAGCCTTCTTGACCCAGTAAATGAATGCCATTAGGTGATTTCTACTCAGTCTTTGTACTAGCAATTCAGTCTCAAATAGTGATGACTTTAGTGGAAGGATAAGGACCAATTATGAGAGACTCAGCGATAGTTCTTTGTCCTTGGGTTCTCAGGTGGTTTAGTGCTGCTGAGTTCATCTGTGGCATTCCTGAAATAACTGAAGCCTGAATTCCATTTCATAACCAGTACTGGAAAAAGTAAGGGTCCAAAGAGGAAAAGCATAGAAAGCCACATTAAGCAGTTACCTGCAATGCTACAGCCTGATGAGAGGCATGAGGTACTGTTACATGTCCTCTCTATTCTGGGCAAAAAGTGTTTTTCAGTTTCAAGTCTTTGTAAGGCTACACTTCCAGCTTTTACTTCAGTCAGAAAGAATCAGTGATGTGATCTCAAACTGCTGGGATTCTGAAATGGCCTAATTTTAATTCAAAGTAGTTTTCTTTAGCATAAAAAGATGAATCATTCAGTTAGCATAAAGTGGTATCTTGGGAGGTATAGGAACATGATCCATCTTCCATCTTGCATTGCTAACTGGTGTCTGTTTATCTTCCCTTCCCCTTCCATTTCAGAGGGCAGCAAAGCAGTTCTGTGCATTTTTAGATCCCCACTTTTGCTTGCCATGCATGTGAGCCATAAGCCAGAGTTGATCATCACAAGGCCACACTGAATCTGGTCCACTCACTGGTGGGGACTGGCTCCATGAGGGCTTGATTAATGAAAGCAAAGCAAGAAAGGGAGTGAGCTATACATCTGAAAATGCATGCTTAATAAAGATAGGAGAGTCTAGTCATTTTTTGTTTCCCCTTATCAGTCTCAGCTGTGATTCCTAAATCTTTCCCCGTTGCTTGTTTATATTTCCTTATTGTAGCGTTTTAAACCTCATTTTACCTTCCCATGGCCTTGCTTTTTCCTAGTCTTTTGGTTAATGTTCAGAAATTACACAATTTCGTTACATGTAGCATCCCAAGACTGCCATCTAGTGGAATAAATTGGTCAAGACAACTTTTTATGGTGATCGTTCCCAAAATTTAAATTGGGCACGGTGTCGCTTGAAACAGAAATTCCTCCTTTCATCACAGTTCAAAGCAATGTCTGGGCTCCAACTTATCAAATTCGTGTAGAGAAACTGAAAACTGCGTTTAATTGTCTAAAATGACTGCTGGATATATAACTATGTTTGCTGTTTTATTAAGTTCTGCAGAGCTTCTGAAGAGTTGTAATATTTGCTGTGAAAAGTGAGATGGTGAAACTAATGGAATAAATGGTTTTAGAAGAAAGGGTGAAATTAAGTGCAGGTGTCTTTCCTGGGAAGGATTAAAAATCACAGAGCCATTTTGTCCTAGAAAAAACTTTTTTCAAAAATACGTCGTCAACCTTCTCATTAACTGTATCACGTGGAGTATTTTCACTGTGACAGATGCTCTTGCAAAGACTAAAGGAACACGTAGCTATTCCTATGGTATAATATAGTATCAGATGGTTTTATTTATGTAATTCACTCATTTTTTTGCATAGATGAATGTATGTAATTATACAAGGGCATATTATTTGGCTTTCTTTGATCATCAATTAGTGATTTTTTTTGGAAGAAATTCGTCCTGATTGAATTCTGTGATTTTAAAATATAATTCTTGATTATAAAAGTAGCACAAGTTCATTACAGATAACTTGGAAAAATTCAGAAATAATTAAAGAATAAACAAGACACCTATAATTTGTTCTCCAGAAAAACCCTTTTTTATTAGTTTTATATATTTTCCTTCTTCAGACTTTAACCTCTTCATAGATGTAATATATTTACAATTTTTCTTTGACAAAATTTTAATCAGTTTGGTTCTTTTTAAAACTGATATTTCAAGATAAACATTTTTTCCACGTGATTCAAGAACTAAATTTTTAATGACTATAAAATAGTTTTCATAGTTTTATATGAGATTTATTTAACCAATTCTAATTACTAAAAGTAGAGGCTATTTCCAAATGTTTTTCTCTTATAAATAATGCCACCTTGAAGTGATGTGTATTTTGTTGAGAGTTTGATTATTTTCTAATGTCAGGTTCTCTTGAAATTTAAGGCTGTGGAGACACAATTCACCTCTCCGAAAAAGTGGAGCAGAGAAATACATTACTCTCCTTTGGGATTCATCAGCATTAAGAACAATGGACAGAAACAGAATTCACAACATTATGTGATGAATGTTTTTCTTCACATTTTATGAAATCTCCTGCTAGCCTTACTCTGCATTTACCTGTTAGACAAGCTCAGCTTTATGTTGTTGGATCACGAATTCCCTAAGAAGTGTGTGTAGAACAGGCTCCTTAATTTCTAGATGTACGTGATATATCTGTGGCTTCTCAAACATCAACTAACAAAGGCCCCTTGGCAGTTTTATTATGAAGAGCCCAAATGGATCCTCTTGTTTTTTATTTAAGTCAATTGCCCATTTTTCTGTCAGAGCTGCTAGGCAAAACAGGCTTGGCAAGTTTATCCTCAAAACCATTTAGAGTAATTTGTGAGGGAGATTGGAGACACTTCAGTTGCCCATCAGCTGCTTTGGAGTCAATCACCATGGTGGAGGTAAATTAATCTCATGGCTTTCTCTCTGGAGAAACCTTTGTGCAAACAGTCTTGTCAAAGAGAAATGTGATGGCTCTCAGTAATATTAAATAGAAGTTGAAGCAGGTTTTCTTTAAGCTAGACAAAGCTACTGTTGATTCTTACAGTTGATTGCCAGCCTTGCCTTGAGAAGATCTGGAAATACTGAATCATCTAGCTCTTAAAGGCCTGGAATTTGGAATATGTCCACGCAAAATATTTGAGGTGTGGTATTGCCAATTATAATGTTGCGGTTTGCTAAAGAAGTTCTTGATGTTTTATGTGCAAAAACATAATTTTTGGAAACTCAGGCAACTAAGAGAAGCTTAAAATTGTTTAAGCCAATTGACTCTATCATATGAATAAGCATATTTTACAATGCAGTGGTTTTATCCCAGGAAACAGGATGGAGCTCAAATTATACAGTTCAGGCCATCCCAGCCTGAAATATATATTCTTTTTGGTGGTTTTCCATTGTTCTTTGAAAACTTGACAGAACTTTTTGAAAGTGGAAGAAATAAAGCTGGAGTAGGCCAATTTTGCTCACAAATTCACTGAGCTATACTCACTAGATAAGTCATCATTAAGTCTGTACATGGCACAGACATCTTTGTTTCTTAAAGAACACTTTTTACTTTTAAAATGATCCTTCTTTTTCCCCTTGGAAGGCTTTATGTGAAGACAAGAAATTTTGGATTCACTGTACCCTGCTCTGTATTCGAGGTAAATAGCTCAGACTGGAAGTGTTTCTCCTTGTGATCTTAATGACAAGTAGGACATGAGCAGTTTAAATGCCTCACCCTGCAGGATGATGATAATAGCCTGAGTTTGTATGTATCTCATTTGATCCTTGCCCCAGCTGGTAAGAAAGGCAAGGCAGAAAGTAATCGGCCCAGTTTTATATAGGAGGATAGATAAGGTGACTTGTTTAGTCATATGACTAATGAGTGACACAAGGAGAACTCTCACTTAGACTTTAGTGTTTTGCTTCTCCTAAACTGCAGTTTGTCTTTTCTTCTCTTTCTTTTCTCATTTCCCTCCTCTCTTCTCTTCTTCACCTCCCCTCCCCTCCTATTCCTCTCCGTTCCTTTCCCGCACTACCCATTCCCTTTCCTTCTAGGAAAAGAACAGTTGCAAAGGTTCACTGGAGAGACTATAGAATCTCTGGACTAAGTGTTTCTATAAAGGCATGATTAGGAATGATTACATTTTCAAAAAGTGATCATAATCATATTTACAACTATTCTTCTATGTCTATACATGAAAAGACTTAGAGGTTAACCAGTTTCTAATCTGAGGTTATTTTTAAAAATAATTCAAGATATAAAATAAAAAAATTGTGTAAGCCTTTAAAATAAACAATTACTGCAGAGTTTTCCAATTTGGAATTTGTATGTATATTGGCAACATCTGTGTAGCTACTTAGTAAGAGCATAAATATAAATGGATGTGATAGGCTGAGTATGTCCCTCCCCAAAAAAGATCCCTAGAATCACCAAAGATACTATCTTACATGGTAAAAGGGACTTTGCAAGTGTGATTAAGTGAAGGATCTTAAGATGGGGAAGTTGTTCTGAATTTTCAGAGTTGGCCCAAAGCAATCACAAAGGAGGAAGGAAGATCAGAGATAATAGTAGGAAATGTGACAAGGGAAGCAAGAAGCTAAAGTGATGAAATGAAGGGGCCAAGGAGGGAATGCAGGAAGCCTCTAGAAGGTGAAAAAGGCAAAGAAAAAAATTCTCCCCATGAACTTCCAGAAGGAGTCCAGCCCTGATGTTCCCTTAATTTTAGACTTTTGTTCTCCAGTGTTTGTGTTGTTTTAAGCCACTAAATTTGTGGCTTAAATAATTTTAAAAATAAATCATTAAAATTTATTATTAAAATAAGATAATTTGTTATAGTAGTGTTAGACAACTAAAACAGTGAGAATTTATCTTAGTTTTTTTTTCAAAATCCAGAGCACCTTAGTCAAGCATATGAGTATCTAGTTTATTAAAGACAACACTCTCCTTCACTACATTGTTTTATGTAGATTTATGACATCTTAATTACTTGCTGAGGTTCAGTTTTTGTTTATTTGAAATAATCTTTTTTTATTATACTTTAAGTTTTAGGGTACATGTGCAGAACGTGCAGGTTTGTTACATAGGTATACTTGTGTCATGGTGGTTTGCTGCACCCATCAACCGGTTATCTACATTAGGTATTTCTACTAATCCTATCCCTCCTCAGCACCCCCACCCCTGACAGGCCCCAGTGTGTGATGTTTCCCTCCCTGTGTCCATGTGTTCTCATTGTTCAACTCCCACTTATGAGTGAGAACATGTGGCATTTGGTTTTCTGTTCTTGTGTTAGTTTGCTGAGAATGATGATTTCCAGCTTCATCCATGTCCCTGCAAAGGACATGAGCTCATCCTTTTTTATGGCTGCATAAAATATAGTATTCCATGGTGTATATGTGCCACATTTTCTTTATCCAGTCTATCACTGATGGGCATTTGGGTTGGTTCCAAGTCTTTGCTATTGTGAACAGTGCCACAATAAACATACATGTGCATGTGCCTTTATAGTAGAATGATTTATAATCCTTTGCATATATATCCAGTAATGGGATTCCTGGGTCAGATTTCTGGTTCTAGATCCTCGAGGAATCGCCACCCTGTCTTCCACAATGGTTGAACTAATTTATAGTCCCACCAACAATGTAAAAGCATTCCTATTTCTTCACATCCTCTCCAGCATCTGTTGTTTCCTGACTTTAATGATTGCCATTCTAACTGGTGTGAGATGGTATCTCACTGTGGTTTTGATTTGCATTTCTCTAATGGCCAGTGATGACGAGCTTTTTTTCATATGTTTGTTGGCTGCATAAATGTCTTCTTGTGAGAAGTGTCTGTTCACATCCTTAGCCCACTTTTGGATGTTTTTTTTTTTTTTTTGTAAATTTGTTTAAGTTCTTTATAGATTCTGGATATTAGCTCTTCGTCAGATGCATAGATTGCAAAAATTTTTTCCCATTTTATAGGTTGCCTATTCACTCTGATGATAGTTTCTTTTGCTGTGTAGAAGCTCTTCATTTTAATTAGATCCCATTTGTCAATTTTAGCTTTTGTGGCCATTGCTTTTGCTGTTTTAGTCATGAAGTCTTTGCCCATGCCTATGTCCTGAATGGTATTGCCTAAGTTTTCTTCCAGGGTTTTTATGGTTTTAGGTCCTATGTTTAAGTCTTTAGTCCATCTTGAGTTAATTTTTGTATAAGGTGTAAGGAAGGGGTCCAGTTTCAGCTTTCTGCATATGGCTAGCCAGTTTTCCCAACACCATTTATTAAATAGGGAATCCTTTCCCTATTGCTGTTTTTGTCAGGTTTGTCAAAGATCAGATGGTTGTAGACATGTGGTGTTATTTTTGTGGCCTTAGTTCTGTTCCATTGGTCTATATATCTCTTTTGGTACCAGTGCCGTGCTGTTTTGGTTACTGTAGCCCTGTAGTATAGTTTGAAGTCAGGTAGCATGATGCCTCCAGCTTTGTTCTTTTTGCTTAGGATTGTCTTGGCTACGTGGGCTCTTTTTTGGTTCCACACGAAATTTAAAGTAGTTTTTTCTAATTCTGTGAAGAAAGTCAATGGTAGCTTGATGGGTATAGCATTGTATCCATAAATTACTTTGGGCCGTATGGCCATTTTCACAACATTGATTCTTTCTATCCATGAGCATGGAATTTTTTTCTATTTGATTGTGTCCTCTCTTTTTCCTTGAGCAGTGGTTTGTAGTTCTCCTTGAAGAAGTCCTTCACATCCCCTGTAAGTTGTATTCCTAGGTATTTCATTCTCTTTGTAGCAATTGTGAATGGGAGTTCACTCATGATTTGGCTCTCTGTTTGTCTATTATTGGTGTATAGCAATGCTTATGATTTTTGCACATTGATTTTGTATCCTGAGACGTTGCTGAAGTTGCTTATCAGCTTAAGGAGATTTTGGGCTGAGACGATGGGGTTTTCTAAATATACAATTCATGTCATCTGCAAAAAGAGACAATTTGACTTCCTCTCTTCCTATTTGAATACCCTTCATTTCTTACTCTTGCCTGATTGCCATGGCCAGAACTTCCAATATTATGTTGAATAGGAGTGGTGAGAGAGGGCATCCTTGTGCCGGTTTTCAAAGGGAATGCTTCCAGTTATTGCCCATTTCGTATGATATTGGCTGTGGGTTTGTCATAAATAGCTCTTAATATTTTGAGATACGTTACATCAATACCTAGTTTATTGAGAGTTTTTAGCATGAAAGGGTGTTGAATTTTGTCAAAGGCCTTTTCTGCATCTATTGAGATAATCGTGTGGTTTTTGTCACTGGTTCTCTTTATGTGATGGATTATGTTTATTGATTTACATATGTTGAACCAGCCTTGCATCCCAGGGATGAAGCCAACTCGATCGTGGTGGAGAAGCTTTTTGATGTGCTGCTGGATTCAGTTTGCCAGTGTATTATTGAGGATTTTTGCATTGATGTTCATCAGGGATATTGGCCTGAAATTTTCTTTTTTTTGTTGTGTCTTGGTATCAGGATGATGCTGGCCTCATAAAATGAGTTAGGAAGGATTCCCTCTTTTTCTATTGTTTGGAATAGTTTCAGAAGGAATGGTACCAGCTCCTCTTTGTACCTGTGGTAGAACTGGGCTGTGAATCCATGTGGTCCTGGACTTTTTTTGGTTGGTAGGCTATTAATTACTGCCTCAATTTTAGAACTTGCTATTTGTCTATTCAGGGATTTTACTTCTTCCTGGTTTAGACTTGGGAGGGTGTGTGTGTCTAGGAATTTATCAATTTCTTCTAGATTTTCTATTTTATTTGCATAGAGGTGTTTATAGTATTCTCAGATGGTAGTTTGTATTTCTGTGGGATCAGTGGTTACAACTCCTTTATCACTTTTTATTGCATCTATTTGATTTTTCTCTCTTTTCTTGTTTATTTAGTCTGGCTAGCAGTCTATCGATCTTTCAAAAAAACAGCTCCTGATTTCATTGATTTTTTGAAGGGTTTTTCATGTCTCTATCTCCTTCAGTTCTGCTCTGATCTTAGTTATTTCTTGTCTTCTGCTAGCTTTTGAATTTGTTTGCTCTTGCTTCTCTAGTTCTTTTGTGATATTAGGGTGCCGATTTTAGATCTTTCCTGCTTTCTCTTGTGGGCATTTATTGCTATAAATTTCCCTCTAAACACCGCTTTAGCTGTGTCCCAGAGATTCTGGTACATTGTGTCTTTGTTCTCATTTGCTTCAAATAACTTATTTATTTCTGCCTTAATTTTGTTATTTACCTTAATTTCGTTATTTATCCAGTAGTCATTCAGGAGCAAGTTGTTCAATTTCCATGTAGTTGTGTGGTTTTGAGTGAGTTTCTTAATCCTGAGTTCTAATTTGATTGCAGTGTGGTCTGAGAGACTGTTCATTATGATTTCCATCCTTTTGCATTTGCTGAGGAGTGTTTTACTTCCAATTATGTGGTCAATTTTAGAGTAAGTGAGATGAGGTACTGAGAAGAAGGTATATTCTGTTGATTTGGGGTGGAGAGTTCTGCAGATGTCTATTAGGTCCTTTTGGTCCAGAGCTGAGTCCAAGTCCTTAACATTCTTGTTAATTTTCTGTCTAAAATTTTCTGTCTGAATCTGGGTGCTCCTGTATCGGGTGCATGTGTATTTAGGATAGTTGGCTCTTCTTGTTGCACTGATTCCTTTACCATTATGTAATGCCTTTCTTTATCTCTTTTGATCTTTGTTGGTTTAAAGTCGGCTTTATCAGAGACTAGGCTTGCAACCCCTGCTTTTCTTTTTTATTTTTGTTTTTGCTTTCCATTTGCTTGGTAAATCTTCCTCTATCCATTTATTTTGAGCCTATGTGTGTCTTTGCATGTGAGATGGGTCTCCTGAATACAGCACACTGATGGGTCTTGACTCTTTATCCAATTTGCCTGTCATTTAGTCCGTTTACATTTAAGGTTAATATTGTTATGTGTGAATTTGATACTGTCCTTATGATCCTAGCTGGTTATTTTGCCCGTTAGTTGATGCAGTTTCTTCGTAGTGTCGATGTTCTTTACAATTTGGAATGTTTTTGCAGTGGCTGGCACCAGTTTTTCCTTTCCATGTTTAGTGCTTCCTTCGGGAGTTCTTGTAAAGCAGGCCTGGTGGTGACAAAATCTCTCAGCATTTGCTTGTCTGTAAAGGATTTTATTTCTCCTTTGCTTGTGAAGCTTAGTTTGGCTGAATATGAAATTCTTGGTTGAAAATTCTTTTCTTTAGGAATGTTGAATATTGGCCCCCACTCTCTTCTGGCTTGTAGGGTTTCTTCCAAGACATCCACTGTTAGTCTGATGGGATTCTCTTTGTGGGTAACCCGACTTTTCTCTCTGGCTGCCCTTAAGAGTTTTTCCTTCATTTCAACCTTGGTGAATCTGATGATTATGTGTCTTGGGGTTGCTCTTCTCGAGGAGTATCTTTGTGGTGTTCTTTGTATTTCCTGAATCAGAATGTTGGCCTGTCTTGCTAGGTTAGAGATATTTTCCTGGATAACATCCTGAAGTGTGTTTTCCAACTTGTTTCCATTCGCCCCATCACTTTCAGGTACACTAGTAAAACGTAGGTTTGGTCTTTTCACATAGTTCCATATTTCTTGGAGGCTGTGTTCATTCCTTTTTCTCTAGTCTTGTCTTCGAGCTTTATCTCATTAAGTTGATCTTCAGTCTCTGATATCCTTTATTCTGCTTGATTGATTTGGCTATTGATACTTGTGTATGCTTCACGAAATTAATCTTTACAAAGGAAAATTTCATTTTTTTCCAGAAAAGTGTCCTCCACCACAACAAACATTACTCAGAAATGAGTTTATTGTTTTTTGAATGAAAATGTTAAATTTTGTTATGAAAATAATATTTACCTTCTATATACATTCTAGTAAATAAAAAGGCATAAATAAGAAAGTGAAAGTTGTCTGTAATCCTCTCATAACTGGGAAATGCTGTGATGTCAAACACAATGTGATTATCTTGTTGGGGTATGTACTTCCCCAGCTGCTCAGAGAATGAAGCCTGTGGAAGTAGGCTTTGCACTAGAAGGTGAGCTTGGGGATTCAGGGAAGTAACACTAACAAATATCAAGGGTCTGGGTGGAATTGCTCTAAACTGTCCTGGTGAGCAATGAACCAGGAAAGGGGAGTCTGACAAGGAACCCTGAAGATACAGCTGAGCTTATGCCTGCTATGTGTAGCCATAAATAATGCTGCTTGTAAATATGCTCTTTCCTTCCTTTGTCTCAGATCCTTCTGTAAAGTCTTGGTGAAACCAATGGACTGGTTTCTGTTGTGCTCTGGATAATTAATTGAAAATCTGCCTCTGGGCTGAAGTCACAGAGGTGAGGGTACTCTCCATCCCCTGGAAGCCTGGGTGTTACTTGCAGCTGAAGGAGGAGACACTTAGTGTTAAGTGACTCCTCCTAACACTGGGAAATGCTCCTGCTGCTGCCGAAGCACCAAGATGCTCTGCCAATCAGCCATTCAGCACCAGCTCTGAAGCCACTCTTCTACATAGTCACTTATCTTCCAGGGTGCAGTCTCCAGAGTCCTCGGAGATGACCTGTAGGGACCTCCCAGCACTGGAAAGGCTTCGTGCTTGTTGTTATGTAGATAGTACAGAGGTAAATGCAATGAGAGAGCAGCTGGGATGCTATGTGGACCCCTACACCCCAATTAGAGAGTCAAATCGTATTCTTTTTGAGTTTCCTGTTGTGAGATTACATGACTGTCTTCAGTCCTTTCCAGGAAACAGAGGCAGAAGGAAGCCTGCATGGATATGAGTCCCATGGCATTTACCTTATCTTGTATCTCAGCAGTGGAGAAATGCATTGGCAGTAGGCAGTTCAGAGGTACTTGCCGGCCCCAGGTTTCTGTTGTCTAACCCAAACTCACAATGGTGACCAGCTGAGGAGGCAGCAGCAAGGTGGCATGGTGGAGAAGCTGGCGCTAAAGCATGTGAGGCACTTGTGTCTAAACCATCTGTGATAGTGTCCTGGAGATTTAGAAGTAGCTAGTGTTCATGGCAAGGAGGGATTAATTTCCGACAGGCGATGGAAGCTCAACTGTGTTCACTTCGGCATCAAATGTAAAGTGATGCCATTTGGAAGTTGGGGGTCTGCCTTTTATACTGGCAAGTTGTCATCCACAAGGGCAGCAGTGGAAAATCCCTATGTCATGTATAGCTGTAAGTTTTGAGGGAGCAAGGAAAAACCTGCGGGGCTGCCTTGTATGGCTATTTAGGTTTTGCTCTGCACAGTTTCTGTGATATACATAATATTCTCTGGAGTTTTACAGTGCAGCTGCCCTGCCACCTCACTTCTCTGTATAAATTTCAGTGTTGTATAATAATTAATTTGCTTAGGCTGACATTATATATCACACACTTCAGTACTGAAACCCTCAGGGGTTTGCCATTGTCTTAAAAGAAATTTGATGTCAATCTGTTTAAAGATGAGACATCTATGAAATGTGTGTGTTTATACATGTGTGACTCTCTCTCTCTCTCTCTCTCTCTTTCTCTGTGTGTGTGTGTGTGTGTGTGTGTGTGTGTGTGTGTGTGTGTGTGTGTGACATAACCAGCTTTTTTTTAAGGGGCTTTCCTGGGAATCAAACCAAGATATAATAGTAAATGCATGTATAATCAGTTGGGTTCCCTCCTATTGTTTTTGATAAGGGCCAGGCACAGAAATTAACAATTAGGAGGTGCTAGATATGGCTCTTTTGGAGATGGTTGGGGTGAGATAAGTGGTTATATGGCCCTAGTTTTTCTTTTCAAAATTTAAGGCATTTCATTATGTGTTTTGGGAAATACACATTGAATTTCCATGGCTGTTAAAATTTCTGGATGTAGATAACATCTTGCATTACATATTGTGTACTCAACCATTGACTTAGAAAGGAATGGTAGTAAAATTAATCCAAAACATAAAATAATCCCAAACAGGCTTTATTTAATGATGGAATGGAAAGTAGCAGCTTGGTGTAGTGGCTCTCAGATAGAAAGGTAACTCATTCAGAAGCTGGGCTGTGAAGACCTCTTGCAGGTGTTAGACATGACCAGGTTAGCTTCATCTCTTTCACTGAATGCCTCATGTAATTTCACTCCAAGTTGAGAATGGGTAATGCTGACTCTGAAGTGGATAGAGAGCATTGTGCAGGTGAGAGAGGCCAGGTTACCAAGGCCTGCTCATGGCTTCAAGAATGCCATTTTTTTTCTTGGCTTATGTGATTTCTCAGGTTCTACCCCAACCAGTGCAAATAACTAGGTAAGGAAAAAAGAAAGTAGACATAGCTCCCGGTTGCTTCTCTTGTTCTTCAACAAAATCCACCTAAAATTTGGTCAATGCAGTCTATGTGGAACTGAGAATCCTCTAGGTCACAGGAGCTTAGAGCAGGAACACCCTGCTTTTTTATTATTAGGCTGAGTGAACATGTGAGAATGTTGGCATTTATGGGCCCACCTACTACCATGTGAAGGATTCCCAGCTGAGCACGAGTCCCGTGTTCTCATTCCAGCAACTATGCCTACCGAAAACGTAAATCTACTATTCAACTTTCTGGGGGATCAAGATTCATCAGAGTCTCAACTGCCTTTGTTTTTGACTCTCCAGTTAACACCAGTGAGCACTATTCCCATATAGCCTGCAAAGCAAATAGAAGCTGAGTTTAGTGTTGCTTGCTATTGCCACAAACTCTTTGTTCCGGACTCTTGTTGTTCCCCTAAATATATTTTTTACTTCATCCAGAGACATGGCTGATCAATCAGAGACTATATTCCTCAGCCTGCCTTGTGGCTGGGTATAGTCACATGAATGAATTCTCACTGATAACATGTGGGCAGTACCAAGAGGTACCAAGAAGCTGGATCCGTGATGATGTAAGTGAGCCAGGGAGCCCGTCAGTCCTGCAGTGGTCTTGGTTTCCCTGCTAGGCACAGTAATATATGGCTTCACTGCTTAAGCAATTTGAGTTAGGATTACTTGCAGCTGAAAGCACACAAATGAAAACCGAGGTCAACTAGTTTGTCTGTGAACATTTTGTCAGGATTTCCCCCAGAGCAACTGTGACAGATTTATGCTACCTTTTCAGAACTTACAAGTTTAAGTCTATTGCCAAGTGTGTTTTAAATTTATCCTGTCGCATTCCTGCTGCTATTTAAGCACGAGTTTTATTGTCCTGTCAGAGGAGAAAAACTCTGGGTGATTTAGAGTTATTTGGCAAATCTCAGCCACTTCTATTTCAATGTTAATTAATCTCTAGAACTTTAAGACTTTCTTGACAGATCCCATTTTATAACCCTTTAAACTGGACCCAAAGCAGCTGATTATATTCTAGTGTAATTGATCTCTTTTCCTCTTCCTTAAACTATTTTTACTTGGAGCTTCTATGTTTCAAAAACTTGGGGGTAAATTATGGTCCTAACATGACTTCCAACGTCCACAATTATCTGAAGTTAGGAAAAGTCCACTTTAGCTTTCATGAGCAAATCTCCCAAGACCCTGTGAGCTTCCACCTGCTGCCTGGTGACAAAGTTAGTGTCACATGTTTTAGGCATTTGTAAATTCTAGGTATCAAATTTTGTTTTGGTTCTCTATTGCTGAATAGCAAACTGTATACACCTCTGTGGCTTAAAACAACAATAGTTTATTTGGCTCACAAACCTGTGATATAGGCATAGTTTGGTGGGGTCAGCTCATCTCTGTTTGAAGTGAAGACAGGTAAGGTGTCTCAACTTTTAAGACAACTCACTCATCTTGTCCGTTCCGTTAGTATTGGCTATTGGCTGGTAGCTCAGCCACTGTCTGTGATTGGAGGCTTGGTGCTTTTCCATATGGCGCCTCCATGGAGCTACTTGAGACCTTACAGCATGGTGGCTGGATTCCAAGAATAAATGCTCTCAGAGGGTTAAAGTGGAAGCTATCAGTCTCCTAAACACAGAATCCTTTCTACCATATGCCATTGATCAAGCAGTCACATATTCTGCCCACCTTAAAAGGGTAGGATATAGCAGGAGTAGAAAGACTTTGCAAAAGAAAAGATATTAATTTTATCCAGATTTTAAAACCAAGAAAATGGAAACACAAAGATTAATTTCCCCAAGTTTACACAGCTTGTAAGTGGCAGAACTCAACATTTAATCCAGGGAGTGAGGTCACAGACTCCTTGTTCTTAACAAGTACACTTTTATGAGAAAATTTCACAAAGAGAAGCCTTTTACAATTGACTACTATGGTTTAATTTTAAGTCTGCCAATCAAAGCCTCAAGGGAACTGGATCTTAATATGTAAATATAGGAAACACTCCCACTGGTCAGTGAAGACTGGCTTTTATTTCAGTGTGTTGATGTAACAAATTCTAACAGATTTATAAATTTTAAACTTCAACAAATTTTAAATCCTCATTATTTTTATTTTGCTTACAGCTCATCTCACTTCTGAGAAAAATTAACTTTTTATACTATCTGATTTCAAATATAATCTGATCTAATAATTTTAATTGTTCCTTAAGCATTGTTCACTTTTTCTGGGATAAAAAAATTCAGTATTTAAGATCATCTATTTTCTTCCTAGTTGTTTCTGTACCATGATGACATCTGAGTATATGGGCATGCTAAATCTATTCTCTTGGAGGTCTCCCCAAGACTATACATGAGCCTTTTTGACATTTTGAGCACCCAGGGAGAGTGGTGCATCAGATAGCTTATGCTTTTCACTGTGGTCTTCCCCTACCCGTCCCCGCTATCCATTCCTTTTGGTCTGGCATGCCATAAGCCTTTTAAGGTTGTTTTACAGCTACACAGAACCTAGCAGACGCTCTGAAATAACTCCATGAAATTGAAGTGATCTAATTAATGTGTGAAATGTCATAATCTTCTCTTCTATAGAATCTGTTTGGGTGTCTGGAATGGGGTGAGGGGTTGAAGTCTTACTTCCTTATTCTGCTTGCTTTGGGATTGCTGGCATGTGCTGGGGCATCCTTCGGAGCAGTCCTGACTAAAGGTGAGGAGTGGTTGGAGTTCTTGGGAAACAACCCAAGGAAGAAGACTACTTTTATTTTCTCAGGTTGTAGAAACAGGTAACCTGATCGGTACATGAAAGACGTCGTGGTATTTTCTTCACTTTGGGAAAATATCAATCAAATATCAATTTTAGTTTATTTAACTTAATAAATTAATGCTTTTTATAAAGTTTATTACTTTTCCCACTATCTTCTTGAACCAAAAACACATTTTAAGTTTATAACTCTTTTGATATTCCCAATTGATTTTACAAAAAATGAATATTTCATCAATTTTCTTTATTTTTAACATTGTCAACATTTAATCAGAGAACGATTCTTTTATTCTGTCTCAAGTGATCATTCTTCTGACAAAGTTCTCAATGGATCTTGGGTCCCATTAAGAGAGGGATCGTGAGGTCCTAAGTCCATTGTATCATTCTTACGCCTTTGCATCTGCATAACTTAGCTCCCACCTTGGGGACGCAGGTGAAAGGGTGAGAGGAGGGTTAAGGGATAAAAGACTACAAACTGGGTTCAGTGTATACTGCTCGGGTGATGGGTTCACCAAAATCTCACAAATTGCCAATAAAGAACTTATGTAACCAAAGTCCACCTGTTACTCAAAAACCTACAGGAATAAAAATTCTTTTAAAAAAGGGATCATGATTTTTCATTGCTGGTATCTCCAGAGTCTAGCACATGGCCTGGCATATACTATATACACAATAAATATCTGTTAATGACTCCATGAGTAAAGGAATGTACCCTCTGTGGTTGTAAAGCCAGATTTTTGAATTAACATTTCTGCTAGGAATCAATTTATTTGACTATAACATTTCTTTTTTTAGAAAAGTTTTTTTAAGTATGAGGAAATGTGTGCTTTCAAATTAATCAGTAAGGGAAACAAAAAATAAGCAAATGACAATGTCATTGAAATACTTGTTTACATCAGAATAAGCAAAACTATGTTGCAACATTGCAATGTTAGAGGCAAAAATTTCTGCCATTTGCAGACTAGAAACCACAAGCTGATAAGGGACAAATAAACACTAAAATAAAACTGTAAAAATAAACCTTAAAATTATTCAGGGTTTTCAAATGCCCATCAACAATAGACTGGATAAAGAAATTGTGGCACATATACACCTTGGAATACTATGCAGCCATAAAAAAGGATGAGTTCATGTCCTTTGCAGGGACATGGATGAAGCTGGCAACTATCATTCTCAGCAAACTAACACAAGAACAGAAAAGCAAATACTGTGTGTTCTCACTCATAAGTGCGAGCTGAACAATGAGAGCACATGGATACAGGAAGGGGAACATCACACACTGGGACCTGTCAGGGGGTGGTGGGCTTGGGGAGGGATAGCAGTAGGAGAAATACCTAATGTAGATGATGGGTGCAGCAAACCATCATGGCATGTGTATACCTATGTAACAAACCTGCATGTTCTGCACGTGTACCCCAGAACTTAAAGTATAATTTAGAAATTTATTCAGGGTTTTTTCCTCCAGATGATTATTAGTTGTATCTATACTACTACTTATTAAATAATTACACTTTTCCTTACTTATTTCAATTAACACCTTTATTATAAACTAAATGTACCTGGATTTTTGAACTCTATTCTGTTCTGTTGCACAAATTATACATATTTAGCTCAATGCATTATCCTAATGTGAACCTCATATTTAAGCACCAGTAATGAAACAGAAAATTACCAATACCCTAGAAGCCTCTTTTTTTTTTCTTTTTTGTAGAAATGAGGTCTCACTATGTTGTCCAGGCTGGTCTCAAACTTCTGGCCTCAAGTGATCCTCCCGCCTCGGCCTCCCAAAGTGCTGGGATTACAGGCATGAGCCACTGTGCCTGGCCTAGAAGGCTTTTCTTAATAAATATTTACTGAATGAATGACAGTCTCTGAGAGGTATTCAGGATCTGTTTTATACTTTCAAATAGTATGGATGTATTGGATGGAGACAGAAAGATGCTCATTAAATCCACAAAGGGCACAAAGATGGAGACAATACACTGGATTATAGACAAGTCTCCAAAATTTCTTAAAAGTCAGAGACTGGAAAATAAAACTAAAGTCATGTAATAGATAAATGCAAATGATGGTATATCAGTGAAAAATAATGAACTCTGTAATATGGTAGTAATAGAATGTAATATTGAAAAGAATTTATAACTTTCCTTCATGAGAATAGGAAAATTTAGGAGTCTTAGTTGTTTGAAAGAAGATTTTGTACCACAAAGTGTGAATATAATCTTAGTGTGCTTTTATTGGTATTTCGTGTCTAGGACAAGGATGGTTTGACTTCATCTAGTGTGTCATTTTTAGTTCTGGGCATTTTATCCGAAGAAGAGTGATACAATGGAGAATGTCTGCAGTGGGATGACTGGAATTATAAGAAGTCTGTGAACCTCAAATCTTTGTGTATTAAAAGCAAGCTTAGATAGAAATCAAAGTTATCTGAAGAACTATGATGGAATCAGGGATATTTTGCTTGAAAAGGAGGTGTGGGATATCATAGGAACTTTAATTTAAACACTTAAAGATGAATAAAGATTGAGTATCCCTTATCTGAAATGTCTGGGACTAGAAATGTTTTGGATTCTGGATTTTTTTAAATTTTGGAATATTGATATTATATAATTACTAGTTGAGCATACCGAATTTGAAATGTCCCAATATGCATTTGCTTTAAGCATCACATAGACACTCAAAAAATCTTGGATTTTTGAACATTCCAAATTTCAGGTTTTCAGATTTGGGATGCTCAACCTGTAATAAGGAAAAAGATATGAATATTCTCTGTAGTTCTAGAAGAGAAACTGAGACTCATTTAACACTTTTAGGCTGCAGGCTTCAGCTCAATAAACTTATAATTGGCACAGTCCAGTGGTTAAGAGGACAGGCCCTGGAGGCTGACAGGCATGTCTGCTTTGTCATCCAAGTCTCAATATTATCATTTTACAATATTGTATTGTGTTACCTCATTGAAGCATTGTGAAAATGAGACAATGATGCATGCTAAGCTCTTAGTTCAGTTAATGGAGTAAACTTAAATAATTGTATCTTTAATGACAACTGTCTCTTTTTACCTTCTATATTAAATCACATATATTTTTATTGCTCTCTCATGTTTTTCATTTATTTAGGGAGACGTTCTGTCTGTCCCACTAGCCAACACTCTCAAAAGGACTATTTATAAAATGTCTTCACTTCCTGACCTACAACTTGCCCTTCCACAAACTTCTGTACCCACCACTCCACTCAGCCAGCTCTGGCAAAAGTCAACAATGACCCAAGTGCCAAATATAACAAATTCTAGTCTTCATCTTATTTTGCCTTCTCTACAATATTTTGACAAGTTCTTTTCTTATCCTTGGCCTTTATATCACTCTCTCCTTGTTCTCTTTCATTTCTACATTAATGTTATCCTTTGCAGATTCATCTCTGTATTTTCATCCATTAAATATTGGTGTTTCTCAGGCTTGTCTGTCTACACAGCACTCTGACTAATCTTATTTAGCTGAGAGCTGACGACTTACAAATTCTGAATCTATAATTTTGAACTTCTCTATTAATTTTATGTTTTTTATTATTTTTTTGAGGCAGGGTCCCACGCTTTCACCCAGGCTGGAGTGCAGTTGTGCAGACTCGGCTCACTGCAACCTCCGCCTCCTGGGTTCAAGCGATTCTCGTGCCTCAGCCTCCTGAGTAGCTGGGATTACAGGTGGTCACCACCGTGCCTGGCTCATTTTTTTGTATTTTTAGTAGAGTCAGGGTTTCACCATGTTGGTCAGGCTCGTCTTGAACTCCTGACCTCAAATGATCTGCCTGCCTTGGCCTCCTATTGTGTTGGGATTACAGGTGTGAGCCACCGCGCCCGGCCTTCTATTGAGTTTAGACTCCAGTGTATAGTATCCTCCTTGCGTAGGTCCACTTGGATGTCCTACAGTCACCTGAAACTTAAAAATTGCTCCCAAATGCAATCTTTATTCTACACTCTCAGTCTTAGTAAATGGATAATTAAGCTGGTACCTGGGAATTACCTTTTTATCATTCTCTTCATCCAAAAGGTTATCAAGTGCTACCAATTCAAACTCATTAACATATCTTGCTGAAATCCTACTCTAATATCTATTACTCCTTCCTTTTTCTTCGCTCTCATTTTATTTTTTCTGGACCAATGCAGTAGTCTTCTAATTAGTTTCCAACCTTGCCCTGATGGCTGCCAGAGTGATTTTTCTATGTAATTTTCAGCTTAAAATGCCTTAAGTTCAAACTCTATGGTATAATATTAAAACTCTCTAAAAATGTTTAAAGGAAGATTACACCAATCATAACAGCATTTATAAAACATGTTAAATGTATTCATATTATTTTGTTTGTATTTATCATTTTATAAGGAAGGCAGAAGTGGTGGTGTTCTCTTCCCTTATATAGAAGAGAAAACCAAAGTGTAGGGAGGCTCAGTGACTTGCTCTCAGACATCAAGCTGGTAAGTGATGAGCACGAGCTGGAACCCAGGCCTTCTCTTTCCAAGTTCCCATTTACATTGCATTATGGCATGGGGCCATGCTGAAGTATATTTTTACCATGTGCAATGTTTTGTATCCTGCTTCTTTTCAGTGAACATTATAAACTTTTTCCATGTCAAAATTCTTCACTAACATAAAACTGAAAATCAGCATAGAATTTAGAATTTTCAGTGTTCAATATGAATGTAACATATTTCCTCTAACATCCCCTAAGATTGAACACACACACACATTTCACAGTTCTCTTTTTAATTCAAAGTGAACTATCCAAATAACAGGCAGAAATAGTCACAAAGGATAAAGTACAAGAAATGATAATAATTCATCTGAGACTATACACTAAACTTTACATATTTATAATTTGATACTAATTCTATTAGGAAAGAATATAGAATAAAATTCTTTGTGACGAAGAAGAATAGTTTTTCTAATAAAAAATGTGGAGCATATATAATGGATGAGGGATAACCAAAACTTGCTATATACACGTAGTAAGAAAATCCCAACAATCAATACTCATTTAATCACAGAACAATGAAAAAGTTATATAAAATCCACCTTACCTATATGTTAGAAATTGATTTCAGTTCACCCATGGATCCAACACCTTTTTAGATAAATGAAAAAAAAATTTTATTAACTGACTTAAGAACAAAAAACTACCTATTAAATGTATGTACTGTTGCTTAAAGAATATGGAATTCTTACCTGTTTCCTTGCAAAAGAAGTAGAAATCTATAGACTAGAGACCCTCTCTAAGAATGAGTCACTGATAAGCACAATATTTTTATAACTTACATAACATTTCATCCATGTGCATTTTTTGAGCATTATGCAATATTTAATTTGCATCAGCTTTCCAAATCACTTACATTTACGAGGTTTCTTTCCAATGGATGTTTCCGTATGACTTTAAAAATAATCATTAAAATTAAAACTTTCCTATGTTTTGCAAACTACTCGGTTTTCAACCAAGGGTACATTCTTGTATTTGAGACCCACCTTCAGTGGGCATTGTCATGTCTTTTAGTGTATTTGAGAGAAATGGATGCATTACCACATTTTGTACATTTATAGATTTTATTCTCAGAAATAAATTCTTTGATGTATTCAACTAGAACTAAAAACACTGAGGCTATTACCCCATTTTTTTACACTCATAGGGTTTTCCCTCCAGTATGAATTCTTTCATATTTTCAGAAAGAACTGGGAAGATTGCATACTTTCCCATATACCTTAAATTCATAGATTTCTCTTAAGTATGAATTTTTTCATGTGTACGATTGAACATATATTTTCAACCAATATCTGTGATGTTGCAATGAAGTGCATAAAAGTTTATCAATATTGAATAATTAGGATTGCTAAAGTGGAATTACATGGTCAAAGGGCATTAACATTTTAAGATCGATATATATTGCTAAATTTCTTGTAAGTCAATATCTTTTCCTTATTAACAAACCTGAATACTATAATTAAAAATATTTCTCGAAGTCTTTATTGCCTTTGATTTCTAAGAGGATAGATACCATTTTTTTCTTTTAACATTTACAGCATTTTCCCAAACATACTAAGAACATTTTGATATATTTAGAAGAGATGCAGAGATGTTTCATTATGGTAATAGAAAGTTGGGGTGGTTCTGACTCTGGAATCTCAGTTTTCTCAGTCTAATCTTTCTTTTTTTCCATGAAGTTTCTAACTGAAGCATCAACGTATTGCATAATATCTAAGGAGATGATGGAGAATGTTTCCCTGTTGAGCAACCCACTATTATTCTTAGGCAGAATTTTCTCATCCACATAGGATTTGTTGTATAACTCTATAATGAGCAAATCATGATCTCCTTTCAGGGACTTTGCACACAGGCTAACTGCCTGGGACCCCTGTTTCTCTCAATTGTTACATCCTTTACATTTCCCCCTCTTAATGCGCCCAGATCAGGGGGCTGGCTTCCATGTTCTAGTACTTCTTATCATTTTTACCCTACTTAATTTTTCTCAATGGCATTTTCCCACCAACCAGTATATTGTAGTTCCTTGTTTCTTTATTGTCTCTTTCCCCTCATTAGAATGTATGCTCCATAAACACAAGTTTTGTCATGTTTCTTTTCAACTATGCCTTCAAAGCCTAGGATGGTGTCTGGCACGTAATAGATTCTCAGTAATTATTATGAAATGAATGAATGGGTAGAGATGCACACCACATGCCACTGCCTGTATTCAGTGAATACTTACACTACATCTTCTCATTTGTTTGAGAGAAGATGGTTTTCTCAGACTCTCAGCTTTAATTGTCTGCAATTCCTTCTATACTATAGGATAAATATAGTTTGCCAGCAGTTATCACATTAGTGAAGCAATTGAGGAATGTTAGAACTGAATCTTTTCTTGTGGTAAATAATATTCTCATTACACCTGTCCTTGGATTGACCATTGATATTAAGTTTCCCATATTTTTCAACTTCCTCCAACTATCCCTGGATGAAAGACAAAAGCTTCTCATGTGTTTGTTGTTCTTGTTCTTCATAGCCAGGTTCTAACAGGATGTTTTGGGAGATATATAGCAGTAATCCAATTAGGCAAGCATTTGTTCCATTTTTTCCCCCAGAGGTCTTTGATGTACATTTTCCATCTACCTACTTGTTAGCCTCAAAAATTGAGGCTGGATATCTAATCAGAAAGACAATCAGTTCTCTGAACTTCCAAGTTGATGTTTTATGGTTTTCTAAGTCCACATGAGCTGCAAAAGTTTTGCTCATTATTTGGTAAGCACTGACCACTACAGACAGAAAAGGGCCTTTTTTTTTTTTTTAAGCTGTTCTCGCTAATGTTGCAGAAACATTTTTTTCAGTTCATTAAATTTAACTTCAGGCAATTGCTAAAATGTAAGATAATTCCTTTTCGTTATTCCTTTGGCACATCTGAAGTACAGTTTCACATTAGCAACAATGAGCCAGAGGGTTAAAAAATTAAAATTATTTTGGAAGATAGGGACTTAGGCAGAAAAAAAGGTCCATTCCAAAATGACAAATATTTAGCATCATTTTTACTTTTATTTATACAGAAGGACCCTCACTTATGATTGCTTTTTAAATTGGCTTTATAAATGCATGATTAGGAGTAAACATTTTTGAGTTTTATACTACATCAAAGATCTTGAGTCTCAACTTCCAATCAATATTTTGTATCAGGCTGGGTGCGGTTGCTCATGCCTGTAATCCCAGAACTTTGGGGGACCAAGGTGGGTGGATAGCTTGAGCCCAGGAGTTCAACACCAGTCTTGGCAACATAGCAAGACCCTGTCTCTTCCAATAACAACAACAAAAAATTAACCAGGTTTGGTGGCGTGTGTTTACAGTTCCAGTTACTTGGGAGGCTGAGGTAGGAGGATTGCTTGAACCTAGGAGGTCAAGGCTGTAGTGAGCTTATTTTGCCATTGCACTGGGCACATGTGAGACCCTGTCTCAAAAAAAAAAAAAAATAGTTTGAGGCATTAAAAATAAACAGCTTGAGGGCCATTTCAAAAAGATAACTAAGAAATATTTTGTGAATATGTATATGTGCTGAGATTTCTTAATAATTTTACCAGTCCCCAATTCTGACAAATTAAAGACAGAAATAAGATCTTATAGACAAGATCTTGTGTTATTTAAACTTTTCATCCACAAAACACAGTGAGCAGTGTTTCTGTCTACTTATGTTGTTTCCATACTTTAGTGAATACCAACATGATACAACACATAACCTTGTATTATATTATTGTGCATGTTTTATATTATATATCTGTCACTTCTCTATTCACACATGAACACATGTATATATAATACACAAATCATTATCTGTCAATCATCTATTTCTAGACATTGGGGTCAGTTTTTAGAAGTGGAATTACTAGGTTAAAGGATATGTTTATTTATAATTAAAAATACTATTTACATGGCCCTTTATTGACTTGATAATTAATACTACCTCTACTAGAAATAGAAAAGAACGATACTTTTGTTTTTCTTATATACTTGATCGGATAGTGGATTGTCAAATTTCATTTTCCCCATCTATTGCGTCATTGTTTTAAATAACATTTCTTTAATGATAAATGCTCATGAGAATCTTTTTGGTAAGTTCAAAAGCTACTTATTATATTTTCTTCTTTGTTCTTTGGGCCCTCTTCCCATATCCTGACAAAACTTTCAATACAGGTATTTCGTCTTTTCTTGGTTTCCTTTTCTTAAACTTTGTAAAATATGCAGGATCTGACCATTGTCAGTGGTAGGTATTGCTCTTAATACTTCCATACGAATGGACTGTCTCTACACTTGGCATTATCATCTAAGTAAGATAATGTACCAATTTATTGCTACATCCTACATCTGCTTTCATTATAAACCCATAATTACATTTAAATCTTTCTGGCTAGGAGTTGTTGATTTCTGAAAGCCAATATGATGCCTATTCTGAAGAGAATTGTATCAAAGGCCTCTTTAGTTTTTATCACTGAACAAATGTTGCCGTAATGTTTTTGTAACATGCATTTATATCATGATCACTACCAGACATAGCCTCAGTCTATCATTGTAGGAGACATTTTAATTTGATTTTCCTATGGATTATTCCGTATAAAGATTAGAATTCATAAGCATACCAACATTAATTTTTAAGGGTCATTTATATAAGTCTCTGATTATAATCCTTTCCACTATACCTCCTTCTACAGCCAGGATACTTTTCTACTCGACTTATTTTATAAAGCATTTTTTTCCCCATAGATACCAAGGTAGTGCCATCAGAAGAAAAGACCTATACCCTTTGGCAAACAAATTGTACAAAGTGATAAACATTAAGAATAACCCCCTGCCAGCAGACAAATATTGTAAACACGTGAACCTTTTATAAAGATAAATTGTGAAAGGGTACAGTTATACTTCAGCTGTCAGCATAGCCGCTGGAGGGTGACTAGGGATGTGGTGTGACAGGATTCTCGCTAAACTCACTGTGTTTATAAAAGACTGGGACACAGGTCCACGCTATCCACTAAGATGCTGGCTTTCCCTCTGTAGTACTTTCTGGCTGATTCTGATTTTGAAATTCTTTTTACTTCTCAAGGAAATCAAGACATTGTTTTTGAAAAGGAATGGATTTTAAATGGTCTATTAAAGTATTTACATGGTTGCTGAATGTCCTCCTCTATTGTTTCAAAGCAAATTATGGGAATTTGGAAGCACTTTGAATTGTTACTCTATTCTGTTTTTTCCATTTTATTTCTGCTCTGAAGCAAAGAGTATATAATTTGATTATTACTGATATCACAAAATCAATTTTATTTAAGACTGAAAAGTATAATCAGACTGCTTTTATATCCTGGATCAAAGGCTTTTTAGGAATTTGAAATTGTCCTTTGCTTAATTTTCCAGTATTCCAAGCTCTCTTGCCTACTTCCCCTGGAACAATTTCCTATTAATTTAAGTTGATTCACTTAAATTACAATTGAGTGAAAGCTACGATAGAATTATGTATTTTGCAGACCTTGTTTTCAATATAGTTTTGTAAATCCCATAGCCCACATCTTACTGGAGTATCCTTAGCTATTTAGTATCACTCCTCTATGATGCCAGTCTCAGTTACTGTTTTTCTTTCTTCAACTGCTCTGTTACTGTTCTGTTCTTGTCAGCATTGTGCATTCTAAGTGTTTAGAGTAACATATATCTGGCAAGTGAAATGAATATAAGATATATTTATGAGAGTAGAGTACTGACAGCTTTAAGCTATGGATGAGTTAGTTGGTTTTTTAACTCTAGTGGCCTCTTCATAATTAATCCACTATTTATTATTATCTACTCTTTAGTCATAAAACTTGTACTTCACTAATTCTTTTGTTAATTTATTCACCCAAAAAGAAATCATAATTCTTACTATGTGTTGGATATTATTCCATGCGAGGAACAAAACAAAGACCTGGCCTCTCTCATTGTGTGGGAGAGAGAAAAAAACAAACGACAGGAAGATATGTAATGTCAGGTGCCATGAAGAAAACAAAAGAAGGGTAGGAGAATAGAGAGTGATGGGATAGTCAAGGAAGGCGTCTCAGAGGGGGGCCATTTGAGCAGAGACCTGCATGAAGTCGGGGAGCAGCCATGCCTATATCAAGGGGAAGTTTCTAGGTAGAGGTAGGAAAAAATGTCAAAGCTCTGAAGAGAATGTATAGCTTAATAGAAGGTTGGGCTCCAGCTTCATCACTTCCAGTAACACTGTGCTCAAGGGTGAGCATGAGTGGGAATGAGCATGCATAGGGGCTAGCTAGGATAGAGAGAGAATATCCAGCCTCACAACAGGCAGGGGGACAGTGAGGTGGCCACATGGTGGGGGAACCTCTGCCTGAGATGACAACAAAAAAGATTGTGGGGAAATAGAATCCCAAAATTTATTTTTCCTTCTTTACAAAAAACGTTAAAATTTAGGGCCAGGTGAAGTGGGTCATGCCTGGCCAAGGTGGGCAGATCATGAGGTCAGGAGATGGAGAATATCCTGGCTAACACCAGTGAAACCTCCTCTCTACTAAAAATACAAAATATTAGCCAGGCGTGGTGGCACATGCCTATAGTCCCAGCTACTTGGGAGGGTGAGGCAGGAGAATCGCTTGGACCCGGGAGGCAGAGTTGCAGTGAGCCGAGATTGCACGACTGTATTCCAGCCTGGGCAACAGAATGAGACTGTCTCAAAAAATAATAAAATAAAAATTAGTTGATGGCCTAAAATTAACAACATATTGGCATCATCAGAATTGCCATTTGAAAATTATATGCTATAGAAGGTCAAGTCCAAATATCCAGACGTATATGAAAAGATGAAAAGCTGCTCAAATTTGCTACTAGTCAAGGAGATGAAAGCAATGAGAGGGATTGATGTTTTGATTAGCCTGGATTGGAACTTTGATAACTCTGATACTTTGATAACTCTTATTGTTATCAAAAAGCTATGGGATTTGCCTTAGGTGTTACCAAAGACAGGATGAAGGACATTTGATAATGTTTGAAAACAGTAATAGGAAAAAAAAAATGAAGCTGTTTCCTAATTGTATCTACTAAATTCACCCATTTCTCTCTTCCTCTCTCTCTCACTCTCTCTGTTCCATCTCACTCCCCACTATCATATTTATAATGTCATATGATCAGGGAGAAAAATATGACAGGATACATATCAGATTGTTAACTTGAGTTAACTTGGCTGGGAGATGCTATGGAAGAAGATGAAAGGGGGAGGGGAAGTCACATAAAAGTACTGCAATACCAGAAACCCTGACTACATTTATGCATTTTTGTGTATGTACAATATCTTTTCAGAGTAACTGACACTGATGGGAGGTATAAATTGAAGTGTGTTGTGGAATATATACAGACTTTAATGAAAGAATCACTAGGGACACAGAAGTAGCAAAAATAAAATGTAGACCAGTAATATTCATATTTTTGTTTGTAGGGCATAAATTGGAATTGCAAAATAATAAATGAAGTTAGCTATTTGACTATGAAAGTCCAGATTTCTAGAAAAAAATCTGTGTGATACATTGAAAATTTTTTTCACCTAGTTTCACTTGTAATGAGTAATACAGAAAAGAAAAAGACTGGAAATTACCATTTTTTCATCAAGCATGTAGGCTAGCTACATGTTCTGAGTGGTTCACAGATTGAGGGCTTAAATGGTTCCCTACTTACTTACATTTTAGCAAATAGCTATTTCAGAAAATGTTTTAACTGCAAACTACCCCGGAAGTAACTTGTCTTAAGTTGTGTGTCCCTTCCTGAATTTGTTAAGGCATAAGTTTCTGCTTTGACTTTTAGGTTTGGTTTTTTGTGGGTAGACACAGGGACAAGAGACAGTGAGGGATGTGCCTTATGACTGATTGGGTGGGAAAAGCTGTACTCTGTTGTAGAGAGTTTCCCCATCCTCTGCTGCTGCCATTTTTGAATTGACTGGAAACCAGGAGGTCCCTTGTCCATGATTCACCTGGTGGCCTCAGCCAACTTTCAAAGTAAAAGTTTGCATTTCTTGAACTTTCTAAATTGGAGTTGTTATACAACCCAGGAAAGGGCAATACAGTAGGTAAAAGGATTTAGGTATTCACTGGAAAAAAATTTTAATCCATATTTAAGAAGCAATTGGTGCAAATCAAAACACAGATACACATGATTAGAATGAAAATGATTTCCGTATTTATGTTTGTCAGCAATATAGTTATTTACAAATAACCCATATGAAAATGTAAAAAAGCATATTACATCTTCACATGCCATCTGTATTGACTGAATAAAGCTTAGTGACATTATTTGCAAATCTGTAGTTAATTGTACATAGACATTTTGTGCGTTAAAAAGGAAATGTACATAATGTAAAATAAATTACATTACGCAATTTACAAAGTAATATTAACAAAAATTCTTAGACAGCTGCCTCCTTATTTAAACAAAATAAATATTCAGGTAGTTAAATTAACATAAAATACACATTTAGGGAATAATAATTTATAGAAAGACAGATTGCAAATTTTAATAAAGTTATATTTTACAATGATAGATACTGATCTCTTCAAATCTGTGTGATAGAAATGGAGAAAAAAAGTACCAGAAAAGGAATCTAAATGTTTACTTTCTAAAAATAAACACAAACAGATTTCTGAAAAATAGGGAAAAGTTTACTTGAGGGTTAAAAGTAGGTAATCTAGAAACTATGGCTTAAAAACAATAAATCTACAAAACACAACAAGACTGACAATTATATTCTAAATAATATAGAGATTTTTGATCACTGAAAACATGACTCCCACAAACTAAAGCTCTTCATATACTGCCCATTTTTAAGATCTGACTTGGTAGAAACACAGAAAAATAAAAATGCAAAATTAACTGTTTAGCATTAGTTTCATTCATTTAATAATGTAGACATAACCATTTTTCATTGTCCCTGCTAGATATAAAATTATTATAACACACTGCAAACCATCCTTTTTATAAATGGATAACTATTTGCTTGGCTCACACACCAGTTTCTGATACCTGAAATCCTGTCCTGCAGCCAGGGCCACCTGAGGGCAGGACCTGGGGAGACCCTTATTCCCAGAACAAGCAGATGTAGTTCTCACAACTAAACTAGTCCCAGGAAAGATCACATTCTGACAAGATTCCTCACAGATTTGCTCAAGGACTACTGTTTTTTCAACACCCTCAATCTTACAGTGGAAATAGAAGAAGAACCCACACTTGAATTTGGTAATATATTTATAAACAGGAGATCCCAGATCATTTGGGAATTGTGCTTCTCATGTACTATTGAGACCCACGTCAGCTTTAGAACAGGCTCTCCCTTCTGTATGGTACTGAAAAGTACAGTCCTCCCTCACTGTCTTGTGGTGTGGAATGTGAACAAAGACTCGAGATGGAGGCAGGAGGATATGGGATGGTCTAAAGCAAGTGTAGGCATGGACATTTTTACAGAAAAGGGCTTTTTTTTTTTTTTTTTTCCTGCATGCCTTCCACATTTTTCCTTTTCCCTTTATTCATTTCTTTGACCAGTGGATTTGGTGTAAATCAGGATGTTCACACTCTGAGTGAGTGACACTTTGATTCTAATAGGGAAGGAAATATAGGAATTCTTTTTTTTTTAATTAAAAAATTGGGCATGTTTAGTGGGAAGTAGGTAAGAATAGCTGTCAAGAGTAGAAAGAGACCAAGCAGAGAAAATCAGAAAGGGCCAAGGATACAGGTTGTTGGGGGAGGTAAATAAGTGTGTGAGAGGTCTATTCAATTTCTGTGAGAAGGAAGACGTGAATTTACCTTGAAATGCCCAGGAACTTAACAGGGGTCTGATTAAGCTACAATGACCACTGCCACCTACCTGAGGGTGGGGCAGGGAAAAATCAAACTCCTAATACTGTGGCCTAAAGACATGTACATTACGTAGGGGAAAATACTAACCCCATCTAAAAACAAACCTAGAGTAAAAGTCAACATGTTTCAGTGCTATCTTCACTCATTAAGCATTTTTTCCTTCTTTTGGATGTCTGTCTTAAGTACCTATGTATACAAAAGCCATTACTTTTTTTTTTTTTTTTACAATGCCTAGCAGAATGTCTTATATGTCAATAAATATTTGCCTTGTTAGAAGTAATTTGTGCTTTGTTATAAGTAATTAAAAACAAGCTTTTATGCACTCTTTTTAAATTCACTTAAGCTACACCGTAGTATCCTCAAAAAAGGCTTTGAAATTAAGATTACTGTCCACATATTGGATTAGTTATTGATGAATAAGCAAATCAGCCCCTTTCAAAAGAGATCAGTTAGTCCTATTCTACGTGGTTTCTAGTGAAATAGTCCAGCAAAATCATATAATACTGTGTCAAACTTTTTCTGCTCTTCTTTTTTTAAAAACCAAACAACAGACCTTCATTCTAGGGAACAGCAGTTCTACATCTTTTACCCCCTCGGTGAGGTAAAAGTGTCAATAGAGAAGTTACTACTATATTCCCCTCCCAAATTTTTAGAAGGAACAGTAAAAATAAGGTTTTGATGAAATTCCAATAAAATATTTAACTCATTATTGTCTCATGTCAGAAACAAAAATAAGGCCATTTTCATGTTATAAACATGAATATAATAACCTTCCCTTTGTCCAAAATAGCCAGATTGCTACGTTCTCCTCTTTCCACCTTTCTAACGAGGTTATCCAGTATTTATTTATCCTAACAAACAGTGACCTTCCAATATGTTCTCTAATATTAGGTCATGTTGAACCTAATTTCCTCTCTCTCATATATATGGGTGTGTGTGTGTGTGTGTGTATATATATATATGCATGCATATATGCTGTAAAATCTAATTAATTTATGAATAAAATGTATTTTTCATAACATTCTATAATTTTGATTTGCTAATTTAATTCTTATAGGTAGGATGATACTAATCTTTTCTGAATTAATGACATTTTACAATACCTTAAATATAGCTTTAGTAGGTATTCTATCCCACATTTCAAAATTAATAGGTGTTGCACACATTTCATAAGAGGGTTAGCTGAATTTTTCAAGTAACCACAATAGAGTCTTTCTTAACTATTTTGGACAAATGGAGTTTATTTTATTCAAAGAGATCAACTTTAGGATTATCTGGAAGACCCCTGATTATATATATTGACAATCACAGTTTTAAAGTAACAATATTATTTTTTCTTCCTCTTTAATAAAACAGATAAAATGGACTTTGTTTTTATGGTTTTCTTTGTTTAAATCCTTGCTTTAAAGTAAAATTTTCATCTTCCTGACTACCTGTTCTCTTTGAAATGATTTACATTTCCTAATATAGTGAATATTGAATGAGGAATTAGCGCTTACTGCATTTAGTTCTTATTGAAATACATACAAATATTTTCATTTTGGGGACAATGACATCCTAACCTGATGTCTTTTGTAATCTTTGCAAATACTCTAATGAACAGCAGGGGGAGTTCATACTCCAGTATGAAGGTAAAAATACCTTCTAATCCAAAACACTTTTACAGGAACACAGCTGTTTAAGATAAAATAGCATGTTAGTTATATTATTTTTCAAATATCCTGAAAAGCTAGTGTCCTCTCTCACAAAGGTTGTTGCAATAATGTTGCCTGAAAATGGTATTGCTTTTTAATGGCACCTTTTGAGTTTTCTTTTCATTTGCAAGAAGTCTGCTGAGTTAGTTAAATATTGTTCCACTGTGCCATTCCCAGGGCTACATCTGTAGAAAATACAGCTACTTCTGATACAGTGGGAAATGTAATGACTGTAAATTCTCACCTTTGAAAAATGAATGAAAACGAAAGATGACACCATGGAGAGCTAGCATTAAAAAACATCCAGACCAGGGGTCAGCAAAATATGACCTGCAAAGGTGGCCTACTGGCTGTTTTTGTAAGGGAAGTTATATAGGAAAACAGTTATGTTCATTCTTTTATTTACTAAGATTGCATTAGCAGAATGGCAAAGTTGAGAAGTTGCAACATAGACCTTGTGGAAAATATTTTCTATATAGTCCTTTACAGAAAAAGTTTGCCACTCTTGCTCTAGATATGCAATGAAGTCTTGGATAAGATATTTATTCTTCTCTTTTAAAATTTTAGTTTTGAAATCATACATTGAAGAGAGAGATTGCTTCAAATTTTGCCAGTGAGAAAGGCAAAAGACTATGGATTTTGAAATAACTGCCTGCAAGACAGACATTCAATCTGAAACTGGGAAATCAGAGAGAAAGAAAAATCAACATATAATTTTGATTTCCTTTAGTTACAAAGGTCATTGATACATTATTTATTTTCTCCATCTGCTCAAAATTAAAAAGACATCCAGTTCCTTTTTCTTTTTTTTTCTTAACAAAGATAACAAATATAAAAATCTAGTCATAAACAGCCTTCAAAGAACAATTACAAACCAACTAGAGGAATCCACCTTTTAGAGGGTTAAGGGGTTAGGGACTTCAACACTTAAATTACCGCCATGTTGTCAATTTCACAATGGCTGCAGTGATGAGGAAGTGTGTGTACAGCAGGTGTAATAGCTGATTTCATCTTGCTGCCATCCAAACTGAACTTTACTCTCTTCAGGATACAAGAACTTGCAAATGTCTTCATGCCACTCTTGGCACAGATGTCTTCATCCCACATGAAAAGAGGCAGTTTCTATGGCAATACTGGTTAAGCGCCTATCGTGCTGCACTAATATAGTGCAAAAATGTGCCTTCCATATAGCAAAAAAGATGCAGGCAACCAGTTTGAAAATCAGGGAAAGTAGAAACGTATTGTATTAACACAAGTAAATTAGTTTTCCAGACAATTACCACTATAAAATACTGAACTTGAGGACTCGTTCTTCTAAGACACTAGTACTTGTCCAGCATTCTTACTTTGGAGAGAGACAAGAAGTCTTAAAAAAGAGGCTTTGTCTCTGAAATGCAGGTCAATAAAATCTACCATCGACCACCAAGATGCTGAATTTATTCAGTGGATTTTCTGCTTAGCTTAGAGTTTATTTGTTATGCATTGTTAAAATTGCTTATTAGCAAGTACATAATCTGACATAATGTGTGTCATTCAACTGAGTACACATGTTAATTTGACCATAGTATTGTGGAGATCTTGGTAGAAACTCTTCATGCTAGGAAGTTTTATGGATTAACACTGCAGACGGTCTTGTATCAGGCATCCTAACTGGCCAATTCCACCATTATTTTTTAGAGATGAAAGTGGTTTTTCAGTCGGTAGATTTCAGAAAAGATGACATAAAACTTTCAGAATGCAGCATGTATTCAGCTAAATCTCCTATAATTCTCACGGTTGATGGTCTGTATATAAGTGGTACTGTCTTAAATATCTCCAGTGGCAGTATGATTTTCACTCTTGTCTTTATGATGCCATTTTTAAAAATTAAAATATATTTTAATCCACACAGTTTGGATACATTTGTTGTGGCCTCTGGACATCTATGAAGTCAGAAAGCCGAAACTGGTTGTTGCCAGGAAAAGTTATATGTTACATGTCGGCATCTCCATCATAGGCTAAGGTTAAAGGTTTCAGTCGGTTGTTTTGCCTTCTTTGGGGTTTCTTTGGCTTTTTGCTGTAAAAAAATTCGGAATTAGGAGAAAGAAAATCAGTTTCTAATTGTAAATTTGATTGCTTTAAGCGAAAAAAAAGTAAAAGCAAATTGATAAACTGAAATTGCCTCGTTGCCTGCGTTGCCTAAAGTCTATCTACCTTAGAATTTGATTTTCTGATCTTGAATTTCAGTTTTATGCTTTGAATAAACTCTAAGTAAACTTCAAGTGTTTCACTACCCTACAAAAGATAAATTATCCAAGTGGGATTCTTTTAGTATTAACAACAGAAATAAAATCATAGTAGGGTCATTTTCATTTGGCCAGAAACCTTTATAAATAATGCATAATTTATAAATTATACATGTTTTAGAAGATACTTGAATATGATTAGGTATTACTGTAATATCTTCCTCCATTAGTAATTCAATATAAAAATCTACAGTTCACCATATTGAGTACAAAGCAATATTTTCTTGAAAGTATGCAAGAGAACATACTCGAGAAGATGACCTGCAGCAAGCTCTTGCTCATCTTTAGAAACGAAATGGCTCAGATTTGGTAGCTTTTAGCCCATCTAGGACTAAAGCCATGTTTATTTAGAAATTCATGTGAACACCAGATAAATGTAGAGTACTTATTTGAGACATTAGTTTGCTGTTTCTGTGTTACGATTAAGTATCTCTTTGGATTTTTAATTATTTAAACACTCACCAAGCTAGATAAATCATGGAGACAATAAAGATGAGTAACACAAATGCCCCAGCTGCTACACCGTAAACCCAGGTCTTTAGTCTCCCATCTAAGAAGAATGGATATTAGTTATTAATTTACATTAGTCTGGTATACATGAGGCAGTCTTTAACTATGACCAATGATCAGTCATATATGACCAATTTCTTTCAAAACCCGAAAAGAATTATTGCTTCAGCACAGTTAATGATTAATGCAAAGCTGCTATTATGAGTTAGATTCTGCTTCATTAAAGATAAGCTATCAAGGAAAACTGAACTGAAAAATTATAAATGTTTGACTTCAGATTTCAAGTTTCTTTGGCTAAACTTCAGCTGCCTTTCATCTCAATTTTACTTCAAACTCAATACATGTGTAATGCTATATAAACATTCTCTTCTGATTTTCAGTGTATTTTGAGAATTGCAATGAGAAGAAAAGATGAAAAATGCAATTTTAAGAAAGTTTCTACAAACTCGAGTTAATGCATATAGGTATTTAAACAAAAACTTTGTCATTTTTATTCCAGGTAAAATGAAAGTGAATATATTTAAGATTTTATGGAATTAATAATCTTTTATCTAGTCTGCACTTACAATGTGTTTTAAAATTGGCTGACAATGTCATTTTCAAAAACAACTGGTTTGGTTAACATATAAAAGGATCTATAAATAATTTTTTTTCTACCTTTTCTATTATATGGAATCAGACATAACAGGAACTTTTGTAATTTGGGTTTCTGGTCTCATCTTTGAACTCCTCAGTTCTATGCTCCGAATAAACTTCAAGCACAAGATGTTATTAATGATATTGGCTAATTTAATTTGATCCTCACATCAACATATATTTTCTGTTGCAATTAAATATTTGATCTTAGTGTTAAAATTATAGATTGGGCAAAATTGACCTCACACAGACTCTGGTTTATTCAATATTTGAAAGGCATCAAATGGAAATTGGTACTGTGGAATTTTTTTGCCCGGAGTTAGATCAAGTTAGAGGTTCATTTGCTGGGAATAAACTCAATTAATATTCTAAATATCCTTTCTTTCTAATCCTAAAGCTTTCATTTTTTAAATTTGAGCTCAGTTTAGAATCAAAAGAGCTGTTCCACGATTGAGGATCTCTGTTGAGAGTTTCTTCAACAAATGTTTTTTGGGGTTTTTCAAAATCAAAGAATATCTAAGTTTTCAGAACATGCACCTTTTAAATATTTTAAAATTTTAACTTTGGGGAAACTATATATAAAATTTAAAATAATGACAATAATATTCTTTTTTTTTTCAAAAGGACTGGTTTTGATCTGAGGAGATCTGCTTCAATTCTTAGTGAAGGTCAAAATTGCTACTGGTTGTCTGCTAGTCCATTGTCTTAAACACTGAGGGAAGAGTTTCCCATGCTTACACAGATAAGTCAGCTTTGCAAAATAAATCATACTATCAGCTAAATAAGCCAATTAAAGCAGGAATAATGTGATTAAAAGCAAATCACCCAAACACTTAAAATATCTTAAAAATCCAATATTTATTCTCCAATAAGGGAAAGTATTCAGACTTAATGCATAGAAATGGAGATGTGCTAGCTATGCAGATTCCTTCCATCTTTTCTCATGTTTCTAATGGCATTTTAAAGTAGACTATGCCTGGCTCTGCCTGGAGATTACTTCATAGACTAGTAGTTCTTCCAGGTTGTGAGAAAAAGTGGCATATTAGCTGCTTTATAATCCATGTAGCACATTTTCAAGCACCAGGTTAGTTCTAGGGATGAGCATATGATGAAATCCAACTGAGGAGGGAAAGTGTGCAGAGTAGAGAATAGCATATCATGAGGTATTCAAGCATTTGCCTGTATTGGCTTTGCATTTATTACCAGATACATTAAGAGCTGTCTGTGAATGTGAAAACAAATTTGGATCATCCTATCCAGAAGGGAAGGCTCCATTGTCTCCCTGTTTATCTGGCACTAGTACAGATTCCAAGTATTTGAGTATGCTGACTTTTAGGGCTAATAGAAACTGGTCTAGCTACCACGTGTGCCCTGGCACAGAACTGCATTAGTGATGTTTTTATTTAAGGGTCAAACTATTACTGTTCCTATGATCAAATGAAAAATTCTGGAATGTCTTTATAGTCTCCTTTATCCTAGTTCTGAATGACAACACATTTTTTAAAATTCATGTTTCTAACTTTGTTCAATTTGAAATTAATTATACTTGTAATTTTTGGACTGGAATTGAATTGAATTATATTGATCCAAAATTTTTTCTCAGAAGAATGTAATTTCATTTCTCTGAACTTCAAACATGAGTTATTTTCCATAATGATAGTAAAAAATTGAAGAATAGATGGCACTATCAGAATAAATGCATGTAGATAAAATAATCAATAGCTCATATAAAAATGCTTTGCTCACTTTTTTAATCCTTTGGCATTGCCTAAAAGAACTAAAGGTTTCTCTTTCAACACTAGTCTAGTCAGTTCACCTGGCCCAAATGGCTGTAGAAACCAGGTCCTTCCCCGTCCTGCTGGGTTACTGGAGGGTTGGGTTGGATGTACAGCCCGACTGGTTTTCACATCTCCTCTTTTGTCCTCCATGGTGGGTAATACCACCACGGGGATAAGTGTGCATTGCTCAAGGGTGCTGTTAGAAGACATGACTTCAGTGTACCCTTCTTCACAATGGCATGTTTTTGTCTGCAGGAGAACAAGAAGATTTATACTAGCCATGCAAGGAATCTTTGGAAGTCTAACAGACCTGACTTGAAGAGAAGGCTTTAAACAAGGTTTGTTTTGGGAATTACTATACATAATTCCTCTATTATTTTTAACTACAAAGAAACATACTTTTGGCATTATATGAAAATGTATTCTAAAGGTGAAAGCAAGTGAAGTCAGGACTTTTTAGATTGATAAAAGGAGATGTCTAAAATGGGATTTTTATGCCTCAAGACATGCTTTCTTTGGAGGAAGATAAACTGCATAAGAGACAGTGGGGTGACACATGATGGAGCTGGCTTGTCTGCCCTGATGAATTTTCACATACCTCGCTACAGTACGAGTGGGGTTGACTACACGGTGGGTTACAAGACCTGTCGGCATCAGGCTGGCTCATCACCAAGCAGCCCCCTGCGGAACAGAAAATCATGTTTTGACAAATAATATATTTTGCTATGATGAAAATACACTGTGGTTAGTGACTTGTCTTTGAATCTTGAACCACCTTGGGAATCCCAGGAATTTTTCTGTCAGTGGTTGACTGTGAAATATTTGGTTAACCTTGACCACCTTATGTAGTGACTCCAGGCCCTTTTTACCCAGGGGAGCTAGCTCAGTGCCTGGTACTCAGCAGGTATTCAACAAGCATTTGTTGAAAGAATGATTTTATAGCTGCTATTTTGAAAATACTAATTGCACACAAGCTTTTTCTGTCAGGAGCACATGAATCCAAGTCCAGCAATTGAAAAGCTGATTTCATTTCAAGTTAAAATTCTTTCTTGGAGATTCAAAACAATAGTTTTCACGTACTTTGAAATAACTCTTCAGCTCTTTATGTTAAATAAATGTTTTCTTTAAATAATGCATATTTCTTTTTCAGAAAAGTCACAATTTCTGCTAATTCATGGTGTTTTTTGGATATAGAGAAGAAAACAAATGTATCTACGAAATCATTTGTTTTGCACTATGGTTTTAACTTGATATTACAGCTGTTTATCTCGTTTATTTTCAAGTGTAGTACCAACTGTGCCTAATTTGTCTCAAGTGAGGTTTTAAGATGGAAATAGATGTCATAAAAAACATTGGTGACGTGAAGGAAGCTCCTATTTTCAAACTATACTTGTTCAGTTTAACAGAATTTTAGCAAAACAAAATTTTTTCTTTATTTATGGAACTGATGATTCTCTGGAATTTAATCACAGGCGCCTATTGCTAATTGTCTGTGTTTCTCTCAATATTATAATCACAAAATACTCATAGAAAAATTGTCACAGAAAAGCAGTTAGTCATTGCAAGGCAATCGCAGTTAATTGGCCACACTGAAGTTATTATTAAACACACACACACAAAGCAGTATTTTGAGTTTCTTACAAGGACAATTCATAAATTAAAGCAATTGATCAAGATAGGTAATATACTTTACATGCTTGTCTATTTGTCATAAAGAATCTCATCTCTCCTAAAAGATGAAAGAAGAATGCATATAGAGCTTAACACAAATCATTTACACATTGGCCTTTTGGTACTGAATAGCATTAGAAATAATCCATTGTACACTTTGCTGAATTGAAAAGAAATTAAAAATATGATTTTATAGGTAAGTCTTTTAAAATTCGACTTACCTTTGCATTGGGGGAATAGCCCCAATTGCAGTGGAAAAAGAGTTTTGAATATGTAGAAGAAAAGTCAGGTAAATATTATTTGCATCCATTATTGAAAAAAAACTGCAAACTTACAGGATCATCTAGAGAAGCTGTTAAATTTTCTTTGAATAGTTTAAAAAAGAATGGAGACATTCGTTTCCAATCTCTGAGCTCAATGGATGACTTCTGTAACACCTCCTCATTCAGAAAGCCTGTCTATCCCTCTCAGGACTCTTCTCACTCCATACCTCTTAGAGTGGGGTAGATGGAGCAGATTTTTCTCCCAAAAAATAATACAGTGAGAGAGCAAAGGGTTTCTACTAGATGTCTTTTCTTTGTTCCGTATGTGACCACAGGGAGTTGTTATTATTAAGGGTTTCTTGAGAGAGCTTTCTCATGTATAAAATCATATCTTCACAAGAAAAAAATTGACATCCTGATCCAGCTCCCATATGGAGGAAATAAGTAATTGGGTTTCAATAAATCCAGGTAATTTAAAATTCAATATAAAGATGGATAGTTTTCAAAAACCATATTGATCCTTGCTCCTGTTTCTTACTGTATATATTAAAGTTAAATTTCTAAACAAACATCACTCAGAGGCATCCAAATGCACACTGTTTTTTCCCCCGCAGCAGGGTCAAAACAGCAGCAAGTAAGCAGGTCTGCCTGAGCAGTTAACTGTCAAGACTCCTGCTGTTGCTATGCTATGGCAATTCCTATAAGTTAGATTTATAAAAAGAAATTGCTTATGGAAAGGCTTAGATTTCTGGGTCCATGTGCCTGAAATTAAGGTTCTGGTTCTGACTTGTATTTCTTTCTAGGAAATTTGCTTGGTGGTTCACTACCTATCTTGAGCCAAAGTCTCTTCCTCCTTCAAGGGGTCCTTAGGATCCCTCACGCTTACAGGCTTCAGATAGGCTTTTAGTAATTCCACACTAGAGTAGTTCTTTGGAGGTATATGTTGGTCGAAGTACAATCAAATAAAGTTCTTCCTTTGGATTTCTTCTTTGGATATATAATAATTTGGGGATGCAGGCACAGTAGGTCAGCTGCTCAGATGGTCTGGGTTTGAAATTTACCAGTAGGTCTTCCCTATTAATTAATTTAAAAATCTCTAAATCATAGACTTCTGAATTTAAGCAAGGTATTTGGATTTGTATAATCATATTCCCTTGCTGGTATTTTTGGTCTGCATTTATATTGCCTTCAAGGCACAGAAGCAGAAAGTCAAAAAAATTGATTTTTAAACATATAGTAAGTTACTCATATATAAAATTTCTAGAAAAGATCTGAAAATTATTTATAACAATTATTTATTAGAATTAGATAGTATTTTAATTAAGTTTCAGCAGCAATACCTAAAAAGGCTAGGTGAGAGATAATTTGAACCACCTATAAAATAAAATAATTTGTCATTGGTCACCAGATGGGTATATACAGCTTAGGCATCCTGAATCCCAAACAGGCTTTGAATACTGAAAGAGTAACTTTGTTTCCTTAATTATTTTCTTCAACCAATCACATGTGTGTTACAGGAAGATTTTCAAAGGACAAAGAGAAACTGGAGGTTTACCTGTTACATTTATACCATCTGACCTTTGACACCACACTGTTCGGGAAGAGCCCTTCCAAGCACTGGCCATCCATTTATATTCATAGCACTGTCCATCTGCAGGGAAATAATAAACATTAGCAGAAGCATTCTGTTACCCAGAAGGACAATCATGGGGATAGAGTATTAATAACATATTACTGAAAAGTAATAAGCTCATCTCTGATGATTCAAATGTCAATTTATTGTCCTGAAGTTGCCATGCATATGTTTAAAATTGCAGCTATATACCTCAATCCCAACTAATTTTCCATGTCTGCTGTCACACTACCTGGTGGGAACCTAGGTTTTTAATTTAATTTTTAAAAAATATTATGAAATAAATATGCAGCCAGGTATAGAGAATAACTGTATATATATATAGTTATATATATATATATATCTCCCATCATGCAATTTTAACAAATATTATTTATCCATATTTGCCTCAGTTTTCATTAGCTTGTTGATGAATAAAACATGAGATATATAATTATATTCTTTTCTGTTCTGATCACCCTCCCTGTCTGTCCAGCAATACATACTATTCTGAAGATGTATGACTTTCTTTGCCATGCTTTTAATTTTTTCACTATACACACACGCACACACACATAATTACTATATACAGAAATGATATATGGTATTACTTTCATACAGTCATAAATTTTAAAAATGTATCCTATTCTGTGTAGCATTCTGAAACTTAGTCAATGTTACAGGTGAAATACTTCTAAGTGATTTTAAAAAATGTAGTACAGTCAGTTTATTTTAACGGCTACATAGAATTCCATTGTACTACATAACACAGTTTATTTAGCTATTTTTCTATTAGATTATTTTTAATTTTGTTATTCAAACAATGCTCTGAAGGTCAACTGTGTGCAAATGGCCTGGTGCTTCTTTAAATTACATATCTAGAAGGGAAATTTCTTGGTATCACTGTATGGCTAGCTGAAACTTTATTAAATATTGCCCATTTTTTTCCTGCAAAAGGTGACAATTTACAAATCCATCAGTAGTGCATAAAGACTGCCATTGCTCTAAACACTCATGAAAATTTATAATTGCCAGATTTTAATTTTTTTTGGTTAGTCTTTTGGGTATGGAAAGTTATCTTGTCATTTTAAATTAAAGTTCCTTGATTACTAAAGTTATTGAACAGTAACAAAAATGTTTCAGGACATTTGGATCTCCTGGTATGCAAGCTGCTTATTTAAACATTTGGCCTTCTATATTTTTTCTCATTGAATTGTAGAAATTCTTCATTCTGGAACAGTGATTCTTAAAGTGCGGTTCAGAGACCCTGGGAGACACTGACATTCTTTCAGAGTGTGAGTGAGGATTTCCTCTTTGCAACTACAATCTGTGTAAGGTTGGATTTTCTTTACATACATAAACTAAAATAAGATTGCAATAAGATGAATGCAGAAGCAGATAAGAGAATCCAGCTGTCTTAAGTTAGACTTCACAGAGATTTGCAAAAATCCAAACAAGACCACTCTCGTCATTAAAGTTATTTTCCATTTGTTATGGTGAACTTATTTTGCAGGAAATTTGTTATTTATAGTAACATACAATTTTGTTTTTTGATCATTTTAAATAAATTAATAAATATTATAAGTTTTCTATTTTTAAAATTATACATGTCAGAAAAGAACAGTTCTTTCAGGTCCTCAACAATTTTAAGACTATTAACTTGTTTTGGATCAAAAAGTTCTAGATTTGCTATTCTAGACATGAATCCTTTGAAATTAATTGGCTTCATAAGTATATTTTTCAAGTTTGTGGCTTGTCCTGTAACCTTCTACTGTGTAGAAGTTTTAAATTTTAATTTAAAGAAATTTAAAATTTTTTCATTTTTGTTTGTGCTTTTGGTGTCATATTTAGGAAATCCTTCTCTACCTTGAGTTCATGAAAATATCCTCTTATATTTAGTATTTACAGTTTGTTCTTCATCTTTAGGTCTATAATTTATTGAAAATATAGTTTTGTATGTGATGTAAGCTAAAGATATTTTTTAAAACTTGATATGGATAACACATTTTGGCAATATTATTCATCCACTCATTCTCCCACTGACTTTCCCTCTGCCACTTACTTACCTACATAAGAATTTGTCGTGGAGATTCTCTTTTCTATTCTTTTAGTCTAATGGCTTAATTGTTGATCAATTACCCTTTTTAACTATTGATGCTTTAGAGTAAGTCTTGATATAAAGCCATGTAAGTCCCTTGAATTAGTCTCCCACTTTTCCTTCTTAAAAACATTCTGGGATCTTCTTGGCCTTTAACTCCTCTGACTTAATTTTAGGATCAATTTCTCAGATTACATTAACAACCTGTTCAAATTGCATAGATTTTATAGGTAAATCTGTATAAAATTTACATGTTATAATATTGGGGCTTTTTATTCATAAACATTTTCACCAACGTTTTAGTTTCATATCTTCCAATAAGATTTTATAATTTTTCATACCTATCTTAGATGATTTTGGTTGCATTTATTTTTTATAGTTTTAGTTTTATTGTCAATGCAGCTTTTTCCAATTCAATTTTATAACAGTTTTGCTGGTTAAAAAAAAAAAAAAGACTATTTATTTTGTGTATTGGTTTTTAAATTGTACAATGTTTCTGAATTTTCTTACTTCCAAACAGTCGTCTATAAATTATCTTGATTGTCTAAAATGTGAAATTCATATACTATGAGAATGATAATTTTATTTTTTCATTTTCAATTCTTAAACTTCTGATGACACTTGGCTGGAACCTCCTTCACTAGGTTGAAAATAAGTGGCAACAGTGGTATCCTTGTTCTGTTATTGATTCCAAGAGCCTGCCTCTAATGTTTCCCCATGTATTATGATGTTTGTGTAAATTTTGATAGACCTTATTTATTAAGTAAAAAGATTCTCTTCTAGTTCAAGTTTGGTCTACAAGTTTTTATTGTGAAAGTGAACTGAATTTTAGAAATACCTTTTAATGTGTATAAAAAATTATATCTTTATTTCTGTTAATGTGATAAATTACATTAAGAGATTTTATTAATATTTGGTTATCTTTGTATTTCAACAATTATTTGGTTATCTTTGTATTTCAACAATTATAGTCATATTATTAAATATTAATTTGGTTAGCTAATATTTTATTTTTATGATTTTGACATCTACTTTCATAAGTAACTTTATTTTTAACTGGTTTTACTGCCAAGGTTATACTCTCATAGTAACTGGGGGTTTGTTACATAGGTATACACGTGACATGGTGGTTTGCTGCACCCATCAACCTGTCATCTACATTAGGTATTTCTCCTAGTGCTATCCCTCCCCCTTACCTCCACCCCCTCACAGGAACCGGTGTGTGATGTTCCATTCCCTGTGTCCATATGTTCTCGTTGTTCAACTCCCACTTATGAGAACATGTGTGGTGTTTGGTTTTCTGTTCTTGTGACAGTTTGCTAAGAATGATGGTTTCTAGCTTCATCCATGTCCCTGCAAAGGACATGAACTCATCCTTTTTTATGGATGTATAATATTCCATGGTGTATATGTGCCACATTTTCTTTACCTAGTCTATCATTGATGGGCATTCGGGTTGGTTCCAAGTCTTTGCTATTGTGAACAGTGCTGCAATAAACATATGTGTGCATGTGTCTTTATAATAGAATGGTTCATAATCCTTTATGTATATACCCAGTAATGGGATTGCTGAGGCCAATGGTGTTCCTGGTTCTAGATCCTTGAGGAACCACCACACTATCTTCCACAATGGTTGAACTAATTGATACTTCCACCAACAGTGTAAAAGCGTTCCTGTTTCTCCATATCCTCTCTAGCATCCATTGTATCCTGACTTTTAAATGATCACCATTCTAACTGGTGTGAGATGGTATCTCATTGTGGTTTTGATTTGTGTTTCTCTAATGACCAGTGATGATGAGCTTTTCTTCATGTTTGTTGGCTGCATAATGTCTTCTTTTGAGAAGTGCTCATTCATATTCTTTGCTCACTTTTTGATGGCATTGTTTTTTTCTTGCAAATTTGTTTAAGTTCTTTGTAGATTCTGGATATTAGCCCTTTGTCAGATGGATAGATTGCAAAATTTTTCTCCCAATCGGCAGGTTGCCTGTTCACTCTGATGATAGTTTCTTTTGCTGTGCAGAAGTTCTTTAGTTTAATTAGATCCCATTTGTCAATTTTGGCTTTTGTGCCCATTGCTTTTGGTGTTTTAGTCATGAAGTCTTTGCCCATGCCTATGTCCTGAATAGTATTGCCTAGGTTTTCTTCTACGGTTTTTACGGTTTTAGGTCTTGGGTTTACGTCTTTAATCCATCTTGAGTGAATTTCTGTATAAGGTGTAAGGAAGGGGTCCAGTTTCAGTTTTCTGCATATGGCTAGCCAGTTTTCCCGACACCATTTATTAAATAGGGAATCCTTTCCCCATTGATTGTTTTTGTCAGGTTTGTCAAAGGTCAGATGGTTGTAGATGTGTGGTGTTATTTCTGAGGCCTCTATTGTGTTCCATTGGTCTATATATCTGTTTTGGTACCAGTACCATGCTGTTTTGGTTACTGTAGCCTTGTAGTATGGTTTGAAGTCAGGTAGCATGATGCCTCCAGCTTTGTTCTTTTTGCTTAGGATTGTCTTGGCTATGCGGGCTCTTTTTTTGTTCCAGATGAAACTTAAAGTAGTTTTTTTCTAATTCTGTGAAGAAAGTCAATGGTAACTTGATGGGGATAGCACTGAATCTGTAAATTACTTTGGGCAGTATGGCCATTTTCACAATATTGATTCTTCCTATCCATGATCATGGGATGTTTTTCCATTTATTTGTGTCCTCTCTGATTTCCTTGAGCAGTGGTTTGTAGTTCTCCTTGAAGAGGTCCTTCACATCCCTCGTAGGTTGTATTCCTAGGTATTTTATTCTCTTTGTAGCAATTGTGAATGGAAGTACACTCATAATTTGGCTGTTTTTCTGTTATTGGTTTATAGGAATGCTTGTGATTTTTGCACATTGATTTTGTATCCTGAGACTTTGCTGAAGTTGCTTATCAGCTTAAGGAGATTTTGGGCTGATATGATGGGGTTTTCTAAATATACAATCATGTCATCTGCAAACAGAGACAACTTGACTTCCTCTTTTACTATTTGAATACCCTTTATTTCTTTCTCTTGCCTGAACGCCCTGGCCAGAACTTCCCATACTATGTTGAATAGGAGTCGTAAGAGAGGGCATCCTTGTCTTGTGCCAGTTTTCAAAGGGAATTCTTCCAGTTATTGCCCATTCAGTATGGTATTGGCTGTGGGTTTGTCATAAATAGCTCTTATTATTTTGAGATATGTTTCATCAATACCTAGATTATTGAGAATTTTTAGCATGAATGGGTGTTGAATTTTGACAAAGGCCTTTTCTGCATCTAATCATGTGGTTTTTGTCATTGATTCTGTTTATGTGATGGATTATGTTTATTGATGTACGTATGTTGAACCAGCCTTGCATCCCAGGGATGAAGCCGACTTGATTGTGGTAGATAAGCTTTTTGATGTGCTACTGGATTCAGTTTGCCAGTATTTTGTTGAGGATTTTCGCACCAATGTTCATCAGGGATATTGGCCTGAAATTTTCTTTTTTTTTTTGTTGTGTCTTGGTATCAGGATGATGATGGCCTCATAAAATGAGGTAGGGAGGATTCCCTCTTTTTCTATTGATTGGAATCGTTTCAGAAGGAATGGTACCAGCTTCTCTTCGTACCTCTGGTAGAATTTGACTGTGAATCCATCTGGTCCTGGACTTTTTGTGGTTGGTAGGCTATTAATTAGTGCCTCAATTTTAGAACTTGTCGTCTATTCAGGGATTCGACTTCTTCCTGGTTTAGACTTTGGAGGATGTATGTGTCCAGGAATTTATCCATTTCTTCTAGATTTCCTATTTTATTTGTATAGAGGTGTTTATAGTATTCTCAGATGGTAGTTTGAATTTCCGTGGGATCACTGGTGACATCCCCTTTATCATTTTTTATTGCATCTATTTGATTGTTCTCTCTTTTCTTCTTTCTTCGTCTGGCTAGCAGTGTATCTATTTTGTTGATCTTTTCAAAAAACCAGGTAATGGATTCATTGATTTTTTAGAAGAGTTTTTTGTGTCTCTATTTCCTTCAGTTCTGCTAGCTTTTGAATTTGTTTGCTCTTACTTCTCTAGCACTTTTAATTGTGATGTTAGAGTGTAAATTTTAGATCATTCCTGCTTTCTATTGTGTGCATTTAGTGCTATAAACTTCCCTCTGGTACTTTGAGTCTGTGTTCTCATTGCTTTCAGAGAATATTTACCCAGTAAGTCATTCAGGAGCAGGTTGTTCAGTTTCCATGTAGTTGTGCAGTTTTGAGTGAGTTTCTTAATCCTGAGTTCTAATTGGATTGCACTGTGATCTCAGAGACTGTTTATGATTTCTGTTCTTTTGCATTTGCTGAGGAGTGTTTTACTTCCAATTATGTGGTCACTATTAGAATAAGTGTGATGTGGTGCTGAGAAGAATGTATATTCTGTTGATTTGGGGTGGAGAGTTCTGTAGAAGTCTATTAGGTCTGCTTGTTCCAGAGCTGAGTTCAAGTCAAGTCCTGAATATCCTTGTTAATTTTCTGTCATGTTGATCAGTCTATTATTGGCAGTGGTGTGTTAAATTGTGTGGGAGTCTAAGTCTCTTTGTAGGTCTCTAAGAACTTGCTTTATGAATCCGGGCGCTCCTGCATTGGGTGCATCTATATTTAAGACAGTTAGCTGTTCTTGTTACATTGATCCCTTTACCATATTTAATGCCCTTCTTCGTCTCTTTTGATCTTTGTTGGTTTAAAGTCTGTTTTATCAGAGACTAGAATTGCAACTCCTGCTTTTTTTTTTTTTTTTTTTTTTTTTTTTTTTTTTTTTTTGCTATTTGCTTGGTAAATATCCCTCCATCCCTTTATTTTGAGCCTATGTGTGTCTTTGCACGTGAGATGGGTCTCCTGAACACAGCACACTGATAGGTCTTGACTCTTTATCCAATTTGCCAGTCTGTGTCTTTTAACTGGGGGCATTTAGCCCATTTACATTTAAGGTTAATATTGTTATGTATGAATATGATCCTGTCATTGTGATGCTAGCTGGTTATTGTGCCTGTTAGTTGATGCAGTTTCTTCATAGTGTTGATGGCCTTTACAATTTGTTACGTTTGTGGTACCAGTTGTTCTTTTCCATGTTCAGTGCTTCCTTCAGGAGCTCTGGTAAGGCAGGCCTGGTGGTGACAAAATCTCTCAGCATTTGCTTGTCTGTAAAGAATTTTATTTCTCTTTCACTTATGAAGCTTAGTTTGGCTGGATATGAAATTCTGGCTTGAAAATTCTTTTCTTTAAGAATGTCGAATATGGGCCCCCACTCTCTTCTGGCTTGCAGGGTTTCTGCAGAGGGATCCACTGTTAGTCTGATGGGCTTCCCTTTGTGGGTAACCTGACCTTTCTATCTGGCTGCCCTTAACATTTTTTCGTTCATTTCAACCTTTGTGAATCTGATGATTATGTGTCTTGGGGTTGCTCTTCTCAAGGAGTATCTTTGTGGTGTTCTCTGTATTTCCTGAATTTGAATGTTGGCCTGTCTTGCTAGGTTGGGGAAGTTCTCCTGGATAATATCCTGAAGAGTGTTTTCCATTCTCCCCATCACTTTCAGGTACAACAATCAAAGGCAGATTTAGTCTTTTCACATAGTCCCATATTTCTTGGAGGCTTTGTTTGTTCCTTTTTATTCTTTTCTCTCTAATCTTGTCTTCTCACTTTATTTCATTAAGTTGATCTTCAATCTCTGATATTGTTTCTTCTGCTTTATTGATTTGGCTATTGATACTTGTGTATGCTTCACGAAATTTTTGAGCTGTGTTTTTCAGCTCCATCAGGTCATTTATGTTGTTATCTAAACTGGTTATTCATGTTAGCAATTCTTCTGACCTTTTTTCAAGGTTCTTAGCTTCCTTGCATTTGGTTAGAACATGCTCTTTTAGCTCAGAGGAGTTCGTTATTACCCACCTTCTGTCAATTCGTCAAACTTATTCTCTGTCCAGTTTTGTTCCCTTGCTGGTGAGGAGGTGTGATCCTTTGGAGGGGAAGAGGCATTCTGGTTTTTGAAATTTTCAGCCCTTTCGAGCTAGTTTCTCCCCATCTTCGTGGATTTATCTACCATTGGTGTTTGATTTTGGTGACCTTCGGATGGGGTCTCTGAGTGGACGTCCTTTCTTATTGATGTTAATGCTATTCCTTTCTGTTTGTTAATTTTTCTTCTAACAATCAGAACCCTCTGCTGCAGGTCTGCTGGAGTTTTCTGGAGGTCCACTCCAGACCCTATTTGCCTGGATATCACCAGCAGAGGCTACAGAACAGCAAAGATTGCTGCCTGTTCCTTCCTCTGAAAACTTCATCCCAGAGGGGCACCTGCCAGATGCCAGCCAGAGCTCTCCTTTATGAAGTGTCTTTTGTCCCCTACTGGGAGGTGTCTCCCAGTCAGGAGACGTGGGGTCGGGACCCACTTGAGGAGTCAGTCTGTTCCTTAGCAGAGATCAAATGCTGTGCTGGGAGATCTGCTGCTCTCTTCAGAGCCATCAGGCAGGGATGTTTAAGTCTGCCTAAGCTGCACTCACAGTGCCCCTTGCCCCAGGTGCTCTGTCCCAGGGAGATAGATAGGAGTTTTATCTATTAGCCCCTGACTGGGGCTCCTGCCTTTTTTTTCACAAATGCCCTGCCCAGAGAGGAGGAATCTAGAAAGGCGGTCTGGCCACAGCAGACTTGCTGAGCTGTTGTGGGCTCTGCCCAGTTTGAACTTCCTGGTGACTTTATTTACACTGTGAAGGTAAAACAGCCTACTCAAGCCTCAGTAATGGCAGACGCCCCTCCCCAGCTCGAGCATCTCAGGTCAACCTCAGACTGCTGTGCTGGCAGCGAGAATTTCAAGCCAGTGGATCTTAGCTTGCTGGGTTCTGTGAGTGTGGCACCTGCCCAGCCAGACCACTTGGCCCCCTGGCCTCAGCCCCCTTTCCAGGGCAGTGAATGGTTCTGTCCTGGCAGTGAATGGTTCTGTCCTGCTGGCATTCCAGGTGCCATTGGGGTATGAAAAAAAGCTCCTGCAGCTAGCTAGGTGTCTTCCCAAATTGCCACCCAGTTTTGTGGTTGAAACCCAGGGCCCTGGTGGCGGAGGCACCAGAGGGAATCTCTTGGTCTGCGGGTTGCAAAGACTGCGATGTATCTGGGCTGGAGTACACCGTTCACAGTCTTTCACAGCTTCCCTTGGCTAGGGCAGGGAATCCCTGACCCCTTGCGCTCCCCAGGTGAGGCAATGCCCCACTTTGCTTCAGCTTGCCCTCCGTGGGCTGCACCCACTGTCCAACGAGTCCCAATGAAATGAATTGGGTACCTCAATTGGAAATGTAGAAATCACCCATCTTCTGCATTGATCTCGCTGGGATCTGCAGACCGGAGCTGTTCCTATTTGGCCATCTTGCCCAGAATCTCAACTTCTTTTTTTAAGATTTCACATAGGGAGATCCTGGATCCAAGATGGCCAAATAGGAACAGTGCCAGCCTGCAGCTTCCAGTGAGATTGATGCAGAAGGTGGGTGATTTCTGCATTTCCAACTGAGGTACCTGGCTCATCTCATTGGGACTGGCTGGACAGTAAGTGCAGCCCATGGAGGGTGAGCTGAAGCAGGGTGGGGTGTTGCCTCACCTGGGAAGTGCGAGGGGTTGGGGAACTCTCTCCCCTAGCCAAGGGAAGCCATGAGGAATGGTGCATTCCGGCCCAGATACTATGCTTTTCTCATGGTCTTTGCAACCCACTAGACCAGGAGATTCCCTCGGGTGCCTACACCACCAGGGCCTTGGGTTTCAAGCACAAAACTGGGTGGCTGTTTGGGCAGACACTGAGCTAGTTGCAAGAGTTTTTTTTTCATACCCAAGTGGGGCCTGGAGCACCAGCAGGACCGAACTATTCACTCCCCTGGAAAGGGGGCTGAAGCCAGGGAGCTGAGTGGACTAACTCAGTGGATCCCACCCCCACAGAGCTCAGCAAGCTAAGATCCACTGGCTTGACATTCTCACTGCCAGCACAGCAGTCTGAAGATGACCTGTGACTCTCAAGCTTGGTGGGAGGAGGGGTGTATACCATTATTGAGACTGGAGTAGGCAGTTTTCTCCTCACAGTGTAAACAAAGCTGCTGGGAAGTTTGAACTGGGCAGAGCCCACCACAGCTCTGCAAAGCCCTTGTAGCCAGACTGCCTCTCTAGATTCCTTCTCCCTGAGCAGGGCATCTCTGAAAGAAAGGCAGCAGCCCCAGTCAGGGGCTTATAGATCAAACTCCCATCTCCCTGGGATAGGATAGAGCACCTGGGGGAAGGGGCAGCTGTGGGTGCAGCTTCAGCAGAATTAAACATCCCTGCCTGATGGCTCTGAAGAGAGCAGTAGATCTCCCAGCACAGTGTTTGACCTCTGCTAAGGGTCATACTCTCTCCCGAAGTGGGTCCCTGACCCCTGTGTCTTTGACTGGGAGATACCTCTCAGCAGGGGTTGACAGATGCCTCATACAGGAGAGCTCTGGCTGGCATCTGGCAGGTGCCCCTCTGGGATGAAGTTTTCAGAGGAAGTAACTGGCAGCAATCTTCGCTGTTCTGCAGCCTCCGTTGGTGATATCCAGGCAAACAGGGTCTGGAGTGGACCTCCAGCAGACCTGCAGCAGAGGGTCCTGACTGTTAGAAGAAGAAAGGAATAGCATTAACATCAATAAAAAAGGATGTCCACTCAGAGACCCCGAACTGAAGGTAACCAACATCAAAGGTAGATAAATCCATGAAGACGAGGAAAAACCAGCACAAAAAGTCTGAAAATCCAAAAACCCAAATGCTTCCTCTCCTCCAAAGTATCACAACTCTTCGCCAGCAGGGGAACAAAACTGGATGAAGAATCATTTTGACAAATGGACAGAAGTAGCCTTCAGAAGGTGAGTAATAACAAACTCCTCTGAGCTAAAGGAACACGTTCTAACAAACAGAATGCAGGGAAGCTAAGAACCTTGAAAAAAGTTAGATGAATTGCTAACAAGAATAACCAGTTTAGATAACAGCATAAATGACCTGATGGAGCTGAAAAACACAGCTCAAAAATTTCGTGAAGCATACACAAGTATCAATAGCCAAATCGATAAAGCAGAAGAAACAATATCAGAGATTGAAGATCAACTTAATGAAATAAAGTGAGAAGACAAGATTAGAGAGAAAAGAATAAAAAGGAACAAACAAAGCCTCCAAGAAATATGGGACTATGTGAAAAGACTAAATCTGCCTTTGATTGTTGTACCTGAAAGTGATGGGGAGAATGGAACCAAGTTGGAAAACACTCTTCAGGATATTATCCAGGAGAACTTCCCCAACCTAGCAAGACAGGCCAACATTCAAATTCAGGAAATACAGAGAACACCACAAAGATACTCCTTGAGAAGAGCAACCCCAAGACACATAATCATCCGATTCACAAAGGTTGAAATGAACGAAAAAAATGTTAAGGGCAGCCAGATAGAAAGGTCAGGTTACCCACAAAGGGAAGCCCATCAGACTAACAGTGGATCCCTCTGCAGAAATCCTACGAGCCAGAAGAGATTGGGATCCAATATTCAACATTCTTAAAGAATTTTCAATCCACAATTTCACATCCAGCCAAACTAAGCTTCATAAGCAAAGGAGAAATAAAATTCTTTACAGACAAGCAAGTGCTGAGAGATTTTGTCACCAGCAGGCCTGCAAGAGCTCCTAAAGGGCACACTCAATATTGAAAGAAAAAACTGGTACCAGCCACTGCAAACATGTAGATCAGTCAGAGTGGTGGGAGAAACTATAGGGAAAGGAGCAGGCCTTCGGAAAGGTGCGAAGGCTCTGCCTGGCTTTGCGGGAGAATAGCCAAAGGCAGCTGTTCTCTGACCCTGAGGCAGAGGGCAAGGAGTAGGTACAAGGGAGTGTAGGGGAATTTATCTTAAACAGGCTTGTTTACTTGTGTTGACCAAGAACCGATCTTTGATCACCCGCACACGTGATGTTCCTTGAAAGGGGAACAATAAATGTTAGTTACCCACAGATTGTGTTTGCTCCAGGCTTTTGGAATCACGCCTACACTGAATAAAAGCATGCAGCTCCAGCTTCTCGGGGCTGCACTTTGGCAGCTATAGCCAGGCAGACGCCTAGCTGCTCTTACACTGCATACCTGTGGCCGAGTACTCATTTCATTCATCGGTCGGCCAGGGTCTGTGGGACAGACCCAGCACAAACACATACCAAATTGTAAAGACTATCGACACTATGAAGAAACTGCATCAACTAATGGTCAAAATAACCAGCTAGGATCACAATGACAGGATCAAATTCACATATAACAATATTAACCTTAAATGTAAATGGGCTAAATGCCCCAATTAAAAGACACAGACTGGCAAATTGAATAACAAGTCAAGACCCATTGGTGGGCTATATTCAGGTGACCCATCTCACGTGCAAAGACACACATAGGCTTAAAATAAAGGGATGGAGGAATATTTACCAAGCAAATGGAAAGCAAAAAAAAAAAAAGCAGGGGTTACAATCCTAGTCTCTGATAAAACAGACTTTAAACCAACAAAGATCAAAAGAGACAAAGAAGAGCATTACATATGGTAAAGGGATCAATGTAACAAGAACAGCTAACTATCCCAAATATAGATGCACCCAATGCAGGAGCACCCAGATTCATAAAGCAAGCCCTTAGAGACCTACAAAGAGAGTTAGACTCCCACACAATAATAGTGGGAGACTTTAACACCCCATTGTCAATATTAGGCAAATCAATGAGACAGATAATTAATAAGGATATTCAGGACTTGAACTAAGCTGTGGACCAAGGAGACCTAATAGACTTCTACAAAACTCTCCACCCCAAATCAACAGAATATGCATTCTTTTTTTTTTTTTTTTCTTTTTTGAGACAGAATCTTGCTCTGTCACCCAGGCTGTAGTGCAGTGGCACTATCTCAGCTCACTGCAACCTCCACCTCCCAGGTTAAAGTGATTCTCCTGCCTCAGCCTCCCGAGTAGCTGGGACTACAGGCACCCGCCACCATGTCCAGCTGATTATTGTATTTTTAGTAGAGATGGGGTTTCACCATATTGGCCAGGCTGTTCTCAAACTACCGACCTTGTAATCCGCCCGCCTCGGCCTCCCAAAGTGCTGGGATTACAGGCATGAGCCACCGTGCCCGGCCCAGAATATACACTCTTCTCAGCACCACATTGCATTTTTTCTAAAATTGACCACATAGTTGGAGGTAAAACAAACACTCCTTAGAAAATCCAAAAGAACAGAAATCATAACAAACAGTCTCTCAGACACAGTACAATCAAATTAGAAGTCAGGATTAAGAAACCCACTCAAAACCGCTCAACTACATGGAAACTGAACAACCTGCTCCTGAATGACTACTGGGTAAATAACAAAACTAAAGCAGAAATAAGTAAGTAAGTTATTTGAAACCAATGAGTTCAAAGACACAACATACCAGAATCTCTGGCACACAGCTAAAACTGTGTTTAGAGGGAAATTTATAGCACTAAATGCTCACAGGAGAAAGCAGGAAAGATCTAAAATCAACACCTTAACATCACAATTAAAAGAACTAGAGAAGCAAGAGTAAATTCAAAAGCTAGCAGAACTCAAGAAATAACTAAGAGCAGAGCTGAAGGTGATAGAGACATGAAACACCCTTAAAAAAATCAATCAAGGAGCTGTTTTTTTGAAAAGATCAACAATTTAGATATATGGCTAGCCAGACTAAGAAAGAAGAAAAGAGAGAAGAATCAAATAGATTCAATAAAAAATGATAAAGGGGATATCATCACCGATCCCACAGAAATACAAACCACTATCAGAGCATACTATAAACACCTCTACACAAATAAGCTAGAAAATTTAGAAGAGAGAAATTCCTGGAAACATACTCCCTCCCATGACTAAACCAGGAGGAAGCTGAATCCCTGAAGAGACCAATAACAAGTTCTAAAATTGAGGCAGTAATTAGTAGCCTACCAACCACAAAAAGCCCAGGAACAGACAGATCCACAGCCACATTCTACCAGAGGTACAAAGAGGAGCTGGTACCATTCTTTCTGAAACTACTCCACACAATATAAAAAGAGGGACTCCTCCCTAACTCATTTTATGAGGCCACCATCATCCCGATACCAAAACCTGGCAGATACACAATAAAGAGAAACAAATTTCAGGCCAATATCCCTGATGAACATTGATGTGAAAATCCACAATCACATACTGGCACATCGAATCCAGCAGCACATCAAAAAGCTTATCCACCATGATCAAGTCGGCTTCATCCCTGGGATGCAAGGCGGGTTCAACATATGTGAATCAATAAACGTAATCCATCACATAAATAGAACCAATGACAAAAACCACATGATTATCTCAATAGATGCAGAAGAGGCCTTTGACAAAATTCAACACCCCTTCATGCTAAAAACTCTCAATAAACTAGGTATTGATGGAACATATCTCAAAATAATAAGAGCTATTTATGTCAAACCCACAGCCACAGGGCTACAGTAACCAAAACAGCACGGTACTGGTAGCAAAACAGATATAAAAACCAATGGAACACAACCGAGGCCTCAGAAATAATAACACACATCTACAACCATCTGATCTTTGACAAGCCTAAGAAAAGCAATGGGAAAAGGATTCCCTATTTAATAAATGGTGTCGGGAAAACTGGCTAGCCATATGCAGAAAACTGAAACCGGACCCCTTCCTTACACCTTATACAGAAATTCACTCAAGATGGATTAAAGACGTAAACCCAAGACCTAAAACCGTAAAAACCGTAGAAGAAAACCTAGGCAATACTATTCAGGACATAGGCATGGGCAAAGACTTCATGACTAAAACACCAAAAGCAATGGCCACAAAAGCCAAAATTGACAAACGGGATCTAATTAAAGAGCTTCTGCACAGCAAAAGAAACTATCATCAGAGTGAACAGGCAACCTGCTGATTGGGAGAAAAATTTTGCAATCTATCCATCTGACAAGAGGCTAATATCCAGAATCTACAAAGAACTTAAACAAATTTACAAGAAAACAACAACCCCATGAAAAAGTGGGCGAAGAATATGAACAGACACTTCTGAAAAGAAGACATTATGCAGCCAACAAACATGAAAAAAAGCTCATCAACACTGGTCATTAGAGAAATGCAAATCAAAACCACAATGAGATACCATCTCACACCAATTAGAATAGTGATCATTTAAAAGTCAGGAAACAATGGATGCTAGAGAGGATGTGGAGAAACAGGAATGCTTTTACACTGTTGGTGGGACTGTAAATTAGTTCAACCATTGTGGAACACAGCATGGTGATTCCAATGGTGATTCATTGGACCCAGCAATCCCATTACTGGGTATATACACAAAGGATTATAAATCATTCTATTATAAAGACACATGCACATTTATATTTATTGCAGCACTGTTCACAATAGCGAAGACTTGGAACCAACCCAAATGCTCATCAATGATAGACTGGATGAAGAAAATGTGGCACGTATACACCATGGAATAGTATGCAGCCATAAAAAAGGATGAGTTCATGTCCTTTGCAGGGACATGGATGAACCTGGAAACTATCATTCTCAGCAAACTAACACAGAAACAGAAAACCAAACACTGCACGTTCTCATTCATAATTGGGAGTTGAACAATGAGAATACATGGACACAGGGAGGGGAACATCACACACTGGGGCCTGTCGAGGGGTAGGGGCTAGGGGAGGGATAGCATTAGGAGAAATACGTAAAGTAGATGAAGTAGATGATGGATTGATGGGTGCAGCAAATCACCATGGCATGTGTATACCTGTGTAACAAACCTGCACGTTCTGCACATGTACCCCAGAACTTAAAGTATAATTAAAAAAAGAAACTAAATGTAATTCATATTAAGAAAAGAATATGTTCTTATAAAAAAAAAGATTTCACGTAAGTAGGAGTTGAAGTATTGCTCCTCACAAGAGGGCATTAGCTACGGGGGTCTGTCTGCAGACCCTGACCCCAGCGATGGATGAATAAAACGTACACTGACACACAGATATTATCTTTTGCCAGTCCTGCTGAGTGTCTGACCATCTACACACCAGAGAGGTTTGTCACTGCAGCCAGCCCTGATCAGTGAGGGAGACTCACATTTATTAGTTAACAAAAGCTTGAGTCAATGCCATTAGACGGTAATTGACATTGTGGACTTAAAGAGTAAAAAGCATGTATCAAAGGCTCATCTTGAGACCACGTGGGTAAACAAGCTAACTAGATAACTTCCTCACATCCCGTTGTTTACTACTCTAATCTATTTAACTAAAGGTAATGGGACTAGGCCGCCTTCTACCAGGTCTATTACCAAAGTCATGTGAAAACCCTCAGGCCTTCCAAAAGGGTTTTGTGGCTATCATAACTGGTATTTTTCCCACCAGCCTGATCAAATCTCAACAAGGAGTTGTCTGTTTCTTTAAATTTTGGGAAAACTCATAATTAAAGCCATTTAAATTTTAGTTTGTGTGCATATGTGAGTATGTATTTCATAGGTTTGAAAATAGTTATATAATCTATGGTGTAGGTTTTTCATTACTCTTGATAAAATATAACCTTCTAAATTATCTTGACATTTTTACTTCTGTTAGAAAAAGCTATTCACCGAATTATATTCTATTTTTCTAAACTTTATTTTATTTATGGTAATGACAACTTTGCTTTTTTTTTCCTCTTCACTGAATTTGCCATGAGCTGGTCTATTTTGTCAGTTTGCTCTAAAAACAATCTATTGGTTTTGTTGATTATTTTCTGTCTCACTGAATTTATACTCATCCATGTTGGTTGCATTCCATTTCCTTTTTGCTTTTCTTAAAAATTTATTCAGTTGAGACGCATGAAAAAATGCTCATCATCACTGGCCATCAGAGAAATGCAAATCAAAACCACAATGAGATACCATCTCACACCAGTTAGAATGGCGATCATTAAAAAGTCAGGAAACAACAGGTGCTGGAGAGGATCTGGAGAAATAGGAACACTTTTACACTGTTGGTGGGACTGTAAACTAGTTCAGCTATCGTGGAAGACAGTGTGGCGATTCCTCAAGGATCTGGAACTAGAAATACCATTTGACCCAGCCATCCCATTACTGGGTATACGCCCAAAGGACTATAAATCATGCTGCTATAAAGACACATGCACACATACGTTTATTGCGGCACTATTCACAATAGCAAAGACTTGGGACCAACCCAAATGTCCATCAATGATAGACTGGATTAAGAAAATGTGGCACATATACACCATGGAATACTATGCAGCCATAAAAAAGGATGAGTTCATATCCTTTGTAGGGACATGGATGAAGCTGGAAACCATCATTCTGAGCAAACTATGGCAAGGACGAAAAACCAAACACCGCATGTTCTCACTCATAGGTGGGAATTGAACAATGAAAACACTTGGACACAGGAAGGGGAACATCACACACTGCGGCCTGTTATGGGGTCGGGGGAGGGGGGAGGGATAGCATTAGAAGATATACCTAATGTAAATGACGAGTTAATGGGTGCAGCACACCAACATGGCACATGTATACATATGTAACAAACCTGCATGTTGTGCACATGTACCTTAGAACTTAAAGTATAATTAAAAAAATTAAAAAAGAATTTATTCAGTTGAATGCTTAGTTCATTTTTAACTTTTCTCCCTTCTGTAGAAGCGTTTAAAGCTTCAAGATCTCCTCTAGGTACTTCTTTGCTGCATCCCATATAACATTTGCTGGATAATGCTTTAGAGGTATGATTTTACTCTCTAAGGTGTGCGTGTGGAGATCTCTTTTGTCATTGTTCTATTGATTCCTAATTTTATTTCCTTGTCATTTTGGAGTGAATACTTTTCTTTCTTGCCTTGGGAATTATTTTATTTATTGTAACTTTTGACCTTTCTTTACTCTTTACTTATCCTATGCTGGCATATGGAGTGTTTTACCTAGTTGATAAATTTAGGAAGATCAAATTGACAGAGCAGGTAATTCCATCTAATTCTTGGGCTAAGTCATCTAGCCCATTTGGTTTTTACTGCAAGTATTCTTTTCCAACACTTTAAGCTTTTGTCTCCTACTTTTCAGTAAGAAAGGTGATATTTTGTCTCCTACTTGCTACTATGTCATATTACTTATTTCAGAACATCAGCAGCATTAAGGGTTGTTTGTTGAGCCCCACACCCTCTACCAAATAGCAATTCTTTTGTTTTCGAGTCTTCGGGTGTTGTTTCCCAAACCACGACATTTAATGCTGTGATTCTTGAAGATGTATTGCTTACATTGAGTGAATGATTCTATGTGTGTATACGTTCACACAGACATATAAACATAGATGTTTATATATATTCTAAGTAAAATTCAGATTAAAATCAATTTTTACCAATAATTTGATTTATCCATTTGAAAAAATATAGTAAAATCTCACACTTTGCTGTGGATTTGTAATTTTTATTTAATTGTGTCATTTGATTTAAATAAATTGAAGATTGTTAGACTCCTACCTGATCATAATTGTTATAAGCGTACAAATAATGTGCTCCTAATTATCTCAGCCTTCTTGAGCTCATAAAACCGGGAAACATTTTTGCAAAACTCACACCTTATTTATGAAGGGTGGCAGGATGTTCCATCTTTCCAATCTTTAGAATTCAGAATCTTCCCCTTACTTTAGTCCTCAGCCTCAAGTGACATCTGAGTAAATTTTTAAATTATTTATTTATTTATTTTTGAGATGGAATTTCACTCTTGTTGCCCAGGCTGGAGTGCAGTGGTGCAATCTCGGCTCACTGCAGTCTCTGGCCTCCCGGGATCAAGTGATTCTCCTGCCTCAGCCTCCTGAGTAGCTTGGATTACAGGAGCCTGACACCATGCATAATTTTTTTTTTGGTAGAGTTTGGGTTTGGCCATGTTGGCCAGGCTGGTCTCACAACTCCTGGCCTCAGGTGATCCGCCCACCTAGGCCTCCCAAAGCGTTGGGATTACAGGCGTGAGCCACCGCACGTGGCCAACTTTGTTTATTTTTAACAGACTATTTTTTTTTTAATCTTATGCTTTTGCTTAAGATAGAGTATATGAACGGTAGCACTCACCATAACATGATTTTGTTTCTAACATCTGCTCTGGGCACAGATGCTGATTCTCTAGTTCTTGTATAATCACCGGTCTGGATCTGACCTGTATTCCACCAAAGCCTAGATCCTCACCATTCACACAGGTCAGCTGACACAGGCTCCAGGAAGACCAGTCCTTCAAATAACAGTCACCTGTAAAACACATATTTGTAATTTACACCCATATCCACAGAGAAAAGCCAGCCCGATAATCATTTTAATTCCAACCCCAGTAGGCAATGTTTCTGGTATCCCAGGCACACATAATATTTATAAGATTTAAATAAGCATTTAATATTTGTAAATTTGTAATTGTATAACTTTGTATATGTATTGTTATTTTCCGTATGGCTATTACTGGTCTATGTGTTGCTTAATGATATCAAAGGTAAATTGTGGCTGACAGGAGCTCATCCACCGTAATTCATCTCTTCTTAGGATACAACAAATATTTGATCAAAACCTACTATCATTCTTGTCATTATCATAGTAAAGTGGTTTATTACACATGAGTTACACTCAAAGAAAGCCTAAATATAAACAGAATTAGTCTTCTAGGTATTCACAATTTTGAAAAGTTTGAAATCCAAGGCCGACAGAGCTGGTTTTATGTTTTCATTCCTATTTCTTCCCAGATGAGTGGAGGTGAGAGAGACAACTGAGCAGTTGCAGTACTGGAAATAATGCTCACTATTTCCTCTGATCTACATCCTCAATCAACTTCTCTTTAAAATATTGATTTATTGAAGGATAACAAACATGTAAAATGATCACATATCATAGATGCACAGATGATAGCTGAATTTCGATAATCTGATTATATAACCATGTGATCAACACCCAAATCAAGGAACAGAACATTCCCAGGATCTCAAAACCCTCCCTTGTGTGATATATGAAATCATACCATATGTACTTTTTGGTGTCTGGCTTCTTTCTCTCATTTATGTTTGTGAAATCCATCATACATTTATGAAGTTCTAATTTCTTCATTCGTACAACTTTCCATTGTGTGAATATATCATAATTTAGATATCCATTCTACTACTGATGGGCATGTGGGGAGTTGTAAATTTTTCCCATCATGTTATTGTAAACATTTCAGTACAAGTCTTTTGATGAACTTATATATGCATTTCTGTTGGGTATGTACCTAGGAGTGCAATTGCTGGGCCATAGTGCATCCATGCTTCCAAAATCTTTAGCCATTTTAAGAACAGAAAAGATTTTATGAAATACACCCTTTCCATTAACCCATCCATTCTTCAGAGTGACTGCTTAGTGATACTCTTCAGAGTACACAGTCAATTATGATAGACACAAATTCACAAGGGTTTCTTATCACTTATTTATTATAGCCAGGTCATATGAATAATTCATATTGCCTTATATTATGCTGAAGGTGACTGGTATTAGCAGAAAGTTGCCTGGAGATCTGATTAATGGAAAAACTTCTTGTGTCATGCCTAAGAAGTCCTGGTAAGACATGAATTATTGACTAACATATATATACGTAATAGCAAAATGGAGTGATTTTTGTAGGCCTTTATTAAAGAATGTAATTGGTACTCCTGAAGTACAGAAAGTTCTAGTAAATTTTGGAAATGCAAAGGAAAAAGAAACTAGAAAGAATTTCTAAATAGTCTGAGAAAGTTTTAGAAACGCTTTTATTTCCTAGGAAATGTCACTTTGGAGTTACTCAGTTTTTAATTATGTAGGAAAACTGCTAAAGTTAAAAAAATTCCTGTCAATATGAATGTAATAAAATTTCACCTCAGTGATTGAAAATTACATGGAAAGAAAACATACCTTTTCACCAGTAGGCTTTATCTTTGTGGCAATTCACATTTAGCATCATTTATTTTGCAACAAAATGTAATAAATCTTTTAATGATAGTCTGTGAGTTATGTAATTTTCGCCCCTAAGTAATACATGTCAGGCTTCAAAGATTTAATAACAGCAAATGAGAGTGAGATACTCCCTTGTCCTAAACACACTTTTCTATTTTGACCATGTAAACCATTGTAATAACAATAAAATTACCCGATGCCTGCCAAAGATATGACAATTAAACACATGAGATGTATTTCCTAATTTAGTATTCTACTCTTTAAAGCTTATTAGTTCACATACTGCCAGCTTTCAAAACCCATCATTAGAGAAAACTAGCAAGAGAGGAACTGAAATGAATAGATTGTAATTTAGAAGAGAAGAGCAGCCTCCTAGATTTGCAATTACTTTAATTAAAACAATGTGTTTGCTCTATGTTATCATGGGATCCTGTAATTTTCCTTCACATCATTTACCACAGGTTATAATCTTATATATTATATATTATTGTCACTATTAGATTAGCAATTGTTCTTTCCATTAGAAAGTAAGCTGTACAAGGACAGGGTCTCTTGGTCTGCACTGTATCTCTGGCCTCAAGTCCAGGGCTTGACCTGTAATTACATTTGATAAGTAACAGTCAAATGAGTGAGTGTGTGTGCTGCAGAAAGTATAATGAAATCATGTGAGGAGTGTCCATAGTAAGGCATATACCACAGTCTGACAAGGATGCCCGTTCTGCTCAATGGTGTGAATGTCACAACAATCCTATTACTGGTGCTGGAGATTTGGTTTTGGAAAAGTAGGCCTTACAACTTTTAGCCAAGGGTCACTTTTTGTTGCCTCTATGGCCATTCAGTACATCAAGGTCCAAAGGTTCAGTCCTTGGCCCTGCCTGGAGCTGTCACCTGCTGCCACAGCCTTAGGCTGGGTCTGCAGTGAAGCAAAATGATTTTATTGAATTGTGTGTGAGATCTTAAATGATATCAGACTAGTTTCAGCAGCAGGAAGTGAAAGGGGAATTGCTGGCTCAGCAAAAGGTTGTTGGCAGCAACACTTTGCCTGGCTTTAGAAAGTCAGATTTTCTTTTCTTTTACTTTATTTTTAAATTTTATTTTATTCTATTTTATTTTTTATTGTGATAAGACCATTTAACATGAGATCTACCCACTTAACACATTTTTAGGTATACAATACAGTATTGTTAACTACAGGCACTATGTCTTAGAACGGATCTCTAGAACTTATTCACCTTGCATAGCTGAACCTTTACACTCATTGAGAAGGAGCTGCTATTCAGATTTTTGGTTTTTAAAAATAGTTTAGTTCTTGACCTGAAGTAGATGAAAATATCCATGTGTGCAAAGATCAATACAATAGTTGGATATTTTCAGAGTCTAGGGGGCTTGTCCTCAAAATAACCCCTATCAGGGTTATTTTATTTACTGTTCAATTTCATTCAGTTCATCTTAAACTATACCCTACCATTTTTATCATCTCAAATGATTTTTTTTTTTTTTTACGAAGGAATAAGTAACTCGATGAGTGAATAAATAGCTAGCCCATGTCAGTTTTTCCAGGTTTTAGGGACTCAATCCCATTTACAAATTTTTGTTGATATATGTTATCCACTTTTAAAATTTTCTTAAATCACATCCTTTTATATAGAAAATGTGTTTTATGCCCCATTATTTTTGCCAAATCCTTAATTTTTAATATTTTGAGGTCACATTCAAAAGAAAATATTGTGAAAGAGATGCAATCTTTAAATCATAATTATAAGCAAATTGGGAGAATACAAATTTTCCACTTGGGGATAAAATACAGGTAATTCATTTTCAATCTGTTCATTTCCAGTCCACTAATAAATTGTTGCCCCTATCTATACCTTGTTCAAGGATGGGTTTTCTGGCATATTTTGACATTAAATTTCCTCTACAATTCTCTGCATCAAGCCCAAATTCATAAATATTAGCTTATCACTGTCTGCCATTTTTTCCATACTATTTGATAAACAAAATTTTCTTTCTACTTTTACTGCATGCACTCATTGTGTCTAACACTGAATCTGAATAATATCTTTCAATAGTTTCCTCCATACTGCTATTTTGTCTTCCAGTTGTAGATAATCTGTTATTTTCTTACTGAAGACTTTACTAATTATTTTTCTATATTTTATGTTTTGACTACATTTATCTAGGTATGAGTTTGTTGTTCATTCTACCCTGGACCCAGGGTAAGCTGTTATTATGAGGACTTAATCTGTTTTTAGCCATTATGTATTTAAACATTGGCCTCTCTTTCTCTCTTCTGGAAATCCCGAATAGGTTATGTTTTGTCCTTATTTTCTCATCTTTTATTTCATAACTTTTCTGTGGAGCATGGGCTTAAGGCCTTAAATACCATCTCCTGCAGATGTTAAAACTCCAGAGGGTGTTGAGAGGCCACATGGGAGACCTGGACTTCAACCCTACCTGGCAGTAATGAGACAGCGTCCCGTTCCCCACAGGCATAGTGTTGAGCTGTTGGCATAGATATTACTGAATAAGAAGACTGTTGACATCCTGTAACTTATACTTTATATGCAACCCCTTCACGGCCCTTGTCCTAGGAAAAAATAATCAGAATATGAATTCTCCTTTGCCGTTGTTACCTGGGCAAGGCTGGCTGCAGGATTCCTCCAGAACCATATTTTTATTACCATCTATAATGAGTTCAATGTCAGCACAGAATTCCTCATCCACCACTTTGCTGAAATCATCAGCTGACCCATCACTTACTACACAAGAAATGTTCCTTGTTCTGGTCCCTTCTCCACACTGGGCCTCCTGGAATGGAGGAAGAAATAACTAATTAGAAAAAGAGAAATACTTCATTAGAGAGCTCATCACTTAGTTATCTCTGCACCACTGACTTTGATTTATGAACATTTAGAGAAGGATTTGAAACCCTAGGGAAGAAGCCCTATAGGGCACTAGCAATAAAGCATACATTGAACAATTTGTTTCCTAGCTAAAGACAGGAAAATAAATTTTCATTAAAATGAATCAGTCTCCAAATGATTTTAAAAATATAGGGCATGGAGTTTTTGTTATCAAAACTAATTAAATGGTTATAAAATGGCAAGTACATACAAATTTTAAGAAGCTTGTCATCTGTGAGCTCTGAAACATATTTCTAACACATTATTTTTATGTTTTTCTGCAGATGAAGTCTCTGCAGATAGAGTACACACTTCCTGACAACTTCTTGAGATTTGATACCTGCACTTGGCATGGAGACCACTGGCCATATTGCCACCGATAACAAGGCTTCACTGGGCAGGGTTTGGACTGGTCCATCAGGGAAGGGCATGGTCTTCCATCACCTTGAAAGGGCTGGGTCACTGTTCGTCTTCGGATCATTTTTCCTTGAAGAGATACAAAGTGATGCACCTTTAATATATGTTATGGTTTTGCAAGCATATATCTCATTGGGAGAAGGCATCACAGTGATATCTCCTGAGGCAATCCAGGAACAAGTAAGGCTTAGATGTTTTGCAAAGAAAGACAACCAATCCAACCTTTCTGAAGATTATTTGATATGGGTTAAAGCAAGAGGGATATTTTATTTCATATTCCTTGACCAGTAGCCTAATATAAGTTATGGTACAAACAAACCTGTGAGGCCACATGTTTGAGAACATTCTGACCAAGGAGACCAATCAGAAAGCTGACAGTTCACAGGGCATTCCACCATGCAGGACGTGTTCATCTGCCAGTTCTTCTCCAAGCCAAGCTGGAAGAACAGAGGTAGATCAGGATGTATATTGTAAATTGGGGGAGGGAGCCAGAGAATGAGGTGACAAGAAAGAAGAGAAGGAGGGAGAAAAAGCAAGCCACATAAGAGAATAAAATGTTACCTGGAGGACAAACATCCAAACTATTGAAAGTATAAAGTGGTTTGACCTAGGAGAGTGGAAGTTAGGGGCACAGGATGAAAGAAGGGGCCCATTGAATCTATACTTATGTATTGTTTAAGTGTTTTCAATAAGCAATGTAGAAAAGTAGATTTAACCTCCAAATTGGTTGAATTTCCCTAAATGAGGAACAAGTAAATATAAGCATAAATACTTTCCATTAGGTAAAAACTAGTATCATCAATATTTTGATCTACAACTGTATCTTAGGGATATTATTTATTTTTACATATCTTAAACTGAAAAGCAAAAGGAAAAGGTTCTAAACATAAATTCATACTCAAAACTAATGATATCATGTATTGAAATAATATAAAGTATCAGCTATCTTTTAAAAAAAGAAATATGGGTCACCAAAGTTTTTTTTTGATTATGAATATTTTATGTGCATTTTTTAAAACAAAGATTTTCACTTCTAAAACTTAACTGTGGTATAATTCAGTTATGTTGGTGTCAAACCTTCTCATCAGATAATAATGTTGTGCCATTTTATTGGCATTTGGGTTCCATTACTTAAATATTCTGCTTTAAAAATATAAGATGAGGTTTCAAATTCTTCTACTGTATATTCCAACATTTAAAATCTCTATGGTACAAAGTAGTATTGAAATAGGAAAATGTTGGCCGGGTGCGGTGGCTCATGCCTGTAATCCCAGCACTTTGGGAGACCGAGGTGGGCGGATCACCTGAAAGCATGATGGCCAACATTGCGAAACCTCACCTCTACTAAAAAAAATATAAAAATTAGCTGGGATTGGTGGTGCATGACTGTAGTCCCAGCTACTTGGGAGGCTGAGGCAGGAGAATTGCTTGAACCCAGGACGTGGAGGTTGCAGTGAGCTGAGATGGCACCACTGCACTCCAGGCTGGGCAATAGAGCAAGACTCTGTCTCCAAAATAAAAAAAAAAAAATGAAAAGAAAGAAAAAGAAATAGGAAAATGTAAGAGCTTGTTAGGAGAATATAAGTTTTTAAAACTAGTAATTCTTGGAATTTCCAAGACCTTTTTTATTTCTGCATGAAAGAGAAGTTTATATTTTCTAATTTATACAGCAGATAATGGCAAAAATTTATTTTGAAACATTACGTTGTGTTTCAAGTATAGCTCTTAGCTCTAAGTTATCCACTGAGAGAGGATCAGATCAAAGCTTTGTGTAATACATCTCTCTGCAGGCACTCCCATTATATTCTACACCAGTAATACTTGACAGAGCTGAGTATTTGGTATGAAAACTTTTACCATATCACTCAATCGAAGCCTCATAAAGCCACTTAAAAGTCATGGGAGGTTGGAGATAGGAATCTTGAGGTGATATGATAAAAATAAGTGTTACATTTAAGGTAAATAATAGTTTCATGGGGACAGTTTGAATCACAGGATTCAATTATTACTGACTTACATATCCACCACTTACACATTTTAGTCCTGTACTACTTTTTTCCTTACATTGATCATATCTCTCTTTTAATTTGCTCTCTCATTTACCTAAATGTGTGTGTAAATAAATTAAAAAGAAATCTATTCAAAAATCTAAGAAATAGGAAAGAAAAAACCAATTACTAGGTATCCAATGAGTAAATGTCTGAAAAACACTGAAGATAAAAATAATACTACATAAATGCTAGTTAGGTTTAACTCTAATTTTCCTCTTTGTTAGATAACAATGCCATCTTTCTTTGTGGCTGTTAGGGAAGCAGCCAGTGTTACCTACTGATGTGGCACTGAATGCAGGGTTGCACAGTCGAATTTTAAGTCCTTGAAGACAGTGTTTGCTAGAATGTTAAAACTAGGAGTCCCTAATTGCCATGCAACATTCAAATATTGTAGTATTTGCATGTAAGCTTAAAGTCATCTAGGCTCCCATATAATTAAAATTAGTTATTTCCCAGGTTTTTACTCATATTCGATGTAAGAAATCAAGAATTCGGTTTCCAGCTTTGTCCTTTAATCATATGAAATGGTTTAAAATTGGTCATGTATGCTTAGGTTTCAGCTTTCGCAAAGCTCTCATTTATTTTATATTTCATTCCGACCAAGGAGTACATTTATGTGTGCAGAAAAAAGGACATACTAATCAACCAGAAGTAGATCACAGCAAGCTCTCCAGCCAGTATATGACCATTATCTTCATTAATACTGATGTTCTTTTTTTTTTGAGATGGAGTTTTGCTCTTGTTGCCCAGGCTGGAGTGCAGTGGTGTGATCTTGACTCATGGCATCCTCTGCCTCCTGGGTTCAAGCGATTCTCCTGCCTTAGCCTCCTGAGTAGCTGGGATTACAGGCATGTGCCACCACGCCCGGCTAATTTTGTATTTTTAGTAGAGATGGGGTTTCTCCATGTTGGTCAGGCTGGTCCTGAACCCCCGACCTCAGGTGATCCGCCCGACTGAGCCTCCCAAAGTGCTGGGATTAGAGGCTTGAGCCACCCTACTCGGCTCAATACTGACATTATTCTCATAATGGTTATATTGCTTCAATGTTATTGGTTATGAAACTAAAATGATTCAAGTGTGAAATTTCTAATTATTCAAGTTTAAATAATGAATACATTAGGTAACGTTACAAGGTTATTGCAGGAGGCATTTATTAACTAAACAAATTTGTGTTTTCAACACATGTGGGTGCTCTGCTCTCATGAACGGAGATGTAAGAAAGTTAAGTTAGGTCCACATGATAAACATATCAAATGAATTAAAATATTTCTGTGTAGAGTTTTCCCCTAGGTATAGGAACAATTTACTGTGGGCTATAATAACCCCAGGATGTGTAGACAGAAGACACATGGTGTCTGTGTATACTAAACTCTAATGAGGTTACAAACCACTTCTACTCTATTCCAGATCTATTGAGGCTCCTACTTATCTTGGTTGGTATTTGACCCAGTGGACCTCAGATGCATGGAGAGTCAACATTTGTCATGTTTTTGGTATGGAAATTAGATAAAATTATTACAACATAAAGTGTAGCTTCATAAAAACTAAGAAAGGACAAATACGTTTCTTCACATTTCAGACGCTCACATCTAGGTGTGACATTACTTTAATCAATTAGATAATACCAGTTACAATTCTCTGTACCTAGAAGATAGTAATGGCTGACTTCATTCCTCTGTTTGAATTTCAGGCTTTCACTTAATCAGACCTGAGTACTTAGATGGTCACAGCTGGGTATTAGATCCTAATATCAAAATCTGCTATGAAACCACATGTGATCAATGTTTAGCAACAAAGAGAATAAATGATGGACCTTGGCAGGTGTCCCAGGCACTACACAAAATTCACATCACATTACAAAGATGATAAGTAGTCTGATTAAAATTTATTGCTTTTATTCACCTTACGTATTGTTCCCCAAGCATTTCTTTCAGAATAGGCTAATTAGCATACCTTTGGGCTCCAAGCAGAAGAAAATACAGGAAATTATATGTAGGAATCAGTAGTGTTGGACATTGTGTCTTTTCAAGAACATACTTAGCCTGTGAACAGTGCAGAAAAACATCTGCTGGCAATGAGCTGCATGGAGCACGGGTCACTTGGCTCAGCATGAATTGAAATTATTAGGGAAGAATTTACTCGCGAAGATATAACACAGCATCCACCTACCGCTTCACAATATTTCAGGTCAACTGACTTGCCATCACTTCGAACACAATCCAACATCCTTGTTTTTATTCCATTTCCACAAACTGCCTTCTCACTCAGCTGACATGTACTCCAGTCTGAAAAAAAGGGAAGCCCATCAGAACAGAAGGCTAAGTAAGAAACAGATTTCAAATGAAACTCTGATGACCTGAATCCCATATTTAATTCACAACTGCTTCCTAAGCCCCATAATCAATCATCCCCCATGCAGAGCATATGGGTCCCAGCTTTGAACGTATCAGGAGTCAAATGGAATTGCTGGGGTTGCACATAGCTACAGGGATTATTCTTAAAGGCAGATGTCTACTTGAAAATCTTGATAGCTAGCCGTTTGGTGACACTGTGAAAATGGCTTTGGCTTACAGATCAATGTCACTTAAAAACTTTCTTTCCCAATAAAAATATAATTTAAAATCTTAGCATTACTTTTAGCCAAATAATCATAATTGTGACAGACGGTACTTTAACTGTGTAGTTATATTCAGATAAAACATACATTTTATTTCTTATCCATATTTAGAATGCAAGAAAATGCATACGTTTATTAAAGTGATAAAAATCACTTTGGCCATATTTATTCATTCTCTTATGTCTTTCGTAAGAAGACATAAAAGACACCTCTTTCCCTGGGTAACATAGCACATCCCAGATAACTGTGATTTTTTTTTTTTGTATCATCAAAGGAAACTGAAGAGAAAAACCAAAAGAAACAAAGCCAATATGACTGTTATGTGTCATTGTACAGTTTCTTGAGTTTGTTGCAGAGTGAAAATTACTTGGGAAAAATTCCAAAGTAAGCTTTCGTGTTGCCCCAATTCATATAAACCAATAAAAGATTTTCTTTCCTAGAGTATGCACCTTGATGGTATTAAATGAGTTTTAGGGGAAAAATGCAACTTATAATAAATCTGTTTTTCTGAAAATACTCATCAATTTTTACCTGCACCTTTTATAGCATTGATTTATAATCTTTGGCAAGTTTAAGATTGCTGACTAATCATGTTTATAAACTGCCCACACCTCATGAATTGTTGCCCCAGTATGTTTTAGCAATTAAGCATCTTCTGAAAAAGAAAGACATTTTTGAATAAATCTGATACCTGTGCCAAAAATATTTTAGATTCACCTTCCCGAAGTGAGAGGTTGTCTTATGTAGGAACACTTAGTATATTCACAACCTACTTTAAGGGCTAATGTCTGTTGACATTTTTATTTCCTCTATCTTAGTGTTTACTAAAAAAAAAACCCAGATAAGTATTTCTGTCATTTAATATGTAATTATTTCTGGGAAAGTAAGCAGCATATCCAAAAGGCACACAGGTAGAGATGAACTATACTGACAGGAATGCTTCAGAGCTGACAGACACAGGATTTGGACTTAACTCCGTGATCAGATGATGATCCATGTACCTGTTACATTATAATCATAGTGGTAGCAGTTTTTGTTCAGGTTACAGGGTTCTTTCTCAACAGCATTAGGGCAAGATCTTCCTTCATCAGCTGGTTGTCTGATGGGATCAGCTGACCTTTGCCGGAAACTGCTTTGATTGCAAGGCTTAAAAAGAACAGTACAAATTCTCAGAAAGGTGAATACTCAGCTACACAACTGGTATATTAGAGACAGCACTGGAGCAGGAGTTAGAACATTTGGGCCACTGGCTAACTCAGAAAAGTCAGTCAACCTCATTATGCCTCAGTTGTTCAATGTATAAAATGAAGGTGTTGAATGAGATTTTGATGTACCATCTAGCTATAAGATGCCATGTGTCAAATGTTAATACACACATCACCTCACACCTATACACAGCCACACATATGGTGGTCATATTAATTATTATGCTATTATATATATAAAGTTATATGTGTATTATTATATATATAATTATATGTTTGTGGATTACGTATAGTCTTTTGGGCCTTAAAAGACATTTTAAGAATAACTTTAAATGACTAGGTGTTAGTGACTTTCCTTTTCCTGATGCACACATATACATGCATATAAACAATTCTAATTCTAAATCCTAATTTTAATTCTTAATTTAGAATTGAGAAAAAAAAATAAAGTTCTAAGACCTGCAACTGACCAAATGGACCCCCTCTTGGCCATAGGGACCACAGAGAAACCTTGAAAACTGAGTTCTCGGCCTTTAGGCGTTCTTCCGTAAGGGTTATACAGAAACAAGCCCTTTGGAAAAACTCACTCTGCACCTGATCAACCAATTGTCTTGAAACTGCCTTTGCAAAAATTATAACAGTAAGAAAATTATGGCAGTAAAAGAGATCTGATCTAACCCACCTTCATCTCGCTTTTCTCTTAGTTATTCCTGGGTTTTCGGGGTGAGCTAACTTCAAGAAACATTTACTTTATAGTTTAAATAACAGGCTTTTCCCCAAACCCAAGTGCCTTTGTAAAGCTAATGAAAGGCCATCAGGCTGGGAGAGGAGAGGAACCTGAATTCTGCTAAGGTGTAGACATAAATGATTGCTAGCTACTCCTGCAGATGACACCACTATAGTAGATTGGCCTTTGAGATATCTTTTCCATTTTTTTGCATGTCTAACACCCAGGGCTCTACCTGGACCTGCCAACCCAGTTCCTGTGCGCCCCTCAGAAGAATTCAGCCTGCAGGAGGACAGCTTTGACCCCTGTGATTTCATCTCTGCCCCAACCAATCAGCAGCAAGCACCCATTCCCTGGCAGTCCCACCCCTTCCCCCAAACTGCCTTTGAAAAACCCCTACCTAGGAGCCTTAGACAATATTGATTTGAGTACTAACTCCATCTTCCATGTGGCATGGCTGGCCTTATGTCTATTAAACTCTTTCTTTACTGCAATACCCTGGTCTTTATTTGTGCAGCAGGCAGGAAGAACCCCATGGGTGGTTACAGCCTGACACTGCCTCTCCCTTTTATGGTTGCAACAAAACAACCAACCAGCATTTCTTCCTAATAAGAAACCACTGACCAAGGAGTGGTTCTGGGTAGTCCATGGAGGATGTACAGTAAGGGTTTCTGTGACCTCTGTTTCACCTTTTGACATTAGAGCACTGAAAATCCCACCCTTGGATCATGCTAATGCCACCATTTTTGGTACGTGGGACACGAGGGGGCATAAAGCTCAATTGCACATGCATACTCTTTGTTTTTTATAAATATTCATGACTCCTCATATAGCTTATTAAATATGTATATTTGGCCACCCTGCTCAACACAAATTAGTTACTGTTCCCTTTCCATTCCCTAGAAGTGTCTATTTCTGGCTTCTGGCTGGCAGCTATGATTCCCAGCCTGTCAGGATGGCCACCCTGCAGGCTGCAACCCTTTATGAGATGTAAAGCTCTCCTTTCTAAATTTATGAACCTTGTCATTCTTCAGTTGACAACATCTAAAAAGACTGGCTTGCCATTCATCTACTGGTACAGTCTTCTGAAAACAGTTGGTTTCTAAGAACAGTAAGAAACCAGGAACAAGCCTCCATGGACTTTTTAAGGCCTAAAATAATTGCTTCCTCCTCCCCTGCTTCCGTTGCACTTTGGTCACACTGGAATAACACTATCTGTTTTGACATAATGTGTATTATATAAAGGTCTTGTTCGTTTCTGCAGTGCACTAGGAGAGGACTTATGTTTTAGATAGCTGTATATTCTCCCTACCTAACACCGTTACTGATAGACAGTAAAAGCTTAGTTGGTATCTGTTTAATGAAGGCCTGAGTGAAGAAACAATGTGAGTTAAAGGTAAAACATGTCAAATTAAATTTAGGCTAACGCTGCCTCCTTACATTCAAGTTCATCCTAAAGGTTTCTTCACACACAGTGAACTATACCCTCTTTGGATGTGTAAAAAGACTGTAACCTACTCTTGTGCAATCACTGAGTTTCAAATGTGGCCAATTGTTCAAATCATGTTCAAATATGACAAATGTAAAGGAAAGTTTTTAAAAAAATCTCAGGATCTCATACTCCCTATGCAAAAGGGAAGCGTAAGCTTGGAGGCCGTCTTGCAACATTCTCTTCCAAATGAATAGCTATTGCTAGCATTGTGCCAGATTCCCAAGGAAAGATAAACGGCCTCGGGCATCATGAATAACTTGCTCCCATAGAAGATTCATAGGTAAATTCTTTCATGGCCTCCCACAAACAAGGACATACCAATTATACCAATTGTAACTTTAGGTCTACAGCCTAAGTCTAACTCCCAAAACTAAAGTCTGATTCCACACTGATGCTATCAATCACAAGCTTATTTTCCCAGGTTCAGAACAAAAACAAGAGGAGATCAGTCATTCTTCCACCTACCGAGAGATGCCTGCATAATTGATTTTTCCTCTATTACCTTTTTCTCTTCGAACATTCACCTTACCTTATGTAAAATGTAGATTACGGGGTACTAACTAAAGTCTCACAGGAATATAACTATTTGCCTTAATGCCTGTCTCTCTTCCTAAGTGCCTTCCCCCATTTAAGGGAAAGTATAAACATAAAACCTCCTGAACACCTCTTCAGAAAACCTCCTTGCTTTTTCCCAGATGTGTCCTAAAGCTGGCTTATTAAACTTCGATTGATTGGGACTTTTGCCTTAGTTACTCATTTTGTTTGTCACAAAAGTCAAGGTGTAACCAATCTAGCTGTTTCTGAACCTCACTTCTGTACATCATTTTCTGTATGACACTTATCTTCTCCTGCCCAAAAATCTTTTCCAACCACGTGGCAGTGCTGGAGTCTCTCTGAACCTGTTCTGGTTTGCGAGGCTGCCCGATTCTTGAATGGTTCTTTGATCAATTAAACTGTTAAATTTAATTTTTCTGAGGTTTTTCTTTAAAGAAATATAAAGCCCAGGAAGCACAGTTTATTCACCTCATTGAATTTTATTCCTATCCAAACATTCCTATTGGCAAACTCTCAGAAACACAAAAGATGCTTCACCAACTCTCTTTTATAAATAATAGAGCCTCAATAATTCTTCTAAGATGATTATCCTTGATCATTTAATATAGAAACCTACTGGACAAAGTTCCAGTTTAGTGGTTCCTTTTATTAAAATCCCTATTAATAAGTTTAAGAAGGGGCCTGGGTTCAATATTTCCTATTTTTATAAAAATGGAATCTCTTCATAATATGATATCTGACAAAAAATCTCACTGTTATAAACACAGACAGTGTAGCATATAGCCCAATTATTTGATGTAACTTCAAATCTGATCCTTTGAAATTAGAACAGAAAATCAATTGTATATCCTTGTGAAACAGCTGATTCTTTATTACAGTGTAACTTGCATTCCAATCAACTGCCATCTTTGTTTTATTCCTGCTGTATCAGTTGTCTGCTAATCAGTATGTTTAACACTGAAATGGAATATCAATTTCTCCTTGGAAAATATGCACCATAAAATCCTCTTTGAAATGGTTTTATATTGTATTTCAACAAAATAATTCCATATTAGTTATTTTTCTCATGCTTTTGATGCTGTTTTTGAAATGCACAGTTTTACAAAGGTGCCCATGGGTAAGCCAAATGTCTTACATAAGCAGCCAGTTCTGTTTCAAATGACTCTCTTCCCAGAGTCTCGTGGATGAGCCCCTACTGGCTGTTGAAATATAGAAGCTTTGTGTGATTTGAAACTCTCAGCTGGCTTTCCAGGCCCAAAGAGACACAGAGTCAGTGTGTAAAGAGAGATTCATTGGTGCACAGCTTTCTTCTTCTACTTAGTTTCTTACCCAGTATCTTTTGCTTTTTAATGTTAATACCCCTGCTGCTGTATTCCCACTGTGTGAGAGATTATTCCTACCATTTAAATAAAAGGTACTGGGCAAAAAGCAATGGATGAGAATAACCTGACACCATTAAAGTACCTTTACTTCATTCATTTTCCCTTTTACCTGGAGGGAATCATTATCACCACTGCAGTTTTTAACATGCTGTGTATTTATAAGGCAAACTGAAGGCCTTTTGTGCTGGATTAGGATGATGGGTTAGTAAAGCTTGCAAGAGGTGGAGCTGTTCTAGTGTGAGAGGAAACATTACAGACTTTAAATAGCACAGTCATAGAATGATGTGGCAGAGAAGACACACCTTGCTTTGCTAAATATGGCAAACAAACAGATTTTACATTGAAGTTATTATATTCAAAAAATAATGTCTTTAAAGCTTCAGTGGCAAATAATTAAATAAACTCTACATTAATAAAAAGGTTAATCATCTCACCAAAACACATTGGGTCCATGGACCCCATTCAGATATCACACAGTCCTCAGGGCATGGTAATTTGCACACTCTAGAGCCCAGGGGCATCTCTTCTGGGTCACAGAGGTAATCCTCTACATGTTCAGAAGGGCCATCTGCTGTATTCTGCATGCATCTAGAAAAGAACATAAACATATTCTAGAAAATATACATACATTCTAGAAGTAAAGAAAACAGGACAATTAGAATGACCAACCCACAGGACAGATGGTTCTCCTTAAGACATCGTTATGGGGGTGGGGAGTAGGAAGCTTTGTTATCTAATAAAATTCTCCACAAATGAAGACTTAAAAGGATCTTTGCCTCTCCTAAATATCTGTAGTGCTTCTGCATGATTCAAAAATGTGTTTGCATTCATGAGTCTTTGACTATAAGAGCCACTGTGTATATGTAAACTCTGCATGTTATGCAAGCTTCCTCTGAAAGAAGAGGGTCATTTATACACATATGAGGGAGAAACTAATGAGGAACTGTCCAAAGAGCTTCGTAGAGGGCTTACAATTTGGCATATAATGCATTTATTCTTCTCAAGAAAATGATGGATTTCATAGAGAAGGTAGAGTTAGTTGATTTATATGTGATGAGAGACCAGGCACACTGAAATCTCTAAGTGGGAGATTTCATTGAGTGTTTTTGAAAACAACTAGAGGCATTTATCGATTCATTTTGTCATTTTAAAAGTAATTTTAGCCTCCCTTCTGCTGTGAATCTTAAAAGAAAGTGAGAAGTGAAAAGACAATTATAATTGGTATCGCATAGGTTCTCTAAATATGGTTATTTGGATTTTCCTACTACTTGACTTGAAAAAATTGTTAGTTTGTGTTCCATTTTATTCTCCTGTAAGCAGTCATGAAGGGCTCCTTATTCATCTTTTGGGAGTCTAATTAACATGGCTACTATCAGACTTCACTTTTACCATAGTAAATAATCTCTCTGGGCACTTAAGTATTATAGCAGGAGAGAAAACCTTTATCTCTCATGTGTAACTTGGAAAAGGTCAGCCAACTTAATGGATTTAGGAACAGAACTGCATTTCAGGAGTTGAAAAGGAAGGCTTGAACTCTCAAGTCTCTCAAACCTAGTGTCATGTTTTAAAATATCACTTGAATTATATTGCCAGTGATACCTGGAATCCCAACTTTTATCAGGGATTTACAATCAGCAGGGACATTCACAAATCTCCTCTGCAGAGTCACCTTGCTATGCAGTGCTGCTGAACTTAGGAATGTCCTTTCCCTGTGGGATACATTCAAACACTGGAAAACTGTGTTGTTGGTCATGTCTTAATGAGCCTGTAGCCTGAAAAAAATACCCAAACAAATACCTACCTGTGCATTTTTTTTTTGTATACTGGATACATACATAAAAAGCAATCACAAAAATATGCAAAGTAGATATTGATATGATTTCCTTGTTGAAAAAAATAAATCAAATTGTGAATATTTTTGGGAGAATCTGAGTTTCCCAGGAAAAATTTCTACCTTCAATATCATTAAAAAAATGTTATGGTGACAGCAGCTTAGAGACATGTTGCAGACAGGACATTTCAGTGCTCAAAAGTTGCATTTGCTCCTAAGAATATATTACATTTGAGTAGGTGGTGTCACTATATGCAAGGATTAACTTGTAGAATTACCTATTGACCAGAGTTAAGAACAGATATCCAACACTCTATTAAGCAGTTATGTCCATAAATCTTTATTTTCAAAGATTTCTCTTGATATGATTTGGCTGTGTGTCCCCACCCAAATCTCATGCTGAATTGGAATTCTCAGTGTTGCAGGAGGGGCCTGGTGGGAGGTCACTGGATCATGGGGGCAGATGTTCCCCTTGCTGTTCATGATAGTGAGTTCTCATGAGATACAATGGTTTAAAAGTGTGCGGCACTTCCCCCTTTGCTTTTTCTCTCTCTTGCCACCATGTGAAAATGTGCTTGCTTCCTCTTCACCCTTATGCCATGATTGTAAGTCTCCTCATGCCTCCCCAGAAAGAGAAGCCTATACAATCCACAGAACCATGAGCTGATTAAACCTCTTTCTTTATAAATTACCCCATCTCAGGTAGTTCTTTATAGCAGTGTGAAAACAGACTAATACAGAAAATTGGTACAAAAGAAGTGTAGCATTGCTATAAAGTTACCTGAAAAAGTGGAAGCAGCTAAGGAACTGGGTAATGGGCAGAGGTTGGAACAGTTTGGAGGGATCAGAAGAAGACAGGAAGATGACGGAACGTTTGGAACTTCCTAAAGACTTGTTGAATAGTTGTGACAAAAATGCTGATAGAAATATGGATGGTGAAATCCAGGCTGAGGTGTTCTCAGATGGAGATGATGAGCTTATTGGGAAGTGGAGTAAAGCCCACTTTTGCTATACTTTAGCAAAGAGATGGGTGGCATTGTGCCCCTGCTCTAGAGATTTGTGGAACTTTGAACTTGAGAGAGATGACTTAGGGTATTTGGTGGAAGAAATTTCTAAGCAGCAAAACATTCAAGATGTGGCCTGCCTGCTTCTAAAAGCCTAGCTTATTTGGATAAACAAGTAAATGACCCCAAACTGGAACTTATATTTAAAAAGTAAGAAGAGCATAAAAGTTTAGAAAATTTGCAGCCCCACCACGTGGTAGAAAAGAAAAACCCATTTTCTGGGAAGGAATTCAAGCCAGATGCAGGAATTTGCATAAGTAAAGAGGAGCCAAATGTTAGTAGCCAAGACATGGGGAAAATGCCTCCAAGACATTTCAGACAACTTCATGACAGCCACTCCCATCACAAGCCCAGAGGCCTAGGAGGGAAATTTGGTTTTGTGGGCCAGGCTCATGGCTCCACTGCTCTGTGCAGCCTCAGGACATGGCACCTTGCAACCCAGTCTCTCCAGCTCCAGCCATGGTTAAAAGGGGCCAAGGTACAGCTCAGGCTATTGCATTAGAGGGTGCAAGTCCCAAACCCTTGTGGCTTCCACATGGTGTTGGGCCTGTGGGTGCACAAAAGGTAAGAGTTCAGGCTTGGGAGCCTCCACCCGGATTTCAGAGGATGTATGGAAATGCCTGGATGTCCTGGCAGAAGTCTGTTGCAGGGGTGGAGCTTTCAGTACTAGGGCAGTGTGAAGCAGAAATGTGGGGTTGGGCCCCCCCACACAGAGTCCCCACTGGGGCACTGTCTAGTGGAGCTGTGGAAGTAGGGCCACAGTTCTCCAGACCCCAGAATGACAGATCCACTGACAGCTTGCACTGTGCACCTGGAAAAGCTATAGACACTCAATGCCAGCTCATGAAAGCAGCCTTGGGGGCTGTACCCTGCAGAGCCACAGGGGTCGAGCTGCCCAAGGCCTTGGGAACCCACCCCTGTGTCATTGTGTCCTGGATGTGAGACACAGAGTCAAAGGAGATTATTTTGAAGCTTTAAAATTTAATGACTGAACTGCTGGGTTTTGGACTTGCATGGGGCCTGTAGCCACTTTGTTTTGGCGAATATCTCCCATTTGGAATGGGAGAATTGTATCTTGGAAGTAACTAACTTGCTTTAGATTTTACAGGTTCACAGGCAGAGGGGACTTGCCTTGTCTCAAATGAGATTTTGGATTTGAACTTTAGAGTTAATGCTAGAATGAGTTAAGGCTTTGGGAGACTGTTGGGAAGGTATGGTTGTATTTTGAAATATGAGAAATACATGAGATTTGGGAAGTGCCAGGGTGGAATGATATGGTTTGGCTCTATGTCCCCACCCAAATCTCATGTTGGGGGAGGGACCTGGTAGGAGGTGATTGGATCATAGGGCAGATTTTCCCCTTGCTGTTCTCATGATAGTGAGTGAGTTCTCATGAGATCTGGTTGTTGTAAAGTGTGTGGCACTTCCCCCTTCGCTCTTTCTCTCTCCTGCTGCCATGTGAAGATATGCTTGCTTCTGCTTCACCCTTTTGTCATGATTGTAAGTTTCCTGAAGGCTCCCGAGCCATGTCTCTCCTGTACTGCCTGTGGAACTGTGAGTCAAATTAAACCTCTTTTCTTTATAAATTAGTCTCAGGAAGTTCTGTATAGCACTATGAGAAAAGATTAATACATCTCTCTTCCTTTTATTTTTTTGTTTTACAAGTAATATACTCATTTTAAGAAAATCAGAAGAAATAAAAATTTCCACAATTTCATCAGAGATAACCACTCATAACAGACTATATTTATTAATGGACTATTACTTTAAATGTATCTTTTCATTTTACAAAATGGAAGCAAACTTTACCTATTTGTACCATTTTAAAAATCTACAATATATTATGAACATCTTCCTGTCATTAACTATTTTTCTAAGATATATTTTAATGTCTACATCTGAATTCCATTGCTTAAATGTGCCACAATTGTTAAAATGTCCCTGTTGTGGCATTTATACTTACAGGCTTTATTTTTGTTATTTTATATTAAAAATTTTTATAATCACCCTAGAATACAGAATATTTGGATCAAGTCTTAAGCCCAAAGGAAGGCACTTTAAATTCCTTTGTTTTCTCCAAATTCTTGGCCTTTCTCCTTTCTAAGGAGCAAGAATTATACTTTGAGAAAACTGAACTATATTAGAGATACACGGTGTAGAACCAAGTTGTAGACAAAGGGTTGAGTCAGAAGCCCATCACAGGTGTGGTAATAAGACAGTGTATTTTCTGCATAGATTTAAAAAGCAACAATAACTAAGTCTGTCTGTTTTTTATTATTACTGTGTGCTGGCAATTCTAGAAAAAGTCAGTGAAAAAAATATCCTTCCCTACCAAGGTAAACCACTTCTACCACCACTCCTTGATAGGCCATATCATCCTTAAAGAGGAAGAGTGTAATTGAATAAATTTAAACCTCCTCTTTTATAGACCCATCTATCCTGAAATGTTACCCAACACTTGCATTCAAGCAGGACATTTTGACCTTCATTAGCAGAGGATAATTTAAGGGAAGTGTACTACTCAATCAGTAACAAACAGAAACATCATTACATGATTAGAGATCGCAATCAATACTGACCTCTCTTCTCTATTTGCATTGAAGTTGTTTACTGAAAAAATAAATTGATCTGAAAAGTTACTTTGTTTAGAATGTGTTTGGAAATGTTAAGACTATCTATTTACAAAGCAAAAAAAAAAAAAAAAAAAGTAACATGTACACAGATAGTTGAAGGGAAAGCTGAAAAAACAACCCAGTGGTTTGAGATGGAGTCTCGCTATGTGGCCAGGCTGGAGGGCAGTAGCACCGTCTCGGCTCACTGCAACCTCTACCTCCTGGGTTCAAGCAGTTCTCCTGCCTCAGCCTCCTGAGTAGCTGGGACTACAGGTGCATGCCACCATGTGCAGCTAATTTTTGTATTTTTAGTAGAGACAGGGTTTCACCATGTTGGCCAGGATGGTCTTGATTTCTTGACGTTGTGATCTGCCTTCCTCGGCCTCCCAAAGTGCTGGGATTACAGGTATGAACCACTGTGCCCGGCCTATAATTTTTTTTACTAATGAAACAACCAACCTGATCAAATTCTTAAGGTAATATTTTTTATTTTGAAGAAAAAAAATAATTTGAAAGGAGAATAGTGGAAAACAGAATCTCTTTTTCTGTGTCCCTATCTACTTATTACCTCTCTACCTCTTCCCCATTCCCAGTCCACCTATATTAAGGTCCTCAGAGAAAAAACAAATTGAGAGTTCAGATGGGCTTTTGAAAAAAGAAATATAAAACTTTTTATTAGACATAAAATTATATATAGGTCCATATGCAAAGGTTTTATACGGTAAAACAAATATTAACTTGTTCTGCTTTCCTACTGAAGTAGATTAAAACACCAATCTTAAATGCATGAAAGGTTGGGTTATGGGTAAGAATGAACTTCTTCATAACATGGGTTGCCGAGTGCTGGATTTTTTTTTTTTTTTTGAGATGGAGTCTCGCTCTGTCCCCCAGGCTGGAGTGCAGTGGCGCGATCTCGGCTCACTGCAAGCTCCGCCTCCCGGGTTCACGCCATTCTCCTGCCTCAGCCTCCCGAGTAGCTGGGACTACAGGTGCCCGCCGCCACGCCCAGCTAATTTTTTGTATTTTTTAGTAGAGATGGGGTTTCACCGTGTTAGCCAGGATGGTCTCAATCTCCTGACCTCGTGATCCACCCGCCTCGGCCTCCCAAAGTGGTTGGATGTTTTTATATTTGTCTTTCCTGGGTGCCACTGAGAAGGGTTAAAAGAAACCAGTGTATTTAAAAAGAGTGATGGGAGACTTGGGTTTGAATTCCAAGGCTGCCACTTTACTAGATGGGTATTCTTGGTACATTATTTAGCACTTGGGAATCTAATCTACAAAATGGAGGTGATAAAACCTCGTGCATTTGTTTCATAGAGTTCTAGAGCCCTTAAGGATCATGTGATAGATACTGTATGGAAAATTTAACGAGTATCAATCTAGTGTTAGGCAGTAGGGAATTCCTATGAATATGTGGGGTCTCTGTTTTAAGAAATTTTATAAAGTTTTATTAAGGGGATAGACATGAAGAGGGGTCTTTTCAACACAGTGAGGGGTATATGGAGTGTAATAGAACAACCCTGTCCAATGGAACTTTCTGCCATTACAAAAAATACTGTATGTCTGCGCTCTCCAACAGATAGCTGCCAGCCACATGTGGCTATGGAGCACTGAAGCATGGCTAGTGTGACTGGGGAGATGCATTTTTAATTTAATTTAAACTTAATTTTTTTTAATTTAAATTGAGTTAGTGTGGCTAGTGGCTATCCTATGGGACAGTGTAGCTACAGAAGAACAAGTGACACGCAGGAACCAGCTGGGGGCTTCAGAGAAAGCTCCCTGGACAACAGGATAGTATTCAGTTAGCCAGTTTGATACAAAAGAGCAAGAGTTTAAAACAGATTATTTTAGAAAGGAACTTGGAAATATATTTGGCCTTGAAGCAAAAAAGTTATTGGGGTTGAAAATCTGCATTAGTTCAGATTGAATATGCTGTTCCTTCTCTTTAAGAGTATTTGAAGTGATGCTTCCTAAATCAGAAGGCCAGAATATAATAAACTGCTGCTTGAAGCAGATTCTCTTAGAGTTTTCTATGAGCACAGATTCCCTAAAAGCAAAACTGCAGACAATTTTATCCAGAAGACTGGGGAGGAGTGAACAGTCATGTTGGCACATGTGCAATTGGGAGATAGTTTTGTGTCTTGCTTTTCTGTATAATTAGGCTTTGTCTTACCTCACTTTTCGGGTTTGCACGCCCTCTCCACAGTTCTCCCGCATATTCACAAAGGTCACCTTGCAGATGCTCCAGGGCTCTGTGACCCATAGGTACTGGTTGCAGTCACTGTGGCATGGGACAACCTCATACACCTGAAACACACATGGTTCTCAGCAATCTCAGGGAATCTGGTAAGAGTGAGGAGGAAGACTTCCACACCATAACAGCAATCATTTCACTGTGAAGCTACTTTCACTCCCCTCCTTTACTGCTTATTATTCTAACATTGCAATAGAGAGAACTCAAGAGTTCTAGCAGTAGAGGATAGGGCTAACCATATTGTACTCTGTTGCTCTGCTATTACATTGCAGGTGTAAATCTGATCCACTGGATCACATTAGATAGGTTACATATTTTCCTATGCTGACCCTTAACACACCGTATTGTAACTTTCTGGACCATCTGTGTCATTTACAGTTTTGTGTGACTTCAATACTAGCCCAGGGTGCTCACATGTTAGGTACTCAATAGGGATTTGCAGAATGATTGAATGAAGGATGAGGATTGATGAATCAAATAAGTATAAAACATAGCTGTTTTCCAAATAAATATAATTTGGCCTATTTTCCAGATAACTATAAATAATGATGAGAATTTAGATTTTTGGTGTGTATCATATGGGAAACTAAATTAAAAAGATAAACAATATGAAATAAAGCCATCTTAAAACTAATCCTCAATCATTTAAGGCTTGGAAGCAAAGTCTGATATTGGTGTACAAGCCCAAGCAGTGAGGGCCACATGAAACAAGGCAAATTGTCTCTGCTCCAGGGTCCATAAAGCCTTTCAGTCCCACATTTGGGGTGGTATGCTTGGTTTCAGGTTTTTTTTTAGTACAATGAACCAATTATGTTCTTTTTTCAATGAGAAGAATGACTAAATAAAGGAAATAAATGGCACTTAATCCATTGCAACCAAGCTGACTCAAGCATTAAATAAAATTCTTTGAAAGTATTTTTCTAATCTGTGATAGTCCAACTCTATCCCTTATTTTACACACACACACACACACACACACACACACACACTGAGAGACAGAGACAGAGAGCAAGAGAGAGAGAAAGGGAAGAGAGAAACTATAGCTTTTTATGTAATGAATTCTAGAAAAGATAGATTTAAATAGCCCTTTGCAGCCATTCTTTTGTGCCAATTTTAGTGAACTAAAAACCTAAGTAAAATGAATAAAGTGGACCTGTCTCAAAGAGGAATAAAAAAATGCTAGATGACACGTTAGTGGGTGCAGCGCACCAGCATGGCACATGTATACATATGTAACTAACCTGCACAATGTGCACATGTACCCTAAAACTTAGAGTATAATAAAAAAAAAAAACATTAAAAAAAAAATGCACTGTTGGAGTCAAATTCTGCAATTATTGCCATAAGTGATTATATTCACATTTAGTTGCTGTATTAAAAATAGAACTAAATAGCACAGGATAAAACATTACCCTACAACTTGCAGTGAAAAGAAAAACTGAAGGAGAAATGCTCTTCTTCTTAATCCTTTGATGGCTTTTATTTTAAACTCCTGTACTGAAGTGAATACCCATCAGTTCAGAACAATCTCCAACCCACCCATTTTCAGTCCACTTGCACTTTTTCCTTCTCCCTCTGAAAAGCACAAGACCATTAATAATGGGTGTCACTGCCTGTCGAGATTAGCGAAGTGAAACTTGTTCTCCCCAACTCTTGTTCACCTCAGTCCTTGATATTACAATGAGGGATATGAAATGTAGGAACACAGGTAACTATGATAGAAAAGAAAAATAAAACAGTTATAGAAAAAAATTCTTTAATGGAAAATATGACATTTTCTCCCTGTAAAACATAAAAGACAAAGCAAGAAGAGAAATGTATTCTCAGAAATCAGGAAATTTAAGAAAAGAAGGATTCTATCAAAAAGCATGAGGTTTAAGAGTTCTTACCTGTGCCTGGAGTGGTGTTCAACAGGAATGATGAAAAGGGAGAGAAATAAGGTAGGTGAAAATGTCAGTATGCTATGAGAAGAACACATGGTAAGTTTCAAGTATTATTACTTACATGTAAAAACCTACTTTTTTGGTAAAATATTAGAACATTTTTCTTAGGTCTCAGGAGATAATACACAACTACTTATTAATGTTAAAAAGTAAGATACACAAATGGGTATTGTAAATAGCAGAGCCAATGAGAAAATTAGATGGGCAGGATGGAGAAATCTTAGAAAATGGAGTTGACCTCACAATACATAGCATGGGAAATTGATATATGATGCAAATAACTTGTGATCCAACTTGTCAATGTACTGTTGTCTATCAGTATATTTATAGATTGATCTATCCGTTGATTTACCTTAATCAGTTCATCTGTTTTGTAGAAAATGAGGATTTGAGTACTTCCTTCCTCAGCTAGAAAAATAGAAACTCAGAGACTGTTTTCAAGCCAATGCTTCTGATTATTTTACTGAGGAACATATAATTGTAGTAAACACCTATGTGATTTACAATTTTCAACATTAACACAAAACTTTACATTTTTATTTTCCCTAAATTTCTTAATACACAAATTCATAGAAGTTTCTATTTTTATGCAGAACATTTAGGCTCAAATGTTCAAAAATTTATTATTTGTTTTAGCTTTGATTTTTCAGTTGTTAATGTCTCAGTAAGCCTTCAGTCAACCGATACCAAGTCACAATACCCTTATCAAACTGCATCAGAATATATTAGAGTTGGAAAGTGACAAATGGTTTAGGCCAAACACTAGGAATAGCAAAGACAACTTGGCCTGAGGTTTTGAACCTTTGGAAATTCACTTAAGGAAAATCTGAGGAAAACACAGATTTTAATTGCATATCTGACTGGGTGTACACATACACGCTAAAGTGAAATAGGTATGAGTATGTGTAGAATTTCTCTTTATTAGGATTGGGAGTCATATATAATTTATTTAAATTTGCTACTGAAAATTCAAGGTTTCAAAATTTGTAGAGAAATATTCTTTTGTATTATAAACATTTTAGTTCAGTTTTTCTGTTTTGCAGTTATATAATTATAGTTGCTGAACTGAATTTTCTTTGGAAATTTCCTTAGCATCTTAGAAATGCAAAATGCTCTGTGACATGGAAGCTAAACTACCAGTAGATGGCAGCAAGGGAGTGTGTTATTTACCCTCCATTGCACATAAAGATAAAATCAGCAACTTCACTTGGGGAACAATCAAGACTCTTTAGAGTACTTTTTATAGAATTTAATTCTTCACGATCTTCATCTTAATTTACTTAATTCCAAGGTTCTTTCTGTTTTCTCTACAATGTACTTTTATTATGAACAAAGTTATGTTAATCTGGGAAGGAAAGTATGTATACAGGTAAGCAGTGTGTTTAGAGATTAAAATGAGTCTATGTATGTATGAAACAATTCTACATATTTAAGGACTTGATTCATTTGATTGTGATTTAAATTCAAATACACAACTTAACACCCACACATAATAAATGAAATTATTCTTTGCTAATTCACTTATAGGCCAAACATGGTAATAATTGTCTGATTATGTTACATTCCATTTAAATCAGTCACAATTCCTCCATTAGGCTTTTTCTTTTTATCTCTAATAGAACAGAACGACAACTATTAACAGCAGGTAAGAAAGAATGCATCAAAAGTCAGAGTTCCAAATAAAATTGAAAATGGTCAATGACTAAATTGATAGCATACTTACAGTGATTTTGAGGCCATCTTTGTATTTCTTTTTCTCAGTTTGTTTTATATCAAACACATTTAAATAAACAGTATATATTTTTCCTAATTTTAGACCAAAACCCATATTATTTCTTTGATTTTAATTTAAGCATTTGGTAATTGAGATGTCTTTTCTGACAGTTTGGGGAAACTATAAGAATGAGATAATCTCAGCCTACATGTTAGATACAATCTTATGACAGATTAAATACCTTGACATTATTTCAAAGATAGGTGTCATTTTTCTCCCCATTGAATTACATACATATTCATATATACTTGCAAGGTATGGAATCTCCAGAGAATACAGATATGTCTAATTTGAAATTTTAATAACATGTATGTATTTATTCAGGCATTCTAATGGTAAAAATGGGTCAATTTTTTATTCAATAGCTATTATTTCCTCTTCTCCATTTTGGAGAAAAAATCAGATCATTGTGAATCTCAACAATATCTTAACACTGTCAATGATAGAAAATACCTGGTTGACATGGTCCAGTTTGGGGCAAGGCCTTCCTCCATTATATGGTTTTTCACGCAGCCATTTAGAACGAACCTTCACACCACTCCCACAGGACTTGCTGCAGCGCGACCAGTTGGACCACTCACTGAGCTTGCAGTCTGAGGGGCAGGGGATGATGCAGGCCTCCTCAATGTAACCTGAGTAGAGGAAAATGAGACAAGAATCATCTCCTCCACCTGTCACTCTCCCATTACCACCCACTATTCTAGGTCATTTAGAAGGTCCAAGACTGACTTGACAGCAGCATGCAAATGCAGAGGTGTCTCTGTTGTAAGGGACTTGAATTAAATTCTGCAGGGAAATGTCACATACATACAGTGACTCTGTTAAAATAACAGTTGAGCAGCTGCCATGTGATCTGCTTAGGATTCATGCTCACCATATTTCAACATTTCTGACTGACAGCTCGTGTTTAATTGACAATAACCTGTCTGCTGCCATATCATTCTCATGCTGACAGAATGATACATTAAAAAATTATAACAGTTTTCTATAAAACCCTATCTGTTAATGTCACACAAGTTCAGGGTTCTGAGTCCATGCAACGTTCTTTCTTAAGAAATCCCAGTCCCTTTCACTCAATACCCAAAAGGAACCATTTAACTTAGCATCTTGCGTTTCTCCTTCTTTGAAAATCAAGTCTGAAGAAAAATGCAGGATGTTAAGTAATGTCTCATGTTTTACATGCTGTCACTTTCAGAGCATCTTCACATCTTATATCCATTTGATTCTCTTGAAAATCTTATGTATGAATTGTGCAAGTATTGACATTCTAACAGGCAGGTAAGAAAACAAATGCAGAGCGATGACTGACTGAGTCCAAGGTTACACAGTAAGAGACAGGGAAAAGTTTTCTGAGGTCTAATCCAGTACTCATTCCATCAAATCATCCAACCAATTCGATTAATAGTGCACAGATTTGTTTTGGGAAATGGGAGTATTTTCTTTCAATACTTCTTAACTACAAACTTGCCATTTCACAATATCAATTAAACACTATTATTCTCAAGGCAAACATGTGAAAACAGCAAAATTCCTCTAGTCAAGAATGAAACGCACGGTTGTCCTCTATAATAGTCTGAATGTGGAGAGAAGGTGTTCTTGGTACAAGAAAACACTCTGCCTTGCCATTTTATCTCAACAGCAGAGATTCGATTTTGACAATGATTATAATGTAAACAATTGATACTAGGCAACTCTAGGTAGATTTTTAAAAATTTATGGAGATATAATTCATATTCCATAAAAATAACCCCATGTTTTGGTTTTCAGTATGTTTGCTGCGTTGTGCAACCATCATCACCATCTAATTTTAGAACATTTGTTTTACTCCAAAAATAAACCCTATGGTTACTGGCAGCCACTTCCTACTTTCCCCTTCCTCATCCCCTGACAACCATGAATCTACTTTCTATCTCTATGAATTTGCCTAATCTAGACATTTCATATAAATGAAGTAAAACATTATGTGATCTTATTTCTTTTTTGTTTTAGAGATGTCTCACTCTGTCACCCAGGCTGGAGTGCAGTGGTGTCATCATAGCTCACTGCAGCCTTGACCTCCTGCACTCAAGAGATCCTCCTACCTCAGCCTCTTAAGTAGCTGAGCTGGGACTAAGGGTGCCCACCACCATGCCAGGCGAATTTTCATATATATATATATTTTATAGAGATGAGGTGTTACGGTGTTGCTCAGGTTGGTCTGGAACTTCTGGCCTCAAGTGATCCTTGGCCTCCCAAAATATTGGGATTACAGGTGTGAACCACCATGCCTGGCTTGGCTTCTTTCACTTAGTATAATGTTTTCAAGGTTCATTTATGTTATAGCATGTATCAGTTCTTCAGTCCTTTCTATGATTGAATAATATTTCATTGTATGGACATTTCACATTGTTTATCCACTCATCAGTTAATGGACATTTGAGTTTTCACTTTTTGTCTATCATGAATAATGCTGCTATGAACATTTGTTTACAAGCTTCTGTGTGGGCATACATTTTCAATTCCCTTGAATATATACATTACAGTGAAATTGCTCAGTTATGTGGTAACTCACTTAGCTTTTTCAGGAAGTGTCAAACTGTTTTCCAAAATGACTGCAGCACTTTATACTCCACCAGATATGCACGCATGTTCCAATTTCTATGAATTCTTGTCAAACTTGTTATTGTCTCTAAAATTTTGGTGTTGTTTGAAGAACAAAAGTTTTAAATGTCAATGAAGTCCAGTTTATCTTTTTTCCTTGGTTGTTAGTGCTTTGGTATTATATCTAGGAATCCACTACCAAAGTCAAGGTCATCTAGGTTTATAGTTGTTTTCTCAAGAGAATTTAATAGTTTTAGCTCTTATATTTAGGTGTATGTTTCATTTTGAGTGAATTTTTGTTTATGATAAAAGGTAGGGGTCCAACTTCATTCTTTTGCATGTGGTTATTGAGTTATCCTGTCTTCAGTTGTTGAAAAAACCTGTTCTTTCCTAATTGTTGTGGCACCCTTGTTGAAAATCAGTTGACCACAGTGTAACGATTTATTTTTGAACTGTAAATTCTATTCCATTTATCTCCATGTCTAGTTTCATGATAGTACCACATAGTCTTGACTACTGTAACTTTGAAGCAAGTATTGAAATCCAGAAGTGTGAGTCTTCCTATTTCGTTTTTCCTTTTAAAGATAGGTTTGGCTATTTTGAGTCAAACTTCTATATGCATTTTAGAATTAGACTGTCAATTTCTGCAAAAAATTGCAGCTAGGATTTTGATAGGAATTGTGTCAAATTTGTTGATCAACTTGGAAGCACTGCCGTCTTAATTCAGACACATGGAATTCATTTCCATTTATATAGATCTTTAATTTCTTTCAATGATGTTTTGTAGTTTTCAGTGTACAGGTCTTGAACTTATTTTGTTATATTTATTCCTAAGTATTTTATTCTTTTTATTGTAGGTGGATTTTAAAAAGAACCTACCAACATTAATTTCTTTAATTAAAGGAAAGTCAGACCACCTTTAAACCAAAATGGCAAATTTAATCTATAAGATTGTGCCCAAACTGTCCTGTATTGAAAGTGTTAAAATACTAATTTACTATACAGTATTTCCTAGCCTTGCCTAATCATAAATTATCTGAGACACATGTTAAAAACATAAGCTTCTACCACCCTCAAGTTATTGACATTAATACAATCCATAGCACTTACTCAGGTTTCACAAGCTTTACTTTTAATCATTTGTGTGTGTGATTGTGTAGGTCTTAAGTTAGGAAGTGCTACTATAAGATACAGACAGAACCAAAAAAAATGGAAGATAAATAGATTTCTGGCATATCTTTTTATGTAGTATCTCCTATACATTTGTCAAAGATATTTGTTTTAAACTTCGTATTGTAGTCTTCATATGCAAAAGTGCATTTTCCATAGACGTAAATTTCACTGAACACACCCCTGAAATCAATAGTCCAGAACTCTCCTCCGTATTCCCTTGCAGCCACTGCCCCTTCTTACAAGAGCAACAACTATCCTGACTACTCACTGTGTAGAATAGTTTTACTTTTTAAAAATTTCATGTAAATCGAATCATATAGTTTATATCCATTTGTGCTAGCCTTTTCACTCTACATTGTGATATGCGTTTTATCTACGTTGGTGCATATTGCTGAATATTGTTTATTCTGGTTGATGTGTAGCATTCTATTGTGTGAATATACTATGACTTGTTTATTCATTCTATTGGTGGTGGGCATTTAGGTAGTTTTCAATATGGGGCCATTATTAACAGTGCTGCTATGAATATTCTAGAATGTGTCTTTTGATGGACATATGTATGTATTTCTGTTTGGTGTACTCCTAGGAGACAAATGGATAAATTGGATGGTATGTATATTATATTATCCATTGTAAATGAAGTATAAAATAAATTTTAAAAAATGGGATCACAAATTTGGCATGAAGATTAGGATACAATGAAAAGTTCTGAAAGTGGGCATTAGTCCCAGATAATCTTCTGGAGGGCAGATGTGGCAGAGTTGGGATTTTGTTTGTTGTGAGACATAGAAGACAGAAAGAAGATGCCACTGCTAAGTTTCTAATGTACTTCTCATATATTCAAGATGACTTTTGGAGTATCGATAATGATCCAGAGGAAAGTCCAACAAAGAACTAAAGGAATATTTCACAGTAGTGTTACTGAAATTTTAAAATAGATTGCAGTGATCTACTTAAATCTTACATTTTGACTTTAATTATGCTTTGGGGTGGAGAAATAAGCCCCTTCATGATTCTGAGTTGAAATATACTTCAAATGCCTTTTTTCCTACAGCTGAGGCAGTAAATTAATTGACCTAAAATAGTATGAGATGCCCAAAAAATAACTCTTCTTATTTTAGGGCCAGTAATCACTTATTTTCTTTAAATAAGTTATAGTTTAATAAATACAATCAAACTTTAAAAGTATCTAAAGTCATTTCCAAATCAATGGCATTATGACCAAATCATTTAATAATATTTGTAAGACTACAATGAATTAAGAACCATCCAAATCATTTCCAAATATTATCAATGGCTTTGGCAAAAGAGCACTAGTATTTCAAAGGTAATAAGTTATTTCAAAGGAAATATTTTTATAAGAATTGCATTTTCCCACCTTGATAAACTGCAAAATGTCTCTCAAAAGTAAACCTCTAGGCTTTTTTAGCTCAGTAATTATAACTGAAAATAGAATCACCTGGTGGCCTTACATGTCACTACCCCACAGAGTAACAGATAAATGGAAAATTGTTTTTGATTGAAATATTATGGTTTTAGTAAGATTTAACATGTATGACTTCAGACTGATTCACGTTGTGTTATTAAGGAAGGAGATACAAAACTTTTATGTCCGATTTTCCAATAGCATATTCCAGAAAACATCTCTCAAATAAAATGCAGCCTATTAAACTGTTAAAAGATAGATGCAAATTAGAAACTGAGATAAAGATAAAACTGCAAAAGCGTATATTGCCTAGCATATCAATTTTATTTTCCAATGTCTGACAACATTCACTAATTGCCTGTCATGTTTATCTAGCACCATTAAAATCCTTAATGCTACTAGTGAACTGCTAGAAAAGCATTCCCCTGCCTTCTCTGCTCAGATCATTTTTTAGGGCAATTAACACCAAACAATCATGGGGGATGGAAAGAAAGAAAAACATTTAGAATGTTTTAAGGCTAAATAAACTGCTGGCATCTTATAGCAATGTATGGTTTCTGAGGATGCTAGGATAAAATAAATGACTTCACAATTAGGATATTAAAACTTTCAGCAGTTCAACACAGAATTTGACGCTTGGAAAAATTAAACTCCAGACTTCTGATTATATTTTTGACTGCTGCTTTCAGGTTGAAATAAATACAAAAGACTAGCAGGCTTAAAGTGGCAACTGGAGGACATATTGCCTTTGAGATACACACAATCACTCATTCATTTGAATTATGAATGTGGAGATAAAGTAGATTTCAACAACTTTCACAATTACTAAATTGTGCTGCTGAAAGGAATACTGTTGATGGATCAAAGAATTCATTTTGAAAGCACATAGAAAATACTGGTTGCTTCTGATTTATAGCTGTGTGAATGAGTAACTCTGGCATTCTCTCTGAAACATCTGGATTAATTTCAAAAGCAACCTCAAAAAATCTCTTCTACTTAATTGTGTATTATATTCACTTGATTGCAACTGGGAATGAGAAAATGTAGCTAGACTTTTATCTATTGTGGTCCTCACAGGCTGGAAAAAGTTGAAAAAAAAAATCATTTTGCAAAAACTTTCCAAACGGACAATATTCTTGAGCAATTATATATTAAAAACTGGTGATCTGATACCTGGGGCAACCAAATTACTATGTATATATATCCAAACTCCTATATTCCAATGTTCTACCCGTTGTATATTTGATGGATGAAAAGTTATAAATCAATATTAGGCAATTAATTATCATAGTAAAGTACCCAGGCAAATTTATAGAAGTATAATACAATATTATTTTAATTATATTTATTCATTTTATATACATTTGAAAGCATATGTATTCATATCTGCTAAGTATTTATAAATTTTCACAGAAAATTTCAATATCAGTATGAATGGCTGTGAGGTTTTGTTATTGTTATTTTAATACTGGGAATTTACTCAATGACCACGCTTTTTCAGATTCATTGAGTGATATCTATGTACAAGTTCATTACCAAGGGCGTTTCTTACAGCAAACTCTAAAGGCTTCTCTTGTATAATAAAGAATTTGCCTGGCCCTTGGCCAGGTAGGTCTCTCGGCCCTGAAATTTCACTAGTGATAGAACTATCTATGTTATTCATGGTGGGCTCCTCAGACTACTTATGATTTTATGCTGTAAGGATATCTCAGGAAGGGGCTGGTCACACCGGAGAGACCAATCATCTGATTAGAGAGTTGGAGCTTTGAGCTACATGTTATCTGACCACCTTTAAGACGAGAGAGATTGCATTTAACCACATGGCCAATGATTCTTCAGTCATGCCTATATAATGAAACCTGAATAAAAACTCTGGATACCAAAGCTCAGGTGAGCTTTCTGTTTGGAAATGCACATCAGTGTGCTAAGAGAAAGATGCCTCCTGCCTCCACTAAAGAGATTATGGATGCCTCATGTTTCAGATGCCCCCTCACCTCAGCTACCTGTCCTTTCGAGCTGGTTCTGATTTGTATCCTTTTGCTATTATAAAACTGCAGTGGTAAATATATTGCTTTTCCAAGTTCTGTCAGCTGTTCTAGTGAATTACTGAGCCTGGGGCAGTACTGGGAAGTCAGAAATTTGCAGCCAGCTTGTGAGAAGTAAGGTTGGCTTGGAGACTCCCAAATTTGCAGCTGATATCTGAAGTGAGAGGAGTCTTGTGGAGTACTGGGCCCTTAACCTGTGAAGTTTGGCCTAACTCCAGGTAGTTAGTGTCAGAATTATATTGCACTTTCAAATATATATTTTGTTAAAAAAGAAAATAAACTTATATATGTAAGAACCTGTGTTTATATTTTACTTATTCAACCATAATAACAAACCTTGGGAATCATTACACATACTAAGGCATTTATTGACTTTCTCCTCATATTTAACATTTATAATTTTAACTAACATGATGTTGAAAATCAGATGCAGAGTTTAAAAACCTCACATTAGTAATAGGGCTTTGTCAGGAATACAAACATATTTGATGGAGTGTTCAAATTGTGAAGATGAAGTAATGGAAGATGTATTAATTTTGAAGCTTATTAAAATGATTTATTTTTAACTTGATCCAGTGCAATGCACTGTTCTTTCAATCAATTAAAATCTAATATTGCCATGAAAGTATTTGCAAAGGATGATCTTTAAACACTAGTTTACTGGATTCTAATAAGTATTAAACATAATTTTAACAAAAAGCAGTCTGTGGTAAATTGAAAAACTGCTGCATGAAACTAGGTTATACAGGTCTATTTACCCTGGACTTTTCCCTTTTGGGTAATACAAACTATGACTCTCTGAGAGAATGACTCAGATACTGCATTCCCATAATTACTGACTGACTTTTTCACATAGCATTTCACTGGACTAGAGAAATAGATCTAAATAGATTATAATTGGAATGCTTTAAAATTGAATTCATGTTTTGAAACATTCGGAATTTAAGATTTTTTAAAGTAGGTTTTTTTTTTTTAATTTCCATTTCCAGATATAGAAGAAAATGCAAAACCAAGCAACCAAACAAAAATGCCAAAAGCTTAAGATAGTTTCTTCTTCCTACATTATTTTATATTTTACAGGTCAAAAGTCAAACATGGATAAACTAGCAATAAATTAATTTCAACAAAGGGAGGGGAAAGTGTTATTTGGATAAATTTCCTGTTTTATAAAATGTCTATTTAAAAGATCAAAGGAGAGTCAATTTTGTTTTATATCCAGATGACCTAAAATTTCCTATAGTGGCAGAAATTGCTGATAAAGGCAAAATTCTAATTTTTCTTTTTTGGTTGTTGCAAATAATGAATTGTTCTTGGCAGTTAAATTTATTTTAAGCAATAGAACACTTTATTCCTAAAAAACTGAAGGAAAGCCAAATAAGGACACAGGATCTATTGGAGGCTATGTTTGACAGCCTGGCCTGAGGGGCTCTGGGAAACCCAGTTTGAAAACCATGATATGAAGTAGTAGATGAGTTGAGGTGTCGGAACATGAACTAAATGACAATGGCAGATGCTCTTCCATCACACCAGACATGAATGGCAGCTGCAGGAAAATCTCCAGCCCTTCTCTCCCTCATCACCTCCTCTGTGCTCCCTCAGGGAGCCTGTGTGAGCTTAGTGCTGATCTCCACACCTTATTTAAATTCGACCCTAGGCAATTGCTTTCTCTTTGTGCCCAAGTATCCTTAGATGCTCTTTCCTTCTTTCCTTGGCTCTTTAAACTTGCAACTAGTTACCTCAGGAAAAGTCTGTCCCTCATCCCCTGCCTCTCTTTTACATTTGAAAGGAAAAAAAGATTCCAGTTGTGAATGATAACTGCAAAAGCAATACTCGCTCTACCTATGCTATCAAATGAGACACTGAAAATCTGAAATGCATTAGACATTAAATAAATTCTACCAAATGGAAAAGCTCTTTGGAGAAATTAGGACTCCATTTCAGCTTGTTTACAAGACTCTATTTATTGCTTTTTCTGCCTGGTTTAATTAAACATGTTCTTCCTCAAATACGAGTATCCACTATGATAAGGAACAATTTCTCATTCAATTTTGTTTCTAATTAACCTCTAATAATGAACCTATATAATCTTTGGTAGAATCCTATTACAAAAAGTAATACATTTCAGTTACTTTATGGTTGAGTGGTCAGGTGGGTTATTCTCTACCCATATTCATGATTATATTTATCAGTTTTATCTTGAGTTCCATATTACAACTTAAAAGCACAAACTCTTAAAGTCTATTTGTAAATTGGGTATTATAATTTTTAAAGTTCATCCACGATGTATTCCTTTTCCAGGTTTTTTTTTTGATGATTCTTTCCTGTTCCTACAAATGTTAGTAGAAAAGAATCCCACAGCTGAGACATGTGTACTGGAGCCCTGAGTGATACAAAACAGTGTTTCATATTTACAGTTACTTCTTTGCAGTAGCTAGTAATGGTCATTGAAACATGACACCTGCTTTGGAATCATCTGTGTCAGAACTGTGAGAGGCTGGTGGAATAAGCAGTAGACTGCTTAGGCTATTAGGCAATAATGTTAAATGTTTCCACACAAGGATATAAATACTCCACACACATATTTATAATGTAAAGATATTCTATTAAAAGGTTTTTCCTCATTTGTAATATTTGTAGAGCCTTCTTTTTATTTTAATAATTAGTGCTATAGTGCAAACTGGTATGAAAGCAAATTTTTAAAGAGAAACTTTGGGTGCTAGCAAAGCACACTTTGAATCCTACAGATGCTTGCAAAAAAGCAATTGCTTAAGCTACTCATTAATGTCCAGAAAGTCCTCTGTAATATCATTCACAAGCATACTAGGCAAAGAGAGAAAACATGGAAAAGTCAATACAAATCACTATATTTAAAAATTAATGTTAAAGAGATATTATATTAATAAGGCATTAGACAAACTATTCTGAACTATTTAATTGTTACTACAATTGGAAGACAAATGAACATAATTAAAGTGGCCTACAAAAACTGTATGTTAGCTTTCTGAATGCCAGTATGATGTCCACATGGCAGTACCAAGGCCTGGTAATTTTAGAGCCATTGGATCATGATTCTTAGAGCACAAAGAAAAGTGTGCCCGGCACTTAAACATAATATTGTATTTTGTTTGACAATCCGGTAGTAAATAAACCTAGAACCCTCTTATTTCTCTAGATGAACTGAAAAAGACTTTTTTCTTCCTCAATACTTTGACAGATATATTTTAATATTTTGGCTGATATATTCATTTATGTTCTCTTTGCAATTTTAATAATTTTTTTCTTCAAGCACAAAAAGTCTTAGAGTAAAATAATAAAAACTATTGAGCTGTAAAATGTGGAATCATTTTTTTCATTAAAGTTCAATTAATATGGAATTCCTTCAGCAAAAATATGACTATTTTCAAAGGACAAATCTGAATTGGGCTTTGATTTTTTAATAGTGTTCAGCACCAATTTTCCATTAAGACTTAATACCCAATGCATTACACAGAGTAATAAAACTTGATAAAGAAACAATGTAAGTATATTAGAATGTTTTACAGGTATACCTTATTTTATTGGGCTTTGCTTTATTTTGCTTTGCAGATCGTGCATTTTTTACAAATTGAAGGTTTATGACAATCTTGCATTGAGCAAATCTATCGGTGCCATTTTTTCCAACAGCATGTGTTCACTTTGTGTCTCCGTGTCACATTTTGGTAATTCTTGCAATATTTCAAACTTTTTCATTATTATTATATCTGTTATGATCTGTAATCAGTGATCTTTGCTGTTACTATTGTAATTGTTTGGGGGTGCCAAGTTGTGAATGCAAAGAAAAACTTCTTGAAGGAAATTGAAAGTAGTACTCCTGTGAACACACAAATAATAAGAAAGTACTAGAGTGTTATTGCTGATGTGCACAAAGTTTTAGCGGTCTAGAAAGAATACCAAACCAGTCAGAACATTCCCTTAAACCAAAGCCTAATTGAGCAAGATCCTATCTTCAGCTCTATGCAGGCTGAGCAAGGTGAGGAAGCTACATAAAAAACGTTGCAAGCTAGCAGAGGTTGGTTTGGATTTAAGGAAAGAAGCTGTCTATAACATAAAAGTGCAAAGTAAAGCAGCAAGTGCTGATATAGAAGCTGCAGCAAGTTATCTCAAATATCTAGTTAAGGTAATAGATTAAGATGACTACATTAAGCAACAGATTTTTCAATGTAGATGAAACAGCCTTCTGTTGGAAGAAAACAACATCTGGGACTTTCATAGCTAGAGAGGAAAAGTCAATGGCTGGCTTCAAAATTTCAAGGGACAGATTGACTCTTTTGTTAGGGGTTAATGCAGTTGGTGACTTTAAGTTGAAGCCAATGCCCATTTACCATTCTGAAAATACTAGAGCCCTTAAGAATCAAGCTAAATCTACTCTGCTTGTGCTCAATAATGAAACAACAAAGCCTGGATGATACTGCATCTGTTTATAGCATGGTTTACTGAATATTTTAAGCCCACTGCTGAGACCTACTGCTCAGAAAAAAAGATTTATTTCAAAATATTAGTTCTTATTGACAACGCATGTAGTCATCTAAGAGCTCTGATGGAGATGTACAAGGAGATGAATGTTGTTTGCCTGCCTGCTAACACAATATCTATTCTGCAGCACATGGGCCAAAGAGTAATTCTGACTTACAAGTCTTATTATTTAAGAAATGCATTTTGTAAGACTATACTTGCCATAGTTATTCCTCCAATGGATCCAGGCAAAGTATATTGAAAACCTCTGGAAAGGATTCACCAACCTAGATGCCATTAAGAACATTCATGATTCATGGAAGGAGGTCATAATATCTACCTTAACAGGAGTTTGAATGAAGTTGGTTCTCATGGATGACTTTGAGGGGGTTCAAGACTTCAGTGGAGAAAGTAATTGCAGATGTGGTAGAAACAGCAAGAGAACTAGAATTAGAAGAGGAGTCTGAAGATGTGACTGGATTGCTGCAATCTCATGATAACACTTGAAGAGATGAGGAATTGCTTCTCATGGGTGAGCAAAGAAAGTGTTTCTTAAGATGGAATCTGCTCCGGGTGAAGATGCAGTGACAATTGTTGAAATGACAACAAAGAATTTAGAATATTACATAAATGTAGTTGACAAAGCAGTAGTAGGGTTTGAGAGGATATACTCCAGTTTTGAAAGAAGTTCCACAGTGGGTAAAATGCTATCAAACAACATTGCATGCAACAGAGAACTCTTTAGTGAATGAAAAAGTCAATGGATGCAGCAAAATTCATTACTGTCTTATTTTAAGAAATTGCCACAGTCACCCCAAAGTATAGAAACCACTGCAACGCCAGTAGGTTGTAACTCTTTATCTGGAAAAAAATCATTCTCTCCAGCTTTTTATTCATCCATTTATTCTACAAATTTTGTGGAACACCTACTACTGTTCTAGGTACTTAGGATACATCAGTGAATAAAATAGTCTAAGATATCCTCATCAATCTCTATTCTTGAATGGGAGATAAAGAATAAACAAGAAACATAATAAGTAAGTAAATTATATGGTATGTTATAAGATGATACACCCTTTAGAAATGTAAAATGTAAAGCCGGATAAAGGGATTTGGGAGCACTGGATCAAGCTGAGGGGTGGCACAATACCATTCTATCCTTTCCATTTAAATAGAAATCTTGTATACATGTACCTTGCATAAGCTGGGCTACCTCTAAGATTGTTTAAAATATGAAGATTAAATGATATAATAAAAAAGTTCCAGATATTCTGCCCTTTGTTTTGTAACATTTTGAAGATGATTAACTTGAGAAGTACCTAGTACTGTGTGGTTAGGCTCTCAATACATTTCTAATAAATTAATCATCAAGTTGTTGCTACCCTCTCTTATTTCCTTGAGAGGATAGCAACAATTTTAAATCACTCAAAAATCATATTACACATTTTTTATTCATCACAAGATTCCTCTAAGATGATATTGGTTGATGAAAGCATCATCCTCAGCAAACTAACACAGAAACAGAAAGCCAAACACTGCATGTACTCACTCATAAGTGGGAGTTGAACAATGAGAACACATGGACAGAAGGGAGGGGAACATCACACACTGGGGCCTGTCGGCAGGGGTCGGGGGCTAGGGGAGGGATAGCATTAGGAGAAATACCTAATGTAGACAATAGGTTGATGGGTGCAGCAAACCACCATGGCGTATGTATACCTATGTAACAAACCTGCAGGTTCTGCACATGTTTCCCAGAACTTAAAGTATAATTTTAAAAAAAAGCATAAAAAACTGCTAAAAAATTGTTGCTATAGTGACACCTTCCAATATTTCATACCAAGAGTAAATATACAAAATTTGTATTATGTTTTTACTGCAGATATGCCATAAGTGTGTTTATATATCATTTGTGCAGTGACTATATTTAATACCATGCATCAGGATGGATGAACTTTTATGTGGCTCCCAAAGAATACTATAATATCTGATTTTGGCAATGCAGTTATATCACTTTTCAGCACAGAGCCTATTATTACACACAAGTTCAAAAATAACAGAATTCTGCCTCAAGTTTAAGAAACTTAAAAAAAAGTGACCTAGTGGGAAACAGTCTAAAATAATATAATTAAGCTGGTAAAAGTCAAACTGGTTTATGAATATAATAACTGGTAATATGATCCACAGATAGACAACAATGATTAAACAGAAATACCCCAAGGACACTATTGAATAGGGGATTATTGTCATTGCACTGCACACACGGGGATCAATTTTGTCTTTAAATTGAAAGCTGGAAGATACTTTTTTCTCCAGAGCCACTTAATAACCATCCATCTAGAAAGCTGATTTGGCTGAAAGAAAGAAGTTGTCATAGAGATTATAATTAGGGGATGACTGGGATAGAGTGGCAAAGTCATAACATTCCACAAACACCAGAATTTGCAGAACATATTTAAGGAAAGCAGGAATTCCCAAAGAAATCAGGCATTGGAGACTCAATTTCTCAAGACTTTACTTTGAGTAATTATGTTAGTAAACACTAAAATATCAATTGGACATTCCGTCAGATACCAGATTGAGAAAGGAATGATGCAGGACATGCAGAAGAACTAAACTAGAACCATTCACTTCATTAAGGATCTTTCTGAGATCCTTTCGGAATCCCCACGAAGTCAATGTCATCATGGATTCATCATTTTTCTGTAAGTGCCTTTCTCTAGAATACAGTACTGCATTCTTCATGCTGTGAGTTGACAATACTAAAATAAAAAATGTATACTGCCTTTGGCCAATTTCAATTATTTTTGTTCTTTTACTTTTTTGAAGTGATCAAACATTTCTGTGAGTCACAGAATATTTTAAAAGATGTTTCTAAATATAAGATTGACTGAAGTGGCTTGCTGATGCTCTCATGCATCTAATTAACAAATCAAGGCAAGAGTGAGAAAATATAAATGTTATTCTGGAAGCTCACAGGTAATGTTAAACAATTATTTTAGTGATTCAGTATGCATAACAAGCTAAAATGTGAGCAAACACTTATGTGCTGCATTCCAAAATAAACACATCTTTTAAGTGATCTTCAATTTTATATTTTAATGGCTAATTATGGTTTTCTACATTATCACCTCAAAGTAGAAAGAGAATTTATATTTTTCTTGGTATCTAATTTATAACACTTATGTTATTTCATATAGAGAATAAAATATTCAATTACTCTTTGAGATGTTTCTCAAAGTACATGGATTATAAATATTAAGTTCCCTTTACTTTTATAGTTATTGTTCTCAAGGCATGTAATAATCTTCAACTCAGCAATGCATGTATATTAACCTGAAACATACTTATATGCAGAGCTTCAATATTATGGAGTCTTTGGAGTTCACATCATTAGACTTTTTTTTTGTTTTTACCTTAAATATACACAATAAAATTTATTTTTTAATAAAAAGGATCTGGAGATTGATTGCCCAACAACGTGAATGTACTTAACACTACTGAACACACTTAAAGATAGTTAAAATGGTAATATTATACATATTTATGGGGTACCTGTGATATTACAGAGTACATACATACTCCTGTAATGATCAAATCAGGATAACTGAGATGACCCATCACCTCAAACATTTATCATTTCTTTGCATATCACTAGACTTCAATACAATAGAATCTATGTGATAAGGTAACAACAAAAGGACAAGAGTTTTAGAAACTTCTTTGTGTGAAGAACTTAAACAAATTTACAAGAAAAAACCCCATCCAAAAGTGGGCAAAGGATATGAACAGGCAGTTCTCAAAAGACGACATTTATGTGGCTAACAAACATATGAAAAAAAGCTCATCATCACTGGTCATTAGAGAAATGCAAATCAAAACCACAGTGAGATACCACCTCACACCAGTTAGAATGGTGATCATTAAAAAGTCAGGAAACAACAGATGCTGGCGAGGATGTGGAGAAAGAGGAACACTTTTACAATGTTGGTGGGAGTGTAAATTAGTTCAACCATTGTGGAAGACAGTGTGGCGATTCCTCAAGGATCTAGAACCAGAAATACCATTTGACCCAGCAATCCCATTACTGGGTATATACCCGAAGGATTATAAATCATTCTACTATAAAGACACATGCACACGTATGTTTACTGTGGCACTGTTCACAATAGCAAAGACTCGGAACCAACCCAAATGCTCATCAATGATATACTGGATAAAGAAAATGTGGCACATATACATCATAAAATGGATGAAGCTGGAAACCGTCATGCCCAGCAAACTAACACAAGAACAGAAAACCAAACTCTGCATGTTCTCACTCAAAAGTGAAAGTTGAACAATAAGAACACATGGGCACAGGGAGGGGAACATCACACACCGGGGTCTGTCAGGGGATGGGGGGCAGTGGAGGGATAGCATCAGGAGAAATACCTAATGTAGATGACGGGTTGATGGGTGCAGCAAACCACCATGGTACGTGTATACCTATGTTGCAAACCTGCACTTTCTGTACATGTATCCCAGAACTTAAAGTATAACAAAAAAAAAGAGAGGGGGCACAGTTGTCTGCTCTGTGTGTGTGTGTGTGTGTGTGTGTATAAACTATATATATAATTAAACTATATATATAATTAAACTATATATATAAAACTATCATTATATATAACTATTTTATATATATATAAAATGCTGTATATATATAATGAAACTATATATGTATATATAGAATGAAACTATATATATGTATATATATATTAAATGAAACTTCTTTGTAGTGAGATGTTTAAGAGATTTCAATAAATATGTCACCATACACTTTGATAGTTTATAAATATGAGATGGTTTTTATTAGCATTGTTTTCTGAACCATATAATAAAACTGGAGCAGCACCATTCCAATAGCAGGATATATTAATATTTCAGCAAGGTTGGAGGATAACTGCCATGTATCATGCTTCTAGCAATTTAACTCATCCTTTCTTGGCCACTTCTATCAAGTAAGTAAGAGATCATCATCTGGTGTTGCAAGTATGTGGTATCTATGTTTCAGGCTGCCCCACTGTAAACTTCTTTCATTCCATTATAAAAAGACAGATGTATTAAAATAAAAGAAGACCAGAGAAAATTGCTTAATACTGCCTATATTAAGATTGAATATATTCTGGTCAAAGATGGCACCATTCACAATCTTTTGGCAACACAATTATAATTGCTGCGTTTTTCCTTTCTTTTTTGGTTTAGAAAATAAAAGTGGGCACAGTTTCCTAGGAGTATGCACATTTTTCTTTTTGTTTGTTCGTTTGTTTTATGTGTGTGTGTGTGTGTGTGTGTGTCAATCTAAATTCAATAGAGAATAAACGTTTGAGTTTTCACCAGTTACTAGTTGCCATCTTCTCTGCTGCTTAATGACATTTTGTGCATATTGCAAATCTTGCCAGTTTAGGTGTTAAAAGTCTGTTTAAATCTCAAACTGATTCAAATCTTATTTCCTCCTTACTCCCTTCCTGTGCACAGACTTGTTAGGGATTATTGGGTGTGTTTAATGTACAGGCTCTTGATAAGCTCTGGGGGACCGTTCTGGCACCAGTTTTGCCTACCCTTTGCAAGATTTGGGCCCCATCAGGCTTCCTGTCATTATCTTTGGGACTTAAGTTGCCAACTTCTGGACAATGAGGCAATGCCATTGAATGTCCTGTTACATATAAATGATATATGTATAGTGTGGTGCTTCAGAGTTTAATTTAGAATATACGTCTGTAAACCTTCACTTCCATTCCACTATGATGCGTGTGCATTTTCCCTCCACACTCCCGAAGATAGCAAATATGTAACAATGAAGATTGAATTACCATGGCTGTTACATCTAGATGTTTCCACAAGCCTGCCATTTTGATCGTAGCATGCCATTGCTTGGTAACGATATCCTTGTCCGCATTCCTTGATGTCTCCTTGTACTTTCATTCCCAGCAACACTTCCACTTTTCCCTCTGGTAAAATACAGTCTGACCAGTTCCCCACAGGTTGTGCATTATATTTGTCACAAGGACAATACTGAGTCTCAATCAGGGGATACAAATGGGAATTTTTACATTTTTCCTTCTTTTTACTTTTTCCTGTGGAAGAGAAACAATCAGGCAATTTAAGTTGGAAAATACCATCATTAATTTCACACATCCCTAAATTTTCTGCTTTCCTAATTTCTTTTTCTTCATTTTTAACCATATTTAACAGTAGCCTATAAATCAATGCTATTTTCTCATTCCACAGTGTTTTCTACATAGGCTCCTGTTGGTATTGGGTGCTTTGCATAGTAAAATTTGTATTATTTTTTCAGAACACTATTTTTCACATACTTTTTAATTATACTACAGATAAGTATATATTTATCTCTCACCTTCATAGGCTGTGTTATATAGTTTCGACAGTCTTCATTACATAGGTGGTTCATTTTTTAACTTAAATTCTGAGTACTCTACTAGCACCAATATTTTTAGGTTGCTTTTGCCATTGGCAATATTTCAAATGCACCAAGCTTTAGTTCAGAGTGATGGATCCTAATCCTGCTCATTATATTCATGCTGTTAGTCATTACTATGGTTTAAAATACAATTTTCAGATACAGAATTAATGCTATATTCCCCCTTCTAGGTGAGAAAGGATAATCTGAGGCTCTGACAGTGAGAATGGGTTAACAAAGTAGCAACTTTTTCTCTTGTTCCCCAAAAACTTTGCTCCAAGCACTTTACAGTCTGCAGGCAGTCCACTAAAAGATTATGTCTACACCAGAAAATAATCCACTGCATATTATATAGGGAGTCAGAGTTCAATTTTCAAGCCTTCCTTTTCTTTTTACTAAAAGTACATAATGCTTTTATCACTGCCAGCTAAATTTAAAATATACATCTAAATCCATTGGCATATTATTTTTCAAATACACTGTCAGAATTCTCTCAGTCTGACTTGTATTATGTTCCTCTACTTTGACGTGTACTGGCTTTGGCATCCCAATTATTCTTACCAACAAGAGTGCGCTTTCTGGTCCTAACTGCACCACAGTCTCCATTGCATGAAGAAAACTTGGACCAGCTGGTCAATTGACAGTCATCCTGGCAGGGGATCTGGCAGGCCTGGGTAAGGGCTGGCACAGGGCCTGCATACTGTAGGCACTCATGGATTCCAGCCTGTCCTCCATCTTGCTTGCGACAAGTAATGGCTAAAAGAAAAGCATAAAGCTGTTATAACAAATTCAAACGTCTAATTACTCTATAATTTAGAAGCTAACCTAACATTTGGTTAAGCAGTCAGAGAAAGCCTCTTGTAGTTCCTTACTTACAGTAGAAATCTTATAGGAGTGTTTCTAATAATCCCAGTAGCCATTAAATTGGTTATTTTTAAAAATAACACACAACCCTGAGTGATTTTTGTGGCACAGAAAAGTGGACACATATGCATACTTAGCATTTACCAGTTTTAATTATATGTATTCAGGGTTTCAATTCATGTCACATGTAGGGTATATTTAGAAATAAATTTGTAAGAATGTAAGACAAACCATACGTGGGTTCTGATAATAGCTTATGTTGAGCATAGGGTGTTTGGAGAGGGACTGGAAGATACTAGGTATATCTAATATTGTTTTATATCATTGGACACCCTAGAATTCCTTTATAGAAGTGTTTTAGTGGCAGAAAGCTGGTTGGTAGGTTGGAGTTTGGGGTCAGGAAGGTGTGCTTATAGAACTTATCTTGAAACTGCATTGGCATGGGAAGTATGTTCACTGTATTACATTTCAAGTTTATTAGGAAGGGTTGGAATCATTAATGGATAAGCAATGTCAAAGTCCTCCATCTCCTCTTTCTACAAGTTCTTCACATGCACAAACATCAACCTGGCACTTAAAAATTTTCAATAATCTTCATTTATTATGTTAAAATTTGTAGTTCTAAAATTACATATAAATTTAAAAAATCAAAGTTTAAATTCATAAAAATTATTTCGCCTATGATATTGTTCTGCTGACTTAAAATGAGAAATAATATTTTTACCTATTGAACATATACATATGAGTGTTTTATGGTAACAAGTCTTAAAGAAAAAGAGCAAGCATGTTTAAAGCCCACTTTCTCCCTATGCCATTTCCTTTCCATTGGTTTTAAAAACAACTCACTTATTGAGGAAGCAGATGAAACATTAAACCTTGGTCCTAAAGTTGGCTTCACTGAATTATCTTAAATGGCCTCATTCAGATTGATTTACTTGGCTTTTTCAGGTTTATGGTCTAGGCTGAAACTGCCGCTGATCTCTGCCCTGTTCAGGATTCCATCACCATGAAATCGAGGTGAAGGAGCCTGACGTTTTTGACCTTAAATTACAGTGAGGGCATAGAGGGCCTCAGGTTAGACAACACCGTCTGGATCTGTGTACTAAAACCTATTGCCTAGGAGTGCAGGGCTTTGTAATAGAGTGTGTAAATGGACATAACTAGCAATTTTAGCAAGGCAAGATTTTCTCTGTGTAGTTGAACACAACTTAATGCAACTGCTTCAGGCCTAACATAAAAGGCCCTTCTAAATTGTTCAATTGTGGATGCACTTCCCTATTTCTTAGCTTTAGATGTGCTTTTCATTTAGTACACATGACTTGACTTTGGAAGGGCCAGTTTGTAAGAAAAGAACAGGGGCCCCTAAATTTTTAAAAATATGAAAATCCTGGTAGGGTGAACAGTGTTGGCCTTGATGAAGGTTAGATGACAGAAACAAATAAAAAACATTAAGTGTCTCAAAGAGAATCTACCCCCTTGAGGGAGGACACATCTGGTACTCTGTTTAATCATAGCAGTCTAAGATGGTGGTTCTCATGTCTGGCTGCAGATTATAATCCCCTGGATAACCTTTGGAAAATACCTATGCCCTTACTAAACTCTAATGCTCTGATTTCCCTGGTTGAGGTTGGGGTCCTGGGATTTAGGATACTTTTTAAGCTTTCTGATGATTTAATTATCCAAGCTATATGAGAACTACTGCTCTAGTAGGTAATATATTTTCACCTGCATCAGAAACACCTAGAATGCTATTAAACATGAAGATCCCTGGACCCAAAAAGAGTTCCATAATCTGGACCAATCCAGATAATGAGATACCTGCTATGGGGTCAGGAATATGCATTTTTTTCAAGATGCTCAGGTGATCCTTACGCAGATTCAAGTTTGAGACCCACCAGCTTGAGTATTCAAGGTACAGGAAGGGTTCTGGCAAACACATATGGCTAAGACAGAAAATCCTTTGGTACCTAATCAGCCTGGTACCATGCCAAGCTTTGGGAAACAATGGCTGAACATTGTATGAACTGAAAGAGCTCTAAGCTTGGAGTTCAAAGGAAGGGCATGATAGAAATTTGTACAGGGAATAGATAAAAAAGAACATCCATATAGTTTAGAAGAACATCATCTGTAACACAGTGTAGGAGAAATCCTCGAGATGCAGGCTATAAACGAGCTGCTATGATTTTGAAGTTCTTTCTACACCTGCCATTTGGAAGCAGGATTGACCCTTTCAGACACTCTAAACTTAGTAAGTGCCGATGGTTCATGGACAAAGTTGCCCCAAGGATGCTAAAAAAATTGATAAAGAGAAAGATATTAAACTTTTTACTAATCAGGACATGCAAGAGCCTCAAGAATGATATATTTGGAAAATAAGACATCTGATCATATGAGAATCGTAAGCTGTGAAGAGGGTTTCACTGTTTGTAACTAAAAGAAAATTAAAAATTACCAAACTAAATTTGGGTTATTTGAAATGAGACTACTTTTACCTACTCATTCCATTTAGCTCTTTGAAACAGACTTCAATATAAATCTTTTGAGAAATTAGATGAAACTGACTTAGGTTCTCTCTTAAGGGTCTTTCTTACAAATTTTGTTTCAGAATTGCTCCAACCATTATCCTGTTATGTGACACCAAAAAGAAAAACAAAATAAAATAACACTACTACCAATACAATTCCAGAAACAATTTATTTTGTGCAGATCTATACTATTCACATAAACTGGAATCCCTTTTCCCCATATACCTGCACTACATAAAATCTTAAGTACTCTAGCTAGTTGAAAAGAAAAAAAAATTGTGTAAAATTCCCATAGCTATTCTCACTCTGCACTTTACACCTCTTATCTGAGGTTTTAGACAGTGTACTTTTGGAATAAATTACTCATACAATGTTATCCAAACAAGCAGCAACAGCACAATCTGTACAATATACTGAAAATTTATCCTACATCTCAACTTGTTTGTATTCTGACTTAGAGGAAACACAATTCAAACACAGAAATACAATCTGAAATGAACTTCCTGATACTAGGGCGAGGAAAATATAAATGTTTGGAAAGGAAACCATCTGGTCTCTCAACTTTATGGATCTTAAAAATCATTTCTGAAACACTGAAAACAGGGTGATTTGAATAGTAGAAAAGATGGATCATACTAAGAGCACAGTTTCTTAGCACACCAGAAAACTACATATACCCAGAAAATTTGTATCTGTATTTACAGGTGAAGCATGTATATGTCATATCTAATGATGACACAAGTTCTCCTTTGAGCTGAAGCATTGTTAGCAAGATGGGAAAAAGTCATGTTACCCTACAGATAATTCACCATGAAAGCTTCTCAGTGAGATCCGCAAAAATCAAGATGATTATTTTAAAGTAAAATTCCATATTTAACTCTGTTAATTATATCCATTTACTTCATTTATTTATTGTATTTATATAAAGCACAGCAATTTTTATTTAAGTGATATAGGACAGGCTGCTCCTGGCAGACTGAAAGCACGGGAAGAATCAATATGACTGATTTGTGGGTTACATATGAATCAACTTAAACAAGCTTAGCCCATCAATATTGGGAAAATGCTGTAAAGATAAATAAGAGAAGTTTCTTCAACAAATACATGCTATGAAAAAGGGAGCTATAACTGTTGTCAGATTAAAAGTGACCTAAGAAATACACGAACCAAATGCAACGTGGAGACCTTTTGGAACCTCAGTTTGAACAAACTATGCATAAACATTTTTGAGACAATGGAGAAAAATTATTAGATAAAAGTATTAGATAGTTTGAAAGAATTGCTAATTATAATGCTATTGTTATGTTAAAAATGCTCAAGTATTTATGGATGATATATATCTTACTTGGAAGTTGCTTTAAAATACTCCAGCAAAATTCTTTTTAAGTGTGTGGACAGACGACCAAGAATAGCAACATGTTAAAAACTGCTGAAGCTGAGTAAATGATGACTACATTGCTAGTACTCATTATATTAGTCCCTCTACTTTTGTGTATCTTTGAAACTTCCCATAAGTTTAAATTAAAAAGATTAGTAAGTTGAATAAGTAAAGTTAATTCTAGAATGTTTTCACGTAAATTGAGTTTCAAGCTATGTTTTAAAGAGAAAAATAATAAAGGTTCATGGACTAAAAGGGAATAGATAACACTGGCTGAGCTAAGAGGACATGGATATCTGTGTTATGCATACATGGATGTGTAAATGGAAGGCTACTGATGCAGCTCTGAAGCAGATCAAATGGAATTCTGAGTGTAATTGCTCATCTTCATTTTTGAAGAGGAATGAAATTTCCTTATTATTCAGGTTTCACAAGAAGAAGGTGTTCTATTGCTCAGTGAATTACCCTTCAGCGTGTAAGGCCATGCACTCATTTTGTTTGAATAATCAGAATGAAATAAATTGCCTGATCCAAAATGGGCACATAGAAGTTCATTACAGGAAACAGAATAGGATCAATGCCTTAGTGCAGTGAAAGCTGTTGGATTATATGTAGCAAATGGTCAAAGAGCTCTGTGACCTTATTATTAAACTGAACAATATTAACATGGTTTATACCACTACACTAGTGTCTGGGTAGCATTAGAGACAGAAGATGATCAGCTCATTAAGTAATTAGATGAGTGATTTTCTCCTATGGTTTTATGAAAAAAATGGCAATAGCGAGAATGAATCATGTAGAAATGAAGAAGAAAAAGCTTAATGTGAGTGTGAGCTAGTTACCAAGAGACCTAATTGTGCTTAGAAATAAGATCAAACCTATAAATAATCCAAGAGGGCTCCAGTTGTTTACTAGGTAGATATAATGATCCTGGTCTTTCTCTGTGTAAAAGAGATTTTCACTGGCAAGTTTGCCAAATTATAGTTCCTAACTACAATTTGTTGAGTGTAGCCCTGGCACAATGGAAAGAAATGTACCTTCATTTTTGATTGATCCTAAATAGTTACCAATGATCCCCAGTCTCACTGATGCTTATAATATATGTGAGAATACTAGGATGAGAACTTACTAGGAAATAATAATCAGTTCCCAGTGGAGTAGCTGAGACTGAGGTTGGCTAAGATCCCCAGTTGGGATCTGGGAAGGGTTAACTGCATCAGAACACATGGAGCATCCAAGAACAATCACAGACCCAGCACGGTGCCAAGCTTATTTTATGAGCTACTATTTAAAAAATGGCAAATGTTAATAAGCATTTTATGACAGATCTCCCAGAGAGATATAAAACGAAACCCAAAACCCCAAATTAACGAGGATGCTAATATTCATAGGAAGTTAAACATTTTAAAATATAAATAATTCTAGAAGTTTTAAATAATGGTATATATAACTGCAGAGTATAAAACCTGGGTAATAACTAATAAATATATCAGCCAAAAAAGAGATTAAAAATTACGTCTGTATAAAATTTCCTTAAAGCAAGCTCCTTCTCTTTTTCCTACCTAGTTCTTTTTCCACTTCTTTTTCTTTCTATTGAAGAACTCTCTTTTGACAATTAACAGATAATGTGCCCTGCCAGGATAAATTGGCCCAGATATTATGAGCCTAACCTCAATAATGCCTCTAAAATGTAACCTTTAAAAAAAGAGCAAAGTGGGTCAGAGTTTTCAGCAAAGGGTGAAGCAAGGCCCATCAACATAGATTAAACCATGTAACTTAAGCATATTTGTTCACAAAAAATAAGAGCATAAAATATAGTTAAATTATTGTATTGCACATTCCACATTTAGATTTAAGTTTAATAGGGGAGAATTAGAATTTTTCTTTTACCTTTTTTTTTTTTTAAGGACTCTCCTTTTGTAATCTTTTTAAACCAATAAGTGACACAGGGTGAGGACTCCTAGGGCCAGGAGGACCTCTCCTATGCAAGGTATATTATTGAAGTATTTTTCTTTTTTGTGGTCTAGATTCAAGAATGCATCCAAATTATGTTGGCTTCCATCTAAAGAGACTGATGTCAGATTTTAGTGACCAGTGACATTACAACAGATGTTCCTTGGCAGGCAAGAAAACAGAGGGGCTATTAGATTAGGCTAGACGGGGTAGACCCTAGAAAATATTAACTCTAGTTCCATCTAATCTACAGCAAGTACACTTGGCATGATTATCAACATGAAGATTGAGCAAGAGAAAATTTACCATCATTTATGTGATATGTCTACCTTGAATCTTTGCAACTTTTAAAAATTCTACTCTTCGTAGAAACATGTCACAAAGTAATAAACACTGGAATGATACACATTGAAGAAGTAGTTATTGACATTGCTTCTTAGGGCAGTTGTAAAGAAAAGAATAAACAAAGCATCCAAAATTGACATTATGGTCATATATTTCTAATGCAAATTTAATGGCAATTCTATCCATAGTTATTATGGCTAGGTTTCAATTACATAGCCACTGACCAATAATTCAGCCTTCTAAATACCATCTGAACTGTATAAATATGAACAGAGAGAAAAGACAGTGGAGGTTACAGTTCTATTCAAAGTTTATACACTAGTGACTTGAATAGTATGAAGAAAATATAAGCTGTCTATTCACTTCAAAGTTAAAATGAAATATGGCCATACTTCATGTTATTTGCATTTCTCTTTTATTGACAATTTTATAGGGAAGATGCCTATTTCAAAGATCCTCTAAAATTTCCATATGAGATTTAAGAATGATTCAAATTTTAAAGTTGCCAAATCGTGTCAATGTCTTCTTTAAAAATTTCTCTTTTTCCTCTCTCTTTTTACTTCTTATGCCATTATACAAAATTTCCTGGAATATAACATTCTCAATACCCAAAGCCTTGTAAAAATCCTTCACTACTTCTCATTTTTTTAATGAGAAAAAGAAAAACAAAACTATCCTTGCCCCTTGCCTCTAACTCACTCACAGGAACCCTAGGCAAACTGGTCAATGAGCTGTTCCTAAACATAAAGATTTTACTTCTTGCCTTTTTGCTTGAGTCATCCTATATTTAAATGCTGTGTCTCTTTCACTATGCCGTATCAGTGGTTATCTCTTTTTTTTTTTTCAATTCTTCAGTGATTATTGTGTATATACACTACTACTGTATTATTATGACTTGTAACCCAAGTCATGTATACCTATAGTATATTTTCTACCATACTAAGTTAACTGAATCTATTTGTTATACATTTTTAATATCTCAAGAGGCTGGGCCTAGTACCATGAAGGCAATGTGAAATATGTAGCATGCATTCAATAAATATTTATGAGAGAATGTATTATATTGAATTATATTCAGAAAGTTTGGATTGGTTTTTAGAAATTTGAGTTACCTGTTTTCACAGCTTTCTGAAAGAGCATAATATTAACAAACATATAGCTCTGTACACTAAGATGATAGGAATTTTATTTAAAAGTTCGGATCCTGCACTATTGCTATATACTGAGTTGTATCTCCCTCAGATCCACATGTTGAAATCACCAATGTGATGGTGGTATTTGAAGGTGAGGTCATGAGTGTGAGGTTCCTATGACGGGATTAATGCCCTTCTCAGATGAGACCTGAGTGCACTTTCTCTCTCTGTCTCTCTCTCTCTCACTCCCCTTGCTTTCTCTCTCTGCCTTGTTTTTTCTCTGCCATGTAACAGCACAGTGAGAAGATGACTGTCTGCAAGTCAGGAAATAGGTCTTCGTCAAGAACCAAATTGGCTGGCACCTTGACCTTCACATGCACCAGAACTGTGAGAAATAAATTTTTGTTTAAGCTACTTGATCTATAGTGTTTTGTTATAGAAGCCCAAGAATCCTGATAAAACTATCAACACAACATTTTAAGCATTTGTTTTAGAAAAGATTTCTAATGTTTCTACAGAAACACTTGATGAACTTAAAGAAAATACCCATTTTATGTAGCAGAGTAGCTAATTCAATTTAGAGAAGATTGGGCAAAAATTACTGGTGATTCTGGGGATAATTGATATAAAATTCTGCTTCAGCATTATGCCACTTTTCCTTTTAAATGTAAAGGAATTGGGTCATAAATAAAAAATTCCTATGTGCTTTTCAAACTTTCAGGAATATATAAATTTTCTTTTAAAGTACTTTGTGTTCTAATATAATAGATCAGAAAAACTTTTCATATAGTTTTGACATATATAAAATATAGATTTTATCAAGACTGCATTTACTTGATTAGAAGAGACTCTACCTATATTCTTATTCCTGTGTTGCTTTAACTCATTTCTGAATAAGGATGATTCTCACAAATTTGCTTTAGAGCGAATGTCAGTGCTGAGATCATAAGTAAACAGTTTACAATTTTTAAAGAGGCTCTGGGAACACAATTGCTTCCCAAATCTTTTGAAATATGTCATCACAGATAGTTCCTCCAATTTGAAAAATTATGCTATTAATAGTATTAAGAGTAAAAATGAAAGTATGTCTATAAAGGCCACTTTATTTTATTGTTAACAGGTGGTTAAAAGTAGGTGCAGGCCTAGGAGGCATGGCTAGTAAGGTGATAAGAAGGAATTTGTGTTACATTTTTCTATCAATATGGAAGGGTCCAGACGTTGGAGAAGAACTGAATCATAATAGGTGACCTTTTAAGTGTTGGGCTGAATGGCACATATTATATGAGACACACACATTCTCTCTTTTCTATGTGTACTTAGTAAATTAACTCTGAATGTCCAGCTTTTGAGTATAATTTATCATGTTCTAGACAAGGGAATTTTGAAGGCTGGAATGTTTTTCTCTCTTGTCTTCCATAGCCCATGTATTTTCTGGTTTCACCTTTAGCCCCTTTTTAATTTTAATTTTTACTACTAAAGTTCTTAGAGTCAACATTTTATTCCTAACCTCCCCCAAAAAGAATGCTGCAATTTCATCCTTAAAGGCAGATATTTTACTATTGTCCCAGTCTTTAAAATCTACTACTTTCATAACTATAAAATAGTTCTTTTATTGCTGAATTGAATTTGTATACATCTTCCCAACTGACAAGATAAATTCCAGGGATTTTCTGATCCTATTGGGTAATGACTATTCAGTATTATTAGAAGTTCTGACTACATCATTGGTTACATGGCTTTTGGGTTTAGATCAAGGGTCAGCAATTTTTTTCTGTAAAAGACTACATGGTAATTATTTTTGGCTTTGTAGGCCATATGGGTCTGTCCTAACTACTCAATTGTGCCTTGTATCATGAAAGCAGCCATAGGCAATATGTAAAAAAATGGCTGTGGCTGTGTTCTGATAAAACTAATTACAAAAAAACAGGCTGCGGACTGGATTTAGCTCACAGGCCATATAGTTTACTGACTCCTGGTATGGACATATAGATTGATAAAAGTCATGAAGTAAACATTTCTATCTCTAGAATCATACAATGGTAAAGTTAGCTATCTCATATCTTAGTTACATGATATTATTCAAGTGGGAGTACAAGGACACAATAATTTAAAGTTAATAACATTTAAGTTAAATTCTTTAAAAGAAATGCTTAAAGAATCTACAAGTGCAAACTTGTTAGAGAAAAAAGAAATCTATTAATGATAAGGTATAATCGCTTTTATTCATATATATAATAAAAGTTGCATTTTAGAGTTCTTAGCTTTTTTATAACTTCAGCAATTCACTCTATGGAAATGTTACCCAAATTTCCATCTGCCATCTTATGCTATCTCTACAGCTACATTTCTACATTTCAAGTGCATACCTGAATATTTCCACTTGGCTAACCCTGCCATGGCCTCAAATATAAACTGTATAAAATATACTTTCCAAAATTAGCTCTACTTTTAGACCTAGAATTTTCACCAATATAACTATTCTTAAATTAAAAATGTTAGAGTTAAAGAGTCATATGATCAACTTTGACTCTTTTATTTTTATCTCTCTTCTATTGTCTGCTACTAAGTCCCCAAAATATTTCCCTCTATCGTATGTCCACAATTTATTTATTTTTGCCTATTTCATATTACTGTTGTTTCTATGACTTCAACCTTGCACTGCTACAGCAGCATACTAGCTGGCATTCAGGCCCATGTGTCTTATCTTTCTAATTTATTCTGTACACGCTGACAGATAAAACACTGCTTTCATCAGGTCCTTGCTCATACCACTTATCGAACAAGGTCTAAAATACTGATCTTGACATTTATAGCCTTCCACAAAATCACCCCAGGCTCCAGATCACATCTTCAGAGCTCAATCCACCCACTTTTCTGTGAACACATTTAATGTTTTTGTTTTTCTTACCTCAAACACTTAGCTTATAGAATTGATCTTATCTTGTATTCTTTTATCCTCTCTACTTCTTCTAATATTATGGTACAAGTCAAGTCCCAACCCGTACTTTAAGTCTTTCCTCAGCTCTTCAGCTTCAAATGATTGGCTTTGCAATTGATAAGTTTCAGTCTTTAATTCTTGTTAGGTGACATTAACAGTGATCTAATTTTCCTAAAAAATATAAGCTCTCTGGTTTAAAGATCTTCATTCTTTCCTAACATTTATAGCTTTTTCTACAGTCTTCCAAATGCAAAAACAGTGGAATGAGTAATTGAAATGAGAAATTCTGATGTGCTAGGGGGGACAGAGAGCAGCTTCTCTATAGTCTTTGTTGATTGATTTAATGTTTACTATATAATTATTTTTGTCATAAAAATAGCACAAGTTCATTTTTTTATTTAAGTCTCTGACCATATAAGTAAGGATAAAGATGAAAATAGCAAGAACTTGGCGAGTAAATAATATGGAGTTCTGAAAACAGCCACGACCATCAAAGGAAGAAAATTTTGTCTTCTTGCAATTAGTAAAAGATACTTCTACATTCTTAAGATTCTCCACTTCATGTTTCTATAGAAATATAAGCTGTACGAAAAAGCAGTCTTTCATCTACTCAGGAAACAAAGAAAAAGACTGTCTTCATATGGAAGTTAAAGGGATTGTTCTAAATATATTTATGAATATATCACTTGTTATAATGCAACTTTCACTTCCCAGATATCCTGAAAATGGATAAGATTGCTGAGGTACAGCAAGTTGTTTGACAAATATGCCAAGATTAGGAAGCACTATGTAAGTACAGGCAGAGAAAGAGACACCAGTAATAGGAAATCAAAAATGGAACAATCAGAAAGATAGGAGAAAGTCGCACACTGAAGATGCTAAAGACCCTTTTATCACAGAGGGAGTGGGTAACAAGTATTCACTACTACAAGGTGGCCACCCAGGATGAAGAACGAACAGTTTTCCGATTTGGAAATGCAAAGGTTGCTGGTAATCACAGACAGAATAGTTTTTGTACAGATTGTGTGTCAAAACCCAAAAGGCCCATATGCATACATTCACTTGGGTTATGAACAAACAGGAAGAGGGAAGAAATTAACGTTTAATGAAGACAGCATGTGCCAACTACTCTAAGGCTTTTGTGTTCTTAGCCTTAAAGGGAGGAAATGAATCATCCAAGGTTGTGCAGCTTATACGTCATTGTTTGGAACTGAGGCTGTTTTCACACTTGTGCTGCTTCTACTGATCTTGTATTTCCTCCAGTGGTGTTTTATAAAGATATGGTTTTCATCTGCTTTACCTAATTTTATTTCACATTTTGATCTCTGGGTATTGTTTGTGCATCTATTATGAAAATTTGAATAATCCTAAAATATCATTTGGTCCAAACCCCTCTTTTTTTTTAATCTAAATAAATTGAGGTCCAGAAGGTGAAGGGATGAGTAAGACACACTGTATTAGTAAAAGAATGGAGACTAAAACTTATGTTTCCTGATTCCCAAACTCATGCTCATTTTCATTATAACCTCTATATAGAACCCAAAATATATGCAAATCAATGCCTGATTCAAGAAGGAGTTAGCAGGGCATGACAAGAAGATCTCATATCACTCAATTTCTTAAAGAATGATTTGAAATGGAGGAGAACGACTTTCAGTTCTATATACTTAAGTCTCTATAACTGTAAAGGGAGTCACAGTTATGTTTTACCCAAAGTTGATGGTGGGAGATACATAATGAGAATTATGCAAATAAAATAAAATCCTAAAAACTACTGCAACTAGCAATTTAAGATTATTTGGAAACTAAGTTTTATGTTCCAGAAGAAGACTTCTAAAAGGAAGATTATAAAAACAGGGGATTTTTTTTTTTTTTTTTTTTTTTTTTTTTTTTTTTTACAAAACAGAAGCATTTTTTTCTTAAAAAGGCAGTTTTTTTTCACTGTACAGAAAATGAAGTCCCAGATCAAATCAGCAAAAACTGGAATTCTGCTCTACATCTTCAAATTTTTGTGTCAACATGAAATACGTAACTACACATGGGAGAGCAAAATACGTTTTTTATAAATTAAAGTTGCTCGCATATTCAATTATGTATTATGCTACATTTTAAATACGCAGCAGGAGCTGTATGCTATAAGTCAATATGAGTAAAAATAATCATGTGCTCTTTAAAGACTGAATTTGCTATGTCTGGAAGAAACAACATATTCCAAATCTTGAGTTTCTATATTCCCTATAATATCTAGTAAATAATTATGGCAAAGTTGAACATTCTCATTACCCATTTCTGCAAGATTCCACGTTATTTAGTGGTGCAGATTGTAATTAAGTAAATAAGTCTGCCATTTAAAAATCAGTACTAAATATGAACAGAATTGTGGATAGCCATGAAAATGAAAGAGATGTCATTCTGAGAACTTCTGAAAAAGTTAACTAATTCTATTACATTGTATGTATGCACATATATAATGCATATAGGCAAGGAGGTAAGAATCTTATTGCTTATTACGGTGGCAAGCAAAATGCTGTGGATACCGTAATCTAAAAACAAACAAACAAACAAACAAACAAAAAAGCTTCAGTGTACCATTTATGTCATAAGTGAAAGCTTGGCCTGACTTTCTTTCAGACATAAATGAGAGAAAAATTCAAGAATTATGAGCTAATGCCAAAGAACAATGGGAACAATTTAAAAAGACATGTTTCTATGTCCTGATGTTTTGTGGAATGGCTCATAGCAGATTTATATCTGCTTTGCTCTGTTTGCTAAGCATGGTGTCCAAGTGGCAAATGCATCAAAACAGTAGTTAAACTAGCGATGCTGGAGAAATGAACTGTGGAATGGGGCCTCCCACCTCTTGCCTGTCGCCCAGGCCCACAGCCTTCCTGTGCTCCAGGGCTGTCTTGTTGCACGCTCCAAGGGACTAATTGGCATCTGCGCCATTTGTGAGTCTTCCACCTACAAGACAGGAACAGAAGCCCAGTGGGGAAGAAGCAAAAATGCCAGCAAATCACAGAGACACAGCAGCATGGAAACATGACTTTGACCACTGCAAACACAGTTATTTAGCAATGCTCAGTTCTATCTAAATTTAATTTAGATCTCCATCTAGGCTTTAGAAGAAGTAACATTAAATATAAAAGTACTTTCTCTGGCAGTGAAGACAAGAGTACATCATTGTCAAGTTCTATAGGACTCTACAGAGAACATTTAGACTTTTTAATGATTAGGACTGCCAACAAATGCACCAGATGGCCCCAGAAGTGATGCATGCCATTTAAATAATGTATATTTATTTTATTCAAGTTATGAAACTGTATTCAAGTCATGAGTCTTTTGTATAGTGCTCTTTTGGTTAGCATTGTAGGAGTATCTCAGCAACTGTAAGTATAATATGCTTTACAAAAACAAATTCCAAAAATAAATAAGTTTGAACCAGTAGTTGTCAATGTGCATGGTGTAAGTATACAATTATAGTATTTGTCATCTCAGAATTAAAGATTGATATATTAAGATGCCAAATTTGACAATGTCATCTTAAATATTTATTTTGTGATTACATTTTTCATTAATTGATGCCATAATACTTCATTTGCTGTCAGGACTGCAAATGTATACGTCAGATTTCTATTAGATAATTTCTGTCTTAATCATAAGGAGGTAAAATTTCTCTAACAAATTATCAAGATGATATATAGCTTCGATAACTACAATTTTATTTGAGGTGATCACAAATGAACAGAACAGCCATCTTACCAGCATCATTGAGATACAGATGTCATTTCCTGAGCCAGAATGTGAGCATTTATGATTACAAACAGGTGCTCTTTGGAGCAGGGGAGTAATGCTTAGGCTAGTCTTCTAAGTGAAAAAGAATTTCTTCCTAAAGTATACATGTTTCATAATTATTAATCACTTTTCAGCATTTCTTGTATGTTATATCAACATAAGACATTTCCCCAAACTACTGGAGCTAACACGTCACCTTGGAAGTTTACACAAATATTTGCCTTCTTGTACATCATTTCAGTAGCACAGCAGCTCTGCTGAAGAGACAAGAATGGCAGCTACAGCCATAAACATCCCAACTCCATTGAGCCTGTGGAAGGAACAGTGTTGACTTCCTTTCCTTATCCTAGGAAAGGATGTGGAGTTGACGTATTTGTTCAGCTCCTCCCTCACGATGCATTTCTCTAACCCTACCTGTAGCTTTGGCACGCTTGAGGTGCCTCACAGGCCTTCTCTTCATAGAGGGGATCTGTGCAGTCTCGGCCCCCGTTGGCTGGCAGCTGAATGATGACCCGATGCCTAGACTGCTTCCTGATACTGGAGTCCCCTGCAATGAAGCAGTTTTTTAACCTCTGTACTTTACACTGATGAGATAATCTCTAAATACCAGTCTGTGTGAAGAAATTACATTGCCTCCAGCTACATGTGCTTTGACATCCCTGAGAGGCTTCACCTGGTCTAAACATTCACTAAATTCTCCCAAAGACCATTTATATCAAAAACCCAATCAATTCATATTTAAAAATAGAGAAAATGTGAAGAATGGAGAAAACAGTTCTGTAGGCAGTTAGCCTTCCTAAGGTGCAGTCACAAAGTAATTGCTCTTTTGTATAATTCTTTCCCTTGAGGAATATGACAGATCTAATTAATTTATTTTCCTCTACCTTAAATTCATTGTCATGCTATTTTGCCTAGCCCTGTTTATCACATGGGACTCATACACATGTAATGAATCTTCTTTAGGAGAATATATTCAGTGCTATAATGTGAAATTTTATTTCTTTGTTATTCATTTAATTTGAAATGCATAACTTGTAAATTATTCCGGTCATTTATTATTCATGTTAGACAGTCTAAGACCTTCAATTCAGGTCACATTCTAAACATTAGGGATCTAAGTAGTAAAATGAAAGTGGTTTCTTAGAGGCAGACACAGACTTTTTAGAGAAGCAGTCAAAATAGCAATAATTACTATAAATAAGTAACTCTAAAGTATGTTAAAAATGGAAAAAATTAAGATACACTTTCAATAAAGACATCAACTTGACAGTATGACTGATGTAAGGATTCAAAAATCTTTTAGTATACAGATCATGTAGCGTATAAAACTTGCCAACTTTAATAAAATATATTTCAATTAAGATTACGTACACTTTAACGATGAATAGCTGCATGGCACAGGGTTTTACTTACAAAATAATTCTCTAAAGAATTATGTTAATAGAATCCTCCTGATGCATTTTCATTATTTTGCAAGATCTTCAAATATTTCATACATAGACTACAGGAACAGAAATATTTTAAAGGATTAGCAGCTCCTAACAATTAATGTTTAATCAGAAATCAAATGAAACCTTTTTAAAAGATACTGTGGTGGTGGAGAAAGTATGATTTGATGATTAGAACATTGCCATAATGGAATATCCTTTCTCATTCAGTCAAAGATATTCTTCAACACGGTCTGGGCAACTGACTCACTGCCATGTTTAGAGAGGATTTCTGTATTGGATGGGAGAATGGATCAGTAAATGGCTGACTTCATAGGAGAATCTCTTTAACAACAACAACAACAAATTTCTGGGCCTATACCCAGGACTACTAAATCAGAATCTGGAAGCTGGGTTTGGGAATAGGATATTTAAAAATCTTGCCAGGTATTTGGGATGAAGGGCCTGGTTTGAAATCTACTGTAATACACGACCTTGTATGACCTATCCCAATGTAAGATTCTGGGCTTACATGTAACTTTTTAGAATTATTATTCCCGTTGTGGGGTGTCGTCTGTACTATTAATGATGGCATAACTATTTTAATGAATAAGCGGGATACTACAGGTAATGGAGTAGGGAATTGGGGGCTAGAAGTATTGGGCAGCAGAGAATTAAAGTATTTGAAAATATTGTCATGGACTTTTAATTGTAGCAGTAGTTTGAATGCCAGCTGCAACTTTTACATGTTAAATATAATTTATCTAGGGAAGATCTAAGAAATGTCAACAGGACTTTTAATAAATTGCTAATGCAGTCTCCATCTATTATATTGTCAAAATGACCTGTATTTTAAGGCCCAGGTGATAAATTCCTTTAATAATTCAGAGCTAGGGAAAATTCTGTCTCCCTTGACAATCTGTAAAGAATCCATTGTACTTCTATTTTTTGCTTTGGTCACCAGAATCTCAGAGCTAATTTTCTTCTCAGTTGAAGGAGCTTGCCACAGCTTTGATTTTCTAGCATAATTTTTCTCTCCCTCTTCCTTCTACCCCCTTCCTATTCACTACCTGGATTTGCCCTTCTTTTACAATTTCTATTTTTTTCTTTTGTTTTATGTGTATGAACTGTCCATAATCTTTTTTTTTTAAAGTATACAAACTAATTAGACTCACATTTGTTTAACATTGGGGGAAGCAGGGAGGTTTCTGTTTTGTTTTTTAATGGGGAGGTAAGACGTAAAGGGCTCAAATGGGTTTTTGTTTCCCAGTTGGTCAAAATTCTTAGAGGCAATTACTCTCCAATCTGCAGATAGAGGACAGACACAGGATTAAGACCAGGGGATTTGGGGGCTGGTGGAGACAATGAGTTCAGCATTAGTGGCACCTCATAGACTAAAGCTCCTACTTATTAACTACCTAGATGGCACCTGGTGCATAGCCAGGGCTGTTCTACTTGAGGAAGCAGCTACCAAACATTAATGTTTCAATTCTATTTTGTTTGTTGATTTGAAAGAAAAAATGTCACTTAGAATACATTTCTGAAACATTCTCCTAATGCCTTCTCATCACAAACTCCACAAATTAGTACTAGATATATAAGACTATGATGACTCTCTTCACGTCCTTAATGGATTCCAGAGTGGCAATCCATTTATTCTTATGAAAAGTTCAAATTCCTTAACCTGGTACAGCCTACAGGATAGAGATTGTGACCTGATTCAAGTGGAACTCTTCAAAGATATGACACCCAGAGAAGACGTTTAATGGGGTTACACAGGAAGTGTCAATGACATCTATGTTTTTACCCATTGGCAGGTCTGTTTCTTCTCATATTGCAGTTAAGAAATTGCTTGTGTACTCAAAGTTACAGCGCTGTAGAGCTTTGCCAGGTTATACAGTCCTCAGATCAGAGAGCAGAAAAAAAGGAAGCTATACAGCACACATTAAAAACAAAAAATGAAAGTTTCATCATTAATAACTTGAGCTGGCAAACTGGGAATTTTATACCTTTCATCATCCCCTGCTTGTATTTATGCTCATTTTATTATATGCGGTTGATATATTTGTAGTGTTTCTATTCATCTGTGTGTTTTATACCTAAGACAAGAGTCACATATAGTAAGTGCTTAATAAATATTTGCTGAACGCACAAACACATTTATTTCACATCTTCTCAACTGGATTATTAGTTAGCACCTTCTATTTCTTTCCACTTATTCCTTTATAGTGGTAAGCGCACAGGTACCAATGCTGTGCATTAAGGATTAATAAAAATAAGCTATCACTTTGTTTTCATTGGAAATAACAAGTACGCGAAAAATAAGGGCACCTGCCTGTGACGTTTGTGCTTAAAAATGCCTATCCAGGATAGGAATGGAAAAAACAGATCGTACATCTAGCAAATAATCATGTGATGATGGGGTACACAGATTCAGAAGATATGTAATCTCTCACACAGTTATAGCATTTTTTCAGATATCTTAAGACATTCAAAATAAATTTCACCGAGAAATTACTTGATGAAAAGGATTTAAAAGGCAGGCAAAACTGATTCATTAAACTGGATATGGGATGGATTGCAGGTTGAAGCAGTACAGTAATAGGAAATTGAAAGGGAAATGTCTCATCCAAGAAGCAAAATGTAAAGGTAGTATTCAGATCTTTGGTGGTAATTCTAGTGCTCTAGTGATTTAGGACATGAGGAAGAAGCCTCTGCAATATTCCTTCTATTTCTCAACACAATAAATGCAGTGAGAAAAAAAAGGAGCAAACAGAATTTGAGCAACCAAATATATTATTTGATCAAAAGTATTGATTTTTTAAAATTAGAGGTACAAATAATTTATGTGCATAAGGTATTTCTATTTTTTAAAATGCCCTCTGTCAAAATTTACAAAAATTTGAAAAACACGTTAGCAAGTGCACTGGTCTCAGGATTAAACTACACTCCACTTAATACTGATCTTTATCAGCATTGATTTTTCAAGGGGTATTTTAGAAGAAGGCTGAATAACATTTCAAACAACTCTTTTAGTTCTTCCTGGAATCCTACTATTCTGTTTTATTTTGTGCAATAGTATTGTGTATTTGACTTCCTTAAAGTGATTTTAAAAAGAAGGATAGTCCTGCACTTTAATAAGCCCAACATCTTTGTAAAATTTAGACTTTACTCGCAGAATTAAGTAAAAAGAACCACCCCAACTTTGAATTAATTTTCTGTTGCTATTACCTCTCTTTGAACATTCAACTTTGCTTAGCATTTTTAAATGGTGTGTGTAAATTGGTGTAATTTCAAAATGATACTTGGGTTATTTCCATTTCTTATGAAATAATGAAAAAAACTAACCTCATGCCATTTACTTTATTTTCTTCACAACAAAAGGCTAGCTTTCTGTAACACCATTGTCTCCTTATTCTCAGTTACAGCAGTCTACAGGCAAAACAGAAAAAACTGCTTCTAGAGCACAAAGCATCTTGGCACTGTTATCCAACAATGACCCTTCTATCACTCTCCAGTCTTTAAAAAATTTTTATTTCCTCAAATACCCAACTGAGGTGATTTTTTAAAAATCGGAGTGCCTAGGTTTAGGGTTTCTGAAAACCTTTTGTTCTAGGAGAAACAACATGAGCTGCCAAATAAAACAGTCAGCACTCATTCCTTGCTCCGGATGACATGACCTGTGTTCAGGGAAACACTGCTCTGCCGCTTAGAGAGCCTCTTGCTTCTAAGAGAGCCGATTCCCGAGTTGGCATTTTTGCACTCTCTTGCCACCACCATCTCAGGAACACCAGGAGAGAATAGTATCCTAGTGGTACCATGCATTTTTACTTACAGAGGTTTCCTACCTTCCCCCAAGAGACCAACCCAACTAAACCCATTATGCCTCACATGCCTGCCACTCACCACAAGAAATGAGCCCTCCCCAGCTCCAGGTCATTCATCATCACCCGGACCCACAGCACTATCTACCCGCATAACACGATTCAGTTTTTCATTCCTTTACATCCTCTAGCCCTTCTACCGCTGCGCCCACTGGAACACATGATCTCTCATCTTCAGTCTCTTCTGGGAAAGTTTCCTTCACATCTTGGGCTCCAGTGGGCTGGTCGTTCCAAAATCACATCTTTCTCACAGTCATTTAAGGCTTTCCTGATGTCTCCAATCCTCACTTGCAATTCTTTCATGTGGTTCATCTTTCAAGAAGATCTCTTGTACCTCCTTTTCAGTATGATTTTTCTTAATATATTTGCTCTGACATGATTATTCCATTCCCTTCCTTAGAGCTCTTTGTGTTTTACCATTAAATTTTGTTATTGAACCATGTAAGTCTTACATTATCTGGGCTGTGCAGAAGAGTTCTATATGTTAAATGCAATTAAAAGCTTCCTTGATGTCTGGGACTGTGATTTCTCTATATGACCATTAGTGTGCTAGTTATATACAAAAATCAATAAATAAGTAATTAAATAAGTATTTATACATATATACACAAATAAGTACTGACTCAATTAAGACCTATGTAGCATTCACAATCTATTCATTCTCATCTATCTGCTAAGAAGTTTTTAAAAGTGCTTTATGTGAGTTATCACAGTGTTTTAGATTTTTTATTTTATAAATGATCAAACAGCAAAGAGCAAATCAGTTTCTTCATACTGTAAAAATCACAAATTTAAAAATCATGTTATTTTCTTTTCAAGTATGGTTTTTTACTCCTAAAAAACCTCTATTTTTTCTTTCCTTTCCAGATGTATATAATACGTAACAAAATCACAAATGTGTTTTCAAGAACTTAAGAAAAAATTTATAGGCTATTAAAATGGTTCCTAATTCCTGGATACATTCCAATATCCAAAATTATTTTCAAATAAAGGTCTAAAGAAATGAGAAAAATTCTGATTCTTCACTTTTATTAGTGACTACTCTGGAATCAATTTAATAAAATATTTTCTGTTCTTTTTTAAACTTTACTTCCTTGAAATACTTTAGATCAAATCAACTTTTTTAAAAGAGTAATTTACACAATACAAGAAAATATCCAAAATAAGGGAAAGGCAAAGTCTTTCCACTTTCAAAATTTTCACTTAAAATTTGTTTTAGACTATTAACAATTTGCTTATAAATGTAACTGCACATGCTTGGAATTATTAGTAAATGAACATATTCCATATAAACAGAAAAGATCAAGTATAAAGGCATCAAGAACAAAATTTGTAAGTGTATTAATTCTATGTAATTAATGCTTTTTAATTGAATTAATTAATAACCAACAATTACCACCTATAAGTGCCATCATAGGTAAAATATTAATCTATAAGAAAGTACAATTCTACTGCCAACTGTGACCGGTGTTATTCAGCTTAAAAAAAAAAAAAGGAATAAGAGAGGAAAATCTGGATTAAAATGTCAGGCAATGACACTGCATAGCAAGTTCATGCCATTAACATGTTTATAAAAGTTAATGCTTATAACTCCTTTTAATTTGCCAAAAGCTATTTAAATGTCTTAAAAGACTCCTAAATAAAAATATTTTGCAGTGGCTCGTGCCTGTAATCTCAGCACTTTGGGAGGCTGAGATGGGTGGATCACTTGAGGCCAGGAGTTCTAGACCAGCCTGGCCAAAATGGCACAAACCCATCTCTACTAAAAATACAAAAATTAGCCAGGTGTGGTGGCATGTGCCTATAGTCTCAGTGACTTGGGAGGCTGAGGCACAAGAATTGCTTGAACCCAGGAGGCTGAGGTTGCAATGGGCCGAAATTGAGCCACTGTACTCCAGCCTGGATGACAGAGTGAGAGACTCTATCTTAAAAATAAAATAAAATAAAGAATAATAATAATTTTCTATCACTTCTAAGTGTGGTTTAATTTTATTGGATATTTCAAGGGTATTAAATAGAAAACCATCAAAAGGAAAATCATGTTTCAACTATATAAAAATATAGTAACACAGTAAAAGTATCCATTATTAAATGTATAATACCTAAAGGATTTGATTAAATTTTGACAACTTAAAATAGTTTGTTAAGCTAGAAGTTGACTCTTAATTGAATCTCTCTAGTAAGTGTTAAGAAACATGAAAAAAATAAAAGCATACAGGAAATTTAGAAAAAATTATCTGTATTTGTTGAGTAAGATAAGAAATAGGAGACAGCGTCATTTGTAACACTGCAGGAAAATTTGCTCAGTTATTGCATAAGTCACCTGGAGGATGTTGATACCTTTCTCATCAGCAATGAGAAAAGACCCTGACCTAGAGGGTGAAGAAAGAATTATCAAAGTATTTGGCTTGATACTAACGAGTCTTTGTCTGTAAGTAATAAAAGCAAAACTAAGCCAAACTGGGAATAAATATTCATAAATTCCTCATGACACATTACATGCTGGCAGAGAAACAATTTGGCCATTTTTCTCTTTCTTTTATTCCTATTCTTGGGGCTGCATAATTGAATCTGTAGCAAATCTGGTCCCATGTTATTTTTTGCCATTAAGTAGGATGAAAGCCATGTGTACTGATAAAAGCACTGTATATCATTTTGAAATACATATACCACGATATATTCCTTCAGAACTAATGTGAAAGTAAACACTATTAATACAATAAGATTTAGAATCCTTCACTTTAATCTATATCATAAAATTTCAAGCCAGGTTTTGGCATAAACCTCACTTGTCTGGTATTCTAAAGCTATGTTATTTCCTAGAGGGAAACTAACATTTTATGGCATGCATGTCAAATCAGGTTTACATAGCCCTGTGCAAAACTCACAAACATTGCTAGGCCAGAAGACCTCAGAAGTCTACCGAGGAGGTTTTCTAGGTGAACAGCCTTCCTAACTCTGCAGACCATACCTTCTTTACACGAAGAGGGGCATGATGTCCAGTCACTATATGGGGTCACAATACAGTCCTTCTTACAAGGAAGCAGACAAGGCCTTACAGTTTCAGGTCGAAGGCTTTCAGGACATCTAGAAAGGCAAAGGGGAATTATTAGGCTTCAATAGTAAAGCAGAAAATCAGATAATTTAATTTCTCTAGAATTTTCACTGGTAAAATTGCAAAACAAGTCACTCATCTGTATTATTTAACTTCCAGGAGTCTTTCTTTCTGCTACAGGCAAGAACTATACAACTAAATTGATTGTTTCAAACCGGACCTCAATAAAGCCTCTCAAGGAAAGATGTGCAGATTTACTAATACCAATAATGCTATTTAGAAACAAATATAACACTTATACCTTATCCTCTTATAATCTCTCCATTAATAAGTATTTATATTCTAATATGTTTTAAGAAAAATTTTGTGAAAATTTAAATTATTAATTTAAGGATCTAATTCTATGATACATATTTGTATGACTAGGCCTTTTGCCTATTATAAGTTTCCAGGTTATTCTACAATTTATTTTTACAAAATATGTATTGTATAAAATAAATTTATAGTGGAGTATGTTCTTTACACAGTACATGCTCAAAACACAATACTGTATTAAAAACTACATATTTAATAATAATTAAGATAATAAAACTGTATAAATCAATCTGATAAGCAGTTTTTGCTTTATTCCTGCTTTTATTTAGTGCATCTATTTGTGTTTTCTTTTCCATTAGTCCCTAGTTTTAAATGATGGGATTTAATCTTTTTTATGTTTTTATAAACTACAATATCTTTTTTGAAACAAAAACAGTGAAGATAAATAAAGATAGTAAATCAGTAAAGAAAACTAAAATACTGTATTTTTGACATAAATTATAGTAAAATTAACTACTATTTTCAAAATAACAGCAAAAATATATTATTTATTGGGAACACAACAGAAAGATAAGGATGAAGAACACTGAAATGTCTAACTTCATATAAGCTTTCACTTCTTAAGAGATAATAGGAAGCTGATGTATAGGTTTTAAATATACTGTCTTATTCAAAATATACTTAGTATATAATTTTTTACACTTGAGCTTAGCCAAAAGGCTGAGAAGTAATAATTTTTAAATTTCCCAATTCTTCTCTGCATTTTTACAATCTGATGCTACTATTGCTAGAGGTCAAATGCTGATAATGAGCCTTAACACTAGAAAAAGATGTAGCTTAGAAAAGTAAAATATAATAATATCATTCATATAATTAAAAGTAACAAATAACTTATTCTGATTCCTAAGCAATTCTCTTTTGAAGTCATATAAATCCCTGCCATGTAAGCTAACAGGCAATGAAAAAATAATCTAAACAACTAGTATAGTTCTTGCTAAAATAAATTGGCAGATCAGTGGGAAATAGGATTTTAAAATACTCTATATAAGAGAATTCAAATATTTTGTAGCTCAAGTTTGTCTTTTGTCAAGTAAGTTAATCAGGTTTTCAGAAGTGAACTACGAGTGAAAAAAGTCAACATCATTAATCTATTTCCCATAATTTCTTTATAGTATTTTGCTGATACTTCATTTTTGACATATCTTGTATTATAAGTATTTATGTAAATTTTCTTCTTCATACATAGATACTATGCTTTATTCAATTATATAGATCAATGCTCTCCTCTCTTACTTTAAAACCCCAGTGTTTATTTGGAAGTGGATTTTAAAATATTTAAGGATTCAACATTTCAAAAATAATCTTTTTGATTTATCTTGCGCTGGAATTTCCCTAATTTCTATGACTATTCAAAGTCACGGACAACAAATAAATTTAGATTTGAATCATAGAAGCAAATTTATTATTACATGTTAGATTATAAATCAGTAGAATTACAATTTAACCTGCATTCTTAACCAGGAAACATTATATGGCAAAACTCCACATATAATTCAGTTAATTCTTTTGGAACTATGAAATTATTGGTCAGTAATTATTATTGTCAGCACTTTTGTTCAATAAGGCAATTTTATAACTTTAACAATGAGAGAGCATTACTCAGTTGCATGCTCCTCAGATATTAGCCCTGAATAAATCAATGAAATTTACAATGTTATCATTGACAACCTCCAAATATTCTGTTTTAGTTGAGAAATAGTCACAGCAAGATACTTGGCTGACTGTGGAGAACAAAATTACAAACAACAAAGTTGTTAAATGAACACACAAAGATAAATTATACAGCCTAAATTACATCCAATAAAATGAATTTGGACTTCCTTTGGCAAGGCAATTGGTTCAGTCAGCAGGCTTCTTTTATCCTTTGTACTGTTTGTATTTAGTGTTTGTGGTTTAAATCAAGAAATTGATTTCCCCCCAAATCTTATTCAAGGTCAAATTAAACAGATGTGATAGGAACTGAAGTTTGTTACCGGGAGGACAGATAAGATCAATAACATTGATTTTACCATTGCACAGTAATCTGTTTTATTAAGAGAAGTTTAAAACAAATTTTCAATTTGCATTTTTTGGTTCATATACCTAGTATTAGAAAGAATTCACTGAATTTAACCTAGCATGTAGGGAGAAAGGCAATAATATTTTCTTTTGAATTCACAGTATTTGCTTGATTTTCTAGAATTTGAGAGGTAAAGTACATCCATTTGATTTAACAAGTCTATAGATGCACATAAGTCATTGAATGAAGGCTGCAAGGGTGAAGCAAATTTTTAATGAATTATTGTGGTAGTATCACATGGGGCTTCAGGATACCCTTCCCACTGATTTAATGCTGTTAATCCAGCAGGCTCTTTCACATATAGGCGTGTACATATGTACATCCATTACTCAGGAAAAATATTTTGTAGCTTATGTAAGTGAGGAAAATGTCAAAACAGCAACATTTGAAAGGTGATTAACCGTGGGACAGGAACAGAATGAGCTCACTGGTAGAAGCTCAGCACAATAACCCTCATCCTGCGCCACAACAGGTTGGTCCTGTGCCTGCGTAGTGAATATTTCTACCTTTGTTCTTGATCCAGCAAGAGTCAGAATCCTCCAGGACTTGGGACATCTGCTCTTGCTGTTACCACTTTTGAATTTTAATACACTGTACATTAATTTCCTGAGTTAGATTCATCACAGCTTTAGCAAAATTTCTATTAAAATATTGGTTTGAGGTTACCTATTAAACATGTGAAATAGTCTTTCAATTTATTCAAATCTCACTGGCATGTCTTCTGTGTTTCCTAATTTCAAGCAATATAAAAAAATAAATTGTGGGGCAAAATATCCCTAATGTCTGGAACCCTGGCCAGACACAAACATCTCATAATGGGATTCATATTTGTTTCCCTGGAGTTTTTCATGCATCAGAGACATTATTTTCATTTTCTTGGAACACTAAGGAGTAGCTGAAATTCTTAAGAAAAAGACCAATTTCTAACATTTATTGAGTGCTTAGATTACTATTATATGTTTCATTAAATCCTTTCAACAGACTGCAAAAACTGTTGGCCAGAGTAAGTTAGGTAGCACGCTGAAGATTACACACAATATTTAACCACTTGGCTGAGTATTTAGTAAATATGAGGCCACTTTTAAACCCATGCAAAAATCGACTCATTTATCATTTCATATCTTACATGGCTAAGGTGATTTGAATTTTTAAAAAGTATGTTAAGTTTTGAAAAATAAAGCTTTTTCCCCTCAATTTTTTAGAGTAGATTTATTAATTTTCTCTATGAAGTGATTAGCTCAGTTATGCCATTATTTTTGTTTATACTTCTCACAAGGCACATATAATATGTCGACTCTCTGGTTCTTTGTTCTCCCCTCCAGCAAAGTGTTTGCCCTGTTATTATAGTACTCAAAAGCACCCTGAGAAAATGATAGTTTTTCTACTTATAATAACACTCATCCTATCCCAAGGCTCTCTCTTGGAAGTAAATGGTTTTTACTCTAACCATTGAAAGACGCAGTAAGTATGCTTCGGTATTTTTGATATAGTGTTTTCTAGGGGAAATGAAAGGCAGATCATACAAGGCTTCTACCCAATTAAACTAGATTGGGCAGCCTCCGTAGCCTACGGGTATATAGGAGGTCATGGATGACCTACACTGCCAGGACCTAGTACACTGTCATTATTGATCAGCCAGGCTTACGGCAAGCACTTCTTTCATTGCCTCACTAGCTTAATAAAAGCAGAAAGTGCTACTATAAAACAGAGAGTAGGCACCAGATAGAAAGATTTCTACAGAATTTATGGTTCCCCAGTATAAAACTCAAAGCTGTTATAGCTTTATCAGTGGCTGACTTTCAAAACAAACAAATCTTGCTCTTGAGGACAGGTATGACAAGCATCAAAATGTTCCATTTCATGAAGCCAGTGAAGCCTGAGCCAATCCTCTGCACAGGTGGCTACACGATTTACTGTTGTCATTCTAAAGCTCTTACTTTTTGGGTCCCACTTGGCCCACATTGACTCGCACACAGATGACTTTTCTTGTCTGCATGCCGACAGAGCAGGAGGCCTCCCCATTCCAAGTCGTAGTTGTGTTGAAGGACGATACTGAGGTGTCCTCAATGCACTGGCCCCAGGGACCAGTTTGCCAGTGGTACACTGTGCAAGGATGCTCATTACAGCTTCGTACTTCTTGCAAAGCACTGCTATTTGGACAGCGAATTCCACCTAAAAACATGGACAATGATAGCAAATTAGATACGGTGCCAACAGGAACCTTACCATACTCTGTTCTTTGGAATTAACATGGCTTAGAAATAAAAAGTGACTTTTCTTCCCCACATCAAGTTCATAAATACACGCAATATTTATGTGAGATGCTTCAAGGGATACCTACAGGGGTTAAAAATAGTTTCTGCTACACTCAAGGATCTCATAATGTAGTAGGGAAAAGTAGTAGGGGAGATAAGGATACAAATGAGTATAATTCTAGATAGAATGAAATAATTATATTGTGCGGTATTTAGTATAACTGGGATTCAAGGAGTACAATTTCACTACTTTTTGGAGTCTGAAGAATGCCTCAGATTGAAAGAGGCACTGAGAAAAATTTTGAAGGAGTAGGATTTCAATAAGCAGAATTCTGGGAAGGGACAGAAGGAAAAGAGAATAGTATCTAAGTAGAAAAATAAATAAACAGAAGCAAAGGCATGCAGGCAGGTGTGACCTTGGCAATTAACAATATTGACATAGTCAATTGGAGTGTAGAGTTCACATCAGAAAGTAATTGGCAACAAGAATAAGAAAGTAGACTGGGCTTATGTTATAAAGAAGCTATTAGTGTGAAGAGTACTATTATCATAATACTATAAATTATACTTTTAAGGTGCTTCTAACGTTTCCTGCTATTGTAGCCTGAATTCCTTTGACAGCAGACCACTGCTGGGTGAAAAGTGCATTGGCAAGGATATGCTTTGGGGGTACCGAATTGGAACAGCATTAGCTGTGGGGTACTTCAGGAGATTCTGCGGCAGCACAGCCCCACCTCCCGGTTTTTCTTTGCAGAAACAGGCAGAAGACTGTCCACCGTGAAGCCTGCGTAAGTCCTGTGTGGTGGTCAAGTAGTGACAGATTGAAGCAGAACTCTCTTTTCAAGGTCAATAGTGGGAGAATGGGGAAGTGATGGTATTTACTTAGAAATCAGGGTTATAAGTATATATATAACATATATGTATATATAACATATATGTATATAACATATATATAACATATATAACATATATATAACATATATATGCATACATGTAATGAATCCTGCATTCTTCAAATTTTTCTAGGGAATATGGGTACTACCTGGTTACTATAATTAAAATCATTTAGCTGTAAAAATTGAACAAGTTAAATAAAAATATTCTTCTCAATGTTTTGCATTGTAAAATATGACTTCTGAAGATAATTATTTGAGAAAAAAATGACATAATTTATTTCCATCTGCATCTATTCTCTGCTTGTATAAGACAGGTGCAAAGACATTAATATTTGGTTGATGAAGTTCTATCAGGTCATATTGAACTTAACAAAAATAAATACTTTCCTTTTTTTTTTTTTTTTTTTGCTCTGTAAGAATAATTAACTATATCATGAGAGTTAACAAATTGTATACCCAGTGGGAACCATTTAAAAAATAACCTTTTCCTTTTTAAATGAAACTTGTTAGGATCTACAATACAGGTTCAAAAAATTGGTAAAGCTAAAAGTCTAACATTAATTTTTAACTTTTTGTTCAAATTCAACTATTTATATTAAAAATATGCCAGGCTTAAGTATTAAAATGTTGCCTCCCTTTAGAATTTCCTAACATAACTTTAAAATATTTTTTGAGACAATTCCTACAGTTTATACAATATTTATACGTTAAGGCAAGAATATTAAAAAGTGAATCACTTTTATTTAACCAGAAGTCAAGCCTCTGGAAGATACACACACACACACACACACACACACACACACACACACACACACCATTTTTTTAAGTGTAAAGAACTAATTTTACCTTCTCCAGTACATTAACTATCACCAGTTGCCAGTACTTGTGATTTGGTTTCCAAATGACATTTCAATAATTAGCAATTTTATGACAATTTTTGTGTATTGATAATAGATTATATAATGTTACTCAAGATTGTGTAGAAAGCACCAGGTACAGTGGCTCGTGCCTGTACTTCCAGCACTTTAGGGGGCCAAGGTGGGCAGATTGCCTGAGCTCAGGAGTTTGGGACCACCCTGGGCAGCACGGTGAAACCTTGTCTCTACTAAAATACAAAAAATTAGTCAGGCATGGTGGTGCTCCTGTAATCCCAGCTATTCAGGAGGCTGAGGCAGGAGAATCGCTTGAGCCTGGGAGGTGGAGGTTGCAGTGAGCCAAGATCGGGCCACTGCACTCCAGCCTGGTCAACAGAGAGAGACTCCGTCTCAGAGAAAAAAAAAAAAAAAAAGATAGTGTAGAAAGCGATTATATACAAATTCATTTTCATGTTTAATTCTGAACTAATTTCAAAATTACAGTGAAATTAAAAGTATGATATAAATACTTTTCTTTTCCTGGACCACTTGGAAAAAGATGAAACGATGTCCATCACCCTAACTATGTTAGTGTGTACTTCCTATGATCAAGAGCATTCTCCTATACATAAGCAATTAAATATTCAAAATCCAAAAATCAGAATATAAACAGATAAGTTATGACCATTGAATCCTCAGACTGCATTCAAGTTTGCCAACTGTCCCAAAATGTCCTTTACAGCAAGATGATTTAGTTCAGAATCAAGCATTACATTTAGATGTCACACTTTGTTAGTCTCCTTAAATCTTGAACAGTTTTTCAATTGTTTCTTCATTTTCATGGCTTAGACACTTTGGAAGATTAAAGATTATTTTGTACAATGTCTTCCAATTAGAGTTTATCTGATGTTTCCTCATGACTAGATTCTATATATGCATCTTTGATAGAGTTATTACAGAAATGATATCGTATTCTCATTATATCATACTGAGGACACAAGATTTTGGTTTGCTTCATTATTGATAATGCTAACTTTGGTCACCAGATTAAGGGGGTGTCTGTCAGACTTCTCTATTAGGGAAATATTTGAGACTATATAACTACAATGCTTTTAATGAGATTGAATTTATTCCTTTATTTATTTATATAATATGTGGATCCATGGTTTCCTATTTAATGGTCTGTTGGTATTATTATTTTGTCATTAAAATTGTTTGCAAATGTGGTCAGTGGGAGAACATTCAAGTTGGCTTCTGTGGCCTTTTGACAATTCTCTTTACTTTCTACCACAAGATCCTCCTGGCCCATCTTGTACTTCTTCTATTGCAGCTGTGGAATCAGCCATTTCTCAAAGTTTCCCTTGTTCCTTTTGTTAGACAATAGTATTAGAAACCAAGATCTGACTGCTGCAGCTACTTACTTCTGTTGAGGTCTTGCTGCTCTCAGGTCTTTTCAGTGAATGAGGCTAATATATGTCTATATGTATATAATATGTACATATTTATATTTGCACACTTACATTGATGTTTATTCTATATTTATCTTTACAAATTGAACACCATGAATTCAAATAAATTAATAACATCCAATTCCAATGCTGTACCACAGAGTGTACTAGTTTTCTTTCCTAACATATTTGCAACTCTCTTCTCCAGCAATAAAAAAACCAACTCTCACTATGTTAAATACATGTACTTATTTTGTCAATTCCCTCTCACTTCACACTCCATTACCCATTGTTATCTCCATTGCTATACCCACAAGATATCTTCATTACTCTGCTCATGATCTGACATCCTACATGAGGCCACCCACATGACAGAAACACTCCTCAACTGTGTCTGGCTGTGACACCCCATACTGGGCTGGCCACCTTGATGCTGGAATTCTCTCTTGACCCAGCTATGCTCTGACATCCAGTGTAGAGTCACTCTTCTATCCTCTCATACAACCCATGTGCCCCCTGTCCTTCACCCTGCTCACTGGCTCTGAAAATGCATGCCAGGCCACCTCTTTTCCCACTTTGGTTGCTCCTCACCCAGTTGGGCTCTGACAACCCACTCTAGATCACCAACAGACCTCCTATCTGCTGGCACAGATGCCCAGCTGCTTGGCTTTACCAAATGGCTTTTTGGATAGAATTGTTCAGGAAAGGAGAAAAAGAGCCTAGCAATAAAAGGAAGTGAAAGAAAGGAAAAGGAAAAGCAAAAGGAAAAGCAAAAGGAAAAGAAAGAAAAGAAGTGCAGTATGAGGAAGAGAAAGTGCCATTCTATCATTCTGTCATTCATTTAAGAGGAACAAAAATAATTAATCCTAACATTTTCACAATGTTAGGAGCCCTGTTTTATCTACTGGATTGGGGCCATCGATAGATAGATACATACATACATATATACACACTGATACACAATAAGAACACTGAGTAAATCAGGGGTAAGAGTACTAGTCAATACTCCTCTCATTTTAGCACACAATAGGATTATATTTCCCTCATTCGCCTTGAAGTTAGGCATAGTTATACAACTTACATTAACAATGAAACGTGAGAAATGACATAAATCACTCTTAGATGGGAGAATTTACTTGCTGATGCTTAAAATCGACAGATAGATTCTCCAAGTATTTTCTTCCTCTGGCACATGAAGATTGTGGAACCAGGTCTTCATATGGTGATGCAATATTGTGACATTTCATGAAGGACAAATTGCCCTGTAGAGTTACCCAAAACTGTAGCTAAATTTCCATGAGGAAGAAGTAAATAAAGCTTTGTTCTTTAAGCTCCTGAATGTCTGGGCTGTCCATTACTGAAGCACAACCTAGTCTATCCTTATTAATTACAAGGAGTTATCCAGCCTTCAGTATTGTTTAATGGTGGCATTCTGATTAAGATAAGTGAAAGTATAGGTTGGAGCATTTATTTCATAAATCCAGATCTACTTTTCGCATGGACTTGTCCTGTATGTTATTTCCCTAGAAAATCATATAATTTCTTGTTTAAACACTTCATATATCATTTCTCAAATGTGGCACTTTCCTTTAAAGTTATCACAATCAGTGTCTGATCCACAGAAATTTAAGAACATTTATGACACAAAGCACTAATTCTTGAAGAATAATGGAAAGACTGACTTTTGTGTAGAATTACAAAGGATTATCTAAGTGGCAGAGAAACACATTTTAAAACTTCCTGCAGATGCTGTTCCTAAATCATTAAAAATAGTTCAGAATTAGGAAAGATTTATTTTGAGTAAGAGAAAATGTGTTTCAGTGTCCAACAAATAATAGGTACTAAGTAGGCTTTGAAGTACAAATTTCTCATAAAACATGTTTCAGTGTCCACTAATAGGTACTAAATAGGCTTTGAAGTATAAATTTCACATAATTATACCAGCTTTTATAAATGTTATTAACAGAGGTAAATAGCAGCAGAGACAAATAGCATTGACAGAGTTTCTTTTATGGCTTCCATGTTTTACAATAATGTATTATATATTTCAAAATAGCTGGAAGAGAGGATTCTCTATGCCCTTGCTAAAAGAAATGATAAATGTCTGAGGTGATAGATATGCTAATTATCTTGATTTGATTATTACACAATTTATCCATATATTGATACATCACACTGCACCCTATATATACAATTATTACACGTCAATTAAAACAGAACTATATTGTTTTGAATTAATGCCCTTATGATTTACTATATAAACATCTATAACTTTCCAGCATGACTTGCTTATAATGCAACCACTAAACTTAATTAAAAATTATTGAAGCCCTACCCTTTCAAACTCAGTGGATGATACATATCAAAGAGCAATCACAAATTTCTGCCTTTAAAACATTTCATGACCTTTCCGTGTGAAGCATCATGTCTACAGGAATAATGATCTGGTGAGTTCTGCAAGCATGGCAAAATCCTTGCCATGTGACTCGGGGTGGGGTGAAAAGTCATTCATTAGTAGTCACACAGCAAGTGTCTGCAGAGTATAATGAATTTACAGGAAGCAGGGTGACCACAGATCTAATTTTAATGAAGCCCAAGGCAAAATCTGAGCTGATAGAGTTTAAAGCCTTCATACAATCTTCACGAGGTTAGAGTCATTGTTTGACAACACAAGAAATATAATTTTCTTTGTAAAAGGTTGTATTTTTCAATAGATACACTTTTTTTTTGGAGCAAAGAGTTAAATATATATTAAGGTGGTAGGAAAAAGTTTTTGAACACTATAAAGAAAATTCTAAAATTTCACACAGGTTGGCTTTTCTGTGTGTAAAATGTTTTACGCATGTAACACTCATGTGCAAAGGCCAAGGTAATTATAGGTGTGCACAGTTGTTACACACACAGATAGCAAATTTGACTAGGAACACTATGTTTCTATCACTAAAATACTTCATGAACAGAAAAATAGAAAAAGTATAGGCAACACAAAACTCCCCCCAAATCGATAATTTGGGGAAAACATAAAATGTTATGCTTATTACAAATAGAAATAATTATTTATCAGTGCTAAATGTGAACAAAGAGTCATTTAGCTTGATAATGTTTAAATAACATACACTTATATTCTTGAGAAAGAACATGCCTTAATATGAACAAACTTGATTTACTTTTATGCTTTTCTCACTCTTGTGTTATTTTTCAGAAAGACAAGATTAAGTATGACATTATATTACCCAGTCACACAGAAGCCAAATTAGCATTTGGATATCATCTTGAGAGACAATTACCAAGAGCCTTGTATTTCTTGGCAATAAAGCTTGCAAGTGAGGTCTGAATATGTGACAAACATGCTTTATTCACCCTATAGGGTGAAGAGATTTAGGAGCAACATATTTTAAAAATGAACAAAATTTACATATGAGATTTCTGGACCTCGGAGCCTATGTTCAAGAAACTCAAAGAAACTGAAAATTGCAATTTTTGGTCGAACAGTAGCTATTCTTGTGATTTTAAATAAACTTTATGATTGGATATATATACTTATTTATGAGAAGGTAGAATATGATTTTCAAAAGATAAAACTGACTTCTGAAATTCAGAAAAAAACAATGAAACATCTGAAATTTTGGGAGCCATTTTCAGACCTTCTTAAAGGCCTAACACTTTGGTTTACAAAGAACTCTAATGACTGGAAGGGTGGGAAAAAGCAAAATGAGTTCACTTTTAAAAAGTCTTTCTCCTTTGTTAGAGATCCATTTTCAAGATTAATTTTGGGGGACAGAATCAAATTGCTCAACACATCAACAGATATTAAATCTTGGATGGCTGAATTTCTGGTTGTTGACTTTCATAGAATATCATCTTTTCCAGGCTACACAAAAAAGATGCACACTAACTTTTGAAACGAACCTAGATGGCGTCTGAAGCTGGCGACTCACCTTCTTCACCCGCATAGGCCAGAATGGATCGTGCTCGTATCTGTTTCCCTTCTGTCGTTTTCCCTGAGCAGGTGTGTGAGCAGGAGGACCACGTAGACCATGTGCTGAGCACACAGTCTTTCGGGCATGGGGCATCACAGGCCACAGGGATGGGGAAGATGGCATCTCTGCACAGCTGTCTGTCAACTTCTTCTCCTGGGGAAAACATGACCACCAACAGCTATTATTGTTAAATTAATGTAAAATGAGCAATTTAAACCAGATGGGCACCCAGATAAGTTACATTATCTTTCTTTTGCTCTTACTTAAAAAAACGTAGCCAAAAGAGGGATTGCCTACTATAGCCAGATGTTAATAGAACACCAGGAACAAGCATATATACACACATATACACTCATGACCCTAAATGAGGCTTCTTTCATTATCAGGGTATATCAAGCACATTGCTGAGACGATTCTTATGCCACAGACACCTGCCCATTAAGTACTAATTTTTATACTTGTACTCTTAAGTTGTAATAAGGAGCATCAACAAAGCATGTCCCCTCTTTCTTTTTTGGAGATGAGCTATGATTTACAAATAATGACTCTATCCATAGCATCTATCATATGTTTTCATGAACCAACTAATAGGTGTCTATTTACAAACTCTCTTGTGTCTCTCAGAGTAGTTATTTTCATACAATTGGCAACCTTCTTCTTTCGTAAAAAATTGTTTGTTAGTTGGAAATAGACAGGAAATGTAAATGATGGGATAACATTATAAAGTCACTGCTTAAGGTGATCCCAGTTGGAGAGGGAGGGAAACAATAGAAAACAAACAAATGGCAGAAGTAATGTGATGTCACTCCAGTGCTTAATATTTTTCATTAGTTCCCTGTTGCTCTTAAGATAAAGGGCAGATTTTTCAAGTTTACAAGACCTCGACCTCAAATGACCTCGCTGTGTTTCTCTTCCTAGCCTCATCTCACTTCACTCCCTCATTTTGCCCTTGACACTCTAGAGATTGGCCCAAAAATGGACACTTATTTAATATTTGCTGAATGCGTGAAATGAGATATATAAAAGGCCAATGAGAAACAAAACATTGTTGCTGTTAATAAATGCCAAAAACAACCAACAGAATAACCAAAACAGGGTAGGAGAAAAAGTCTGAACTCTATGGTTTAGTTGATTAATATAGGTGGTTAACGAGGTCAAGGGAACAGAACAGAATGAAATCATACACAATCAAACAAAAATTAACCTGCTATTTTGGCACAGAATATAATCATAATTCTGGGTGAATATATAAAAAGTGTGTGCCTCGCATTAGGCATTCAGGTGAGAAAGGGTGACTCACCTTGCCATTCCTTACAGAGGCTACTGAACAAAATAGTCCAAGCTGTTTCTCACTTGGGGAGTTAGGAGCATCATTTTAATGTACACTCCTTTATTCATATGCTTTAAAAACAAGACAGAAAATCAGAGTAAATTGCAAATGCTCTAATATGTTAATAGCTACTAGCTTGCAGAGCCTTTAATCATGAGACAAAAATCAGAAGTCAATTGGAATGCACCTACGTGTTAATAGCCATTACATTGCAAGGCCTTAAATCATTAGACTTACTCACTAGTAAGTAAAGAAGGCTCATTAAAATTGCAATTGAGTAAATATTTTATTATTCATTCTTATTTAGCTACTCTAATCTGTGGGAGCTCTCAAATTTTGTTTTTATTGGTGTTGGGTTTTGGCATGTATCCCAATTAAAAAAATGTACTAAACAGATAGTAGATATATAGGTACATAGGTAGAGTATGAAAATCATTATTGTATAAGGCATTTAATATTTTACACTTGACATAATAATGATGACTCTTTTTTCTACTAGGCTTTTTCTTAGTGCAAGGGGTGCTCTCTTATATCTTATTTTCTTCACTGCTGTCTTTTATTGTACCATCTACCTTCTCTCACTTTTGTTTCCAATATTCTGTGGAAAGCAAGAAAAGTTTGGGGCTAAAGTCTATAGCTAACAAACGTCATATTTTTATTTATCCTCTAATAGTTACCTAATCTTTTCTATTCAGAAAAATATTTATTCTGTGGCAATGCAGACTTTGCTACAAGGGTGCCATTAGATTAGCTTGCCTAGCGTAAGTAATGCATTTTTGTTTGTTGTCATGTAAACCAAAGAAATGTGCAATTTTGACCTTTCTTCTAAGTTATGCTTTTTTCCGCACTCCCCCTGCCCCCCATCCGCCCAGTTTGTGTCCCATATCTTATTTTAGCTCTTTTTCAATCATCTTGTTCTGCTTGGCCAGGTGTACTTTCCTGTAGGATCACTCCTTCTACCACCCTTAATCCTCTGTGGAGCTATTAAGACCCATCTAAGATCCAACATCTGAGATTTCCCTGATGGTTTTAGAATGATTTCTGTACCATCCCCAACCCTTCCAGGTATGATCTTGTCCCTTTTTACTGTTCTGATCACTGTCTCACATTTAGGTTGAAGCTTTATGTTCTGGCCATAATGACTTTTTTCCCTTTCCTCCTGCAAACGAAGCCCATTGTTGTCTCAGCAGTTTTGCACTTTCTCTTCACTTTGTATGAAAATTTCAGGTCTTACACAGAATCCTGTTTTTCAACATTCAGGTTTCAGTTCAATTTTCTCCTTCCTAGAGGAGATTTCATTGACCATACACACTCTCCCAGTCACTTCAGTTTATTTTCATTATACTTTTAATCACCACTAGAAACTATTTTAATTAATTGGTTAATATGTTTATTGTCTGACTATCACTAGACTAAATGAGGGTGTTATCCGTATCTGTCTTGGTTGCTACTTCATACTTAGAACCTAGAATAGTGCCCGACACGTAGGAAGCACTAAATCATTTTTTGTTAAATAAATACATAAATTTTAAGTTGTGCTAGGAAATAGAATGTTGGTCTAGACAAATAGAGATCTAAGCACAGTATTTCTTGTCATGCATTCGAGTGCTCTAGGGCCTCCCGAAAGTGTATTTAGTGGATAGCAGCACATGCATCCCCTGGAGTTTGCTGGAAATGCAGCCTCTCAGACTCAACCCACTGAATCACAACCTTAATTTTTTTTTTTTTTTTTTTTTTTTTTTTTTTGTGGAGACGGAGTCTCACTCTGTTGCCCAGGCTGCAACGCAGTGGTGAGATCTTGGCTTACTGCAACCTCCACCTCCCAGGGTCAAGCGATTCTCCTGCCTCAGCCTCCCATGTAGCTGGGACTACAGGCATGCACCACCATGCCCGGCTCATTTTTGTATTTTTAGCAGAGAAGGGGTTTCACCATACTGGCCAGGCTGGTCTCGAACTCCTGACCTCATGATCTGCCTGCCTCAGCCTCCCAAAGTGCTGGGATTACAGGCATGAGCCACCGCACCCAGACTCAACCTTCATTCTTAAAAGATCCCCAGGTAATTTCTATGCATATCAAATCTAAGAAACAATGCTCTAGAATTTTTCTCCATTTATTGTCTTCTGGTTTGATTAGAACCAGATTGTCTCTTGACAGGCAGGTATGTAAAACAAATTCATCTGGACTTCATACCTAATAGCATTTGCTTCTCTGTGGAGATTCTCCTTATACTTCTCTTCACACAGAGTATCCATGGCTGAAAACATTTATTCAATGAATAGTTGCTGAATGCCCATCTTCTGTCAGGCACTATGCTAAGAATGTATGAATGTTGTATACATCACCTCAGCTAATTCTCACAATAACCTTTTGACATCAGTATTACTATCTATTTTTTACTTTAAAAGAAATTGAGACTCAAAAAGGTTAAGTTATCTTTCTCAAATAGCAAAAGTTTGACTAAAGGAACAGAGAATTGAAATGAGTTTTCACCAATACCCCAATCTGCTTTTGAACTAGATTGGGGTTCTTCTTGGTGGAGAACTGAGGATGCCAAGGCAGTAAATAATAGATAAGGCTTTGCCTCCAAAGAAGTCAAGAAACAGGCACTCTCAAGTTGTTTGTCAACACAGTGATGCATGTTGCCAGCCACACAGTGCTTCAAATACAAAGACATGCATTGTTGATGAGTCCAGTGGGACATGTTTTGGCTCATAGCCATTGAACAAACAGCAACTGATCTATGAGAATATGGAATAATTAAATTTTTGATTTTGCTTTCAATGAATGCTTTAATCAACTCAGCTAATTGGAACCCTTAGGAGCTGTCTTCTTTTTAAGCTAAATCTTCAGCATTCCAGGCATAAGTCATCTGGGAAACCATAGGCAAATAAAATCAAATAAAAAGTTGGGTCAATGGCTATTACAGGCAACTTCATAACTTGTCAATTCCAGCCACTTTTTGAGGCTATTAATTTTATCTTACTTATAAGGTTAATTGAATCTTACTTATAAGAACTTACTCTACTCTTAAGGTCTTACAAGAGTAGCAGAAAATAATTTCATCCCTCTTCCTCACATTAAATTTTGTTTTGGATTGATACACTTTATTTTGATTGGATAAGAACTGTTTTGCATAACATTACTTCAGAGTATATATAGGAGTACATTAAACACGCACATATCTAAATATCAGGTTAATTTATACTCCTCTATTTGGAGAAATGGAAGTTTTGCTGCCTAGCACTATGGGAATTCCACTTTTTCATATCAGCAGCCCCACAGTTAGGACATATTCATCCACCAGATGTCCCCACTATAGAACTATTTGAGACTTTGATTATCCAAGTGTGCATCCCATTAAATCTGGACAGACACATCTGATTATCACTACTGTGATTTGTGTAGTTCTATCACTGGTGTAGGTATGAACCAACGCAACTTGTTTTTCTTCTTTAGTCTCTCTGAGGACAATTTCTTAGCTAGATTTTGACTGTGATGTCACAAACATTTAGAATCCTCCTTATGCTTCTCTTCGTGTATTCATATTAAATATACTATCTTTTTTGGCATACATTTACAAACATAAATGGTTTCAAAGGATTGCTTTGCATTTATATAACTTTGTTTTTCTCACCCACAAAGGTCTAGGCATTATAAACAAACCTGCCAAAATACAGAACATTTATAAAACAGACTAAATGAACCATTGTCTACATTTTACAATTTACACCTTACTTTGAGGCCTTAACTGAAGCATATACTATTTAAACTTATTTGGAATACCCTACGAAAGAGGTTGAGATATAAAATGAAAATGCTTTGGTTTATTTTTGTAAACTCAAAATGAGATTTAAATGTTTATATTTGTATTCCTCCATTTATCTTTCTTCAAAAATGTAATTTTAAGAAAATGTTTTCATAATCCACTATTCTAATAAACTTAAACATGTATTTTGACATTTTAAAGTCACCCCTAAACGTTCCCTTGTTTGGTCTATTTTCATGAATGCCACCACACTCTCATGAGCTCTCCTAAACTATTCCTTTTTATTCGACTGTATCTCTTATTATCAGGATAAGAGACTAAAACATCTGCTCAAGATAATTACTATAAAAATTCATGAAGACTACCATAGAAACACAAAATGAGAACTGAGATCAGTGGATAGTCTTTTTCCTTGGTAAAAGTATATACTGAAAGTTTATTGCATTTATCGTGTTAGAGCCTAAATAAAACATAAAAGATAAACCATGGTTTATCAAGGTTTTTATAGTTTCAATGTTTCTTTGGTTTAGCAATTGAGCAAGAATGCAAAAATTAATACATTAAACATACAATCAATTGTATTTTAATGCAAAATATACACATATTTGTATTAGTCCATTTTCATGCTGCTAATCAAGATATACCCAAGACTGGGTAATTTATAAAGAAAAAGAGGTTTAATGGACTTACAGTTCCACATGGCTGGAAAGGCCTCACAATCATGGTAGAAGACAGAGAAGAAGGAAAGGCATGCCTTACATGGTGGCAGGCAAGAGAGCTTGTGCAGGGGAACTCCCATTGAAAAAAACTACCAGATCTCATGAGAATTATTCACTACCATGAGAACATCATGGGGGAGACCGACACCATTATTTAATTATCTCCACCTGGCCCCACCCTTGACACGTGGGGATTATTACAATTCAAGGTGAGATTTGGGTGGGGACACAGCAAAACTATGTCAATGTTCTGCCTATTCTCTAAACGCCTCTTGAGTTATCCTGATTTTTTTTTAAATCATAGAAATGTGCAACTTTTATGGTTGATTTTAACAGTCACAACAGTGCTATGTGCAAAGCACCTCCCCTGTAAAATTGCAACTCACAACATAATGGAATTGTAAGCAGAAAGGAGAAATTGAAGCAGAGAGGGACCAGACACAGAGCCAAGATTAAAAAGCACATTATTTAGAGAGATCCCAGGATTGTAATTTTGAGATTAGATTTCTCTTGCCAGATCTATACAAAATCCGGAGTAACTCCGATAATTATTACTGAGTTTTTGATATGTTTTGTGTTCTTCAGAAATTATCTTAAAAATTCACATTGACTTTTGAGAGTGATAGTCTTTATATATTTATTTATTGATAACCAATAAAAGTTTACAAAAGAATTAAAGAGGGAAAAAATGGAGTCTCATATTTGCATGGACCTTTCTAGAAAACATTTTCATATAACCATCTTATCTGAACTCTCTAACAACCATAAGGTATGTAGGTCCAGAATCACCCTCAGCTTACTGAAGAAGACCCATGAACTGAGACTTATGCCTCATTCTTCACTCCCCTTCTCAAAATGAAGCTACATATTGCTTCATTTTAAATAGAAAGTTTCCAAGTCAATTTTAATCCCTGCATTATTTTTGCTACCATATCCAGGTAGTGAGCCTGATTTTACAAATCTCGAATCCATTTTCTCTTCCAAATCTTTGCACACTTTCCCCTGGGATTCTGTTGTATCTCATTTCCCTTGTATCCCAAGGGTCTGTTTCTAAAATCTAAGTCTGAATACTATAGTCTCTCCAATATATATTAGCTGAAAACCAACTTCCTCACTAGAACAAAGAAAATAGAAATCTTCTGTCATTGCCTCACGTTTTCTCTACATTCTATCCACAGAAAGCTTTCATTTTTCCATGAACTGACATGCTGCTTTTTCACTCCTCTGCCATTTTGCAAACACTGTTCTTCATGCCTGGTGTCCCCATCTCTCGCTGTCTTCCTTTAGGACTCGGTTTTCTTCCTCTGTGAACATTATTTGACTTTCTCAAATGCCCCAGATGGAGTTGTGCTCTGCCCTGTCTGCTCCCATAGCATTGCAGACATGTCACTTTTAAAACTTTTTCTCATTCCCTGTTCACTCACCTTTACTTCCATTAGCCTATGAGAACCTTCTGGCCAGAGAGTTTGTCTTATTCAGTATCTTTTAGTCCTTGGTGTAGTCACTGTTATTTTAGAGTTTCACAGTAAATATTTGTTGGATGAGGGGAAAAAGTGAACCTAAAATGCCAGAACCTATATTGCTTTTCTGCAAAAGAAAAAAGCACTGGTGTTTATACATTTCTAATTGTTGGCTTACTAGAACCTAACCAAGAAGGCCTTGAAATTCACTTCAGCTTGATTAAGCATTAGGCAGATTTCTTCCTGGCTATAGGCCCCTGACCTCTTTTTTCTTAAAGGACTTATTTTAGGAAACTTGCAATTGTAATTCTTTCTCTGCCCCTTTGTAATGTATGTAAATCTTCTCCCAGCCTCTTGCCAGTTTTGCAAACCAGGAATTATCTTTCTCAAGGAAATAGGAACTGGGTCTTTGAAATTTTAACATTGAGGGAAATAGTGCTCTGAGCTCCCAGTCTCTGTAGGAGGGCAGGTACCTAACTTCTATAGGCATTAATTGGCAAACACAGATGGACTAATCATAGAGAAAAGCATTTGCAAACTCAGGAATAACCCAATGTGCTTGGCATATCCCACTGTTCACCCCACCCCCTAACGTCCTCTAGCACTTTTTCCACTAGGTCACTCCAGTATTTAAAAATATTACTGCAAGAGTTGAGTTCAATCTTCTCCTGTTTTAATAATCTCAAATACACTTTTCTTTGCTAGTTTAGCTTTGTCTGGTACAACTTTAACAAACCCTTGATATTCAATTTATAATGATATATTATCTTTAGGTTTCTCTTTTTTCCCCCACATATATATTTACCTATTGATTTTTAAATATCTTTAAGAAACCTGGGAGTCTTCACAGTATGATACAATTATTTTCAGGGATTTCATTTTCAAAACCCTTTTTATTCACAATAAGTTTGCCTATGTTTCCACTATGCTCTCTTCCCTGTCACTTTTTAAAATCTCAAGTTTCTGTTCATATATTTATGTTCATATTTTTCCTTCATGACCCTAGCAAAATGAATAGGTGATGCTGGGGTAAAAGGCTGTCTTCCTTCTTCTGATAGCACCCACTTTCCAGCCCAGGCTTTGTTGTAATCAATAATATCACATTTGACTTCATTCCGGAGATAGAACCCATTTTAACAAAGTGCAGTAAATAACATGACCTTTAAATACATGATGAAAATTTAGGGCTAAATCCAATCATAACTTTGCATTTTCTTATTTCATTGAATTTAACCCACCCATGATATAAGTTGCCCACTTAGTAAGCAGGGCATTAGGCAAACAAATTTTATTAAAACATCTATGACTTCCCTTCCTAATAACTCTGGTTAAGGATTTCACTTGAGGTTAGACAGACAAAAAGGGTATGTGTGTACTCTGTAAGCTTTGACATGAGACTCATGACTTCTGCTCCTGTTTAATGCCAACTATCATGGTACATGTGCATGTTCTCTGAGTGTACAGTATGGGTATAATCAAATGCACATGTATTTTGAATAAAGGTGTGAAAAATGTTTTATTCCTTTTTTCCCCAGTTATTCATTTTATATCTTCATTCTTGAATAGTTCTTTCTTGTGATTTCATTCCTCTCAGTTGTTTTTAAGCTTGAAATGACCTAAAATGTTAATTTTCATGTGCTCCACATTTAGTTTTTTAGTAACTAGTTCAAATTCTGGCTTCCCACTTACCACTAATGTGCCCTTGAGCAGATAATTTAACTATTCTAAAACTTACTTAATCTTAATGGAAGCTAATAATAGTACTTATGGTATTCCCATTCATATTAACTGAGAAAAATTTTTATTGGCACATAAAGTTTGTTCAATATGACAGCAGCATGAGGCTATTTTCATCACTCATCTGTGGAGGAGTTGACCATCCCTCCCATACTACTACAGAAATGGATCTGCTCCATTCTAAACCCCACTGTGTTCCAATTCACTTGATTTGATGTACTTAATCATTTTTTCCGAATTTTGCTTATGTGTGGACTTGTGGAAAGTTACAGGTATATACATTGTACTAGACTCAGAGTATGATCTTCATCATTCAGTAATTTTGCATTTTTCCTTTTGTTAAAGTGCTAAGGTTGCGAGGAAATCCAGAAATCCTAGGAAAAGCTAACTTACGTAATTTTTGATTGTTAAATTTTATAGTCCATATTTTATAAATTATTTAGAGTTGGGTTCTAAGTATCTTTGGGCTTCAATTAAAAATTTGGACTGAAAGTTGTACTACACAATATTTAGCTCACAGTGATCAGTAGGAGTACTAAGACACATGGCATTCTATAAAGTTCCTTTAGTCCCCTTTCTCTCTGGACTACGTAATTAACATGAACTTTTCAAAACTGTAATTTAAACAGCTATACACAGCTACATTTGGTCATCAAATCTTCTCAGGCATCTTCTAGCAGGAAGAAAAACAAATGTTTTCTGGAAGTGCTATGATACAGTTACACTGAGCTATATTACAGTACTTAATGAGAGGAATTATGCTACTAAATAAGATAAATTATATATCATAGTCATTTGAAGAGTTAATCAATACAATCACCCAAATAGTCACATTCATCAGAATTTATTGGCTTAATTAATTTAAGAGCTTACATAAATAGATGGTTCCACATCAAGTGCTTCAACAGAATTCCGTTTACTCTGGGATGAAATACAGCTCCTGTGTTGATCTCTCCAGCTTTGCCCTCCATCACACTAAGGAAGCTTATGAGTTCTAATCTCAAGTTAGTCCCTCGTGGAGCCTTGCAACGCTCTTTTTGGGTGAGCCCTTTGAGTGGCTTTTTCTTTCTTTCTTTCTATTCTTAAGTCTTGGTTATCTCACACTTTTTTCTCTGAGGGGTCTTCACACTTCCAATCTGTCCTGCAAATTATCAGCCAAATAGCTTGCCAGCCACACTGCTGTGACTACATTACACCCTCTAATGATTCTCTGTGGTTCTCCTGATCAAGCATGCATTCACGTCTGTTGTGTTTTAGAGACATTCCGCCATCTGCCCCCACTTGACACACCTTGTCTAGCAAGTCCATTTTCTATCCTCTATTTGCAACCAGAAAAGGTGCAAAAGACCCCATGGACTGGAAGAGGATGACTCTGTGCCTTTATCAACTCTTAAGGACTAGGCTAAAAACCAACTTCAATTTGTAAATTTTCTTGCTTAAAACAATGATTACTGCCTCTCTTTCTGTACTCCTACTGCTTGGGATTTCTTTCAGATTCATAAAAATAAAAAGAAAGTATAGTTATACCACATATTCCACAGACAGTTATTACAAGATCACAGTGTGCAAACAAGTCTACTGGGTAATGGGGAAATTATGAAATAGCTTAAATATAACTATATTTGACTTTGGAATCTTGCCAGGATGAGTAAGACCAAATGACTTACACATTCTATATTTATCACACGAAAACAAGCACCAGTAAACACAGTGTAAAATTTTGACCCACTGATGGAGATTGTGGATTGATGAAGTGACTAGAGATGGCACAGTTCATAAAGGAAAACATTTCTAAGGCAGTGAAATCTGAACAATATTTGGAGAGAACTGAAGCTAAGTGCTTGGAAATGAGGAAGAGCAATATAAATGTAGGAGACTGGTCTATGTGGGAAGGCTTTGAAGCAGAATCTAATCCAAAGAATTAATCATCACCATTAAACTTTTCCAAAACTTCCCACTCTATCCTCTATGAACCCCATGTAAAAACACAAAAACTTTGAACCGTAAAGACTAGCCTAAGGCCTGCAGCTGAGTAAATCACAGTCTGACCCTTTAATCTTCATAGTTGTCTGCTAGGAGATCACAGGAAAAGAATCCTAGGGAGAATGAAATTTCAGCAATGGAGGAAGTGCTCTATAAGTTGGTCAGAAGTGGTTCTCTTCCACCTTGGGAACCACACATGTATTAGGAACTCCCAGCCCATTTCATCAACAGTTAGCATTTATGAAAAGTTGCTCAGGGCTGTCTCAGCGTTATTAACATTTGTAAGAATTTGTAATAAAACGTATATAGCTGATACAGAAAGCATCATTAGCTTGTTGATTGACAAAGAAAGTGTCTATTAATCAAACCAAATCAAATCATGGTTAATGAATATTTGCAGAAAACAAGGCAGAGAGTTCTATAAAATGTTCATATCTGACCTGATAAAAAGTTGGTGAGTTTGGGATGGGCCAAGATGGAACTCTGGAACCAGTCAACATACGTTGAAATTAAAGAACAACGAGAACAAAGATCTTGAAAAAGATAGAAGAATGAGTCTAGCTCACACGTTTCAAACCTGATGGGAAGTTTCTAAAAATCCTATCTTCAGTTCCATCAGAGAACTACTCAATTGGATGGACAGGGGAAGATATTAGGGTTATTCATTTTTAAAGGTCCCTAATGCTTCTGATGCATTAGTATGTGGGAACTACTATGTCTGCTCATTCCTGTTTAAAATCCAATATGTAAGAAGAAAGAGTTGATGGTTCAAACCAAATTCTCCTAGTCATATTTGTAACTTGAATTTACATATAGTTATTTAATTGAAGGTAAACAATATTGGCCCATTGTACCATTTTAATTTGTTTCAAAGAGTTCTTTTTTGTTGTTCATCTCATGCTCTGAGTTGAAGCAATTATTTAAGTATTTTAAAGAGCCATAAGTAAACCAGACTGGACTCTTTTTTGTTTCATGGTCATCTATGAACAGAGAAGGTAATGAAGTTTTATGGTAGTGGTTGCCTAATAGAAACCTTTGGGGGTAATATCATCTAGTTTATAAGGTATTTTGACGAGTGTTAGGAGGACCATTTAATTATGATTCAATAAAATACAATTACTGCTCTGAAGAAACACACACACACATACACACAGATTTATACCAATACACCTTAGTATAATTTTACCTAAAATCTAAAAGCAGGTACAGATAAACGTTAGTGGGAATTTTGCTCCTATAGAAGGAAGAAAATAGTCTCTAAAATTGAAACATAATTACATTAGGCTACAGATATTATATACAATTTTCTGATGCCAATGTGGCACAAATAGTCAGTTGATGTGGGCTGGTCTGCATGGATAAAGACATATTGAGTTTTAAAAACAAAACCAACTGGTCATGGCCTCTCTTCTGATTGGTCAGTGCCTGTGCCTTTGTCACTAAATACTTTGTTAAATACTATAAATAAAACCTCTGGGTTTAATCAACCATTTCTTTATAAGTCCTCCACTCTTAATTCCCACTGTTTTTATTATAATTTCAAAACAAAACAAGGACCACAAAAATCCCCAAATGACAGGATTGAACTAGAGACTCAAACCTCTCCCCAATCTAAATCAGCCTATGACTAAAGTTCCAGGTAAAATAATCTAACATTCTTTTACAATGTTGCTTTACTGTTTAAAAATCTATTAGTTATACACTGATTATTACATCCAGGGATGAAAGGAAAGAAAATAATACTTATGAATAGCTACTGTGTTCAAGCATGATAATATGGCAATTCAAGTGGGAAGTAAAATCACATTTTATGGCATTTGAAATACAGAATCAAAAAGAATTCTTTTCTCCTTGCCCGAAGTTACCAGCTATTTAGTGACAAAGGCAGGATTTCTAGTCCATATTCCCAGACTCCAAAGTCTATGTTCTCTACATCATATGATAACTTCCAGGCACGAGCATTCTTATGGGCACTTCATAAAAGCTGGTAAAATAAATAAGCTTATGTTTTACCTAAACCTTTATAATACAGCATTTTCTAAAATATAGTTTTCTTTTTCTTTCAGAGATAATCTATGCTTAAAATATATTAATTCTATGTAGCATATTAAAATTTGGAAATAATCAAATGTATGAGTTTGGGAGATGAAACTGCAGTATGAAGAAGACTTTTCATAAATGGATGTTTAATATCTTTGGGGGTTTATTCTTCTGTGCAGTGTAATTGTTTTTGACATTTCAGTAATGCTTTTATGGGCAACTTGACCTTTGATGCATTTCTTTTTTCAAACTTGTAGCTTGCTAAATTGCCAGAAACATTATATTCACTAGAAAAGTTTAAAAAGTCTAGCTTACAAATCATTGCTCATTGAGATTAAATTTCATCTGATTTATAAATTAACCTTTATTTAAAAATACGTAACATCCTGTATGTATGTGCTGTTTTATATCATATTTTTATAATATGTGGCTCAGAACAAATGCAGTAAGTAGGTAAACTTTAGAAGACCCTTGGCCGTAGGTGCTTATGAGAAAAATGTTAAAAATATGATGGATAAGCAAATAAAGAAAGAAGAGAAATAAACAGCACTTATACGTGAATGCTTTTGCCAAAGATCAGCTAGGATACTAAGGAAATCATTACCACATTCACTTACAAACTGACACCTTTACCTCCCAATTCTGTAGTAGTTGGTGAACAGTTTCAAAGAAGATAACATAAAATCAATTTGAAGATTTTCTATTGCAAAACTGTATCTTCTAGCATCGTATGCCAAGATACTGCTCTCTAGAAGCCATTACAAAATCAAAACCACTATTGAACTAGAAAAATCTTAAAAAGGGTTTGGCTTATGTGCACATATTAAAGATGGAATAGAGGCTGCCTATGTGATCAAACAAGGAGAGAAGATGCAGGCAGAATGAGTTTCATAGATAATGTGCTGAGACTTTTGAAGTCTTTACCCTGAGGGTAAGAATAATAAGCTACTTTGCTTGAGTTTGGATGGACTTACAAAGCCGGGGGAAAATGGATGAGATGAAATACACAGAATCGAAATAACAGGGGATTTGGAGAGTTAAGATTTTTAGACAAGTTAAGTTACTGGGAAGTCAATGGAAAGAATACTAATAGAGACCCAAATGGGAGAATCTTGTCAGCTAGTCTTCTGGTATCATGAATTTTTAAAGTGATATATTCTACAGAATCAGAAGTATGCAGAAATGCTATGCTTATATGTGACTATAATGTTCCTGAATTCTAATCTGAAAGTCATGAACATAAAATTATAACATGGAACTAATAATTGCTGACTTTTATTGTGCAATGTTATGTGCCAGGCATTAAGTGTTTTACAGGATTTAGCGGATATAATTTTCCAACAACTCTATGAAGTAGACATGATTATTATACCCATATTACAGAGAAATAAAACCATGGAAGTTGATTAATGTCCCCAACTTTATACTATGCTGTCCCCTCTTAGTGTGAGAGACTAGCTTAATTTATTTGTCTTCTCTTGTGATTTTTCAATAATACACTATTGTATGTGGCAAGAAAATATGCGAGAGGTGATCCAGTTTAAGGATTAGGAAATGAGGCCCATAGTATGGAAAACACTTGCCCAAGGTTACACAAGTTGATGATGGAGTTGGAGATTCAGTGACCATATGACCTGGGGTTTAGGGCTGAGACATCCGTAATTTTTTTCATGTATGAGGCCAAATTATCGTTACAGAGATGATAGATATTCCTCCACAGCATTGTGCTCAACTATCTAATGCACTAAGGAACACAAATAAATTACACTTCTTCCAAGGGCCAGGAGCCTGTGGCTACGTAAGCTGCTTACACTAATTTTTAGAAGCAGGAGATATTATCTCACTTCTACAAGTAAGGAAACTATACAGATGAAATATAAAAGTGGCAAATTTCACTCAAACATGCAAAACATACAATGAAATGTTCTTGAAACAAAATAAACAAATGAAAACATTTAGCCAACCAAGGGTAGAACCAAAGTCAACAATCATTGAATCTAGGTAAATAAAGACACTGAGGCTAAAAAGTTGTGAGACTTTATTAGAGCAGACAATATAGATGTCATGAGTCCAGAAATTAAGCTATCCAACGTAAATCAATGTATTAGTCCATTGTCACATTACTATAAGGAGATACCCGAGATGGGGTAATTTATAAAGGAAAGAGGTTTAATTCACTTACAGTTCAGAATGGCTGGGGAGGCCTAAGGAAACTTACAATCATGGTGGAAGGGGAAGCAAACACATCCTTCTTCACATGGTGGCAGGAAGCAGAAGAATGAGAGCTGAGTAAAGGGGGAAGACCTTATAAAACCATCAGATCATATGAGAACTTACTCACTATAATGAGAATAGGATGAGGGAAACTGCCCCCATGATTCAATTACCTCTCAGCAGGTCCCTTTCACAATGTGTGGGGATTATGGGAACTACAATTTAAAATGAGATTTGGTTGAGGACACAGCCAAAACATATCAATCAATAAGATAATAGACATATGTTTGTTGAGATAGGCCAGATATTTTGGTGCATCTGTCAAATATAAAACTAATGGTATTGATAAAAATGTACCTCATTGCATTTCTTTAGGGGACATTAGGAATAAGGTAACTCCTGAGAAAGTAGTTCAAACAAAGCCAATTACCAATCCAATGTTGTTTCAAAGATATGGAAAACACTGGTCATTTTTTTGGTAAATACATTTTTTGGAGTATAATGTACTCTCAATAATCTTTAATACATAATAGAACTTTCCACTTGGAAAATGTTTATCTTAAGAATAACTGTTGACTAGTAGCCAAGATAGCCGACTAGAAGCAGCTAGTATGCTAAGAGCTGTGGCTCTCAGGGAGAGGAACAGAAGGGCAAGTAAATATAACACCTTGCACTGAAACTTCCAGGTACTTGCATTGGGATTAATCAAGGAAACAACCTGACTCACAGAGAGGGAAGAAAAACAAGACAAGACAATGGCTCACCTGGGAGCAACATGGAGCCAGGGGACCATCCCCTGCCCAGGGAAGTGATGAGTGAATAAGCGATCCCGGGAAACCATGCTTCCCCCACAGATCTTTGCAACCCTTGGGTTAGGAGATCTCTTTGAGAACCCACTCCACCTTCAGTCTTCAGTCCAATATAGCTATGTGGAGTCTTGGCAGAGCAGCCGCTCAGGCATGTGTGAAGACCCTGGAGCCTTAGATACTTGGGCCTTCTGGCAAAAGTAGCTGCAGCTCCATCAAAGTGGGAGCTTAGACTCCTGTACATACCCCTAGATAAGAGGCTGAAGCCATGGGGCTGATCCATAACAGCCCACAGACCCCACTTTCATGGCACCTCATATGATAAGACCCACTGGCTTGGAATCCCTAAGAAGGAGCTCTCAGAGAGAGGGGCGGGCTGCCATCTTTGCTGTTTGGGTGCCTTGGCCATTCTAGCCTTTAGGCTTTGGAGATGTGAAAGGGATCCACCAGCACAGTATAGCTGTGCTACCAAAATGTGGCCAGACTGCTGCTTTAAACAGGAGCTCAATCCTCTTCCTCCTCACTGGGTGGAACCTCCCAACTGGGACCTCCAGCCTCTCCTGCTTGAGCTCTCCAGTTGACAGAGATCTGAATTCCCCCTGGGACTGCACTCCCAGAGGGAAGGGTGGGCCACCATCTTTGCTGTTGGTGACTTAGCTGTTCCAGCCTTTGGCTATCTGAAGTGACCGGGGGCTGAAGTGGACTGGACCCCCAGCACAGCACAGCTGCTTTATCAAAACATGCCCAGACTGCTTTTTAAAGCAGGTCCTCATCCTATTCCTCCTCACTGGACAGGACCTCCCAACTAGGGTCTCCAGCCACTTCATGCAGATGCCTTTGGGTGGCAAAAATGTCCCTACTTCCCTGGGACAAAGCTCCTAGAGGGAGAGAGAGGATGCCATCTTTGCTGTTTCACAGTCTTCACTGGTGATACCTCCAGGTTCCAGAAAATCCGAGGTGACTAGGGACTGAAGCAGGCCCCAAGCATACAGCAGCAGCCCTATGGAAAAGTGGCCAGACTGTTACATGGGTTCCCGTTCTCATATCTCCTCACTGGGCAGGTCCTCCAAGCCTGGATCTTCAGCCACCTTGCACTGGAGTTATCAAGCCAGTACCAACTCAGCAACTCCTTTGACAGAGCCTCCAGGGGCAAATGAAAGCCTCTCTGCCACTGCCTCTGTAGTGGAACAGCCCTTGCCATCCTCAGACTAATGAAGGAGCAAAGACCCTAAGGGCCTTATCCACACCTCCAACAAGCTGCAGTTGACCCAAGGAGAGGCGGTCAGTCCAACTCCTGTGGGATCCACACACCCTTCATGGCTTGTCACCAGACAGGGAACTCCTGGCTTGGGCCCTCAGCACAAACCTTCCATCTTGGGCTGACTACACTGGGCATGACCTGCTGACTGCACTGAGTTGACATGCATCTCTCTGACTCTCAGGAGTCAAGCAAATGACTTGACCACAACCACTAATAAGATGTCTTCCTCTGTTGCCCCTAAGCTGAAGAAGAAATATAAACACCAAGATTTCCCTAGAGCTTCAGTGGGCAGCCTAGGAGTGCCAAGTTGTTCTTAACCAGACTCAACTGGCTGAAATGACAGAAATAGAATTCATAATACGGATAGGAACAAAGATACTGAGATTCAGGAGGATGGCAAACCCCAATCCAAGGAAAATGAGAATCACAGTAAAGCAATACAGGAGCTGAAGGACAGCATAGCCAGTACAAAAAAGAATCTAATGGGTCAGACAGAGCTGAATAACACAAGAATGTCACAATGCAATCACAAGTATTAACAGCAGAATAAAACAAGCTGAGAAAAGAATCTCAGAACTTGAAGACTGGTTCTGTGAAATAAGACAGTCAGACAAAAATAAAGAACAACTATTAAAAAGGGATAATCAAAACATCTGCGAAGTATGGGATTATGTGAAGAGGCCAAATCTATGAATCAGTGGCATTCCTGAAAGGGAGGGGGAGAAAACAAACAACTTGGAAAATATATTTCAGGATATTGTCAATGAAAATTTCCCCAACCTTGCTAGAGAGGCCAACAGTCAAATTCAGGAAATTAAGAGAACTCCTGCAAGATTCTTCACAAGAAGATCATCCATCCCCTAGATACATAATCATCAGATTTTCCAAGGTTGAAATGAAAGAATGTTAAAGGCAGCTAAAGAGTAAGAGAAGGTCACCTACAAAGGAATCTCAGTCAGGCTAAGAATGGACCTCTCAGCTGAAACTCTATAAGCCAGAAGAGATTGGGGGCCTATATTCAACATTCTTAAAGAAAAGAAAAAAAAATCTTCAACTAACACTTTCAAATCTAGCCAAACTAAGCTTCCTAAGTGAAAGAGAAATAAGATGCTTTTCAGATAAGCAAATGTTGAGGGACTTCATTACCACACAAGAGATCTTGAAAGGAGCACTAAATATAGACAGGAAAGACCACTACCAGCTAATACAAAAACACACTTAAACACACAGACCAGGGTTACTATAAAGCAACCACACAAACAAGCCAACACAATAACCAGCTAACAGCACAATGATAGGGTCAAATCCATACATATTAATACTAACCTTGAATGTAAATGGGCTAAATAACCCCACTTACAAGGCACAGAGTGGCAAGCTGGATAAAAAAGCAAGACCCAAAGGTATGCTGTCTTCAAGAGGCCCATTTCAGATATAATGACACTTGTAGGCTCAAAATAAAGGGATGGAAAAAAATCTACCAAGCAAATGGAAAAAAGAAAAAAAGAAGGGGCCGGGTGCAGTGGCTCACATCTGTAATCCCAGCACTTTAGGGGGCCAAGGCGGGTGGATCACGAGGTAGGTTCAAGATCAGCCTGGCCAAGATGGTGAAAACCCATCTCTACTAAAAATACAACAAATTAGCCAGGCGTGGTGGTGGGTGCCTGTAATCCCAGCTACTTGGGAGGCTGAGGCAGAGAATTGCTTGAATCTGGGAGGCAAAGTTGCACTGAGCTGAGATCGCACCACTGCACTCCAGCCTGGGTGACAGAGTGAAACTCTGTCTCAAAAAAAGAAAGAAAAAAAAAAAGAAAAAAAGGAGTTGCAATCCTAATTTCAGACAAAACAGATTTCAAACCAACAAAGATAAAAAAAAAAGACAAGGAAGGGCATTATATAATGGTAAAGGTTTCAATTCAATGAGAAGACTTAGCTATCCTAAATATATATGCACTCAACACAGGAACACCCAGATTCATAAAGCAAGTTCCTAGAGACCTACAAAGAGACATAGACTCCCCACACAATAATAGTGGGAGACTTCAACACTCCACTGACAGTATTAGACAGATCATTGAGGCAGAATATCAATAAAGATATTCAGGACCTAAACTCAGCATTGGACCAAATGGACCTGATAGACTATACAGAAATCTCCACCCAAAAGCAACAGAATATACATTCTTCTCATTGCCACATGGCACATACTCTAAAATTGACCACATAATTGGACATAAAACAGTCCTCAACAAATGTAAAGGAACCAAAATCACACCAAACATACTCTTGGACCACAGCACAATAAAAATAGAAATCAACACAATGAAAATTGCTGAAACCCAGACAATTACATAGAAATTAAACAACATGCTCCTGAATGGCTTTTGGGTAAATACTGAAATTAAGGCATAAATCAAGAAGTTATTTGAAAATAATGAGAACAAAGATACAACATGCCAGAATCTCTGGGAAATAGCTAAGGCAGTGTTAAGAGGAAAATTCATAGCACTAAAATGCCCACATCAAAAAGTTAGGAAGAACTTAAATTAGCAATGTAACTTTACAACTGAAAGAATTAGAGAAGCAATAGCAAATAAACCCTAAAGCTAGGAGAAGATGAGAAATAACAAAAAATCAGAGCTGAACTGGAGGAAATTAAGACACAAAAAAACATTCAAAAGGTCAATGAATCCAGCAGTTTGTTTTTTTGAAAAAAGTAATAAAATAGTTTAGCCACTATCTAGACTAATAGAAGAGAGAAAAGCCAAATAAACCCAATTAGAAATGATGAAGGGAATGTTACCACTGATCCCACAGAAATATAAGTATGACCATCAGAAATGACTGCAAACAACCCTATGCACACAAACTCTAAAACCTAGAAGAGATGGATAAACTCCTGGACATACACACCCTCCCAAAACTGAACCAGGAAAAAAATTGATTCCTTGAAAAGACCAATAATGAGCTCTGAAATTAAATCAGTAATAAAGAACCTACTAAAAACAACAACAAAAAAGCCCAGGAGGACCTAAAAGATTCATAGGTGAATTCTACCAGATGTATAAAGAGCTGGTATCATTCCTACAGAAACTCTTCCAAAAGGATTAGGAGGAGGGACTTCTCCCTAACTCATTCTATGAGGCCAGCATCATCTTGACACCCAAACATGGCAGAGACACAACAACAACAAAAACTTCAGGCCAATATCCTTGATGAACATCGATGCAACTAACCTTAGCAAAATACTTGCAAACCAAATCCAGCAGCACGTCAAAAACTAAATCACCATTATCAAGTAGGCTTCATCCCCAGGATACAAGACTGGTTCAACATATGCAAATCAATAAATGTGATTCATCATATAAACAGAACTAAAGAAAAAAACCCACGATTATCTCAATAGATTCAGAAAAGTCTTTTGATAAAATTCAACATCCCTTCATCTTAAAAACTCTCAATAATCTAGGTACAAAACCAATGTACAAAAATCACCAGCATTCCTATACACCATCAACAACCAAACTGAGAACCAAATCAGAAAGGGAATCCCATTCACAATTGCCACACACACACAAAATACCTAGGAATACAGCCAACTAGAATGGTGGAAGATCTCTAAAATAATTACAAAACACTGCTCAATGAAATCAGGGAAGACACAAACAAATGGAAAAACATGCCATGCTGATGGATAGAAAGAATCAGTATCATTAAAATGGCTATACTGCCCAAAGCAATTTACAGATTCAATGTTATTCCTATCAATCCATCAATAACATTCTTGACATTCTTCATTCTTCTAGAAAAAATTATTTTAAAATTTATATGAAACCAAAAGAGAGTCCAAATAGCCAAGGAGATCATAAGCAAAAAGAAGAAAGCTGAGGGCATCACATTCCCCTCTTCAAACTATACTACAAGGCTTCAGTGACCAAAACAGCATGGTACTGATTCCAAAACAGGCACATAGACCAATGGAACAGAATAGAGAGCCCAGAAATAAGGTTGCACATCTACGACCATCTGATCTTTGACAAGGCTGACAAAAACAAGCAATGGGGAAAAGACTTCCTGTTCAATAAATGGTGCTGCAATAACTGGCTAGCCATATGCAGAAGATTGAAGCTGGACCCCTTTCTTATGCCATATACAAAAATCAACTCAACATGGATAAAGACTTAAATGTAAAACCCAAAACTATAAAAACCCTGGAAGACAACCTAGGCAATACCATCTTAGACACAGGAATGGGCAAAGATTTCATGACAATGATGTCAATTTTCACAACAAAAGCAAACATTGACAAATGGGATCTAATTAAACTTAAGAGCTTCTGCAAAGAAAAATAAACTATCAGCAGAGTAAACAAAAAACCTACAGAATAGGAGAAAGTATTTGCAAACTATGCATCTGACAAAGATCTAAAATCCAGCATCTATAACGAACTTAAACAAATTTACACAAGAAAAACAAACGACTCCATTAAAAAGTGGGCAAAGGACATGAACAGACACTTCTCAAAAGAAGACATACATGTGTCCAACAAGCATATGCAAAAAAGCTCAATATCACTGATCATTAGAGAAATGCAAATCAAAGCCACAGCGAGGTACCATCTTACACCAGTCAGAATGACTATTATTAAAAAGTTAAAAAATAACAGATGCTGGCAAGGTTGCAGAGAAAAGGAAATGCTTATACATTGTTGGTAGAAGCGTAAATTAGTTCAACCATTGTGGAAAACAGTATGGTGGTTCCTCAAAGAGCTAAAAGCAGAAGTACCATTTGGTCCAGCAATCCCATTACTGAGTATACACACTGAGGGATATAAAGCATTCTGCCACAGAGATACATGCATGCAAATGTTCACTGCAGCACTTTTCACAATAGCAAAGCCATGGAATCAACATAAATTCCCATCAATGACAGACTGGATAAAGAAAATGTGATACATATATACCATGGAATATTATGCAGCCATAAAAAAGAACGAGATCATGTCTCTTGTGGGAACACGGATGGAGCTGGAGGATATCATCCTCAGAAAGCTAATGCAGGAACAGAAAATCAAATACCACATGCTTTCACCTATAAGTGGGAGCTAAATTATGAGAACTTATGAAAACAAAGAAGGAAATAAGAGACACTGGCGTCCACTTGATGGGAAGGGTGGGAGGAAGGAGAGGAGCAGAAAAGTTAACTATGGGGTACTGAGCTTAATACCTGGGTAATGTAATATTATACTTTTGCACCAACCTAATAATGTGTACAACAAAAGTCTGTGACATGTTTGTCTATATAACAAATCATCACATGTAGGCCCAAACCTAAAATAAAAAAAATTTTAAAAAGAATAACTGTCCGCTATTATTCCTTTTTTAAAAAATGACACAAACACACCCTAGATATAATCTGGCCTACAAAGTGGGGTTTTCCCTGGAGCTATCTATATGAAGTAGTCCAGGATGTGGCAGGTAAGATAATAATCTACATATATTGTAACAAAATTGAATATGTTTGAGAGTTAAACATTCATCTTGGGCCAAATTTTTCATGATTGTGATAATCATTTAGCAAAATTTGAGATTCAACTCAGTAAATCAATTCCACCATCCATTTGCCTGATACATTTGCATGAACCATTTTCTTCTGGATGGTTTAAAAAGAAAGGACAACTAACTCCTTTTTTTTTATTGCATTTATTTGTAAATTTTAGTTGTATGTATTATTAAACTGGCAAAATTAAAAGGAGATTTGGAAATATATTTAAGGTAAACAATCCAAAACACTTTAATAAAAATAATAACTGCTAAGGTATGTAATATCTTTGTTGTAGGCATAAGGCAACTAGTTAGAGATGCAGGCATGTTTCAGAACTCCTGATTGTCAAACTTAACTTCAGCCATCATATTCTCATTTGGTTCGGTAGGAAGTTAAGCAGATTTAAATAAAAATATCATTGCTTAGAAAAAGTCTTGAATTCATGAAGCTTTAGAGGATGAAAAAACTAAATTATGTTTTGAAAGGAAAATCTGGATATTCTAAATACTAGAAGACTAAAATTCTTTGATAAAAGAAAATAATAGTTTAAGTTTTGTAGCTAATTTCATTAATCGTCCAAATTCTTCTCTCAAAATGTTTTACAAGGGCTACTAACTTCAAATATCCATTTCAAATATTTGATATGAGAGTCTAATTTCCTTTTCCTTTTCAACTTAAAATACTGATGATTTCAGTACTTAAAAGAACCCTCAGCTACACCTTAGGTTTCCGAAAACTAACACTACCAGTGTAAAGTTTTTTTTTTTTTTAATTTAAAAGATTTGAACAGAAGACAAAAGAAAGAAGGCAAAGTAATTCTCATACTTGAATTGGGAATAGAAACCCTGCCAAAGATAGAAACATCTAAATTAAAAGGAGGCATTTTGAATATAACTTAAGGCAAACAATTAAAATACACTAAAGAATTCACATAATAAAAGGCTTGGATGGGTTCAGGAAGAATAATCCTTTCCATTAGAATGAAAAATAAGAATGCATACAACATTGGGTGTTCAGTCAATAGGGTTATGGCAAATTTTACATGCTGAGAAGTGAGGTTAGGATTCAGAATAACTGGGATATGAAGCATGCCAAACGACTGCCATCTGTGCAGTTACCATATTACTAGGACAAGCACTGTGGCTTGAGATTTATATAACTATGGGGCTCATTATCTAGTTTCTTCTTCTCGTAGTGACTTGACATGAGAAGAATCTGGACTTGCGGGATGGGGAATCTAAGAGTGCTTTGCAAAGAGCACCTGTTTTTGAAAGCACTTCTGAAGCAAATTAAATACAATTTTATGAGAACAAGATAGACAAAAAGAGGTAAAGAGATTGTCCAGAGGTGGCACAGTCCCTGAAGCAGGAATGAAGCAGCATCCTCAGTACATGCAGATAATTTAACTTCAAAAGGGGGCCCTCCCCAGTAGCTGGGACCACAGGCATGTGACACCACGCCTGGCTAATTTTTTGTATTTTTAGCAGAGATGGGGTTTCGCTGTGTTAGCCATGATGGTTTCGATCTCCTGACCTTGTAATCCACCTGCCTCAACCTCCTAAAATGCTGGGATTTCAGGAGTGAGCCGCGCTGGGCCTGATGTTTTGATTTTTAAAGTTTTTCTGTTAATTACATATTTTCTTCACCAAAGAGAATGCATTTCACCACTAATTATAAGAACTTAACTTGCTTTCTGTGGCCATTATTAGTACTACATTCATTTACATCCTGATGGTTCCATGACTGATGTGGTCACTTTCCAGATTCTGCCTTCTATGTTTGCTCTCTCACAGTATGTTCTCCACTCAGCAGTCAGAATAAGCCTTTTAAAACATAGTTCAGATCACAACATTCTCTGTGGAAACCTTCCAGTGGCTTTCCATTAACATGGAATTATTTCCCAACTTCTAAAAGGCCCTGTATGATCTGCTTCTTGGCTCCCTCTACTCTTCTCATTCTCCCTTATTCCATTTCAGCTTTACTGGCCTTTCAATGTTCCTGGAACACTTTAAGCATTCTACTGTCTCTGTTCTCCCCTCCAGTTCTAACACTTTCCTCTCTGATATTTGCTTATTCTGGGAATTCTGATGTTCAGCCTGCTCCCTGATATCAAGTATCCATTTAACTTCTATCTTCCTAGAGAGTCTTTGCATGACCCACCTGTCACTCTCCATCACCGTACCCCTTTGTTTTTTTCCCCAATACTTTTCACAATTTTGATATGTTGATCATGAACTGTATCTTTTTGTGTGTTTATTTTCTGTCTCTTCTCCCTACAATGTAAGTTCTACCAGGTCAGGGGTACTGTCTGTTCATCTCTCATTGCTGTAGGCCTAGTGATTTTTAAAAGTTCCTGACACACAGAACATTCTTATTAAATGTTTTCTGAGTAAATAAGTGAGCATGATACCTAAAGACATTAAGCAGTCACAGTGAGGTACTATGGACCTTGAAGCAAGCCAGGATTTCTAAAGAGCAATTTAGAAGAGCTCGAAAGTAATATGAAGAACAAGTCAAAGACTGCATTGTATTAGGGATACTCACTCTACATTTTAATTTTTCAACTTAAATTTTTTTCTGGGGTGAGTTCATGTTAAATTTCTAATATAAAGCCTTATATTATGTAGATATCACTGCAATTCTCACCAATACAAAGATAACTCAAAAGAAAGTGCTTTAGTGACTTTATATATTGTTATAACAATATCTAAAATGGCAATTTGGGAAATTTGTATGCCCGAATACTATGCTGAATCCATAAATTCATGATTCTGCTTTATTCTTCAAGTGTTTATACTGACTTGTGTATGAAATAAGTAACAAAAATATTATCCTTATTTAGGATTATTTAATCCAGGTATGATTTTTATTGCTCTACAAGTTCACTGACTCTTCCATGAAATAATGTGTGTTTTTTTTTTTTTAATTTTTAACTGCTGGAGTTGTTACATACAAATAGATAATACTGCTAATAATACTAATTTGGCATATTTTTATAATGAGTAAATATTCTGAAAGTATTCATGTTTTCTGTTTATATATACAGTGGAAGAAATATTTGGTTTTTATTGTAAGGCTTTAATGTATTATTCACAACTTATGGATGGGAAAAATATTTTAAAACCATACATCTGATAAAAGCTTAACATGTAAAATATAAGGAACTCTTATGTATTAATCTGTGCTCACACTGCTGTAAAGGTACTACCTGAGACTGGCTAATTTACAAAGGAAAGAGGTTTAATTGACTCACAGTTCTGCATGGCAAGGGAGGCCTCAGGAAACTTAAAATCATGGCAGAAGGTAAAGTGTAAGCAAGGCATGTGTTACATGGTGGCAGGAGAGAGAGAGAGAGCAGGAAAAACTGCCATTTATAAAACCATCAGATCTTGTGAGGATTCACTCACTGTCATGAGAACTGAATGGGGTAAACCACCCTCATGATCCAATCACCTCCCACCAGGTCCCTCCCTGGACCCCTGGAGATTACAATTTGGATTACAATTCAAGAGGAGATTTGGGTGGAGACAAAGAACCAAAAAGAATAACTGCATTACAAAGTAGATTAAGGACTAGATAGACATTTCTTCAAAGAAGAAATACAGCGAGCCAACAAGTATTTGAAAAAATGTTCAGTGTCACTAATCATCAGGTAAATGCATATAAAACCACAATGAGATACCACTTCATACCTGTCAGAACAGCTATGATCAAAGGCAAAGGCAAAGCAAAAACAAAAGGTGAAAAAAAAAGACAACTCTTGGTGAGAATATGAAGAAATTAGAATCCTTGTACATTATTGATGAGAATACAAAATGGTGTAGCTGCTCTGAGAAATGATATGGCGGTTCACCAGAAAATTAAAAATACAACTACTACATGATGCTGTAACCCCATTTCTGGGTAATTATCCCAAAAAGCAGAAATCAGGATGTCAAAGAGATATTAGCACTACCATGTTCATTGAAGCATTATTCACAATTGTCAACATGTGGTAACAACCTAAGTGTCTATTTATGAATGGATAAAGAAAATGTGGTATATACTCATAGTGGAATAACATTCAGCCTTAAAAAAGCAGGAAATTCTGCAATATGCAATAACATGGATTAATCTTGAAGACATTATGCTAAGTGAAATAAGCCAGTCACAGCAATATGAATACTGCACGATTCCACTTATATGAGATATATAAAATAGTTAAATTCATAGAATCAAAGAGTAGAATGGTAGTTGCCAGGGGCTGTAGGAGAGGGAAATGAAGACTTACCAACAAATTGTTCAGTGAAGCCAGATTAATAAACTCTAGAGATCTTCTATATAACACTATACCAACAGCCAAGAATAATGTATTATATGCTTAAAAATATGAGGGTATATCTCATCATGTTAAGTATTCTTACCACAAAATAAAACTTTAAAAATATACACTTTACATATAATTTTTAAATCTTTAAATATTAACTTTTAAATTTAACTTTAAAGTTTAATGTTTTTAGCTTTCTATATTCCACTGGGAACAAAACAGTTTTCTTTGGGGCTTTGATATGGACATGTTTTGGTTTACGGCATGCATAGCAATTGGCAAGTACTAGAGCAGTGATGAACTGCAATCATTTCAAGACACAATAACTGACTTATATAATATAAAGTCAAAAATTAGACATTTCCTTTACACATTCTCATCCAACAAAATTGTTCCAGATTTAGCTACCATACAATCTGATTTCAAAGGTTAGAAATGTATTGAACCCAAATAACTTTTCAATGCTGCTTTTTCTATGTATGTAAATTAATATTTACAATTTACAGATGATCCATGTTAACAGTGCAGTTACAAATTTTAAAATTAAAAGATAAGGCCGGGCGCGGTGGCTCATGTCTGTAATCCCAGCACTTTGGGAGGCCGAGGCGGGTGGATCACGAGGTCAGGAGATCGAGACCACGGTGAAACCCCGTCTCTATTAAAAATACAAAAAAAATTAGCCGGGCGCAGTGGCGGGTGCCTGTAGTCCCAGCTACTCGGGAGGCTGAGGCAGGAGAATGGCATGAACCCGGGAGGCGGAGCTTGCAGTGAGCCGAGATCAGGCCACTGCACTCCAGCCTGGGCGACAGAGCCAGAGTCCGTCTCAAAAAAAAAAAAAAATAACATCTGAAGAATCAAAAATAAGTTAAATGACATATTAAGAATCTGAACATTGGAAGATAATCAGCATTACTGTTCTCACCACAAATAAATGAAAAGTGTTGGAGGTAATGGCTATGCTAATTACTCTGATTTGATCATTACATAATGTATACGTGTACCAAAATATCACACCATACCCATAAATACATACAATCCCACTACTGGGTATCTACCCAGAGGAAAAGAAGTCATTATTTGAAAAAGATACTTGCACATGCATGTTTACAGCAGCACAATTCACAATTGCAAAATAGTGGAACCAACCCAAATGCCGATCAGTCAACGACTGGATAAAGAAACTGTTTTAAATTCCTGGACACAAACACCCTCCCAAGACTAAACCAGGAAGAAGCTGAATCCCTGAATAGACCAACAACAGGCTCTGAAGTTGAGGCAATAATTAATAGCCTACCAACCAAAAAAAGTCCTGGACCAGACGGATTCACAGCCGAATTCTACCAGATGTACAAAGAGGAGCTGGTACTATTCCTTCTGAAACTATTCCAATCAACAGAAAAACAGGGAATCCTCCCTAACTCATTTTATGAGACCAGCATCATCCTGATACCAAAGCCTGGCAGACACACAGCAACAAAAGAGAATTTTAGACCAATATCACTGAGGAACATCGATGAAAAAATCCTCAATAAAATACTGGCAAACCGAATCCAGCAGCACATCAAAAAGCTTATCCACCACAATCAAGTTGGCTTCATCCCTGGGATGCAAGGCTGGTTCAACATACACGAATCAATAAATGTAATCCATCATATAAAAGGAACTAAAGACAAAAACCACATGATTATCTCAATAGATGCAAAAAAGGCCTTCGACAAAATTCAACAGCCCTTCATGCTAAAAACTCTCAACAAACTAGGTATTGATGGAACGTATCTCAAAATAATAAGAGCTATTTATGACAGACCCACAGCCAATATGGGTCTGTCATAAATGAATGGGCAAAAACTGGAAGCATTCCCTTTGAAAACTGGCACAAGACAGGGATGCCCTCTCTCACCTCTCCTGTTCAACACAGTGTTGGAAGTTCTGGCCAGGGCAATCAGGCAGGAGCAACAAATAAAGGGTATTCAATTAGGAAAAGAGGAAGTCAATTGTCCCTGTTTGCAGATGACATGATTGTATATTTAGAAAACCCCATCGTCTCAGCCCAAAATCTCCTTAAGTTGATAAGCAACTTCAGCAAAGTCTCAGGATACAAAATCAATGTGCAAAAATCACAAGCATTCCTATACGCCAATAACAGACAAGCAGAGAGCCAAATCATCAGTGGACTCCCATTCACAATTGCTTCAAAGAGAATAAAATACCTAGGAATCCAACTTACAAGGGATGTGAAGGACCTCTTCAAGGAGAACTACAAACCACTGCTCAACGAAATAAAAGAGGACACAAACAAATGGAAGAACATTCCATGCTCATGGATAGGAAGAATCCATATTGTGAAAATGGCCATATTGCCCAAAGTAATTTATAGATTCAATGCCATCCCCATCAAACTACCAATGACTTTCTTCACAGAATTGGGAAAAACTACTTTAAAGTTCATATGGAACCAAAAAACAGCCCGCATTGCTAAGTCAATCATAAGCCAAAAGAACAAAGCTGGAGGCATCACGCTACCTGACTTCAAACTATACCACAAGGCTACAGTAACCAAAACAGCATGGTACTGGTACCAAAACAGAGATATAGACCAATGGAACAGAACAGAGCCCTCAGAAATAATACCACACATCTACAACTATCTGATCTTTGACAAACCTGAGAAAAACAAGCAATGGGGAAAGGATTCCCTATTTAATAAATGGTGCTGGGAAAACTGGCTAGCCATATGTAGAAAGCTGAAACTGGATCCCTTCCTTAAACCTTATACAAAAATTAATTCAAGATGGATTAAAAACTTAAATGTTAGACCTAAAACCATAAAAACCCTAGAAGAAAACCTAGGCAATACCATTCAGGACATAGGCATGGGCAAGGACTTCATGACTAAAACACCAAAAGCAATGGCAACAAAAGCCAAAATTGACAAATGGGATCTAATTAAACTAAAGAGCTTCTGCACAGCAAAAGCAATTATTATCAGAGTGAACAGGCAACCTACAGAATGGGAGAAAATTTTTACCATCTACTCATCTGACAAAGGGCTAATATCCAGAATCTACAAAGAACTTGAACAAATTTAGAAGAAAAAATCAAACAACCCCATCAAAAAGTAGGCGAGGGATATGAACAGACACTTCTCAAAAGAAGACATTTATGTAGCCAAAAGACACAGAAAAAAATGCTCATCATCACTGGCCATCAGAGAAATGAAAATCAAAACCACAATGAGATACCACCTCACACAAGTTAGAATGGTGATCATTAAAAAGTCAGGAAGCAACAGGTGCTGGAGAGGATGTGGGGAAATAGGAACAATTTTACACTGTTGGTGGGAATGTAAAGTAGTTCAACCATTGTGGAAGTCAGTGTGGCGATTCCTCAAGGATCTAGAACTAGAAATACCATTTGACCCAGCCATTCCATTACTGAGTATATACCCAAAGGATTATAAATCATGCTGCTATAAAGACACATGCACACATATTTTTATTTTGGCACTATTCACAAGAGCAGACTTGGAACCAACCCAAATGTTCATCAATAATAGACTGGATTAAGAAACTGTGGCACATATACACCACAGAATACTATGCAGCCATAAAAAAAGATGAGTTCACGTCCTTTTTAGGGACATGGATGAAGCTGGAAACCTCTGAGCAAAGTTTCACAAGGACAGAAAACCAAACACCACATGTTCTCACTCATAGGTGGGAACTGAACAATGAGAACACTTGGTCACAGGGTGGGGAACATCACACACCCAGGCCTGTCATGGGGCGGGGGGAGGGGGGAGGGATAGCATTAGGAGATATACCTAATGTAAATGACGAGTTAAGGGGTGCAACATACCAACATGGCACATGTATACATACGTAACGAATCTGCACATTGTGCACATATACCCTAGAACTTAAAGTATAATAAAAAAGAAACTATGATATATATATATATATATGTAAAATACTACTCAGCCATAAAAAGAATGAATTAACAGCATTTGCCATGACCTGGATGAGATTGGAGACTATTATTCTGAGTGAAGTAACTCAGGCATGGAAAACCAAATGTTGTGTATTCTCACTAATAGGTGGGAGCTGAGCTATGAGGATGCAAAGCCATAAGAATGATACAATGGACTTTGGGGACTTGGGGGGAAGAGTGGGAGGGGTGCCAGGGATAAAAGACAACAAATGTGGTGCAGCATATACTGCTCGGGTGATGGTTGCAGCAGGATCTCACAAATCTCCACTAAAAAACTTACTCATGTAACCAAACACCACCTGTATCCCAATCACTTATGGAAAAATAGAATAAAATAATAAAAAATAAAAAATAGCAAACTTTTCAAGAATAAAAAAAACCAAAAAACAAATTAGTCAAATGGAAACATCCCAAATGTCCATCAACAAATGAATGAATAAACAAAGTGAGGAACACAAAATATGATTCAACCATAAAAAGGAATGAAGTACTGACTTGTACATGCCATCATATGGATGGACCTTGAAAACGTTATGGTAACTTAAAGAAGCCAGACACAACAGGTCACATATTATATCATTCTATTTATAGAAATACCCAGAACTGGTAAATCCATAAAAAATAGGAAACAGAGCAGTGGTTGCCATGGGATGAGAGGACAGGGAAATAGACAGTGAAATAGAATGTTTTCTCTTGAGGTGATGAAAATATTTTGGAACTAGATCAATGTAGTGGTTGCACAACATTATGGATATACTAAATGCCACTGTATTGTGCACTTTAAAATGGTTACTTTTATGTTACATAAATTTCACCTTAATTTAAAAAACAATTTGATGTGTTGATTATAGTTTATAAGGCTATTAGGATATGACAACCTGATACATTTTTACTCCCCTTCATCCCCCTCCCCCCTTACACTTTCCCTACACACAAGCACACACGCATAGGTGCACACACACACACACAAATGTACACATACCCTCTTGGCCCCAGACATCCTGCCTCCTGCCATTTCTCAAACATGCTACGTGTGCACCACCTCAATGTCTTTGCACTGGTTCTTGCCTCCATTTGGCATTCAATCCCCACAGTTGCCTTTAAGAGTTATTCACTCCTTTTCTTCTGTCCCTGCTTAAATATTCCACCTCCGAGAGGCTCTCCTTGACCACTCAAAATAAAATAATACACTCCCATCTCTTTCAGCCTGTGTTATTTTTCTTCATAACACTTATCATTGTTTTGACACATTATATTTTACTTGTTTACTCATTTATTGCCTATTTCTCTTCTACAATGTAAGGTCCATGAAGACAGATACATTATTTAAATCCTGTTATACCCTCTACATCTAAAACAGTGCCTGGCACAGAGTAGCCAGTCAGTTAATATTTGTTGAATAAATGAGTATTTTGTATATAAAGTTCCAAAACAAGTAAACATGATATGTTTAGACACACGTATATATGTGTCAAAGCCATCATGATAAACACAAAATTCATTTAGAGATTCACTCTGGAGAGGGCTTGAGGAGAAAAGAGAAGGAGGAGATCATGAGGGGTCTAGGAGTTTCAATTTTATGAGTAAATTTCTATATATTTTCTATTTATTTAATTGGATAACATTTTAAATAAGTGTTTTTTGTCTTTAAGATTTATGATATATAATATTGCATGCAATCTTTAACATGCATCAAATATTTCACAAAATTTTTCAACAGGTTAGCAGTATAATTATTCAGTAATATTAAACAATACTACGTGTGCTTACTTTATTAGTTGCTTAATTAAAAATAAATGACTGTACTTGCTTTCTCCTTTCAAGATTATTACTCTATTCTTTGGAAGAACATAGAAACATTTTACTATGACTGCACGAAAGCTCCAAAACTAAGAACCACTAATATTTGTAGGGGTGCTCCACCTTCAGTGACAGTGCCTTCTGTTACTCCATTTCTAACCTAAGAAGATGGATCTTTCTGTTCAGAAGATCACTTGTTGTTTCAAATTTATACTCATTTGAATCCGTCTTCTTTTGCTTTGAGTGGCATAAGTGATAAATGATTTTATGCAAATATTAACTTTAGAAATAAATTTTACATGTAACTAATGGGAAATCACATCTGAGCCCATCCTATCAAAAACAATTAAAATACATGCTTTCATCTAAAAATGGAAACATTTCACTATGATTTTAGTTCCTGTTCAAACAATAAAATTTATTCATTAGACTCTGTATCAACCTTTATTAGCCTCTCAGAATATTAATGTTACTTGCTAGGTCTGTGATACTTTAACTGAATATTCACAGCTTCAACAAGTTTGCTATGGAACAACTGTAAGAGATGATGATGGTGAATTTATCCCACTTTTCTACTTGTTATTTAACTCTGGCTTTTGACAATGTTCAACTTGACTTCAGACAGCAAACCTACCTTTTGGCTGAAAGAAGACTCTGTAAATGCACAAGGCAGATAATTTAATAATCCATAGTGCCATAAATAAGCACAATATCAACAATTAATTATGATCTATTTATATAATATAAAAATTTAACTCATCATCTACTGATTATGAAAATAACTCATTGCATCTAGCTAGATTTATTACCAAACACACAGCTATTGTCATAGAAAATTAAAGCTACAGAGATCTTTTATATATATATTTTTAGAGATAAATAAACCAAGCTTGTGATGGGGAGAAAAGACAGCCCATGTTTTATAGTAAGTGGCAGAACAAGACCTAGACTTCACATTTCATATTTTAGTAGTCTTTTTAGTACATCTATGGCAATGATTTACATACATAATATCTTGGTTGTATCTTACTATCCAGGGATATAAGCTCACAAGTTACTGAGAAGAAACAAGGAGTACTGCTTTGGCTAAGTGAGTTGTGACTTCATAACTGTGACTGCCCAAACTCAGTTAAAAGCCTGTCAAAATATTTCAAGTAGCACTATCAATCATGATTTAAAGTATACTGTGAATGAATAAATAGTGAATGAAACATGTTTAAACTATATAAATATGAGAACTTTTGGTTGTGATCATTTTTAAAAGTGATTTTTCCGTTTTCCTTTCTAAATTTGAGATTTCTAGGAGCTATTATTTGTGTGCATCTTTATTTTAAGTTGTATTCTGGCTGTAATAAATAAAACCTGTAATAAAGTATAATACTTATGTAGTTAATTTACTGAACTTACTGCAAATAGGTTCAAACCCAAAAGCTAAATTGCCCTCATAAAATACATACATAAATACTTAAAATGCACTTACAAAATCAGAAATTTTAAACTAATGCATTGACCCATTTTTGAAACAAGGCAGAATACAAGATAAGTATGGTTATTGATTAAGCTAATGTCCGTGTACCCGAGGAATGATTTGGTGAGAACTCATTCACGATTCTAGATGACCTACTACTGATCAGCTAGCTCTGCCAGAAGAAAAATTACTGAAGTGTACTTCATGGCTATATTATAGTGCCTCATCCCCATCTTCCTATAAAAGGAAGCTTCCAAAAGCCCATTGACCTTGCCTGTGTGCAGAGATGACCTTGTTTGTACAGCAGTCAATGCCAACATCCATCTTCAGTGTGAAATTCTGTCAATAACATTTTGGCTTTAAATTCTTATCTGTAAAGCTTTCTCTTTAAGAAAAAATTTGCTATTTGCTAACAATATAAATCTCCATAAAACTATCCTTTACAGAAAAGCTGAATTTAAATTGCATTTTAAAGGATTAAATATAAAATGTTATTTGAAAATAAGGATATATTTAATAATTTCATAGGAGGCACCAGGTGTATTAAATAATGAGCTTGAATTCAGGGATATGGCACCAATTGTCATGTAATGCCATTAGTATTTTTGGTAAGAAAAGGACATATACATCACTATATTGCCATCGCCTACCAGAATTGCAGTCATGGTCATGTAGACAGAGCCTTTACATGATGCAATGAAATAAAAGAGAAAATAATAGTATTTTTCCTATCAAAATAATTGTATATGTAATACGCATTGCCATCTGTCACATTCATAGGTCCAATTGTTTAAGCAAGAGAACATATAAATACTTCCATATCATTATTTTATTTTATTTTAGAGATCAAGTCTCTCACCTTTGCCTGGGCTAGAGTTCAGTGGCACAATCTTGGCTCACTGCATCCTCCACCTCCCGGGTTCATGCCATTCTCCTGCCTCAGCCTCCAGAGTAGTTGGGATTACAGGTGCCCACCACCATGCCCAGCTAAATTTTTGTATTTTTAGTAGAGACGGGGTTTCACTATGTTGGCCAGGCTGGTCTTGAACTCCTGACCTCGTGATCCGCCCACCTCGGCCTCCCAAAGTGCTGGGATTACAGGCGTGAGCCACCATGCCCGGCCCCCATATCATTATTTTTAAAAAATCACAAAACTACATTTTTAAAGAGTTAAAAAAAAAAGGTTTGCCCTCCTGAAACAGGGAATATCATTAAAAATAGATACACTAAGTATAACAAAGTAAGGCTATGAAGTAAAAAATAAGCACAAGAGAATCAGATAAAAGAAGAAAAGCCCAGCATATCATAATATTTTGACATCAGCTTTTGATTGCCATTTTACCTCAAGTCTTTTTTAGTTTCTTCTCTTGATCTGAGCAGTTGGTAGACAACTACACCATTTTTAACACAACTTAATAGAAGTCTTTATAGAAAGCATATTTTAAAGCTGCATGCAATGAGATACATAGAAGATAATTTTATAGTAGGTTTATTTTTCTGATCCCTTATGAAAACTGACAGACATATTATCTCTATATGCTAATTTGCATTCTTCCCATCTAGAATCAGGTGCCTTTGAGAAAAATTTAACATTTATAACTGAAGAACCAACAGAGTATTCAAATTTACAAATCTTTCCGGACCACCCATGTGGAGAACACTGGGCAAGGAGTTGTGAGTGCCACAGATAGGTAAGACAGACACATTGTCTGCTCAGGAGATAGCATGGAGAGATGAAAAGGGAACTGCCTGCAGAGACAGAAGGACCTGGATACAAAGAGAGCTTGACTGCTTGCTGGATGGTTGACCCTGCCCACCTTATTTAACTTCTGAGAGCTGAGACAACCCCCTGCTTAGAGTCTAGGGCATAGTAGGTATTTAAAAAATGTTAGTGCTTGTTTGTTAACCCCTTGCTTTCCCCACATTATGTACTATCTTACAGTTTAAATTGGAGACACAGGCATGTACACAATTAAGTATAACAAGAGGAAAGCACCAGAGATGCTACAATAGGAATACAAAGAAATTGCTTCTGATATGCAAGGGGAAAGCTTTTGATTGGGACTAGGAAGCGTGAGAGACTGTGGAGAAGACTGTTCAATTTGGCTTTAAAGGAATGGGTAGAATTTCAGTAGAGAGAAGGGTAGGAGAGTGTACTCTAAGTTTGTAGAAAAGCAAAACTGGGGCATATATGAATGAATGCTTTGGTAAGTGCCAGGCTTCATTCATTACATGCTGGCATTGTTCTAGGTGCAGTGGATACATGTAGTAAACGAGGTAAGACAAGAATTCTTTTCCTGAAAAAGTACAACAGATCATCCCTGTAGCTGGAAATAAAATAGAAACACACACACACACACACACACGCACACACAGGCACGCACACATAGATTTCTTTTCCCTGAAATTGTATCACCCAAAAAGTATTTGCTATGCATGTGCTATGTGCTTTAACTTGGTGCTCTGGAAAATTAAAAACCAATTAAATATGGCTAGTGGTTTCCAGAAATGTACAATCAAGTCCACTGGACAAAATGAACACATGTGAAATAATAAATTATCAAATGTTATGGCATGGACTATAAATGAAATCAGAGTTAAGAACAGAGGATCATATAGAAACATATTTCATTCATGGACCTTTATTGATACTTTCATTTTCACTATTTATTAATATAGACTACCTGACATATTTGTTTACCAAATTTGAATATGAACCAAGAATTCATTATTTGCATCTGTTCTCCTGAATGAGGATAAATAACTTATGGGCTTTGGAGTTCGGCATATCTGAATTTGAATCACTTATTTCCATTTTCTAGATAAATGACTTTTTTCCTGTTTTTAATTTTTTGGTTTATATATAATATCTTTATTGAAGTAAAAGTTATAGACAGTAATGTTCTAAAAAAATGTACCATTCAGTTATTATCACAAAGCAAACACCTGGGTAATCGCTTTGCAGATCACAAAAGAGAGCACTGCCAGCAGCCCTGAACTGCCCCGCGCCATCACAACCCTTCTATTTCCCCTTCTCTTCTTCCTACAGGCAACCACTATTTTGACTTTTAACTCAGTTGTTTAGCTTTGTCTAGTTTTGAAATTCATGTGAATAAATTTTTAGCTTCCTTTACATGTATTTAATGCACTTACACACACATTTCTCTTCGTATATGTTCAGCGGCAGGATTCCTAAGCCATTGGTCAGAACTATGTTCACTTCGCTAGGTACTGGCACACTGTCACTTTCACTCCAGCAGGTCTGGAAAGTTCTCTTGCTCCACATCCTCGCTAACTCTTGGAATTGTTTAGCTTTTTACACTTTTAGCCATTTTGGTGTGTAGAGGTGTATCATTTTGGTTTTAACTGGCATTTCTCAGTTAAAATAAGGATGAGAATGCTTAATGTATTTATTGACTTAGGATGTCTCTTTGGAAAAATATCGTTCAAACATTCGATTATCCTGCACTTCTGACAGACTAATACCGATTTTAATAGTGTTCTTGATATAGTTGTTGATAATATTGTACTTTTCCCCAAAAAGCTTTCAAGTAAATCTAGTCTATTCAAGAGCAGATTCTAAACCATCAGAAAGCATGCAAATCCTTCTATACTCTTAAGCTATTGGCTCTTCAAATTTATTTTCAAACTACTTTCAGATGGCCCTTCTGCTCTAGACATACCAGTATATTCAATTTTTCAGAATGCATGTGCTCCTCTTCTCTTTGTCTTTACACACCAACTTGTGTCTTTCCTTTCCAAATTAGAACCTTGTCTTCCTTCTCTCAACTTATTAGAACCCTTTGTATCCTGAGAAACCGAATTAATCTGCACCCTCTCTGTCAAAGCTTCCTGATCATCACAGCTGGAAACAATCTCTAACTTTTGAAAATCTGTAACAACTACTGAGATGTAATATGGTGCTTGGAGAAACTGCAGGCATTTGAGTCAAATAGAGGTGAGTTTTAAACTGTTTGCAAGCTGCACAATCTAAGTTTCTTAATCTCATGATGCTAGTTCTTTGTCTGCAAAATGGAGTTAATTATAAATCCTTTGGAGGGCTGTTACAAAAATTAGGTATGATCGACATCATAGCTGAACATAGCATAACAAGCCTGACACATAATATTGGCTTAAATAAATAGAAGCTATTACTTCTATAAGTTTTGATAGTATGACTTATTTAAAATTAATTATATACCTTTTTCTTGACAATTATCTCTTATGCATATACTGTACACATGCCACCAGGATATAAAACCCTTTAGACTAAGAATCATGTATATATCTTTGCATATGCCACAGTATCATGCAAATATCAAGTGCTTGAAAATGTTGATTGATGTCATATTTACTTATGAGTACATAATATTTTTAGAAACAGGCTTGCTGAATATTAAGTTGACAAAAGAGTTTACAATTGTAAAACATCTTCAAGTCTTGGTATAATTTGACTAGAATTTAAATCACTCCAGCTTTCATTTATGAAGGTAGTCACTGTAAGGTCTATAAAATCAGTGAAGACAAGCATATTGATTGTGCTCAACCACAGAAGCCTTCTTCTGTTGGATAATCCAATCAAATGTCATTTTGGCATAAGAGAAAAAGTAAGTTTGATGACAGGCAAAGGTCTCAGAGGTGGTGAAATCAATTTTAGCCATGGCAACAAGAGGGATCAATATGCAGACCACCAGTCTACAAATATACTGAAAGGTCTTATAGGAAATCAGAACGCTGACTGTGCTATTCAAAAAATGCACAAATATTGCTCTTCAAAATGTAATCATTTAAAATGTATGTGCTTTTATTGAAGAATTTTAAAAACATCACCAATCAGCCTGATTTAAGGAACATAGTGATCATAAATGTACTACACAGACATTTCATATTTCTGAACATATTCACACAGACATATATATATGAATACATACATACTAAGACAAATACAGAACAGTCCTTAACCTAGTTGCTCCATTAGAAGTACTTCCTTCTGATTACAAAATGTCATCTAGGTTACCTTTCATTCTCTTAGAACTTTTAAGAGTTAAACATGCCCAACTACATTCATTTAGCTGTATATTTACAAAGAACTTTGTGACCACTAATTTTAAAGAAAAATTGCTAATTGGCCACTGTGATTTCTAATATAGAACTCTCTAGAGACACTGAAGTCACAAGCTTAGGGCACTGAGACAGGGCCACATTCTTTTTTATTTTTTTATTTTATTTATTTATTTATTTATTTTTTTATTATACTCTAAGTTTTAGGGTACATGTGCACATTGTGCAGGTTAGTTACATATGTATACATGTGCCATGCTGGTGCGCTGCACCCACTAACGTGTCAGTTACATATGTATACATGTGCCATGCTGGTGCGCTGCACCCACTAACGTGTCATCTAGCATTAGGTATATCTCCCAATGCTATCCCTCCCCCCTCCCCCGACCCCACCACGAGGATGCATTCATTGTATGACGTTTCCTTCAAATGGCGGACTAGGGGCAGGCAGAAAAGAGGACTGCCAAATAGCAGGTATTCACTACCTTTTGAAGTTACCTCAACTTCAATGTACCCTTTCTGATAGTGCCTTCAATACAGGCACCATTCAGTAAAACAATTCAGTGTAAAAACAATTGTATAGAGCATCTTAGAATATGTTTTTCTATGAAAATAAATTATAACTGATCATTATTATCTAAAAGGGTTTTATAAACTGTTCCTGATATAGGATTGAGCTACATTTCTAATATTAAAATTAAGAGTTTCTAAGCTCTTTATGTCCTAAATCCAGGCAAGCTGTGACCAAAATTAGGAAAAGTAGAATTAGGACCTGATAAAAATTTTGATAGCATCATTCATGACTGTGTGAGGGAAACTGAAAGTGAGTGGTAAAGAGCAGAGCTGTTTGCCGGAGTGAGGGCATTCGTAATAACATATTCCTTTCTCTTCTTATTCCTTGGACAGAATTCCTACTTAGAAGCCTAAGAGTCAGAGCCTGCTTCCCCCATTTCCCTGTAACAAGTACATGTTTCCCCAAGGCCATGGGCAAACATGCAATTGAAGTAGGTAACTTTCACCTAATTAGGAAATAGTGGAAATCAATATAACTTAAAATGTTCTTTGGGTAAATATTTCATTGCATTGATTTCCACAAGTTATCTTTCACATACTTTCATGTTTATAAATGAGATTCAACACAAACATACTGTTTTTAAGTACTTTGCTTATTTTTCTATGGGTTTTATCTTTTCATTTGACTGCTTTTTATTTTCGGTTGCTACCGTATTAGACAATCTGACATAAAATCTGTGGTTGACAGCTAAAGAGTAATTTTATTCTTATTAGAGAATTTTGTATCACTAATTATAAAAGGTAAAATAAGAATCAGTTTAATGCTAATTATTGAAAATAAGAAGTAGATTATATCAAGGCCGTGGAAATAGTGATATAATAGCTCTTTTAAAATTCCTATCAGCCCATTGCTTTCACTTTTGTTATGGGAAAATATTTATTGTGGCAATGTTTCTTTTGTTTCCACTATAATACGAAAGTACATGGAAAATAAAAATATCAATTCATAGCACACATTTAATAAAAATCAACAGGTACATATGATATTTTTCTTTCGTTATACTTTTGTAGTCCCTTTCAAAATAATCTGTACCAGGTCTCTTTAGACATTTTATAAGTGTCTGTAGAATTTGAATCCAAAGGAACCAAAATGATTATTATGGTAAACAAACTCAGATGAACTATCTCAAGTATGTCCACACTACAAAGTTACAGAAAATGGCGTTGTATTAGTCACACATATTTCAATATAAAAATACTTTCTGAAGACCTAATGAAACATAACACATAATTTTCAGTTCTATATTGCTTTTGTACTTTGGTGAATAAAGAATTCAAAACGTTCAAAGCATTATATAAAAACGATTCAACAGCAGAGTCATAAATAAAAATCTGGCTTCCTGATTCTTGATCTCTAAAAATAAAAAGTCTTTATAGTAATATGAAGACTTTTGCTTTTTGAGAAATGATTACTAAATGAGAGACACAGGCACTAGAAATACAAGTAATGGCAAAAATCATACAACCCCATTTCTTTGAGAATTTCTTTGTTCCATCTGACAAAATTTTCACATCACCACTAAGAAAAATTAAGAAAAACTTGACAAATAATGGAGGTGGGGGTACACCGAACTCTGGATGGAGAGATTATGTGTGATTAAAGTTGTTAATTTTCCTAAATGTATTTAAAATTTCCATAATCCCTGACAAAAAATTACAAAAAACAGGAGTCTGCAGCTAGGAAAAACTATTAATCAATGAATTTTTGAAAGTTAATAATAGAGAAGGAAGAATGGCTTTACTAAATAGTAAAGTAAATGATCAAACAATAGAAAAGTTGTCTGGACCTGGTGAAAGAACAGAAGAATTCACAGGAATAATTGACAGGAAGATTAAAAAAACCAGAATATACTGGTCTGTTGTACGTAGTAATTACTAGAATAATAGATTTTAACTATACAAAGACATTTTTATTGTTCTCCGCTTGTCATTCTTTCAGGTCTTATTTTTAAGTTATTTCATTCTTCTGCCTTTAGTACATATTGTACACAATTTTTTTAAATAAGAATCCACATTTGGGATATGGTTCCTTAGAATAAATTACTAGACATGGTATAGATTATTATATTTGAGGTTTATAACATATGTGATTAAACAACATTTCATAGTTTCTACTTTTCTATGTAAAAGTTTCTATTTCAAAACACTGGGTGCTTTTAGGTTCTTTTTATTTATTTTAGTATGCAGATGTGGAAAAAGATATATTGTCCCATCAATTTGTATTTCTTTATTGCAATGTTCTTATATGTTTAGTAACCACCTGTATTTCTTCTTACATGAATTGTACCCTGGCTCTGTGGTGGTACTCAGAATCCAGCCCTAAATGAAGGCTTGAATGCCAGTGTATTGGACAGGTCCAGGGTGCCCTTAGTATTGGCATACATTCTAGATGTATGACAATCTTGGCGCACAACTTCCCAGAATGGCAATGGGGCTTCTGGGCTCTGTCATGTTGTCTATTGCTAGTACAACAGAGCTTGGTATCTTTTTGACTGCTTCAGCTGGAGCAGGTTTAAGACATGTACAGTTTTTAGAAAAAGCATAAACCCCCATTCATTCAGAATAACACTTGGGTGTATTTCAACGAACCTTTAAGTTGAAACTAATTCCCTTCGGATGAATAATATTTTTTGGATGGTTCGACTTTAAAAGACCGATGAACATTTAAGGTAGGTAGAGAGGTCATTTAGCTGTGAAAATGTTTACAGTCTTTATATGTGGCTAGCCAGCCGGAAACAGAGCTCCACAGGGTCTGAGCTTTCCAGGGTGCTTTGAATAGTCCCAGAACTTGATTTTCCTCCTCTTATACACATGGACAGTCAAACCAGAATAATGGGAACCATTCTGCATCAAAAGAATTTCTGCCATTCTCTTCTCTGAGGAAGGGTAAAAGTGGAAAGAAATCAACACACACTTAATTCAGGATATATGGTTAATGTATACTCCAAATCAACATGAAACACTATTTTGTAAAGGAAGAGTTCAAAAAAAGAAAGGCTTTTTGTTCTTTTTCCTGAATTTGGCTATATAATTATGGGATCATTTTCAAAAGAAACAGCAGGGAACCTGCCTTGCCTTTCTTAATTTTAGCAGGAGATAAACACTTTCACTTTCTGTGGATGAAAGGCACGTTCTTCATACACATTATCATGTTTTTCACATTTAATATTAACCTTTCTATTGACCAAAGCTACATTTTAAGCCATCAGCAAATCCATTTTTAAATGCTTTTATCAAATTAGAATAAGAAGATATTACACTGAGAACAAAGGTGAAGCCTTGCTTTATGACTCAGATGCAACTTCTGTTTGTCATTTTCCCCTAACTGCAATCAATAGATCATGCCTGAGTACAGTTCATCCAAAGAGCACTGAAGTTATTTAAATTCACCCTGCCAAGAAATATTATAAATGAACATATTAAAAATACCATAGAATATATAAATACCATAATGTTCTTCATGTCAAATTGAAAATAAATGAAGATCAGTTTTTTAAATTAAGAAGGTAAGAACAATTAGTAATTCATCACTGTCAATAAAGCCATAGATCAATTTCCAAAACATGAAGCTTAAACAACTTACTACTTACAAGTAATGGAAGTAATACAACTATACTATTCAACTATAGTAATACAACTATACAACTATTTCTGGCACATAAAATATATTTAAAAGTTACAGCTTTTCCAAATACTATTATGATATATCAATTGTTTTTACCTTTCTGTAGTTGTCAGAAGTGTATATGTATAATGCTTGGGTATAAATTTTCCCAATAATTATAAAAGATATTCTTACCTACATGATTCTACATTTCAGAGATGCTACAACATAAAGAAAAAGTGTACAATATGACTTCTATTCTTATTTATTTGCTAGATTATACTCATTTGGAACAGTTATTTTCATTAGTATATAAACCCATAAAAGGTCTTTCACATAAAACAAAGACTCTAAAACATATGGATATACATGTCCACATTCTAAATGTAACGTGTGACTGGAAAGCAAGAGAACATCAGCAGCACTGGGTGAAAACAGATTTCACTGCAAGAAAGTTATCTGGAATATTCCTAGACCAAATTTGTTTTATAGCCAGAGTTCATGGTTTAGTCTAAAGAAAGAGAGCAAGAGTGTGTCTCAACTTCCCTTCCTTACAGCTGTGGTTGGAGTTCTACGTTAAAGGATCTGATTATACCATTTCCCTACCAGAATATTTTCAATTTGAATTGTGTGAAACAGTCTCTTGAACCTGGCTTACCAATTCTCTCATGATCTGGTTTTATCCACAAAGATTCATCTCCTCCAGCTTTTCAAACACGAACTGTTCAGTAACATGCCCAACTATTTGCAGCTTCCCAAATATCCCAAGTTCTTCTATACTTCTGTGCTTTGCATAATCATGCTTTTAACCTAAAATATACTGACCTTCTTAATTTTTATTTACTCCTTGAGTTAACATGAGTCATCTCCTTTTTAAAAACTTCAGTGATCCTATGAGGCAGAGAGTATACTCTATCCACTGTGCCCCTTGGCACATTGAGCATGTCTCTAGTCCTTGTTGCACTATATTAGAATCATTTGATTACATATTTTCCCATCTCCAACTAAATAGTGCATACTTAATGGGCAGGGGCTGCTATTATTAATGCAGGTGTAATGCCTGCAACATAGCAGGCATAACCATGTGCCTGTGACATACCAAGCACAATAAATGTGCATATAATGCCAGTAACATAGCATGTAATGCCTAGTATACAGCAGTTCTGATGAGAGCTGATGGTTTTAAAAGTGTTTGGCAGTTCCCCCTTTCCCCTCTCTTTCTCCTGCTGCCATGTAAGACATGCCTTGCTTCCCCTTTGCCTTCCACCATGATTGTAAATTTTCTGAGTGAGGCCTCTTCAGGTATGTGGAACTATGAGCCAGTCTCAGATAGTATCTTTACAGCAGTGTGAGGATGGACTAATATAGTAAGCAATAAAATTCTTATCTGTAACCAAATTAAAAAAAATGAAATTTCTGTGCTCAGCTAACTTTCTCTCTATTGCACTCACCTTATACAGCAAGCACAATAAATGTGAAATGAAAGAATGAATGAGCCTAGGCAGCAGACTGAGAAGTCTAACCAATGATTAAACCAGTTTGTTGATAATGTTTAAATGTTGTTTCTAAGGTCAGAATTTTTCTCCAGTGTTCTAGCTCTCTAATGGAATGCATACCATAGCCATTTCCTGGGTTGTGTATCCTAGAGAAGTCAAGACTAAATATCCAGAAGGCTCTCCATATAGATTTCTTATTTAAAATTATTGTATATAGTTCTGAATCAAAGTTAACATTTTGGAATCTTAATGAAAATATAAGCCAAATATTTTGTGACAACATGTCATTTCTATCATGATCTCAGCAGCTATGATTTCTAGCAATTCAGTGTTCTGTCCAAAGGGAGATGAGAATCAGGAAAAATAAAAAAAAAGGAATCTTGAAACAAAATTGGCCAAAATATATATATATATATGTTGAGGCACTTTAGCCACTCCCACTCCACTGTCTCTCTGTTGGGCTAACTCTGCTTTTGTAAGGACAGTTGATGTTTTCTTATCTAACATCACATGCTCTACAAAGATGAAACCAGTTCTAGAAGAATCCTCTTCCAACTAGATTTTACTTTGCACTCTATCAAGAAATCTTCCATAGACAATTAACTTGTTTTGAAAAGCCACGTTAGATCCTTCCTTTAGTATAATCTAGGGGTTTTGCAAATGTTTTCATTGACATATTCTAAAGAAAAATGTAGAATAAATAGTTGGTTAGGGGTAAATTTTGGATACATCTGTGAGTCTAAGCCTAGTAGCCACTTATTCAAAGCAGGAACTTTCCCTCTCCTCTCTTTCTATATCACTTAGACCTCTTTTGGGATAAAAACAATGAAGAGACTTTACTGGTTTAAATAATGGCTTTAGGTAAGAATTAAACATAGCTTCAGGCTCGGCATGGTGGCTCATGCCTCTAATTCCAGCACTGTAGGAGGCCAAGTGGGAGGATTGGTTGATCCCAGGAGTTAGAGACCATCTCGGGCCATAGAGTAAGACTTTGTCCCTACAAAAAAATAAAAACTTAAATTAAAACAACTAGCTGGGCCTAGTGGTGCACACCTGTTGTCCCAGCTACTTGGAAGGCTGAGGCAGGAGGATCATTTGAGCCCAGGAGTTTGAGGGCTGCAGTGAGCTATGGTCATGCCATTGCACTCCAGCCTGGGTGACAGAGTGAGACCCATTCTCTAAAATAAAATAAAATGTAGAAAACAACACGTGGCTTCATGTGAGGATAGCTCTAAAGGCTCAAGTAATACCAATGAATATCTTCTCTGCTCTCTGCCTTTCATATTATCAAATTTATATAGTGACTGCAAAGAGCTCCAATGTCTCTTTTAATTATTTCTGTACAAGCTCTTGGATATATTCTCTCTGTTAGCTTGTACTGGGTCACATGTTCATCCTTAAAGCGATTATTACAGCCAAGTAGATGGGATATACTGCTTGCCTCGACTGGGAGGTAAGATCCATCCCAGCAAGCCTCAATAATTTAGGGGATTTCTTTTCCTCAAAGAAAAATCAGGGCGGTTTATGATAGAAGAGAATGAAACAATGTTGAGGAGGCAAGCAGCACAATGTATATTAATCTTCTATAATTTTATATCAATTCAGCAATTTCAATATAAGATCAACAATTCTAACATTTTAATGAGCTAATTTACTTAAATTCCTTACCCCTTTTTAGCCTACTAGCAAAACTGGAAGTCAAGAAAGTCAAGAAAATGCACTGTATTAATCTTGTAGCAAGCTATAGCATGTTCCCTGTTTCAACCATAGGTGCTCCTGAGATAAGAAATCTCATATTGAGAATCAAAGGTAAACAGCATCTCTTTTTTTACTTCCTAATGTGGGTTCCTGGTGACTTTTTTTTTGAAGATATATTTTCCTCAGCTTCGACTTAACACAAGGCTAAGTACCAGCGGTCTTAAAGTTTAAAGATTACTACAGCTTTCTTAATTATATTTAATTGCCTTTCTACAGCAATATTCCCTGATCATACATAAGTCAAGTCCAATTTCTGCCCACAGTCAGTAGCTTGTTGTCTTCTAAAAACAGAAAAGTACGATTCTAGTGACACATTCAGTATAGTTCTTATGTTATACAAATAAAAAACGTGCATTTCTAATCTACTCTAAAATTAGTAACATTGCTACAATACTTTTTATAAGTTTGGTCAAACTCACATAATCTTGTTCTATTCAAAAGATATTAGCTCAATGTCAACTCAGAGATATGTTTCTCTGTAAAACAGGTGAAATAATTTTTTTATTATAGAATTTTATTATATATTTATTTTCTGTTAGTGAATACAATAGACATTTATTTAAGGCCATGTATATGTGCTTTGAAAATGAGGTCACTTATCTGATGAGTGTGTTATGAAAATAAATGAGCTAGGCTGCAAATCATGTAATCAAGTTATTGGTAAGTGATATGGTTTGCGTGTGTCCCGACCCAAATCTCATCTTGAATTGTAATCTGAATTGTAAACCCCACCAGGCAGGGACCAGGTGGGAGGTATTTACATCATGGGGATGGTTTCCCCCATGCTGCTCTTGTGATAGTGAGGGAGTTTTGACAAGAGCTGATGGTTTTAAAAGTGTTTGGCAGTTCCCCCTTTGCTCTCTCTCTCTCTCGCTGCCATATAAGGCATGCCTTGCTTGCCCTTTGCCTTCCACCATGATTGTAAGTTTTCTGAGTGAGGCCTCTTCAGCCATGTAGAACTATGTGAGCCAATTAAACCTCTTTCCTTTATAAATTAGCCAGTCTCAGATAGTATCTTTATAACAATGTGAGGATACACTAATACAGTAAGCAATAAAATTCTTATCTGTAACCAAATTAAAAACAAGGCAGTCTCTATGCTCAGCTAACTTTCTCTCTATTGAACCCACCTTAGAGGAATAAAAGTAACAACAAACACTTAAATAGAACACACTAGGAACAATTCCTAGCATTTAGCATATATTAACTCATTTGCACTACAAAACAGCATTATAAACAGGTCTCATTTCACAGAAAAGGAAACGTAGTCACTGTGGATTTAAGGAACTTGCCAAATAAAGTGGCAAAGTTAGCATGTGAACCTAGAGTCAGTGCTGCAATGACCGGTCTCCAGAAAGTTAAAGCTCAATAAAACATGGTTTAATGATAAAATGCTGTGAGAGGAATCCTTCAAATTTCAAGTTTTTCTGTACATTTATTTTTTTCTTCCTATGAAAATACAGGAGCTATTTTGCTCCACTGTACTGGGACTTGAGTGTAATGGAATTTGAAGGCATACTGAGATGTTAATAGGGTGTGCAATTTGGTGTCATGCTTTATTCGACATCTGGTAGGCAAAGTTTGAATTTGCAGTGAGGGCAATAATAAAAGTTTACTTGAGGAGAAATTAAGAGTCATTTCTTGAAAATATGTGATGTTTAGGGATAAAAGAAAGGAATTAGTTATGGTTCAGAGATTTATTGACAATCTGTTAAGTGGAACACAGTGCTAGGAAACAGTCACACAAAAATAATTACGACATGATACCTACCCCATAGTAAGCAACCATATAGAAGGAATAGTGGGGAATAGTAAACTGTAAATGATTATATTCCAAATTCCATAAAATGTACAATGGTGTAATGAAGGGAGGGGTAGAAAAGCCAACTGGTAAAACGGACAAGACAGATGGTGGAGGACATTCTGCAATTCCCAAATGGACTTCACGCAGAAGGCAAAAGGAAGCCAGTAAAAAACTTCTGCCCAGGCATGGTGGCTCATGCCTGTAAATCCCAACTCTTTGGGAGGCCGAGGTGGGCAGATCACTTGAGGTCAGGAGTTTGAGACCAGCCTGGTCAATACAGTGAAGCCTGGTCTCTACTAAAAATACAAAAATTAGCCATGCATGGTCGCGGGTGTCTGTAATCCCAACTACTTGGGAGGCTGAGGCAGGAGAATTGCTTGAAACTCGGAGGTGGAGGTTGCAGTGAGCTGAGATCGTGCCACTGCACTCCAGCCTGGGTGACAGACCAAGACTCTGTCACAAAAACAAACAAACAAGATTTCAAGCAGCTGAATGATGTGATCAAGAGAGGATTTATGGTGGATAATACCATAACACTAGTATAAAGAAAATAATACCAGTATAAGGAAAACCTGATTCAAGGATTCCAACATCTCCACTTGCTGCTCTAGTTTTCCTCAACTAGTGTAATTCTTTTAAATTAGCACTGTCCCCTCCACTGTTGCAACCCTTATCTAAGCCACACTGTCATCTCTCATTGGAATTATAGCTGAAGCTATAGTCTCCTCACTGCTGCTTCTCTGCTCCCCTAAAGTTCGTTCTCAACAAAGCAACATCAGTGATTCTTTAAAAACATGTCGGTTCTGGTCATTTGTTTCAAACCCTTCAATAGATTCCCATCTTAGTCAGAATAAAAGCCAAAGCCCCTGAATGATCTCAAGCCTCTGCAGCCTCTTTAAATTCATCACCTAATAACCTCTCCCTAACTCATTCTACTCCAACCACACTGGCCATGTTGTTGTTCCTCAAATAGTCCAAGCATTTTCTACCTCTGGGTCTTGCATTTAATGTTCCTTCTGCCCTAAATGTTCTCTTCTCAAATTCGCATAGGGCTTACTTTCTCATCTCCTTTGTGTCTCTTCACAGATGTCACTCCATCAGCAGGATTGAGGATTGAATAAATTGTAGTGTTGTGAACTAGGTTGGAAAAATTGGAAGAGAAACTGACTTTGGAGAAAAGATGATGAGTTTGACTTTGGTACACAGTGAGGTTAAAATGTCAGTAGGGTTTGGCTGGCACTTCCGGGTATAGCTCTATAGCAGAGCGTTGAAATGAAATATTAACTTTTAAGAAAGGATCAGAGAAAGAATATAGCATATAGGAAACAGAGGAAGTAGCATGTGCCAGATTCAGTATGTCCACAAATTCTGGCAAGTACCTCTCATCAAAAGGTATAGTCTATTCCACTATTCCTTGAGCCTTGTTAGATTTGAGACTTGCTTTGACCCATAGAATGTGGCAGAAGTGGTCTTACAAGAGTTCAGAACCTAGGCAATAAGTGACCATTCAGCTGTTTTTCTCTCCTAGAACATTATCTTGAGACCACCTAGAAAAGATGCCAGTCTAGTCTACTGGAACATGAGAGGACACCTGGAGATAAAATGAGGCACCTTCATTGACATCAGTGGGGCCAACTTAGGCCATTCCACCCATGCCAGCTCTTCAGCTAAATACAGCTGCATCAGTGAGACCAGGCAAAGCCAACACAGAAACTACCCACCCAACCCAAAGAATTGTGAAAAAATGAAACAAACACAAAAAATTAAGTTTGGGGTAATTTGTTATGTAGTATACGTAGCTGGTATAGAATTTAATATGTAGCAATGAGATGCTGCTTTAAGAAATCTAAAACAAGTAGAATTGGCTTTGAGACTTGGGATTGGTAAAGGCTGAAAAGCAGGCAAGAAGACTGTTAGTGAAGGATAGAGACAGATATTAAATAATAAATTAAATCATTTGCCATAATTCTCCCATCAAGAGGCAGAGTCTATTTTCCTACCCATTGAATCTAGATCGGCAAAAGTAGGTAAGAAGATTGTTAGTGAAAAATTAGTTCCATAATGTACATATTACATCATGCAGTGATGAAAAAATTGGCAAAACTGTTTCTTGTGGAAACTTGCAAGATAGAAAATGTAAGTATTTCAAGAAATTCCCAGGAAAAATGTTAAAAATGTCCATTTAATGTTTTCTTTTTCTTCTGAGAATGATATGCTATTGGAAGAGAAATAGAGAAGAAATAATTCAATGTGCAATTGGAATTTAGAAGATGCCACAAGAGCTGTTATAAAATGAAAAAATAAAACTATTTCTCATCCTTACTTCTCTGGGAAAAAGTAAGAAGTGACCTAAGGTAAAAATTAATCTGGGATATAGCTAATAATTCTTTGATAACACCAGAGAAAGACTTACGTGATTCACAGAAGACCCTCTCAGCTAGACAGGGCTTTTAAGAATCTTAGAAGCATCTCCCACAGCAGACTCACATGTAGCCCAAAATAAAAAGAAGGTTGTGTGAAAAACAGTGATGGATATGGCTTTTGGGGCATAAAGTGATATCCAATGAGATATATAGAAAACTCAAAACGTTTTAAGGGTGTTGCATTGATAAAACTTTGCCAATTTAGACTTGGAGAAATTCAGACAGTTCAGAGTGAAAAAAATGTCCTCTGGCCTAATTTCTGTGGTCCAGAGGCCAACTGAGAAAGTTCCTCGGCTACAAATATAAGCCATTTCTTATGGAAAAGGAAAGATATTTTAGGGGAAAATTCAAGAGCTCAGAATGAAAGAATCAAGAAAACAGTGGACTAGGAAACGATTCCCAGAGAACAAAAGTAGAGCCTAATCAAGGAACTTACTCTGTTCCTGTTTTATGGTGAGCAGCTGGATACATATATTTATTGCAGCACTATTTACAATAGCAAAGACATGGAACCAACCCAAATGTCCATCAAAGATAGATTGGATAAAGAAAATGTGGGACACATACACCATGGGATACTGCAGCCATAAAAAGGAGTGAGATCATGTTGTTTGCAGGGACATGGATGAAGCTGGAAGCTATCATCCTTGGCAAATAAACACAGGAAGATAAAACCAAATACCACAAGTTCTCACTCATAAGTGGGAGGTGAACAATGAGAACACAGGGACATAGGAAACAATACACACCAGGGCCTGTCGGGTGTGGGGAGCAGGGAGAGCATCAGCACAAACAGCTAATCCATGCAGGACTTAAAACCTAGGTGACAGGTTGACAAGTGCAGCAAACCACCATGGCACATGTATACTTATGTAACAAACCTACAGGTTCTGCACTTGTATCTTGGGACTTAAAGTGATTTAAAAAACTGTTATAGGGCAGAAATGGCTGAATGCTTCCTGTTTTTCTCATTTTTGAATGGGAGAGTGCTTTTCCACTCTCTTTCACAATATTGTATGTTGTATATTTGAAGGGAATTAGTGGAAGATACCTTGTTCTTTTCATTCACAGACCTCTGATTCAAGAGTAGCTACATTCATATTTGAAACAGATGCAAATCATGAGATAGTAAACTTTAAGCCTGATAATATAATTGCATGAGAATTTTTGTGGTCTTGGATGGGGAGGGTGTATATTTTGCATGTGAGAGGATTGAAAATAATTGTAACCAGAGAGTAGACCATAGTAAATTATTTGCCATAATTCTTTGCAATATATTCCATCAAAAGGCAAAGTCTATTTTCCTACTCATTAAATCTGGATTGTCACTTGTGACTTGCTTTGACTAGCAGAATGTGGACGAAGTGATATTGTGTGAGTTCAAGAGGACTTTCAGCTTTTGCTTGGTCCTCTTGAAGTTATGCCAAAAGCCACCATATAAAAAGAAGCTGATCTAGCTTATTGGAGGATGAGAGTCCATGTACCAATGGGGTACCAATGTACCCCAGCTGACAGCACCAATGCCAGATATGTGAGGGAGGACACTTGGACCTTTCAGCCATAGTCAAACTTCCACAAGAGAGCTCAGGTGAAACCTTAGCAAGCACTTCTGCATTCTCATGATTGCAGCCACTAAGTTTTGAGGTGGTTTGTTACCTAGCAATAGTTAAATGATATATGGTCTGAGAGGTGGAAAGAGAATAGGGAATACAGAATCAATGAAGTCATGGGAAGACAATATTTTACAGAGAAGGTGGATATAAAGGGAATCAAAGAAGCAAGCAAGAGGCTCACTAATGTGAGGAATGCATCTGTTGGGTTTAATAACTAAACTCCTGCCTAATTTAACTGAAAGTTATGCTTTCTGTCCAATGTCCATACTGGCTTTGGCCAGGCACAGTGTCATGTGACTGTTGCCCCAGCTACTTGGGATGCTAAGGCAGGAGGATTGCTGGCACCCAGGAATTCAAGACCAACTTGGGCAACACAGTGAGACCACATCTCTAAAAGGAAATAAAGAGAAAATTGGTTGCTCTGTGTTGTGTTAAGGTACCCACCACCTATGACAAAGTAAATGGCTATTTTATATTTGCCATTTGAAGTTGTAGCTAACATTCAGTGGGGAATTTGTATCACTAAGTGGTAAATAATTATTTACTCAATTTTTATCTGATGTCTCTGCTGAATCTACCCTACTTTAAAAAATAAAATACATAAAATTATATAGAAAATCCTACTCTTTGCTACAACATTGCCATTCAAAAGAACAAAGAACATTGGTTCAACTCTGACGGTTTTTTCTAAAAAAGTATTTTTTACTAAGATATCCAAGTGTATTGTAATACATACACAGACACATATACTAACAGATAGCAGACAAATCAGAGTATCTGATGCCAAGTTTTTATAGTCCAAAATAAAATGGTGATTACTACACACCAACACTGAAGGAAAACATATTGCTTGAAATTTTCTAAAAGGTTATAATGACTTTTATCTTTACAACAAATTGAATAAAGAGTCTCAACCCAATTACAGGAAACAAACTCCTACCAATAGTTTTAGACGATCCTAATTGTAAGTGAGAGACCTTAGATTTAACATAATATCCAACCTAATTATATTTCAAACACATTAGAAGACATAACATTCTACAGGAAGGAAACTTTGTTGACTTATTGCTTAAATTATGGAAAAACGATTCAGTTATAGGATGGATTCTTGCATTTAAAAGAAGTTTTTTCTACATAATGGCCTTGTAATTTGTGTTAAGAAGTAGATTCCAGTTCCAAAGAATGATCATGCATTTGAAGTTGTGCTCTCATCTAGTTCCATAGATATTTGAATTGATCTGAACTCAAGGTTCTCACCAAGGTTTCAGAAGCAAATCTTATTTAGGTGAGTTTCCATTCTATAAATATATTTTAACTTTTTGTCTACCACTCTCCCTTGTACATTACAATGTCCTTGTTTATCATTAATAAATGATAAAATATGGCACAAAAGGTACTCCCCTGATAGAAAGGCACAAAAATATTTATAAATGTGCTCTTCCATTTTAAGTTATTGAAAAGATATTCTAACATTTTCCAATATTAAACAATCTTAATGTCTGCTACTTGGGAGTCTTCAGGTTTTCCAGCCTTCTGAAGCTCCTTTCTGCATTAAAATTCAAATAGAATTATTTCAATTTCATTGGGAATCCAGGAACCTCCTAAGTGGCAGCGGACTGGAAAACTGCATATTCTCGTGGGCCCAGAAGACACTGTTTAATCGGGTCTTTGGTTCCTTTTAGTTTATACAACATTTATATTCCTTACCACATAATTGGATTTCGTTTTGTAATGGGTAGTGTTGCTGGCCAGTTTGGATCCCATGTGATCCCTTTCACTGGATCTCTGCACCCATCTTTCAGATTCTGCAGCTTCAGCCTCATCCCTGACTTTAGGCTGATTGCCCTTTGACACTAGGTTTTTCTGGCCAATATGGAGAATTGGAAGTTTCTGGGACTCATCTTCTTTTCTCTGGAATTTGCCTCAAGTACACTTTCCTTTTGCTGATTTTGTTTTGCATACTATTGTTTTAATAAGTCATGGTTATAGGTACAACTGTATGGTGAATCCTCCTAGTGAATCACTAAACCTGGGAATGGTTTTAGGAGCTCAAGACCCTTTCTCTTTTCTGTATTTTGCTTATTCATTCCCCCTTTTCTTACTGGTTTCTTCTGGGAGCACATCCTTAATAAGCTCGATGCATCTTCATCCTTGACCTGGCCTATGCTTCTGGAACAATCTATGAATATTCTGAATCAGTCAAAATATTAGTCTCAACTATGAGTTCTATAACTTCTCTTTTTCTATTCCTGGCATGCTTGCTTTGCTCCCAATCTTCTACCGATTGTCCCACTTACCTCTGTCCCCCTTCACACTGTTACTTTTTAATAATATATGTCTGAAAAAAAATTCAGTATTCATACAGTTTATATATTGCATACAAATTGTACTATAAGACTTAAAATAGGGCATTATCTTTCCCTATCTCTTTCCACAATGAGTCCTATTCTCCAGTGGTATAAATTTTCAAAATTCTTACATTTTCCTGAAGATACTGAAATGATATGCCCCCATATTCCTCCTAGTGCTAACTACATGGAAACAAAGAAGTATGACAAGAACTACTTGGGAAAGAAATAGTACTCAAGTTTTCCCCTTCCTCATCTTATAGGCGGAAACATATCTTATTACAGAAGGAAGAAATTGGTGGTAAAAAGTTGAGAAAGATTAAGCAGTCACATGGCAAGCCAGTGCCCTGGATACTAAAGTCAATGATATAGTTTGGATATGTGTCCCCACTAAATCTTATATTGAAATGTAATCCCCACTGTTGGAGGTGGCGTCTGGTGGGACGTGATTGGATCACAGGGGTAGATTTCTTATGAACGCTTTAGCACTATCTCCTTGGTGCTGGCCTTATGATAGTGAGTGAGTTCTCATGAGATCTGGTTGTTCAAAAATGTGTGGCATCTCTCTCTTCTCTCCCTCTGTTGCTCCACTCTGTCATGTGAGATGCCTGCTCCCACTTAGCCTTCCACCATGAGTAAAAGCTTCCTGAGGCCTTACCAGAGGCTGAACACCTAACAGTGCCATGCTTCCTGTACAGCGCCATGCTTCCTGTACAGCCTGCAGGACTGCGAGCCAATTAAACCTCTTTTCCTCTTGCATAAATTACTCAGCCTCAGGTATTTCTTTATAAGCAATGCACAAATAGCCGAACACAGTCAACTTCCCCCAGGTGTTTTCAAAGCCAGTTCTTTTGATACTTTTGATGATATGTAGAAATGTTCCCAAAAGAGGCAGAAAAACTTGCTTTTAGGGCTTACCTCAGTGCTCATCTCCACATGTGCTTAGACATAGGCCTTCTTCAGCATTACTAGAAGCCAGCCGGTTTGACATGGTGCTGAGAGTCTTTGGATAGCAGAGTTACTCCCATTCAAGAATGGCACAATACACAAGGATGGCCCTAGCCGGTGACCTTCATTACTCTTATACTGTAACATTAATAGCTGGGTAATGCTGAGTTGCAATGATTTACTTCCATAAAAGTATGTTTGGGTTTCTTAACAATCTGGGTCAAGGAGGAAAGTGAGTTGCCTATGCCCATGTCATTGGTTAACTTTGCTAATGTGGGGAAAAGAAAAGGAAGATAGCATAGAAGTTCAGGCATTTGAAACCACTGAGGTGTACTGCTTTAAAAAATAATGCAAAAACAAACAAAAAAATAACATAACTGACTTTTTTTTCGAAAGTCACATGGAAAAGTGTCAATATTCGATATCTGAAATAGCACACATGATAAGGAAATATAGACAGCATCATTTTTTTTGGCAGAGGAGAAGGAAATATGGAAACAATATTTGATTTACACTCTCAAGTAAGGAATAATACTTTTTTCCCCTTGCTCCGGTCCAATAGCCTGGTTTGTTCAGCCTCTAACAAGCCAATTTAGGAAACAAAATACACTTGCTTTGCCAGATTTACACCTTTAAATGAAACATATTCAAATATCAGAAAAATTAAAATAGGGCGGGTTTTGGGTCATTCCCCAGACCACAGATCTTTGGAGTAGGTTCCTGCGTTTGTGTTCAGAGACCTGGAATTGTGTATCCGATGATCATGAAGTAATGAGCAATATTTGTTCTATTACAGTGAAATGTTTATCTCTTTTTGGAGAGTCTAATCGTCTTTTGTGCTCTCTTTTGTCTTGCGACTCTCTTACATCCCTCTGTTTTCTTCTCTGACAGAGAAGCTATGCAAAACTCCTCCTGGGGTCTCTTACAACCCTCCCCAAGCCTCCTCCTTAGAAGGGAAATGGAAAAATGAACAGCAGCAGCAAATCTTAATGATCACTGGGAGTCTGGACAAAGAATATTTCAGAAAACAAATAGATTTTAAGTGTTTTGAGGTCATTAACAAAGTTGTGAAATCTGTGAGGAATGTGGGAGCAAAAAAGTCTTTTTATTATTTCTTCAGTTCACAGGCTCTAATGCTTCATGCCCCTAGTCGAGCTTTAACTTAATTATAAAACAAAATGTATAGCTGCAGCCCAGGCCTAGAGGTAGAGTCTACAACTAATCAACTTTAATTCCCTGGGCCCAATTTAATTACAAAACAACATTTGGTGCAGCTGCTAAACACTTACCAGGTGACCACATGATAATATGGGAGCAGTAGTTACAAGTCTCCAGCTTTTTCTTTCATTCTATCAGCCCAATTATGTCTCAGTTTATATACAAATTTGAGTGAGTTCTAGGATTCATAATAAAAAAATAATTTTCTTGATTTTATACATCCATGTAGCTGAAACAGCTAATGTATTAAGTTGTACTACAACTAATTAATGTCAGGAAATAAAATTTAATGGTGGAAAAGATGTCCTGTAAAGGACAATAACAAATTTAATAGCAGTTGCATACTTACCTTTTTAAAATTCATTCCGTTTGTGATGTACACAAAGTAAAACCAGCTCATTTGTATTGTGAGTTATCAATTTGCTTTTTAGGTTATAACATACATTGCCAGTACAACTACACACATCTAAGTCATACCTCTGCTTGTTTTTTAGTGTTTTTTCACAAGACAAGCTAGGAGGTAATTACTTGTGTTGCAAAATAAGTTTCACTTAACAAAATGAAAATAAGCCACTGATATTTTTTAAATAGCTGGCTCCTTTAGTCTATATAAAATATATTCCATTAGCACAAATACCAGGAAGATCATTGTACTAAGTGGACTAAATCTGATTTTTTCATTGCATAACACTGAGGCAGAAGTGCCATGCAAAGTTAACTTTTTAGCGTTTTGTTTCACTCAAAAATACTTTTCACAATACCTGAGACCCTAATTCCTCTATAGGACTATGGAAGGACAAGCAAAATTATTTGAACTGAGAAAAACGATCAAGTACTATTACTGAGGGAATTCAATACGACCCTGACTGTTTTTACAGCAATTCAGAAGGTAACAGTATTGTGTAATCCAAACTAGGATTTAAAGTGTGAGTAAAAGAGAAACAGAACATGCTTCTTTTGCTTTCTTGCCAATCTCTGAGTGTTACTTCCTCCTTTTTTTCCTCTCTTTATTATAGAATAAGTAAGAGCTAAACAGAGGACATATCACAGCAGATTATGCTTATCGTAGCAAAAAAGCAGAATATATAAAATTCATCATAAAAGATCTGGAGCAATGATCTCCTTCTTCCCATTTCAAACTCAAGCACTGGTTCAGATTTTACCTAATACTGTCTCGCATGACTATATTAGACCCTGGACAAAGACAAAAGGCTAATTTCTCAGTAATAGCAGTGTCTGTCAGTCTCCCACACCAGAGAGTGTCTTTCTTTACGACTGAACAGTGACTGAGTCACAGGAGGAAACAATTCTGCTTACTGGAAGAAAATAGGATGGAAAGAATTATGACGGTTACCAGATGTTCCAGTACCCCCAAGGGGGCACCAGGGTGTTTCTGCACATGCTGTAAACAGCATAAACTGTCAACTGTTGGACCCTGGGGTTTAGCACTCATGCTTCTCTGATGTGCAGAGTCATAGGATTCAAGAGATAGAGCAACCTTAGAGATGATCTTGTCCAGAGGTTTTAAAGTATGTCTGGGGGAGTCTTGTGGTTTTCAAGTGTGACTCAGGGATGACTTAGAGGTAAGGAGTTCTCCCCAAAACAGTAGCAGTACTCTTTGGAAGGAAGGTAAAAATCTTATATCAGAGCTAACATCAAGACAGTATATTTTATCAAACAAATATTAGTTGTAAAAGTCCAAGGTAATTCCTGAGGTTGGGGAAAAGAATCTTGCGGAAAGCCACTATCCAGTGGCTCTAGGACATTCCTAAATAGTGGAGCCCTAGAGAGCAAAAGGTCGGTTCAGGAACTCTAGGCTGTGGTAGGCCTCGTGGATTGGGAGCCTGGAAATTAAATGATAACACTAAGACACGATATCAGGGAGGTTAAAGGAAAATACTTTTAGAGTCAAATCAAACAATGCTTACAACCCTTTTTTGTTTACATTTCATTTTCTATAACACTGGAGCTATAGACTTTTTTAAAAAAGTCACTTAAAAAAGTTACCTTTACTTGTTATTGTTAAATTTGGCAATTATTGCCCTAATGATAATTCAATTCTTATGTTATATGATCTGTTCTGTTTTCACATTTAACATTATTTTGTTACTATTCATGGATCCTTCCCACTGCCACCATTTCATTAGAACAAAAGAGAAAGAGACAGGGAAAGAGAGGGAGGGAGAGAGAAGCAGCTATTTCTACGTTTGTAAACAGAATCAGTTATAATGCGAGAAGACACAGGATTTTAACAGAAAGTAAAAACATATATGCAGGGTTGGACATCCATAAAAACATAATAGATACGTCTGTCTTACCATCACTGTTGATGCACACAACCTCTTGAACTTGCGTGCCTGGACCACACTCCTTTCCGTTATCTGGCTCGCAGTTTCCCAGTCTCACTGCTTTCCAGTCATAACAGGCAGGCTCTTCACAGGGAATGGCTTCCAGTAAGTGAGGGCAGTTTCCGGTTACCCCAGAGCCTCCAGTGGGCTCATTGGTAATGCGCCGCTTCCTCAGTTTGAAGCCTGAATTATGGGGGAAGGAAAAATCTATTGTTACTATCAAAGGTTTAGTATTTCAGAAAGTTGAATAAAACCTCAGAGTAAAAGTTGGATAAGAGTGGAGGTAGAAGTCATTTCTGTTTTGAGTCACTGGTGTATCCCCAAACTGTAGCTAATGTGAGGTCATGAACCATCCATTAAATGAGTGAGTGGATTAACGAATGGAATGAAAAAAAATGAGAACCTTTGGTTTTAGCTTACTACTGCAAAGGTAAGGCTAGAAATGTCATATAGTACCCATCTCCCTTGTAGGGCGTAGAGGAGTAGGGTGGGAACAGAGAGAGAGATAAATTTTGGTCAACTTGGAAAGTCTGTAGCTATAGAATATTCAAAGAAGGAGTGAAATTTCAAGCTATTTAGAAATACCGATGACCAGACAAAAGTGCTATTATTCTTAAATCTTCAGCAATGTCACATGATTAAATTTGGAAAATGAACCTCTAAGAAGTTGGATGGTTCCAGAGAAACAATCTCTTTGAGGTTCAGTTGATTTTAGACCCTCTGGAAATTTGAATTAGGAACATAAGCCATGTGGGCTCCAGTGTGAAATATTCAAAGTCCTGCTTTGTGCTTTAATAGCACCTAAATGCTGCCCTTCATGAGAGTGTGTAACAAAATTAACAAGTCTGTTTATTGCTATGTAAACATACTAGAATCACTAGAAGACTGGTCTTTGAAACAAAATTGAAAAATGTTTTCAATCATGAGATCATGTGAAAATTAGCTCACCACGTCTACCATAAGAAAACCATTGCATTTATTCTATTCCTCTATCATTTGCATATGAAAGTAATACAGTTTTTACATTTTTTTCTTCAAAGTAATAAGCAGCCTTATTATTGGGCACTAGGTATGGGTCAGGCACTGAACTAAGTGCTTTATGTTTATCTGATTGACTGCTTAGAGACAATCTGGATGGCAGATATTGTTACATCCCTTTTACAGATAAGGGGACAAAGGTTTAGATATGTTAGTTAACTTATCTAAACAGTAAGGGACACAGTAGATTTTCCAATCCAGGCCTGACCCCACAGCTCATCCTAACCATTGCACTAAACTGTCTCAGATCCTCTCCATCATGTTGTCTAAATTAACAAGCATTTATGCCTATGTTCTTCTGTTTTAATCTTCTGGTACTATCACTGGAGAAGGTTAATTCATCTTTTGAAATTAATAGTCTTTAGCCATTCTGGAAAATACCACAAACAAGGAACACAGAAGAGCATTTTAAAAATAATTCATGATTTGATACAATTGGTGGGTATAAAAGGCATGTCATGGTCACGTTACCTACCTTTTTTCCCTTGCTGATCATTACAGTTTTCATAAGTACAAGGTCCCCAAGCTGACCAAGGTGAAACTTCACATTCAGTTGGACAAGGAATGTGGCACAGCTGTGTAGTATTAGGGATAGGTCCAGTGCATAATTTTAAGTCCATTGGCTTTGAGGCTAGAGAAAAATACAGACACATATTAAAAAATGAACAAAAGGAACATATATGGCCAACAATATGATTTTTCTGTGTGTATGGAAAAGGAAAATCCTTAAAGAAGTGCTACCAAGACATTATTCCAATGCTTCTCAGCCACATCCTGAGAATAAAAAGAGAACGAATGGAAATAAAAGAGGCAATAAAGTGTAGTCAAAGGAAACTGGAGATGTCTTGCAAATTGTTTGATTACCAGTTTTACCATTAATTGGTCATGCAATTAATAATGCTGAATATAACTTTCCTAGTCTGCAAAATATTCCTTAAGGTTAGATCTAAAATTCTATAGCAATATTCTAAGAAAGTAAAAGAAAACTTCAGAGGACTGAACAAAAATAGGAGGGGGACTATAGCTTCAACATATATGAAAAAAATGTCCACTGAGTAGTTCCTGGTGGAGAACTCTCCCATCTCTTTTGGTTCACCGGGATTGAGAGGTAGCAGGTGAGATGAAGAAGGATCTCAAATGGGGGCTACTCTCTGTACCCCCCAGCTACAGTGCTCACTGAATTATTTCCAAAATGTCTAAATAATAACACATTATCTGCATATGTGACACAAATCTAGTAATCACTAAGGATGCTAATTTATAATTATCTACATTTGTTCATAATTTGACCAATAAACTGTGGATAAATGTTGCTTGTCCTTGTTTTTTTGTTTTTTTTATGCCTGCAGTTTGGCTCTTTTGTATATACTTGACAGTTAAGGTCAATATATATCCATAGTTCTGGACATAGAACTAACTAAAAATGACTAAGTGATGAAGATATGTAAAACTATATGGACAGAGGAAGAGAATCAAGTTTAGCTGTATAATATCTGTCTATCTATCTATATAATATCTGTCTGTCTATCTCCTGATGCCATATTTGCTTTTGTTTTAAAAAAAAATCTAATACATGGCCAGGCACGGTGGTTCATGCCTGTAATCCCAGCATTTTGGGAGGACGAGGTGGGCAGATCACGAGGTCAAGAGCTAGAGACCATCCAGGCCAGCATGGTGAAACCCCGTCTCTACTAAAAATACAAAAATTAGCTGGGCGTGGTGGTGCACACCTGTAGTCCCAGCTACTTGGGAGGCTGAGGCAAGAGAATCACTTGAACCTGGGAGGCAGAGGTTGCAGGGAGCTGAAATCATGCCACTGCACTCCAGCCTGGCAACAGAGCGAGACACAGTCGGAAAAAAAAAAAGTCATTTTCTTGGTCACACATTTCCTGAATAATAGCTAGTTCCAGTTCCTTTATCACTCTCATGATTGGGTGAGCCCACACTTGCAGAAAAAATGACTTAAATAATGGATGCTTAGCTATTTCTCATTCTCCTGTGTGAAAGGACTATCAAATTCCAATTGCATAGGATTGCATGCAGAAGCTCACAGAGAAATTAAAAAAATTTAAACTACATTTTCCTAACTTTTAAATGAAAGTACTATGTCTGTTTGTAATTTAAACTTGAAGACAAATTGTAAGCACTTTTACATCCTATAAGTTTTCACACACACGAGCACACAGTCATAAATGCTATCTAAAGCCTATGACATTGATTCCTCTTACTACCACAGTTTTTGTTCTGAAAAATATTCTGCCAATTTTATGTCTGCTTTTCTCTACTAGTAGTGCTTATCTCTCTCTCCACATCTCCCCCGCCTCCCCACCCCCACCACTCCCACACTCGCCACTACAGTGAAAATAAATAACTGGGCACTAATTGGCTTAGTATGAGCACAGTGAGCATTCTCACTCGAGTTCAACAGGATTGCTGTTTATGTGCATCACAACAGCAGCCGAAGCCAAAAATGATTAATTTCATTGCTTTCCAGGAGCAGAAGTGTTCAGCACACTAATGACATAAAATATAGAAATTAAAAGCTTCACTCTCTGAATATAAAAAACTTGACACCAATGATACACATTTCATATAAAAATGGATTCTTTTAAAGACATGTATAGGCAGAAGAGTCTATACTATGTAGCAAATTAGCTGCAAATTAACATAAGTAATGATTTTTACTTATGGAAACTTTCGGAGTATCTAATTTAAAATGAGAGGTTTTGGGTAGAAGACCTTAAAATCTCCATTTTTTCCTTCAATTGATGAAAAGTCATTTTAAATCTTGGTGCTACTATATTGTTTTTGAAATAATAATTTATATAAAATAAAATTTACTGGGTATGAAATTGTGAGGAATCTTATTAGAGTCTGAATTTATTTTATATATAAAGTTGAAAACTTTAGGAAGCAAACATTGTTTTATTAAGAAAACAGGTTAAGCAAGATGGCTGACAGGAAGAGCTTCTCCCACCAAGTGACCAGACCATTAAGAAGACCTGCACCCTCCAAGCAGATCTTCAGAAGGATGGCATTGAAGGTGGACAGAGGGAGAACATAGAACCTGGGCTAAAAGAAGAGGAAGCTGGGAACTCTGCACTGGGCTACTGAGCATCAAGATCCATTCCTGGCCCTGAGGGGCTCCTGGGAAAGGGGTGAATTAAACAGGCATGGAATGGCCCACTCTTGCCATGGACCCCAGAATCCTAGCTGCAGGGGAACCCACTCCTCAACAGACATTTGAGTTTGCAGAGAGAGCTTATTGGAGAGTTATCAGGGGCAGGTCTCTAATATGTGCAGAATCCAGAGCGTTTGGCACAGAAATAGCTGCAGAAGAGCATGGCCAAAGATGTCCTTCTCCCAAGGCTCACCACACTCTTCAAGATGGCTTTGGCCTTTGTTGACTGTAGGACATGAACAGAGCATAGCTTTCTTCCCCATGGCACAAGCCCAGTCTGATCTCAGCACCCCCTATCTTCCAGCCCGTCCCAGGGTAACTGCCTGGCCTTGTACACTTGCAGTACAATCTCAGATGCCCAATGAGGGTGCTTTCCAGCAGCTGCTACTGTAGCTCCTTCATTGGTAGGTACCACCATTAGAGAGCTTCTGCAGATGGACCCTCCCCAGCATGCTCCTGCCTGCAGCCTTCCCCAACCATTGTGCCAGGGCCCACCACCCTGTTGCTGCTCTGTTGTTGCTGGTGTGGGCGCGCGCTCACACACACACACACACACACACACACGTGGACCCTGCCACACTGCTGCCCTGTAGTTGATGGCATGCATGCCCAAGTGTGGACCCCATTGTCACCACCCCAATGTAGTGCTTTTGCCAGCACCCTCCATCAGAGTGTTGCTGCTAGCTGACTAGGAACACCTCAGCCCTTGCAGTACAGCAGGTGCTTAACCTTGAGGGGCCAGAGAACAAAGCCATAGGCCTGGTCCCAGGTCCCCAGTGTACTGAGCTGAGCCTGGGCCACCTGAAATCACCCGGAAATGAAGCCAGTTGACTGAACCCAATTTATAACACTGTCAAACCCTCAAGGACATCAAAGAATATAAAAGCAATAAGCCACATTCAACAGACAGCAGTTTCAAAGATTTAAGGAACATCAGCCCATACAGATGAGAGAAAAACCAGCACAAGAACTGTGAGAACTTAAAAAGCCACAGTGCCTTATTACATTCAAATGACTGCACTAGTTCCCCAGCACTGGTTTTAAACCAGGCTGAAAAGGCTAAAATGACAGAGATGGAATTCAGAGTCTGGATGGCAATGAAGATCACTGAGATTCAGGAGAAAGTTGAAACCCGATCCAAGAAATCTAAGGAATCCAGTAAAAAGATGAAATAGCTTTTTTAAGAAAAAAAACAAACTGATCTAATAGATCTGAAAAACTCACTATAAGAATTTCATAACACAATTGAAAGTATTAACAGCAGAATAGACCAAGCTAATGAAGAAATTTCAGAGCTTGAAGAGTGGTTCTTCAAATCAAATCAGACAGACAAAAATAATGTAAACAAATTAAAAAAGTGAAATAAGGAATTATGTGAAATATGGGATTATGTGAAGAGACTAAACCTATGACTCACTGGCATCTCTGAAAGGGAGTAAGGAAATTCATTACCACCAGACCTGCCTTACAAGAGGTCCTTAAGGGAGTGCTAAACATGGAAATGAAAGACTGTTACTGACCACCACAAAAACACACTTAAGTACACAGATTATTGACACTATAAAGCAACTACAAAAACAAATCTAGACAACAACTAGCCAATATAATGACAGAATAAAATCTTCACATATCAATATTAACCTTGAATATAAATAGGCTAAACACTCCACTTAAAAGGCACAGAGTGATAAGTTGGATAAAGAAACAAAACCCAACTGTACGCTATCTTAAGAGACCATATCACATGCAATGACGCTCATAGGCTCAAAGTAAAAGGATGGAGAAAACTAACAGATATCTGGGACCTAAACTTCACGCTTGATCAAATGAAACTAGCAGACCTCCACAGAACATTCCATCTAACAACAACAGAATATACATTCTTCTCATCTGTGCACAGCACATACTCTAAAATTGACCATATGCTTGAACATAAAGCAATTCTTAACAAATTCAAAAAAATAAAAATAAAAAACCAAATCATATCAACCACCCTCTCAGACCACAGCACAATAAATACAGAAGTTAATACTAAGATGATCTCTCAAAAGCATACAATTACATGGAAATTAAAGCAACCTTCTTCTGAATGACTTTTGGGTAATCAATGAGATTTAGGCACAAATAAAGAAATTCTTTGAAATTAATGAAAACAAACATACAACATACCAGACTTTCTGGGACACAGCTAAAGCAGTGTTAAGAAAGTTTACAATACTAAATGCTCACATCAAAAAATTAGAAAATTCTCAAATTAACAACATGAAATCACACTTAGAGGAACTAGAAAAACAAGAGGAAAGTGACACCAAAGCCAGCAGTAGACAAGAAATAACCAAAAACAAAGCTGTGCTTTCCAAAACAGTGTAATAAAAACCCACAAGCAAAACAATGACCAAACTAAAAGCTGGCTTGACAGAATAAATAAGATTGATAGATTGCTAGCTAGACTAATAAAGAAAAAAGAGAGAAGATCCTATTAAACACAGTAAGAAATGACAAAGGTGACATAACCAGTGACCCCACAGAAATACAAAATACCCTCAGAGACTATTATGATACCTCTATGCACACAACCTAGAAAACTTATAAGAAATGGATAAATTCCTAAAAATATACAACCTCCAAAAATTGAACCAGGAAAAAACTGAAACCCTGAACAGACACATAACAAGTTCTAAAGTTGAAACAGTAATAAAAAACCCTTACCAACCACAAAAGGGCTTGGAGTAGACAGACTCACAGTTGAATTCTACCATATATATATAAAGAAGAGCTAGTACTGATCCTACTAAAACTATTCCAAAAAATTAAGAAAGAAACCCTCCTTAACTCATTCTATGAGGCTAGCATCATTCCGATACCAAAACCTGGCAGAGACACAACAACAAAAAAGAAAACTTTAGGCCAATATCCCTGATGAACATAGATGCAAAAATCCTCAAAAATTACAAGCTAACCAAATCCAGTAACACATCAGAAAGCTGAACCACCACAATCAAGTTGGCTTTATTCCTGGGACAAAAGGTTGGTTCAATATACACAAATAAATATGATTCATCATATAAACAACTAAAAACAAAAATCACATGATTATCTCAATAGACGCAGAAAAGTCTTTTGACTCAGCATCACTTCATGTTAAAAACCATCAACAAACTATGTGTCAGAGGAAAATACCTAAAAAAAAAAGCCATCTATGACAAACACACAACCAATATTATACCAAATGGACAAAAGCTGTAAGTATTCACCTTGAGAACTGGAACAAGACAAGAATACCCACTTGAGTGAACAGACAACCTACACAATAGGAGAAAAGTTTTGCAATCTATCCATCTGACAAAGGTCTAATATCCAGAATCTACAAGGAACTTAAATTTAAAAGAAAAAAAACCCCATTAAAAAGTGGGAAAGGGCATGAAAAGACACTTCTCAAAAGAAGACACTCATGCAGCCAACAAACATAACAAAAGTTTAACATCACTGATCATTAGAGAAACGCAAATTAAAACCACAATGAGATATCATCTCATGTCAGTCAGAATGGCTATTACTAAAAAGTCAAGAAACAATACATGCTGGCAAGGTTGTGGAGAAATAGGAATGCTTTTACACTGTTTGTGTAATGTAAATTACACAAATTACATTTCACTGTTTGTGAAAAGTAAATTAGTTCAGCCATTGTGGAAGACAGTGTGGTGATTCCTCAGAGATTTAGAACTAGAAATACCATTTGACCCAACAATCCCTTTACTGGGTATATACCCAGATGAATATAAATCATCCTATTATAAAGATATATGCATGCTCATGTTCATTGCAGCACTATTCACAATAGCAAAGACATGGAATCAACCCAAATGCCCATCAATGATAGACTGGATAAAGAAAATCTCATACGTATACATTATGGAATACTATGTAGCCATTAAAAGGAATGAGATCATGTCTTTGAAGGGACATGGATGGAGCTGGAAGCCATTATTCTCAGCAAACTAACACAGGAAAAGAAAACCAATTACTTCATGTTTTCACTTATAAGTAGAAGCTGAACAATGAGGACACAGGGAGGGGAACAACATACACTAGGGCCTGTTGGGGGAGTGTGGTTGGGGGGAGCATCAGGAAAAATATCTAATATATGTTGGGCTTGATACCTAGGTGATGGGTTGACAGGTGCAGCAAATCACCATGGCACACATTTGCCTATGTAATGAACCTGCACATCCTACACATGTACCCCAGAACTTAAAACAAACAAATGAATGCCCACTCTCACCACTCCTATTCAAAATAGTACTGGAAGTTCTAGCCAGTGAAATCAGGCAAGAGAAAGAAATAAAAGGCATCCAAATAGGAAGAGATAAGGTAAAACTATCTCTCTTCACAGATGATATGCTTTTATACCTAGAAAACCCCGTAATCTCTGCCCAAAGGCTCCCAGACCTGATAAGACACTTCAGCAAACTATCAGGATACAAAATCAATGTATGAAATTCAGCAGAATATCCATACACCAATAACATCCAAGATGAAAGCCAAATCAGGAATGCAATCCCATTCACAATAGCCACCAAGAGAATAAAATACCTAGGAACACAGCTAACCAGGGAGTGAAAGATCTCTAGAATGAGAGTTACAAAACACTGCTCAAAGAAACCAGAAGTGACACAAATAAATGGAAAAACATTCTATGCTCTTGAATAGTGACATGGTTTTTTTCTGTGTCCCCACCCAAATCTCATCTCAAATTGTAATCCCACATGTCAAGGGAGGGACCTGGCAGGAGGCGAGTGGATCATGGGGGCACTTCCCCCATGCTATTCTCATGATAGTGAGTTCTCACAATATCTGGTGGTTTCGAAGTGACACTTTTCCCTTTGCTCTCTCTTTCCTGCCATCTTGTGAAGAAGGTGCTTGCTTCTCCTTTGCCTTCTGCCATGATTGTAAGTTTCTTGAGGCCTTCCCAGCGATGTGGAACTGTGAGTCTATTAAACCTCATTTCTTTAAAAATTACCCAGTCCCAAGTAGTTCTTTATATCAATGTGAAAATGAACTAATTCAGATAGGAAGAAGTAATATTATTGAAGTGGCCATTCTGCCCAAAACAATTTACAGATCCAGTTCTATTCCTATCAAACCACCAATGACATTTTTCACAGAATTAGAATAACTCTTCTGAAATTAATATGGAACTGAAAAGTAGCCTGAATAGCCAAAGCAACCCTAAGCAAAAAGAACAAAGCCAGAGGCATCACACTCCCCACTTCAAACTGTACTACAAGGCTGTAGTAACCAAAACAGCACGGTACTGATTCAAAAACAGACACATAAATCAATGGAACAGATTAGTGATTCCAGAAACAAAGTCACACACTTATAGCCATCTGATCTTCAAAAAGGTCAACAAAAACCAATACGGAAAGGACTCCTGATTCAATAAGTTATCCTAGGATAACTGGCTAGTCATATGCTGAAAATTGAAACTCTACCCCTTCCTTTCACCATATATGAAAATCAACTCAAGATGGAGTAAAGACTTAAATGTAAAATCTAATACTATAAAACTCTAGAAGAAAACCTAGGAAATACCATTCTGGACATAGGCCCCAGCAAAGATTTCATGACGAAGACCCCAAAATCATTTGCCACAAAAAGAAAAATTGACAAATGAGACCTAATTAAACTAAAGAGCTACTTCTGCACAGCAAAAGAAACTATCCACTGAGTAAACAGATAACTTACAAAGTGAGAGAAAATATTGCAAAGTATGCATCTGACAAAGGTCTAATATCCTGAATCTATAAGGAACTTAAACAAATTAACAAAAAATAAACAACCCCATTAAAGAATGGGCAAACTATAATACATGAATAGACATTTTTCAAAAGAAGACATACACATGGCCAACAAACATATGAAAAATTGCTCAACATCACTATTCATCAGAGACAATCAAATCAAAACCATGAGATAACCATCTCACACCAGTCAGAATGGCTACTATTAAAAAGTCAAAAAATAACAGAAGCTGGCAAGGTTTCTAAGAAAAGAGAACACTTATACACTGCCAGTGGGAATGTAAATTAGTTCAGCCACTGTGGAAAGCATTCTGGAGATTTCTCAAAGAACTTAAAACAACTACCATTTGACCCAGCCATCCTACTACTGGGTATATACCCAAAGGAAAATACATCAGTTTACCATAAAGACATATGCATGCATATGTTCATCACAGAACTATTCAAAACAGCAAAAACATGGAATCAACCTAGATGCCCATCAACAGTGAACTGGATAAAGAAAATGTGGTACAAAAAAAGAAAGAAATCATGTCCTTTGCAGCAACATGGATGGACCTGGAGGCCATTATCCTTATTCAAATTACTGCAGGAACAGAAAACCAAATACTGCATGTTCTCACTTACAAGTGGAAGCTGATAAACATGAACACAAAGTAGGGAAAAACAGACATCAGGGCCTACCTGAGGGTGTAAGGTGGGAAGAGGGTGAGGATTGAGGATTGAAAAACGACCTATTGAGTACTATGCTCATTACCTGGGTGATGAAATCTATACACTAACCCCCATGACTCCCCATTTACCCATGTAACAAACCTGTACATATATCCCTGAACTTAAAAGTTAGAAAAAAAATACACACACACTCCCAACCCCTAATTTAAACAAGTAAAAAAAGGAAACAGGTTAAAACATTGTGCTTTTACTTCGTGGCCGTTTTTTAAAAAATAAGTTTTATTTTAGCTTTTGGTGTATTTTCAATAAATTAAATAGAATAATCAGCCACAAAATTTTGAGCTACAAAAAGGGAAATGTGATAAATAAAGGCTCAAGGAAGTATTGATACAGGAGTTAAGAAAAAATTACTTAGGCAGATAGTGAGGGTACAGAAGTCCTTGGTAAGGTTTCCATTTTAATGAAAAGCAGCCCCACATCATTTTCCTTTTTAACAAAGAACAGCCTGTAAAATTGAGCTGCAGTCATAGAAGCTGGTAGTTGTGCCAATCATGTTTAAAATGGCAACCCCACCTTCCCTTGTCTTTATGAGCCACATACGTGTACAGTAAGGAACAGACAAGATGGTACCGATCAACAGGAGAGTTCATTTGCATAATAAGATTAGGGCTGAGCAGCCAGCCTTCCCATAAGCTATGTAAACATCATACCTAATCAAACCAATCTGTGAGTCCTATGTAAATCAGACACCGCCTCCTCAAACCTGACTATAAAATCCAGCACATCCCCCTCCCTCGGGTCTTTTCTGCTCAGACACCCTTCTCTCTCTCTAGAGAGGGAGATGTTTCTCTTTCTCTTCTCTTCTGCCTATTGAATCTCCACTCCAAAACTCTGCATTTGTGTCTGTGTCCTAAATTTTCCTGGCACGAGACAAATCCCAGGGTATATACCCCAGACAACATAGCTGCTTCAGTATTGCTGAAACAAAGCCTTCTTGAGGTTTGCTCAGCTGCTAAGCGCACCAAATCAACACTGACATAATTGTCAAAGAATGATTTCTACTTAACAGTTGTCCCTATGTATACATAAGCTTTTTTTCATTAATCAAGGAAACAGGGAAGAATACCTGCTATGTATAATTCTATTCCTTTGGTGATTTTCATTATAGGTTTTCTTGAAATAGAGTACATATTAATTGTAAATCACAGATCTTACCTGAGTTCCTCAAAAACTGTAAGACGATTACATTTCTGCAATTGCCCAAGAGTTATTTGGAATCAGTGTAATTCAGTGAATGAAGTAAAGGACAGACCTAGGAAAAATTACTGGATTTCAGTTTATACTGAGATTTCTATTTTCTAGAATGGCCCAGTTCTTACTCTTGTATAATTTACTATTTAAGAAATGGTTCTTCAGCCAATACAAACTCCAGAGAAATACATATTAAACTTTAAGAAGACTTCTTTTTGATTTCTCAGAATAATGGAGAAATTTTATTGTTCTTAATTTAAAGAGGATTCAAATGAATGTATATTCCATGCTTCACAAGGTCACAAAAGAATGTCTAAACTTTCTGAAGTTTCCAAAACAAATTTAAAAAATGAGGCTGATGCATTTCTGTGGTTCTGAAATATTCTTGTTTTGAATGTTTATGGTTCCGAAATATTCTTGTGTTTTGAATGTTTAAGCTCTACAAATGGAAAAAAATAAAAATAATCTCAACACTTCTTTTTCTATCAAGATGGCCAATGAAGTATTCTGAAGATACACATACTATATAACCTCTAAAGATAGTTTATATATCTTATAAATTATATCTATAATTTTTAAATTAAATGTTTTGAGGTAATTGTAGATTGATATGAAATTGTAATTTGACAGCTTCTACATATACTTTATCCAGTTTCTCCCATAGGCAAGATTGTATAAACATAGTACAATATTACAGCCAGAATATTGATATTATTACAATCAATGTACTTTGGTTGTATAGTGTTCCTGCAAACTTAATGTCTACCAGAATCTCAGAATATATCCTTATTCAGAAATAAGGCCTTTGCAAACGTAATTAGTTGATGAGGTCTTACCGGATTAAGGTGAGCCCTAAATCCAATGGGTGGTGTCCTTATGAGAAGGCCATGTGAAGGCATACAGAGAAGTACCATGCTTAACGAAGACAGAGTTTGGAATGATGCAGCTACAAGCCAAGGAACACCAAGGATTGCCAGTAGACCATTTGTTCCAGTGTTAGGGAACAAGCATTCAGTCTTTTACCATTAAGTATAATGTTAGCTATAGGTTTTCCTAGGTGTTATTAAGATGAGGATGTTCTTCTCTATTCCTATTTTTTTCTGAGAGTTTATTATGAATGGATGCTAAATTTTGTTAAATAGCTTTTGCTGTATTGATTATGTTTTTAGTCTGTTAAATTGGTGAATTACATTGACTAACTTTTTAATATTGGAGTAGGCTTGCATCCTTGAATAAACTGCATTTGGTCTTATATTTTAATTATTTTTATATATTGCTGAATTCTACTTGCTAATATCTGTTAGGGATTTTTGTCTATGTATGAGGCATTTTGGTCTGTATTTTTCTTTTTGGTGAACTGTCAGTGCCTTTGTTGCCTCTTTTTTTCTGTGTAGAAATGCTCTATTTCATATTAGATGAGTTGTGGTAGGTTGCAATTTATTTTGATTTTTTTATTCTTCCCATGTAGTCTAAGTTGTCAAATTTATGTGTATCAGGTTGTCTGAGGTATTCCATGGCTATCCTTTTGATGTCTGTAAAGTGTGTAGTGACATTTCCCTATTTCATTCCTGGTGTTGGTGATTTGTGTTTTTTCTTTTTTCTTTTATCACCCTTGCTAGAGGTTTAATGATCTATTGAATGAACCAGCTGTTTGTTTTATTGGTTTTTCTCTATTTTTTATTTTCAATTTCATTGATTTCTGTTCTTATGTTTATTATTTACTTCTTTCCTTCTTGCTTTCAACTCATTTCACTCCCATTTTTCTTGGTTCTCTAGATGGGAGCTTTGATTATTGATTTGTGTCTTATCCTCTTTTCCAATGTAAGCATTTGGTGTTACAAATGTCTATCTCAGCACTGCTTTAGCTATGCCTCACAGATTTTGATATATTTTCTTTTCATCCAGTATTTTGATTTTCCTTGAGAATTCCTCTTTCACACATTGATTGTTTAGAAGTGTGTTGTTTTCCAAGTGTTTGGAGATTTTACTCCTATCTTTTTTGATTGAATTCTAATTTGATTCCATTGTGCTCAGAGAACACTCTATAAATTATTTTACATTTGTTGAACTATGTTTTATGGATGATGACATGGTCTATTTTGGTATATGTTTCACTTGAAAGAAGGTGAATTCTGCTGTTGTTGGATGGAGTAATTATAATAATCCCTTTTAGATTTTATTGGTTGATGGTACTGAGTTCTTCCGTATTTTTGCTGATTTTCGTCCTAATTATTCTATGAAGTGTTGGGAGTAAGGTATTGTCATTTCCAACTACAATTATCTATTTGTCAATTACAGTTTTGTCTATTTCTCCTTTCAGTTCTATCAGTTTTTGTTCATATATTTTGCAGTCTGTTGTTTGGCACAAACACATAGAATTCCTTTGCCTTCTTGGTGGATTGACTCTTTTGTCATTATATAATTATATAATATCTTTCTCTGTCTCTGGTAATTTTCTTTGCTTTGATGCCTAATTTATTCGATGTTATCATAGCCACTCCTGCTTCCATTGAATAACATTTTCATGACACACAGTTTCTCATTATTTTACTTTAAACCTGCATATAACATTATATTTGAAGTGAGTTTCTTGTAGAATGTGAATAGTTGGGTCCTGCTTCTTAAATCTGCTCTACCAATCTGTGTTTTAATTAGTATACTTAGACTATTTACATTTAATGTAGTTATTTATATGTTATGGACTAAGTCTTCTATTTATTTTTATTTATTCATTTCTGTTTCATTTTCCCTGTCTTCCTGTGAGTTAACACATTTTAGAATACCATTTTGATTTATCTACAGTGTTTTTGAGTGCATGTCCTTCTATAGCTCTTTTAGTGTTTGCTGTAGATATTACATTACATATATATGTCATATATATGGGTGTGTATGTGTATATGTGTATATATGTACATATATATACAAGATATACTATATATATATATCTTATCACAGCCTACTGATATTTTCATTTTGCTAGTTCAACTAAAGTATAGAAATCTTACCCTCCCTCATTTGTAATAAATTGTTTTAAATATATCGTCTACGTATTTTTAGAATCATATCAGGTAGCAGTGTTATAATTTTTGTTTCAACTGTCAAATATAATTTAGAAAACTCAAGTGAAGAAAAGCCTATTGTATTTAGCTATACTTTGTTTACCCGCTCTTTCTCCTTTCCTGATATTCCAAGGTTTCTTCCTTTAATCTTTCGTTTTTATTTAGTGAACTTTCTTTAGCTATTCTTTTAGGGTAAGTCTACTGGTAACAACTTCTCTTAGTTTTCCTTCATTAAGAATGTCATTATTTTTCCTTCATTCTTGAAAGATATTTTCTCTGAGTATTGAATTGCAAGTTGACAGTTCTTTTCCTCTAGCACTTGAAAAATATGGTAGTACTTTATTCTGACCTATATGGTTTCTGGTTCACTGTCACTCAAATTTCTTTTTCTTGTAGTAAGGTTATCAATTTTCTCTGGATGCTTTCAAATACTTTTATCTTTCGTTTTCAGATTTTTATTATAATATGTCTTGGCATGTATTTCTTCAGGTTTAACTTATTTGGAATTCATCCAGCTTCTTGAATCTGTAGGTTTATGCTTCTTACAACATATGAGAAGTGTTCAGCCATTATTTCTCTGAATACATTTTTTTTCTTTTAAGCTCTGCCCTCTTTCTCCTCTTCTTCTGGAATTCCAATGACATGAATGTTAGATCTTTTGTTACAGTCCCACAGGTCTCTGAAATACTTTTAGTTTTCTTCCCTCATATTTTTTTCTGTGTTGTTCGGATTAGGTAATTTTGATTATTCTGTATTTTAGTTCTTTGATTCTTTCCTCTCTCCCCTCCATTATGCTGTTAGACCCGTATACAGAGTTTTTATATCTGTTATTGCATTTTTCAGATCTGCAGTTTCTACTTGGTTCTTTTTTACATCTTCAATTAATTTGCTGAAGATTTCTATTTGTTTCAAACATGCTCATAACTGTTGAAAGATTTTCATCATGGCTTCCTTATATCTTGTTGGATAATTCTAACATCTTCATCATCTCAGTGTTGGCTGCTATTTATTTATTTTTTTCGTTGAATCTGGTAACTCCCTGGTTCTTGGCATAAGGAGTGACTTTGATTGAAACCCAGACATTTTTGCCTCATGTCACAAGACTCTAGATCTTTTAAAATCCTTTTCTTCTTTCTAACTGGCTTTTTATGACCCTGCTCCAGAATGGCAAAAGGGTGTATGTATGCCACATTGTTACTGCAAGGTGAAGGCAGAAGTCCAGGTTTCTTATTTAACCTCCATTGATAACAAAGAGGAACTTCTAGTTACTTTTATGTGGCTGTGTGTACTGGTTGCCTAATTGTCTTCACTAACATTGTGGGGGTGGGGAGTGCTTTACCAGATAGCAACTAGCAGTGATGGAAGTGTCAGTTCCCTACTTGGCCTTCTCTAACACCACCTAGTGGGAGTGTTGAGCGACTCATTACAGTATCACAAGGGTGAAAACTGAGGTTCCCATCACGACTTTGCTGATATGGGTGAGGGTATGGCCATGTTATTTTTGTGTGTTTTTGGCTGGGTAGAGTGGTTATTGTCTAAAATTTTGTGTCTTGCTAAGTTGGTCTTTTATTTGTCCTTTGGCTAGAAAGAGCAGGAATTTGTTAGGGTTTTTACAAATCTGTGTCCACTGATGTTTCCGTGTTGTTGGCTTCTTTAGCTCCAACCTTGAGATGTGGGAGGCAAAAAGAAAACCAAGGGAACTAATCACCTTGTCATTTTGGGCCTTGACATATCTAGCTTATCTGCCTTCTTCTCTCCAACTTTCAAAGTCTTTTTATGGTTTGTTTTCTATACAACTTCCAGGGAATATTTTTTAATTTAGTGGCAACTACAGGAAAAAGTACATCTCCTTTATCTTTTTGAAAGTAAAAGTCTGTGTCTTATTTTAAAAATAAAGCCTTTTATTATACAACTGGGATAATAAGAAAAATCCTCAGAGGATCCCCAAAATCTACAACATAAATCCGATCTACTATAGTACCACAGTCCTAAATCTGGCCTCTCTCCTGGTGAACTACTAATCCCAAGTCACAGAACTTTCTGTTTTAATGGGCTACTGGGAAACCTAGAATTGCATATCCAGGGATCTTTAATTATTAGGGGCAAAGGAAACCATTTTCAGACAGAAAATGAAAGTATTACTATACTAGACCATAATTAAAGAAATTTCTAAAGAACTTATGTCTCATAAAAAAGAAAGTGATCACAAAACTAGGGTCTAAAATTTCAGAGAGAATAGTGGTCAGAGAAAATATCAAATAGGAGTAAAATTAAGCATTGATTGTAAAATAATAATTGGAAAAGTGTGAAAGGCAGAATGGTCACTCAAAAGTTCTATGCCTTAATCCTTGGAACCTGTGAATGTGTTATCTTACTTAGCAAAAGGGACTCCACAGATGTGATTAAAGGTTTAAAACTTGAGATGGGGAAAGTAACCTAGAATATCCAGGTGGACCCAATCTACTTACATTATTACTTAAAAGGAGAGAAGCTTCTCGAGTGCGTTAGAAAGATGAGATGGAAGAAAAAGGAGTGGAGAGATATCCAAGCATAAAAGGTACTTGATATGCCATTGCTGGCTTTGGGGAAAGAGGCCAGGAGCCAAGGGATGTGGGTGATTCCTAGAAGCTGGGAACAGTCTCCAGCTCACAATCAGGAAGGAGATGAAGATCTCAGTCTTTGAACTCGAAGGAACTGAATTCTGCCAACACTCTGAATGAGCAAGCACACAGCTCCTCCCCTAGAGCCTCCAGAAAGAAATGGAACCCTGTCAGCTCCTTGATTTTAGCTTGGAGAGATGCATGCCAGACCTCTGACTTACAGAACTGTATGATAAGGTGTGAAGTTAGTGGAAATTTGTTATGGAGGCAGTAGAAAACTAATACACACAGTTATAAATAATTGCAAGATAGAAGACCTAAAATAGAAGACTATGTAAGTTGGTGGAGGGTTATAAGAGTAAAATATTCTTAGGAAGGTAAATACATTAATTACAAACTATATTCATTTGCAACTCCACCTTAAAATTTTAAGGTAATCCATACATATACATATATATAAATCCATATATATATATATAAATCCATATATGTATAGGATAAGGATGTATGACTTGTGAAACATGGGAAGTAGTGTAATAACAAAACTGTTGCAATAAATTTTAAGAAAGGCAAGAAAGGAGAAGTGAAGAAAGTAGAAGAAAGAGAATAAAAAAAGATGGAAGAATTGATTGCAAAAGGCTAAAATTAACCACTAACGGTCACATTATCAACTGAATAGGAAACTAAAAACTAAAATGGCACATCCACTAGTTTGTCAAAACATTTTAAAGTTTGATAACACTAAGTGCTGGAGAAGACATAAAGCAGCTAAAACAGACACTGCTGGTGGGAATTTAAGTTGTTTTGATCAAAATGTAAAATAATTTGGAATATTCTAGTATGATTGAAAAGATGTGCATACTTCTAGGTATATCCCATGGAAAACTATCAGACATTTATCTGAGAGATATTTATAAGAATGGTTATTGTATAATAGTATTGTTTATAATAGCAAGTATCTAGAAACAACTCATGTCCAATTAAAAGAGAAGAGGTATTGAATAACGTTATGTCAAAACTATACAGAGGTGGAAATAAGCTAGAGCATAATCACCAATATAAAATCCACATACATGTCATCAGAAAGTGAAAAAGCAAGCCGAAGAATATATTTTTTAATGATACCATTCATATAAAGCTTTATTTTATTTTTTTGAAAATGCAGTATCATAAGGTTTTGGGATAAATGCATAAGTCTGAGAAAGAGGAAAGCAGTCATGAATATCAGGGACCTGGCCTGACACTTTCAGCTAGGCCTGATGCTTTTAGGGGCTGGCCTGGCACTCACACCTATGACATGGTTCCTGTTTAACATGAACAACTTCATAGGGCAGCACATCACATATTCTGTGACTATGATGGAGTGAGACAAAAAATAAGACTATAAAATTTGTCTAAGCAAAAACAAGGTCACTGTGAGAGCCCTGAAATATCAAATCTTTCCTTCTACCAGCTAATATAAATGAGTTCTGCTTCTTTACCAATTATAGCTTTAGTCTCCTTCCAGTTTTTTCGCCTTCCAGATAAGGTTTATTTAGATACCCAGTCGTAGAATTATTCTTGCTCCCTTATAGCATGCAACCCATGCAAAGCCCATTTATTGAAACTCCTTAAAAATAATCTAACACATTATTTATAATGTCATTTCTGATATCCTTACTGAGATGCCCATGGTTGCATTCTCCCCAGCTCCACTGAGTAACAAACCCAACTTGCTCAACTACGGGTGTGTTCCTGGTGGTTTGTGGCTGAAAAGCATTGACAAGTCAAATATATAAAGAAAAACAAGGAATTACAAACAAAAGTTTAGAAGAGGGTTTCCACTTGTGAATGGAGATGTAATTTATTTAATAACAAATGGATGATGGTGTTTGCTACATGCCAGGAAATGTCACACTGTTCCAAGTACTTAACAGATACTAAGTTATTTAATTCTTATAAAACCCATGAGGTAGGTATTCCAGTTATCCCCATATAGGGCAACCGAGTATGAAGTTGCCCTCAATTACATAGCTGAGAAAGTATAGATTTCAGATTCACATCCAAGCAGTCTGGCTCCATAGTCTTCAGTGTGTATGTACCTCTAATTACTACTCCATGTAATCTTGGAAGGGTACATGACAGGGTTTCAATAATATATGTCTAGCTAAATACACAGGCACACACATATGCATATTTATTTAATATAGGTCATAATTAAAAATACATTTAATGAGGGTTGTTAATATAATGTCATGTAGTAACATAATATGATTGAGGCTATCAAGATAATCACATATCAAACCTAGTGGTCTATCAATGAAAATTATTCTGACTTCTGTGCCGCAGTGAGAAATGGAAACTAAATTTTCCTTCTGCTAGATACCAATAACTACCTGTCTAATTAAATTATTATTAAAATGGGATATTCTGCACTTATACTGATAACAGTAAGCACTTACATGGCATTTACTAAAGAAATTATTTTAGTCCTCACAGAAATCTCATGAAGTAGGCACAACTGTAATCCACATTTAAGAATTAAGAAACTGAGGCCAGGTGTGTTGGCTCAGACCTGTAATCCCAACAACTTGTGAGGCCAAGGCGGGTGGATTACTTGAGGCTAGGAGTTCAAGGCCAGCCTGGCCAAATGGCAAAACCCCAACTCTACTAAAAATACAAAAATTAGCCGGGCATGGTGGCACACTTGGGAGGCTGAGGCACAAGAATTGCTTGAACCTGGGAGGCAGAGGTTGCAGTGAGGGAGGTCACAGCACTGCATTCCAGCTTGGGCAACAGAGCAACTCTGTGTCAAAAAATAAAATAAAATAAATAAGAAACTGATGCTCAAAAAGATTAAGTAATTTTCCCAAGGTCACACAGTTAATTAGCAACAGTTCAAAGCTGACTTACCCACTATGCTACACTTTAATATGGCAGTTAGTAGAAGACATGTTCTTCCCCCAGTTCCCACCCAACTCCTGGAAGTCTAGTACAGGGAATAGTTTGACTAGAATGATATAAGTTTTCAAAACAGACTATTTGGTTATTTTATGTGGACCAGTGCAGAATCTGGTAGAGATATTCATCTGAAAATGAATCCCCAGTATTTTACTTAAAAAGCAATTTATATTCTCATCCATTTTAAATATCTAATCTTTCAAAGCTAAATCATTTTTGTTCTAAGGCTCTCAAATGTACAAATGTACATTTTTAAAATTTTTCTAAATCATAAAAATATATCTTTGAATTCTCAGACTATTTTGAATCAGAGATCTCACACAGTCTACTTCAGACTAATTTGAATAATGATATACATTTTCTGTATTCATTCAAAAGATATACTGGTGCTCAAAGGTTGAGAAAAATGCAATAAATTTAATAATTCATTCATCCATTTAGCAAAACAGCTGAGCATTTCAGGCACTCAAAACCTCCTGATACGTATTTTTTTTTCCATTGTCATCCCTGTAAATCTACCTTTTTCTTAAATTAGCATTTTATTTCCTTAAACGAACTTATTTGATTGCTAATTCACAAATACAAGGAAATTCTCTTGGATTTAAACCTTCATTTCTGTATAGGAACTGACAAAACTTTATTACTAAATATAAGGATGCTTGATAACAAGAGATTCCAAAGACCGACAAATAAAATTAGTTACAAATGGCTTTCTGTTCCCTTTTTATTTTTTTTAAATTTTTTTCAGTAAGTTAAAATAAATATTAAGTGCTTACTCTTTGCAACTCCCTGCCATTATGTTAGGCATTACATGCCAAAGGGTGTTTTGGTGCCATTGGCACTAGTGGTGCGTTTTTGATGTTTTGTTTTTACTGTTTTGTCCTTCTGAGTTACTACAAGTGTGTGGTAGTAATTTCAGGTATATTTTACCAAAGCAGTTTTAATTTCAAGAAGGTTCTATGGATGATTTGCTCAAAGCTTACTTAGACCTTAGCTAGAGTCACTAAAAATTCACGCAGTAATTGGCGTCAAGCAAATAAAGAAAGCTTTTATCCTGAAAATTAATCAAATTCAATGTTACCAGTGATTGCTCAAAGCTTTTTGGAGATGTTCCTGTACTAAACTTGAATCATAGAAGTTTATTTCCTCTTGTCTTTCTCAGCCTGGTTAATATAATGGTGACATAAACCCCATCATACTTAAAAAAAATTTATAACACATTGTTTTCAAAGCTCATACATTTATTCCTCAATCAATTTTGAGCCATATTTAAAATAATGCTTGAGAATTATCTTTTGGTATTTAATGCGCTTCAAAGCTCCCTGCCAGTCCTTTTTAGCTACGATAACTCATTATTAAGTTTATTTTATTTTTTATTTTTGAGACGGAGTGTCCCTCTGTTTCCCAGGTTGGAGTGCAGTGGCGTGATCTCAGCTCACTGCAACCTCCGCCTCTTGGGTTCAAGAGATTCTCCTGCCTCATCCTCCTGAGTAGCTGGGATTACAGGTACACACCACCATGTCTGGCTGATTTTTGTATTTTTTTAGTAGAGACAGGGTTTCACCATGTTGGCCAGGCTGGTTTCAAACTCTTGACCTCAGGTGATCCGCCCTCCTCAGCCTTCCAAAGTGCTGGGACAAGAGGCATGAGCCACGATGCCCAGCCACTGAGTTATGGTTTTTGATTAGTCTTTTGTTCTTTTAAACCAAGACATTATATAATTTAGGAAGCATACATGAATTGTACTTGAGTTCATTTTCTATATCATAATCAATATCTTCAGTATCCAATCAACTACTCTGTGCAGTTCATGAATTGATAGCCATTATTTTCATCCCTGGCCATCCTGCTTGATCATAGATCGCATCCTCTTTGCACGTGTTCATGCTTGCTGCTTGGATAATCTCTTGAATTGTGGTGAGGTCACAAATCATATTTTTAAAAAGTGTTTTTTCTTACACTAGACTATTTCAGAGCTAAGCTGTTCATTGGAGCGGTCACTGTCTTTGGAATTAGAACATTTTTACATAAACCTGTTGACTTTTCTGTTTATTCTTTTGGAGTTAGAGAAGGTCTAGGCTTGGTCTATTTTGGTTTACAATCGAGTGAAAGATACACTGTATACATTATATAAATTTAGATAAGGTTCTTTCCAAATATTTGAAAAAAGGACGTTTTAGGTCCAGACTGAAACCTGAAGAGCATTCCTTTTTCTTTTCTCCTCAGCTTTATATTCTAGTTTTAACTTCCCAATTATGGGTGTCGAAAACACTGCTGGTGAGGAGGGAGTTATCACGTGGACACTAACAGTGTTGTAACAGATAGGGACAGATCTCCAAGAAAGCCTTCTCCTCTACATAAAGGACTGAGCCCACCTTGCAGCTGGTCTGCTGCCTGAATGCTGCGTGTCAGCAAGTTAGGAGGATATTTGAGCGATGGGTCCTGACTGCCCTTGCCTTCAGTCTTCACTCTTCCAAGCTAGGATGCCAGTGAGCCTTGCCAGGGTCCCTTCCTAATTCTCTTACAAATATTACTCAGTCTCACAGGGGTTGCTGCTTTGCCTTGGTGTCTGTTCCTCCAGTCTTATATAAATACCATCTTAGCAGACAGAAACTCCTCCCAGGGTCTAGAGTCTAGATGGGCTGTCTCCTGATTTCAAGGACAGGTATAGGGTTTTCCCTATTTGTATATTCACTGGCCATTTTAGGGAATTATAGAGAAAGGTCCATATGTCTATGCCCACGATGCCATATTTCCTAGAAAATCACTCCTCATGTCATGACTCAAATAAAATACAACTGTGCTATTTTTAAATTATTTATAGAAATAAACATATGTCAGATAATTTCTCTCACTGACCTTGTTTCGTGTAAGATAAGAACACTTAAAAATAGTGGGATTGTTCAAAATATACATTTTTCTAACAATTTCATCATTGTTAGAATTTAAATTTCACAAATTGTATCAACAGCTTGTTGGGGATATGACTCTTCTACTATGGGGATGTACCATCTGTTGCAACACTGCAAATATGGAGAGTCTGTCTTTCCATTTTTTCTAAATAGGACATGTTGTAGAATAGTGTACATAGAACTCATACTGAACTCTTCCAGCATACCGTTATTGACTCAAATTCTCACGATGTCCCTAACAACAAAAACAGCATTAACTGATACTGTAAATTAAAATAAGCAGTCTGGAATATGTATGTTATCCAAAATATAATAACAAAACTGTAGCATTTAGAATTTGTGAAATCATAATCCTTGTTTCAAAGTAAGTACTGAAGAAGAATTTGAGTATCTAATCAAAAAAGTTCTGCAAACAGCTCCACACATTTGCTGAGCAACTCCAAATATAATTATTTATCACAAAAAAATCCACAGACTGTCGCTTAAACACAAGAGTGACAGCCAGACTTCAGATTTAAAATGATGCTCTGTTGTCATGCGAAGAATTGATTGTGCAGGGCAAGGAACACAAGGTTACCTGTTAGGAGACTATTCCAATAATACAGGCAAGAAACAGTGGCTTGGACTGGAAGATGATAGTGGAAGTGAAGGGGTCAGATAAATATTGAAAGCAGAGTCAGGAAAATTTTCTAAGGAAATGGTTGTGGGGGTTAGAGAGAGAAGAATCAAGTATGGCTCCAAAGATTTTGGTCTAAGCAAGCAATATCTGGCTCTTGGTTGTCATCACATCGTTTCCTCTTGTTCTAGAACCCCTAGACCATGATAAGTCTATTTTCTCACACTGCTTTTTAGTTGATCAGAGTCCTTTGCTACATACAAAATTGCAAGTGACAGCAATCACCCCAATTCCTCCTCCTTGTACCTCCATTCCTGCCTTGCTTCACTCCACCTACAACGAATCCACCTGTTCCTGCAGTTGCCAACTGAATTGGCAGGTCTGAATTAAACTGCTGGGTTTGACATTTAAAAAATGGAGTTTTCAGTACTTCTGGGTTCTCCTTTTATTAGGCTAAGCATGAAGGCTGCTAATATTCACCCCACTCATCGCAAGACACATGATATCTATGACAAGGCTCCTTAAAAAAATAGCAGTAAGGCTTCTGGGATTACTTAAACTACTGCATGTGTTTCTTAAAAACAAATACGAAAGGTCAAATGTTGCTGAGTGTCAACATTGCCCACAGAAAAATATCATTATGCAGCTTTCTGGAATGTGGCAAAGTCACTGGTGTCCCAGTCTGTGATGCATAATCATAATTTTCATGACCTATGCTCAACCTTAGAACAGTAATTTTTCAGTTTTCAGTACATGTCTCCATTACTGGGGTTTGGGGAGAGAGGTAGGAGAGACAGAAAGGGATGTTTTAAGGAAGCAGATTCCTGGGTTCTATTCTCAGAAATTCCGATTCACTACATTTGGGTTGAAATCCAGAAATATAAACTAGGGATATGGATTTTTAACACGTACTTTATGTGAATCTGATGCAGTAATGTTTAGATCACCCTTTGAGGAACACAGCTATGAAGGAGTACAGCAAAAGTTAACCACAAGGTGCTCCAAAGTACCATGGTACTACATGCATACCTATTAGAGATGCCATGTACATTCCAGAACAGAGCTGCATGCACTCTGATAAACAATTGCTTGCTATTATTGTCTTTGACCATAAGAATATGCAGAATAATTTTTTCAATGGTATTTTATTTTCTCTACTCGTGATATATTCCTGGATATTTCAGAAAGTCTATGTCCCCGTTTTTACTTGTGCCAACATATAAGCTGAGTTGGAATACTTTTCTCAAGTTTACACTGCCTATATTCTTTTAAATAAAACTGCTTAGAAGAGTGACACCAGAAATTCAAAAATATTTGTCATTGAAAATCTCAAATCTTGCTAGGAAATCCTTCTAAATGTTTGATATTAGTGATCATCTTAACTCTTTTGTGAGCTGATAAAACCGCATCTCAGGCAAAGTGGATCCAGCTGTGGGAGAGTGGGGGGGGGACTGACCAACAAAGTTTCCTAAAGTTGTTGTTCCTGTTTATCTCTAAGGACCAGCTCTAGGTTTGTTTTTAAGTATCTCCCTCCAGTCCTAACTTACTAAGTAAAAGCTAATAATCCTTTAGGGCCCAATATCCCATGTATTATTCCTTTTTCATACTGCTATAAAGTACTGCCCGAGACTGGGTAATTTATAAAGGAAGAGGTTTAATTGACTCACAGTTCAGCATGGCTGTGGAGGCCTCTGGAAACTTAAAAATCATGGTGGAAGGTGAAGAGGAAGCAAGACACTTCCCCCTCAAGGCAGCAGAAAAGACAAGTGCAGAGTAAAGGGGGAAGAGCCCCTTATAAAACCATCAAATCTCGTGAGAACTCACTCACTGTCACGAGAACAGCACAGAAAAAAACCGCCGTCATGATTCAATTACCTCCACCTGGTTTCTTCCTTCATATATGGAGATTAGGGGGATTACAGTTCAAGATGAGATTTAGGTGGGGACACGAAGCCTAACCATATCATTCCACTTACTCCAGGAAGAAATTTTATTGCTTTCTGCATTCTTGATGTTCATTCCAAATAGAGCAATAATTCTCACCCTGGGCCATAACTGGAATCACCTGGAGAGGGTTTAAAACTACCGATAGCTGGATTTCTCACCCTGACATCTGATTTAGGGTAACTGTTTTCAGGTAAGGCCTGAGCTGCAGGATATTTAAGAGCTCCTTGGGTAATTCCAGTGAAGAGATAAGATTGCAAACCACAGCTGTATATGGACCCTGTTACCTCAACTTGGGATTCACCACAAGTCAGACCAGTTTTGCATATTTTGACCCTAGCTCACTCCACGTCTCCCAGTCTCGTTCTCTTCTTTTCCTTTTCTCTCCCTCAAATCTTTAAGCTCTTCCTTTACTTAAAAAATGTTCTCCTTATAGATTTTAAACTATCTCACCTAATTTTTTTGGTAATTACTATTAATGAGTCCTTACATTTTATCTCACCTATTTGAACTCTAATCTCAGCACTATGCTTTTTACATTTATGTTTTTGTTGACTTCTAATCTACTATAGTCACTCAAAATCTTGTTATTTTCCTATCGTTATTCTTTCGTGAATTTAAATAGTATTTTAAGTATCATACTAATTACCTAATTACTTTTCGTTAAAACTTTATTTGCAATTCAACAACTTTAGTCCTTATCTGTTGTATTATTATTAAGTTCACTGTTCTCAGACATTTCAGATTGTTTTCTCCTCTGGACAGAAACAATGAGAGAACCCACAGCAACGTATGTGGGATGGGGAGTTCTTCACTCTGCTGACCTTCTGCATATCTCTGTAGTGTCACTGAGTATTTTCAAATATCACTTAAAATGGAATGAGTTTCTTTTCCTTAAAAACTGGAACAAGACTCTGGAGGCCGAGGCAGGCGGATCACGAGGTCAGGAGATCGAGACCATCCTGGCTAACATGGTGAAACCCCGTCTCTACTAAAAATACAAAAAATTGGCCAGGTGTGGTGGCAGGTGCCTGTAGTCCCAGCTATTTGGGAAGCTGAGGCAGGAGAATGGCGTGAACCTGGGAGGCAGAGCTTGCAGTGAGCCGAGATCACGCCACTGCACTCCAACCTGAGTGACAGAGTGAAACTCCGTCTCAAAAAAAAAAAAAAAAAAAAAAAAAAAAAACCAAAATCTGGAACAAGGTAAAGATGACTACTGTCACCATTCTTATTCCATAGAATATTGGAAATAGCCAGACCAATCAGGCAAGGGGAAAAATAAAAGGTATCCGTATTGGGAAAGAGGAAGTCAAACTGTCCCTCTTTTCAGATGGCATGATTGTATATATAGAAAAGCCTGAAGTTTCCACCAATAAAACTCTTAGAACTGATAAAAATAAAATTTCAGTAAAGTTGCAAGATACAAAATTAATATACAAAAATTGATGGCTTTTCTATACATCAAAATGTACTTATTGAAAAAGAAATCAAGAAAGCAATCCCGTTTACAATAGCTACAAAAAAAAAAACAAACCCTACACTCCTATCTCTCACCACACACAAAAATCAACACAAAATGAATTAAGAACTTAAACATAAGACCTGAAACTATAAAATGACTAGAAGAAAGCAAGCAAATGCTTCAGGACATTGGTCTAGGCAAAGATTTTATGGTTAAGACTTCAAAAGCACAGGTAACAGAAACAAAAACTAATGGGACATTAGAATAAAATGTTTCTGCACAGTAAGGGAAATAATCAACAGAGTGAAGAGACAACCTCTGATATGGGAGAAAATATTTGCAAACTATTCATCCAACAAGGCACTAACGTCTAGAATATACAAGGAACTCAACTGCAATAATAATAATAATAATTCCATTAAAAAGTGGGCAAAGGGTCTGAATAGACATTTCTTAAAAGAATACATACAAATGGCCAACAGATACATGAAAAAAATGCTTGACATCACTACTCATCAGGGTAACGCAAATCAAAATCACAATGAGAGATCATCTCATCCAGTTAGAATGGCTACTATTAAATTGAGAAAACATAAGAAATGCTGATAAGAATGAAGAGAAAAGTGAACAAGAGTTCCCTGTTGGTAGGAATGTAAATTAGTGACTTTGGACAACAGTGTTGTGGTTTCTCAAAAAATTACAAACAACTACCATACAATCTAGCAATCCTACTATTGAGCATCTATCTGAAGGAAAGAAAATCAGTGTATCAAAGGGATACCTGCATCCCCATGTTTATGGCAGCACTATTCACTATTTATAGCCAAGATTTGGAATTAACCTAGGTGTCCATCAACAAATGAATGGATAAATAATATTTGGTACATGTACACAATGGTATACTATTCATCCATACAAAGAAATGAAATTATGTCATTTGCAGCTACATGGATGAAACTAGGCTGGGCACAGTGACTCACATTGTAATCCCAGCACTTTGGGAGGCTGAGGTGGGTAGATCACTTGAGCCTAGGAGTTGGAGACCAGCCTGGGAAACATGGCAAAACCCCCTCTCTACAAAAAGTACAAAAATTAACTAGGCATGGTAGTGTATGCCTGTAGTCCCAGCTACTCAGGAGACTGAGTTGGGAGGATTGCTTCACCCAGGAGGTTGAGGCTACAGTGAGCTGTGACCCTGCCACCACACTCCAGCCTAGGTGGCAGAGCAAGATCTTGAAAAAAGAAAAAAAGAAAGAAAAGAAAAGAAAAGAAAAAAGAAACTGGAGGTCATTATGTTAAGTGAAATAAGCCAGGCACAGAAGGACAAATAACACATGTTCTCACTCATATGGTGGGAGCTAAAAAGAGTTGATCTCATGGAGGTAGAAAGTAGAATGATAGTTACCAGAGACAGAGAAGGGTAGTGGAAAGAGGGGGATGAGAAGAGGATGGTTAATGGGGCAAATACACAGGAGTAAGTTCAAGTTTTCAATAGCACAGTTGGGTGACTTTAGTTAATAATTGATGGTATATTTCAAAATAGCTGGAAGAGAAGATTTGAAACGTTCCCAACACAAAGAAATGATAAATGTCTGAGATGACAAATATCCTAAATACCCTGTTTTGATCATTATACATTGTATGCATGTATCAAAACATCACAGTACCACATAAATACACTCAATTATTATGTGTCAATAATAAAAATGGCCTTGCTTTTTAATATTTTACATCATTCAAAGTTTACATAAAGAACTACCTGTTTTAAAATCCTTTTAATTGGACACAAAGAACCATTGAACATGCAGGAAAAAATGTCAGCATTGCTACCCAGCCAGGAGAGACTGTAGGGAGACAGCAGTGGGTAGGGGTGGAGAGGGATTTAAGCCTCTATTTTCCCCTTGATGGGGGACCAGTTGGCATGAAATGTGAAAAGAACTCTTGAGAGGATATTTAGAGGTAGATCCAAAACAAGGTATGTGGTATCATATGTATTCCATTTAATTCTTGTATTCTTATTTTGGGGTTATTTCTGTCTCCATTCTTGATGAAGTCCTCAGAGGACTCCCAGCACTTCTTGGCTGGACCTTCTTGGCTGTGATTTTCTTGCTCCTTTCTCTAGTTAGGAGAATGGTTTTCAATGGGCTCAGCTGCATTTTAGTTGGGAGGACACATCAGTTGGTCAGGACTGGTATTACATTAGCTGGCACCAAACAGATATGGGAAGGCACAAATATGAGAAGGGAAGCTGATTTCTCTTCCAGACCATAAGTTTTGGTTCCACTATATGAGGCTCTCTGGAACTGAGGAGATGGTGGAGGTTCCACAGATCCTTGATTTATTTTCTGAAAGGAAATTACGATGTTATTCTGAGGAACATGATGTTCTCATTTACTTACTCATTCCCCAAGTTCTAAGCTGTAATTGTGGGCATGTTTTCCCCTGTTGAGCTACTGCTGAATTTCATCTCATACTTCTTGCTAAATCATTGGCCGTGCCTTATATTTTAGATCAGATTTGTTGAGAGCTTAGTATGTGCCTGGCCTTGTTCTAAGTGCAGTATATGGACTATTTTAAATTTTTAAAAATTCTATTATTACCATTTTTCTAAAGAAGTTAAGTAACCTGTCCAAGATCACATGGCTCAGGTAATCTATCTCCATAGTCTATGTTCACAACTGCTCAGTAACCACTTCTCTCAGTTACCATTTCTCTGAAGATGTCCGTTTGTCATGCTCACTTTTGAAGACTATTTTCACCAAATGTAGTCGTTCAGTTTTTCTCAGCAAACACTATTTCATTGTCTTGCAGACTTCATTGTCTGAGATTTCAACCCTCGTTCGTTATCTTTATTCACATGTATGTATTGTATCTTTTTTTTTTCCTCTGGCTGCTTTAAAATTTTCTCTTTATCTTTCAGAAATTTGAGTATAGGGTATTTTTGCTGTTGTCCTCTTTGTATTTATTCTGCTGGTGGTTTGCTGAGCTTTGTGGATCTTTAAGTTGATGTTTTTTTAACTGAATTTGAGATTTTTTTTTTGGCCATTATTTCTTCAAATATGTTTTCTGTCAGATCATTCCCTTCTTTCTCTGGAATATCATTAATACATTTATTAGACACCATGACACTATTCCATTAATCACTGAATCTCTGTTCACTTTTACTTTTAATAGAAATGGCATCTCACTATGTTGCCCAGGCTGGTATCAAACTCCTGGGCTCAAGCAGTGTCCCCACCTTGGCCTCCCAAAGTGTTGGGATTACAGGCATGAGTCCCACCTTGTGTTTACTTTGTTTTCCCTCCAATCTTCTCTCTTTAGATCTATTTCTATTGATTTGTCCTCAAGATCAACAATGCTTTATTCTACTCAGATCCAATAATTTCTATTGACTTGTCTTCAATATCACTTAGCCTTCCTTTTGCAATCCTCAATTATTAAGCCCACTCAGTGAGTTTTTATTGCAGAGTTTGTACATTCTTGAATTTCCACATCCTTATAATGTCTGTTTTTCTCTTCATACTCGCATATGTTCACTCCCCAAGACACTCTTTTCCTTTATGTCTTTGAACATATGTTTAGTAGTTTCTTTTTGGGGGGACAGGGTCTCACTTGCTGCCCAGGCTGCAGTGCAGTGGCGCAATCATAGCTCACTGAAGCCTCAACCTCCTAGGCTCAGTGATCCTCCCACCTCAGCCTCCTGAATACCTGGGACTACAGGCACCAGCCACCATGCCCAGCAAATTAATTTTTTTTTTTGGAGGCGGGTCTCATTATTTTGCTCAGGCTGGTCTCAAATTCCTGGGCTCAAGTGATCCTCCTGCCTCAGCCTCCCAGAGTGCTGGGATTAAAGTCCTCGTCTGCTGATTCTTATATCTAGGCCATCTCATGATACGTTTCTTCTGACTGCCTTTTTCCCTCCGTCAATAATGGGTCTTTTTCTTCTCCTTTTTTCATGTGTAGTAACTTTTTATTATATTTTGAACTTTGTGAACAGTATATTGTAGAGAACCTCGATTATGTCATCTTCCTTTATAAGGTGTTAAGTTTTGTTCTGTCAAACAGTTTAATTATTGGCAGATCCTACTGATCTTTTCAGGTTTGATTTTATTTGCATTAGAGCTAGCTCTTTTTAAGTTTGAACTGCACTGTGACAGTGTGGACCTTCTGGGACCATAGTCTTTCTGAGACCTGAGGTGCTCAACAAGTATTCTTCACTCTCACAGGGCTGGAGCTCAGCATCACTCAGCACTGTGCTACCTATACTATCACCTTTCAGTTCTCAAACTCACACCACAGGACCTCTGCTAGACTCCAGGGTATCACCCCACATGTATTCAGCCAAACTCTGGCCAAGGATTCATGGTGTATCCACACTGAGACTCTTGGACTCTGTCCTTTCCCTCCAGTGTAGATTCCCCTTCTCTGTACCTTGTCCTAAAATTTCCAGCCAATTCCTAGCCCAGCACTTAGATTTCTGACTCCTTTGCTCAGCTACACCTGACACTATTCTTGTCTTCACCTCCCTCTGTGGCAAGAAAGAGCTCCCAGTAGCAGATGGAGGCAATTTTGAAGCTCAGTTCACAACTGTAATCACGGTCTTCTGGCTTGTTGGCCAATGACTAAAAACAGCTGCTTTATATAATTTGTTAAATTTTATAGTTGTTCTTATGGCAGGGTTCCATTTATTCTCTTATGGATAGAAGCAGAAGCCTAACAATATGTTTGCTTTCTGATTATTTTAATTATTTACTTCCTAGGCTTTGTGATATATTCCTAAATATACAAGTTTTAGGTCTTTCATCTCTCTGGCTATCAGAGAAAGGCATTTTGCAAGAGTACAGATTAGTCTGTAATCGTATTTATTGACGCTTGGGTTTATTACTGAGTCAGTTTATTTACTTATTCAATAAACATTTACTGAACACATTATGTGTCACCTATTCTGTTAATATCTTTCCCCTAAGTAGTTTTAGGAAATTTATATGAACACATCTATTCAATCAATTCAAGATCATGGAGCTCCTACTATTCAGACACGTGTACTCTGATGTTATAAAAACATGTATTTTGTCATTTTAAGAGCATATGAAGGAAAAACAAGCATACCTGAGTGTTATGATTAGAGACGTCACGTAGAAAGATCAATGCAAATTTGTTTCTCAGGGGAAAATTTTGGGCTAGATATATAAATCTCGGAATCCAAACAAAACCTGGTGATCTAAATAACATTATTACCCAGTTATTCTCTTTCACATAACCCTGTTTTAATTCTCTGCATAGTGCTTATTGCTCTTTGATATTTTCTTATTTATTTTTTGGTATATAATTTTTCTCCTTCCATTAAAGTGTAAACTTTGTGACAGCAGGAATAGTGTTTGTGCTGTTCATTTCTCTATTTTCAGCATTTAGAATAATGCCTAAGACATAGAAGACACTCAGTAAACATTGGTTCAATGAATAAATGTATGGATACCTTCCTGTCATAGAAAAGGGAAACAAAAACTTTTTTTTTTTTTTTTGAGACAGAGTTTCGCTCTGTCGCCCAGGCTGGAGTGCAGTGGCACGATCTCGGCTCACTGCAAGCTCCACCTCCCGGGTTCACGCCATTCTGCCGCCTCAGCCTCCCGAGTAGCTGGGACTACAGGCGCCCACCACCACGCCCGGCTAATTTTTTTTTTTTTTTTAGTAGAGATGGGATTTCACCATGTTAGCCAGGATGGTCTCGATCTCCTGACCTCGTGATCCGCCCACCTCGGCCTCCCAAAGTGCTGGGATTACAGGCGTGAGCCACCGCGCCCGGCCAACAAAAACATTATCATACATGTGAAGTGCAGTTTTATTGTCATTAAATATGAGTAACCTTAATAGACCATTAGCTATAAGACTGAATCACTATTTAAAAGAGAGGCACATTTTCTAAAACCAATAATCGTTTAGAGGTGAGATAGCTTTTCTCTAGCATAAAACTGGCTTACAAGTAGTAACCCTATACTGTATAGCACAGTGGTTAAGATCACTGGTTCTGGAGCCAGACTGATTCACAATCCTGATTATGACGTTTACTAGCTATATTCCTTAAGAAAATTATTTAAGCTCTTTGTACGTCCATATTATATAATAATAGTGCTTACCTCATAGGATTATAGTGAGGGTCTCATAAGTAAATAAATGTAAAACACTTAGAATAGTGTCTCACATATAGTAATCATCTATCATCCTCGTCATCCTCTGCATCATTATTATTACTACTTCAAATTAACGCATTTTGATCTATAGACAGAAACTTGGTAATTATTTTTTTCTTGAAGGAAATACTAGAAAGCAAAATTGCTTTTTTAAAGAGATGGCGTTATTGTTAACACTGGGTCTTTCTTACATCTGCTTCAGATTTTTGCTATGGGTTACAAGCCAGCAAACAGATTTAAGGACTTTTGATTTTCCTTTATCAGTGCCTAGATAAACTTTTTCTTTGCCCTGCATCTAGTTAGGCCTGGATCCCCTGTAGAAGTGGGATAATATTTTATTCAAGATTATGTCCTGTCAAGCCTTTCAATTTCCATTTGAGGATGCTTATCCTATCCTCACCGCAATGATGGTTGGAAATTGTGTCTCTGCATTGAACTGCACCTAAGCAGTAAGCAGAAGAGCTGTACTCCAGATACTTGTGTCAGGGGATATAACGGAACTCTCTGCCTCTATCAAAGCTCAGAGGAGGATTGCCTGAGGGAATAGCTGTACCTCCATTCATTTAGTACATCCATTTCGAAGTCTATCCTTGGGTTATCCAGCTTAGTGAGACCTATAAATCTGTACCATATCATATCAACCGCCACTTATTACCCTTTACTGAATTACACTTTGATATTTCTACTAGTGGCCTATGTATAAGAAAATTGCTTAAAGAAAAAGCTTCCTTATAAAATTCATTATGGTGTTTATTGTAAAGATGTTAATAAGTTGTAATTCAACACAGTTACAGTGTCTTTTTTATGAAGGCCCACTGGTGAATTTTCTTTCTGGCTCTAGAACCAGAAATCATGGTGCTTCTCATTTACAACTGGTTTCTGTTGCCTAATGGGCACTGCAAATTTCACGGTTAATGCAGTGTTCCTTTCTACATTGGCTATTACAAGCTTAGAGCCAGAAGTTGTGGCCTACTTCAAGAAATTCACAGAATCTTATGATACACATTTTGTGCATCATCCTTGTTATATTCATTATTGGTTTGATATCCTCTTTCTACTAGCATTTTTCCTTTGCCCCACACTCCTCATCCATTTATTCTTAAAATTACTTTATCTCCCTTTATTGTCGGTATTTATAGACAATAAAGTGGGACATAATATTCAAAATCACATCATTGAATGCAAGCAATTTCTTTTCTAACTGCGCATAAACAATGCTTGATGAATTCCAGTCACTCTGAAGCCATCAATTTGAGTTATTTTCCCATAAAGAATATCTACTATGGGGAAATCTACATATTTTTACAGAAGACAATCATTGCCCTATCTAGAGGACACTGCACACAGCACGAATGCATATTGTTCACATGGAAAGAGTCACTGCGATTCATAGCTAGCCGGTCTGGATTTGATTCTGATAATGTCAAGTGTGGGATAGACAGTAATTCATACCAGGTGACTTGATATAATACATCAAAGGTACCTTTTCAGTTAAACTGTATGAAATTGCCACTAATTGACAGATCTTGACCTACAAAAATAGCAATATCATATGGTTCAACATAATGCTGGTTCAAATAACTGTGAACAAGACTCCATATTGACCTTATAGAATCATGTCACAGAATGAACTTAATTGCGTTGGCTCCTATAAAGGGCTTACATTATACTTTTCCCTTCAATTTTCTTTTATAAGAAGTAGATTTCTAGGCCATTTTTGTTTATTTTTGCAACAGAAACATTATCAGCTAATAGGATGCACTTCTGATGATTTTGATAAACTTGTAGACAGCTATTATACCCAGGGCATTTATTCTGAAGCAAATGCATAGGGGAAGCGAGTATGCTTGCAATGAGTTTACACTTTAGAGTCAAAAACAAGGCATTGAGTCCATGTTTTGCCACTGACTGTTTCAGTATGTCTGAGAAAATTATTCTCTAATTATCAGGTTAGTTATGTATTAATGGGAAAACACTATCTACCGCAATATGTTGGGGACTTTTCTTACCCCCTTGTTATAGATTTGTAGAAGGCTTTGATAAATAAGTCAATAGCTTTCCTAGTTAAAAACATAACTGTATTTTCACAGTACTTCTGGGATTCTTAATGAACTAGAAACTTAATTGATCCAAGACTTTCTAAACAGATCTAGCTGAGCACATATAAAACAATAGAAGTGTTTTCTAAACTCTATTTTATTTACTTTTTATTTTTTTGAGACAGAGTCTGCTCTGTCACCCAGGCTGGAGTGCAGTGGTGTGATCTTGGCTCATTGCAACCTCTGCCTCCCAGGTTCAAGCAATTCTTGTGCCTCAGTCTCCTGAGTATCTGGGACTACAGGCATGTGCCACCACACCCAGCTAATTTTTGTATTTTTAGTAGAGATGGATTTTCGCCATGTTGACCAGACTGATCTTGAACTCCTGGCTTCAAGTGATCTGCCCGCCTCAGCCTCCCAAAGGCCTGGGGTTACAGGTGTGAGCCACCATGGCTGGCCTCTAAACCCTATGTTTTTATGTATCTAGTTGCTATAATTATTATTTTAACAACAAGGGCTAAGTTTTCCCAGGCATAAAGCTCCCTATCTGGGCATTTTAGATCCCCAGAAATCCTGTGGGATATAAGGGGCAGATGGAACAGCGTGGCATTCCAAGTTTGAGCAATGGTGAAAGTGCTGTTTTAGAGTAACCTAACAATCCGAGGGTTACTACAAGCATCTTTGTCAGAATTCTTCAGCAATGGACTACTACTTAAAATTCGCAAGGCTTCTGAATCACAAAGGAAAGGAAGCTGTAATTATTCTGACTACCATAACTATAGAAGTAAAATTAACTGTATTTATTCTTATTCTAAAATAATACAATGAAAGCTTTAGAAAAGGTCTATTTTTTTCCCAAGAAAGGGACAATTTTGTATATAATGTTAGCCCATGGCAGGATTTTAACACATACTGTAAAGAGACAGTATTATTTGCTCTCCATTATGTTTCTCAACTAGCAAGCTAGTATACAATTAGCCTTTATTGCATGCTAAGGATTTGGAGCGAAACTGTTATTTAAAAAATTCCCTTTTCTCAATTCAACCAGAAAAGTAAACACGTAAACAAAAGCAATTAATATTCATTTGGCATATAATAAATGCAAGGCCTTATGCTAGGAAATGATTTACATATGTTACATATGTCATCTCATTAAGCCTTTAAAAAGGAAAGAAAAGCATAAGAGATATAGAATGAATTAGTGCAAAAGATAGGTTAATTCAAAATGAAACCTTATAAATTAAATGTCCAGGAAGTCAACATCCTCTGACTGAAGGCATTTCTCTGTCTTTTTAAAAGATATTTCCAAAGAATACAATTGGTAAATGTACCCAGACCTCTGCTAAGAATGATAGGTTGTACTAAAGAAGTTTAGGGAAGGATAAAACACTATGCCCTCTCTCAGAAGCTTAAAATCTTGGGAAGTTGGCATGAATAGAATATAATCATATGAAATCAAATGGCAAATCAAGAAATATAGCAGAAAAGGGCTATACAGGCTTTGGATAAAGGAAGATGATTAAGGTCTTGTAATTTGAAAAATATTCTTTAAAAGAGGAGATATTTGGATAATTGGGACAATGGTTGAAGGCATTACAAGGCAGAAAATAGAGGAAAAGCAAAAGAAAAGGAACTGAAATAGCACTGGTTTTGCTTCAATGGATAGGTGATGCTTAGCTTAGAGAGAGTTCTTGTGCATCCACAAATACAAAACAGCTTCCGACACTGAGGACATGTAACTTTGTCAAATACAGAAAATGTAAAATTGTGAAGAGGTACAACCAGTGCATATAATTACAAGAATATAGATTACTACTTTGAGTTCTTGAATTGCATTCAATGTGCATTTTTTTCTTAAATTAATTTCCCCAATAAGAGGCAATTTTAGTGGATTTCAAACTTAGAATATGAGCTGTATCCTTGTATTTTGAGCATATTTTTGTGTGCAATAAATGATGAGACCTTTCCAAGATGAATCTGTTGTTACAGTTTTCTTTTCCCATTGCTATTCTCCTTGGTTTATTTCCCTTTTTATTGCCCATTGCTTTTAGAAGGAATAAATATTAATGAGTTCTACAATGTAGTTTGCACTCCTCTGTTAACACTGGAGAGAGTAGCTACTCCCTATTGAGCAATCATCAGCAAGGCAGGGAACAACCAGCCCTAGCCACAAACCATTTCTTTTACATCTTTAGATAGCAGGAGTGTGCCTCTGAAAAAATGCTACTCATTCACCAGTGCACATCCCTGAGTGCTCATTTCAAAATTCCTCCTGGCGCTATCATTCATCTACAACGAACTCGATGAAATAAGTGCTTAAGGGTTACAAAAAGCACGGATACTATAGTCCCTTGATAGTGTCAGGTTAGATGACATTTTATCCACCATCTTTCTTTCATTAATGGAAGGTCTGTATTAACTGCTATGTCTTCTTTCCATCTCAGGTTACAGGTATGAAGTAAGATGAAACAGTATCTATCCTTCCCTAATTTCCCAGCTTAAATACTAGCAAAGTATTGTGAGTTTCTAAAGATTTAGAGCTCAGGGATCTAAAACTGGGGGGTCAAAGAATGTAGAAAAGACTAATATCATTACTGAAAGGTCCAGTTCACTTTGGAAAATATATAGTGACTTTTTCTAGTCATTCCATTCTTCCCAGTCGTACCTCTAGAACTATGGGGAAAACAAGGCTTTTCAAGAAACAATGCATGTGTTTCTGTTTCTCATCTTAAAGTAGTCATTCTCACTGGCTGTAATAGAGGACAAAAATCTATGTTAGAATTAGGGGTAGATTTATTGAGAAGCCCATGAAGCTTAAGGTTTGGGCCCTTCTAAGGCCCTGGCAGAGATGTTAGTGAGTGATTTTGAATTTGGAATTTTGAAATCTGGCTGTTTTTTTTAAAATAACATTTAGGGTTCTCTAAATCGCATAAGCTTTGGGTCCCAAAAGACTCTCATTAGCTGCATGGTAAAATCAACTCTTGATTATAATCAATGACAATCCTTATAAAAAACAGATTCCTGCCTCATTCAGGACCTACAGAATTACAGCCCCAGTGGGTAATATCTAGGAATGTCTGCATTTTCTTAAAGCATGCAGGTGATTCTTAAACTATATTTTGAGGATATATGCTTTAGAGAAAAAAAATTCACCTGAGGAATAAGGGTACAGGTTCGTTATTAAGGACGGACCATGGTGTAGTGCACTCTCAGGGATTAGACAGCCCCAAACTGACAGATCCATACAAGTCACCCTATGTCAGCCTTGTGAAGGGTCAGTCTAAACTCCAAGTACACAAAGCTATAACTTCAAGGCTTTTATCAGGCTATAAACTTCCTGATGACAAGTATCAAGTATACTTTTTTAAAAAATCACCAGAAAATACTATGCAGCCATTAAAAGAATGAAATCATATCCTTTGCAGGGACATGGATGGAGCTGGAGACCATTATCCTTAGCAAACTAAGACAGGAACAGAAAACCAAATACTGCATGTTCTTACTTATAGGTGGAAGCTAAATGATGAGAACACATGGACACATAGAGGGGAACAACACGCACTGGGGTGTTTTGGAAGATGGAGGGTGGAAGGAGGGAGAGGATCAGGAAAAATAACTAACTAATGGATACTAGGCTTAATATCTGGGTGATGAAACAATCTGTACAACAAACCCCCATGACACAAGCTTACCTATGTAAATGAACCTGCACTTGTATCCCTGAACTTAAAATACAAATTAAAATAAAATAAAAACATAAAAAATTATATCTTCAACATCTAAATCAGTGGTGTAACCTAATAATTGTTCAATAAGTATTTGTTGAGTGAATGAAAGAATAATAAGTGAGATACCTAAATTTGCAATCCTTCCTCTACTGTAATTGATGGTCAGAAAAATAACACTTGGGAGAATGAACATAGAATGAGTTTAATATTAAATCCTTGCAAGTGTGTGTTCCCAACATACACATTTAATCTTTGAAGCAACCAAATAATTAATATAATGTCTTAATAAATGTAATTAATATTGTTATTATCATTATCATCATTGTTATTACTACTTTTTAATAGTGGGCATTTGGGACTTAACTGGGTATTTATACGTACTCATTATTCTTCATATTGTTAGAGATATTCTATTGTTTGTAGTCTATTAAAATATTCCTGTGTCACAAGATTATTATCCAATATTTTATTATTAGCTTAATATGACTCATATACTTTATTAGTACATCATCCATGACTTTGTACCAGACACCAATATACACCATGAATTTTATAATCCTGTCTGGGTAATAATTTCTTTGCCAATGTCATTTTTGTCTTTTCCATTAGCAAACTGGGAAAAACTAGAATGATAAAAAGAGAGATAGGTTTGAAATACTCATGAATTTTCACATGTTTCTATCCTTCAATTTTAGAAGTTGGCAATTGCTTTCATGCTTCATTGAACAATATCAATTTGGTAACATGATTGCTTCTGAATTTTACATTTGTAAAGATCATCCTTCACTCTAAAAATATTGGAGAAAATTCTGGGCATTTTTTTTTATTATCTAAGAAAATGTTCTATCAAATGCCATTTAATTGATCCAACCTCTTACTCTCCTGAATAGTTTTGACACACTGTACACATATATGGCAAACTAATATTGTTATTTCCTTGAAAAAATATGATTTTTACCATGCTTTGTATATAAAGTTGGCATTATTGACTAGAAAATATTAATACACAGTGTGATCTGTTAGTCTGCTTACATATTTTCCAGCGGTGGTGACTGTTTGGACTCAATAGTCCACACTCTTAGTTTGGTCACTGTAAACATTTGTAATACAGCTGATTTGTCTCTCAGATGCAGTTTATAGTTAGAACAAAATAATTTTCTGTAATAATCTTTTACTCTGACATTTTAAAGCTCCAATTCTAGTCTTTATTTGGTATTAGATAGTCCGTGTAAAAAAATCGGTATTTTTTTCTTATTTAGTACTTCTATTAAATTGATTAAATTTTATCCAGCCTCTTTCATTTTTTCTATTGGATTGGAACAATATATATGCACATTACTTAATTATTAATACTTGATTATATTAGTGTATAATAATACATAAGTATACAATAATATATTAATAGTTATTAAAACCAAAATATGTATTATTACTTAATAATTATGCTTAAATGTTTAACATGCATAATGTTAGTAAAATAGAAGGGTGTTCAATATTTCCACCTTTTTCCTAAGCAATACTCTCCTTATTGTTTCCTATCCTATATTATTTTTGTTCATCAACTAAATGCACATTATAATATTAGTATTGCTTCATACATATCTCTGCTTAATTAGACTATCCATGGGTTTACCAAATTCTTTTCTCATCTTTAATCAATCTTTCTTGGTTTGATTTCCTTCTTCTTAAATATCCTTTGGCAATCTTTCAGTGAGAGTTTATTGAAGGCAATCCCTTTCACCTTTGTCTAAATTTTGCCCATACTTTTGAAAGTTAGGTAGCTGGGTAAATAATTCTACGTTGCCAGTTACTTTCCTCTCAGAACTCTGAATATATAATTAGTGTTGTTTTGCTTTTCTGTAGCTGCTGAAAATTTCACTATTAATTTGCTAATTCCTTTGTAAATAATGTTTTTCTTGTCTCTATTCCTTTCAACATATCTTTGTAGTTGTTGAGCTGAAATTTCACTACATTGTCCCTAGTGTGGGTATTTTATTATCCTGCTTGAAAATTCTTGTTTTTCCTAATTCTGTATATCTGTGTTTTTTTTTACCACTTCTGGAGCATTTTCTCTCCCTTGCTTTTGATTCTTATATTCTGAACCTTCTTGTCAACTCTGCATGACTATTATCCTCATTTTTATTGTCAACTTCTATTCTCAGTGTTAAATATTCAATTATTTCCTTATTTTTTTTGTCTTCAGTTTGCTAATAACTCTTTAGTTCAATCTGTCCAAACTACCCATTTATTTATTTCCAGTGAATGTGTTTTTCAGTTCTAAAACTACTATTTTAAAAAATTGGTCTTTTTAAATCTGACTCATTATTTTTAATCTTGTAAAGTTTTTCCTTTAAATCTTTAATAAGTTTTTAGCATTTTATGGTCTCTATGTGATTTTTTGTTTGTTTTGAGACAGGGTCTTTCTCTGCCACCGAGGCTGGAGTGCAGTGGCACAATCTTGGCTAACTGCAATCTCCACCTCCTGGGCTCAAGAGATCCTCTTACCTCAGCCTCCCATGTAGATGGGACTACAGGTGCATGCCATCACGCCTGGCAGTTTTTATATTTTTTTGGTAGAGACAGTTTCACCATGTTGCACAGTCTGGTCTCGAACTCCCAGACTCAAGTTATCCACCCGCCTCAGCCTCACAAAGTGGTGGGATTACAGGCAAGAGTCACCATGCCTGGCCTCTATCTGCTATTTCTAATACAGTATTTTCAATCTTGGGAGTCTAATCTTACTGCTTGTTAGGCATTTTAAATCCTGTTTATGATGGATTATTTTTCCTTGCATAATTCATAATTTTGGATGGTGCAGTTTACAGGGGTAAATCCTGTGCCTTAGGTTAAGGTATTTTTATCTAGAGAGTTTTTGCATTTGTTTATTTCAGGCATTCTAGTAGTACCAGTGGAATGATATAATTTCTTATATTAATTTCTCAGCTTTGCAGTTTTTGGACTCATGGAAGTAAGCATAAGTTTGAAACTAAAACCAATATGAATACAGACCCATAATTGGAATTCTTAGTGAGTCTTATTTTTCTCCTAAGTTAAGACTGAGGCTGACCTATTTAATTGTCATCTCCCTCTACAGGTAAGTTGAGTTTCTCTACTTACTTGATTATCCTTTGAGATTAATGAAGTAATGCAGTATTTTTGCCTGTATTCTCTTTCTCTGGCTAAAGTTTCTGTGTCATGCTCCTTATTGGCTTCACTCCTCCTAGGTTCCCAAAATGTGTAACACTTTTCCTGTACCATCCCCACCCAAGGGCAACCACAGAAAGCATCAGCAGCTCAGCCTTGCTGGTTTGTTCTGGGGAATCATTTAGTTAGTCAAGACCTCAGTTCTGCCCTTAAGATCATTTAAAACAACATTGGAAAAAATATATATGCAATTATTAATAATTGATTATATTACTGTATAATACATAATTATACAAATATATTAGTAGTTATTAAACAAAAATATGTATTTTTACTTCATAATTACTCTTAAATTTTTAACATGCATAATGAGTTAATAAAATATAAGAGTGTTTAATGTTTCTACCTTTTTCCCCAAACAATATATTCCAAGTGTGTGAATCTTGACTAGGTGTTATATAAAGGCTGTTTTTTCGTGTAAGCTAGTCTGTCACATAGCTTGAATGGGAACAGAAGAGTAATTTATAAATAGTTATCTTCAGGCAAATAAAGTTAAGTAATGTGCCTAAGAATACATGCCAAGCAGAAATGAAAACCAGGTTTCCTGATTCCTATCTGGGGTTCTATTGAAAATAGCCTTAAGATGAGAAGTTAAAAGACTTTTAAAGTATATACTATATTTAGAAAAGATAAAAGAAATAAAAACTGTTCCCTTAAATTAGTGTCCAAACTGAAAACAAGGTGTGTGAATCTTGACTCATGTCATTTGATTTAAGGACTAGATCATGTGTCCTCTATTCAAATTCAGAGGTGTAAACAGTTCTATATTCAGAGATAAAAGGCAGTGTGAGTGCGAATATAGCCTCTTTGTGAAACAGAATTTAAGGAAGTGGGGGTGGATATTTGAAATATTCAAGAGATAATTTTCAGACAAATTAAAAGAGATTGTACCATTTTATAAAGGGAACAGTAAATATATCAAACAGCAAATGTTTATTAAAAACCTACCAAGTCAAAGGTACAAAGCACAGTACTCATGTTTATCTGACTTCTGAGCTGCCTCATGATATGTTTCTTTGCCTTTTTGGTTGAATACTTCCTGAAGTCTCATCAGTAAGCTGTTTCTCCAATAAAAACTCTTACATTACCTCTGGGTAGACAACTAACTACCTTAATCTAATTCCCAGCATGAGTTTTTATTACCTTTTACCCCAACAGCTGAACCTCTTGACATCTCACTTTCCATTTTGTAGTCCAGTGATCACAGAGTAATTTCATAGGGTAAAAGCTGTTCTCTCCCACAAGATATACAGAGGACTGGCTAACAAGGAGGCTCTGATTCCTTTGGGGATTCCTATGTTTTAATTATTATATACAGTAAGTCCTCATTTAACGTCACCAATAGGTTCTTGGAAGCCTTGACTAATGATCGTTAAAAGAGAACTCATTTCTCCATAGGCTAATTGATATAAACAAGAGAGTTAAGTTCCCACCGCATACGTCTGGTCACAAAAACATCACTAAACTTCTAAATAAAGACCAAAACACTTTTAATATTAAACACTGAAATAAATCTAAGCTTACATACACTTAAGAAAGATTAAAAACAAGTAAGATCATTCATTACCTAATTATTCCAGTCTGGGGTCGTGGGTGGCCAGAGCCTATTCCGTCAGTTTAGGGAGCAAGGTGGGAACTGTGGCTGGACAACACACCATCCCATCTCAGGGTGCACTCACACACACACCCACACTCACTCAGACAGGGACTCCGTAGACATGCCAATTCACCTGATGTGAACATCTCTGAGGCATGTGAGCAAACCAAAATACCCAGAGAAAACCCATGCAGACATGGGAGGAACATGCAGACTCCACATTCCTCAGCTGGGAATCAATTTTTTTTTTCGCGTCAATGTTATGACAAAATGTTCATGGACAAAACAGCATTATTTGAGGACCTGCCGTATTATTTTCCAGTGCTTTTTACATCCCACTGTATTTACAGTGCATTGTGTTTCCAAGCTGTAGCCATCATGGGTTCTAGTCCTTTTTCATTTACCATATTAAGATGAGCAGAAAGTGGTATGCTTAGAAATACAATAAATTATGGAGTGTTTATACTTATATTATTCTCAAAAAGTGTTCATAGCCAAACTTTATATGCCTGTTTGTATAATTATAGTATACTAGTGAAAGTTTTAGAAGTCAGTAAATTTAAAAATCTTGTTTTCCTGTGATTTACATCTACATAATGGTGTTATAGAAAGTCAAAAAACATGAAATCATTTTTCTTCATGGGACAGGTTTGATATATTTTTAGCAAAATAGAAAGTAAAAATAAACCACTCCCTTTCCTAAACGACTTAAGGATTGCATCTGAGAATCTATGGAGACTCTCTTAGGTATCAGCGACACATGGTTCCCTTATACACACTTCAGGTGGAACTATCATGTAAAATATTCTTACCTACCTTTTATTTCAAAAGTGAGGAACAGGAAAGACACAGCACAAGACTTCAACACACTCTGATATTTACTTTCTAAAATAACAGGAAAATAGCACCGTAATGCATAGCCTTTCTTTTCTTTTCTCTTTTTCCAAAAAGCTTTTTCTAAAGTGGGTTTATGTGTGGAAACCGTAGACAAAATATAGTGATAAATAATTTACTTTCCATTTAGCAATGGTGTGACTATTTTATTTTCTTATTTCTTTGTTGAGCATGAGGAAATGCGAGTTTTTTACTTACCTTTCCGTCTATCCATTCACAGTTCAATCATCCATCCCTCCGCCTATCTTCCCATTGATCCTCCAATCCTTTCTGTTGCTATATCTCATTCTATGTCATCATACAGGCTTATTATCTAGGCTGTCTTTCTTAATAACCCTCAATCCCACAGACAATATCCAGATTTTAGTGTGGATTTTTAATATGTTTTCTACAGAGAAATGCTCTTCAGTTTCCTATAAGTCACTGTAAACTTAATGTTGTCTTATAACCAATACTTTCAGCTTCCCTCACTTAAAAACATGTTCAATCTGTACTAAATGGAAGAATTTCTTGAGTTACTGTAGGTAAAATCTACTTTCATTTTACTTTGAACTCTAAAAAAATCAATTTACTTCCATGCATCCAATGATCAGCAAGATGTTCATCAACTTTCTAGGACTCATACAGATAACCTCCCCACAGGCAAGGCCTCTTCCTGTCATATTCTGATAAGGGTAGATTTCACGCCAGCATAAGCTGGACATTCTTCACATATCAGCTGGCTGAACAAAAACTGTCAAGGGTTTTACTACTGACACTGTCAGTAGGGAACTTGTCAAGCCTTTCTTCTACGGAAATGATATAGTAGAAATTCTGCTCACCTGAATATTGTGGGGGAATAGTTGTCAGGATTGGGAGGGTTACCTACAGCTAAGAGCAGTGCAATAATAAAATATAGACACTCTCCAATATTGATGAGATATATTTCTTCCTACTCTTTACAGGTGCTATCTCCAACTTAGGATATGTTCTGATGATATAATTCTACTGACACAAATAGCATACTAAATTGTGAATATTTTACTAAAGACCTTGTGAGTACTTTAATAAGATACATTTTATTATTTTGGAAATTAAATGTATTAACTCCGAGGATAAGAATTTTTCTGTCCCTTATGGTGTGTGTCACTTAGTAGTACAGAATATACCAATGAGTAAAAAAGTTATTAATGCTTCCTGCCTTTATGCTAAGGTAGTCAGTATCATTCCCCTGTGTAACACAATGCACCAAGTTAATAAAGGAAGTTTACATAAATTTCATATCACTTGCTTTCAGTATTTTTTTGTACTAATACACTTTATTTTTGAGTTAAAGTATTTTGTTTTGTGTTAGGGTCTTTTTCACACCTTGGTTATATGTGAAAACAAGTCATCTAGAGAACACATGGTGTGAAACTGCAAAGAGAACAGTGTAGATAGTTCTTTAAGTAAAACTGAGTTGTTCATAGTACAGGTTGTTCATGGTTACACAGTCATGGATTCTTGAAATGAGTGTCTTCTTATTAGCTGGGGGAGTTGTTTTGAGGGATTTCTCTCTTTTATAAGATAAGCTTTACATTCTTTCATATGAACATGACTGAACATCGAGTGTGAATAATCTTCAAGCCCACAGCCTAATTGTTCTCCATTCACACATATTTATAGACTTCGCATGTCACCCCTGGGATGCTGGTATACTGAGTATGTTTCCTATTGGGAAATGTTAAGTGCTCCCGGGGAGAAACTAACATAGTCTAAATTTGGTGGAATAAATGCTACATTTTTAGGGAGAATTAACTGTTTTTGCAAAGACTTTAAGAAGTTCGTTAGTATTCTTGGTATTTGATATGAAAGGACACACACTCCTAAATTATTCATGTTACATATTTACATGATAAATATTAATTTTAGGTGAATTAGTTACCTCCATATCTATTGACCTTTGCTTTGGCATTTGCTTTAGTCTAACAACTACATCTTAATAATGATATTCTTGCAATATTCCTTCTTTTTCTGTGACTGTTTTTGGTGTCTGCAGTGATTTAGCAGTGGTTGGGGGGAGCTCTAAAAGAAAATGCTTTAAAAAAAATACCCAGTTGCAATTCAGAATTCTGAAGGATCTTTGGAAAGCAATAACCTACAGGACATAATTGACATTCCAAAACTAAAATCTGATCTACCTCTAGCAATGAAATTATACTACCCTGGAAAGACTGCTATAATAAATCTACTTAAGAGTGTTAAAATGCAGCCATTAAAGTGGCCAAGAAAATATTAATGTCCTAACATTACATGTTTTATGTTACTTCCTTATAACCTCAAGATACATTAGTAGTAAAATGTATCCCTAGGCTAGACTCCTAAATGAGTTGACATGCTGTGTAAAGTTAGTGGATACAGAACAATTAAATTTTGAAAGTTGCAACTGCAAAACTTCAGTTTTTTTCTTCCATGAATTACTGGTCACTGGTGTCAGTCCTTTTTGGGAGGGGCAGAGAAGCCATCTCTTCTTTGGTTTTAAAAACATTCATTTCTCTTGGTTCTTTACCTTATTTTCTGATCCTTTTTGCTCATATTCCTTCCCAAAATATTCTCCTTTTTTGGTATTTCATCTGGTGGTATCAAATAGGGCCTTTATCCTTGTTCTTTTTCTACCAAGGTATTTTCTAGGAAATCCAATCCTTTCCTCTCATCTCCTTTCCTCCCCTCCCGTCTCTACAACCTGCCAAATACAACACGCCCATCTTTACTGGTGAGATTTACCCTTGGTTTTTGCTTTTCTTTAGCATTGTGCATTCATACACATTGTTCCCTTGCCTGAAATGAACTCCCTCTTGCACTCTTGCCATGCTTCCCTGCAAGTAGTGTCTCTGTCGTCATTGAGCTCAAGTGCCACTCCCTCCATAAAGGGCTCTATTTCTACTACTCCCTTACGCTCATTCTGAAACTTGGTTGTATGGCATGGCATATTGCATTTTAATTACTGGTTTGTCTACATGCTCTCCTGATGACTTTGAGGACTTCCATGACATGCAATCTGTATTGGTATTTCTATCCTCACTCTCTTAAACAAATTGTATATGTTAATATACGTTCAATGGGTCAGTGAAAGAAGTCCTGCTATTCCTCAGACAGAAGGAGGATAAAGACTGCTTACAGTACTGCTTAAAGATGTTCATATTTGTGTGTGAACTTAAGATGTACTAATTCAATATACACTTAATCAAATAATTATGATAATTTTAGAGTCATATTAATATCTAAAATATATAGTTTTAGCTTGGGCCATTTTGTATTCACTTATTCTTTTGTACACTTCCTATATCTGGTCCTGAAACAGATTTAATTAAAAAAAGATTTATCTGCCAAACAACTGAAGAGTTTTAAAAAATGCCTTTGGGTTAAAGTTTTCTTTTACTGTAGTTTCTATTCTGTACTTATTTAAATTGAAATTGACAATTTTATTCAATATCATAATTAACTTATTTTTAACCACATTTTATCCAAATAAGATTTCTTTTGACAAGCAGGTTTTACTTCTTATATAATTTTGGAATTTAGAATATATATTTGCATGATATGTGTATATTTACAGATAAATTTTCGTCTAGTTTTTACATTATTCCTGCTAAACTTTGATGAAGAGGTTGAGTCAAGAAGGCCTTTAAGTCAAAATTTTAAAGAAACTTGTCAGTAAACCAGAACTGACCAAAGATGGAATTGTGTTAAATATTTTCACAACCATAATGTGGATTACTGTTTACCATAGTGAATACCAACCACAATGTGAACAGAAATGCAGCCCTCATAACCTGGATGGCTGTGTATATATCCCTTCAGAGCAATCACATGCTCAGTCAGTCTTCATAAGTGAATCCTTGAGAAGAAAGCAAAGGTTACCTTCTTTGTTCTTGTGGGTACTTAATTGTGAGAGGAGGTTTTCGTTGGCCTGCACGCAGTACACCTCTCGGGTCTGGATGCCCCCTCCACAGAGGGCCGTCTGGTTGCCGCGCCTCTTGTCCTGCTGACTGAGCAAAGGGTCCACACGGCACTCAGTCCACTCTGTAGTTCTCCAGCCATACCTAAATAAAGACAACACCACCAGCAGCAACCATAATTATTGAATGACGTGTTTCTCTACTCCTGTCATACTTTGTTTTAACGAAAATTAGTCTCAAAATCATTTTCCTAGAGAATCCATCGTAGACTACATCTATGGTGCATATTTGGTTTCAACTCCTTTATGCTCTGCAGTGCTCCATTTAACGAGGGGTTAAATTTAGGGTGATCCTGTTTCAATTGCAATTACTGGAAGTTACTTATAAATATTTTATGAAAAGGGAGCACAATGCTGAAAACATGAAATTTTATGTTCAATTAAGCTGAACCCAGGCTTGCCCTTTCTTGTTGCCTATAAACAAAGGTGGATTGAATATGAAAATGGGAAACATTCTGAGTGATGATGAACCAAAACATTTGCTTTGCCTTTTACAAAATAAATGAAAACTGCACAGTGTAGCAAGATTATGCTTGTATATTAGGGTTAAAAATTATAAGACAATAAATCAGAGTTTTCTCTTTATTGTCAAGAATAAGATTTTTTTTTTTTTTTTGGTAGCACTGAGCATTCCTAATGAGTGCGGATGCATGATGCAAAGAGCTGGCACTTCTCATCAGTGGAGCACAGGAAAGAAGATCTATGATGCTCAATTAAAGCTCCAATCAAGATTATGATGTGAGAAAAATGTCAGGGGATTGTCAGTCCAACACGTGATTGAAGGAGATAGCTAGGGAAATATTTCTCGATGCCACCGAAGACAGGAAGTGATGGCATTTCTCCACCTCAAGGAAAATGGATGTTCTAAAAGCACAAAGAACATGACTCATGTAGCACTTTGTGTCACTTTAACGAAGATGCTTCCTTAGTAATCAGATGAACAGCCAACATAGGTGCAAATGGATGTGCAAATATTCATCTGAATCAGGCAGAAGGTTAAACGGCCCTCAGATGTCTAATCTAGATGCTTCACTCTGTCAGTGGTAAGGTTTTGTGACAGTAAAGATGAACTTCATGCCTGTTTTTAAATTTTATAAGTGGGGATTTGTTGCTTAACGAATTGTGGGACTGGGTCATGAAGAAACAACACCTGACATTAATTTATAAAGGAAGTGCAGCACTCAGGTCAATTATAGAAACACGAATAATTGATGCCTGGTTTGGGGATTGAAGGGGAAGGAAGCAAAACCAAATAGATCATTTGTTAAGGGAGCTGCAATAATTGTTCTAAATAAATTGAAGTTCTGATTTAGGTCACGCCAAAAAGTCCAATGAGAGGAATAGCCTGTCAATAATTTAGATTGGTTACACATTCTATGAAAAATGCTTCCCCCCAAAAAGGGCATGGAGAAAGATACTCAAGGATATATGTTTATTTTGTTAATTGTGTTTGAATATCTGAGAAGAAAAAGAATAAAGCACTTAGCTTGCAACAAAAATAGAGGAAACTCATAGGAGAGAAAATACAGGAAATCCTGGCAACTTCCTTGAGCCTATTATGTGGGGAGGAACCAGAACAATCAGTGGGATAGGCAGAGACATTGGGGAGGAAATTCTCTGTGGAGGTTTCAGTCACTTTTCACATTAGAACACAATGGATGAGTCCAAAGTGCTGCAGAATTATATATCTGGTATAAAACATTACTATTTTTTTTGTTGTTGTTATAGGAATAGTAGTAGTAGTAATTTGCCTCCCCACTGGTTCATAAAGATCTAGCTATATGCATGTTCTTTAAATGTTTGGAATAATCCAGAGATGCTCTCAATGAAGTTCACACATCTCTATTGAAAAACTAATATAAGTTGCTTTATAAATATCCTATATACAGATTAAGCTGAAATATTGCTATTACCAAAATAATTCACAATGATAACTTGGAAATTATATTTTAATACTGTCATACTGCCAAATGTTTCAGAATGAGTCTTATTTAATCTGAATTCAATGAATATTTATTGAACACATATTTTGTACCAGGTATTGTGATATATGCTAGCAATTAAACAAAAAGCAAACAAGCAAAAAACCCAACCCTTTTCCCCATATTAGTAAGCACAATCTTTGTCCTCATGGAACTTAAAGTATCATTATTTTGATGTAGTATTTTACTCTAGTGAATAGGATTTGTTATACAAAGTACTGAATTTTAATAGTTAACGATAATCTATATTTGGAAAGTTTATTTTACCTTGTGGAATGGAGGTTGACAAACTGTGGCCCAAGATCATATCAACCTGCCACCTTTTTTTTTATATAAATAAAATTGTATTGGAACACAGCCACGCTCAGTTGTTTACATATTACCTCTAGCTCCAACAGCAGTGTTGAGTCATTGCAATAGAGACACGTATGGCCTGCAAAGCTTAATGTTTTAACTATCTACCCCTTTACAGAAAAATTTTGGCAACTCCTATTATAGAAAATACATAAACATAGAATTGGTGCTAAAAATTTCATGGAGATTTAGTTTGTCAGGACACTTTTATTCTGTAAAAAAAGTTTTTTTTAAGGATACTGTTTGTAAAGATATTTTTTATGTGTAAAAATTACTGTTGCTTAGAGTACTGTTCAGTCAAAATCAAATAGCTGAGCAAATGTAGTTTCGGCAGACGCTATACCCTTCTTTATTTACTCACGTGGCACAGGGGACAACTCCATCTCCTTGAGACAAACAGGGTTCTTTTTCTTCAAATTCTGGACACTCCTTTTCACTGCCAATGGGAAACTGCCTGATGGTTCGTGTCCTTACACGAGTGCCTGCAGGGGACACCATGTCATGGCATGTTTTTGAGCAGGGGCTCCACTCTGACCACTCGGAAACCTGGCACTCTTTGGTGATCACACAGGACTGGAAGGTCATTGGAAGCTTCTCTTGCTGGCAAAAGCTGTAAAAGAGCATTGATATTCTCATTACAGACTCACAGGCAGTTATGAACTTTGTCTTCTACGCTCAAGAGTGAATCAGCTTGGGCATTTTTATTTCTACTTGGAGGTGTGATTCCAGTTTCATCGAAAATACATCAACATTTATGATGTGGAAAAGCAGTTAGACTCAAAGCTAACATTTGCATATTCTTCTGTTTTCTAAGAGTTGTTAAACCATTCATAGGAAATAGAAAATAAAGAGAATTAAGTAAAATTAGCTAAAGCTAAGTTTACCATACTGTTCATTTTACTCATTCCAGACTTGTTTTAACTTAGAAAATGAGAAACCAAGAACTGTTAACATATGCTAATTTCCATTCTGTTTAGGGAATCAAGTAAATATGCCTGCGTAAGTGTGATGGTTAATACTGAGTGTCAAATTGATTGGATTGAAGCATGCAAAGTATTGGTCCTGGGCATGTCTGTGAGGGTGTTGCCAAAGGAGATTAACATTTGAGTCACTGGCTGGGAAAGGCAGACCCACCCTTAATCTGAGTGGACACCATCTAATCAGCTGCCAATGCGGCTAGAATATAAAGCAATCAGAAAAACATGAAAAGAGTAGACTGGCCTAACCTCTCAACCTACATCTTTCTCCCGTGCTAGATGCTTCCTGCCCTCGAACATCAGACTCCAAGTTCTTCAGTTGTGGAACTCATACTGGCTCTCCTTGCTCCTCAGCTTGCAGATGGCCTATTGTGGGACCTTGTGATCATGTGAGATAATACTTAATAACTACACTTTATACATATATCTATCCTATCAGTTCTGTCCCTCTAGAGAACCCTGACTAAGACAGATTTTGGTACCAGGAGTGGTTCTACAGGAGCAGAATATTAAGGATGGAATTCTTTCATTGGTTTTGGGATTTCTGGAGTTGGCTGCTTAATATTAGACCCCAAAATGCTAAGGACTCTACTTCTAATAGTATGGAGAACACTCATAGTCCTTGGTGTGAACTGTTTAGGGAGTTATGCAAAATAAATGCATTTGACGCTCCTGATTCATTGCTTGTGAAGGCAAGGAGTTTAGAGACTCTATATATAACACCTTTGACCATATATGGAGAACCAAGAAACATAATGAAGCTAGTCCATTGCTCCTAAGTTCAATGGAAAAGTGATGAAAGAAAATGATAAACTCAGGGATTCTAACTCCTAGCTTCATAAGCAGATACTGAGCCTCAAATCTGCTAGATAAATTGTCCTGAGTGAAAGACTTATCTTCTGTTGAGAAGGAGCCGAAATTGTGGAAAAACAGACACAAGCTCTTATCATGTGAGTGGGTCATCTGCAAGGAAAGATGCATGCACAGCCTCACCAGGTGTCTACTGTTAAAGTGAGGGCATTGATTGGAAAAGAATGGGACCCTGCAACTTGGAATGCAGACGTGTGGGGGGACCCTGATGAAGCTGGGGACACTGAGTTTGTAAACTCTGATGAATCTTTTTTGCCAGAAGAAAAAGCTTCCCCATCCCCAGTAGTGACAACATCCACTCCCCAACCCATGCTGCCATCAGCCTTTCCACCTTTGTCTGAGGAGATAAACCCTGCACTGCCTGAGGCAACAGTGATGGCCTCCCCTGAGGCAGTTGCCAGGCAAGATAATGTTGATTCTCCTCAGGAGCCACCCCCAACACCCCTGTTTGCTTCTAGACCTACAACTAGACTAAAGTCCTGGCAGGCCCCTAGAGGTGGGGTTGACAGTGTGACCCATGAGGAGGTGTGCTACACTTGAGAACTGCTTGAATTCTCTAATTAATATAAACAGAAATCTGCAGAACAGGCATGGGAATGGATATTAAGAGTGTGGGGTAATGGTGGAAGGAAGATAGAGTCGGGTCAGGCTGAATTTATTGATTTGGGCCCACTAAGTAGGGATTCTGCATTTAATGTTCCAGCTTGGGGAGTTAAAAAAAGGTTCTAATGGTTTATTTGCTTGGTTAGCTAAAATATGGATAAAAGATGGCCCATTGTGAGCGAGCTGGAAATGCCTGATCTCCCCTGGTTTAATGTAGAGGAAGGGATCCAAAGGCTTAGGGAGATTGGGATGGTGAAGTGGATTAGTCACTTTATACCTACTCATCCCAGCTAGGAGGTCCAGAATACATACCCTTGACCAATGCCTTGCAAAATAGATTTGTGAGGGCAGCACCTGCATCTTTGAAAAGTCCAGTAATTGCTCTTCTCTGTATGTCAGATCTAACAGTGGAAACCAAAGTCACTCAACTACAAAACTTAAATACAATGAGAATAATTGGATCCTGAGGTGGCAAGGGCCAAGTGGCGGCACTCAACCATCAAAGGCAAGGCGGGCATAGCTATCGTAATGGACAGCAGAGGCAAAGCAGCAATCAGAATAGTCTGACTCATGTAGAGCTCTGGCATTGGTTAATTAATCATAGTGTTCCTAGAAGTGAAATTGATAGGAAGCCTACCGTATTCCTACTTAATTTATATAGGCAGAAAACTTCTAGGTCAAATGGACAAAAGACATTTGAATTATAAAAACAGAGAATCATGGCCCCTCAATCAATTTCCAGGCTTGAGCCAGTTTACAGACCCAGAACCTCTTGAATGAAAGGGAGGCTGGGTCCCCTTGGGGAAGAACACCACTACATTATGGACAATTTATGCTGTTAATCTTTCTTCCATCCTTCCCCAAGGAAACCTCTGGCCTTTTACCTGGGTAACTGTGCATTGGGAAAGGGAAATGATCAGACAATTTGGGGATTACTGGACACTGGCTCGGAGCTGACATTGATTCCAGGGGACCCAAAACATCACTGTGGTCCTCCAGTTAAAGTAGGTGCATATTGAGGTCAGGTAACTAATGGAGTTTTAGCTCAGGTCCAACTTACAGTGGGTCCAGTGGTTCCCGGGATTCATCCTGTGGTCGTTTCCCCAGGGCCAGAATGCATAATTGGCATAGACATACTTAGCAGCGGACAGAACCCCCACATTGGCTCCCTGACTGGTAGGGTGAGGGCTATTATGGTGGGAAAGGCCAAACGGAAGCCATTAGAGCTGCCTCTACCTAGAAAAATATTAAATCAAAAACAATATCGCATAGCTGGAGGGATTGAGGAGATTAGTGCCACCATCAAGGACCTGAAAGACGCAGGGGTGGTGATTCCTACCACATCCCTGTTCGACTCTCCCATTTGGCCTGTGCAGAAGACAGATGGATCTTGGAGAATGACAGTGGATTATCGTCAGATTAATCAAGTGGCAACTCCAATTGCAGCTGCTATACCAGATGTGGCTTCATTGCTTAAGCAAATTAACACATCTCCTGACACCTGGTATGCAGCCATTGACATGGCAAGTGCCTTTTCTCCATTCCTGTCCATAAGGCCCATCAGAAGCAATTTGCCTTCAGCTGGCAAGGCCAGCAGTATACCTTTACTGTCCTACCTCAGGGGTATATCAACTCTCCAGCTTTGTGTCATCATCTTATTCAGAAAGACCTTGATTGCTTTTCACTTCCACAAAGTATCACACTGGTCCATTACATTGATGACATTATGCTGATTAGATCCAGTGAGATCTAGTTCTAGAAGTAGCAAACACACTAGACTTATTGATGAGACATTTGCATGCTAGAGGATGGGAAATAAATCCGACTAAAATTCAGGGACCTTCTACCTCAGTAAAATTTCTAGGGGTCCAGTGGTGTGGGGCCTGTCAAGATATTCCTTCTAAGGTGAAGGATAAGTTGCTGCATTTGGCTCCTCCTACAACCAAGAAAGAGGCACAATGGCTAGTGGGCTTATTTGGATTTTGGAGGGAACACATTCCTCAACTGGTGTGTTAGTCTGGCCCATATACCGAGTGACCTGAAATACTGCCAGTTTTGAGTGGGGTCCAGAACAGGAGAAGGCTCTGCAATGGGTCCAGGCTGCTGTGCAAGCTGCTCTGCCACTTAGGCCATACGACCCCCCATATCCAATGGTGATTGAGGTGTCAGTGGCAGATAGGCATGCTGTTTGGAGCCTTTGGCAGGCCCCCATAGGTGAATCACATCAGAGGCCTCTAGGATTTTGGAACAAGGCCCTGCCATCTTCTGCAGATAACTACTCTCCTTTTGAGAGACAGCTCTTGGCCTGTTACTGGGCTTTGGTGGAAATTGAACGTTTGATTATACGTCATCAAGTCTCCATGTGACCTGAACTGCCTATCATGTACTGGGTGCTTTCTGACCCATCTAGCCATAAAGTGGATCATGCACAGCAGCATTCCATCATCAAATGGACGTGGTATAAATGTGATCAGGCTAGAACAGGTCCTGAAGGCACAAGTAAGCTACATGAGGAAGTGGCTCAAATGCCCATGGTCTCCACTCCTGCCACCCTGCCTTCTCTTCCCCAGCCTGTACCGATGGCCTCATGGGGAGTTCCCTATGATCAGTTGACAGAGGAAGAGAAGACTAGGGTCTGGTTCAAAGATGGTTCTGCACGGTATGCAGGCGCCACCTGAACGTGGACAGCTGCAGCACTAAGCCCCTTTCTAGGACACCCCTCAAGGACAGCAGTGAAGGGAAATCTTACCAGTGAGCAGAACTTCGAGCAGTGCACCTAGTGGTGCACTTTGCATGGGAGGAGAAATGGCCTGATGTGTGATTACATACTGATTCATTGGCTGTAGCCAATGGTTTGGCTGGATGGTCAGGGACTTGGAAGAAGCATGACTGGAAAATTGGTGACAAAGAAATTTGGGGAAGAGGTGTATGGATGAAACTCTCTGAGTGGTCAACAACTGTGAAGATATTTGTATTCCATGTGAGTGCTCACCAATGGGTGACCTCAGCAGAGGAGGATTTTAATAATCAAGTGGATAGGATGACCTGTTCTGTGGACACCATTCAGCCTCTTTCCCCAGCCACCCCTGTCATCGCCCAGTGGGCCCACGAACAAAGGGGCCATAGTGGCACAGATGGAGGTTATGGATGGGCTCAGCAACATGGACTTCCACTCACCAAGGCTGACCTGGCTATGGCCACTGCTAAGTGCCCAATTTGCCAGCACTTATGGGGGAATGGCCTTTTGAAGTCACAATTACAACGTAAACAAGGTAACAATAGTTTGCAGGGCTGGGGCAAAGTTCTCCAGACGGCCGTGAATGCTCTGAATCAGCATGCAATATATGGTACTCTTTCTCCCATAGCCAGAATTCATGGGTCCAGGCATCAAGGGTTGGATGTAGAAGTGGCTCCACTCACCATCATCCCTAGTGATCCACTAGCAAAATTTTTGCTTCCTGTTCCTGCAACATTACGTTCTGTTGACCTAGAGGTCTTAGTTCCAGAGACAGGAATGCTGCCACCAGGAGACACAACAATGATTCCATTAAACTGGAAGTTAAGGTTGCTACCTGGACACTTTGGGCTCCTTCTACCTTTAACTCAACAGGCTAAGAAGGGAGTTACAGTGTTGGCTGGGGTGATTGACCCAGACTAACAAGATGAAATCAGTTTACTACTCCATAACAGAGGTAAGGAAAAGTATGCATGGAATACAGGAGATCCATTAGGGCGTCCCTTAGTATTGTCACGCCCTGTGATTAAGGTCAATAGGAAGGAAAGTGGATAGGATAAGGAAAAGTATGCATGGAATACAGGAGATCAATTAGGGCGTCTCTTAGTATTACCATGCCCTGTGATTAAGGTCAATGGGAAACTACAACAGCCAAATCCAGGCAGGACTACAACTGGCCCAGACTCTTCAGAAATGAAAGTTTGGGTCACTCCACCAGGAAAAATACCACAGACTGCTGAGGTGCTTGCTGAAGGCAAAGGGAATACAGAATGAGTAGCAGAAGAAGGTAGTCATCAATACCAGCTACGACCACGTGGCCAGCTGCAGAAAAGAAGACCGTAATTGTCATCAGTATTTCCTCCTTCTTTTGTTAAAAACATGTTTGTTTATGTATACACTTGTACTAAGAAAATGTCTTCATTTTATTTCCTTTTCCCTTTATCATGTGACATAAGATTTACTGACTTCATATCAGTATTTAAGTATTGTTAACTTTATGTAATAGTATTTGGTTTGGGGATTGGTGCATTTCTGGTTGTACGAAGGATAGTTGTATTATGTTAGGCATAATTATGACCTTACTATTGTCTTTATTTTAAGATTATGTATCATCTCCGGAGATGTGTATGGGTTCAAGTTGACAAGGGGTGGATCTGTGATGGTTAATACCGAGTGTCAACTTGATTGGATGGAAGGATGCAAAGTATTGATGCTGGGTGTGTCTGTGAGGGTGTTGCCAAAGGAGATTAACATTTGAGTCAATGGGCTGGGAAAGGCAGAAACACCTTTCATCTCGGTGGGCACCATCTAATCAGCTGCCAGTGAGTCTAGAATATAAAGCAGTCAGAAAAACATGAAAAGACTAGAGTGGCCTAACCTCTCAGCCTACATCTTTCTCCTGTGATGGATGCTTCCTACCCTCGAACATCAGACTCCAAGTTTTTCAGTTTTGGGACTCGGACTGGCTCTCCTAGCTCCTCAGCTTGCAGATGGCCTATTGTGGGATCTTGTGATTGTGTGAGTTAATAATAAACTCATATATATGGCCTATTAGTTCTGTCCCTCTAGAGAATCTTGACTAATATAATAACTTAACACCATATTGTTTAGAATAGAAAAAAAATTAATATGTGCCTAAACATTCTTTTTAATATCACTTGAAACTTTACAGGCAATTATAATTATAATGTATGCTTATTCAAGTACATCCACTTTTCTATTCAAACTTTGACACGTAGGATACATGTGGGTTTCCTAATTAAATATAACATAAGTATTAATAATATACATCTATTTACCTAAAAACTGTAGAGATATCCACTAAATATACCTTTAATATTTATTTTATCAGTATTTATGTTCAAACTTTTATCTATCTACTTGTACTTTAATTAAAGGGATGGTGGATTCTAAATTATAATGCCTACATATGAAGATGAAGATGATGGTATGGACGTCATCAATTGGTGGTACATATACTTTGAAGAGTTTTCGTGAAATTGGATGGACTTGTGTTGATTTGTAGTTTAACTCTTGCGCATTCTCAATAATCAATAGTGTATATTTACAAGACACAGGGAGCTCTCGCCATGAAGAGCCATCTGGTCCAATGGGAAAATGCACTGATTCTTCTGCCTCATCATTCAGTTGCTATATTTAACTGTGGTAATCAACCATAGAGATGCTGGTCCATTTTAATGCAACAACTCATGTTCAATCTTCTTAATCCTACTGGCATATGTATGAAAATTGCATTTCCAGGAGACAATTACAGCTCAAAGCATCACAGTCAATTTGTCTGAGTTGAGGGGTCTGGGAAGAAGATCATCTGAGAGTGGTGGTAAAAGGGCTCTGTGAGTCAGCTCTGTTTTCCCTACAACAGAGAGGACCAAAATCCCATTGCTACTCAGTGTCATGTATTGATGCTAACCATGAAGCAAGACTTTCTCTTTGATGAGGAAGATTTCACTTTTATACTTATGAGTTTATCAATGAAAGTCATGCAAAATAATGACTGACATCTTCTGTAATTCCTCTCTTACAAAACTCTACATATTTCACTTCCTTTAGATACATTTCTTATTCTTCCTAATATTTTTTTCGTATTCATATGTATACATTATCCTCTTTTTCATACTTATTAAGCTCATATTGTATGTGCAGAGAAAGGATTAACAATCTCAGCTTTTTGTAGAGACTATGACTATTGGTTGACTGCCTCTAGTTAGTTACTCTGGTAACCTGATAAAAGAAGAATGACAACTTGTTACTAGATTATATTGTTTATGATAAAATATCTCCTGAGATAAATTGCACCTGCACTGGGGACACTGTGAACACCTGGTAAGCAGTCGCAGCTTTGGGCTTCTCTGCATGTGGCAACTCTTAGAACAGAGCTTGTCTCTTGTGGCAACCTTGGAGGCTATGACTGTAGGATCACTTCAAGAGATGCAGCTCTTGTGGGAAATAAAGCTTTTAAGCCAGGAGAGCTCCTGGACCTACCTGATATGCAACTCATCTTGCATCTGAACTGTGCTGCATGGACATCTAGGAGAATTTCAACCAGACGAGCAATGTGTGATACTACAATAACGACAAATTCCAGTTCCTGTTCTGTGTCCTTCTAAGCAGACTGATGACGGTGTGACTTATGGTAGACGTCTGAATCTTAAGAATTTGAATGTTTGGTAGAACCCAAAATGTAAAACTACTCACATTACCTTGTTTAATACTCTCAATAATCTTCTTATCTGGAGATCACTATTAGTCCCATTCCATAGAATAGCAGCCTTCAAGAGGTTAGAAAACTTGGCAAAGTTCACACAGAGTAAGCAGTTGACTGGAATTCAAACTTGGATTTCCTAAAAGCAAGGCCCATTTTCTTAACCTCACTTCTCACAGTTTAAACTGGCTATAAATCTGTTTGTTAGAGCAACTGCTTTTTTAGCCAATGCCAAAGTTACTGATATATTGTGATCAACTGGTATCACTGTCTCAAAGACACAGGATTTGTACTATCTATGCACTTTGCAAATGTGCTGCTTGCCCAAAGGAGAACTTAGGAATTATGGAAAAGACAAACCAGATATATTTTTCTAATAAATGTTAACAATTTTCAACACAGGTATTAAATATGAGAAATTAATTGCATAAAGAAAAATATGATATTATATGATTATATAGTTTACATATATAATATACATGTATGTGTGTGCATATATGTGTGTGTGTATGTGTATATATGTAGTTTATCTTTTTATAATTTTTCAATACCCCAAACCTTTCAACAAATGTGTATTAAGTAACTCTACTTAATACTGGGCTTCAGAAGTACAAAGATAAGATTACAGCAATTAAGTTGGAAGCATGTAATTTTGCTAGGGGAGGTACAGAAAGTTACATAAAGTAGTAGGTTACTATGGTGAATTTCAAATTACGTATTAGAATTTGTCATGTTGAGATGAAGGTAATTAATGGAAATATCAGATAAATAGCCTTTTTTTGTTCGCTTATTGGTGGATGGGAGAAAATGGATTTTTCCTTGGTCTCAATTTAGACAGTTTTGGGTGAGCAGTGAAAATAAGAATGGAAATTGAAGGCCTCGGTCTGATTCCAGGCTGTTATGTAAGTCTAGAATAAGACCTCCTGTGGGTGATAATGCCATTGAAACATGTGGCACAAAAAGAAGATGATATTTGTATTTTACGTAGATTCTGGTGGTGAGGTGGGAAAATGAATTATTACAATACAAGATTGAAGATAAGAAGATTCTCAGGTTTTTATGGTTTTAGGTCTAACGTTGATGGATTAAAGACTTAAACGTTAGACCTAAAACCATAAAAACTCTAGAAGAAAACCTAGGCATCACCATTCAGGACATAGGCATGGGCAAGGACTTCATGTCTAAAACACCAAAAGCAATGGCAACAAAAGACAAAATTGACAAATGGGATCTAATTAAACTAAAGAGCTTCTGCACAGCAAAAGAAACTACCATCAGAGTGAACAGGCAACCTACAAAATGGGAGAAAATTTTCGCAACCTACTCATCTGACAAAGGGCTAATATCCAGAATCTACAATGAACTCAAACAAATTTACAAGAAAAAAACAAACAACCTCATGAAAAAGTGGGCGAAGGACATGAACAGACACTTCTCAAAAGAAGACATTTATGCAGCCAAAAAACACATGAAAAAATGCTCATCATCACTGGCCATCAGAGAAATGCAAATCAAAACCACAATGAGATACCATCTCACACCAGTTAGAATGGCAATCATTAAAAAGTCAGGAACCAACAGGTGCTGGAGAGGATGTAGAGAAATAGGCACACTTTTACACTGTTGGTGGGACTGTAAACTAGTTCAACCATTGTGGAAGTCAGTGTGGCGATTCCTCAGGGATCTAGAACTGGAAATACCATTTGACCCAGCCATCCCATTACTGGGTATATACCCAAAGGACTATAAATCTTGCTGCTATAAAGACACATGCACACGTATGTTTATTGCGGCATTATTCACGATAGCAAAGACTTGGAACCAACCCAAATGTCCAACAATGATAGACTGGATTAAGAAAATGTGGCACATATACACCATGGAATACTATGCAGCCATAAAAAAGGATGAGTTCATGTCCTTTGTAGGGACATGGATGAAATTGGAAATCATCATTCTCAGTAAACTATCGCAAGAACAAAAAACCAAACACCGCATATTCTCACTCATAGGTGGGAATTGAACAACGAGATCACATGGACACAGGAAGGGGAATATCACACTCTGGGGACTGTGGTGGGGTGGGGGGAGGGGGGAAGGATAGCATTGGGAGATATACCTAATGCTAGATGACGAGTTAGTGGGTGCAGTGCACCAGCATGGCGCATGTATACATATGTAACTAATCTGCACAATGTGCACATGTACCCTAAAACTTAAAGTATAATAAAAAAAAAATGCCAAAAAAAAAAGATTCTCAAGATGATGATAACATTAGTATTTACAATAAACATATATTAGTGCTTACTATGTGCCAGACACTGTTCTAATGTTTATGTATATAAAATGTATTGAATTATTAATCTGAGACTTCAGAACAATTTCATGAAGTAGGTATTATTATTATTGCAACTTAGTACTGATGAAGAAACTGAGTACAAGGAGGTTAAAGAGTTTTCCCAAGGTCTTGCTTACGAAGCACTCAAACTGAGTGAGGTATTATGATGAATACAGGCAATCCATCATTGAATGTCTACAAAGAACCGGGTACCGTGTTGAGTTTTACCTAGAATATCTCAGATAATCCTCAAAACTGCTTTGTAAAGCAGAGGTCCACTCTATCTATCCATGTATTTGTTTTTAATAGTTACTGCCAGGAACTATTCTCTAAATGCATCACTTTAAAAAAACATATTTTTAATAATTAAAGCTTTCTTTAACATCACAATTTTTAAAAAATGTTTCTTTTTTTCCCAGATTTAATGAGATATGATTTATTTTTACAGACAAGGAAATGAAATTTAAATGTTTTCTCCAAGTCATACAGCTAGAAATTAGCAGGCCTGGAATTCAAACTATTCAGATGTTTCTAACTTTGGCAATCTTGCGAATGACAATGCAGTTCTCTGAAATGCAGAACACAGAATGAGAAGCAAATTTCTGGCAGTTTATAAATGAGTTTAACATTAATTTCTTGACTTGATGTGGATATATCCAGCATATATCCAGTAGGCAGAAATGTTGAGCAGACAGATGCAGAAGTAAAGGCTGGAATTTATTTGAAAGCTCAGGATGGCATATATGCTTCTTAGAAATCACAAGCATATCAGAGTTCAAAGCCAAGGCCACAGGAGTAGATGAGCGCTCACACACTGGGACTCATGTTACTGCTGCATCATACACACATGGCCTTAAAGTGGACCTCGGTGGGACCATGAGGACTGTAATGTTCATTTCTTTCATTTTGAAAATGGGTAGGTTGTATGTCTTCACTGTAGTGGCATAACCTGAACTGTCACCTGTAAATCATGTTTGAAAATGCTTTACTTAGAATTGACATATTTAAACTCTCTCCTTTATCCCTCCTCTCTCTATATGTACATGTATATATGTATATATGTATCTATCTATAGATATAGACACAGATATATGAAAAAACATTTTTTAAACTTTTCTTCCTAATATGGAAAAAAACAAATGATGGTTGCATTTTGGATGTCACCATAGGTCCACTGCTTCTAATCCAGGGAAAGTCATGAAAATGAGCCCAATAATTTCTCATCATTTTGCTGAAGTTTAACATCTGCAGTCTAGGGCACTGGAGTGGAAGTTGTTCCTACTGGCTTAGTCTAATCTAAAGTTTTGCTAATCAGAGCTGGGGCTGTGGACCAACACCATCAGCACTAACTGGGACCTTGTCAGACCCCCGCTCCATGCTACAAATCAGAATCTGATTTTAACAACATTCCCAGAAGATCCACATGCACAATAAAGTTTGAAAAACACTCAAGCACTCAAAAAATATAAGCCAGCTAACATTTACACTTAATCTTCATCAATGTAGCCCTACTTGTAACAGACAACAGAAATTCAGTATATCACACAGATAGAATTTATTACCACATATTAGGCAGTTTACCAATAATTGGATAGGCTGGAGGAAAAAGCCCTAAGCCAAGTTTCCAGAGCAACTTCCAGCCCTCAGAATTGCACTGCTGTTTCTCTAAAGCTTTTTCATAAAGCTATTTTCTGTGGCTACAGGAAGCTATGTTGCTGCTGGCACACACTGCCCCATGAAATGGGTACTCTGCCTCTCCCTACTGACCTCAGTTCAGAATCTAAGCCCAGCTCCAGAACATGTAATTGTTGGAATCTAAATCACATCCAGGCACCTGGCTGCAAGCAACTTTGGGAAATATCAATTTTAGTTTCCTGCCTTTGTAGTTCAGGAAGTCCCACTAGTGCAGTGCTAGTCAAAATGTGATCCATGAATGAAGGCAACTGTTTGTTGGGGTGTGCAATGAGCTAAGCACAGGAATTCAGAATAAATACTGAGGCAATTTTACAGCAATTTGAAATTGCTGTGGCATCCATGTGCATGATCAGTGGACTCAACTCGATGAACAGGGTATAGGCCAGTTTTGTTACTGTTGAATTCTACTTTGAGTGGCATGTGGCATGAGCTACATAATAGACATGCACAGTAAGACCATGTCACTGGAAGAGTAGGAAATCAAATGAAAACAAGCAACCAAAAATGTGACCCTTTGCCCCAGATAGCTTCAGAAGCTCTGCACTGGTGGAGTTGGATGATTGATGAGCGCAACCTATGAATGGGACCCTCCTAAACCCAGTTCAATTCCTAGCCCCTTTATGAGGCTTATTGTACTGTGATAAGCTTGTATGACTTTTCATAAATATAAAGCATTTTAGCACTTAAGAATATATTATCTGTAAACAAAAGCCATAGCAATATTTCATTTTTAGCCTCTGTAGAATGTCTCTAATAAGCACTTATAATATTCTTATTGAGTTACAAAAATGTTTTCTTCCTGTAAAGATACAAATAAATTTAATAATACTTTTTTATATTAATGATATTACCTGACATCACTTGACAATATTAACAAATTTCCCCAATATTTGTAATGTGAACAAACAATTTAGTGTTCAGAGTAGAGTAAAATATTCATTTTGTGTAAAGCAAAATATATTTGTAGGCTTGTATACTTTGTAATGACAGCATGGCCACAGATTTATTTAATTAGATAATTTGTCCCAAGAATGAAAATGGCTGTTCAAATACTGGCCTTCAAAATATAAGAGTAATGGGACTTAAACCACATGCAAACTGTTACTGTAACTCTTTTGACATATGTAACAAACCTGCATGTTGTGCACATGTACCCTAGAACTTAAAGTATAATAATAAAAAAATATATATATAAAAGAAAAAGGAAATGAGAAGCTTTTCAAGGTAGATGCATTTTTCACATATGCTAAGACAGCCATCAGCCGATTGACAGGTCTGTAGTCCCAACTCTTATGCTTTCATGTAAAAAGATTATATTTAAAATTATACTCAGATTTAGTACTAGAATATAACGCTAGTAGGAAATATATATGTTTTCCGACAAATCTATTGTTTGCTTTTTCAATACTAATGAATGGGGTAGGAGGATTTCTCAGTGTTTCTGAGACCGTTACTTATAGCAAGACAGAGGACGATGACTGCTGTGCTCATAGTCAAGAGATTTAAGATATTCCTAAACTGCCGCCCTTGAATTACATGACCCTGAGTAGATAGTGATCATTCTGTCCCACAGTTTTTCCATATGGTGAAATGATATTTTACTAAAAGATCAGTAATGCCCCTTTCTTCAATAAAATTGTTCAACATTTTAAGTTTTTATAACTTAACCTCAGTTCTGATTGTCTTGTGTTTTCAGATTGAACCTTTAAAAAAAAAAGACTTTTCCACCTTTAACTATGTTCAAGTCACACTTCTTTCTTGAATACAAAATTAAATTTCTTATAATTATTTATTTATTTATTCATTTATCAATTCAAATGAGTGTTTTACAAATTCCCTGAATGAATTTTACTCTCTAAGTGTGCCCATTCCTTCATGGAATTCAGCAAGTTAGAAGCAATAATTCTGTTGGAGGCAAAATGCACTCATGTTAAAGCCATTTTCCTTGTAAAAACAGAGGTCTTTTCCCTTGCTTTGATATTTGAAAATCTTTTGTTGAGCTGCTGGGGAACATTGCCAAACGGTGTCACCTGCCAGCTGGAGTGATCATATGCTCCCTATGAAAGCTGAGGGCCATGTTGCTGGTCAGCAGCTGAATGTGAGGATATCAGCATGGCACATATTTAGTAATGGGATAAACTGCTACGGTAATGAGGCCTCCCTGAAAGAGCCAGTACATAGATTTTCTATCCTTTCACACAGTGAATGCTTGCATGCAGCTGCTTACTTATCACCCATGCTGTTCCAGGCAGTGAACCATGGTGAAAATTCAGGACACAAACCCAAGCCCACCTCAAGTGAAAACTCTAGGTGGGTTTATGAGACTGAGTAAATACTACCTACCACACTTCAAAAATGATGCTAAGTGGCATGATTGATTTTCCTAATTTGTTTCATCAAAGCTATTTTTTAGCATTATGGAATTTTTGCCTGTTAAGAGGCCTGTTTTTAAAACTTAAACAAGAAGATTAGGAAAGGTAACCAAAAGATGTTTTAGATATCAATAACTTAAAAGGAGAATTACCAAGTACCAATTTAAAAATTGATTAACTGTTACATACTCCTGTGAAAAATGAGAGGGAGAGAGAAACTAACACTAACATATCTGCAATTAAAGGATAGAGGTTAAAGGCAAGAACCTCTTGCCAAGCACTCCTGTTGACTAGAACATTGGGTTACATTAACGTTCACCTGACCTGACCATTCCCCATTGCTTGGACAACCTGGAGGTCCCAGTGATTACTCTGTAAAAATTCATATAGAACCTAATCATAAAATGTAATTTATAATTCGTAAAAATATAAGAAAAAGCAATGCAGTTATCATAAAATAATGCCATTCTTTCCTGCTCCTGTTATTCAAATTCCAGGCTATTTCTCTGGTCTCCTCTTTTTTTCTAAACTTTCATTCCCTTAGATGAACATCCACAACCATGACTTCCACTAAAATAACTACAGAAGTGATTCCTATTTTTATTTTAAATCCAATATAATGGTTCCCAAACAGAATTCGCCATCTTCCCCTCAAAATGTCTTGCTGCACATGTTTCCTATTTCTCCCGATTCTTCACTGTCAATTCTCCTGTATGTAATTTGCAACAAGTTCTTACAAATCCCTATACAGAACATTTTCAAATCATCTGGTGATCTCCATTTCCAATTTTATAGCTCCAAACCAAGTATTCTATGTGTCATCACAGGTTTATGAGGATAAACTGCCGTTGTTCTCTAATTTGCCCTTGAATATCCCATCTCACATTGCTCTGCCAGAATGAAGTTTCTGACAAATTTATATTAATCCTGCTCAAGAACCTACACTGTCTGGCTCAGAGTCAACTTCACCCAGTGGGAGCCCTTCCTTCTGAATTTCAGGGTTCTTTACAGCTTCCCCAGCTTCTCACAAAGAATAAAACATGGCATGCTGAGAACATCATTATCTTTACAGCTCCTGGATCCCTCCCTTTCCCTTTCACTATATAAATCTTTAAAAAGCCTGCCCCGGCCCATGAAACCTTCATGGGACACAATGTAATAAAAGAAAATCTAAAACATTAAATTTGAATTAGCAAATGAGACACCCAGAACTGGGAGGACCCACTTTAACAGTAATCTGTTTGACAAGAGGCAGAGCTGTTCCATGGGAACAGAGGATTACTGAGGCTGACAAAGAGTAGTGAACTGGTTTATTTCAGATAGAACTGGGGGCAATTCTGCTTCACATGAAAGAATTCCTAAATATTATTGTTGCCCAACATAAGAAGAGCTGCCTAAAAAGAAATGAGATACGGAAGAACTGAAGCAGGGTTTAGGTGAATATTCATTAGGATCCTGTATTGTGACCACAGGCAGGGAGGTGGAAGGGACTTTAGTAAGCAGTACTCCTAGATACTCATCACAGATCATGCAGAGAAGCTTATTCAATCTGTTTAAAAACATATTGGTGTGTGTGGGGTTATTAATATTCAGTTTTATTGAATCAAATGTTATGCTGCTAAAATCATTTTTTTTAATCACTGGAAGAAAAAGAAACAATTGGCCTGGAGAGAGTAAAAAGACCTGCATATCTGTCCTTTGTTAAATGATCTTGAGAAAATCACTGACCATCTCTACATCTCTAAATTAGGGAGAGAAGCATTTCCATTTTCCATTTTATAACATGGTTGTGAAAATTATGTGACATAAAACAACTAACATAAAAACAACTCGAAAATGGTTAATGCCTACAAATGTTTGATATGAAGATGATAGCAAGATTGAGATAAGAAAATATAAATATTTTAAGATATTAATAACTTTTTTAGTAGTAACTTTCCTCTCTGGAAGCCACCTAAAACTGTGAACCTAAAACTGTTATTTCCCCTGACATAGAAAACGACACTTGATTATATACTGACTCTTGTTCCTCTGTAATTTTTGCATGTGTAATGCTATTTAGTCCCCTATCAGACTTTCACTCCCCCAAATTGGAGCTTTGTCTTACTTATTCACTTGTTTATTTTGCCTCAATACTGGGCAAGAAAGATACAATGTACATTCATTTGATAAGCATGATGTAGATAACCAAACAGGAAGAAAATACCAATGTTGTAGGTAAAGTTAGTAAAGAGTATTTTATGTGTAATAAAACGAGAGAAGCAGCTTACAGTTGATGAGATAGAGTTCCTGAGAACTAGTATTTTAAAAGATCCTACCCACTACTCAATAACTCCTTAATAAATGCTTGAAATATGTAGAATGTAGGATGAACACAATTTGCCCAGTTCTTTCTGCACTCAGAGAAATGGGAATGCTAAATCATTTAAAAGAAGATAATTCTATTTACTATTCTATAATGTATTCTCAAAGGCTTCAAAGGCTCAAGGAAGAAACAAAGAAACTCAGAAATAGGTCTTAAAAAACCAACATCTTTAGATAAATTGCAACAAATAGGAAAAATGAAAACTCATTACAACTATATGGAATTTCTGCTAGAATATTTGTTCAACTTAATGGAAAAGTGCCCATTGTTGGCTATATTTTTATCTCATTACACTTTTCACTATGTTCCAAGATGTGTACTTCACAAACTGAAAGCTATTTCTCTTTAATGGTAGAAATCTCTTTTGTTGAATTTACAAGGAAGAGGATGCCGAAGGGATATTAACACAAAGAACAGCCAGATTCTCTATTTAAATGCCTGTTTGACACGCTATAAGACAAGCATGAGTTCAAGTTATAAATTAAAGTATAAATGGGAAATAACCACAGATGTTAAGGGACCTTGCTTCAACCTCTATTTTACATATTTGTCAATACTATGATAATCTGGAAATTTTTTTTAAGTTAAAATACAGTTTTCTTTTATATATCTCAAGTGTTAGAGAAGATCTAACTTAATCAATATTTAATGTGCAATAAAATAAATGAATCCAATTATTTTAGAAGAGGGAAGCAATGTATTAAGTATATGCAGATGACACTTTTACATATATGGATTTTCATTTTGGGAAGGGAAGATCTATTACAATGTATTTTTAAATCATTATTAAATCAGCTACATATTTTATGATAACTGCTTAATAAGGCTATTCTTCAGAGTGTACTAATTCTAATATTAATGGATAATTGTGTACTAAGGCAAGAGATCTAGTATATTACTTGTGAAAATAATTATATTAAATGTTTACAAAGTAATAAATATTAATGGTCAATTTTGTTAATATTAATAATACCTATCATCATTGATTTAATGGTTTGTTAGGCATTAAACATCATTATTTGTCCAGAAAAGCTACTATGAATACTGTACTTATACTCATGCATTCATATTTTAAATTTATAAATTTAATAATATTATAATTTACTAGGCTTTAAACTTTTTATAAAACTAAGTAATATATGAAAACACAGGAGTGTTTTGAAGGTTGTAGGTTAATCCAGAATGCATTGCTACAACTAGCCATAAAGTACCATAAAACACACACACACACACACACACACACACACACACACACACACACTATCATCTGTCTATCTATCTATCTATCTATCTATCTATCTATCTATCTATCTATCTGTCTATCTTTCCTGCTCCCCTGAAAGATATGGTAACTGAGACCCAGAAATATCAAGTAATAGTCCAAACTCATAGAATTGCTGCTACTGGCCCTCTAGCTTTCTAATTGCTGCCATATGGAGCTCTCTGAGAAGGCTTGAGCCCTTCATGACATTGCCCCCAACTCCAAACTATTATATCCTGAATTACATAAGGAAAAGAGTCCAGATTCTGGCTTCTGGGATTCCGTGTCCCTCCAAAGGTTCTACTGAATCGCACCCATGATGACCCCATGCTGTTCTCCCTCTCCATAGCACGGCCTAACTGATTCTGACAGTCATGACTGACCGTGACAGTGTAGGGCCCATGCTGCAGGCATCCCAGGGCACAGCAAGCTCGACTGACACCACCACCACCAAAGTAATCATCCCAGCTCTCACTCTCTAGGTTCCCAGAACTCAGGAGATGAAGAGGTCTCATGGAAAGTCTCCTCATTAGGTACAAATAAAGAATGCAGAAACAGTTCTCGTCAAAGAAGTCATGTCACACATCCTTTCTCAGTGTTTTGCCTCCTTTTTATATTCTTGAAGTAGGTATGACAGTCAAAATCTGTCACACATGTGACCAGATACTTACTTGTGAATATATATGTGTTTCCTTGAGACACATTGCAAATCTTCAAAAGTAAACATTCTTAGACATTAATATTTGTTTAAATTCATGTATACAAATTACTGAGAAAGTATCAGAAGCGATGTTATTGAGTCAGACATTTTAATATAGTATATTTTAACAGTATTACCAGATCATCTTCCAACATGACAATCGTAATTTATATTCTGATAAGCAGTGTATGAGTCTCATTTCATCATATCCTAACCAAAACCTAATGCTATCAAACTTTTATAGATATATTTTTAAAACTGGAAGGATGATAAGTGGTTAACTCTTAGTTGCCTTACTTTGCATTTCTCTGATTATTAGTGAGGATGAATATCTTATTATAAACCTGTTGACCTTTTGTATTTCCTCTTTGCTTTCATGTGGTAAGGAGGGCAGGACCGTTTCACTATCTTACCTTTGGGCTACATCAACTCTCTTTGTCACAGTTTCATCTACAGGGATTTTGTTTATGTCATTATCCCATAGGACATCTATATAGATGTCATTATGTCAATAAAATCTCAAAACCAGAAAGTAGTAAGTTCCCTAGAATCTTTGGTAAAATATTTGAGTGTTAGAGGTGGGAAATAGATATAATAAAAATTCAGGGGATTCCCACCACATTGAGGTTTCTGGGTATCCCACAATCTTGGACTTATTACATTCAAAGTAAAAGACAAATTGCAATACCTTGCTTTTCCTAACACTAAGAAAGAGACAAAACATTTGATGGAACTCTCTGGATTTTAGAGAAGCATACACAACATTTAAGTGTTTTGATTTGATCCACTTACAAAGTAAACTAATTGGCAGCCCTGGGTGAATCTCAGAGCAAAACATACAAAGTAGTTTCAGCTCATTTAGGGTTTAATACCAGCAGCTCTGAACCTGGCTGTTACGGCTCAGTGGAACTCATAGTCATGTGATAATAACATATGGGGCTTTCAGGTTGTTGTGCAGAGTCATATCTTTCCTTTATTTCTGAAATATACCTCTCACTCCTATGAACGTCAGTCAGTTTCTTTCTACAGTCATTTCAGTGTTCGTTCATGGAAAAAGTAGTCAGACTAGTAAGAATGAAGATTTGTATGGGCCCCAAAATATACACTTCTTTTTACCAAAGTTAACTGGATACAATCACTTCAAGTGTTTTTCCCATCAGCAGTGAAGGATAACCCTAAACTCTGGCACAGCGCCACACTCTGGGTGAACAATTCTACGATCAGCAGTAAATTGAGCACTGAACTCTTTTGTCCTAGAAGGGGTAGTAGTTTGATCTCCCCTGAATTAACAATTATTTTGCTTATGGATTTGCCTATTATGTCTCCCATGCTTCTGTCAGTGCCACCCTTATTCAAGGCCTTTTCTCAGTCATGATGTCCTATTGCTTCTGAATAGAGAACTTATTTGCAAATGAACAAAAGCAATACGATGACCATAATGGAATTCTCTGGTCTTAACACATAACCCATCATCCAGGAGTAACTGACCCTGTGGAAAGATAAAATGGTCAAAAGAATTTTCAGTTAAGGTGCCAACTGGGAAATAATTAGTGAAGTTGGGATGTTTTAACTGAACCATCAGCAAATATATGGTATTATTCTTCTCAGAGCCAGAAGATATATTTCCAGGAATCAAAGGGTAGGATAGGGAGTTACACCTAATAATCCACTGGAAAATTCTTGGTTGCCCTTTAACTATAACTCTGGACATCCTGCCTTAGAGATTTTAGTTCATAAATGGTGAGCGCTTCCACTAGGAGACAATACTTCCCGTAACTTGAAAGCTGAGGCAGCCAACAAGCTGTCTGTGGTTCTTTGTGCCTCTACATCAAATGGCAACAAAAAGGGGAGATTTACTTATTTGGATGTGGTGATTACTTATTTGGATGTGGTGATTGGTGGTGATCATCACAGGCAAATTGAGTGGCTGATCCAGAATGTATGTGTCTCCCAGTACTGCTGTAGCTGGTGTTAGGAAGGCGGATCTACAAGCTCAAATCAAGAGCATTAAAGTTTGGGGTCACTTCCCAAGATAAAGAATACTGAATAGCTGGATATTCTAGCTGAAAGCTAAAGAAAAATTGAATACACACAGAAAGAATTATGTTTTATCACAACTATAGCCTTGTTATCAATGACAGAAATTGGGACTGTGCTAGCTTGTCTTGTTCTAGTATTTTTTTTTATTAATTACATTATTTTTTACTCACTATTTCCTATTATAATTTATATAGAGTATGTTGGTGGTGAATAACATAATGCACATTAAGATAAATTTTGGATTATAGCCAAGTTAGAGAAAAAATAAACATCAAGAAGAGATGAAGTGCAGTGACTAATGAGACTTTGGGGAGAAGGTGAATATATTTTCCTTTGTAAAAAAGAAAGTGAAATTTCAATAATATGTTGATGATGTTATTGATATTTGAAATATTGGATTGGAACCAATGTTTTATAAACATCGAATATCCAAAGGAGGGAACTGATTATGGCAAATTTCATAGACTGTCTAATTCCATTCTATTTCAATCTCCTTGGAGCATGTCTTCTTATGAATCACAGGCTGGAAAGATGCAGACTACATATCTCTGGCTCCCTTGCAGCTTGAGTTCCACATGTGGCCTAAGCTTCATAAGGTGTATGCAACTGCGTGCATCTTGGAAGGGATGTAAACACAACTGTATGCAACCAAGGGACATGATCACCCTGACTTGAAGACAAGCAGCCACAGAGGTACATGGCTATTCTTCACCAGATAGAGTGCAGCTTCTGGTTCTAAAGATATTGAACAGTCAGTGGTGAGCAGAGGCATATGACCTCTGCTGGAGCTGTCTCCTCGTGGAGCTGGGCAATTATCCCAGTTGTATTTCTTCTGGCTAAGTGGCATCCACACTTGTTTCCTTGACTCCCCCAGGAATTCTGCACTCTGCCTATCCTCAGTAATAAACCCCTTCCTACTTTAAACTAGCTGTTGTGCATTCTATTGCTTGCAGCTAAGAAAACTAACCAATATACTAGTTTTCTAATGAATTCACCTATGTCTATAATTACTGCTTTGGCTAAATTCTACACTATATATTTGGATATATAGTGTACTCATTTTATATTATTTATAAGTGGTGGTCAGCTTTTTTGCTCAATCCCTTCTATAGTACAAGAGCACAACCTTTTCTTTTAATTGCCAATTTCCAATGACAATGTGCAATTGTAGTCAATGTCATCTGTCTGAAATAAGTGGAGGAACATTGATTTAATCCAGATTTTCCTGGTCTCACACTGTGTATTTTATCTGACATTATATGATTTTGCCTTCTTTAATTTCCTCTATTGTCTTGTTTTAATGAAGGAAACACACTCAGATTTAGATAATATTTATTTATGTCTTCTATTTTCTTCCATTATGTAACATTTAAAAAATATCTCACTGGTATTCATTTTGTTTTACTGTGTACAGAGTAAGATTCTAAAGTAATTTTTAAAAACAATTATGTCACCAAATTTTTATATATTACTAATGTCATAGTGCTATTTATTGAATAATTTTTCCTTTATTTACTGGTTTGTGATATTTCCTTTGTTATATACTAAAGTTTTAAATAGATAATATTTTCTAATCCCTTAATTTTTATATACACCTCTATACCAGTGTAGGCAAATTTTCAACATTATTAATGTCTCTGTGATATTTGACTCATTTGCTACTCCTTTCTTCATAAAGTTGTTATGGTTCTCAATCTCTCTGCTTCCAGGAGGAAGACCCATTATCACAAAATGCACCTAAAATTTCATTCAGACTGTGGTGCTGACTTCATCTTTGACCTCTTCCTGTGTTGGACATACAACAAAATCAAGTTAAGAGGACACAGGTTTGAACACCAATAACAGATTAAAGTACATATCCTGTAACAGCAATAAGGTCTGACAATTTTGATCCAAAACTATTTAGAGTGGCAGAAAGAAATTTTTTGCAGTGTATTGCTTTACACAGTCCAAGAATAATTTAATATATAAAAGCATAGCTAAAATTGAAAATCTGCTTCCTAGCAGCACTGACTAAATTGCTAGTTTTCTCTTACTCACTTAAGTGCCAGGAAGTAGTTCCCTTTCTTCTTGGTTCCTTGTGTTCTCCTGTTCTCACGTTGCCCAGCCCTTCCTTAGCTCTCCCCAGTGTCTTCTTTTACCATAACCCAGTGACTTTTGAGAAGTCTAGCTCTTTTGTTGCTTTAATTGTTTTTCTTGAAAGGGCACATCCTGTAGCTTTTCCCCTTATTCTACTCAGAAAAAAAGTGATAAATAGCAAAAAGAGCAGGGAAAATTACTAAATCGTAACTGTGAGGCTGTTAATCCTCACAAGTTTTTGATTTTATTGTGTACAGAATCATTCATTTAAATGTTTTTATTTTAAAAATGTAATTATCATCTTATTATTCAAGGATAAACAGAAGAAAACTTGTGAATAAAGAGTATAAGCAATATTTAAAAACATATCACAGTGATGCTATATTTGTGCATTGCAAAATAGCTGTAAGTTGTATACACAAATATATCTGAGCATAATAGTCTAGGAACTAAGACTTCCTCAAACCAAAAGTAACATTTTATTTGGTTGGTCCATAGTACTTTGGCCCCTCTTGAATTGTTTTACCGGAACTATTATATAAGCTTATGTTCTCAACATTCATCAGAAACTGACAGGAAAAGTACAATACATGCATAACATACACACATGCATACACATTTTAAAGACAAATCATCTTTCATATTTTCTATTTGCTGCTCAGGTATATCAATCTAACTTTTGTTTTCAATTACTATAGCCCTCTTGCAAAAGTGCTCCTAAAACTTCATATATCTTCCTTCCTCTCATCTTACTAATTGCACGTATATTTGTATGTATGTATGTATGATTCATTCATTCACTCTTTCATTCATTCAGCTTTATTGTTGTAAATTACCTACAAATTCTTATTGGAAGTACAGAAATTTTAACTATATTACATGAATGCTAACGGAGACCTAGGATAGATAAATATATTTCTAATATTTTATTGTTGGCAAATAACACTAATACTTCACACTCTAGCATTCTACTTACACAGGTTATCAACAATCATCTATTCCTTTGTTGTTACGTTAGATTTACCTTTTATTAGATGTTAATATTAGATGTTAATGTCTTTGTAGGGACATGGATGAAGCTGGAAACCATCATTCTGAGCAATCTATCACAAGGACTATAGGCGGGAATTGAACAATGAGAACACTTGGACACAGGAAGGGGAACAACACACACTGGGGCCTGTCGTGGGGTAGGGAGAGGAGGGAGGGATAGCACTAGGATATATACCTAATGTAAATGACAAGTTAATGGGTGCAGCACACCAACATGGCACATGTATACATATGTAACAAACCTGCACGTTTTGCACATGTACCCTAGAACTTAAAGTATAACAATAAAAAAAAGAAAATGTCAAGTGTTACCACCTTTTGTGAAAGCATCTAGAAATATCTTTTAAAAATAAATTTGACCCAGTAATTCCCACACCTAGGAATATGTCCTACAGAAATTAAAATGCCAATTCATATGGACACTTATATGTGGCTATTTATTGTGGGCTTGATCATGGTAATCATAAAACAGAAATAAAATTAATGTCCAACAATAAAGAATTTAAGAAGAATGGATTAGAGCTATTCTGTATAACTTGGAGGGGTTTCTACAGGGTTTTATTTAGTCAAAAATAAGATGCAGATGTATATTGTATACACATGCATATTGTATACACACATATTGTATATACACGTAAGATGTATATTTTATATAATAGAAATCATTTTCTAAAAATGAGCAAGATAAATTGTGTGTATGTGTAAAATCAGTATGTGTAGGTTGATATGAATACACCTTATTAACATAACTTACACTCCATTGGGGAATGAGGATGTGCTTGATGTTTTAATATGATGTAAGAAGGAGAAGAATAGGGCGGGGCGCGGTGGCTCATGACTGCAATCCCAGCATCTTGGGAGGCCGAGGCGGGCGGATCACGAGGTCAGGAGACCAAGACACTGGCTAACACAGGTGAAACCCCGTCTCTACTAAAAATACAAAAAAATTAGCCGGGCGCCTGTAGTCCCAGCTACTTGGGACGCTGAGGCAGCAGAATGGCGTGAACCCGGGAGGCGGAGCTTGCAGTGAGCAGAGATCGCGCCAACACTGCACAGGAGCCTGGGAGACAGAGCGAGACTCTGACTCAAAAAGAAAAAAAAAAAAGAAGGAGAAGAATAAATTTAGTATTAATATACAATCCAATTTATGCACACATATGAATTTAGATATATAATGTAATGCATAATCACCTAAATGTTAATAGGGTTCAGAGTGGTAAGATTTTAGGTGGCTTTTATTTTTTCTTTATATTTTAATGAATCGTTCTCAATCCAAAGATAATAAAGATAGTAATACATAAAATTTAAATAATTAAAAAAGTCTATTTCCATTGTGTATAAAGAGTACGCAATGTTTAAAAACTTTTTTAAACATCATTATATTAGGCAATATTTATATCTAACCTAGAGGACACAAAGATAAAGAATTATCAGCAAATAAGAAATATAAAGAAACTGGTTACATTTGTTACTAAAATACACTGGATTTTCAAAGCTTTCAGATATAAATGTTAATGTGATTTTGTATATCAATGACTACAAGAAATGCCCAGATGTGATTTAACTATGATCTTTGTCTTTATCTAAGCATGAACAACTAGGTTTCCAAGATAAATCTTGATATGATTTATGTATTTTATCTAAACTTTTACATTAAAATAGCCACATGAATAAACAGTAATTTCTTTTCTTACTGTACTTTTTTTTTTTTTTTTTGCTTTAAGAGACTGCATCCTGCTCTGTTCCCCAGGCTGGACTCCTGCGGTGGAATCATAGTTCACTGCAGCCTCCAAACCCCAGGCTCAAGAAATCCTCCTGCCAAAGCCTCTGGAGTAGCTAGGACTACAGGCATGTGCTCCTATGCCCAACTAATTTTTTAAATTTTATTATTATTTTCTGTAGAGATAGAGGCCTCAGTATCTTGTCCAGGCTCGTCTTCAACTCTTGGTGTCAAGCGATTCTACTGCCTCAGCCTCCCAAAGTGCTGGGATTACAGGCATAAACCACTGCAACCCGCCCAATTTACATACTTTTAAAATGATAGACAATATGAAGAAAGGTAGAAAGAAATATAAATATCAAGTATTCCTGCTATCTAAATCAGTTTAAATATTTATAATTTTATCTTTATAATTGGTATTTAACTCTGATGCCTCTCTAGAATAATATGTCAATTTTATAATTATTTTATTGTCCTTTCTTAAAAATTCCTGATAAAACATGTCTCTATAAGGTGCTGTTCATCTTTAACATAGAAGAAGGCTCTAGTTTGGTCTAGAATTTCCTTAGCATCTAGTCTACTTCTCTCAGATAAAAAGAATAAGTTGGCAATGATAAACCATGGGGTTGACAAACGTGATCAATAATGTGATGAACTGTCTCAATAAAACTAGTTAAGTAATTAATAATTTTATTCTTACTTCACATCTTTCCTCCTCTACAAATGCCCTAAATTGTAATTTCCTTGAATGTTCAACAATTATTTTCTTTCATTGAAGTAAATTTGTCTCTTAATATTTTTAAAGCATTTTTTGTAAGTCTAAAGTATTTTCTTTAAATCTATCTTGCATTTAAAAACATTTCTAGAAAAATTTCACAAACACTTTAAAAATTACTGATACACCTGTGGCATTGCAGTTACTTTTGTAGATAAATTTAATTACATGTAGAAGAAGTATCATTCATTTTTCACTAATGAAATAATAAATACAAAGCCTGTGAGGGGATTACAAGTATAAAGACATAACTGAAATTCCAACTTTAAAAAAAGACATTATCAACATGATCATTTATAATAGAGAAGACCAATGCAGAACAATGGGTATGGTTTCACAGGCTGTATTTTCTGGATATTGAATGACAACACCCTTCTCATCCTTTGGTAACCTCCAATGGCTGAGCAGCTCCTCACAGTCCTCTCAACAGAGACAGAGGAGGAAAGGGTAGGGGAATCAGAAAGACACTTTCAAGTAGTTCATGGTCTAGTTAACAAAATCCTACACATGAATGATATGAAAAAACACATGCTTATTATCACAATCAAATTAATCTAGCACAACCGAAGCACTTCATTTGCCCCCAACAGGGTAGAACTAGCCTGTTTTCATTCAATCTGTACTTTTCCATCAGGCACTCTCAGTAAATGTCCCCGATAGACAATAAAAGCTCACTATGGACTATTCAGCTCTATCCATAGCAACAATATAGGACAACTGCCCTCACTCCCAATTTATTCTCAGCTTCACGTGTTCCTCTGGCTCCCTCGGCTCTAGACTACCAGCCTCATAATGAAATGGGAGGTAAAATGAAACTTTGCATAGATATGTCACCAGTGCACTTTTACCAAGAAACCTCACAACTCACATTAGGCAATGTTTTCTTTTCAAATTGATCTGTTTCACAACACATTGCTTTGGTTGTTCAAATGCAGTTTCAGAAATCAAATTTGCAAGTCTAAAATTAAGATGACACAGCAGAGAACATGCATCATTCATGACGATTTCACAGTGTTTCCTAGTCTGATTTACAGTTGTCAAAATTAACCTTACATGACATAATCCATTATACGTTTCACTCAATACTGCGTTTCCAAATCATGACACTGTATCCCAGTCACGACATATCATCAGTTTAAACTAGTTTCTATTGATTTTAATTTCTTTCAGTTACTTTCTACCTTTTGCTTTCTTTCTGGCAAGATATAAACTTTATATGAGTTTACGATGACATCCCTTTAATAACTATTTCTCCAGAATTTCCAACACAATCCTCATTTTCATATTTTATTTTAAATTGCAGATTTGGTTTACCTTACTTTTTTTCTCTGATTTATCTTTTTTATTATATAGAAAACCTCACATTATTCTGAACTAAGTCACAGAGTTTAGTCTTTGTCATAGAGTTCCTGTAGACACAAATAGACATAAATCCTTGGCACTTAAAGAAAGAAAAGCATAAAGAATCTTCCTATCTACTGTAATTTTGAATTCCGTGTCTTACTAGTTAGGATATAAATTATTAATAATTAAGGATAAAAATAATTATAAAATTCTGCATTCATAAATTGTTTTGTAATGGAAACCAGTGATGCAGTAATTTTTTCTCCAAGGAAAGCTCCATGATTTATTTGAAGATCAAAATACTCAATGGCCTGGCTGTTGCAGATTTGTATCAGATTTGTTGAATGTCACAAATCATACAAAACTAATTTTCAAATATGTTTGTCATAATGACATGGCTTCTACATAAGGACAGTCTTATTTTGTGCTTAGTAGGATGTATTAAAGATAACGTCATATTAGTGATATTTGGATGCTTCCAGAATTTAAAGCAGTTTTTCTGGCTAGTGTGAGTAGGAAAAGATTTTGTAATGTTAATGGAAAGACATATTAAAGTAAAATGTATATATTTACAAAGTAAACATTTATCTTTTTAATATTGGTCTTGTCTTAACATTTTAAAGGTACATATACCTAAAAATGGTGTTTATTTTAATTTTCCAAATTGTACATACATCACATATAGATTTTTCCTCATTATTCAATATAACCCCATCTTTTTTGAAAGAGATTTAAAAAACTTAAGAAGGTAAGAACTTTGTTTTCTCTTTTGTTTTCAATTATCTTTACCATCTAATTATTTTAAGGCCATTATTTATTATTATTAATAAAATTCATGTTTTCCTCAGCCATTATCAAATTACATGGCAATTTTACATTCATGATTTTTTTGTATCTTTACAATAATCCTGACACATAGGTAAAGCAGGGATTTTATACCTACTTTAAAATTAAGAAATAAGTTGTAAAGTTCTGACTTTAATCCAGGCCATCTGAATCTGATGCTGGTGTTATGTCATATCAGTTGTGTAAAACGATTCTTCTAGTGTCAAATATGACTTAGTTTCTAAGCTCCCGGCAGATAGGTACACTACCTCTCCAGACTACCTAAAAGCTCTATCTTAAACAGGACCACCAGGGTTTCACTTGCCTTATTCTCTCTTATCAACCTGGCTGAATATCTAAAATTGTCCCACTCAATATTAATTTCTAAAATAACATAGTGAAGGGCCATGTATTAATGTCATGAATAGATTATATGAATTATTTTTTTAAATAACCAGTAAGCATAGAGGAACAAAGTAAGAGCCAAGTTAAGTTTTGGCTAAATAAAATCTCCAAAATGTTATAACATAGGTATCCCTTAGAAAGGCTTTAGAGATATCTTCATAGTTGTGGGAGAAAATAAAGGCAGAGAGTTGAAGGCTTAAATATTTTCCCACAAGGGGAGATGTTTACACTCAAAGAAAAAGTAATTCATGATTTTGTAACCTGGTCAAAATTTATCCTTCAGTGCTTTATACTTGCCTAAAATATTGCTACATTCATGGACTATCTAAATTAGAAGGTAGCTATCATCCAGGTCAGTGCTATTAGGACTCAGGAAAGAAAAATTAAGCACCTGATAGATGATCACTAAATATTTGCTGAATAAATATACAGAAACAGATGAGGAAGTCTTTGCAGGGAGAGAACATGAGATTCCTCAGTCCATGAGTCAGCTCACTCCTCTTCCCACTTAGGGCGGAACTAGGAAAAGCAAGGAAGTACCTAGGAACAAAATTTAAGAACGCACTTGCATGACCCTGGGGGTGAGTGCCTCATTAAATTTTGTGTCTCAGTAGCATCTCTTGCGTCTTACCCTGTTCCCACCCCCACTAATCCATATTATTCCTTGATTAGAAGTCCTCCTTCCTTATTCATCATCTAAAAGAAAAAATTGCCATGCCACACTCTCAGGGCAGACTTCCTGATTCATCATCTATTATAAAAGAAAAGAATGCTATGCCACACCCCATGGCTGACTTCCTCTTCTATTGCAGTTCAGGATTAGAGAAAGTAAGTAAATGTGGGGGTGGGGGTGAGTAGAGCGAAGTGATTATTTAAAAATATCCTTTCTCACTCATCTCTCCCTCTTCGGCAGGGTCAAACCTAGAACATGTAGAGTTTGGCTAGCACATACAAGGATAAACAGTGAAAACATGTGTCTAGGTTGAACAAGGAATAGAAGAGAACCTCAGTTGTTAGTATCATGAAAGGTTAGAACAAACAGAGCCTGGGATCAGCTTTAGTGTTCTGGCCACCTGAAATCATCTCAGAGTTTCCCTGACTTTCGTCTATTGAGGACGTGGGACTCCAAATAAAATGACCAATTATTTGATACATATTATTTGAGAAAGATGAAATAACATAGAAACAAAATAGGGCAGGCAACTTCTTTTCCTTCTGTTTCTAGTATTTGCCAGCACTATCCAAATCATCCCAGCATTTTGCCATTTATTTATCTATCAGAACTCCAAAGGTTGGAGGCTGGTTATAGGCAGACATCAGAAGATACAATCAAACTTTTAAATGAAAACTGCCAATATTGAATTTCCACTTGAGTTGATCCTGTATTGTCTATGTGGTCTCAATGCCTCCATTGCTGCTACTTTGATCCAGGGCTTCCTCACCCCATTCTTGGATTATAACCACGACCTTACTTGTGGCTGTCCAAACTCTAGAATTTGACCCCTCCAATCCATTCTGCATATCATTCCTGTTTATGAACATAATTTTGCCTCAGTTTACTGAAGAAAAGGCCAGATTTTTCTGCCTTACCATCAAGGTCATTAGGCTTCTTTTCAAAAGTTATTTACTGCTCTTTTGCCACCTGCTCCTTTAATTCAAGTCATACCAGCATCTTGACTGCCCCTTACAGATAACCTGCTCATTCGACTTCTCAGATTTTTTAAAAATGAGGTTTGACTTGGAATGCTCAGTCTTTCCACCATACCCTACTTAGGTAAGTTCTATACATTTCTGGGGAGGAACTGGTCAAATTCTACTGCCTTATCAAATTACCTTAATAAATATAGGTACAGTCCTTCTCTCAAAAACTTTAGTTGTTTTTATGTAAGATTTATCCTTTCATCAATGATTTATTTTTTACCAAGTATGAACTCTACATTATGCAACCCATAAAAGATACAAAATCTCTGGGCCAACCCAGAATTACAGTAATTTAAAGTAATTTTATTTATTTGTTTTTCTCTTGTCTTTCCTAAACAGAATTAAAGACATCAAAGTTAGGGATAAGGCTTTATACAGAATTGGAACTAGGTAGTGACTACTATGTTCTCCTTCACCTATTTTGTATTTAATTTTATTATATGGGATCCTTGATAGATTAGAATGCCAGAGAAGTATATTTTTGATAAAAGCATTTGAACACCATTTTACAAACCAAAATGTATCAGTATATCGTATATTGTATAAAATTCAAATGTATTCCAATTTTATACCACTGAAAATAATTTCTGAGAAATTCATATTTATTATTCCAGAGTTAGGATGTACATCTCTGTTTCAGTATCTGTCTCCATTCTTACCCATCTGTTAATGGGAATATATGTATATTCATATTTATGTAGGTTAGTTTGTGATCTGTTATATGTAGTCTTTTGAAATCTTAAAATGATTTTGTTGTTGTTATTGTTGCATAGTCTCAACCTTAGTCATAATTAATTTTTATTTTTCAAAAACTTGCTTCATTTATTCCAGTATGTTACATTGTAAGTGCTTGTGTCAATATTCCAAGATGTTTACTGTACAATGGCTTCTTGTATTAAGCACAGCAGTATTTTGTCCACTTACAATTCAATTACTATACTGGTAAATACTACTCAAACAAATTTTTCATCATCACATCTTTTATCTAATATCAGTGACCACATATTTGTACTAAGTAGAGAAGAAAGCATCTCTCAATGAAACTTTTGGGAAAAAGCTAGATAATCCCTTTATAATACAATGATATGAGATTTTAAAAAAAATAAAGAACATAGCAAGGTGAAAGTGTGAGTAGAGGCCTAAAAAGAAGAAAATAAGATAAAACACATGGAATTACTAATATAATGTGTTAGCAGACTCTAAAAGAGTGAGCATATTCTTAATTAGGTTATACAAACAAACAATGCATTAATGATTTATTAAATTCCCTCTTTTATGGGAATTTGTATTTTCTTTTGAAAGTATTTCCTCCTATTTAAAACTATTCTTGTTTGAGTCAGAGCGAAACTCAATACTACCCACATCAAGCCAGTAGAATTCCAGCAAATAAATGAAAACAATGGGTAAGATCACAGTTGCTGCCAAGGAAATGCAAGGTCACTGCCCCGATCAGCAGCAAGGCTCCCATAGGAAACTTGCTCTCACAATGTCTCAAGCAAGAGAGCTAAATAGAACAACTAAATGGGAGATATTACTAAAACTCCCAGGAAAAGTGATGAAAGTGATATAAACCTTATTTCAAGTTCATGTGGAGGATGATTAGGCAGTGACATATATTATCTGACTTAAGTTTAGTCCCTTCCCCAAATCCATCAAAGGTTTAAAATACTACCTAGGACCCTCTTTTTATTTAATTTTCCTCACTTAAAACAAAAATAACCAACAGTGCATTGTCTACCTCAATTTTCCTAAGACGGTAGGTCTTATGTTAGGTGTTCTTACAACACAAAATAATAAAAATAATAGTAATTATGCAATAATAATAAAAGGAGCAGAAAGAAATCTTTGCAGGTGATGAATATGTTTATGACCTTGATCATTTTCATCAAGGTCATATTCCCAAATTCCTTGAGTTGTATGCCTTTAATATGTACAACTTTTCATATATCAAGCATACCCCAATAATGTGATTTTAAAAATACTCCTGAAAAGTAAAAGGAGAGGTGAAGACATCCTGTCCATGATGAGATAATCATACGCTGGGATGTAAGAAGTGACCCTGGTGGTCACTTTAATATTTTTGAATTTGTTAGAAGTTTACAGGTAGACATTGACAATTTTAGCCCTTAATTTGCCATCACTGACACCAACTAATTGATAGTGATGAGCTTTGTGGCTTGAAGATATAAAAACAGGAGTGACTGATATAAGTAAGGACACTTATAAATGGACAAAAGATGACACTAAATTTAAAAATTCTCAGAGACTATTGGAATACATTTATGATATTAATAATGGTATATTTTCTCATTTATAAAGAAAATATAACAACAGCAATTATTTAGTGTTAACCAGGAACAATAATATTGAAATAATATTCTCAATGTTGTATCCTAAATGGAATCAGTATAAATGTATATTATCTTAATTGAATAAAACATATCTTTTGAGGATATTCTTTTACATGTTCTGGTTATTTTTTGTCATGACCTTAGAAGGTTCCATTTTCTCATTGGCTTCAGTTGAATTCCTGTTAGTTACTAAAAGACTCAGGTTTTAAAACTAAAAGATTTTCTTAAATTTTAATACTGTAACAAACATTTACTGGGAGCTGATTATGTTCTAGGCATTGTCTTAGCCTAATGTAAGCGATTAAGGTTAACGTTGCATCTTTCTTAGATGGGTTGATAGGTGCAGCAAACCACCATGGCACATGTAAACCTGTGTAACAAACCTGCATGCTCTGCACATGTAACCCAGAACTTAAAGTAAAATAAAAAAAATTAAATAAAAATCATATTTACTTAAAAAAAGAAAGTTTGTCTAGTCATTCACCTATTGTTATTACATAGATTATAAATTCATACATATAAATATATATGTGTTGGTATATAGCCTTACATAATATACCTACATATAAATATATACATACAAAATGTATACATATAAATATATATGTGTTGGTATATAGCCTTTCATAATATAACACACATTTCCTGAGAAAACCTTCAATATTTAACAATTTTTCATGAAATCTTGGACCTGACATAATATAAATGCAAAGTACTTTTTTAAGGAATGAAATTAAGTTGAGGAAAAGAGCAGAAGTAAATAGAAACAAATTTTGATAATAACAGGTGAACAGATCAGAATGGGAGATGTACATAAACTGAAGCATAAGTTTGAAGATAAAGATGTCATAGTTAATGAGGGATGTTCAATGGGAATTTAACAAAATAGAAGTCAAGTTATTTTTGAATTATAATTTTGGTCAGACCAGCTGTCTTGGGTCTCAGTGCTGGTTTAGTGAAGAATATGTTCTGACTGCCTAGTTGCTCTATCATTTTGAAATAAATATAAATACCTTTGGTAGGAGTAAGAAAATGTATGCGCTCCCCTTTAACTGATTGGAAAAAGATAGTTTATTTTTTATATAAAAAATAAAATACTGTATATAAAATAAGCTAAAATCACTATCATTAATAATGCACCTCCTCATGAATAATTTGCCTTACAATCCTAGCTAAAGATAACATAAAGCCATAGTGATTGGCAAAATATTATTTCCTTATTTATTTATGTTAAAGTTTTAATTATTGTGATTTTAAAATGTATGCAATATACTTTTATAATAGCAAATGTATATAACTTATAAATAAATAAACATACATTGGGGCGTGTTAAAAACCCTGTTACTAATAAATGTGGAAATGTTTAGACCTGCAGGATATAAAGTCTAAACATTTAAACTTGACCTCCAAGATCTTTATAGGTTTCCAAGACCTTTATAGGTTTTCTCCATTTCTCTTCTAGGCTAGTTCCTCTTCCCTTTGTAATCTAACCTCCAGAGGTGAAACAACCTACAGAAACAGTATTTTTCCACACGGAACAATTACTGCTGCAATTCTCAGTGCCTTTGCTCTTTTTGTTCCCATATTCTTTGGCCATCTCCATCCTAGACCTGGTGCATGCCTTCTAATCCTTAACGCTAGCAGCATTTTCTCTAGGAGGCCATTCTTGATCCTGCCAACCTCCTTCCAGGAAGAACTCATTATCTCTGTTGTTATCTGCACGCACTTTCTCTCTCTCTCTCTGTAGACAAAACATAGCACCTCTAATATTTTATTGTTTCTTTTGTGACATTATTTCTATAATAAAATGTAGATCCTTGAGATTATGATCTTTGTTTTGTCTTTTTGTCTGAATATTCTAGTGCCCAGAATGTCTTGATGCCTTTAGTTTTGTTGAATGAAAAGGTAAATAAGTAAATAAATGCATAGTGAATTAATTAGTTAATGAGTAAACTAACAATGACATAGAAGCAGTTCTCTGGTTCTGACACCGTACTTTAACATAGCTATTATTTCTCAATCAGGGCCAGCAGAAAACAATGTAAACTCACAGGGGTTAATTCAGAAAAGTTCGTAAAAGGATTATTAACAAAATTGTAGGCATCGAGGAGTGGTATAGCATCTTGCAGCTATTAACTATAGGAAGATTATTACCCTATGGCGATAAAGGAATCAAGGGAAAGGATTTTACTAGAATCTGAGGTAGACCTAGAGCTGGGGAGAGGACTGCTGGATACAGGCAGGAGCCTTTGCTAGAGAAATTCAGCCAGGAACAGACAGGAATAGTCTCTCTTCCCACCATCTGATATACTGCTGCTTTCTCCCATTGGTAGAATCCAATGAGAAAGAAGGCTCAGAAGCCTATGAATACACTGCTCAGAGGTCAGCATCCAGACACACGAGCAGGATGGGGAAGAGGTGATAGTGGACCTCTAAGGTCAAACATAATATACTGCCTGGTCAGCTCGACATTTTGAGAAAACTAAAATGTCCTTTTTAGCCATCTACCATCTACCAAAGAATATGGGCATACTGACTCTGTTTAGTCAGGTGTGGCCAACAGGCAGCCGAGGCAAGCTTGCGAGACGTGATGATGAGTATCTGGCGGGCAACTCGACGCTTTGGATATAACAGAAAGTTTTAAGATCTAAAAGCCTGCTATTTAGAAGTAGTAATTTTATAAATGGATTCTGAACAACCTAAAAGGAGTGTTACTTTAAATAGTGGGCAATTTTCTCCTTTCTCTTTGGTAAGGTTAGGATTAGATTTGCAATTTTACTGATTCACAAAGTCGTAGCGTGGGGATGGGCCCTCAGGAACCATATAGCTCATCAACTGAGTGATAACCTTGCAGTTACTCCCAAGACTGCGGAGAGCTGCCTTAGTCTATAGGCACTGCATAGAAATTCACCCTGATGTTTCAGTATGAACTGATCTGTAGGCCATGTTGAAAATTAATTAACTCTCTGCCAAGAAAGATATATAGGATTTTATGTCTGCAATTTTAGGTATGGTGTTTGTTTGGGGTTCATTAGAATCACAAAAGTTGAAAGGCTTTTAGAGATTTATTTTTAGGCTCTCTCCCTCTCTACCTCATCATTGCCTATCCCAGAACACGTATGGTTTACAGATGAGAAAGCTGGGTCCCAGAAAGTGTAAATGACTTGTTCAATACTCTGTAGCCATGAATGCATAGGTTTACTATTCTTATTTATTATTTATTTATCCCAATTATCCATTACTGAAATTCCATTCTTGTTGATTCAGCCAGCTTCACAACTGTTATAAAGCAAATGCTTTATATTCAAGTTTGATATCACCATTCTGGAAAGCAATCCTAAAACAGAAGTTTGGAGTAATTAACAACTAGTATTCTAAGGTAAAATAAGAACCAGGCAAAAAGAGATAAGCTGTGTTGAGAAAAAATACAATTTTCTGCTCAACAGTTTTAAATTTGAAGATGAGAGGGGATGCCAGAAAGTCTGGGCCTGGAAAACAAAAATCAGAAATCCACTTTAAGAAGTATTATTCATTACTCTCTGAAATGCTAAGGCTGAATTTATATAAAGACTTAAAATGAAAAATGAATTTGGTAACAGAAATGAGATAAAAATACTCCAAGATGTTAATATTTCTAGAGGTTATTATAATATTCACCCCTTCATGTTTTACCCAGTTATGTTTATCCCATGTATTTGTGCCTGAAGTATCTGCTTTATGGAGTTATCTAGAAGCTGGATAGTTCTACTTTTCTTGGCTTAGCCAACAGAAATCTGTTTAAAATCCTAAATCTGTCTTATTCCCTCAGGAATTCACTGGGCTGAATTTCCCACACTTTTTGGAAATGCTTCTCCTGGAATTATAATTACCATTAATTGCCCTTGTCAGACAATTCGACAAAACGAGATAGGTTCAAATGGAAGATATTTTCAAAAGTAGGCACTACATCCATTAAATGTTTCTAGTATTACTTAGAGCAGATTTCATCCTTGTTCCTTGCTCTTCAATACGCAGATTTGGTTCTTCATTTGAGGAGAAGGTGAGCTGCATCAGGTAGAGCATTCCAGAGGTGAGGATGCAATGGCAATCACAGGCTATGCTTGTTGCAGTCTGGAGATGGCTGCCTCCTCTCCCTACTCCTCCTCCATTCTACCTTTGACAGCTTACCTCAGCCAGAAGACCAGAAAATAACATTTCTGCTTAATTTCCCCAACAGCTACACTTCTGTGATTCTGGGGTGGGGAACTGGCTCTTAAGGGACCTTCCCCAGATTCCCTGTGTCTTGCCCTTCCCCCCACCAGATTGGGATAATCCAATAAGAAGAGCCTTGGATAAACCTTTATGGATTGTGCCACTGGGTGCTTTAGAGGAGTCTCTTTCATGCTTCAGGTTCTAGCTTCCTCCGTCTCTGAGGCACAGATTTATCATATAGACACTTCGTTTTTTCAGTTTTCCATTTTCCTTTTTTTGTTTTTAAACTGTAGATTATTTCCTTGATTGGGGTTACTGGGTGATTTCAAGGCAGGGGAGTGGAGTAAAATTGCCTTTACTTCCTCATGTTTAATTCCAAATCACATACCTTATGTGGTAATAACTGCATGATTTTGTCTATGTCAAACGAAAAAAATCATAACAAATTTAAATATGTTAATAGGTTTTATCTGCAATTCTGGAATTTGGCAACACTTCATTCCACAAGTTGGAATAAATATTCCCATGAGCTGAGCAGAGGAGGTTGATTTTATAGATAGTAAAGGGCTGAGGAAAGCAAAACAGAAAACAAAACGTGGATTGGTCATTTCAAAGTTACTTTTCTGTAAAGGTTACAGCAGAAAAAAAAACAAACACAAAAACAAACAAAAAATCCTTATCGTGTCTGCTAGGATTGGCCTGTTTGGGGATTTGGCTATTACCTCTCTCTCCCCTGATTTCTCAGAAGGCAGATAAAGAACTTATTTTCAGTTTGGTGACTGGAACTTTTAGATAAGCAACACCATTTTGGTTTGGTCTGTTGGGCCTGGTGCAGGAGGAGGAGGCTCAATCCTGACCAATGGCCTCCTGTAAATTTTATTTAACACTCATAAGAGTTAGTACTGCAGGCTGAGACTTCTATCCTTAAAAAGGCCTGCTTGGAGGGTTTGCCCTTGGCTGGGATCTGGGAACTTAATTGGTAAACAGTTCCTTACATTGATATAAAATTTCTGTAAATGATGAGTGGCTGTGCCTAATCTGTTTGTATAAATATAATTTATTATATTACTTGTTATCGTTATTACCATAGAGTATAATGCACTTAATTATCTTGTGAAGTTAGCCTTTCCTCTCTCTTTATTTTTCAGTATTTTCCTGTCTAATACATCTATTTTTCCCTTATAAATTTCACAGTAACAATGTACAGTTGGTATATTTACTAAATATTCTAGACAAGCACAACTACATCCTTTTCTATTTTTCCAAGTCTAGTGTTAAGTGCAGAACTTTTATAGTTAAGCATATTTACATATTTGTTTTAAGTTTTCCTTTTGCAAATGAGATATTTTAATCTTTTTCCCCATTATAATATTTAATTTTTTAAGCATCTAGGGAATATATTGATTTTTGGATATTATATTTGTGTACATCAACCTTATTGATTTTTTTATTGTTTATATTTTCAATTGATTAGCTGGAGTATTCCAGAATTATCGTAACATCTGAGGGAAAAGGTCTTATTTTTACCACTTGCTTTCTAATTTTCATTTCCTTCTCTTTTCAGGTACATTGACTGGTACTTAGAATGAAAAGGTCTTATCATTACAGATAATCTGCTGTCCTGTCTTATTTTTTACTTTAAAGAGAATGCTTCTAATGTTTCACAGTTGAGCACCGTCCCAGCTTTCAGTCTGATGTCTCTTCACCTATCTCTCTCCATAAAAGTTGATCTATATTAGTTCTCCCATTAGGTCATTATTTCAACTTCTTCTTGCAGAATATTAGTCTTGTACAATTTCGATGTGTGAATCAAGGTCTTCTTTTAATTTCAGGAAAGTCTTATCCTTGTATTTTGTTGTGTTTTCTGTTTTAATTTTTCTGGTTCTATCTTCAGGAACATCAGCGTTTCATATAGTAATGTCCTTTGTTTGCATATCCATTATCTCTTTTAAAAATTAGTTTATTTGATGTTCTCAAACTGTTCTCTATGTCATTGACTCTTTTCACCACCAAATATTTTTCCATTTTTTATTGCTTCTAATGTGAATTGCATTTCTGTTCTTATTTTATAAATCTCCTCCATTTCTTTTTTGAGCTCTAACAGATCACTTTTAAACTCATTCTGTTTTTAAATTCTTTCTGTTTTGGATTCAGAAAACCATATTTCCTTTAACATCTTTGGTTTCTTGGAGAAACACCTGGTATACTTTCATACCATCTCTTGGTCCTGCTAAGATTTCACCCAGCCTGGCTGGAAGTCACTGGTTTACAGGGAAGCTTCCTGTGTCCTAGTGTATGTGTAGTGATTTAGAATTCTCTTCCACTAGTTGTCAAAACTTTAATCCCTCAGTCTGTCAAACTGATAGTCTTTTGTTGGCAATAATAGCATAGTGGGCTTCCTGCCTATTATGCTATTCTGATTTCAAGCAGAACTCAAGTATGCTTCAGCAGCCCTTTTCATTGACACAGACCATGTCATGCTAAGGAAGTGTCATTGGCTTGTCCCCTCAGAAAGTTCAGGCTACTCTTAGAGATTCTGAGTGTTCATGAAAGCTGTAACACATAATGCCCTTCTAAGTGTCCTCCCTAAGTTGTGTCTAATTTTACCACATTAGCCAAATTTCTGTATCAACTGTGGTTTGGGACTGTAACCGTTTCCTGCTGTCAGAATAGAGTTTCATTTGTGTTTTTCATTCTTATTGATTTTGGTCTATTGGAAAGTGGAAAGCAGGGCAGATCCATCATTGTTAACTTAAACATTTGAGCAGTAATTCTAAAATTATTTTTGTCTATGATCTGCCTCCCCAGATTCTTGGTTTTATTTAGTTAAACTTATGCAGTTACTATAATGTAATTTTTAGCCATATTAAATTATTTTTATTCTCCTACATGGTAAAATTGTTTCTGGATTTAATAGAAGCTAAAACATTTTAAATTTGATCACTAAGTTCTTGATTTGTGGCCCTGTGCTTTGGTGATGTCATTGATTCACTCTTCACTTTATTGGCTTCACTGATATCATGGTATAATATCTGAGCAAAACGTAGGTCAAAATATCTGATTTTTATCTCTTCTTCTCTAGGACTTTCTTGATCACACATGATAATTCATATATAATAGAAATATTCACAGCCAATATATTTAACATAAAGTTTAACCTATACTGTAATAAGTCAGAAAATATATGCAACTATCAATTTATTGGAAGTTATATATGCTATTTCTAATGGGATACAAGTTCCTGACAAATAAACTCTGCAGTTTTAAATATGTTTGTTTAATTCAAACAACTGGATGAGAATATTAGGCTCTATGCAATGGTAGCTACTAACCTAATTACACTTTTAATTGAGTAGTCAACGTTAAATTAAATGTCTACAGCATGCTAACCCAGTGATAGCAGGAAACAACTCAACTTGTCTTGGAGACTCATTCAATTATTTGATGTCAGCCAAGTAACTAATATAACTGTAATATACTTCAGGAAAAGAGATAAGAAAATCACCAGAATAAGGATAGTCAGAAAAGAACAAAATAGGAATTGAGTTGAAAATATACATGATACAGAATCAGAGGTACACACACACACACACACATACACACACACACATTTAAGGAGTTGTAGGAAACCTGGAGAATGAAGGCAGAACAACAGCCTTCATTCAAGGCCACAGGACCAGAACTAGAATGGAAAAAGGGCAAATTACCGTACAGCTGAAATAAAATGCAATCGTGTCAATACAAAGAGGGGAGAGAGTAGCAAAAATTCCAAAAAACAGTAACCAGAACTCTATGATGAGAGAAAGTTATTGTCTTAGACAGACCAATCAATTTTTGTTTATCTAATTAAACTATATCCTTTTCCAAAAACACTTTAAACCAGATTTCAAAATCTATGCATAGCAAAATCAGTAGACAAGAATAGATTGAAAAAAAAATCAGGTGAGAAAAAAAATAAAGCTAAATAAAGCTAAAGATATGTTAATAAACAACATGCATGCCACACAGTCCTATTTAGGTTCTTAACAGAAGAAGTTAACATGCAAATGTGGTCTGTTACAAGATTTCCAGAGGCCATAAGAAAAACAATCCAGCTGTTCACCAGAAGCGCAGAGGTCGAAACTTCAGGGAAATTTGTCTTATATGTTTTTTAATCAAGAGAATAGACTGTGTGATAGAGTTGATGACACTTTCAATATCATTTCTACAGTAAATCTGATATACAATTCTTACTGATGTTACTATATTTTTTTCAGTTCAATCCAAATCATAACTGCATAAATATTTCTGAAAAAGCAATTATGCAAATATCCAGATAAGCCACTCCCAGATGGTCTGGTTTATCCAAGAGCAAAATTCAAAATACCCAGAGAACATCATGTCTTTCAGATAATCCTCAATGAAAATTATTTTCACAATAAGTAAATCATACATGAGATAGTTTTTCATAATATAGTCATTATGTACCCAAAGATAATTTGTTAAATAATTTCTGTCTAGAAAATGAAGCTAATTAGTTACATGTTTCCTGAATGAGGCTACTCATGATTCAATACCCTCTACTTACCTTATTTTTGGCTGGTTGCTGTTTCCTTCTCTGGAGGGAGTTATTCCATTATATACAATGTGCAAGAAAATTATTCTTAGGTATAGCTCCCTGGGTTGTTGTTTAGAGCAGATTTTGTTTATAGGGTAATTCTGAAAATGCTGTCTTGGAGAGATTACAACTATGCCTTTTTCTATTAGCTCACTAAAATAAGTATCTGAATTTAAAATCCCAATATTTCAGCCCCTAAGCAATTTTTTTTTCTATTATAGGGAAACGACACTGTCTACACATAGAGAAGAAGCAGTATCTTTTCATGAAGAATTGCTCATGCTCCAGACTTTGAAAGGAAAATCAAAATAACTCAAGTAATACAGGGCCTAAATGTGGACACAATAGAAACAACACCGAGAAACTCACACAAGCTCAGAAGCCTTAAATTTGGGGGTAGCTCATCCTAGGTTGTGCCCCTACGTAATCCAGAAGTTATTAGATAGTACCGGATATCTTAGGTACTCATGATTCTTGACAGACAAGCCTGTGTAGTTAACAGTAATTAAAATGTTACCTTAAATCAGCAGCTTTCCCCGTCTTGTTAATGCACATAACCTCTCTGGTCTGATATCCAATCTGGATGTCCCAATATTTGTTCTCTTGTCTGTTCTGCCTGTTTCTGTTTCTCTTTTTCTTAATAAGCTCGCGGGCTTCTGGATCCTTTACTCCTTTGCTGCGGTCCTTTTCCCGTTCTTTATTCTTCCCGCGTCTCCTTGCTTGTCTTACTTGTCGGGAGTGGGGCATTGAGCAGGTGCTCCAGGGCCCCACATGCAGGCTGTACCTGAGCTCCTCGGCCTCGCATGGACTGGATTGGCACACCTGGAACTCCGTCAGGTTTGGACAGCCAGAGCCTCCGAACTGCGGGGGCGCCACCACATGACGCGTCCGGTGCTGGAGCCCGCTGCCGCAGGTCTTGGAGCATTCGGACCAGGCAGAAAATTCAGACACGATGCAATCTTGCTGGCAAGGAATGAGGCAAGCCTGCTCCAGGAGAGGCTTGGGCTCAAAGTACTCACAGATGATATCCTCCGCAGGAATGTCTTTGTCTTTCTGGATGCACGCTATCTCCCTCACCTGAATACCTTCTTCCCCCTTAATGCACTCAAGAGGTTTCTCTAGGCTTTTTGAAATCACGGGCTGACACTGATTCCAAGGTCCCAGTCTCCAGTCGTACAACTCTTTGTGCCAATCGCAAACTTTGAAACAATTCTGCTGGTTATTGGGTCTCTCGGCCTGCTTACAGTTAGTATGCAGTGTAGTCCATCCCTCCACATGAGCACACCACACAGCCCTCGTTTGGATGCCTCCGGGACCACATTCATCTCCCATACATCGGCCCCATGGACCTACAAAAATTATAACACAAAAATTAGCAGTGCTACTAGAAGAAAACTACAAGTTACTGCACATTCCAGAAAGACCTTTCAAGACCTAGTACATTAACTTCCCTGCGGTGTTACAAAGTAGGTCTCTGGACACGACTGTTGGAAAGTAATGATCCTCGCTAAGTATTTTTGCAAAAGGGGAACTGTGTCACAGAGTCTATATAAGGTAACTTCTGGGACAATTTCACTTTGGGTCCTTTAGGGATTACGAAAAGTTTGGTTTTGTTCATTTCCTTTGTTTTAGGTAGTTAGAAATCCTTGCTGATAAAGGACATCAGAAATTAGTCACAGTGAAAACTCATTACTCCGGCCTCACAATCATCAAATCCATTTCAGTAACTGGCAAAGAAAATGGCCCCGTGTGAAGAACTTCTCCTGCAGGCATTTCTCTTCCTGGACAGTTAACTATTTTGTGGAACTTGCTCTCTTCTTCAACATATTTTATTTTCATAGACTATGACTGCAAGGGTCTAATAGTTGTATATCATGTGTGCCACTAGAGCTTAAAGTGTTCACTCTCTGGTTATCAAAACTAAGAAGCAAAAATCTTCATTTACACACATTCTGCCTTTAAATTTACCAAATTTCCCCCCCATTTCCCAAGTGAAGTATAGAGCTGGGTAAGGGAATTTAAATGTAACTAAAAGACTTTTGCAATTTTCTAATCATTGAGAGGTTATTTGGGGTCTTATTTATTTATTCATTTCTTAAACATGAACTATTTGGTATTACAGAGCTGTTTGATGTGATACTTAAATCAGTGGCTTTAATATGAAATATGGGTTTTTTTCTGTGAAATCCTTCTTAGAATAAACTTTATATTCACATATATTATTTTTTTCTAAGGTAGATGATATGATTTTCAGTACTTTAATAGACAGATCCCAATTTACGAAATTGAGAATTGTATTATTTTGGAATCATAAAGAAACTTAAAGTTCATGTAAGTACATGATTTTCAAAAAGTATTCCATGAATTTGAGAAATTGTTTGATGTGCCTTAAAGCCATTTTCCATCTGTTGTGTGGGAAGGTGAGGGCCAACATGTGGGGTGGGCTCTAGTGCCCCTCACACCCTTACACTACTGTCGTCCTCCCTGATTGATGCTTTTATAAGAAAAACTCTATTTGTATTATTAGTTTTATTCACATGGGGATTATGCATAAGATTATGTCTGCAAGAGGTTTCTACTGTGGAAATTTGAAACCTGCTAAAGTAGGTCAATGGATTCGCTCTACGGATGAGAAAAACAGGAAACAAGAAGGGAAAGTGATTTGCTGAGTTCAAATATTTAATGAATAACAAAACCATTCTGGATTTTAGATTCCAGTTCCAACTTTTAGTTGTATGATTTCTCTTGGACATTAGAGCTTTAGCCTCAGTTAGTTTCTTCTGTACATAACAATTGCTAGTATATGAATAAAGAAATATAAAGAATGTGCCTATCATATTTAATCTAAACATTTAATTTTGCTTAATGAGAAAGATGTTTAAAGTTTGTTGAGAATTTCCTTACAAATGGCATTATGGAGTTGTAAATAGAATAGAGACTTGCTGTAAATATTGTGCTAACTAATCATTATTGCATGAAAGTAAATATTGCATAGTTGGCATACCCGTATCATTCCTTTATGAAGTTTGCATGTACAAAATTATAAGGGATGTAAAATGCTCATGCTTATTAGTGATGTAACATTCTTATAAGGGATATAAAATACTCAAGGAGACTGGGAAACAGTCTCCTTGAAGTATGAATGTTGAAACTTTATGGGAGAAAGCCAGTGGGTTTGTTGCATCTGTCAAAATGCAATCCACCTAATAATATTTTAATCTTATTTTTAACTTGCCAAAGAAAAAATATATATTCACAAATCTGGTGATACTTTCTTAAAGATTTTTCTAAATACTCACTTTGGGAACCACAGAACCTAGGAAACTTCTCAAAATGAGAACCCAGTAATATGTATAAAATTTTCTAATTAATTCCACACATCCTTGGCATTTATTCCCCATCCCCACTGTGCTTGAACAAAACAGTGGTCCTTATTTTCCATCTGAACACAACATATAAAGACATATTTATATCAGACTCTCAAATTAAGAGTAAACTATATGCCATTAAGTCTGAATTTGAAAATATAAGTGTCTTATACTAAATCAGACTCTAAATCCCAGATGTAATTTAGTTGAACTTCCTGATATATTATTTTTTTCCAGTTTTTAAAATTAATTATGAAATTAGACTGACTAATCAGATTGAGGCTACTAGTCTTTTATCCTCAGAGTGTAAACAAATGATTTTTTATAGCAAACTTATAAGGGTGTCACTTAAAAAACATAACTGTACATTTTTAGGTAGGCAGCACTATTATTAATAGTTGTGATTGGGCCGGGCGCTGTGGCTCATGCCTGTAATCCCAGCACTTTGGGAGGCCGAGGCGGGCGGATCACAAGGTCAGGAGATCGAGACCATCCTGACTAACACAGTGAAACCCTGTCTGTACTAAAAATACAAAAAATTAGCCAAGCGTGGTGGCGGGCGCTGTAGTCCTAGCTACTCGGGAGGCTGAGGCAGGAGAATGGTGTGAACCCAGGAGGTGGAGGTTGCAGTGAGCCGAGATGGCACCACTGCACTCCAGCCTGGGCAACAGATTGAGACTCCGTCTCAAAAAAAATAATAATAATAAATAAAATAAAATAGATGTGATTTACTAATTAACACAAATTAATGTTTTATTATAGAAATCTGAGTACACAAAATGTGAATTGACTTCAAGTCTATATGTTATTGCTAAGGAAAACACGCATACTGAAAATAACTTTTTTTCCCTAAAACAACTATGAAACAGAACTATGCTACACTAGTCAACTCTTAAGTCTGAAAATTACCTTAGACAAGATAAGGACTGGTGAAGATATCAAACTCTTACAAACCAAATTTTAGCAAAAAATCTTGGCTTACTTCTAAGTTCATTCTAAAATAAAAGTAGAAGATGGTTGCTTTGAAAATGATTCATCATTTACTGACATCAAATTATGGAGAGCTCCCTTTTTACACACTTCCAGAGTACCATATATGTTTCTCACGTAATGTTTAAATGTTAGTCACACTTTCGGTTAGTAGAATCAGTAATTTTTTCAAATATTTAATATCTGTTTATCACATTAGACTGACTCTATAGCCCCTTGAGGACAGGCCCTTGTCTGCCGCCTGCAACAGTTTTAGACAGTACACATAGAACAAGTTCAGTAATATTTATTGAATGAATGAATAAAATCAGAAACCAAATCAAGAAAATACTTCCAATCAATTTATGATTCAACAGATGCCATTTGCATAATTAATTGTGGATAAAGACAAAATGTGCTTTTCCTTTAAGCCATTGCAGTATATCATTGATTATCTAGAGATTTTTGATTTTTATCTAGTTATTGAAAACACAAGCAGATACTAGTGACATAACTTAAAAATACAAATCTATATTTAATTACAATCAGAACCGCAGTGTAACCTTGAGAACCTCTAATTTCTCCATGTTATCTGTTGTAGTAATATTACATATATTTTGGATAACTAAATATGCACGATGTTTTTCTGAAATTAGCATTGTCTTGGAGGCAGATTTCAGATGATCACGGGTGTCAACTATAGTATTTCTTACTAGAATATTCTCTTGTCTTCAGAGCTAGTTAAAAGCATATATTTCTGCAATGATTTTCAGCTACATATAAAAATATAATATTTTATTTCTACTCAAGATGTACAAATGCCTTAAGAAATAAAAGAAAACAGCCCATATAAAAGTTTAATAATACTGGCATCTTATTTATAACACCATGAATCAAATGTTCTTTTCCCACTTTATAAAAAATAAAAATGCACTCCCTAAAGGGGTTGAGGAGTATATCTTCATTCTTTAGTTTTGAGAAACTAAATTTTCTCAACCAAGAACATTTCTAATCACCTAGTTCTTTATTGATTTTTCACAATGTTGATCCCACTACAGAGGGTGGTTAGTCAGTGAAAATAGTTTTTTGATCACTTAATTTAAAATTACCATTTGACATATAGAAATATTGACAAGTGTTATTTCAAATTCAGAATTCATTATATAAGTAAGATAGTTCTTACTTTGATGTTCCTCATTGAATACCAGGAACATCACATACGTGTGTGTGTATACCTTTTACATATGCTTAATTAGCTAATTATATTTGTAAAAGCTTTGCAGTTCTGCTAATTTAATGGAATAACCTGTTACATTCCATGGTTTGAACATGCCTTTTAATTTCAATGGCTTACTTTTGGATAAATTGCTTCAATAATTTTGTTTAGAAAGGAGAGAAGTTAGTTTATAGATCTTAATATCCCAGGCATTATATTTTTGATGTCAGTGCCAGCGGGAATAAAGAGATTGAATTCAAGAATACTATTATATATAGATAAGGCACAAGAGTTTCTAAAGTTTGCTTAGATAACTAAGAAAAGCATATGTTATAAATATAAATATATTCCAATTCCCATTTCAATAATATTCCCACAGATTTTTATTAACCAGCTACTCACAGATAACATTGTGGGATTTATCTTATTCCAAGTATATTTACATTGAGAACCAGCAGATAACATATCCTGAGAAAACTTCATGGAGATATATAAAAAGATCTACTGAGGCTAAAGGAAAACAATAAAATGCATGAAGGCACCAGTGAAAGCAGAGGTGGAAGTATAGTCATGATTGAACCTAAAATAAAATAAAATAAAATATAATATAATAAAATAAATAAACCCATCGTCCACCTTGTAGGCTTTAACTGCCCTTATCTTTTCATTGCACCTTGGGTATCGCATGTGTGTCCAATTAACCAACCCTTTGAAAGATCAGATCTTCCCCACAGTACACACGATGAAGGGCTGTCTACTTCTTCCCTCCAAGCAGTCTTGACACAAGTACACATTGAAAAGAGACCAAATTGAATAGAAAAAGGACCACATTCAATAGAAAAGGGACCACATCTAAAAATCCTCTTGAAAACTGAGAATTGTTAACCCAATTAACTACCATGTTTCAAGGGGTGCAAATGTTTTAAAGTACAATTTGAAAACACAATATGCAAACTCTATCAAGGAAAATATGAAATCCTCTACCAATTACAATGTGACAGTGTGCAGCAAATGTTTCTGTGTAAATGTTAAAATTCAGCTCTGCATCCTACATTACTAAGAGTGGGAGGTAGGGGTAGCAGAAAATCTGGTGGAGTGGTGTTTGGTTTTTGAAAAGAACAGTAAGAATTATCATTGGTTCAAAAATTGCTTCTTTTATTGTTTTGTTCATTATTATTTAGAAGGAATTTGGAATCTGATTGAGCAAAATAAAGGACAGGCAGCTTTCCATTTAAGGCTATGGATAATATCCCCCTGTGAATGAAAATGTATTCCTGCATACAGATTTGTAGGATGGTGTTTACTCAGTATCATACAAAGCACTTCTACAATGTGGGTCAATAAACATGTGCAGAACACTTAGCTTGACAGATTTTATGTAAATCCAGAAAGAAACACTGGATGTCTTATTTCACTAAAAGGAAATTAAAGCAACTGTTTTATATGCCCAAAACTTGTGTGTAATTGATAGACTCACAATACAAATATTTTCACTTGGAATCAATGTAAAATTATGCAAAATTGCAATAAAAACTTTAAATGAATGCTACTTGGCTTAGTTTTCCTTAGGCTAGTGCTTTAAGTATAATTCTGCACTAACTTTAACAAAATGTTGATAAAATAATGAATTTATTTTTATTCCTGCTAAAGAGGATTTTATAATGTGCCTATCCTCTTGATATCGTTCAAAACTGTCTCTTTATTTCAGTCTACAAAAGACAGCCGTCTAAATTTAAAATTACTCTTTCCCCACCATATTCAACATTGACTTCTCTAAGACTACTTTTTATATGTCAAGGGCATGAGAACAATAAAAGGTTGAGTCTATAAAAGGCCACATTATTGACAGGTGGCCAGCAACTGTTCCAAAGAGCCTTATAAAAGATAAACACCATAAAAGGAGCATGAGAAATTATGAGAACTACTTTTTGTGCTTGTTTGCTATAAAACTCTCAAATGAGCCAGTTTCTTGTTTGACTAAATATGTTTGCATCCTTCACATGAGATAGTGTGTTTTCCCCTTCTGGATTTGGTTATGGAACAGCATGTCCTACTTTACTAAGATCAAGGAGTACATAAACAGCTTAGTAATATACTAAATTCTGTCTCTTGAATGCTACAGAACATCTTATTTTAAAATTTTCAATTAACAAAATTAAAACAAAATTTCTATTTGTTTTTACCCAACCAAATCTCTGTAAAAAGATTAGAAATTACTGTCAAATAATAGGAAAGAAAAATTCCTTATAAATTCCATAAACTAAAGATAACTAATCCTAGTCATCGTATTTTGCTGTCCTTCTACTAGGCAATTAAAATATAAATTTATTTAAAACGAAATTTTGGATTGTGCTACCAATTAATTGTTCTATAATTTGCTTTTTTACTTCATAATGTGCTATAATTCCATTTCAACAGATACACCACACGCACGCGCGCACACACACACACACACACAGATTGAACCTTCTATACTGTTATTTAATCTCCTTTGTTCTTCATATTTTCACATTTAGATCTATACTATGTTTGCGTAGTGCTTTGTTCTATCGATTCACCATGATTTTTCTAACTGATGTTCTATCGCTGGATGTTTAGGTCTTTCCTGATTATTTCCAATATTATAAAGAATGCTATAATGAACCTCCATTGCTATACATCAGTCAGATAATTTGGTGAAAGGCTTTTGCACACTTTCAAGCTTTTGATACATGTAGTATTGCAAAAGTGCCCACCAAAATGTACCAGTTTGGCCTTCCACCAGCAATTCCTGAGCACATTTCTCTCAGCCTCTAATATTTGCAGATTGCTGTTCCTCCAAGTCTGAGCTCCTATTGGAGAAATCCTGTGTGCTTATTTTCTTGGAGGGTTCATCCTTTGACTAAAAAAAAAAAAAAACCTTAATTCCTTTACCTTCATTCTTTTGTGTATTGTGGTTTCCAGAAATACATCAAAGCTTATGAAGAATTCACAATATCCTTCCCTGTTTTTCAGCATCGAAACATCTTTTTGCTTATTTTATACTCGTTTGGTCATTTCAAAGGATTTTATTGCCATAGGTAGAAGCAAACATGTGATCTTAAATGTCTGTCTTAAAATAGTCCCATAGACTGGTATCTGAATGCCTAGAATACTGTCCCATTCAAAATTATACTAATTGAATTGATTTAATTATAAATATATGCTCTGCCTGGTAGATCCCTTTGTATAGATTTTTGAATATACAAAAATAAATTTTGAATGTTTTTCATCTAAACTAGATTTAAATTTCTTTCAAAGGAAAAATAAGAGGAGAGTTGGTAGCTTCTTTGACTTGAGTTTTAATTTAATTTTAATTTAAAACATAACTCTCAAATGACAAATCAGTTTGGTGGATAAGGAGAGATCACTGTAGATGTCAAGCTGAGCTTTCACCTTCAATGAGTAATTAAACTTTAATAAGAAATTATATAAGAATGTCAAATTACATGTACAAAATTAGAACAGGCTGTTTAAATCTGATGAGAAAATGAATGAGGAATCAGTGACTAGTATAGCTGATTTTACAATGCTAAACACAATAATCTATTTTTAGGATCTATTATACTAAATATTCCTTTAGAATTACTTAACCTCTTTGCGTTCTGGTTTCCTCATTTTAAAAATACGATATCCTCTCATAACACTACCTGACCCATAAGCTAAGTACCAATAGTATGAGGAATGTTTGTGATAAAGTTGTGAATTGCCTTTCTTTTACACAAAAAGATTCACATTTTCATGTGACAGTATTTTAAAGTCTTCATGTATCAGTGACAACTTCCTTAGGTTACATTCCACTAAAGTGAAAGCCTGAGTCAAAGCATTTGACAATTTTAAGGTTTTAAAATACATGTTGCCCAACTGATTTTTCAAAGAAACATGTAGAAATCTACATTCTATCACTACACCTTGATCAGCATTGGTTATTATAATATTTTCTTTTGTTAATTTGATGAATATGCCCAAATCCACTGTTATTTTAGTTAAATCTTCATTTCATATGACTTTTAACATAATAATTTCCTCTCCTGTAAATTATTTATTTAATTGGTTTCTATATTTTCCAGCATTCTCATGGATGTTTTTTCTCAATATATTTATTTGAGATACTAACATTTTCTCTGACCATTAAAATGTATTTCCCATCAGTGTTTTGTGTTATTTTGTGTATATTTTCTGTTTTTGATATGCAGACTTTCACTAACACAATAGTATATTTCTTTCATTGAGTTTTAAGGCTGAAATATATTTTTAAATACAGAGATTAATAAGTACACATGTATTAAAAGTTTAATCTTCTTATAGATTTATTTTATTTAAATACGTTAAATGCATCAGAAGTTTATTACAAGTTTGTTATAAGGCAAACTTCTGACTATTTTTTCTACACAGTTAGACAATTTTACCAGGAATGCACATACTTATGATTTAAAGGTACCTTTCAAACAGCCTCAAAACATGTCAATAAGAGGTGTATTAAATACCACATCCCTAGATTACATTGCTATATTGTATTTTATTGCTATGTTTTATTTCATATTTATATAGTACAGTGTGTTTTCACCTATATGATCTCATTTGATCTTTACATCAAGCAGTAGATATAAAAAATAAACAAGATTAATTTTGTTACTCTGTCCAGTAGTTCAATCTCTGTAAATCTGAAGAAAATATAAAGCCATCAACCACTCAAATATTTCTGTGGTTTCTTTGGATGCAGTTAAACACCCCCAAAAAAGTAGTTATATAAACTGTATTTGAGCAATTCAGTTAGAGAGTTTATGGTGCTATAATGAAAAGTTCCCAATTTTTGAGTAAAGTCTCATGCAAATAAGGGGATGCAAAAACAATTTCTTAGAGAAAATTCTTCTTCAAGTTAACAGATTCCTAAATCAATGTTTCCCTTTCAAGCTCATAAACTCAGAAGAATTTGAGAGTGTTAGAATCTTGATTTCAAAATAACAAAATGTGGTACTAATAGCCTCAATATCTATTAAAATTTTAAAAAGATCTATTTGAACAGTTGCACTGCCAATCTACAAAACAACATAAACTTCCTCCTTACCCCACTTCCCAAATAATTACTACAACCAAAAAACAGAAAGCAAACTTGAGAGTTATATAGGATTTCAGTATAAATGTGATTGGCAGCAGAGTATTTATGAAATAAGAATAGAAATTGTTGATCATAACAAACATATAATCTCAATGGATTTGAAGACATGACAAGTCTTCAGAGGCTGCTTTAGAGAATGGATTGAAGGTAGCAACTAGCAAATCTAGTAAATGCATATGTTTGTGAGTGTTTAAAATAGGTTGTCTTAAAATTGGTGTCAAAGAATAGCACTAAGAACTGCATAACATTTCACTCAAAAATGTGAAATGGACAAAACTTTTTACCCATTTCAGGCTACCGATCTTCCATTACAATTGTCCAAAAGTGAGCTACCTTTGGAGAATACATATTCAACAGTCCGACTTGATGCTAAGGGAGTCAAATAAACAAGATATTGGAGGTAAAGGAGTCCTATCACAATTTTCACTCTATCTCAGGGAACTTTGATAAAAAATAGTAAGTGACATCTTAATAAATTTAAAAGCATGCTATGTTGTCCTGGATTACCCCAAAAGTAGAACTTGAGACAAAGGTTTATATGCAATAGTTTATTTTAGAAGTAATTCCATGGAGCAGGGCTAAGGCACAAAAGAATAAGAGAAGGAGAAATCAAGGGAAAGCCAGTGCAAGCATATGTAATAAAATTGTCCACTGCTATAGGTGCCTGGTTATGACTTTGTGGGACCTTCTGAGGAGATTTATGAAATGCGTCTCAGAAATGTCAGTCCAGAGAATAGAATGATTAAACATTTCTTCTTTGACTCCTGTTCCTCACTGCATAAAATTGCTTGAAGTAGCACATAGGCGGTTCCTGATATAATTTATCCCTTGCACCACTAAGATTTTCTTATTCTACCATTCTACCATTAAATCCAATGAATCACAGACTCTCTCCCTCAATATTATGGCTAGTTCAATGTCTGCAAGTATAGGTTTTTCCCTCTAGAACTACATCCTCCAATTCAGCAGAGTTTAAGATTGTAGGTATGGACAGCACAAATTCCTGAAGTGACTCAGGGGAACGATGGAGAGAGGGCCAATCCTACTTCGCCTGAGAGTTTTAACCCGTATGTCTTGGCTCTTATGGCACAGCACCATATTTTGCTTACTGGCTTGGCTCATCCTGGAAAACATTTCTCCAATCATGCAATCTGTTATTTTTCGACTTAAGCCTCTAATAGGCAATACTACTACTCAAATTAGAAGAGCTGCTTTTGGGTAATGAGTATGTAGAAAGTCCAGTGGATTTCATTGTCATTGCTGCTTGTCATGTCCCTTTACTATAAGATATATTCTTTTGAATAAAGCAATATTATTCATACATAAAATACAAGACCAAGAAACCAGGCATCTGCAAGTCCTCTGATTATGATGCTGGAGAAGGCACTGTAGCCATAGAAGACAAATGCATATGCAGGTAAGTGTCAATTTTGCTAAGAATGAATTGCTGTTCTATTTGTGTTAGGAAGTGTGTGATATTGGCTGACTGCTTCTTACAGGTTGGTCCTTAGCAATTGTAGTAGTTTGACCAGCCTCGGTGAGAAGAAGCTTATACTAACTACTGCGTCCATACATAGCACCCATCCCTGATACAATGGCCAATCTGAAGCAAGAGGTTAGCTGATATCCACAGGTCAAAATTTCTTCCCTACCTAGATACTCAATTCTGCCTCTAATGCAGATGCTGCCTGATGGGCATTAACACAGTCCACAAAGATCTGCCCTTTGGATCCACTTTCATTGAACACTCATATGCAATTTATCTAGACTTCTGTATTTCTAATCAACTAGATAAGCCATTTGCCATTGCTTAGAGGTCCATGTAAGTCTGTATTTTAGGCTACTTGTCCCTTGGTAAACAGTGAAAAACTAAATATAAGCTCACAGCTCTGTCCCGTGGGAGGATTCCCCTCCACCATTATCCTTTAGAGCCATAACAAGTGGGGCTGCTGTGTTGCAGCTGTCCATTTGCAAGTAGCGCCAAAATATTATGCTAAGCCTATTAAGCCTGAAGTTTTTATTTTTTTAGCTGGTATTAAGAAATCCCTTATGAGCCATGAGTCAAGGGAAGGTCCTCTCTGTAAAAGAAGTAGGTGCCATGGGAGTCTGGGCAATGTGTTTATGTAATTTACTTTTTTTGTTGTTGTTCTGTGTGGGCCTGATCCCCAATGCTCCGTTTCTGTTGTACATTGGATTTTAGCTATGTCTTACCAAATACTTTATTTGGTGGGCTTCATTATATCTAGCTTAGAATAGACAACTCCAGCCAAAAAGTTAGTGTCCAACATGCAATATCTACTAGGACCCAATAGCTTGTCAGGATCTATTTTGTGGCGTGTGTGTGTGTGTGTGTGTGTGTGTGTGTATCATGCTTTTCTTTTCTTCTCCTAGATGTGAGTAATTCTCTTTTGCAAAAAGTATGGCCTTACTCCCAAATCCTAAGTGTCTGTGCTGCCACTTTTCTATTAGGGGTAGCCAGAGACTCCTCATAGCCATTTTATCTATCTGAAATATATCTTATGACATCAAATCTTCTGGGCCACTATGATCTCAGTGACTGAGCAGCTTGCTTCAACCAATAAATAGACTGTGGCAATATTTCCAAGTGCCGTGTATGATGCTGTCAGGATGCAGAGAGGCTGTGGTATGTAGCCAGTCTCCAAGATGATTCCAATGGTCCCTGCTTTCTGCTGTTCATGCCTTTTTATAGTGCTCTCTGATATTGCATGGAGATGACCTGTGTAACCACTGAGATATTGCCAAAATATTTGTGTATAACTTACAAGTTTAGATTATGAAAGATATGTGGCTTCTGACTTGCCCTCTCTTGGTTCATTCAGTCTGGGGGAAGCCATCTATGATGTCATGGAAATACTCAAGCAGTGTTTTGAAAAGGAAATGAGACCTCCTGCCAGCAACCATGTGAGTGACCCATGATCTTCTTGGAAGCAGATCTTTTGGCACCAGTTAATTCTTAAGAGGACTGCAGGTCTGGCCAATATTTTGACCATAAACTCATGATAGACCCTGAGTCAGAACCACCTGGCTAAACTGTACCTGAATTTCTGATGCAAAGCAACTATGGGATAATGAATATTTATTGGTTATAAGCTGCTAAATTTTGAGGTAATATTTTATGCAGCAATAGATAACTGATACAGATTATGGTGGCTGGAATAGGTATGTTGCCATACCCAAAAATCTAAAACATGGGAATGGCATATTGAAAGTGTGCAGGGGCCAGCAGCTGGAAGGACGATGATGAGTGTGTTGGTAAAAGCCAAAGGTACTTTGAGAGGCTGCTTGAAGCAGACTGAAGGCCCTAAAAGTGACTGCCAGTAAAGACTTAAAATAAGTGAGGAGGATGTTATTGGAAACTTGAGGAATGGGGACTTTTGTTATAACACAGCAGGAAGTTGAGCAATACTGTCACCTATAATAATGTGGAAGTCGAAATTATATCCAATTAACTGGGTGATCTAGCTAAGATTTCCACACAGACTGTTAAGGGTGCCACCTTTCTTATCAGGGTATCTCTAATACTTGCCACTTTCTAGTCACCAAATCCAACTAGTATAATATATCATTCATATAGTGGACCAGGGTCATGTTCTGAGGAATGTCAAGACAATCAAGATCTCTGCCAACTATATTTTGACAAACGGCAGAAGTGTTAATTTGGCCCTGGGGTGAGGGAGTAAATGTGTACTGCTGTATATTCGCTATTAAAAGCAAACAGCTTTTGATATTTCTTACCAATGAGAATTGAGGAAAAAAGCGTATTTGCTAGATTAGTATCTGCATATCAAGTGTCAAAGGCTGTGTTGATTTCTTCTAGTTTAGATACAACTCATTCATAATAGTTGCAATTGGGGCCAACATATGGTTAAGTTTATAATAGCTTGCTGTCATCTTCCATGACTCATCCAGTTTTGTTCTACTTTTTTTCAGGGAAAATACAAGTTGGTTGAACAGGAATATAATGTGGACAACGTCTCCTGCATCTTCTGAATCTTTGATGCAACAATAATTTCTGGAATTCTTCCAAAGATGTTATGCTAGAGCACAATACAATGTGTTTCATTCCCCATCTACAATGCATCCCAAGATACCAAAAAATGAGAGTCTTAGTAACTATAAACAGGAAGCTACTATATTTCCACCCAGCAGATGAGAGAGCAAAACACTATCCACTTGCTTCTATTACCCATTGATCCATAACGAGCACAGGATCATTAACATTAATTCCCTCACAACTTCAAGTTGTGCACAAGTGAGTGCTGAGTGGGTTTCTGCAGGTGTCTTGCACTACCATGTCAGAGAAGCCCTGGAAAAGTAGGTTGCTCGGCCTGTGGTAAGTGGCAGTCAGTTTGCATCTGTGTGAATCTGGTGAAACCTGTGCAAAACTGGAAGCCACAAGAGTGAGCGAAGGCAGAGGTGGAGCCAAGAGGATGCAAAATAGCACAGAAGTAGCATCACACAATGAGCTTGTGGTAGATGTATTTGTTTTGTTTTGTTTTGTTTTGTTTTGTTTTTTTCTAAAAATGCTTTCTTCTGAAAGGCATTTGTTTTTCTATGAACTAATAAATGTTAGGGACAAAACTGCAAAAGGCTAAAGATGTCTGCATTTTTATCACATTAACTTACTCAAAAGATAGTGAGGGCCTACAATGTGCTAGGTGCTGTGATAGGCAAGCAAAATTGACATGTGTTAAGATAAGCAAACACTACCAAAAGTGGAAACAATCCAAATGTCTAATAATAATAGACAAAAATGTGATATACATACAATGGGATATTATTTAGCCTTAAAACGAAACTCTGATGCTACAACACGGATGAGCCTGGAAAGATTATGCTAAGTGACGTAAGCAAGACACAAAAGGACAAATACTGTATGATCCCATTTATATGAAATACCTAGAATGGTCAAATTCATAGAGACAGAAGATAGAGTGGTGGTTATGAGGGGATAGGTGAAGAAGGATATGGGAAAGTATTGGTTGATGAGTGCAGAGTTCCAGTTTCAGAAAATAAAGAATTCTAGAAATGGATAGTGGTGATGGTGGCACAACAATGTGAATGCATTTAGTGCCACTGAATTTTTCACTTAGAAATGGTCAAAATAGTAAATTTTATGTTTTCTCTACCACTGTATCCATCTATTATCTATCTATCTATCAACTATCTATCTATCTATCTATCTATCTATCTATCTATCTAGCACTACAATGAACTATAGCCCACCCTTTTTTAGTCATGTATATAATATTCTGAAACTTAGAGAATACTTCTATATATAGCAACATTACCTCAAGGTTCTAAGGAGTTAATGCCAAGTTCAAAGCCTTGGGGAACTTTTAAACCCCTTAGACCTAAAGGCAATTTATTTGAGACAGTCAAGCAAAAAGTAAAGGGCCAATTATAGATCTGGTAGCTTTTCTTTGTTTTATTAAACACTGAAAAAAGGAAATAATAGCTCAGAAATGCCCATTATCATCTTAGTTTTAGTGGCTAGTATATTAAATTGGTGGTTGTTACTAGAAATAATATATTCTAAGTTCATCATCTGATGACATTATATTATCAATTGTATACCTCAAGAACTGCAATATAGTTTTAGCCAATAAATAATAAATTGTAGAAACCATCTTCTCAGAATGGAACATAAAATGAAGTGAAGTTAATGTGTTGATTTCTAGAATGATTTTATTACACATCTAGAAGCATATTTTATTCCTTAATTCTTTAGGACATTTTTGCCCATACTCTGGTTAACAAATGTGTCCATGGCTGTTACGTTTCCTTTTTTATCAAAATTATTTATAGATACATATTAAATTTTAGTATTCCCCATGCATATCATAAACCACACCAGTAAACCAGGGCCAAAGTAAATCTTTATCCTAAAGTTGTACAGCAATTAATCAGGCTGAAGAAAAAAAAAGAGAGGAAAAAATGTCAATTGTTTCCTTTCTGGCACGGGAGCAGGACTGGCATTACTACAAATAATTATTTAGGATAAGAATAAATTTGGTTTTTGAAAAGACTACTGTGATACACTTAGAACACTAAAACGCATGACTTATTTACAAGACACTGTAGACACTGTAAAGCCTGCCTTAATGCAATGGCATTAATTATGCATTGCCATGTATATTGTAATTTCCATAATAATTTCTGTCCTACTAAGTGCCATCATCATTATAAAGGATTAGAAGAGTAATTCAGGCACCTGAAACTAAATTTCCAACATGCGAATTGGTATGTATATGTCTGTAAATATACTTCTACATATTTATTCTTTAATGTATCAAAATTGGTTCATTTATGATAACAAATATACCATATTATGTAAAACTTTTTATTAAGTTGAAATTATAAATATACTTTTAAAATAAAAATGGTTTTGCTTCCAAAATGCATCATCTGAGGGTGAGGCAAACTCCATGTGTCTAAAGAAACTGAATTTATGGTTTAGGGTAATAATTTGCATCATTACTGACTTGGAAATGTTTATTAGAACTTAGATTGATTATTCCTATAATTGATAAAAGTCAACTGAATTTTGTTAGGTTAAACATGAACTCAAAGCTATAGGATTCTAGGAAAAATAATCAGTAGGTGATCAGTTAACAATCTGAATGCAAATGTTTAATTTCCAAAAAAAGCGAATTGAGGAATAGCTTAATTTTTTAGTAACATCTTCTCAACTTACTTACTATAAGCAAGAGATTTATATGGCATTTATTGTTTACTTATTCTATAGAAGACACTGTATTGTTTTTGCAAATTTCTCACCATCTGCATCTTTCAACAACCCTGCCATACAGGTTTTAACTACCATTATTTCAATAGTTATTTTACTGACTATTTTTATAGTTATTGTATTTTTGTTTAGTTATTTTATTTTTTATTATTTTGCTGATTCAAAATTTGAGAATTTAAGAGGCCCTGCTTATTATGAACACATAAATAGTACCCATGTCACACAACTATTTAGCAGTAGAGGGAGATTTTCTAGCTCAAGTTGTTTGACTTCAGGGTTTTGTCCCCAAGCCAATTTGCTCATAACCATTTCCTCTAAGAAACACTCTTCTAAAGCTTCCAAGCCCAGAGAGGAACACCGAGATCCACTCCCAGATATGTGTGTGTGTGTGTGTGTGTGTGTGTGTGTGTGTGTGTGTGTGTGTGTTTTCCCCAGAGACAGAGTCTTGCTATGTTGCCCAGGCTGTAGTGCAGTGAGTATTCACAGGTGCAATCATAGCACGTTACATCCTGGATGTCTTAAGCTCAATCAATCCTGCCTCAGTCTCCTGAGTAGCTGGAACTACAGGCATGTGTCATTGCACCTAGCTTCAGTTATGCTTTTGAGTAGGCCAGCCAGCAATCAGTTTTGTACACACAATGAGAAAAGTAACCTCTTCAACAAGCACAATAGCAGGAATTGGCTGAAGTCTAGTTTATACCAGTATTTTGCCAAGAAAACCCATCGTAGTCATGTGCACTAAAATAAGTATCAAACATTCTCAATGCATTTACCTTACTGTTTGCTTCTCATAATGTTACTATAAAAATACAATGAAATTGATTTTCTTTTCTGCATTCACTTGAATTAATAGTTTATTGATTATTATTGAGTAAAAATATTCACAAATATATAATATTATAGTTAGATTGTCTTCTATGTTCTTACTAAATCACTGAACATTGAGGAGAAGAAGAAGCACAATCCAAGTATTCTGTGTAGGAACTCAAAGTTGAGAGATATTTTTTTCTAAAAGAAGAATCTCTGATAATTTATAATCTGAATTCTAGGGTTGAGGATTGTATAGTTTCTGGGACCTTGATAATTAAATATAATCTATACACTTCCAAGTTTCTTAAGAATTAGATTCTTTGATCAGTGTTTTTCACACAACAATTTTAGCTTAGAAACTATGGCAAATATTTTTAAAAGTCCTACATTAAGTTTAAAATACAATGCCATAACTAGATTTGATCAATGTTGAGTATTTCTAATTCTGATGAAAGGATGTGCTATTAATAAAATCAGATAATCAGTCTTAACTTCAAAGGAATGTCACCCAATAAAGCAGTGTTGAAGATGCATATAATTGTGTTAGTTGTTCTTTAATAACTGTGGACACGACATTTTATCTCTAACTAGAAAAATCTTCTTTTAGCCTGAAGCAATAGATCTTATTCAAAATTAGGGAGTCAGTAATTAACATCCATTTTCTTAGTTTTGTTTCTATACATACTTGTTTGTGTATGGATATAAATTTCTCCTTCGATATTAAATTTCTATGTGTGGGAACTATGTGTAAGCTGACAAATTCCACAAGTATTAAATAGCCATAACTTAAAAAATATATTAGTATTGGTTTATGTGGCCAATCTGTATTTCAAGACACATCATTAGTCTTTTTGAAGACACATGCAGATGAATAATACATGTCTTTCGCTTGATTGAAAAATCACAGTAAGGATGCATTTTAAAATATAACATATATCTACTGAAATCGAACTCTGGCATTAATACACATGGTTTACTGAGTAGTTGGTTCCAAGAATATAATAGAGAATAAACTAAGGCAAATGTTCGATAAGGAATATGAAAGCTGACAGTTGCATATTGAAGGAAATTGTAAAATTTAAACCTGAAGGATGTCTTGATGATGAATAGTGCAACGTTTTATAGCCAAGATCTTCCAACCATCAGAAGTTAAATACAGGTAATACAGTCATTATCTAAGCCAGGGTCAGAACCCTGGTGTCCTGACTTCTCAGCTTAGCAGTCTCTCATTCAACATTAGGAGCCTATAATTCAGATGAATAGCTCACAGTGGGATTGTATTTCTTAAACTGTTTTTGTAAATTATCAAAGTGCTTCTGGGTTCCATAAATAATTAAGTAAATTATGATAAAAAATATTATTTATTTTAGAATCTGTGATTTGTTAGGATCCACAAGTATGCTGTAACACAGTCTTTCTGTGTATCACTGAAAGATGTTTTTTCAGGCTGGAACACTTCTGGTGACAGAGCTCATTGTTTAGCAAAGTTGCTGACTCTGTTGTTGGACAGCTACACCTACTAGAGGTTTCTTTCTCATATGCCTATAAAATCTTCTTCTCTAAGAATTCTAATCTAACCCCATTCCTAACAGCTTTTCAACTCCTAAAAACCTCCAAACTAAATACTCTTGTTTTTGTTCCTTCTTCCTAATAAGACTCTTGTCTTAACATTAGACATGTAGCTTTTCTGGGGCACTGCTAGATTTTACAATAATGTCATAGAACAATTTGAAAACTAGTAAAGAAAATAAAACAGAGTAGACAAACAGTAAATACATAAAATACCTGACCACCTCCATATATCTTTTATTCTTTTTGAAATAAAAAAGACAAATGACCTCATATCCATTTCAATATGGTAAGTCTCACTCCAAATATCTCTAAATACTCTGCTAAGTCATCTCACACACATTCTATTGAGGTTCACAATTCCTTGATTTACACTGTGCTGTGTAGTAAATTTACTTGCCATGGTCATTGTTTGCATAATTGCTTGGGCAACTCAGCTGCCTAAGGACAAAATCACATATTGAAAACCCTGTGCCTGAGTACTTATTCCTTCAACAAATCCTATCCAGAGGCTGACTTGAGGAACTAGATCTTCATTTCACCTCTGAATTCTTCCCGATTTCTTAATCAGCAGCCTTCACTGATACAGGTTCTTGAGGTGTCACGTATTCAGTTATCACACCCACAAAGTTTTCCCCTCAGGAGGCTATAATATTCCATTTTACAGTTCAAAATTGACAGCATTTAGGTTGCATTTGAAGATAAATGCCCATTATATGTTTTTATGCTTAGACAAGGTGTTGTGTGCAATGTTATTAAGGAATTAAGAGTGAATGCATGACAAATGCTTTACATATTGATCTGCATCATTCAGCACTCTCTTGGAAACAAATGAAAATTATTTAAATCAAAATTGCACTCACAACAAATTAAATTATTTTTACAGGAATCAGTTCCAGTGCTAAAAATGTTGTGGGCATTCACTACCAAATGCTCATTGTCTGCTAAGGTACAACGGTCATAGGGGCTCACAGTTCACAGATGGTCTCCAGGCTAACTAGGACACACCAGAGGGATAGAGAAAGCTTGCAGTTGGATTATCTAGATCTCGTTCTCTACCGGAATTTATTTTTAATGATTATCTTTTGGATAAATACACCTTGACTCTAGGCATTAGTTTAGATCATGTGTGTTTTTAAAAACCAGGCTTTAAATAAAAAGAATTAGTACCTACGGCTCATTCATAACAATATCTGGTTAACTTAACCATTCCATTCCATTTGATTTAAAAAATATTATGTGTGTCTAGAATTTTAAACATCAACATATCATTGCCCATCCAGCAAATCAGTCAGAATTACTTCTCTCTTCATTTACTCATTACCTTTCTGAGTTGAGAAATACCTGAAGTCGGAAGGTGGGTTTGTAGAGGAATTTTCTTTCATGTATGTTATTGTAAGAAAAATCAAATTGTTTTTAATATAGAAAAACAAAGGACAAACATTTGTTATTTTCCTTTTTTAAAAAGTATGATGAAGAGAAAAAGATTAACTTTGATTGTTCACAGCAAATTCTGAAGTAAATTCCATGTTACTCAATTGTTAAGACTGCCATGTATTAAATTTTACATTGTGTCCTACAGTCATGATCTTGAAGAGTGAGGACAAGCAGACATATGATGTATGCCTTAGCAATGTAGCCTTAAAAATGTGCTTTAAATTATAGCTCTTTGCCATGTATCCTATTAATATTGAATATGTATACATAGCAGTGTGAGCTTTGTGATTCCAGTCAGAATGGGGGAAAATAAGTACACTGAGAACATAAAGAAGACATTAAATCCTTAGTAGAACTCACAAGTTGGTGGAAATCATGAGATTTGAGTTGGATAGGTAGGAATGCAAATCATGGGACTTGAGGTTGTTTAGGTACAATTGTGAAGGTAGAGAATTCCAGGAATAGGGAAGGATATAAACAAAAACAGCAAGTACGGGCTGTGTAAATAGGCAGTGGAGCATAGACATGGGAAAGAAACAGGGACCCTGGAATCAGGTTGTAGAAGGTGTGGAACCATTACTATGGGTAAATCCTTGACTAATATACTCTTCAATGCCTAACTATAGGTATATCCTGCTCTCCTTCAATAACCTGCTTTAATTGTGCTCACCTACACTCTTAAGTTATGTAGGTTCAAGAGGATTTCTCACATTATCTGTCCCAAATGTTTTGACACATAGTTATATTGTATCCTCTATTGTTCACCAAGTATTTAACATATGCAAATCTATTTCTCTACGAGTTTAAACCATTCACAGATAAGAACTTTGTCACGTTCCTTTTGTAGTTCCCACTATAGTGCTAGACTGACAGTAAATATAGTTATGAAAGCACTTTTTAAAGCATATTTAAGATATAATTGGTATTGCTCCTTAATAAATTCTTGGTGAACTGCAAGAATGAGCAGAAGGTAGCTGTTTCTAGAAGTACTCAAAGGAAAAGATTCTGAATTAAAAATAATATTTTTACATTCCTGTGTGAGTTATCAAGAGGCTAGGAAATAGAGTACCTGAGCTATGGAGGTCAAGGTTATAGAACACTCAGAAAGTGACAGCAATGAAAGTCAAGTACTAGATGGTATGCCACCCTGCTAGCTTCAACAAGGGACCAGCAGTCAGTGAGGCGAACATAAAAAATGCATCCATCACCGGGCTAATTAGTGAGAAAAATGAACACATAGGTTAAAGAAATTTGTGCCTGAAAACTAATTCAAAACTGAAGCAGCTGCTGAAAGGCATTAGGCAATTCAAATATAATGTGTGACTATTTCTTTTTAAGAGAGAGTCACTTATTATTGTTGAAAATGAAGACATAACAGCAAACTTTAACATGATTTTCCTACTGGTTTATTTTCTTTTTCCAGACATTGTCATCAGAAGGATGTGTCTATCACGTGTATTTTATTTTAGATGTGTTTGTCACTTGCTAATACACTTGCAAAGATGACTGCAAGAAGTGATGGAATACAAATTATTTCCTCCAGATAGGCCTTTTTTTTCACTCAGATGGTGTTAATGGTTGACTTATTATTTCAATGGCATTTTCTTCAGTGTCACAATGTCTCTCTGAGGGTGTGTTACATTTTCATAGGTTCTATCCTCCTAAAGCATCCTGTTTTCTCCATGTGATAAACACTGCCCCTAAGATTTGAAATTTACAGCTATCGCAAGAAATCTCAGTCTCCTAGGGGACTCTTTACTTATATTTCCAAAGGCTGAATATTTAACTGTAGATAAGCAGAGTTTCAGGATTTTATACCCTAAAAATTCCAGTCTTACGTTATTCGATTTCTTGCGGTTTTCATGACATAAGGAATTCTAAAGCAGAGGCTACTAGTGTGGGAATTCCTTTGTCTCTGGCATATCTGTAGCTTCTGGAATATAAGTTTTGTTTCTCTTGAAAAGAAAATGAGCACATGTAAGATGTACTGTATCTTAAGATTCAGAGCAGAACTCAGAATAAATATAGTGTATGCCTAAAAGGATGAGTGAAAAGAAAGGAGGGAATTATCAACTGTGGGTATATTTCTTTGACTCAAACTGCACTTTTAGAGGTATTTCTGAAAGAAAAATACATGACACATTTTAGGTTTTGAACTCACTTAAACACACACACAGACACTCCTATCTTTAATTAATCTCCAACTCTTCCAGTTATTACTCATTTGTCACTGATTTCCTTATTATGTAAATGCTTGGCCATGAGTGGCTTAGATCCCAGTTACACATTTGGTTACAGTAGTTTATGAATGTGCTAAAAGGCACTGGAGCAAACTATATTCACATCTAGACTTCTAAAATTGCAAATCACCTATTCACTTTTGTCCACTTCTCATCTGTTCTCTGCACCGAGCGGTCAGAGAAATCTTTTCAACATGCAAATTTGTTCATGTCACTTTCTTGCTTAGAACTCTGATGCCCTCTCATTGCTCTTAGGTTTAAGGAAATCTTGTTAGCATGACCTATAAATTCTACGACGTTCTGACCTGTACTTCACTCTGTAAACTTATATTGTATTTCATTCTCTCTTGATATTGTGTTTTGGCACAATTGCCTTCTATACCATTTTCTCTCAGATAGATCTCTTCCCTATTATTATTTATAATAATAGATATTATTTTATTGTAGCACTTAGTGTGTTGCAATTATCTGTCTCTTATTAATTAGATTACTAGTGCCTTGAAGGTGGGTACATTCTTGTTATTTTTCTATTTCCAGTGATTAGGATAGTACAGATCACATATTAATTGGTATTCCATAAATACTGTTAATGAATGAGTTAAATGAATAAAATGTCCAGCTGCTTAATTAGAAAAATGTGTCACTGTTAATACATTAGTGAGGTGAAATCTCTTCCAATGAGCACACTACCTTAATTCAATTATAATACAAATTTTGCTAGATGTTCTGTCTAAGAATCTAGACCCTTCTATTCAAAGTATGATCCAGTAACCAGGACATTGGCAATGCTCAGGAATGTATTAAAAATGCAGAATCTCAGGCCTGACCTCAGACCTAATGATTAAGAATCTATATTTCTTACAGACCTCCAAGGTAATTTACATGTGTATTAAAAATTTAAGAAGCACAGATAATTAATGTACACAGATTTATAAAAAAGATATTTATGTCAAGATGAATGGAAACACATATGCTTCTAGATGTAAAGAATTAATATAGCAAGAAAGCCAATTTCTCCTAGAAAAATTTACAAACTCATTTCTGCTTTCAACAGATAGAGAGTAACAACTATGTCAAGTACTGTGCTAAGCACTGGATATTCTCTGATGTTCAAAAGAGATATGGTTACTGCCCTTTTGCAGCATTCCACCTATTTGGAAAATTAGGTTAAGTAAGGAATACAAAAGTTCTTATGCAATAACAAAGCAAAGACTTGCAGAAAATTCAGGTTGATATAAATTAAATAAAAATGTTATAAAACAATTCTGGAATATCTAAGATAAACATTACAAACAAAGTAATAATATAGGGCCTTACATGATTTTATGTTATGCCATATTTTGATGTCATGTGAAATAGAAGTGTAACACCCAAGAAAAAATAGAAAAACAGTTCAAGAGAAGAACATAATAAAATATACAGAAACACATACAAATGTATATATGATAAAAGTGATACATTACATTAACAATGAAATGAAACTGAATAGAAATTAAATAACAATACTGAAATTCCTGATTAATTTTTGTTTGAAAGAAGTTAAGTCTCTACCTGGTCCCATATACCACAAAAAATTACATATGGATTAAGTAGGTAAATATAAAAATGCAAACTTGTCATAACCAGAAGACATTAGAATATGAGCAAATGTGTTTTTAAAACAAAGAAGTCTTTTACTTCTAACTGTGGCATACTAGCTTGTATGAGACCAAACGTCCCAAGGAGAACAATTAGAAAAGCTGGAGAAATGTTTAAAAATCTATTTTAAAACAACAGAGACATATTAATGCAGCAAGGACTCGAAGAGCCAAGATCTCGGACAAAAATGAAGTGCAGGATAGTGATTTGTCTCAACTTTTACCCTGGAGGTATTTCCCAATTATTAAACTATGGCCAAGAAGTGAAGAAGGTGAACAAAACTTTTAGCAGGAGAATGGACCTTAAAAGGAAATATGATGTAATTGTTTCAGGAAGAAGTAACCATGGTAAGTAACCCAGGCTATCAGTTATAGGTTTCAAAAGGCTATACCTGTGGATAAAGAAATCATCTTTAATAAAGACTAAAATTCAGCTTATAATCAGTTGAATTTCAGATTAGGTTAAGGTGATCTCTCTCTAACCTAGCTAAACACCAAACACAAATATAAATTTTATCTGGAAGATTATATAAATTATACACAACTCACTTTTATTTATCAAAATGGCTCAAATTCAGGCAAAATTGCTAAGAATACAAAGATATAGGACAGCTAGATATCAGCAGCTATCAGATCTGTACTTTAAAACAACTGTGACTATTGTTTTCCAGAAAAATGGTAAACATGATGGAGAATTTAAGCAGAGAAGAGTAATTGATTTTAAAAATAGAAAAATGCAAAATCAGTTTTTATGCAAAAAAAAGCAAAAAAAGTGTAAAACACTGTAACTGAATTAAAAACTTAACAAATAGGTTAAGCACCAAAAGAATTGGAGGAATAGGAGAAAATCCAATTCAAAAATATACAGAATGATACAAAGATTGAAAAAAAGAACATATAGGACATGGTAAAAATCTTTAAGATACAATTGAATTAAGAAGAAAAAAGAGAGAAAAATGTCCAAGAAGATGGTATTCAGAAAGAAATAAAAACTGAACAGGTAAATCCCAGTGAATATTGAATGCATAAAGCAATGATAGTATGACTCATGAGGTTTAAATGTGTATAGAATTAAAACACACAACACTACGAGTGTTATCAATGGAAGACAAGATAAACAGAGGCAGAGTTTTAAGGTCCTTGCATTTTCTAGGATGTGATAGAATTATTAATTTTGAGTTGACTGTAAGAAGGAAAGCTAAACACAAATCATTGAAAGAATAACCAAAGGATTAGCTATTACATGAGAAATAGTGGCTAATAAAAATAATCAGAGAAAGAAAGGAGAGAAAAAGATACATAGAAGAGTTGGAAAAAATAAAAAATAAATAATAACATGTATATTGAAACCAAAACACATGAATTTACATCAAATGTAAGTTGAATGAATATCCCAGGTGGTCAGATAAAGGTGATCAGACTGGATATAAAACCAAAACCTAAATCTATATATTGCTTATAAGAATAAAGAAGCTTGTGCAGATATATTAATATCAAAGTATATTTTAAGAAAAAAGCATTAAAGACAGACATTTAATACAGATTGGTAAGTTTTAATAAAATTGATAAAAGTATCAGTTCACCAGAAGGATGAATCACTTCTAAATTTGTATGTGCCTAATAACATCTGATCTCAAACGTATTTTAAAATGGACAGATTTAGGAGAAATACAGAGAGGTATACAGTAATTATGACAAGATACTGTAAGACCTCTTTCATTAACTAATAGAAGTAAAGAAATATCAGTAGCAATTTAGAAGATTAGAACAACATGATTAACAAAATAACATAATTGGCATACACACACACATATAAATACAAAACTGCATTCAGTACTGCATAACGAATACCATTTCTTTTGAATGCGCATAAAACATTGACCAAGATTGGTCATCTGCTGGCTTTAAAGTAAATCTCAATAAACCTCAAAGGATTGAAATTAGAAAGAGTATAATCTCTGACCACATTGGAATCAAGCTATAAATCAATAACAAAGAGACAAGTGGAAATGTTTTGAGTGACTAAAATTAACAGCACACATCTAAACACACATGGATCAAAGAAGGAGTCACAACTGATATAAAAATATTTATGGCATATGAAAATAAAAATGTGCCACATTAAAATTTGTGACATAAAGCTAGAATAAGAAAACTTATCATTTAAATGCTTAAGTTATAAGTAAGAAAGAAGGCTGTAAAAACTACAAACTACAATCTAAGTATTCATATAAAGAAATTAGAAGAGAATAATAAAATGAAGCCAAAGAAAATAGAAAGAGAGAAATACTAAGAGTAAAAACTTAATTAATGAAATGGAAATCAAATATACAACAAAGTTACTATTTTAAAAGACTGATATTCATAAATCTAATTGATAACTACTAATATAAATGACTAATATTAGAAACAAAAAAGGAGATTCTTCTTTAATTTATTCTTCAGACATAAAAAAATAAGAGGGTATTATGACAAATCTTATGCCACATAAGTTTGAAAAATAAATGAAATAAATTCCTAGACAAATATGACTTATCAAAAATGACATTAGGAGATGTAGAAAACTTTAATGTTCCTCCGTCTATTCAATCTATAATGAAAACATGTCTGCAAGGAAAATGTTTGGCCCTGATAACTTAATTGGTTAATTCATCCAAACATCCAAAGGGTGAAAAAAGCAGAAAACAAAAACAAAAACAAAAGAAGCCCATCATGATAATTTAACTTCAAAAATATTCCAGAACATAGAGGAAAAGGGAATCTTTATGAGCTTATGTTGTAGAGTCAGAAATAACCTTGTCCCAATATCTGAGAAGACATATTACAAGGAGAGGAAAATTAGAGGCCAGTCTCTCTGACAAACATGGATGCAAATTTTTTTTAATGCAGTCATAAAGCCAATACAATACATCAAAAGGATAAAATATCACAACCAACCGGAGCTTTCTCAAAGAATGCAAGGTTGGTTTTAATGTTTAAAAAGTCAATTGATGTAATAAAATAAGAACTACTCAACATATATTGTTGGGTAAAAGTACAGGATATAAGACTATATATACAAGAATCTCAATTTTGTTGGTCAAAAACATAACTGGAATGACATTTTGAAAAGTGCTAATGGTAAATTTTTTGGCCTTGTAAGATACTGGATTTTAATTTTATTTTCAATTTTGATATTTTTCCCTTAATTTAAAATAATAAATAAGGATAAATTTATTTAAAAGATATAGCATGTTAGAGTGAAAATAGAAGTGCTCCAACTTGCTGGGATCTTTTACTTCTGAGTAACATTAAGTCTAGAATCTGAATCTCCCCTTCTTTGCCTTTTTATCTACTCTTTTTATTATATTGATATTCCTCAGTCCCTGCCACCCACATCCTTTTACGAAGGATTCAATAAGTTTTTCTAATAGAAAACATTTCAGGAAGACCAAGAAATTATGTGTTAGAAGAATAAATAGAGTTCTTGAAGTACCTCAAAACATATGTATGTTGTCCCTGCTTACAGCAAAATAAAATCTACAGCAGTGCGAATAACAGATGGCTGGGAGTAGACTTGGTACTAGATAGATTTGGGTTTGTGTTTTACTTACTATACTTCTTTGGTTTGCTTACTTATCTCCCATAAGCACCAATTTCCTTACTTTTATGAAGAAGAAAAGAGAACATACCTCATAGGGATGTTGTGTGTATTAGAATAAATACATCACATGCTTAGTAACATTATTACTAAAAGAGAAAATTCTAGAGATAAGAAATCCCACTTGACATTTTAGTCAGTCAGTAAAGAGCAGCAAATAGCCATTGAAACTGATGCAAGCTTGTATATGGCCATCAACCATAATATCATTGTAATCAGCTTTGCACATAGGAACATAAAAGATGACAGATACATACTTTCCAAAGCACTTAAATAACTACCAAGAAAAGAGTAGCAGAACAGATTCTCAAGTACATGATGGTAAGCTTAAGATGCTTTTTCTAACCTCTGAATGCTGTCCCTTAACACCATTTACTGAGACCCCAGACAATCCTTTCCTTTAAACACCATCCATGGATAACCTTGAGAGCCTCTTATCTCTGTCACATTTTTGTTTTTCCTTATCTTCTCTTTCAAAGGTTGAATGGAATCAATAAGATGGTGTCGCTTTCTAATAAGATGGATGCAAATCAAAGAAAAGGGAAAGGGTGGCTTAGGTATTAAATTGACTGGCCTGTTACTTGTTATAGAATTTCACAATACAGGAGATATCGATACCAATTCCACAGGTAACACAGCATCAAAGGCTTTGTCTGTGATGTCAAGCAGGGTTTACTTGGCTGCTTCTTGATGGCATAGGCATGTTTACATCCAAATAAAGAAAGAAAAAAATTATCGGTTCTTTCTACTTAAATAAGATCATGGGACAAAGCATATTTCCAAGGAGAAAATGTGAATGTTGGAAGAGCCAACTCTCTGATCTAGTTATTATGCTATGACGCCAAAGGATTTTTTAATTTCCACTGAAAATGTTCCTGCCCATTAATGTTAATTGCCAATAATTTTCAGACCCTGCCAGCTGTAGAACAGCTTTTCAGGCATATAAATTCAATAAATATGGTACGAGTAGAACTAATAAGTGGTAAGGTTGAGACCTAAAACCCCAGAGGAAAATAAGGCAAATGTGACTTGGGTTTTTATTGTGTCCTTAATTGAACCTCACTCCATCTGCCTGCCACATACATTCCACACTCAAAAGCTGTTCTCATCCATTTTCAAAGAAGGTTTCTATAGTGTGACAATTACTACCCTTCCACAATATTGTGAAATAAGGGGTTTGGAACACTTATCTCCTTTTGTAATCTTTAGTTGTTTACACATAAAATACCCTTTACTAGCGTGAGCTCTCTAAAACTGTGAGGCACAGTGGATAAAAGCACGGTCTTGGACAAAGATTGGAGTCTGGCTCAGTCACCTTTTAGCTGCAAAAACAGATCCAGGTTGTGTGGGACCAAAAGCTTGTACAATTTGGGGGCCCCCTCAGAAAAAAGAACGTAAAGTTACTAATACAAAATATGGAACAAGAATGAATTTGCATATAGAATGATAAAAAATAGACACAAATTACAAGTTTTTAAAAAGACAACATATAGTAATGTATGCACTACAGAGTCCTCCCCTGCTCAGGGCTTTAGAAGGTGTCTGTGGAAATGAGGGGCTTTAGTCTCTTTAAGGTAAACTCTCCTCTAATTAGCTGGATAACGGTGACAGGTAATTTTACTACACTGATTCCCAATTAATTGTTTGTATCTCAAAATTTTGTAAGAAATAAATTAAAATAGAATATATTTATAAATTGTCATGGGCAGTGCCTGTAGGTGTTCAAGTGTCAGATATTAATATTAGAGATTGAGTATTCCTTATATAAAATGCTTGGAGCCGGAGGTGTTTTGAACTTCAGATATTGTTGGATTTTGGCAAATTTGCATATGTATAGTGAGATATCTTGGTGGTAGAACCCATGTCTAAACATGAAATACATTAATGTTTCATATACACCTTATACATATAGACTGAAGGTAATTTTAAACAACATTTTGAATAATTTTGTGCATAAAATTACATTTGTGGTCATTGAACCATCAGAAAGCAAAGGTGTTAGATGTGGAATTTTCCACTTGTGGCATTATAGCACTCAAAATGTTTTGGATTTTGGAGCATTTTGGATTAGGGATGCTCCACCTGTATTATAATTTAACTTGTTGTTAACTTATGCTTGTTTATTTTTGTTTTACTGCCTAATACAGTGATGGGTATTGGAGACCACCAACATTTAATTTAATAAAATTGTACTGTGAATTTATCAGAATAATAAATTATAATTATCTTGATTGTATAATATACAGTATACTGCTTCAGTGATGATGAAACTGTTTTTTGATTCCTTAAGAAATTATGCTAATATATAGTATAAATTTTATTTAAAATATATTTATACATGTTATAAAACATATCTAAAAGCATATAAAGACTTTTTTAAACGTGGAGGCTGATATTCCATTTTAGAGCAGTAATCAGATCATAATTTAGCTAAAGGAGACATTAAAGCATTTGAAATTTTATTACCAATTGCTGCATTTAAAAATATTTTTCTGATTTAATGCAAGCATATTAAAATAAGTCAAAAAAACTAAAATGTATACAGTTATCCAGTGGAATCTGAATAGCACTCTTTAGTTTTTTTAAAAAAACAGATATTAATTTGTTTAGGTTTATTCACTGAACTTAAAACATCCTTAGCTTTGTTCACAAATTTTTTTATTTCAATAGTTTTGGGGGTACAGGTGGTTTTTGATTACATGGATAAGTTCGTTAGTGGTGATGATTTCTGACATTTAATGCCCCCCTCACCTGAGCAGTGTACACTATACCCAATATATAGTCTTTTAGCCCTCACCCCTCACCCAAGCTTCCCCCAGAGTCCTCAAAGTCCATTACCTTACCCTTAAGCCTTTGTATCGTCATAGCTTAGCTCCCACTTATAAGTGAGAACATGTGATATTTGGTTTTCCATTCCATTGTTTACAACCATACCACTTCTCGTCTGTTCACAATTCTTTTAGATTTTCTTGTGAAATCAGTATTGCCTCAACCTACAACACGAGCGTTTGTACTTTATCTTTTATAAACTCCCCATTTATTTCATAGTCATTTTTTATTACATACTCTTTTCTAGCAAAAATTTAGCCTTGAAATACTGGTGATTATAATACATATTAAATTACTATTAAAAAGTAGGGCAAGGTGGAAAGAAGAAAAACATCTGTGCTCTGTAAAGCAATTGCAGTGCTTATAGACTATGACCACATTACAAAAATAGACTTCTGATGAAGGAGAGGTTCTTTTTGGGCCCACTGTTAAAATGCCGATACATGTTAATGGCTAGACAAATAAGTAATGCATCTATATATAAATGTATGAAATTGAGAGTTACGTATGATTATCATGATTCTTTCAGAATCCCCTGTAAATTTATTTTTAACAAAGCTGTATAAAGGAATCTTGAAAAAAATCTGAAAGGAATTGCTCATCTGCTTTATTCAAAGGATTTGGAAAAAAGTTCTCAAGCCATGAAAGCATATGTATTAGCATAAAACAACATGCATATTAACGTTAATGTAACAGCAAAGTGTACTCTTTTAGAATAAGAAGAGGCTTTAGAGACCATTGAACTCAATGCATCATTTTGTGTACACAGGAACCAGAAAGCTGAAGTGGTATTTCCAAGATTAGGCTATGAGTCTTGATAACAAACTGTGCCAGGAAGTACCTGTCTTTTAAGCCTAGTGGAGTGCTCTTTTTACTCTGGATGTGAAATCTATTATTTTTTTCCTCAAAAGAAATGGAAGGCCGGGCATGGTGGCTAACAGCTGTAATTGGGAGGCCTACAAGGGTGGATCACCTGAGGCCGAGACCTTCCTGGCCAACGTGATGAAACCCTGTCTCTAGTAAAAATACAAAAAATTAGCCTGGTCTAGTGGCAGAAGCCTGTAATCCCAGCTTCTCGGGAGACTGAGGCAGGACAATCACTGGAAACCGGGAGGCGGAGGTTGCAGTGAGCCAAGATCGTGCCATTGCACTCTGCCCTGGGCAACAAGAGTGAAACTCCATCTCAAAAAAAGAAAGAAAGAAAAGAAAGAAAGAGAGAGAGAGAGAAAGAAAGAAAAAAAGAAAGACAGAAAGAAAGAGAGAGAGAGAGAGAAAGAAAGAAAAAAAGAAAGACAGAAAGAAAGAAAGAGAAGAAAGAAAGGGAAGCAGTATGTTTTTTTAAGCTCCACAATAAATCAGCACAATTAAACAAAAATAAATGAATCAAACAAACAAAGAGTGAACATGTATAAGACACAACTAGGGGTAAATGGGTCTGCCCTAGAGAGACTCATAATTTTTTGGTGACAGTAAATGTAAGTCCTAAAACAGAAGTATGAATAAGGAACGGCGGGAGCACAGAATAAATCTCATGTAATCCAGCCTTCTGTCCTGAAAGCTGTGAAGTTATTTCATTAAGAACAACTGATTCCTTTAAAGCCAAAGAATGAGGCTGGGCGCTACTGGTTACTATATATAGGGTGTAGATATGTAGTCTTTCCACACTCTACTGAATTCTGTACCTAATTAACACAAGACTATCAGTTTCAAAACAGCAGACTGGAATAGTGTTTCTAGTCGAGTGTGCTGTTGGCTATTACATGGTATGGCTCTCAGCATTTTTGCCTACAGAGTCAGTTTCTCAGTTCAAACTATTTATTACTTAGTATTTCTATTTCCCTAACCCACATACCATTATATATGTAGAGGGTCTCTGCTATAGAAATGCCCCACAAGGAATGTGAAAGAGCAGAATAAAAATATGAATTCATTCATTTATAATGGAAATCATTATTTCTGCAGGTAATATCACAGAAAACTTACCTCACTAGAGGAGAGAAAAAGATCTTTATCTCTAGCCACTCCCAACAGGAAATGTTTCTTAGTGTTAAAGAGACATACTGTATTTAAAAATACTTTTTTTCGGACATCAATATTTAAATCATTAATTTAATATATATATTTTTCTTTCTTGTATTACACCATGTGCTAGAGAAACAAAGAATAAGATGCTTGGCTTGTTTTTTTAAGTAATTCACCAACTGATGGGTGTAAGAGCTGTTCCAGATACTCTGCAGGGTGAAGATTGCTGTTATTTAAGAGTGCATAAAGTGTGAAGAGAATTCCAATAAAGGAATGACCAACATTGTTTGGGGAATTAGAGAAAATTCAGACCACTCTATTTTTTGGTTATGGTTTCCTTGTAATTTAAAATTTTTTACTGGTTTTTAAAAACATCAAATTTTTGCTTTAAAAAGTTATATCTGGAGATTATATGAATATAAATTATTAATAAATTAATAATTTACATAAATGAGTCATAACTAGAATCCAATGATCTTGCTTCAAAGATGCAATATTTCTAAATTTATTTCTTATCAATATAATTCCACAGAAATTAGGAAAAAGACATGCTCCCAGCCTACATATATAATCCTTCATCTAAGAGTACAAACTCTTGAGATGGAGTTTCATCTTGGACTTCCAGAGCTTTGTTGCCTCACTGAAGCCATGTGAACAATTTTCATCCCTAATAACAACTCTCCCAAAGTTTTCAAGTTTAAGTACTGTTGCATTCATGTGTGTGTGTGTGTGTGTGTTTATGTGCAAGCTTGTGCTTGTAAATATGTGTGTGCTACAAATAAAAACAATATAAGTTGCAATGTGTAACATTTAACAGGCGTGCAAAAAAATTCAGAAGAAAGGACCCTAAACAAAGCAAACAGCACAAAGACAGGCAAAAAGCAGATCTTTGTGTCAACATATGGCTGAATAGTTCAATTTGGCTATCATGGAGGGTATGGAGAGTGGGATATAAGATTGGAAACCTAGTTTTACACCAGATTCTGGAGAGCCTGGAAGGCTGGGCTAAGGAGTTTAACCTTTAGGTTCTGTGGTGTAGTCAATGGAGATCCATTACCACAGAGGAATCTTCTATGTCCAGGCAAAGGCCAAAGGTTTAAGGGCCTGAGGCTGTGTAATGGAAGAATGATCCAGGCATTTGGCATCACACAATCTGGTTGGAGCCCGAGTTCTGAATTTTCATATACATAAAGCAGTAGAATATTTGTATTCAAGAGTTTGCCTTAGGGCTCACCTAGCCAGCTAAATAATCTGAAAAACGAATACAACCCAATGTTGACAAGTAATAATAAGTTGATATTTCACTCTGTCTGCTACTGTATTAACTTAGCCCTGCTGGAAACAAACAGACTTTTACCAAAGACATGATGGCTAATGAGCACATTTCCAGAATTCTGATGCTTTAATAAAGTGATCCATTAGGATCACAGCACTGTAGATGGTATTAACTTATTCTGCACAAGCACATATTTCAAAGTCTCTATTATAAATCTATTCAAAGATCTTTCACCCCATTTTTTTGAGGATGCTTTCAGAGTAAATTAATCTAATAAAAAAACAGGGTTCAATACTGAAATTATCCCCAAATATTTCTGCCTCTTTACTGATACGATGTTAAGCTAACACCTTTGGCTAAATGCTTACATTTTCTTGACAGATCAGCAACCAGCACAGCAACTGGTCTTAAATGGTGAGTCTCCTTGACTTCTCTAAAGAATACTATTTTCCATAAGATTTCACAAGTTTGGTAATATTTCCAAGTTTGATGAGAAGTTTTATTGTGAGCAGTTCTGGAGGCTAATAGTAGATAATGAAGAGCTCTGCTGCCATGTCCATGGAATACCTGAAGGCTACAAGAGAACATTAATAGACCTTCAAGGGTAAACAGTGGAAATGGAAAGTAGAAAATGCTTTTAGCTGCTTTTCTGATGCTCCTAGCACTAGTGAAATCAATCTTCAAAGTGAGATGGAAACCTAATGGCCAGCTCCTTTGATAGCTTCTGGTTGTGCCTCTGGCTCTGTGTGGCTTTATTTTTTAAAACATTACCAACTCCTGGGATAAAACAGTTTATTTTTCAGTCCCAGGCACAATTCAGAACTATAAACTGCTTATTAGTAATAATCAAACACCTCATTATTTAAATGGTAGGCATAGCAGTTAAATGATTTTATAGGCATGTGTATTTTGAAATATGTAAGACATTCCTCTTGCTGAGAAACATTCTGTTCATCTGGCCTTGTGTTCATTTATTATTTATTGTAATTTGCAGTTTGCTGAATTGTCGTGAAGTCCATTTAGAGTTTTATACCCCTTTAAAAGACGGTTACATAAAATAATCTTTGTTGTTGTTTTTGTTTTCTAATTTGAGATGTTAGCTTTATTTATAGGTAGATAGCTAAAAAATATAAAATATAATGTATTAAAAGCATATACAGAAGTTTCAATTAAGAATGTATTTCTGGTTATCATGAAATCTTTCTAGGGCAATGAAACACAATATATACATTTCCTCTTACAAATGGAAACATGTAATCCAAACTAGGATGCTTAAAATTTTCCACAGCAATTCACATTTTTTCATTCTGTGGTTGTCTAATTAGCAGATTTCCAAAGGGAATAGGTGAGTTTATAATAAATAATGCATTTATATTCTGATAAGTAATATTAAGAAAGAACATTTATTTCCTTCTCTTTTTGTTCTCTTAGCTTCATTCTTCATTTCTCTCACTTTTTAAAATAAAACATTGTTAACTATTATGAGAATGGCATTCAGTACAACTTGGGATAATTTAAATGTTAACTTTTATAAACTTAACTCTTGTTATAGTTGATAAAATATTCCAAAACTTCTGGCATAGTTGACATCACAACTTTGAAGCTGTGCTCATTTTCTGGCTGTGGGCATTTCTAATTAGATAATTACTACTCTTACTCCATTCTTTCAGATATTCTAACAGAGAAGCATTAACCTCCTTATAAGATTTTTTGTTGTTGTTGCTGACTCAGGATGTAATTTCTCATTTTACTTTTTGGTTGATATATTATTTGTTTTTATTATTTGCTATCAGAGAATAGTTTGTATAATTGCTGCTATTTAAAATTTACTGCATTAAAAAATTGTCTAATTTGATATCTAGCCATTAAATTATACCTTTCACTCTATATTTAAAACTATCTCAGTGGATTATGTTCTATCATACACTAATATAAAGATGTTAATCTTATAATTATTACTCATTCTATTATTCTTTCATTTTAAACATGTTTTGCATATTTATGTTGGTAGTATATTGTGTGACATTTAAAAGCACATAAATGTCACATCTTTATTATCAATATAATACAATCATCTTGATGTTACTTTTAACTTTTGCCTAGAATTTTAATTTGATTTCATAGTATCACACACTCACTTTTTGGGAGCATTTGAATCATTTAATAAAAAAAGTTCTTATATACCTCACGGTGCTTTATGGAGCCAGGCTGGAACTGGAGGCATAAGGAAATATGTGAACTCTAGCTTTTACAGAAGCAAATTCATCAATCTTTTTTTCAAAATCTATTTCCATGCTTCTCTCATTTTGAATTGAGAAAACAGACACGTTTGACAATTTCTCCTGATTAAGAGACAGTCTGAAATAATTTTAATTAGTTTCAGCTGAAGTAAAATTATGATTAAATTCTGTTTTGTGACAAATTAAATATTTAACATAAGGTTTCTGGGGGCAAGATGGCCAACTAGAAGCAGCTGGAGGATGCCTCTTCCACAGAGAGGCACCAAAATATTGAGAAAACCTTTGCAATTCAAACAGATCATTTGAGAGAAAACACAGAGGATTAATAGTTAGGTGACACAGACACTATGCTTGAAGAGGGAGGAAGCATGGCAGCCTGCCTGGAGTCACTGAGCACCTGGACTGGCCCCTGCACCCAGATTGGACGTAAGGAAGAGGTGAGTAAAAGAACTCCAGAACACCATATTGCTGTTGTGGACACCTGATATCCTAGCTACAGGAGTTCCCATCACCCTATGGACATTTAGATTGGCAGGGAGAGACAACTGGAGAACAAGCAGAGGTGTAGTTTGAACCCTCATGGACTCCAGAGACTTCCCTGTGCTGTGCAACTATAGCAAAACACAACCCATAGGCACCCATCTCCCAAGGCTCTCCATCTTGCACAGAGTGGTTGCAGCACCTGCTGTCTGCCAGGCTTGGAAATTGCAGGGACTGGACATGTTCTTGTGCCCATCACCAAGGCCCCATCACCATTGCCATGGGACCAAGGTGCATCTGATCCACATGCCCACTTACTTCATGGCCCCTCCTAAGACTGCCTGCCTGGCCACTCCTGCAAGAAGATGCCCACAGCACAGCCTCCACTGCCCCACACAGAACACAGTGCAGTGCAGTTTCTTACGCTGGCATGGGAGCAGGATGCTCCTTCCTTCACAAAACTGGACTGGGAAGGGCATGGCTTGATAGTCAAGGCTTCTCCTCCAGGAGTCCCACCCTTGGAACATCTGGAATAGCTCAGCAATCTGAGTGCAGGCTTGGGAAAAGCCTAGCCAGTCAGGCCTGCTGCAGGGTGGATATTGGAAAGAGATGCACCAGGTCAGGGGAGCATGAGCTGAGCAGCCTCCATGGATACCTGCTAGGCTGAAAAGCCCAGGCTGGAGAAGTCATACTGGTTGCGTACACGTGGCCACTGCCCTGTCCAGGGATCTTCGAACTCTGAGCCACTGAATCACCAGACCACCTGCAGACATACCCAACACACACCGACTCTACAAGCACAAGACACTGGCAGGTCACTCAGGAGTTGCAGGTTCCCTGGTGTTCTAACCCTGAGGTAGGGGAGAGTGAGGCCCTAAGGTAGGGTAGAGCAAGGCCCACTAAATCCCCCCTTGGGACAAAGGAAGCCTGGGTACAGCTCTAGTCACTGAAGTAGGCACCACCAAAGCCTGGAAATGGATTTAGAAAGGGGGTCATCTCTCACGCCCTGCCTCCCCTACCCAGTGCAATGTCATGGTTAGGCAGCAGCTCTTCTAGTTGGGGTAAGTAAGCTGCAGTGGAAGTGGCCACTTCTCGCAGTTCTCCAGACACTCCACCCTGGCTGAAGATGAGCATAAGCTTGGGGAGGGCACTTTTCACCCTTCTCTGTAGCCTCAGAGGGTGAACACAGCAGTGTCTATCTGCTGGCTCTTAGTTTTAAGTGCCACCTAGTAGAATTCATCCTGAATTACACCACATAACAAAAACATTGCTGCAAAAAGCACGAACTGTGAAACTCCCCAAAGGAGCCCATCTGCAACAAAGGAACCTGTACAGAGCCTTGGCCCTCTGAAGACACAAAGACACAAAGCCAATTGATTATACACAACATACGCCATAATCATACTCACAAGGGAGACAAGAATAAAAAATCAAAAAGCAAGAAGCATTAGCTCTCTCAGGTGAGAAGGAATCAGTGCAAGAAATCCAGCTATACAAAAATCCAGAGTGTTTAATCACCTCCAAAGGATTGCACTAGAACCCTAGCAATGGATTCTAACCAGATTGAAATGTCTGAAATAACAGACACAGAATTGAGAATATGAATAACGAGGAAACTCAGTGAGATCCAAGAGAAAGTTGAAACCTAATCCAATGAAGCCATAAAACCCATCCACAATTTGAAAGATGACATAGCTATGTTAAGAAAGAACCAGATTCCTAGACAAGATGGCCGAATAGGAACAGCTCCAGTCTGCTGCTCCCAGAGAGACCAACACGGAAGGTGGGTGATTTCTGCATTTCCAACTAAGGCACTCAATTCATTTTATTGGGACTGGTTAGAAAGTGGGTGCAGCCCATGGAGGGCAAGCAGAAGCAGGTGGGGTGTTGCCTCACCCAGGAAGTGCAAGGGGTCAGGGAACTCCCTCCCCTAGCCAAGGGAAGCCATGTGGGACCCTGCTGTGAGGGACAGTGCTATTCGGCACAGATACTATGCTTTTACCATGGTCTTCACAACCCACAGACCAGCGGTTTCCCTTGGATGCCTATACCACAAGGGCCCTAGGTTTCAAGCACAAAACTGGGGGGCCATTTGGGCAGACACTGAGCTAGTTGCAGGAGTTTTTCATACCCCAGTGGCACCTGGAATGCTAGCGAGACAGAACGGTTCACTCCCCTGGAAAGAGGGCTGAAGCCAGGAAGCCAAGCAGTCTTGCTTAGTGGATCCCACCGCCATGGAGCCCAGCAAGCTAAGATCCACTGGCTTGAAATTATTGCTGCCAGCACAGCAGTCTGAAGCTGACCTGGGATGCTCCAGCTTGGTGGGGGAAGGGGCATCCACCATTACTGAAGCTTGAGTAGAAAGTTTTCCTCTCACAGTGTAAAAAAAGCAGCCAGGAAGTTCACACTGGGCAGAGCCCACCTCAGCGCTGCAAAGCCATGGTAGCCAGACTGCCTCTCTAGAATCCTTCTCTCTGGGCAGGGCATCTCTGAAAGGAAGGCAGCAACCCCAGTAAGGGGCTTATAGATAAAACTCCCATCTCCCTGGGACAGAGCAACTGAGGTAAGGGGCGGCTGTGGGTGCAGCTTCAGCTGACTTAAACGTTCCTGCCTGCCAGCTCTGAAGAGAAAATGGATCTCCCAGCACAGCGCTGGAGCTCTGCTAAGGGATAGACTAACTCCTTAAGTGGGTTCCTGACCCATGAGCCTCCTGATGGGGAGACATCTCCCAACAGGGGTTGACAGACACCTCATACAAGAGAGCCCTGGCTGGAATCTGGCAGGTGCCCCTCTAGGACGAAGCTTCCAAAAGAAGGAGCAAGCAGCAATCTTTGCTGTTCTGTAGCCTCTGCTGGTGATAACCAGGAAAACAGGGTCTGGAGTGGACCTCCAGCAAACTCCAGCAGACCTGCAGAAGAGGGGCCTGACTGTTAGAAAGAAAACTGACAAACAGAAAGCAATAGCATCAACATCTAAAAAAGGACAACATAGCAAAAACTCCATCTGAAGGTCACCAACAGCAGAAACCAAAGGTAGATAAATCCATGAAGATGAGGAAAAACCAGCACAAAAAGGCTGAAAATGCCAACAACAAGAATGCCTCTTCTCCTCCAAAGGATCACAATTCCTCACCAGCAAGAGAACAAAACTGGATGGCAAATGAGTTTGACTAATAGACAGAATTAGGCTTCAGAAGGTGTGTTATAACAAACTCCTCTGAACTAAAGGAGCAATTTCTAACCCCAATGCAAGGAGGCTAAGAACCTTGATAAAAGATGAGAGGAATCGCTAACTGGAATAACCAGTTTAGAGAAGAACATAAATGACCTAAGAGAGATGAAAAACATAGCACGAGAACTTCATGGAGCACACAGAAGTATCAATAGCTGATTCAATCAAGTGGAAGAAAGGATATCAGAGATAGAAGATGGACTTAATGAAATAAAGCATGAAGACAAGATTAGAGAGAAAAGAATGAAAAGGAACAAACAAAGCCTCCAAGAAATGTTGGACTATGTGAAAAGACCAAACCTAAGTTTGATTGGTGTACTTGAAAGTGACGGGGAGAATGGAACCAAGTTGGAAAACACACTGCAGTGTATTATACAGGAGAATTTCTTCAACCTAGCAAGACAGGCCAACATTCAAATTCAGGAAATACAGAGAACACCACAAAGATACTCCTCGAGAAAAACAACCCCAAGACATAATCGTCAGATTCACCAAGGTTGAAATGAAAGAAAAAATGTTAAGGGCAGTGAGAGAAAAACGTTGGGTTACCCACAAAAGGAAGCCCATCAGACTAACATTGGATCTCTCTGCAGAAATCCTACAAGCTAGAAGAGAGTGGAGGCTAACATTCAACATTTTTAAAGAAAAGAATTTTCAACTCAGAATTTTATATCCAGCCAAACTAAGCTTCATGAGTGAAGGAGAAATAAAATCTATTACAGACAAGAAAATGCTGAGGGATTTTGTCATGACCAGGCCTGCCTTACAAGGGCTCCTGAAGGAAACACGAAATATGGAAAGGAAAAACTGGTACCAGCCACTGCAAAAACATACAAAAATGTAAAGACCATCAAAACTATGAAGAAACTGCATCAACTAATGGGCAAACTAACCAGCTAACATCATAATGACAGAATCAAATTCACACATAACAATATTAACCTTAAATGTAAACAGACTAAATGGACTAAATGACAGGCAAATTGGGTAAAGAGTCAAGACCCATCAGTGTGCTGTATTCAGGAGACCCATCTTACATGCAAAGACACACATAGGCTCAAAATAAAGGGATGGAAGAAGATTGACCAAGCAAATGGAAAGCAAAAAAAAAAAAAAAAAAAAAAAAAAAAAGCAGGGGTTGCAATCCTAGTCTCTGATAAAAAAGACTTTAAACCAACAAAGATCAAAAAAGACAAAGGGCATTACATAATGGTAAAGGGATCAATGCAACAAGAAGGCTTAGGCTGCCACACAATAATAGTGGGAGACTTTAACACCACACTGTCAGTATTAGACAGATCAACGGGACAGAAAATTAACAAGGATATCCAGGAGTTGAACTCAGCTCTGGACCAAGCAGACCTAATAGACGTCTACAAAACTCTCCACCCCAAATTGACAGAATATACATTCTTCTTGGCACCACATAGCACTTATTCTAAAATCAACCACATAATTGGAAGTAAAACACTCCTCAGCAAATGCAAAAGAATGGAAATCATAACAAACAGTCTCTCAGACCACAGTGCAATCAAATTAGAACTCAGGGTAAGAAACTCACTCAAAAACGCAAAACTACATGGAAACTGAACAACCTGCTCCTGAATGACTACTGGGTAAATAACAAAATTAAGGCAGAAATAAATATGTTCTTTGAAACCAATGAGAACAAGGGCATAACATACCAGAATATCTGGGACACAGCTAAAGCGGTGTCTAGAGGAAAATTTATAGCACTAAATGCCCATAGGAGAAAGCAGGAAAGATGTAAAATTGACACGCTAACATCACAATTAAAAGAACTAGAGAATCAAGAGCAAACAAATCCAAAAGGTAGCAGAAGACAAGAAATAACTAAGATCAGAGCAGAACTGAAGGAGATAGAGACACAAAAAACCCTTCAAAAAAATCAGTGAATACAGGAGCTGGTTTTTTTGAAAAGATTAACAAAATAGATAGACCGCTAGCCTGAGAAATAAAGAAGAAAAGAGAGAAGAATCAAATAGACCCAATAAAAAATGATAAAGGGGATATCACCACTGATCCCACAGAAATACAAACTACCATCAGAGAATACTATTAACACCTCTATGCAAATGAATTAGAAAATCTAGAAGACATGGATAAATTCTTAGACACATACACCCTCCCAAGACTAAACCAGGAAGAAGTTGAATCCTTGAATAGACCAGTAACAAGTTCTGAAATGGGTGTAGTAATTAATAGCCTACCAACCAAAAAAATGCCTAGGACAAGACAGATTCACAGCCGAATTCTACCAGAGGTACAAAGAGGAGCTGGTACCATTCCTCCTGAAACTATTCCAAACAATAGTAAAAGAGGGACTCCCCACTAACTCATTTTATGAGGCCAGCATCATCCTGATACCAAAACCTGGCAGAGTCATAACAGGAAAAGAAAATTTCAGGCCAATATCCCTAATGAACATCAGTGCAAAACTCCTCGATAAAATTCTGGCAAACCAAATCCAGAAGCACATTAAAAAGCTTATCCACCACTTTCAAGTCAGCTTCATCCCTGGGATGCAAGGCTGGTTCAACATATGCAAATCAATAAATGTAATCCATCACATAAACAGAACCAATGACAAAAACCACATGATTATCTTAACAGATGCAGAAAAGGCCTTTGATAAAATTCAACACCGCTTCATGCTAAAAACACTCAATAAACAAGGTGTTGATGTAACATATCTCAAAATAATAAGAGCTATTTATGACAAACCCACAGCCAGTATCATACTGAATGAGCAAAAGCTAGAAGCATTCCCTTTGAAAACCAGCACAAGACAAGGATGCCCTCACTCACCACTCCTATTCAACATATTATTGATAATTCTGGCCAGGGCAGCCAGGCAAGGGAAAGAAATAAAAAGCATTCAAATAGGAAAATCGGAAGTCAAATTATCTCTGTTTTCAGATGACTTGATTGGATATTTAGAAAACCCCATTGTCTCAGCCTAAAATCTTTTTAAGCTGATAAGCAACTTCAGCAAAGTCTCAGGATACAAAATCAATATGCATAAATCACAAACAGCCCTATACACTAATAATAGACAGAGAGCCAAATCATAAGCAAACTCCCATTCACAATTGCTACAAAGAGAATAAAATACCTAGGAATACAACTTACAAGGGATGTGAAGGACCTCTTCAAGGAGAACTACAAAGCACTGGTCAAGGAAATAAGAGAGGACACAAACAAATGGAAAAGCATTCCATGCTCATGGATAGGAAGAATCAATATTGTGAAAATGGCCATACTGCCCAAAGGAATTTATAGATTTAATGCTATCCTGATCAAGTTACCACTGCCTTTCTTCATAGAATTGGAAAAAACTACTTTAAATTTCATATGGAACCAAAAAAGAGCTTGCAAAGCCAAGACAATCAGAAGCAAAAAGAAGAAAGCTGGAGGGATCATACTACCTGACTTCAAACTATACTACAAGGCTACAGTAACCAAAACAGCATGGTACTGGTACCAAAACAGATATATAGACCAATGGAACGTAACAGAGGCCTCAGAAATAACATCACACATCTACAACCATCTGATCTTTGACAAAACTGACAAAAAAAAAAAAAGTAATGGGGAAAGGATTCCCTATTTAATAAATGGTGTTGGGAAAACTGGCTAGCCATATGCAGAAAACTGAAAGTGGACCCCTTCCTTACACCTTATACAAAAATTAACTCAAGATGGATTAAGGACTTCAACATAAGACTTAAAACCATAAAATCCCTAGAAGAAAACCTAGGCAATACCATTCAGTACATAGGCATGGGCAAAAACTTCATGACTAAAACACCAAAAGCAATGGCAACAAAAGCCAAAATTGACAAATGGGATCTAATTAAACTAAAGAGCTTCTGCACAGAAAAAGAAACTATCATCAGAGTGAACAGGCAACCTACAGAATGGGAGAAAATTTTTGCAATGTATCCATCTGACAAAGGGCTAATTTCCAGAATCTACAAGCAACTTAAACAAATTTACAAGAAAAAACAAACAACCCCATCAAAAAGTGAGCAAATGATATGAACAGACACTTCTCAAAAGAAGATATTTATGTGGCCAACAAACATATGACAACAAGCTCATCATCACTGGTCATTAGAGAAATGCAAATCAAAATCACAATGAGATACCATCTCACAGCAGTTAGAATAGCGATCATTCAAAATTCAGGAAATAACAGATGCTGGAGAGGATGTGGAGAAATAAGAATGCTTTTACAGTGTCAGTGGGTGTGTAAATTAGCTCAACCATTGGGGAAGACAGTGTGGCGATTCCTCAAGGATCTAGAACCAGAAATACCATTTGACCCAGCAATCCCATCACCGAGTGTATACCTAAAGAATTATATATTATTCTACTGTAAAGACACATGCACACATATGTTTATTGCAGCACTTTTCACAACAACAAAGACTTGGAACGAACCCAAATGCCCATGAATGATAGACTGCATAAAGAAAATGTGGCACATATACACCATAGAATAATATGCAGCCATAAAAAAGAATGAGTTCATGTCCTTTGCAGGGACATGGATGAAGCTGGAAACCATCATTCTCAGCAAACTAACACGGGAACAGAAACCCAAACGCTGCATCTTCTCACTTATAAGTGGGAGTTGAACAATGAGAACATATGGGCACTGGGAGGGGAACATCACACACTGGGGTCAGTCAGGGGGTGGGGAGCAAGTGGAGGGATAGCATTAGGAGAAATACCTAATGTAGCTGATGGGTTGATGGGTGCAGCAAACCACCATGTACATTCTAGGCAATACCATTCAGGACATAGGCATGGGCAATGTATACCTACGTAACAAACCTGCACATTCTGCATATGTATCCCAGAACTTAAAGTATAATAAAAAAGAACAAAAAAGAAAGAACCAAACAGAACTTACGGAAGTGAAAAATTTACTGTGGAGCTTTCAGAATACAGCTGGAAGCCCCAATAATAAATTAAGCCAAGTAGAAGAAAGAATTTCAGAGCCTGAAGATCAGTCCTATGAATCATCCTATTCAGAGAAAAATGAAGACAAAATAATTTTTTTTTAAGAAGACAAAATTTTCTGAGAACTATGGGATGATGCAAAGAGAACAAACCTACGACTCACTGACATTCCCAAGGGAGAAGAAGAGAAAGTATACAGTTTAGGAAACATCGTTCAGGATATAATGCATGAAAAATTTCCCAACCTCACTAGAAATGTTGACATGCGAGTACAAGAAATCCAAAGTCCTGTGAGATACTAAGCAAGACAACCATCTCCAAGACACATAGTGAGCAGAATTTCCAATTTCAAATGAAAAAAAAAACCTGAAAGGCAGCTAGAGAAAGGGTTCATATTACCTATAAAGGGCATCACATCAGAACAACAGCAGACTTCTCAGCACAAACCTTACAAGCCAGAAGCAACTAGGGCCTATTTTTAGCAGTCTTAAAAAAAGAAATTCCAACAAAGAATTTCATAACCCACCAAAGTAAGCATCATAAATATGGAGAAATAAAGTCTTTTCTCAATAAGCAATCACTAAGGGAGTTTGTTACCATCAGACCAACCCTATAAGAGATGCTTAAGGGAGTTCTAAACATGGAAACAAAAGAATCATACTTGCTGCCACAAAAGTACATGTAAGTACATATCCCACAGATCCTATAAAGAAATTACATAATCAAGAGTACAAAGAAACTGGCTAATAACACCACGACAAAACTAACACCTTTAATATCAATATTAACCATGAATGTAAACAGCCTCAATGCTCTACTTAGAAGACGTAGAATGGCAAATTGTATTTTTAAAAAGTTAACCTTCTGCTATCTTTAAGAGATCTATCTCAAATGTAATGATGCCCATAGGCTCAAAGTAAAGGGATGGAGAAAGATCTACCACGGAAACTGAAAACAAAAAAGAGCAGAGGTCACTATTCCTGTATCAGATAAAACAGTCTTAAACCAGCAACAATAAAAAGCAAACAAACAACAATAATAACAAAACAAAGAAAGACATTACATAATGATAAAAGGATTTAATTATCTTAAGTATATAGAAACACAACATTAGCACATTCAATTTTATAAAATGATTACCACTAAACCTAAGAATAGACATAGACATTCACACAGTAATACTGGGGGACTTCAACATCCTATTGACAGCATTAGACATATCATCAAGGTATAAAACTAACCAAGATATCCTGGTCTTAAATTTGACACTTGACCAACTTGATCTAATAGACATCTACAGAATACTCCACTCACAACCACAGAATATACATTTTTCTCATCTGCACATAGAACATATTCTATGATTGATCACGTTTGGTCACAAAGCAAGTCTCAACAAATAAAAAAAAAATCACCGAGGCTGCTGGATCATGAGGTCAGGAGTTGAAGGCCAGCCTGGCCAAGATAGTGAAATCCCATCTCTACTAAAAATACAAATATTAGTTGGCACGGTGGCAGGTGTCCATAATCCCAGCTACTAGGAGGCTGAGGCAGGAGAATCACTTGAACCCAGGGGACGGAATTTGCAGTGAGCCGAGATCATGCTACTGCACTTCAGCCTGAGTGACAGAGTGAGACTCCATCTCAAAAAAAAAAAAAAAAATCAAAATCATGCCAAGCATATTCTTGGAAGACAGTGGAATAAGAATAGAAATCAATATCATCAGGAGCTCTTAAAAACCACACAAATACATGGAAACGAAACAACTTGCTCCTAAATGACTTTTAGGTGAACAATGAAACATAATTAATCACAAATTAACAATCTAATGTCATACCTAAAGGAACTAAAAAACAAGAACAAACTAAACCCAAAGCTAGCAGAAAAGAAATAACTACAATCAGAGCAGAACTAAATAACATTGAGACCAAAAAATCTATACAAAAATCAGTGAAACGAAAAGTTATTTTTCTGAAAAGATAAACAAGATCGATAGAATGTTAACACATTAACAAAAGAGAAAAAGAAGATACAAATAAATACAATCAGAAATGACAAAAATGACATTACAACCAATCCCAAAGAAACAAAAAAGATCCTCAGATTCTACTATGAACATGTCTATGCATACAAGCTAGAAAATCTAGAAGAAATGAATAAATTCCTGGATACAAACAGCCTCCCAAAATTTAACAAGGAAGAAATAGGAACCCTGAGTAGGCCAATAATGAGTTACGAAATTGAATGAGTGATAAAAAAACTACCAACCCAAAAAAGCCCTGTACCAGATGAATTCATAGGCAAATTCTACCAGATGTACAAACAAGAGCCAGTATCAATCCTACTGAAATGATTCCAAAAAATTGAGGAGGAGGAATTCCTCTGTAACTCATTGTACAAATCGATATCATCCTGATAATAAAATCTAGCAAAGACACAATAACAACAACAACAACAAAAAACTACAGGCCAATATTCCTGATCAACATAGATGCAAATATCCTCTACAAAATATTAGCAAACTGAATCTGGCAACACAACAACAAAAAATATCCAGCACAATCAAGTGGGTTTATTCTTGGGATGCAAGGATGATCCAATACACACAAATTGATAAATGTGATTCACTACATAAACAGAGTTAAAAACAAAAAAACTCCATGATAATCTCAAAAGACACAGAAAATAAATTCAATAAAACCCAACCTCCCTTCATGTTAAAAATCCTCAACAAACCAGGCACCAAAGAAATATATCTCAAAATAATAAGTCCCATCCGTGACAAACTCACAGCAAATACCATACTGAACAGGCAAAAGTTGGAAGCATTCCTCATAAGAAATCGAACAAGACAAGGATGTTTGTTCTCATGACTGCTATTCAATGTTGTACTAGAAATCCTAGCCAGAGCAATGAGGCATGAAAAAAAAAAAGACATTGAAATAGAAAAAAAAAAAGGAAGTAGAATCATCTCTCTTTGCAGACAATATGATTCTATAATTAGAAAGCCCTAAAGATTCCACTGTAAGGCTCCTAGATTTGATAAATGGCTGCAGTAAAGTTTCAGGATACAAAATCAATGTACAAAATTAGTAACATTTCTATACACCAATAATGTTCAAGCTGGAAACCAAATCAAGAATGCAATCCCATTTACATTAGTCCATACAAAAAATATCTAAAAATACATGTAACCAAGCAGGTGAAAGATCTCTACAAGGGGGACTACCAAACACGGCTGAAACAAATAGATGACATAAATGGAAAAACATTCTATGCTCATGGATTGGAAGAATCAATATTGTTAAAATATCTATACTGTTCAAAGCAATCTACAGATTCTAAGCAATTCCTATCAAATTATCAATGCCATTCTTCCCAGACTTAGAAAAGCTATTCTAAAATTCCTATGAAACCATAAAAAAGCCAAAACAACCAAAGCAATCCTAAAGAAAATGAACAAAGCTGGAGGCATAACATTACTTAACTTCAAATTACACTGCAAGGCTATAAGTAACCAAAACTGCATGGTACTGGTAGAAAAGCAAACACATAGATCATTGGAACAGAATAGAGGACACAGAAATAAATTTGCACACCTCCAACTAACAGATTCTTGACAAAGTCAGCAAAAGTAAATAATGGGGAAAGAACACTCTATTTAATAAATGTTGCTAGAAAAACTGGCTAACTATATGCAGCAGAATGAAACTTGACCTATACCTCTCATCATATACAAAAATTAATTTAAGATGGATTAAAGACTCAAATGTAAGACCTCAAACTATAAAAATCCTACAAAAAAAAACTAGGAAGTACTCTTCTGGAATTTGGCCTAGGTAAAAAATTTATGACTAAGTCCTCAAAAGGAAATGCAGCAAAAACACAAATTTACAATTGAGACCTACTTAAACTAAGGAGCTTTTGCACAGCAAAAAAACTGTCAACAGAGAAAACAGACAACATACAGAAAGAGTGACAATAATTGCAAACTATGCATCTGACAAAGGCCTAATATCCAGAGTCTGCAAGGAACTTAAACAAATCAAGAGGAAATAAATAACTCTATTATAAAGTAGGCAAAAGCCATAAATGGACACTTCCTAAAAGAAGATACACAAGCAGCCAACAAACATATGAAAAAGAGCTCATCATCACTAATCAACAGAGAGATGCAAATCAAAACCACAATGATATACCATCTCATACCAGTCAGGATGGCTATTATTAGAAAGTCAGAATAACTGATGTTGATGAGGTTATAGAGAAAAGGGAATGCATACACTGTGGGTGGTAATGTAAATTAAATTAGCCCCTGTGCAAAGCAATTTGAAGATTTCTCAAAGAACTAAAAATAGAATTACCATTTGACCCAGCAGTCCCATTACTGAGTATTACACAAAGGAAAATAAATTGTTCTTCCAAAAAGACACTTGTTTATTGCAAGTTTATCACATAAGTATTCACAATAGCAAATACATGGAACCAAACTTGGTGCCCATTAATGGTGGACTGGATAAAGAAAATGTACATATACACCATGGAATACTATACAACCATAAAAGCGGAATCATGTCCTTTTCAGTGTTAGCAAACTAACACAGAAACAGAAACCCAAATACCATATGTTCTTATTTATAAAAGTGGGAGCTAAACATTGGGTACATTTAGACATAAAGATGGGAACAATAGACACTGGGGATTCCCAAAGGTGGGGAGAAAGAGTAAGGGTTAAGGGCTGAAAAACTAACTGTTAGGTACTATATTCACTATTTGGGTGATAAGATCAATAGAATCCCAAACCTCCTGCACCACATAATATACCCCTGTAATAAACCCACACATGTACCCCGAATCTAAAATTTTAATAAAAGGAGCTATTAAAAATTTTAACATAAAATAATGCTATTTAGCATTCTTTTCACCAACTATAATGTTCTGGAGAAGATTGCTCATGAAAAGATACATAACAACATGTACATAGGGTACATATCTGACTTTTTGCTTCAGACTTTCATATGGCTCAACCTGCCAATGGTCTTTAAGACACGTGCACTTGCATGTTAATAACAGCACAATTCACAGTAGTAAAGACATGAAATCAACCTAGGTGTCCACCAATGGTGGAATGCATGAAGAAAATCTGGTATATACACACTGTGGCATACTACACAGTCATAAAAAGAGTGAATCATCTTCTTTGCAGCAACATGAATGCAGCTGGAGGCCATAATCCTAAGCAAATCAGTGCAGGAACAGAAAACAAAATACTGCATGTTCTCATTTATAAGTGGGAGCTAAACATTGGGTACTTATAGACATAAAGATGGCAACAATAAAAACTGAAGACCACTAGATGGGGGAAAGGGTTGGAAATGTTACAATTGGGTACCACGTTTAGTACCTTGGTGACAGCATCATTCATAACCAAAACTTCAGCATTATACAATATATCCAGGTAACAAACCTGCACATGTACCCTCTGAATCTAACATGAAAATTGGGGAAAATAAACAAACCCAAATACCTCTCAATGAATAAAAAAATAATATGTGGGAGAAAGAAATTTTGATATTTTATTCATAATTTTTTACATTAATTTTGATTTCTAAAAATATTCCATCAAACATTATAGCTTTGACTACTGAGTTTTTGGTGACCCCAATTACATTTGCACTGAGATGAATGCCTTACTTGCCTCACCTTGGTTCTGGCCCTTGTATATGACAGAATCACCAGTCTTGAGAAATAAAAATGTGCACTAAAATAAAATAGTAAATAAATAAAATGTATTTCGCTAATCACTAAGAAGAAGAAATTTATATGTTCAATTTAAAATCATTCATTTTAGTTGTAACAAGTCAGAATGACTGTCCTATGATAGAGATACTGGTTTATGTCATTAGTCATCTATGGGTTGATCCTGATAGGTAAGAAAAATGAAACTGACACACACACACACTCACACGTGGCTTATTGTCACACACGGCTTCTGTGAATATGAGCTCAGACAACCTTAAAATATCAAAACATTCTTCTCAGTAGAAGACTGAAGAAAAACATCTTGCTTTTATCACTGGGAAGGGAAATCAGGATAATATTTTATTATTAAATTCAGAAGAGTTATTAGGCTTGAAAGCACTCTTTTCATTTCAACTTTTAGTGTTGTTACTTGAGAATACTTCTGTCATCTCCAAGAAGTATTTTGACAAACAAAGAAAACTAGAATGCCAGTGTCAAATATTCATATCCTATAGTTGGTCATGCAGGCCAGGCTATGTGCCAGTCACTGATTACACACAGTGGCTAATGAAGCCAACTAGAACCATTATGTAGCTCAGCGGGAGAGCTTCTCAACTCTGCTGTCAGTTAAAATCATCTGGGGTGTTTCTTTTTTTTTTAATTTAATTTTATTTTTTTAAGGCGAATTTTATTTATTTATTTATTTTATTATGCTTTGTTTTAGGGTACATGTGCACAATGTGCATGTTAGTTACATATGTATACATGTGCCATGTTGGTGTGCTGCACCCTGTAACTCCTCATTTAACATTAGGTATATCTCCAAATGCTATCCCTCCCCCCTCCCCCACCCCACAACAGGCCCCCGGTGTGTGATGTTCCCCTTCCTGTGTCCATGTGTTCTCATTGTTCAATTCCCACCTATGAGTGAGAACATGCGGTGGTTTTTTGTCCTTGTGATAGTTTGCTGAGAATGACGGTTTCCCGCTTCAACCACGTCCCTACAAAGGACATCAACTCATCATTTTTTATGGCTGCATAGTATTCCATGGTGTATATATGTGCCACATTCTAAACAGTACTAATGCCTGGGCGTCACCCAAGACCAGTTACTGGGAATTTCTAGCTAATGGGGCCCAACAATCAATACTATTTTAAAGCTCCTCAGATATTGTAAAGAGGAGCCTGGATTAAAACTCAATCGCTTATAGCCTAATGGAGAGAACACCAAGAGTGCATATAATCATTCATCCACACATTCAAAATGAGATGATGCCATGGGGGAACAAAAGGATGTTGTCTTAGAAAAGAAGCGAGACTTCCCTTACAGAATACACAGAGTGACCTTTCTGAGAGAGAGATTTAAATAGAGACTGAAATGAACAGCCAGCAGCTTTGTAGGGAACAAGAAGAGAAGATTTCAGATAAAGAGGTAACATGAGCAAATGTTCTGAATAGGAGAAGGAAGTGTGTGTACAGGTGCGTGGAGCAAGGAGAGAGTAACAAGAGGTGTAGTTAGGCAGATCCGAAATGAGAGGTAATGGAGGAGGAAGGAAACAAGGAAATTGTTGGGCTGCATTTCATCAAGTTCACTACTCTGCACTCATCTTGCATTATCTCAGTTAATTCACAGAGTAACCATTTGGGATTTGTAGTAAAGTAAGTAAAATTTAAAAGTTTAAGCTATAAAGAAGTATATAATAAAAATAGACTTCATTGGGATTCGTACAGATAGAATGCAAAGAAAAATAGAAAAAAAAGTTTCTGTTTCTCTTCCCTATTTGTTTTCTCAAATGGGAAAAAAACATTTGCAAGTTTTCCTTTGTTTAGGATTAAAATATGGATAAGAATTTCTGTACAATATAGAAAAAATATTTAAGATTTGACAATGACAATGTAAGCTTTAGACAGGATAGACCTAAGTCATAAAAGTCTTAGAGTCTGAGCCACGGAATTCTTTATTTGAAAAAGCATCTGCCCAGCAATTATGACCAAATTGGTTAAAGCTGCTAAAATGGCAACTATTATGTAAGGTCAAAGCACTTGCCGGTTCATTGACTGCCTTAGACATCACAGTGTGCAATAAAATGCTTTTTTCTTAACTGTCATTTCCTCTAATTTGATTGAAATAGAGAAGTAATTTTTACTGGAACAGAATTTTGACTTTGAACAACTGACAGTACAGAGAGTAGAAACCACTTCTGTGACCTTGGCCTTGTCATATTCTACAGAGGAAAGGTTTTGAGAAGCTGTTTGAAAGAAAGAGTCCATACTCCTCACTTTTCCTTTTTTGTCAATTGAAAAGAAGCCCACGTTTTTTTCTTTTATCAAACCAAGTAAATGATGTTATCCCCTTGAGAGCCACAGGTTAATGTCAGGGGCCATTTTCGTCCTACTTCTTTGGTCATATTTCTTTAGAAAATGGAAATGCCATTCCCAGGTGCAATTCTCCTTCAGGCAAGAAAGTTAACCTATGATTTCAAAAAATATAAGAGTTCAGATCTTTAGCTATCCATAGTAAATGGGGTGAATATAGCTTTTTATGTATGGTGCCTACTCCAATTAAGAAAATTCTCACCCATTTGGAATTAGTTAAAAAAAAAAAAAAAAAGGCAAGTTTGGACAAAGACCACAAAGCATTTCTGCCAAGCCAGGCTCCAGAGATTTGTATCTGCCCACATTAAATTCAAATCTTTAGTTGTTACTACAAGGCTGCCAAATTATAATTTTCATTTTATTTCAAGGAGGATATTATGAAACTTTAGCTTCCAACAAAGAATTCATATTAAATAGCAAATGTGAACCTAAGTACTCAATATGACCATACAATCTTAGAATGGAGAAAACAACACTTCAAATTCCTCTGCTAAGTATATTTTTATCCATTGATTTAAAGGATAAATTGTTTGTCTATTGTAACAGACTACTATATATCTTTCTACCTGACTTTTCAGGATCCAAAAAGTAACCAGACTTGGTAAATATACAGAAGCAAAGGACATATTCACCTTGGTTCAAGAGGGTGTCAGGTAGTCATGTATTTTCGAAGTGTTTTTCTCAAAATTAAATTTGTATGGTAGATTGATATTACAGGGGAAGTATAACACAAACATTAATATAAGTATAAATTAGGATTAAGGCATAAAGTAGGTTCTCAATTTGACAAAGTCTGCTCAGTTATCTCTCTTTTTCTCAAGCTCTATTTCCTGAAACCTAAGTCTGAATGGTAGTGACAATTTATTCCACTGGTTCTCTGGTATTTTATCTCCTGTCTTGAAACCTGTGCTGAGGCTGCTGTGTGTGTTTTCCTCCTCAGCTCTTCTAGTGAAGAAAGTTGTCTCGGTATTTTGGAAGGTGTAAGCTTGAGACAGACTTGCTTTGTGGAGGACTCTTGCTCCAGGGAAGCTATCTCAATTCACCTTGAGCCCTTTGGCGGGGAGATTAGCACCATAAAGGCAATTATGCCACTCTCAAAACAACCCATACTTTCTCGAATTTCCTCCTTGAGAAAACTGAGTCAATTTCTGTACAAGAATCTTTTTATATAGACTAAAATTAAACATTTATTTATGCTAATAATATGATTGTGTTCAAGTGGTAGGATATTTGGATCATGCTTCCTTCAACAATTTTTAGTTTTCTTCGAAGTGATATTTTCTAAATGTTAAAATGTTCACCAAAGTACATAGGTGTTAATGGTAAATTCAAAGAAAAATGTTGAGGTGGTATAGTCACAGAATTTTAAAGCAATTGCTCACTGTTTTTAAAAAAGGCAGCTGACATTTTCATCATATTTTTGGAAGAAATATAGTAAGGAACATGATTTACATAAGAATGAAAATGTCCATAATATGTTAGGTTTTTGTATCCTTTAAAACATGGTCTTAAGGTAACTCCAAATGAGGGAAATAACTCACATTCATGCATTTTTAAAATTTATTAACCATTTATTTCTTGAACTTGGTAAGTCTAGTGTTAGGATACTAAGGATACAATGATGAACAAAAAGATTCTCTTGTCATTCTAGAACTCACAGTCAACTAGGGACATTATTCAAATGTTCATAAGAAAGTGCATGGTAATAGGTATTACCATGCAAGTTGCAATTGTAATAGGTATTATCAAAGAGTAGTATATGATATCAAAACAGAGTACAATAGAGATATTTAACCTGGTTCAGGGTGTTAGTGGAGACTTCTTGATGAAATAAGAGTATAAACTAATAGAAAGTGGGAGTAGAGGTTAACTTGGAAAAAAGAGGGCTACCTTCCAATCAGGTAATACTTGCCTTGGAAATTCTTCCAAATTTTATATTCTATAATTCCTTTTACAAGAGTCATACACAAAAATTATAATTCTCTATCTTATAATATCTATATATAATCCATAACATCTATATCTATACATAATAACATCTACAATGTTATGATTTTCTATCTATAATATTCTATGTAAAATTCAGAGTTAGTACTGTATTTTGGATGAGTAAATATGTTTATTCAGTCATATTATTTAATTACATTGAATTATTAAGACAACTTTAGTAGCTATTAAACTCCATATATGAGTAAAACTTTTGGTATAAAAATGATATTGAAATAGAAAAATTTATGTTTCTCCTATCATAGGAGATATGATAGGCATATCATAAATTATAGGAAATACCATTCTCAGGAAATAATATATAACATTCAGATACCAAATAATAATTCAAAAATAACATTTAAAAATCACATCCTATCTGTTAGTAAGCAGAGATACAAAAGGAAATTCTATATTAACAAACTCCAATCATAAAGACTGTGTGAGTTATAAAGCCACAAGTGTCAAGCCAAACACCATGTTAGTGTAAGAGAGGCTGCTTGTGTAGGGTGAGATGGATCCAAAGGTTCCAGCTCAATACAAGTGGTCCAGAATGACAACCAAAATCTGTGAGAGTAATACAGAAGGTGGGAGTAGAAATATTGTCTACAAAATTTGCAGCCTGAAAACATTCAGGTATTTGGATTGGGCATAATTACAGTCCTAACAGAATGGCTTCACGTACTTCCTATGGAAGCATGCATTTACAGTGTTCTGATTCATTAAATAAGAAGCTAATCATTTATGTAAATAAAATAGATACCTCAGTCTCTACAGTTAAAGGAAGGGTGCATTACTTCAAGAGCAATTCTCTATCATTTCCCACTGAAAAATAGGACAGCTTTATTTCAGGCTGGTGATTTTAAAATACTGTTGTTTTGGTCTTAACAACCGAATTTTAAAAAATAAAAGAGAACTAAAATAAAATATGAGGCAGATGCGTAATGTACACAACAAATTGTACACAACAAATAAGAACAAAGCTACTCTGGTGTGAAGAAGTTAGGACTCGAGTTCAGCTTGTACCTTCACAGTTATTTTCTTCCTAAATCTTCCACCAAGTAACCTCAAGTAGTCTTTGCAAATTAGTTTAAATATAATTGCTGTGAATTAGTTTAAAAGACAACAAGATTTCCTAATGCTAACTATAAACTCTGGAATTAATTTTTCAATATAAAATTCTACATATAAACACTGACCTGTGTAAAGGGTCCTGTGAGATGTCTAAAACCTTACTAAAAATAATAATTATAATTTAAACAATAATTTAAGCCAAATAGCTGAAATTCTTCAGGAGAAGATTCTATGATCAAGTCTATGGCTTCACAGATGGCCCTTAAGCCTTCATTTAAGTCACTTATCTGGATACTAACTTGTATCTTGCAACTAAAGGGTATCTCATGCTATAAGGTTTTTTTGTTTGTTTGTTTGTTTTAGAATACACTGTTGAAATAACAAATATATTCCTCAGAGTTATTGACCTCTGCTTAAACTTAAATGAATGAAATGAATGAACTTTTCAAGAATATAAACTTGTCCCTAAACTTTTCAGGAAACACCTTAAAGAGAATTTAAAGTAGGAAAAAAATAGTAGAATTGCATTTTGATTATATAGATGTATATTTAAATTTACCATGTAAGAAACATTTCTAACAAAGGACATACACATTACTGTGAAATGTTGTCATCTTCAATATATGTGAATATTATAATCTAGTAAATTTACACATCTAAGGTACTCTAAAACCAAGTATATCATTTTATACTTCACAGAATACATCTATTAGTAACTAGATTAATTCTTATAATGTAGTAAAACTAGTAATAACATACGCTGTCTACAAATTGTAATTTAAAATAAAGCTCAGGAAGTTTAACTGACTTACTCAGTTCATCAGCCAGAAAATGGTAGAGGTGAGATTAACATCTAGTCTTTGTTTTAGGTTAGTTGTTGAGGTATCCAGTCAGAATAGTAAAGTTAGGGTTAACCGTAAGTAGACACCATCATGTTTTGTTACTATAATAGAAAAGTAGTGGGCTTCGTGTCAGATAATTCTAGGTTAGGATTCTTCCTTTGCCACTGACTAGCTTTAGTCTCTGTTTTCCTCATCTAGAAATCAAGGTTAGCAATAATCATAGTGTCACTGCTGGAACAAATGAGAAAATATTTGTGCACAGGACCTGGCATGCAGCAGGTGCATGTACCATGACATATGGTAGCTGTTCCGATGATCTAGAGCATGATTATCATTACATAAATATTTTAATAAGGTTTTATAATATATGATACTTACAACTAATTAGGATATCTCTATTTTACTTATTCCATGACAATTCAATAAATATTTTTGTAGCAATTTATTTCATAAAACTCACAGGAATGATTTTGTTTCCTGGTCTATTTTTCCCAACAACTCAATAATTAGGTTTCTAACGGTAGTCAGAAAAGTTTTCAGTTTGAGATTTAAAAATGTGCAGCTATATAAAAGTATGAATGAAGGTAGTAAAGGAGTTTGGTCACTCTTAACTACTTGCTATTACCTTCTGTTTCCCAGAGTCTCATTTTGTTGCATCTCTTGGCTATCTTCTAAGCTTGACTCCAGTTTATCAGTGATTTCATTTTGGACTTTTTTACAATGTTATTCCTTTGGAATGTCATTTCAAATAATTGGTGTTTGCCTCCATACATTAGAAGCAAGGGTGAAAAGTAGCCCAACTGTATGTTTTTCCCAGGCCACCAGAAGCCACAGTTGGGCCTGCGGGACCACCACTTCCTATGGGAAATGAACATGATTCAGATATAGTACCATTCATTTTTATTCCTGTTACATGTCAGCCACTAAAATCCAAGTGCTATTCTATCTCCATTGTAGAGTTTCCAACTTAAACAGATGACCAAGATTATTCAGACACAGGTTAGAATACCAATGAAAGTGCTTAAACAAGTGATGCTACCTTGCAGAGAGAGTAGCTGACTGTGATCTCACCAAATCAATATAAGGTAGTGGTGAAGCCTTTATAATTTTGAAGGATTGTTCATTACACTGCTCACAAGGTTTGTTAAATACAATTCATAGCAATCAGAAAAGACAGCTGGGTTTCTGGTTCACCTCTTGGATGAACAATGTAATTCTGAATATAGCCATGATACTTGAATTAAAATATGCAATATGCTTCCTATTCCAACATTTTTAACCTAAATGTAATAGCATATTATACTCCATCTCCTACAAATATAAATTCATTTATATGTCTATCAAGAGAGCAGGAGTTCAAAATATAATTTGGAAGACAATTCCACATAAACGTAGCATATCTCTTTCATATTGTAATGATGTGATGAGTCTAGAATAGAAGCCTGAGGTAAAGAATTGAATATTAACTTGCTACATGGCAGAATTCTTACCTAGACTGTCTCATTTAATCTCAGCAATAATCCTGCAGCCAGATATTATTCTTCATGTTTTACAATGAGAAAACCAAGACCCAGTAAAGTGAGTAAATTTCTCATAATCTCATAGGTAACATTTGAATGAAATGAGATATTAAACCAGCTATATCTGACTTTAAGTTTCATAGATCTTTCATCACAGAATTATGTCTCCTGTTCATCTCTTGCTGACCATAATACACTTTAACTAAAGGACAGTATTGGCAAAAACATAGTATACCAAGAATAGTTAGGATATCGAGAGTCTAGAATGTATTAAAACCTGAGAGTGTTTAACCTAAAACTGGTTATTGATTCATTTATCCAATTTTCATTTAATGAGCACCAAACATGCATCACTCTCTATGCCAGATCCTAGGCTTCAAAAAATTATCAAGATATAATCTGGATCCTCAATAGCCTACTTAGTATTGAGAAAGAAAAACAAGCAAATATTGACTTCCATATAGTGTCAGTTTTATGCAATAAGGTGCTGTGAAAAGACAAAATTGAGTATCTAATCTGTCTTGATTGGGGTGAAACAGAATGGCCTGACCAATGAAGTATGAACTGAACTCATATTATAGGACCTGAGGAAATTAAACTGTCAAATGAGAAAAGATGAAGGGAGAGTAATTTATTGACAGATAATATGGAAAACTAAACGGAGTAATTGGTCCAAAGATAGTAGGTTAGGACATTGTGGTAAGTGATACTGAAAAGTAGGTGGAAACAGATTCTGAAAGACAAGCTAAATAGTTTGGGCTTCATCTTGAATATGGTGATAAACCAATGACATTTTTCAATTTGGTGAGGTAACATGAAGAAATCCACATTTTAGAGAAAACCACTGGAAGCAATATAAATAAAAGATTGAAGCGGACGTGACTTAGGGTGGCCTAGGGAGATAGGAGGCTATTGCAGTGGCCCATGGTAAATGATAATGAAGGACTGAAATGAGTTTAAGTGTAGTTTTGGTATTTGCTAAATGTGTAAAGATTGTGATATAATATGAGGAGTTTAGGAAGACTTCTAGATTTCTACACTGAGTTATTTGGGGAATGCTGAGGTGAGATTCTAGGCTAAGAAACACAGTAAAACCTGGTTTGGTGAGGAGGATGTTGAGTCTAGTCACAAAATAGACACATTGTATTGGGATTACTGTGTAGGGCAAAGCTCTATGAATGTTCTGCAGGCAATGGGAAATAATGGATTGGCAACATGGTTGGAAATTAAACCCATAAATGAGAGTAAAATTGCCAATGGATAATATGTGGTTTTAAAGGTTTACTATAGAAAAAAATAGCACACTTCTTGTGTGACTTCATTAAGCATATTTAGGACAAAAATATAGCTGGAAGATATAAGGAAGTCAATTCTAATTCATTATAAAGAACTCTTAAAATTTTTGTTTGTTTGTTTTATTTTACTTTAAGTTCTGGGATACATGTGCAGAAAGTGCAGGTTTGTTGCATAGGTATACATGTGCCATGGTGGTTTGCTGCACCTCTCAACCCATCATCTAGGTTTTAAGCCCTGCATGGATTAGGTATTTGTCATAATGCTCTCCCTCGCCTATCCCCCTCCCCCCGACAGGCCCCGCCAAATCATGAGTGAACTCCCATTCACAGTTGCTACAGAGAGAATAAAATACCTAGAAATACAACTTACAAGGGACATAAAACATGTTTTAAAACATGATGGGGCTACCTGGGAAAGTAAATTTTTAATTTATGGATGTCAAACCAGGGTGTTCCTGTATCTTACAGGGCAGGGTTTTCAAACCCGTATACTTATAGGCATGCAGCATAAATGACTGAATAGAGTAAGTAGTAATGTAATATAGAAAGAACATATCTATAATGAAACATGAGTTCAGTTCTAACTGATTATGGCCATGAGAGAATATGGATCCACTATTATAGTTTCAATTAGAAGCTCAAGAAGACTGGAAATAGGAATTCTGTGGAGAATATCAAACCTTTAAATAGTGGCAATGGATTCAATATCTTTGAATTTGGCCAGGCCAAATTGATTGCTATCTCCTTGAATTTAATAACGATTTTGATGACTTTCCCTAATGTAAGATTTATGGTTCTTTCAACATATGAGCTCCAAGTAAATATTATAATTCTCATTGTTTTAATATATAACTTAATGTTTTCCCATGTTTAAATTTAATTGATTATTTGCCATTGGCCAACCTGTCTTTGGCCTAAAATCCTCCAAAACCTCATTGCATTACATTTTCCATACCTGGAATAACCTCTCCACTTTACTCAGACTGTCAACTACCCATTAACTCTGTAAGGCTTAACTCATGCCCAGACGTCTTCACAAAACAATTCTTATTTATTTTTAACTCTGTAATAATTTTTCATGCTTTTATGTGGTTTCATATTTTACAACTAAAAACTTCCTCATGCTACTGATGACTTACATACACAATTTTATGTGCTACATAGTATTTTGTATGATATTTAATATGGAGTAAATATTTCTTGAATGAGTATCAAGACAAATATGAGAGATTATATTGATAAACATTTTATATCAAGACCCAAGCAGGAGGCATCTAGAATTCTTGTTCTTGAGCTGTTTATTAGACTCCAAAAGATAATAATAATCATTGATATTTTATAGTTTATAAATTGTTTTCAAATGTCTTCTCATTTATCCTCAGAAAAACTCTTCATGATGAGAGAAGCAAGTGTTATTATTAACCTCCTACCTAGTTAAAGATCTACGTGCAGAAAATGCAAGAACCTGTCCAATAAGAAGAACCTGTCCATACTGAATGTCACGCAGTTTCCATCCTTAGGCACCTTCCTAGAAACTGAACAAATTTCCTCCATTAAAAACAATACCAATTAAATACAAATTAAATTAAATAGGCACTGTACATTGCCGTCTTTTAATAAACTGCTCAAGTGACTGATACTTGGTTCTTCAACTATATGTTAGTCATACGAATGCCCCAGTTGATCTGGAAGCTGTTGACTGTTTTTACTGTATAATTATAATCATTATATTAGCCTTCTATAGACTCTGACGCTTAATATTGTGGATCTGCTGGCATGTCTGATTCTGTACAATTTCATTACTTCCAAAATGGCAATTTGTTGAATGTATGTATGTATCTAAATATGATACGATTATTTCTTTGTAAAATAGTTTCATAAAAATTTACAGATCAGAAAAGAATACAACCTGCCACAGATAACACAGGTCTGATTTTTGGATCAGAAAATATGATCGTGGTAGATAGGAGCTTGTTGGTTGTGGAGAATTTAAATAGTGAATCTAAGCAGTGAAGTTTTTTTTTTCATTCTTTCAAATTGCATGAGTTGGCAAATACAATACGGTATTTCATTTCAGCTTTCATATAATTTATTCACTGCTGCAAGGAGACAAGACCCTCTAGGGAATGTCCCAAATCTATGTAATGTTACCTCTTACTATATTTGCCATTTAGCTACAGCTGACAGATGTGACAAAATTGCAAGTAGCCAGGCAACTTCCCCAACTGGGCCTACAGAAGCAATTCCCACAGCTGCACAGAAGAAAGACTGCAAATTATTCCACACTCAGGTTAAATTATTTCAAGTTAATTTGCACTTGAAGTTCTCTCTCCAAAGACACCTTTATTCCTCAAAGTATCACAGAGCTGTTCTGGGCTGATTCTACTTAGGTTAAAAACAACACTTCAAATTGGAAATCATCCAACATTGAAAGGAAGTACAGAGATTAGGGAATTTGCTGATTTCAGAAATGGTAATGTGAAAGGAGAGCGATGTTAATTATAGAAACTAACAGTTCTCATCATTTTAAATAGTTACGTAGAAGTGGAGAATCAGATCAGGTTTTGGATCAGCTGTGTAGCATAACTTTATTTCTTATTCTTTATAAAAATGATTTAAAATATAAGCATATTTGCATGTAGGTGCCTTGAAATGTCACTGATTTTTTTTTTTTTTTTTGCATTCACAATGCCAAGGTACTTTAACATTGCCAAGAGGCCGATAACTAATTAAGAGCCAGAATAGTCCAAATACAGCACTTTTTTTGTAAGGAAATAAATGAACCACCCTCATACAAATAAGATAGTGTGACTTCTATGTTCAGTTTAGTTAGATGTTGACCTTGAGGCACGGAATTTCAGCTTCAATTTAAATACTACAGACTCATTCTTTGAAAAGCAGTGTCTTTTCTTCATTTTTAAAAAAACTATGACCCAGGGCCACAAAGAAGAGAAAATGAAGTATATAAATGTATTTTAAAGTAAAATTTAAGACCCTATTGTCCTAGAATTGCTCCAATTTATATGACACTTTTTATCTCTTCTCCTTCATAAAACTAGGAAAATCTTACTAGAAAATGCCTTTGTAGTAAAAAGTACTAATTTAAGCTTTGTATCTTTCAGGGTATCCAGCTATTTATTAGCATTGATTATTAATTTTCTTATCAGTTTGTTTGGGGTTTTCTGATTTTATGACAACTAAATGCTTAGTTCTATACACTCAAAATATAACATAAATCATAAGTAAAACAAGCATAATGCAGAAATCATTCTTTAAAATTGAGCACGAGTTACCCTGAAAGTTAATTATGGTGATGAAAATGTGTCCTAAATAAATAAATAAATGTTGCATATACATTTTTTAAGTTGTCTTCAAACTCACACAATTATAGAACATGCCAATTTTGCTATTTAATAGCAGCACTTCTCCAGGGTGAAATCTTCGGCTTTCCACCTACATAACTGAAGTGTGACAGCTATCACATATCCGACTTATTGAATCTCATGTAAGTAGAGTGTGCTATAAAGCGACTATAATTTGCATGGATGGAAATGTCAGGGCAAGGAACTGAAAGTGTACACATAGATGGTTTCTCTGTCCCAGTACGTCTTGTCTTACCCTGGACGAAATCTAAAATGAAATCTTTTCACTTACTTAAAAGCAGAGTCAGAATCAGAATAGTGTGTAAGAAGAATATCCTTAAAGTTATTTGGTAATAGTATTAGTTTAAAATTGTATATACAGTTATATTTATTTTCATTGTTTGTAATTATTAAAGATTTACTATTTTCATAAAGTAATTACTCTCTAAAAACGACAAAGCATACAACATGCTAAAGCTACGGGACTTTATCTGCAGGTGGACTTTTATGGCTGAAGATCAGGTTAAATAGATACCTCTTGTTAGATAAATTCCTAGCAGGCTTCCAACTCAGGGGATAAAAGGAGGAAAATTAACTAAATAATGTACACTTTTACTCTACAATAATAGTACAATAACGTAGTTAAGGGCACTCATCTCAAATACATCCCACCATATGATACTTGAAAGGTTATAACTTTTGAAAAGTTGTTGACATTTACGTAATTCTATTTTTCCCTCCTAAAAATATCCACTTAATAAGAAAAAAGATATTCAAGTCTAATGCAAAAATTATTAACTCATATGAACAATTAATAAATATATTGACTCCAGTGAAAAAAATACTTAATATATAACAAAATGACAGGATCTTTACATGTAAAATCTTCATTGAAAATTATGGATAAAATTGTAGTTGGAGTGTTTTCATGTTTTGTTCATTTACATATAGTCCCTTCTGAAAGTAGATGAAGAACTAAATCATCTCTCACAATCATGTCTAAAAATTGTAACAATTTGTTTTGATCTTAATTAAAATCATATGTCAGGATTGTTGAGTTCGGGAATTTATTGCTCTTGCTCTTATTGCCTTATCTATCTAATAAGTTATTCCTGTATTCATGACCGCTCCACAGCCCAATAAAAAATAATAAATTTCATCTCCATGTAATTCCAGCTTCATAAGGCAAAAAAAATTGTTAATTTTAAAGAACTATCTGTATTTAAATGTATATCTTTGAATAGGTAATTTGGGAAGTCCTCTTTAAAGCAATGAGATATTTAATTTTATTAATTTTATTTTACAAGAAAACAAAAACTATCCTCCTTCTTTGTATACTAGTTTAAAAGAAAATGCTATTTGTAATTCCGACTACTTTTAAAAATAAGTTTTCATGATTTAAAATACTGAGATTTGCTTTAAAATTTCAACATGTAATATAATTTTTTTAGAGCTCTAGATGCATCTTTCAAGATGTGCACAATATTCAAACAAGTAAAAAACACAAGTGTGTGTGTGTGTGTTTTATGAGGGATGTTGCACACCAAGGCAGATCAGACTATGCAGCATATAGTAAATCCATTATCAGAGCTTTTATATACAATTCATTTTATATACAATTCATTTGAAACAACACACATATTTCCAATATGTAGATCTTTCTTTAACGATGTGAAAACCATTTGAAGACTGAAGCTCTTTGTAAATATGATTTTCCTTCTTAGTTCTGCAATCCACTTGTGCCATCCTTGAATTTTTGTGTACCTTTTCTAAGCCATATACTTCACTATAATTTATTAAAAGAATATTCAAAAATAGAAAATAAATAAACATATTTAAAATTCTGAGATCTTTTTGCCTTAGCTACATTCTGCTTGGAAACTGATCGTTATGCAAAAACTGTGTTTTTTTTCTAGCTTAGTGCTTTTCAAAATTTAGTGTTCAAATAAATAACCTGGGGTCTTGTTAAAATGCAGATTCTAATTTATAAGGTCTAGGACAGAAACTGACATTTAGCATTTCTAACAACTGCCCAGGAGATGTAGATGTTGATCCTTGAGCCACATTTTAAGTTACAAAGCCCTAGCTGACATGTTTATATATTTTTAAATCTACTTCTCAAATGACTGTAAACCTTCCCTAAAGTTGCCTCATGTGATGAAAAATGGGCTATCACAAAATCCAGCTTCTCAATCAGTCTCTCTACCTCTCTAACTCTCTTTCCTCCCCTCTTTCCTAGGACAGGAATATGCCTGAGCACACTTTTTCCCCTGTAGATGATGTCTCATGTCAAGCAATTGGGTGTACCTTGTTGCCAGGCCTCAACTCTGACCACAGTCCCAGTGTATTTCATGGGTGTGAGGTCTGTTTCCGGTGTCTTAGTCTATCTTCTACTTCCATAGAGCTTAGCAGTTAGGAGCATGTGCACTCAGAAAGCGTATGACTGTATTTAGTTTTCTATTGCTGTTTAACAGATCACCAGAAAAAAGGGTTAAAACAGCACCCATTTATTAGTTCATACTTCTAAAACCAGAGTCTGGTATGATGTGGCTGGGTTCTCTCTGCTCAGGGTGTCACAGGGTTGAAATCAAAGCACTGGTTGGATTGAGTAGTTGTCTGAAAGGTCTGGCGAAAAATCCACGACCAAGCTCATTCAAATTGTCGACAGCATCAAGGTCCTTGTTACAGCATGACTGTGGTTTCTGTATTCTTGCTGTTTGTCAGTAGGGGGTAACCCTCTGGTCTTTTCCAGTGATTTCCTCCATGTCAAGCCAGGAATAACACCTGAAATCCTTCTCATGGTTTAAATTTCTGATATCCTTTTCTGCCACCAGCCTGAGAAAAGTTTCTTGCTTTAAAGAGCTCATATGATGTTTCTGGGCAGGCCGATCTGGATAATCTTAAGGTCTTAGGTCAATTGAATTGCAGTTTTAATTGTTTCTACAAAAGTCCGCTCACAGCAGCAGCTACATTACTGTTTGGTTGAATGAGAGCTGGGAATCTTGGGGAGTCATTTTAGAATTCTACCTGAGCAAATTAAATAATTATTTGTGTGTCAGTTCTTTCATCCTTAAATGAGGATAATATGAGTACCTATCTTTGTGAGTATCAAAGTATTGTATGTATTTAGAACACTACCTGACTCCTGCTAAGTATTCAATAGATATTAACTATGATTATTAGTAGTAATATTATGGTTACTGACATCACTTACTTCCTCAGACTTCTTCCTGCTTCTTGTGCTAGACTAGCTTGGTATAATTATTTTAGCTTTCTAAGACAGAAACTTATAATCATGTCTTTGCTCAGTCTTCTGGAAACTCTCTGAAGAAGAAACTCTTTTAAACAACTCTCTGAGGCAACATGCTCAAAGCTAAGTGGCTCTTCTTTGAGAAAATACACACTCAGCTAGTCATTTTCTCTAGGCAAGGTCAAGTTCTCTAAATGGCTCTTGCTTCAGTTTCAGCCTTCTCGAGTGAGCCAGCACGTGTGTTGTTGCACACAACCATTCAAACTTCCTGGCAGCGTTCAAACTCTGGTGTTGAAGAGGCTAGAAAATATTTTTTTTCCCAAACTGTCTTAATTTGCCTAATAACAGACGTAGGAACACATCTGCAAAGTATCAAAAATGGCCTAAAATGAACACACACACACAAACTGTGCTTGTTATTTATTATTTCTTCTTTGCAGTTTGGGAATCTGAGGATCAGAGATTTTATTTCAGATCCTACCCAATAAGTGGCAGCATCAGAATTCAAACTTGAGTCAGTATAGATCCAATGTCATAGCTTTGTCATTGTATTTCCTCTCTCATTAATCACAATTCAGAAATTGCTATTCTTCTGGAATTAATATTTGTCTTTATCTTAAGATATTTGCATTTCTTAAACTTTTACAAAATCTACTGCTATACAGTAGTGTAATGCCTGGCACAATATCTTAATGTAGCTGGCATTTTATACATTTTTGTTGAGAGAATATTAAAATTAAAATGTACAATGTGGTGTCTGACTGTACTTTGACCTTCTCTTTTCTTTTGATTTAACATAAACCCATTATATATTTCTAATGCGCTGATCAAATAGACTTGGATGGACAATAGAACCTATTGAAATTCACTGAGCAAATTAACATGCTTCATATAGCTTATCATTTTTGAAAGAGGAGCAAAGCTAGAAGATCAGAGAAGCTTCAGTTAAAGACATCCCCTCTATCTAGTACAGTGAAGAAGGAAAAAGAATTTCTCACACTGAAACTGGAATTAATTGGGGTATAATTGGCAACAGACACAGACTTGAGTTGAAAACAAAATAGGTTTCAGAATACATTAGATTATCACTTAATTAGTGGTATCTTTGAAGCATACACCAATCTTTATACTAATGCTATACACAGAGTAAGTATTTAATTGAAAGGAACAAAGCATCGAAAGTTCTCATTAGAGCTCTTTAATACAAGTGGGAAAAAGATAGTTTCTACCTACAACAAGTTATTTGAAATTTCAATCAAACTTTAAAGCAAAACTACAAGCAATGAATCACAGTACACCATTACTCCTATTACAAGGCTGCCTGAAATCCAAAATCATCAGCATTTTCATATTGAATAGGGAGATGAAAAAGATTTAAAATACTATTAAAACATAATAGATAATAATATACTTTGGTATATATACTGAAATATTTCTTACTTTGATGGAATTATAATGTTTTCTTCCTGAGTCATGTAGAAGGTATAATTTAAGTGACATAACCCTATGGGGAAAAGGGATACAGGTGGAATACCATCTTAAAACAGTATCTCTCCTATTGAATTCCTCTGGTGGGCAAGGAGAAGAAGCAGGAAAGAGCCAGAGACTCTTTGGAGTCTGTGTGAATATGTTCAGTGCTGGGCAGTAGCTATAGAAGTGTTTCATAAAGGAGCATTTTTGCCAAGGGACCTTTGGAGAATATTTCTATTGATCTTATTCATCTTATTCACTAGAGTGAAGTTCGTAACCTGAGGCTAACCTGGGGTCCACGAATTCCATGTGAATGTATAGATTTACTTCTTCTCCCCCAAAACTGCCCATAGCTTACAGTCTATTTATGGATTGTGACAAGAAAAAGTTAAGAAACTATTCCTCTCTAGCTTCTGAGACATTTTAGGGCATAATTTGCCAAGTTGTGTGGTGGTTTGAGAATCGTATGATGTGGCACCATAAAAAATCAAATAATTTAACATACATCATTTAAACTAGGTCTCCAAAAATAAGTGTACCATCAGTGGTTGCTTCATCTAATCCATGTTTAATGGCTGCACCATATTTGAAATGATAATCATCAGTTGACACGTCAGAACTAAGTGTCTTTTAAAAATATATACTCCAAATACTATCACTGATATTAGTAAGTGATCAATTACTTATATAGAGAGAGGAAGAATAAAAGTGCTGTTGGATTATGGCATATAATTGAAAGTATCTGTCATTGTTAAACTAACAATTTGAGAACATTGTTTCAAATATCAGGAATTTGACCTTTAAACCTCAAGATGTAATGCACTAAATTTAATAAAAAGCCTCATTATAATTGTATTTGCTTAAAGAGAGTCCCAGAAACAGTTAAATAACTTAAAAGCAAGAGTAAGTTACCTAGGTAAGGAAATATAATATACAAAACTCAAAACATGCCTATTATAAATTGCAATAATTTGATGTAAATGCATTATCCCATTTAAATAAGCAAGGCCTAGTTGCATCTTCTACTTCTGGAAGTTGACTCAGTAATAGCCACTTTCATTGGGTGTCAGAGTGATTCTAGGAATCATATTTCTCTGTGTCTTCTATTTGCTCTTCACTCTCCTTTCTGTCAGCCTATTGCAGCCTATACCACATTTCACACCTGCCACACAAAAGGACAGGGGAGTTCTCAAGTTGGAGGTGGAGGGAAGTAGGATTATTTTTACCAAAGAGCAGTTTTTAGGTGTTACAATAAAATTTGTACTATATTTTAGCTATACTTCACCTAACTTGGTTTAGTGGGCAAACGATTCTTTAGCAGGGGAAAATGTTTTTAGAGTATCACAACCCATTGCAAATCAATGTTGGTAAATTAGCTCATAGGTGTATTAGAGATTGCCAAAATCTTTCATGTTTCAAAAATTCTATTTTCCATATTGTTCCAATATTGATGTTATTCAGTGTCTCAACACCTATCACAAAGAAGGCTTCCAGTTAGCCCTTAATGTAGGTTGTTTGAATAAAATCAGTGAGCATATAATATGTTATAACAATAATAAATTCATATAATTATAAATAATAGCATTTCTGTTATAGTCTCTATGCTACACAAATGATTTGGATTATACTTTTGCTAATATACTGTGAAGCCACATTCGTCTGGTTCTTATAAAATGTTTCAGAATTACAATAATTTTACACTTGAAAATTTATTCCAGAAAGTTTGCTATTCCATGTAGAGAATATCTCAATGTTGTAATGTCAGACATCATACTTACATTAATATGTGCTGCTACAAAGGCACCATTTTGTAGTTTGTACACATATCTCTTATTGATACAGCTAGAGCACATGTGTATTGTCCCATGTCAACCCAAGTGCTGTGGTCTTGTCTGTGAGTGCACACTACACATTTATAAAACTAAGTACTATTTTCATTCACATGCAAATGACTATGTCAAGGAAATACACATTGAATTTGCAAGTGGCAAAAAAACATGATGAGTCTTAAGAAACTCAGAAAGTAAAGAAAAATAAGTGTTCATTTTCAAAAATATCATTTATGGTTTGGCAGCTACACAATCTACTTTTGTTCACAAGGCTAGTCTATTAAGGCAAGACACGTGTGTTTGTGGTCTTTAGTAACATCTATACTTATAATCTGTTAGTCTAGATTACTCTTTATATAATTTGCCACCACTTAGTTTGTAAAATTGACTAAAAATTTTAACAAGGTGCTTTTTTTTTTTTTTTTTTTTTTTTTAGAAATTATCAACTGCCTAGCAAGAACACATTTGCTTCTTAAATCATGGTATATCCACAAACCAGTTGAACTAATAGAAAATAGAGGAAATGTGTTCTAATCACTTTCAAAGGTTAAGCCCATGCTTAACAGAAAATCATTAAAGTACATTTATCAGAGTCTAAAGAATGAATGACTTATCGGCAAATGAGTCATTAGTCATCTTCTTGTCATTATCTGAACTCTGCAGATACCAAACAATCCACTCAGCTCTGATTCAGGGTTTTTCAGCTTGTTATTTGTATTATCACTGATGTAATTTTTCCTTCTTTCTTTTTAAAAACATGAACTGAAGAGGTAAACTAAGGAGTAGTCTAGAGAAAACTTTTTCCACAAAATATTCAACTGGCTTAAATATAAAAAGGAATGAGTTTCCAAAATGATTTCACCATTAAACTAAGGGCTCATATTGAATTTAGAAAATGAGATATTCCTTTCTCTCCCTGAGTGCAAAGCAACCACTTTCAAGTAGGCCTCTGAATTCTCTTCTTTAGCCATAATACCAGTGATATCTCTTATTCCTTCCATTGCTTTTCTTTAAATTTAATCCCAAGTAGCTGTAAATCACAGCAGTCACAGTGGGAAGGTAATCATAGTATTCGTCTTTGCAAGATATTTTTGCCCTTCTGGTTTGATTGCTGCCTCTCAGTTATGGAGCTATTAATTTTTTACAGATCTTCTGTTTACCATGGCATCCTGCCTAGTATGCCAAGTGTGTTGGTTGCTTGCTGAACCTGTATATATAACTCTGTTGGATTTAGGAATCATGGAAAACCCTGAGCATTTATTGTTAAGGGGAGCCCCAGCTGACTTTTGTTTTGCCATTTGTTAGCTAAAATCAATACATTCTATCATTATAATCTCTGCAAAACCTTGGATGTGTGTGCCTGGCAGGCAAAACCATCAGAGAGTCTAAGATCCTCCCCAGACAGGAGAGAAAACTTATTTTTATTTTTAATTAACATAAAATGCACATCCAAACCAGCAGCTTCAAGACCCAAAGGAATGTGTTCTAAAGCCTTCAGCAGTGTGCAGTACACTCTCGTTTCCATATCTGCATCCTTCAATGCTTATGTGATATTCCTTTGAAATTCATTCAGCTTGAGCCAAAATAACTCTGGAAAGTGAAAGAAGCTTATACAAACAAACAATTTTATTCAAGGATCTCTATCTTTTCTACTTTCTTTTTTTTTGATTGTTTAACACACTGTCAAAAGTTTGAATATGCATCTCTTATCTCTTTGCTGTCCATTTCTTAAACCTTACAAAATATGCCAATGAGTCAGCTGAGGAACACTAACATGTCAAACCAAATATTCCTTGCAATTTTGTCCCTTAATAGTCTTTTGCACTCAACTTCTCTAACCTGAAGAGCATCCTGGCTTCTCTCCCTACTCATGCGTTATTAATCTTCAAAATACCCAGCTTAAAGCCTAGAGTTAAAGCTAGCTAAGCAAATATTTTATGTATTGCAGATAAAATGTAGAGAGAAGGTTTATATTTTAATAATGTTAAACTTTTATAATTATTCCTTTAATTCATGTAGAATTACTTGTCATAAATCAGTAACAACTTTATAATTATAGGTATTTAAAAATATAATTAGTTTTTAAAAAATATAAAATGGATTTTGTTCATGCTTTTCAAAGGTTTGAGAAAGTTTCCATATGTTTGTAAAACAAAATAACCATCAATGAGTAGAAAGCATAATTATTTATTGCTTGCTTTTTAATATATTTGCCAAAAGAACAACATCTCTGCACAAAGAACTTCTAATAAAATGAATAGAAAATTAGCAACTTGAGAGAACAAAGTACAAGTCAACATAAAATTGTATGACCTTGAAAATAAATCACTTAATCTTTCAGGAATTAGGTTTTCTCTGCTGTAACATGTAAATTTTTGAGTAGATTATCTTTAAATTCCATCCTAGCTCTGAATTGCTATGACATTATTTTCTCCACTCACTCTAGCTCAAGGGTGTCTGCCTTCTCTTAATTCAAAAGTTTTGGACCATTCAGCTGATAATGCTCTGCTATGTCTCATTTCTTGTATTATGATCCAATATGCCAAATTCTAGTATGCTATTTTCACAATTATTATCAAATAGTTATTATAGACCAATATTAAGTCCTTAAAGAATTTAGATGTAAAGAGTAAAATTTAATGTGACTACCAAATGTTTAGACACTGTACATGGGCAAATAAGGCATATCAACATAGGAAATATAATACACATTATAGCACTATACGGTCAATGCCACAGGAGTGGTTTAGAAAATAATTATAAGGAAAATTTAGAAAAGGGAAGACATTGAATAACCTTGATTTATTTTGAAACATGACTCACTGGAAACTGAAAAAATAAAAGTGAATAAAATATAATCCTGCTCTTATGTAAATCACTAGTATAATCTGAGCTAAGCTATGAACAAGACAAGGCTATCGAGTTTCTTAACAGTTTTTTCTGAATATTTAGGGTCTGGCTTTGTTGTGAGCTCTCTGCTCATGCTGCATACATTCAATACAACATTTATCTTGATATTCCCCATAGTGCCTTCTAACTAGTAGGTACCCAATGGATATCCCTTAAGTGATTAATTCTCTTAAGCACATGAATTTATACCAAGAAATACCCTACTATACTCAGATCAGCCTGAGATAATAAAAATCTACTGGCATGATTTACACACCACTGAGTGTCAGGGCTGCTATGCTTTCTAACTTACCAGTCTCATAATTTGGCCTGGTAAATGAGTTATGGTGAGTTGAATCACTTATGAATCAGGTTTGCTTCTGTGGCCATAACTCATGGAGATAATGGAAGGAACCAGGAATCCCTTCTCTACCCATCTCCAACTGCTGTCTCTTTTGGTGTATAGTTCAGTCAATACCTGATACACTATTTTAAAAAATACAGTAAGGCCTTAACAGACACATATGTAGTCGTTTAACTTAACTTTGATTATGGCATATGAAACACCTAGAAGAAGCCAGTGCTTGAAAATTAATTAGAGAAAATGGTCTCTTTATCAACAGAAAAATAAATACTTATATTTAGAAGGTAAATCATGACTAGGAAGCCACAGAGAATACAGCAAGTTTGTTTGTCAAGAAATGTAGAAATTCCTGCCAGTTAAAGCCTGCTATCTTTCCATTTGAGACAAAAGCAGAAAGTAATCTGGCTTCCAAATGGGATCAGTGCAAACATGCATTCCTGCTTGCACACAACTTCATGTATGCAGACTTGCTGACTGCTAACTCTTAAAAGGTTGGATCAAATGTATGGCTACTACCTACTTCTTTAATGTCATTATCTCAAGAATCTTGTGAATTTTTAATACTGATTTTTACAATCTGATTTTATTGGAAACACACATGATAGAATAAATGCTATTTTTTTTTAAAAAATGAGGATTCTGTTATATGCATTAAAGCAGTGGTTTCAGTAAGTATAGGGTGAAGCCTAAGAATCTGCATTTTTAACAAGTTCTTAAATGGTACTGGTGCTTGTGGGCCAGGGAAAAAGCGTTGAGAATCAGTGCATCAAGGATAAATTAAACACACTTTACAAGAAAAAAAAAAAGAAAAGAAAATTAGAGCTATTGCTCAGTGACTTCTCTAAACACATGTACTTCCTGTAACTCACATTTGTTTCAGACCCCTTGGGCAACCTGAGTTAGATTCCCAATAACTCTGATTTTGTTCAATCCACTCATCAAAGCTAAGTCTCAGAAATAAAATGTAGCAAGAGATAATATAAATCTTCCTTTGCAAAAACATGCTGCAAAATTTGTAACCTGAAAGTCCCAAGGAAGTAGAGGCCAGAATTATTTGAGAGTAGCCATAAAAGCCAGGGTATATATCCCCTGCTGGATTCTTGCATGCAGAATTAACAAGCACTTCTTGAGTTCTAATGCAGAGGGACTCTGCATGCTGACCTACTTCTCGGGAAAGCATGATTGATTGAAGTTTGCAAAATGCTCTGAGGAAGAGAAGTTCTTTATTATTTTATCCAAGAAACCAAAAAAATTTTTGAATTTTTAACATTCTGTTTGTTACATGCCCCTATTTACAGACTATCATGTACTTTAGATCAGCAGCAGCTTACATCAAAATGTAAGAAGAGGATAATATAGAGTTGAATTTGAGTAAGTTCCAGGATCTAATTACTCCTGCTTGCTTTTCAAATGATAATTGTATTTGCTACCCTATTTGATAAAATAATATATACAATAAAAGGTCTGAAGAGAGCCAACAAAATATATGCATTAAATGATTTTAAGGTGCATCTATTAAATAATGTGTCTATTAAATAGTTTTGAGTGAGCAAAGAAGGAAAATGCATATTATGTCCTTTGTAGATATAGCTTAGGGATATTCCTGATAGTGTCTTCTTTTATTTTCCAAGGACCACTAAAAAGTACTGGGAAAGTTGAAGTAATATAAATTAATCAGAAATGAAAATGTGCTTTATACATTTAGTTAAACACACAGGCAAGGAACTGATACTTTTGTGCCAGAGTCATTTCAAGTCATAGGTTTTGTCCTTTATTATATATTCCATGTGCTAGGAATGAAGGAGCTTGTTGGAGAGCAGGAAATGTCCTTTCTTGGGGTCACAGAGGCCCAAGTTAAAATCTAGGCTCTGCCGATTATTTGTTGTGTCAATGCCCCCAAGTTAACATGGCATTCCTATCCCCCAAGTTAAGTTTCTGAAATGCTGTTTTAACCTTAATCTGATATTGATCTGCTGACGAATTAAATTTCTCTATTCCTACATTTATTTTTCTTTATGTATAAATCCACACTTGCAATTTTATGTATTTAACATCCTCAATTTCCTCATCAGGAAACTGGCATCAGCTATCAGATAAAATTGTTATAGGGATTACATGAGATGATGAAGGTGAACCTATAACACTTGGTACAATTTAGGTACTAAGCATGGCAATGTTTTCTCTAGGGGAAAAATTTCAACTGGTTACTTCCCAGTGAGAACTGGCAGAAGTATGTAACTTCATAGAAAACACACACCTCAGTTGTACTTCAGTTTCATCTATGGGTAACCATGCTGCACAAGAGAAGTATGGCCAAAGGCCAGTTAGTCTGTAAACATCACAGTTGAGATAAGGACTGGTTACTTACCATCTTTGCATCCATATAAATAAAAGCCTCACAAGCATGTTTTAGGGGATCACTTATTTAATTCAGATTTCTCCTATTTGGATTTCTCCATTTTGTCACCAGAAATAGCCTATGGGTATCGTCCTCTAGGTGGTACAGAACAAAAAGAAACAAAAACACTCAGCTGAAACCTTCCTCCCAGCTAAGAAGTCATCAAGTGAAAAGAAATGTTCAAAAGAAGCCCTCAGGAAAGAGACTATGCAAATATGAATAGGAAAAAACTAGACTTCTGTCTATGGTATATGTTTCCAAGTTATCCTCCAGCTGATTACTTGGGCTAGTACAAACCATAAATTTACCCAAAGAAAATGATGACAGCATGATGCAAAATTACAGGTCCACTGACTATACCCTACTTTTCTGGGTGATGGGCTGATCCTGTGTAATAAACACTCATATTACATTCCACAGTCGAGTACTATAGGTAGAGATTATTCACCATTGGTTTGAGTTTAGGCTTGAAGGAATAAATATGTAATCATATGGCAGGGAAAGGAACATGTAACTTTTCCTCTCTTATCACAGAAACTGCCATTTTGCTTTGGAGTTTACAGATTACACAGAAGTCACCTAATCTTTACTGAAAACATTTACCTCTGGAAAAGGTCGACATTTTGATACAGGACAAACACTGTCACTAACCTTGGCACTAGACTTTAAATATTTTCCACCAAATATCAATAATATCAGTAATAAGTTTCATTTCTCATGAGGCCAGCTATTGACCATCTTAGGTATGCTTGACCCAAATGAACTTGATGTAAGCAGAATCTCAGATTTGTTGCCTCAACCTTAGATTCTACATTTATTTACTTAGAAGTGTTTTCTACTTAATCCTAACATCAAATCTCACCTTCAAGTAACAGTTGATAAATTACATATGTGGCCTATTATATGTTATTTTAGTAATGAAACTGTTCTGTTCTCCATGTAGAAATCATCAATTTTCTGACAAGTTTTCTTAAAATGTAAGTCAAAGAAAAGGGTATAATTCATTCCCAGAGCAGAAAATAATACTAGATTCTAGATGAACTTAAGTATCTTCCAATTAAACATTCTAAGCCTAGGAATAAGCATCAAATTTCTCCGTCTTTTTTACTTCCATGGTACCACATCTCTACATGACTCTGATGAATTTTGCATCTTCATGTGACCATGCATATGCAAAGAGTGATTGAGTGGACAGATAATTTTCTCAACTCTTCCAAACACAGGATGCCTTGATCTATAGTTCCAAAGCCATGGCTCATTAATTAGCACAGTTCTGCATAGCACATTGCTGCCAAACCAGTTAGCAGCCAGATAAAGAGATGCAAAGCTCAACTTCTGTGGCATTTTGTGTTTCCCTCCCATTCCTCAAAAAAGATAAGGACTAGAAGTAATGAATAAATAGGTTAAAAAGACAAATAAAAGCTAATTTCACTTTACAAGGTTTATGTTTATGATCTTTTCTTCTCCCAGTGGTTTTCTTAGCTTGGCTAGGATATGCCATGTTACATTAGTAACTATCAGTTAAAAAAGATAAATTGACTCCTAATCTGTCTGTCATAAATAAGACTCCCTGCTCATGCATGCTCTGAGAATGAGAACTAAATTTACTGTCGTCTTGCCCTTTCAGCAGATTACTCATGGAGGCATAAGTAGGTATACACAGAATACAAGGAAATGTCCTATTCAGAGTAAAAGTCCGAACTTTATTGCGTATATCAGGAAGCAATTGTATATGTACCTGATGCCTGTGGAATCCTAACTTTTGTTTAGGATTAAGGAAAGGAGTGGACCTCAATCTTTATTAAAGAAGCCAGATGATCATGACAGTTGGATTGTAGAGCCCATTGTGTCTCAGTCTTCTGGCAAACTTCTGTAAATAAACAGGCACACAGAGCTAGATGTTCTCTTGTCACTTAAACTGCAATTCCTATCAGTGGGTGCTGAAGTCTTAAAATGACTTATATTTTATTAAATAGAATACTGGTAATACAGTCTTTTTTCAATTGGTGATAATAAGCAATAGGTGATAATAAGCAATAGGTCAATCAAAGACAGTTCTTTAAAAATAACAGCAAATATATTAGAATAGAAAGGTAAAGAAAGGAAAAAACATCAGAGTGCGTCATATACAATAATGCTTTTATTTGTTGAAAATTTAAGTTAAATATGTGTCTGTACATTGGGTCACAATTTTAAAACTATTTGTTAATGAAGGTCACAGTCAAAAAATGTTTGCAGGAAAACGATGTTTTCAAGGCACTTGTAGTAAGTGATGTAATAATCTTGCAGCATTTAAACCTCTAAATGTGTTAATAAAATAATAGTATAATAAATTAATTATAAAAGTGTTTAAAAGTATGTGCTATGTGCTAGGCAATGTTCATAGTGAATTATATGTATTTTATCAATCAGTCCTCACATTAACCCTATGACATGTGTATTTTTAAATTTTATGCTCTGTGTTTTAAATTTTAAAGTGTGTGCTCTGTGCCAGGCAACAGTCATTATGAATCATATGTATTTTGTCAATTAATCTTTACCTTAACCCTATGACACACGTATTTTTACTTTCCATTTTGTATAGATTGAGCTACTGAGACATTTCTCAGGAGCTCTTGTAATAATATTTTGATTGAGTTAGTGTAAAATAATGCATGATTTCATAAGTGAATAAATGATTCTGACTCTTCATCTATTAGAACACAGCTAGTAGTGTTAGAATTAGCCACCTTTCTCACCCTTGTTTTCTTAAGGAAACACAGAAAGCATCTTCTTAATTAAAAAGTACCCTAAGAAAAAAAGCAGTTTTCCAAAATTATAGTCAAACTATGGGAATATTTTCAGTTAATAGAAGCATTTGACTAAATTTTCCAGAAAACACAGCATACACAAAATACTCTTTCTCCTTATTCTCTCTATTGATGTTTCTCTTCCCATTTAGCTCTTTTCTACCAAATTTAAGGAATTCCAAGATTGCAAACCACAATAGATTGTTCAGTGTGGCCATTGGAAAAGGCATGTCAAGGTTAGCTGAGTAAATCCAGGAATAATCAAATAAAAAAGAAGGCACAGGAGAACAAACATTTATTTTCTCTCACACTGGGCTGTACATATTTGGCGAAGTGGCTTCCATGGTTCTCTCCTTCTTTATAGCGAAGGGTTATTTGTGTTGAATAACAACTCTTCCAGGTCAGTAAAAGTTGGATCAGGAATTGAACATACTCATTGTTCAAGAAACAAACAAACAGAAAGAATAACTAGGTGTGAAAGAAGTGGATAATTATACTGAAGTTTACCAATTAAATTCCATGTAGAAAAATCATATTGTTTTCCTCTGAAAGCTGAGAAACACATTATTACATTACAATGAAGTTTCATTTGCGAGGGAATGAAGATTCAAAGATCTCCTTGGAAATGGAGATTCCAAGTTTATACATGGAAGACTATTCTACAAGGATACTCCAAAACTTAGTATTTGTAAATTAAATAGTACAATAGCAATTCTAAAATATGCAGGAAAAAAATGAAGAATGCCTAAAAATAATTTTAATGCCTCTCTTTCTAAATGGTTTTACTCAACTTAATTAACTGCTAACAAGTGTTTAAACTAGTTAGAAATAGATATATATGAAACATAACTCATATACACACAACCTGCTGTTAAGATTTTTTCTTTCCTTCTTTCTGTCTCTCAAAGCAATAGAATTTTGATTTGAGAATTATATATTTTGTATAGATTCTTGTTTAAAATGGAATTCTATTTTTGCTTAAAAAATGTCTAACTTTTGCTGCTTACCTAAGCTACAGCGTTATTTGAATTAGAGATATTTGGATTTAATATTTCTGCAGAAGCCCAGACCCCCATCCTTATTTCACTGGAAATAAAAAACCACAAGGGTCTATTTTCCCTCCTTAATCCTCATCCCTGAACTTTCCAGAGGGATGAAAAACAGTAAATGATGGACGCTTTATTACATGAAAGCCAGTTTGTAAATATCAAAAGGCAAATCAAATTTCTCTTTGTTCTGCAACCATAGAAAGACAGCAACATTTTCATTAAGGTACGAAATAAAAATCTGGGAGAAACCCATATACCTTAGAGTGATCTAAATTGAAATACTAAGATTCTAGAAAGAGGAGAACCCATCAGGACTTGATAACGATGTCAGTGAGAGAGCAGAGAGGAACATTCCTGACAGACCTCTCAATTAGAACACTAAGTTAACATCAATACTACTTACCCTTCTTTCTAGCCATACCTCCTGCCTTTTCCATTTTTTCCCTAAAATTCTTGCTGTCTTACAATATGTCACATGCTTCCACACACAAGGATTTGCACATGGCATTCCTTCTGCCTGGAATATTCTTCCTCCAACTCTCTCCACCCATCTTGAATGCCCCTGTGACTGTTCTAGTCCCCAGGTGCCATGTCTAATTCATATCTGGTGAGCACATAGCAGGTGATAATAATGAAGTAGAGATTAATAGGTAAACAGGAAATTACAATGTAGGGATTCAAGGACAATGATGGGAACACACAGAATGTCATGGGCATCCTGCCCAACCCTGCTCTGTGGTCCTGGCAGACATCCACATTCCTTTAAGCCACAGATTCCTGCTTCCCTACTTTATTGTTCCTACTTTATTGTTCTTGGTTCTAGGCTTTGGTAACTTGGAACTCAGCTCTGACCCTGGAAAACTTTTCTCACTAAATTCTTCAGTGAAATAATCAGACAATCCAATAGACTATACAGTAGGGGTTTTTTTAAATCTTTATATGCCTCATGTTATTCAATTCTTCTTATTGCCATTCATCTATATCACCACTGCTTGCCTATGGCATTCTCTATACTGGTTCCTGTTCCTCTATTTCTTCCTTACTCCAATGCCTTATGTATATGGCTGTCCTATTTGTCTTTCTGAAGAAAAAATCTTATTACATTGCTTTTATACTACTACTACTAAGAAAAACAGAAAAAGCGTATGTAATACAAACATAAGACAATTACAAAAACACAGAACCCAGAAAACAAAAGCACAAAAATACCCTGAGTGGTAACGAATACCCTTTATGAAATAGAACCACCTTTCTCACCTTACATTCTATTATTCCTATCATAAACTCCTCAAATCTCTTCCTTCTGAAAACAGCTCACTTCCCCAAGAGTTCCATTTGCTAATTCTTTTTCGTAGTAATGTGATAAGAGAGAAAGCTAACATTTTTTATTAACACTGATCGTTTGCAAATATAGTGCTAATTGACTTTATGTACTGAGATCCACACTTGACTGATTCAAAGGTCTGATTGCAGGAACGCTATGAAAGCAATAAAGGTGATAGTCTCAGGCAGAGGTGGGTGTGTGAAAGACGGCCTCCTCGCAGAGGCTAGACTCTAGCCCGTCCTTTGAATAACCACATGCACTGGGATTCTCCCTTAAGTGATCTGTGCTTTTCCTTTTCTTGAGGAACTTCCTCTGCTCCTGTTACAGCACATTTTGTTTCTCTATCCTTCTATTTCTACATGGTGGGACTTCCATTATAAGTGCATTCCTACCTCTCCTCACCACTCCTACCACCACCTCACCCTCCATTTTCTGCTTTCCATGGGGAAAGGAGTAAATTTAAGACAAGGAGTGGCACAGTGCCAGAAAGGCCCTTTTTCTTTTTCTTTATTGGAACCAACCTTTCAGCAAGATGGAGGATTCTGATCTGTCCTGTGACATCTGGCCTGCCTCTGTGGAGACTTCTATCCACTACTAGGAGAATATATCTGTCTAATTCCACAGCAAAGTATGAGGGAGCCCATTTTGCCTGTTCTACCCTTCATCCATAAAACAACTGCTTCTACACCTACCTGTTTGATTCTTGTCTCTTGCTTGGTTCCAAACTAAGAAGTAGATATGAAGTATTATTTTTTGGTCCTTTCCCTGCTCTAAACTTCCATGTCTTTAACTAACACTTTCATATCAATGATCCAAGATATATCTCATGGGGATATGGTTTCTATGATATTTTTTGTAAAGGGCTTTCAGAGTACCTTCTAGATAATCCATTCTAGGATCTTTGTTTAGTCTACGATTTCCAAAATTCAAAATTTCATCCCCTGAAATTCAAGTGAATGACCCTTCTCAAAACTAATCTCTATGCACAAAGATTATCACAAATATATATGCAATCATTATGGAAGTAATTTGCATAAGAGGAAATGTAATTTCTCTGGACCAGACCCTAAACACCAGTTTGTAGAGAGCATGCTGCATCCTCTCTTGAGAACAAGTTAACTTTATTTGATATATAGTATAGCAAATGCAAAATTTATGAAAGAACTAAAAACCTCTTGTTTCTGCAGCACAATTTGTATGCGATCTGAGGACATTTATTTAATAAAGGGAAGCTCTAAACAAATTTGAGTACATTTAAATTTTGTTCCCCCACCCAAATTGCCTAACCTGTCTACATAGATACATATACATAAAGTTTGATCTATGGTTATTTCATTTCTGTGTTAAATCTGATAATGTGACACATATTATCAGATGTGTCACAGGCCACATTATTGCCCTATTAAAATATTTGCAGCTTGAATACTGGTACATTCTATAGTTTTTACAAATCATTTAAAAGTTGCATTCCATGGAACTAGCAGGTAGTGCATTCAAGCTAGTGTCTACCATTAAACAGTGTACAATTGTCATAATTATCTACATTATTTTCCTTTAAATCATCAATCTCTGACTAAATTGCTTTAATCCATAGGTCCTGATATAGAATTCCTCTACTGAGCACAATTTTTTTAGTATAAGAAACTGACCAAATTATTAATTGATAAGACATAATTATAAAATCCACAGTCCCTTTAAAGTGGAACTTATAGAGCTCTAAAACATGTTTTTAAAAAACAAAACAATATAGTCCTAGTGGCACATTTGGTCATGATTTTGTCCAAATAAGACAAAAAGTTTGGGCATGCAGAACTTTGAATTTTATTACAGTATTTTTCTTTCCCAACATGTTTTAAACATATTATGGATACTGTTGAAATAGGGACAATTATGAAAAACAAAAAGGAAATAAAAAAAAGCATCAGACAGATTTATTACTTTATACAAATTGAGAAATTTTATAGCTGCCATTGAAAAAAGAAGAGCAGGACTATGTATTTTCTCTATAAGCAATATCGTGTGTGTGTGTGTATGCGCTCATGTGTGTTTTTCTTAAGTCCACAGAAGGCCAAGTGTCTCATTTTTCATCCCCCAGAAAAGGTAAGCCTTTTGATTACCTATTTAAAACATAGATTAGCAAATTTCTCTACTTCTTTATTCTCTTCTCTGGGTTCCTTCTATCTTCCCACCTTAACTAAAACTAGACTGTCTCATATGGTCTCTGTTTCCTCCCACCCTACGCCCTTGGAGTTCTCTCAGGTGACTTCTTTCTCCTATACTAAATGAGACTCAGTATCTGGAGACATCAGCCTTCATTGTTCTGATAGATTTTCTATATTGTCTGTAGGTCATTACTTTTCTACTCACTTTCATAAACTCCTTTGAAGCTCATTATATTTGGATTTTGTTTGTGATCATTTTTTCAATTTCATAATTATACTCACTCTCATTAATTGACAATTTGCAAAACTTACTTACTTTTTTCACTGATATCCTGTCATTATCTAAGGTACTTCCATGTCCACATGCAACACATGGATCGCTCGGTCCTTTTGCTTCTGCATCATGCCCAGTGATCCCCTCAATGAGTTATTTTTCTCCTCCTCAACTCCACTCCAGTCATTAGAACTGTGGCCACAAACCAGGTCTACTCCACATTTCACATAATAAAATCTTTAACTTCAAAACTCTATTCTTCTAGAAATCTCACTCGGTGATTTCCAATGCACTAGTTCTTCCATATTAACAGGGCCTTATAGATCAATGGGGAAGAGGCCATATCTGTTAAGTCTACTAAAATAGCCCTGAACCCTATACATAAACCTAAAAAATAATAGTTGCTCAATAAATATTTATTGAATGAAAGGATGAACCGTTCTACTTTCTCCTTAACTATAACTCTGTATTATCTGTCCTGAATGAGATTAGATTTCATGCTCAAAGATAAGTATTGGTTTATCTCAGAACTAAACTTCCTTGCTCAGCCCTCCTTTTGTCACACCTGCATGGCATGACTGCAAATAAGCATGGCTTAGTGCTGTTTAAGAACACATTCCAACACATTGACAGGGGTACGATATAAATACATTTTGAACGTCCATAGATCTTTCACCACTGCCCCTAGAAATCCTATTTTGTCTTCTTACTCAGCTCACACAGCCATTCTCTACCAGAAAACTGTCAAACCATTTCCACAAATCATTCCACCTCCTGAACTTTATCCTCAGTATCTAGCTTCATCTCACAACACAAAAAGTAAATAGAACCCATCAGATGGGAATCTCTCAACTTTTCATTGTCACACCTACTTTCTACAATGTACATTCCATATGGGAATGAACTTGCCCCCAGTATGCTGGATTCCATCTCTGTTTTCTCAGGAATATGAATTTATTGATGATCACCATTCCCCCATGCTTAATCTCTTTCTACTGGCTCCTTTCCATCAGCCTTTAAATATACTGAAGATTCTCTCCTCTTAATGAAGCAAAACAAAACAAGCAATACTCTCCCTAATTGCATGTTGTGTTTCAGTTTTGCCCTAACAGATTCCTTGCAGTTTAACTCTTCCAAAGTTGCTTTTTTCATTTTCTTTTTCCTCTATCTATAAGGAACCTACCATCAACTGGTTCTTATCTCCATCACTCTCCTGAAACTGCTTGCACCATGGCTACTATAGACATCTACATTAATAAGCAAAGTGGATCCTTCTCAGGCCTTATTTGCTTGAATGTTCAGCAGTGTTAGACATCTTCACAACTGTCTCTCCTCTAAACATCATTTTCCCTTGTGTTTCAGATTTTCATAGTTTTGACTTTTACCACTCGGACTGCTCCTTCTCTCTGCCCTTTGCTGGTTCCTTCTACTCTACCCACCCCTTAACTGATGGTATTCTTTAGGGCTCTGTTTAGTCCTCTTCTATTTTTGCTCTGTATACTCTCCACTTGAGTGATTTCATATAATCTTGTGCCTTTGATTACGGTGCATTTGTTTATTAATTACACATATGCCTCTCAGGTTTCTGATTTAATCTCTAATTTGATTTGATTAATATATTAAACTGTTAGAAAACTCCACTTTCTACTTGTAATTGACAAGCACAAAATTAAACTTATTTTATCCTAGTAATCTAGTCCTAAGGAATCCTGAATTGGGTCATGGCCCTGCATTCCCACTACACTACCTGATATGGTTTTAATTTGTGTCTCCACTCAAATTTCCTGTCAAATTGTAATCCCCAATGTTGGAGGAGGTGGCTGGTGGAAGGTGATTGGATCATGGGAACATATTTTCCCCTTGCTAATCTTATGACAGTGAGTGAGTTCTCATGAAATCTAGCTGTTTAAAGGTGTGTAGCATCTCCACTTTTGGTCTCTTTCCTCCTTCTCTAGCCATGTAAGACATGCCTGCTGCCCCTTTGCCTTCTGCCATGACTGTAAGTTTCCTGAGGCCTCCCCAACCATGTTTCCTATACAGCCTACGGAACTGTGAGTCAATAAAACCTCTTTTCTTCATAAGTTACCTAGTCTCAGGTAGTTCTTTATAGCAATGTGAGAACGGACTAATACACTAACCTAAAGCAGCCACTGATGCCTCTCATCTGGATTACTACTGATAGAAGCTGCTAACTCTTTCTTACACCTAGTATTTCTCCCCTTTAATTCATTCATCCTTGCCTCTCTTTAATTGTTGCCATAGTGATATTTCAAAACTGGAAAACTGATTTTTACATTTGTATTTTAAACACTGCAATGATTTCCCAATGATTTTAGGTAAGATCTAAAATTCATATAGTATTCCAGGCCTTCCAAAATCCAGCCCCACTTATATCTCTACAACTTCATTTGGAATCTTCCTCTTGCTCTCTATGTTCCAAATATATTGAACTCTTCTTATATTTTATGCACCCCTTCCCAATTCCTTTAATACGCTCTTTCCCTTGCTTCAAAACATTCTCATCCTCTTGGTCTGGTTAGTTTCTACTCAACTTTTCACTCATTGTGAAACCACCTTTGCAAAATTATAATAACAAGAGGACTCTAGCATGGCTGACACCATGTTGTTTCTAGCCTCACAGTCTGGCTGTCCTTGTTAATACCTGGGCATAGGCCTAGCTAACCATAGGAGGAATTTAGTTTATAGGTTAACTTTAAAGCAAGAATGAAAACGGTCCCTCTCTAAAATTAAGCCCCTCCTTGCTCAGGAACTGAAGTCCCCTTTGTAAGACTAATGAAAGTCTACAAGATTAGGATTATGGGAAGGGGGTGAATACTGCTAAGATGTAGGTGCAGTTTGCCTTTCTATAATCATTTACTGTGCCAGATGTCACACGATTTGTTACTTTTCCAATTGCTCCTATGGATAACATCAGTATTGTGGAACATAAAATTGGTCTTTTGAGATGTTTCTTAGACTTTTGCATTCTGGCAACCAAGTGACTCTGCCTGAACACATGACTCATGACTCAACTGGTCCTGTGGCCCCCACCCAGAGGCTGACTTAGCACATGAAGACCATTTTCCAAACCACTGTGATTTTATCCACAACTGATCAGCAGCATCCATTCCCTAGCCTCCTGCCCACCAAATTATTTGTAAAAACCCTAGCCTCTAAGCTCAACAAGTGGGCGAAGGATATGAACAGAAACTTCTCAAGAGAAGACATTTATGCAGCCAAAAGACACATGAAAAAATGCTCATCATCACTGGCCATCAGAGAAATGCAAATCAAAACCACAATGAGATACCATCTCACACCAGTTAGAATGGCGATCATTAAAAAGTCAGGAAACAACACGTGCTGGAGAGGATGTGGAGAAATAGGAACACTTTTACACTGCTGGTGGGACTGTAAACTAATTCAACCATTGTGGAAGTCAGTGTGGCGATTCCTCAGGGATCTAGAACTAGAAATACCATTTGACCCAGCCATCCCATTACTGGGTATATACCCAAAGGATTATAAATCATGCTGCTATAAAGACACATGCACACGTATGTTTATTGCGGCACTATTCACAGTAGCAAAGACATGGAACCAATCCAAATGTCCAACAATGACAGACTGGATTAAGAAATGTGGCACATATACACCATGGAATACTATGCAGCCATAAAAAATGATGAGTTCATGCCCTTTGTAGGGACATGGATGAAGCTGGAAACCATCATTCTCAGCAAACTATCGCAAGGACAAAAACCAAACACCGCATGTCCTCAATCATAGGTGGGAATTGAACAATGAGAACACATTGACACAGGAAGGGGAACATCACACACTGGGGCCTGTTGTGGGGTAGGGGGAGGGGGGAGGGATAGCATTAGGTGGTATACCTAATGTTAAATGACGAGTTAATGAGTGCAGCACACAAATATGGCACATGTATACATATGTAACAAACCTGCACACTGTGCACATGTACCCTAAAACTTAAAGTATAATAAAAAAAATAAAAAAATAAACTGGATGCATAAATAAATTAAATAGTATGTTAAATAGTAATAAGTACTAAGAAAAACAAGCAGATATACCAGGCAAATTCAAAATGTTCATATTATGTATTTGTTGGTTAGTTGATTGTTTTTGCAATTTTACTTGGAGCTATGTCCAGTTGGTTCTCCTTTGCTTGAATATATTTAGGAGATCAGGAGGCTAGCCACTTATCTACATCAGGGAAGAGCATTTCAATAGAGGAAATAGCAAGTTCAAAGGTTCTGAAAAACAACCGTAAGTATTGTGTTTCTATCATAACAGGGTCAGTAGGGCCAAAGCAGAATGAGCAAGAAGATTGGTAGAAAATAAATTCAGATAGTAAGTAACTGGGCCAGACCATATAGACATTAACAGACATTGGAAGGATGTTGGATCTTACTCTGAATGAAGTGGGAAGCTACTGGATGGTTTCATGCACTCTAGATGCTGAATTGAGAATAGACCCAAAAGCAGTAAGGATGGAATCAAGGAAGTCCGTTAAAAGGCAATTGCAACAACGCAGGCAAGAACTTAAATAAAAATAATAGGAGTGAAGATGGTGATTAGTTGTGTGATTGGGGATACATTTCAAAAATTGAGCTCTTATGATATGTTAAAAGAATATATGTGGGATATTGGAGTAAGAGAGATCAAGAATGTCATCAATATTTTTTGCCTAAGTACATAAAAGAATGTAGCTGCTACTTAATGAGATGTGACATGAGTCAGAAAGTTAGATTGAATATAGTTCTGGAGCTAAACTATATCAATTTCTAGTATAGGATTCAATGTAGTGCAAAGTCTTCCTGCAGCCAAGCCAGGGTAGCTCCATTTTGGCATATGTTGCATCAATGTTAGACATATCCCTTTATTAAACACTTCTAAGTAATTCCCCTTTGTTCTGACTCTGCAGTATTGACAGCAGAGAGCTCTGTACTGATTTTATTGCTTATAATCAGTCATACAGAATGTTACTGTGGATCAAGACCTAGGCAAAAATTTAATGAAAAGAAAATAATATGTGAATATCTGTGTGTATATACACGCACACATACCCCCACACCTACAAAATGTATTTTACCTAAACAATGTATTATCGAAGTATCTAAATTTTGATACTTTGATACTGGGAAGACAAAAAAACAGTTTTGAACTTATTGCAGACATTTAAGAAAATCATTTTAAAATGGAAAAAGTCATTTTTAGATTTAAGAAAAATTGCCATTTTCTTTGAAAACCACCATTACATATACCAGAATACACAAATCAGTGCATAAATTCAAGGAGAAACATATGTATAAGTAGATGTAACAGCTTAAAGCCATGGATGAAATGCCTGCTGTGGAGGCTGAGTGTGGTAATCAAAAGTAAATGCTGCTGAGGAGTTTCTCCCAAATCAAACCAGGGAACTAACCTCATCTCTTCTTCTTCTTCTTCTTCTTCTTCGTTTTTTTAATTCTTATGGATAACTCTGATGCAAGACTTAAGCAGTGCCTCAAAATTAAGAGCAAAGAAATAGAAGAGAAGATCCACGTAACTCTTCATTTGTCTGTAAAAGTTAAAATCCTACTCAAACACAGCTAAATAAGATTCATTCAAAAAATAATATACATTTACATTTGAGTTTTAATAGCATTTCTCTGCTCTTTTATAACAAAATGCTGAAGTTTTAACAACCAAAACAATTAATTAAAAGTAAATCCTACTCTTTAATTCTCAGGGATGCCTGATACCATTTGTTTAACATGGAATGAAATAGGATAAATGGGATGTACTTTTATACTCTGATTTGAGATGTCTTTAGTAGAAACTTACATTGTGACTGAGCTTGCTTATGCTTTGATCACAGTTCCTATGGTGAAGACCCGTACCACACATTTTCAGAAATAGTTTTCTGGAATCTTTTTGTTGTTAGGGTTATAAAAGACATACCTATCTTGTTTGGCTTTGAATGGTAGTGAATCTGCTAAGATTCACTGCTTTCTCACGCTATAAAGTAATTTGCCATTAACGTAGATCCAGATGAAAAAGCGAAATGTCAATAGGACCATATAAAAACAGAAAATGATTTGCAACTTTTATGATGGATCTTTATTTGGTTAATTAGTTTTTAAAATAAACTGTCATGTATTTTAAATAGACTTATATTGGTATATGTTAAGATGTTAATGGTATCTTCCATGTTTATACATGGCCATGAAATAGAGATGCTTGTATATATTGTATTGATTTAAACATACGCAGTTGTGTAAATGTGGGTGCAGATCTCTAGCTTTCCCTGAACCAAACTGTAGATTCAGTGTTTCTTTACTGGGACTCCTAAAGGGAATTATTTATTCTCAGTGGATCTGTTTTTAATCTATAAAATTGGGATAATAATAACTAATATTGTTGCAACATAAAATTTTACAGTATGCCTCTATTACAAATATATTGAAAATAACTTGGAAAATGAATCTTATGAATTAATATTACAAGAAACAAAGCTCACTAATTTGAATTGTTCTTTCATTGTGTTATCAAACAGTTTTATCACATTTTAACTATTTAAAAAATAATTTACTTTTGCTTTATAGAGAAACAAGATGATGTAAAATAGTTTCCATAAAAGCTAAATTTAAAAGGAGTTTGATGTATGCACTGCCAAATATCCTACACATTTTGGCAAAGTTATGCAGCACTGAATGATACAGTCGATTTTGGCAGCTGGAACCAGAGTTGAAAAGGGAGCTCTGAATAAAATATTTTACTTTATATTTCTAATAGAAAATGAACCTTTCTATTAATAATTTGACAATGACAATCCATCACGCCTCACCTCATCTACACCTTCTACCACACATCATCATTTTAAGTCGCAGAAACAATGATTAGGTGCAGCTGTAAAACACACTGATTCATAATGAAAGGTTCATTAGTCAGCTAACATGAGCACCATCAAAAAATTGCACAATGAAATCCGGGATTTCCCTTTTGCCCACTTTTTGGTACTCAGTCTGTTTTGGCCTGAGGTCTGCATGCAGACAGATGCCCAGAATTGATTTTTTTTGCACCCTAATGGTTCCCTTTCCCCTTTTGCATTAACTTGATTGAGGTGGACAATGATTGTGCTGATATTCTAAATGGATTGTGACTCCCCCGTGGAATACCTGAATCAAGGAGAAATGCAATTTGGGCCGACATTTTTTCCACATTGGCTGTTTTATCTGCAAATACCATGTGAATCCTGAGCAGGGTATGAGTAGTGCTGAAATTAACTGTTTCCCACTTACATCGTCTTCAGTAGTCTGAAGAAAATAGCACTGACTTGGGAATCATAAAACATAAATACCGCATCCCTAGTGGGTCTCATGTTTTCTAGATTACCCTTTCAGTCATCTAAGAATAATTCCTCAGGTCCTGGCCCAGTCTCTCTCGTAATGAAAACCAGAGGTTTGGCACACAGCTCTAGGCAAGGCTGCTGGAGCTCTGACAAGAGCGACGTGATACATGCACCACGAACAGGCAGCAAGAGTTCCCAGGCTCACTTCACAGGCATCCAAATTACTTTTGCATTTAATCTTACACCCCTGGTGCTGATATTATTTTACATTATAAGTATTGTCTTTCCAGTGAAAATGTAGGCTGTCACGGAGAAGAATATTCTTATTTTACCAGGAATGAAGCAGGCAGGGCATACATATTTGCAAATGTTGGGCCTTTGAGATTCTTGCCAGTATCACCAGGTATTCAATTTTGACTCTCTTAAACCTCTCATTCATTCCTTTCCCAGCATCTCTATGCCTTTCCTCCTCTTGTTTGCTCTCTTGTTCTTTTCTAGGCCATTTTACTTTTCATTCTAATAACAGCAATCCCCCTTCTTGATCCCTTTTACCCTACAAAGAGTTTGAAATCACAAAATGATAACACTCATAATAGGAGAAGGAAGAGTTCAAAACAATGATCCAGTGGGGAATAAGTTAATAAATAAATCACCTATAGAAATACTTATTATAAGATAGACATTCATTTACTACTCTTTCTCAAAATTCATTTGGGGCCCAAAATGTTAAAATAATTGATAAAAACTCTTACCAACTTTGGACAATGAGTAGATGTGAAATACTATATAAGAGTTTCCTGTTTCAAGAAAGTGAAAAACATAAAATTGTTCAAGAAAATATACTTAAAAGTACATTTGATATTTCTAATATTTTAAATAAATGACAGAGAAACATCTCAAAACAATAATTATAGGTATTCCCGTATCAATACGAATTGTTTATTCATAATAAGATTAATATTTCTCTGAGGATACACCCATTGCTTTTTATTTCCATTAACAGTCTAACCCTCTTTACCTCATTACTGTAAGAGCTTAGTTATCGGTATCTCATTCTTTGGTCCTTAAAATAAACTTGATGTTTATTTTGTCTTTTAGAAAACTTTTAAATGACACTCCATGTCTACAGCTGTCTTCAAACTGAAAGCAAGCTTCCTAAGGTGTTTGTAAGAAGTTCTGAAGTGTTGTAAGAACTTGTTACTCCAAGTATGGTCAAGGGACCAGCAGTCTCAGAATCATCTGGTAGCTTGTAAAATGCAAGCTCTCAAGTTTTAACCTAGGCCTGTTGCATCAGAATCTGCAAAATGTTTTCCAGCTGTTTCATGTGCACATCAATTTTTGCTCATATATTTTTATCTAGAAAATAAGAACTACATTAAGCAGTATTAATTTTTAGTGCAACAATTGATAGTGGAAATCTCACTCAGTTCATTTGGTATATATACTATTCTGTAGGCAGGTCAAGATTAACCAATGCAAAGCCATGCTCAACCTTTTCATATACTGGAGTTTAATGTATTGGAGTTTTCCTATACATTGATAAAGAGAAGGCAGGAGTATATAATCTAGAGTGGCACAAGCCAATTTTTCCCAAACAAATATATGACTTGAAAAGTATATAGAAAACATGAATTGAAGGCTGCACAAAGTGTGCAAACTCAAATGAACAAGAAACTGACAAAGCTGATTCATTTTTTCCTGGTAAAAACTCTCTTTATGCCATATTATGGGGTAGAAGACAATGACAATCTAGCCATAGCTAATGAGAAATTGATAAAAAATTAAATTAGAGAATATTATTTGAATTATGATTTGCATCAACTATTACTATATAAATGCATTTTGTACTTTGAGGTTTGCATTGATCAAATCCTAATATTCCCTGAAAATATTATATATACCAAGTAGACTGAGAGAGGCTGCCAGTATCAACTTGTATACTAAATATTAGTAACATGTAATGTGTTTATTTTCTAATAGTTTCAGGCTTCTCAGTGAGCAAGACAGTTTAAAACTAAAAATTTTATTAGTAAAGACCAATTGCTTCCACTTTTCTAATAATATTAAACAGCATAATAAACCATCACTTATCACTTTACAGAAATTTCCTAAAGTAAATAATATTTTGAAGTATATTTTCTAATTTCTACCTTAAAAATGAAATAAATAAAAGATGAAACCATATCATTAAAGAAACATTTCTTCTGCCCTGGTCAAAAAAAATGACTGAAATGATATCTAGACAACACTATCATAAAAACTTAAATAGATTTGTGAGTAAACTTTATGTGGAGGAAGTTACACAGACAACGTTGCTGAAGAGACAGAAGAACCAGCATATCAAATTATATAATTTGGGAAGGTTGTTCATTGTGGGATGCAAAAACAAACATTTATATTGTTTTAGCTTATGAAAAACATCATTTGAGCTAGTAAAAAGATGTGTGGAGGAAGTTATGTCCTTAATCGTGTATGACACTTAACAAAAGTGGTGTTTTGTGGTGAAAAAATTACTGTTAGTGTAGCCACTGATGAAGTAGATTCTGGAGTAAGGTTACCGATACACAGCACCGCAAATAACATTCACTCATTGTATTCCTGGACAATAAATGCAGGAGAGAAACTGAAGCAAGAAAGGCCCCAACTGCTACAGGCTATTTTAGAAATATTTAAAAATAAACAAGCAAGCAAACAAAAAACACGATCTATACTAAATTCTTAATTATACTCTGTAATAATAGTGGCAGTGAACACAAGCATCATTTATACTACAGGTTGTTTTGTTGGTTTTCTCATGTAAATAACTTAAAAGAAGCAGATTTAAAGGTAGCAGATTTAAAGATCTAAAGATTGAACTGTTGCCTTTTATAAGGAAAGAAATCCATTCATGGCCTTCTAATAGAATGTTACTTAGCAGGTGATACGGAAATACTGGAAACACAGTTAATCTGTTTTTCCAAGGCAATATTTTTAAGCAACTGAAGTACCCATGGATACCATGTACACTTATGTTTGGAAACAAAATTTTTTCACTTGTTTAAAAATATTTTAGATAAAGTTTAGTAGGTTTTAGATGCATTTGCTTAAAGTTCAGAAAAAAAAGTCTTCCAGTCCTTTTGCCAAATAACTGATTGACCTTAGCAAAGATAAAACATAACTAGCTTAGGAAATGCTGAAATTTTCAACATCAACAACATCACTTTCTACAATTGGTGAGTGAATCTGAAATGACTGTAACGATTTAACAAGAATGGAGAATGAGAAACTTTTTCCATTTAGATTTACCTGTTTTGTTGTGAAATTATTTTGCACACAAGACAGCTTGCACCAAAATTTAACTGAACTCAGAACCAGAACTTTGAAATATTGTATTACAAAATGTTTAATCAGAATTAAAATTTAAAAATGAAGCATATTTTTAGAAATCATAATTGATATTTAAATTAATGATTAACAAAATCGAGTAATATTCTTGTAATTTACATTTTTGTATTTCTCTTCTATAAAGCAAAGAAAAATAAATGGAGTTCCTGGGGAATACTGAATGCACTCTGAACTTCACAATCTTCCTTTTTTCTTTTTAATTTATATTTATATTATTGTCTTATAAAAGTTCATGTTTTAAAATACAGTTAAAGCGTTATTTACGTAATGTATTATAATAAATTTAATTGTGATACAAATATTCTAAAATTAGTGTTTGACTATCATTATGTTTTTATTTTCTCATTGCTTTATCTTTGGTTGAAAATATGAATACGAACTGTTTTCTTCTGCATCTTACTCTCTTCACCCAAACATTTTAGCTAAGTAAATAGTTATCCACCTGTATACTGATTGGCAGCCATAACTCATGTTCAGTTCTTTTATCATTGAATCAATGCTCTATTCATCACCGGCAGCCTTCTAGGAGTCACCCATTTTTGAGCACTATTTTCTGTTGAATATCCCCTTTATATTTTCTTTTCTGTCTCCTGAGATTCACTTAATCCACTGATTGTTCCTCAGATTTATCTTGTAACCCACCAATTTGTCCTCAACAAGGTGATGGCAGTTGACCTTTTTATTCATATCTCTTTCTGTCCGCTATGACAACTTTCAATTTCAGTTAGCTACTCTACTGCAGCTTCCTCAACATATACCATACATAGTCTTATTTTGCAGTTTGCTCTATTTCATCCTTAAAAAATGTTTTTTCTTGGCCTCTCTGCATATATAAATTGTTTATTTCCTTTAAGACAGTTTATATTTAATTTTGTCTCTTTTCAATATACTGAACTTATTTCCTTTCCTTAAATCCTATAGTATTTATTCCCTATATTGATAATTTGACAGTAAATCCCTTATTTCCTTATGCTATATAGTGTCATATTTTACTGTTGCCCTATTACAGACATTGATTATTTTACTCTTTATTTTCTTAACTTTCATAATCATAAGCTTTTTCTCTATGAGGTTTCAACTTCCTTGAATGTAGGTAACTCCCCTGATTATTGTGCATTCCCAAAAGTACCTACCATGCTGTTGACAGAAAATAGATTCTTCTTAATAAGGTCTTATTAACTTGGAAGAGATTTGTCAAGTAAATATAATAGATATGCTTATTTATAAGTCATAAAATTAAGGGCTTTAACTACTTCCATAATGTCTCAGAGTTACTAATAGAAGTTACATATTTATGGTAGATTGTTAACGTCAATTGCTTGAGTTCAAAAATTGATCTTATTTCCAATATCTCAAGACAATTTTTTACTGTTTTATCCTGCAGTGTATTTTATATCATGTGTGGAGTTTGAATAGGTTCTAATTGCCTGATCTAAATAAATAATGCAAGCAATAAGCCAGGCAGCAATCAATGCACCTATAAATCAGAAACATACTGTAGTTGAAATGATGGAGGAAATCAAGGTATAGACTAAATCTCACACAGCCTTTGCAAAAGAATCTAATTTGTGTTTGTGGGAACAGAGAAATCTTGTTGATAAAAGAAGAATTATGAGACATGGCATTCCATCCCTCTGCTTTAGAAACGTTATTTAAAATCATTGTATATCTGCTGATTTTAATTGTTATCAAAATTACAGAACCCCAAGTCCAGCTTATTTTAGCATCAGAATCCTTAGTACACTAGTGTTTATGACATGTTGCTATGTGTTCCAGGCATTTTAGCAAAATTAATAAATGAATATTCACACATTTATGTATATATTAAGAACAATGCTACTTATTACTTAAGGATTTAAAAAAATGTTTCTCTAAAAAAGTTCCTTACTGTGTAGATATAATATTAGCTGAAAAAAGAGATAATGCTGTTTATTGAGCATCAGATGCATGAGTACATGTTTGTTCTTTTGAAAAATGAACACGTATTTTTATTTTAATAGAAGATCCACACAACACCCTTTGGTTATCCTACTGGAGTGAGATTTTGAAAAATTTACCATGCATTACTTCAAGTATGAAAATGCCTAATCTTAAAATGTAAATAGATGAACTGCAATTCAGAAATGTAAAATACAATGATGAAAACCAAGTTCAGTCAGCCATGTGGCATACTGCCGGACGCATAGTGCAAAGTGAGTGAAATCATGTTAAACATGAAAATAATTCTTATTCATAGGCTTAACCCCAAAGGGATTACTCTTCCAAGCTTGTATATCAGTGTCCTTTTACTTTCAAAATATTCCAGCACGTTTTAGAATGAATTGTATTTTACACTGTGCCGGTATTATATAGTTTATGTATAAAACACAAAATAAAACATTTACATATACAGTGAAGAGTTTTCAATTATTTATAAAACCACCACTTCCACCACCACCACCACAATAGCAAATTTGTTTTCAACTCTATCTTATCCAGAGTTAATTATCTTTACAGCTTTGAAAGTAGATGTAAGGGTTGTGGCAGCAGCCTTTGTAAGATTATCAAATAGAGGTTAGGGCATATGAACCATGGCTGAAAGCTTATTTCTTTAGATGATTCATTTTCAAAGTTTGTAACCTGTATTCCTCATACAGATTCTTTTAAAAATGCTTTCAAACAATGCAATTTCAAAGAAATATGTGCATTGGGATGACCCTGTACCACTTATTAGCATTGAACTGCCATATACCATAATAAACTTTTCATAAACATAGTTTATGGAACATAAATATCTAAGCAGTATTTGGTAATGTTACCAGGAAATGTAACTAACATACTAGTATGAGAATATATTGACAGCCTCTGGAGATATTTCTATTATTTAGTCACCAACTAACAAGTCAACCCCATCTCATGTTTTCAACAATACAGTGATTTCTTTCCTCTGCTGGGTCCTGTCCTGTAATAAAAATCAATCAGTGAATTGGTGTTTCCTATTGAAGCAACTGAATGACAGGAATGAGTCTTACATACTCATGGACTGTAAGTGTAAGCTATTCCACTTTATATTATGTCAGTAACAGCCCTGTTGTTATCCCCATGAATTTTCATTTGATAGAAATTACATCTTGATTTATATACAGTGGTCAATACATCATTATGTTGATGTTGGGGGTTCTTAAATGACATTTAATGTTAAAAATCCAGAAAATATCTATGCATAAGGTGTGTGAAAAAAGATAAGATATATGGGTTCAAAAATAATGGAATTTCAAGAGTTTTGGATAACTTTATCTGATCCTTTATATCTTCCATTTAGGTGTTTTGAGGTAGAGAAAAGTGGCAATGGGATTGATCTGGCTGATATAATGACTGTGACTGTGTAGAAAAATGCACCCTGTGGTAGACAAGAGGCAGCGTCTACACAGAAGGCAGGAAGTGAAGATCTGAAGCATTGGGTCCTTTACTAAATCAGTGCTGAGAGCTCCACAATGTTGACAAAAATGTGGGATCTGAATAAGAACAATTAAGAATAGATAGCTCCATAGAAGGCCGAAATTAAGGTCACAAACATCTCAAGCAGTGTGGTTTCTTCTCATAGTAACACTGCTCATGATCTAGTTGATATACAAAGATATTTTTCAGTTCATATTTAGAAAAAATTTATACATTGTTAATGACACTATGGATTGCAACCTTCTCTCCCTCTACACTCCTATGTCTGGCTACTATATTACCTTCCTTCTTTTGTTATATTTCCCTTCACAGACCCTTTTCCTTTTCACCTTCTTAAAGGCATATTTCTAGGGGCTCTATTCTTTGTCTTCCCTTCTAACCTCTTTCTAGGATCTCTCCCTTGGAGACTCCCTTGAGTCATCTCTTCAACCCCTTCCTGTTGATTAGATGTCATGTCCAATTAGCCCCCAAATCCAAGGAAATTCAACTATAAAATGTTTTGAGAAAATAGCTTTCTTTCTAGTGTTATTTCTGTAGTTAAAACATTACTTAATTGTTGCTCTCTTTTAATGGCCTCTAACTTAAAATTTTGCCTCGCCCCAAACCATGCACACACCACAGGCAGGTGAATTATTCCCGTTGCACAACCTCTAATCATTGGAACAAAAATTTCCTGGATCTCTATTACCTTAAAAATAAAGTGCAAATTACTGGTACAAAATTAAATATGTCCATAACCTCAATTCAAACTATTTAATTTAAAGGCTTTTCATCCTCTACACTCCAGAAAAATAAGAACCAATGTCTCACATACGTGGTCAATCTTTTTCCATATCACTCCTCCAAAATATCTGCCTTACGTTTTCTTGATAATTTTTAACTATCCAATAAAATTAGCACCTCCATAATTAATTCTTTGCTATTTTCCAACCTGACATGTCGTATCTCGCTCTCTCAAACACCTGTAGTATTCTTTTGTTTTCTGTCTTAGAACATTGTTAATGACCTTATTTTGCTACTATTATTTGTATAAACATTATTTTCTTATTCAGAATGTAAACATCCTAAAGAAAATTTTTTTCCCCATATTCAGGGATTTCAACTTTTCATTTCATACAAGGCATAACACAGTGCTTCACCATATTTCCTGAAAAGTATGAAAGCTCAGAAAAAGGGAGAAAGTAATTGAATAAACCCATTTTTTCAACAATGCATTTTCCAGATGATTTTATAGTCATTTTTTAGGATTTTATTTTGGTCAACGAATTTATTGCTTAGAGGACCAGATTTGATTATATTATTTTTACTGAAGACTGTACTTATGGGACTTGCCCACCTATATAAGTTGTAACATTTTTCTGTAAGAACCCTCTGCTTCTTCAAATAAGTCTTCTTACATGTTCAAATTCCGTTTCTGAAATGCCTTCTAACTTCTAGTTGATTATATCACATATAGTTCCAGCTCAAATTCTTAGTACTCTTGGAGTGTCACCAAATCATCCTGGGCAGGATTTTTCTTCTCTTCTATAGTCACAACACTTTGTCACTTATTTGGCACTTAAGAATATATTAGTTGGTGGTATTTTTGGTGTTCTATGGTGTTATAGTAATATAACATTTTACCCGTATATTAAAGAGAGGAGGGAACAATATAATTACAGGTTGAGCATCCCTAATACAAAAAATCCAAAATCTGAAATGCTCCGAAATAGAAAACTTTTTGAGTGCCAACATGATGCCACAAGTAGAAAATTCCATACATAAGCACTTAAACAAACTTTGCTTCATGCACAAAATTATTTGAAATCTTGCATAAAATTACCTTCAGGCTATGTGTGTAAGGTGTATATGAAACATAAATAATTTTTATGTTTAGACTTGATACTATTCCCCAAGAAATCTCATTATGTATATGTATTTCAAAATCTGAAAAAATCTGAAATTCAAAACATTTCTGGTGATAAATATTTTGGATAAAATATACACAACTTGTGGTATCCTCTCAAGCACAAGTTTTATGAACTAGAGCCTCAAAACTACTTTCTGTTTCATCTAAATGTGTAAGAAACAAAAGTTGAAACAGTCTAATATAATGCTAAAATTGTTAGCATTCATAATTGGGTAGATAATGGCAAGTTTGATTTATGGGAAAACATTATGAGGAATGCTTTATTATAATATAAATTGACATACTTAGTAGACATGGAAAATTGACATACACATGAAAATATTCTTCATTATGTGAAAAATATATGACCAGAAAAATGAAATCAATACTACTGGATGTACTGTACTTAAATGGCAGTGTATTTACTTCTAGTGTTATATTAAACATATTTAAATATGTTGTTTTAGATACCCACATATTAAATACTTACATAGTTCTAAAAGTTCAACAATGCATTTCTAATATTCCTAATGTATACTAGATTTTCATATTAATATCAAGGCAAAGAACCACAAAATACAGTGTTTATAGATATTAAGTGAATATTTTTCTAAAGATGCATATGTAGAGAGAGAAAATAAAGCTTATTTGGCTAAATTTATAGAAGTATCTATGATATTTCGAAAAATAATAATTAGCTATAAAAATAAACTAGGTCCACATGATAGGAGTAAGAGCAAATATTTTCTATTTAGTAATATTTAATATATTTGATGGCCAGGCATGGTGACTCACACATGGTAGTCCCAGCTACTCAGGAGGCTGAGGCAGGTGGATCACTTGAGATCAGGAGTTTGAGGCTACAGTGAGCCATGGTGGTGCCACTGCACTCCAGCCTGGGTGACACAGCAGACTCTGTGTGTGTGTGTGTGTGTGTGTGTGTGTGTAAAATAAATAATATTTTCAAGACAGGTAAACATGTTAAATATAGAACTCAATTAGGCTTTTATTTATAGGACTATTTAAAGCTATTGTAAGGCTATAATAAGAAAGTTCTGAATAATGTTTTTATCTTTTCTGTACCCAAATCATAAGGAAAACCATCATTTATGTTGAAATGTAAAATAAAGGGCTAAGCATACCCTTGTATCCTCCTGTATATAAGTGGAAAACTTAGAAGTCCCAAATGATGAAGAAAAACACATTCTGGCTTTCAAAGAAAGTGAAAAACTGACTCTTTGAAAGTACTTGATATGGTTTGACCATGGCCCCACCCAAATCTCATCTTAAATTGCAGTTCCCACAATCCCCACCTGTCATAGGAAGGATCTGGTGGGAGATAATTGAATCATGGGGGCAGTTTCCCCCATCCTATTCTTGTGAAAATGAGTAAATTCTCACGAGATATGATTTTTTATAAAAGACTTCCTCCTTCTCTGGGCTCTCATTCTTCTCTCTTCTGCTGCCACGTGAAGAAGGACATGTTTGCTTTCCCTTCTGCCATGATTGTAAGTTTCCTGAGGCCTCCCCAACCATGTGAAACTGTGAGTCAATTAAACTCCTTTCCCTTATAAATTACTCAGTCTTGGGTATGTCATTATTAGCAGCATGAGAACAAATGAATACAGCACTTTAGTATTTATTTCATTTTGCTGACATAAGGAGGAGAACATTTTATACACCTGAATACAAGAGGACTGGGAAGGTCAGATCAGACTGAGAGAACTGGCTGCTTCTGAAGACAGAAGCTGTTTTATGTGTGGTGGTGGTGAGGGATGAAACTGGTGACACTTCTTTTGGGCTTAACATCAGCATAGGGCACGGTGAGGCTCTTAGCCAGGCTTGATGTGTGAAAGGTCACCAGGCAGAATGGATGGAGTAAGGAAGAAGACAGAGGACTATGCAAGACCATTCTGATGCCATGCCTGTGCCCCGTCCTAGAACTAAATTTACTACACTCACGCAGTTCCTGGAATCAGTAGATATTTTACAGAAACTCTGTGCAAAGGTGCCATTTTATGTTCAGGTGCTCAGGGAAACCTGAAACAGTAGCAAACAAGTCATAAACTAAGGACAGGGATCCAAACTTTCATAGGCCATAACTTTGTGTCATATTTGTCATATTCTCCAATGAGCAAGTTCTAGAAATTTTGGGGCTATATATTATAGTTTCATCATTTTCTATGTATAAATTAAAACAAGTTTAAAAATGAAAGATATTTCAAAAGATACCCACAGATCTAAGAGCAGAGGGTGACTCCAAACAATTCAAGTTCTATAGAGTAGAAAATGATAATTTTCAAAAATATTGTACTAATTAGGGCAGCCAGTATGATCAGTGAGTATCACTATTTAGTCATAAATGAACAAATAAATATAAGCCATGACTCATCAAGGAACCTCAGTGGAGTTGGGAAAATGGTAAACTGCATGACTCTCTCATTATTCTAGATGCTTACATCACTTAATGTATTTCATTTATGGTATTTATATATCTATATCTATCTATCTAATAGTTTAATTTGATATGGTTTATCTTTTCTGTTGGAATCTAAGTTTATTGAGTGCTAGATCTATGTTCACTTAATCATTACACAGACTGAGCATCCCTTATACAAAATGCTTGGGATAAGAAGTGTTTCAGATTTTGGATTTTGGAATATTGGCACTATATTGATTGAGCATCCCAAATCTGAAAATCCAAAATCTAAAATGCTCCAGTCAGTATTTCCTTTGAGCATAATGTTGGTGCTCAATAAGTTTTGTTTCTTCAAGCGTTTCAGATTTCAGTGTTTTCTGATTTTGGAGGCTCAACTTTTATTCATAATAGTTCTTAGAGTATTATTTTACGATATATGTAACACAATAGCATCTCAGCAAACACTGGTTAACCCAATATGAATCAAAAGAATATAGGTAAGATAGTGCTAGCAATACTTTACTCTTCTTTTGAAGTGGCAGTATGATGTAGTTGTTAACCATGTTAAGTTTTGGAATTCTCCACTTACTAGCTTAAAGTTAAGTTTCTTAAATTCTTTGTGCCTCAGAGTCCTCGCTCTAAACTGGTGAAACTTGTGGTAGGCAGAATAATGTCTCCTCCCCGCAATCCCTATGATCTGTGATCACAAAGTTCATTTAAACTGGAAGGGGCAGAAGAGGTCAGACAGGGAGATTTGAAGATGCTATGCCACTGGCCTTGAAGATGGAAGAAAAGGCCACTAAACAAGGTATGTAGGTGGCCTCTGGATGCTAGAAAAGGTAAGAAAATGTCTTTTCCTCCAGAGCTTTAAGAGTAACCAAAGTCCTGCCATTACCTTGATTGTTACACAGTGAGACCCACTTCAGACTTCTGACCTCCAAAGCTGTAAGATACCACATTTGGGTTCTTTTAAGCCACTAAATTCATGTTAATTTGTTACAGCAGCATGGGAAACTAATACAATACTAATGGATGCATCATAGTGACGTTTAGAGGAATCATAAATGTGAAGCATGTAGATCAGTGTTGGCCTCATTAGTGTAATTATTTTTATTCGGTGGCCCAAGTAACAAATGTTATACTCTTCATGAAGAAAACAAACCTTGAAAGACATACATAATTTGACTATGGAGAAAGTAATAGCATAAGGAAAAGTGAAATCCTAGGGATAAGAACATACTTTAAGAAGCAAGGAAATTATAATGTTTTAAGAAACATGACATAAATTTAGATAGCTTTAATAAGGCCAGTGAATAAGAGCCTTGAAATATAGACAATGGAATTAAAATTTAAGACAGTGTTAACTTGAAGGTCCTTAAACACTTCTATGCATGGAATAACACTTATAAGTATTTTAAAAAGTGGGAATAGACTAAAATAAAGAAAACTATTTATGAGAGCATTTCTGTCTTACAGGCTAAAATATGCATGTAATATAGGGATGAAGAAAGTGGAAATGGAGAAAGAATATATTTAAATTAATTATTGATAGCCAGATGAGTACCATTCACTATCAGCCATTACATTCTAAAACATCATCATCTCTTTCTTTAAAATTTTTTTTTAAATTTGTATTTTTTTTTATAGAAAGAGGGTCTCACTATGTTCCCAGGCTTGTCTTGAACTCCTGGTCTCAAGCAATCCTCTCACCCTGGCCCCCAAAGTGATGAGATTATAGATAGGCATGAACCACAGCACCCAGCCTCATCATCATCTCTTGCCTGGTCAACTTCCTAACTGGTGTTTCTACTTTTCTTCTTACACCTGTCGTACCCTGCTTTCCCCAGAAAGCAGAGGTAGGACCAAAGCTTATGTGCTTCTCTTGTATCAGAAGTGCAATGCCAAGGATGCAGGAATAAGGGAAAAGGTAGGTGAGGCAGAGAAGGTGGAAGAGCTAATAAGAGGGTGTGTTAACGTGCTAGCTTGGTATCAAAACAATGGATTGCTTATTCTTCTAAGGTGACATTTTAAGAGACCACAAGAACTCCACCATCTCCTGACAGTCTGTCATGAGGGAGGAAGAAACTTTTATTCACTGGCTCCCTTCTAATGATCAAAGATTCAACTTGGACACATAACTCTCCTACAACTCCAGATTATGCTTACAGGGACACTAGTAAGATCCCACACGTCTCACTCCTCAGTGGCTTCAAGGTAGTCCTAGGACAGTCATAAGGCACAGGCAAGAGGAAGGCAATGCTGGGCTATACCCACATTAATTTGGAAGCCATGATGGCCGGGACAAAATGAGTGGTCAATGATCCCAGAGACGGGGACAGCTGAGCATATCTGACGAGGTACATGAGAGAAATTGTATACACCTCCCTGCACTCCTCTATCTACATTGCACAGTGATCATTGTGGAAGCTAAATGAAGATTGTGTCAATCTCCAATAGCTCCCTTACATCTGTAACACAATTCGGATCTCTACCTTGACACCAGATTCTTCAGCTACATCTCCTTTTTGCTTAATATTCTCCAGCTGTGGTGGTCTTTTTGCTGTTTCCCAAACATGCTGAGCTTCTTTTCCCCCTCAGCAGCTGGACACAGGTGTTCCCCTTCCTGGATATAGCCTGACCTAACATACTTAAATCTTAGCATGCCTCCCTTGGGTCATTCTGGTCTTTTCTCAAAAGTCACCTTTTGAGAAATGCTCTCCCTGTTCAGTGTTTATATACCTTCTCCCAAACATTTTATTTTCCATTACCTGTCTTTAGATTATGCTATAATATGTCAGTACCAGAAAGTATATTGTGTGTGCATTTGTTTCCTTCAGCATCTGCTTCTCTCCCTAGAACACAAACTACATCACTTCTGGAAATTTACTTGTCTTGTTCCATAGCATATTAGTCCTGGAACATAGTAAGCACTACATAAATATTTGCAGTATTTGCTGAATTACTGAACATGTGAATTACATAACGCTGTTTATGTGAAAAATACACCTCGGTAGAAGAAAAGGTCTTTTATGTATTAAATGGTGATCATATAAATTATTTTTCAAACTGAGACACTGAAGAGAATGCCAATATTTTGCTAGGTACCTGTTAATCGATGATATAATTAATTGTCCAAACTGGAAAAGTGTAAGGGGGAACTCTTAATAATTACACTAATACACTAATAATTACACATTGTATCCTAGGTACTCTGCCAGGTGTTTAAACATGTCATAGCTTTTCCTCCCGAAGGTAAAAAATGTTTTCACTATATTAGAGTACTTTGCTTTGTGGTTTTGACTCAGGAAAAAACTGTTTTCAATAACCTCTGGCAGGAAATTTACTCCGTTTAAGAGATCCAAAGGGGAAAACATTTCTCTTAATCTAAAAGATTCATGCCATGCCAAATTCCAAGTGCATATTTATTCATTATCCTTCCTGCACTCTGCCCTTTCTTCCATTGGTCAAGTATTAAGACATAATTTATGGTTAATTTTGTGGGAATATATATGCTATATATGCACTGAAAAAATAAGTGTTGGAAATAAACTCACGAGTGGTTTTTTAGTCAAATTCTCTAATGTTGCATTATTTTTATAATAGATGAAATATCAGGGAATATTAGACAAGTGAAACTTAAGCATTGTTTTCATTAGATTTATAACTGTGAGCACTCCTTGGTTGAAAGAAATCAGAAGTAATAAATATTTTTAAATTATAAGGTTAAAACTTTAGGAGGGGAAAAGTATAAAGTAAGATAAGTCAATTTTTGAATAACTATGTTGATGACCTAAACAAAGAATATAGTTAATAAATTCCCATATTATCCACAAACTATTTGTATCCATAATTTTGCTCTTTCATAGGCAATAGTATTTATAAAACTACCTTAAGTTTGTATACCATTTAACTGCTTCCAAAGCTCATGTATATACACTGTTTCATATGGTCCTCACAAAACATCCTCACATTAGGTAGTGCTGACATGGTCACTTTTATTATATAGATGTGGGTACTGATCCTCAAGGATAATTGACTTGTCCAAGGTTACACAAGGCTTAATTTAGGACTGAAACAAAGGCTTCCTAAATTCACACTCCTTTTATTCCTTGAAGCAAAGTCTTTAACTTTTCATTTTAGGAATTCTAAAGAAGTGTTGTAAAATCAAAGCTGAATCTTACTACTTCTTGCTTATCATCTGGTTGTGATTTTCAGTGGAAGTTGTCATATTCAGAGGCAGTATAAGAACAGATATAAATGGAAAAATATATGATCATATTCAACAGTCTTTGATTGTGACAATTAGGGTGAGAGAAAGGAAAATCATTAAATTCAGGTTTTGTCTAGTCATTTAAAATTTAATTCCCCTTTCAAGTATTCAATTAGTAAAAACAAACAACAACAACAAAAAATACGCCCTTTGCCTATTGCCTCAATTTTCTTTCCATTTAGAGGACAATAACTTGACAATAAAGTGATTTTTTGTTGTTTTAAGAATATAGCTACTAGATGTAAAATCCTCAATCTAAATCATTATGATAACAGCTGGATGTGGTGAAATAGCATGTTCCAAGAACCTTTATGTTGTCTAATTGATGAAGTGCTCAGATGCATGACTCAGAAATGCTATATCCATTTCTAAGAAATTCTCATAAAAAATTCACGTCCTTTCAGCTAAGAAGGAAAACCTTTGTGCATGTCACTTGCACTTGCAGTGATTGCCAAGAGACTGGGAGGTTGCTATTAATAAGGATCCCTGCTGTTGCTGCACTCAGTGATTTATCACCTTCACATCTCTAAATGGGAGGAGGTCAGATCAGACAGAGGAAGCCATTCATTCAAAGGTGGCATTTCCCTTTCCACTGCCAGTGCTTTAAAATACAGTAATTCATACTTAATTAATGGCTGTCTTTTGTGGCATTATGGTTCTGTTCATTGAGGTTTACAATACAAACTGCTACTTTCTAATATAATTATTCAATGATATTACCATCAATGTTAGAAGTGTACCACTGCCATCAAGAGCCCTGGCTCCTCTCCCTTATTGAAGAAATCTGCTACTACATCAAGGTTCATTCAGTGGATAAAGATTAAGGAATCTTATAATTTAAAATGCTATACTACTTATTATTGGCTTTCTAAACTCTAATTTATAGTCAGTGACATTTGTTTACCTATTCTTTCTCATTAACATTTACGAACACATACAATTATTTTATGGCCCTAATAGATGAGATACTTAGCAATGCGTTATTGACTTTTGTTATCTTTACAAGGCAGCTCAATAATAAATAGTTGAGGTCCTTAGAATGTAACATCAAACCTCATTTACCAGTACTGGGTTTTCTTATGTCTTAAAACTGAAATGTATAGCAATTGAAAATAAATTTATCGTCCACTGAGAATATTCACCTTGACCTGAGACATCAAATTTACATGTTTTTCTTAGGTATCCCATCAATTTTTGGATAAGGCCAATGGATAGCAATGTTTCTTTGAAGAATATCTGATAATTAAGAAAAAATATTCCCCTCTTTTTTGTAGTCTAATACTACGCATTCTGGTTTCAGATTTTCTTTTCAGTTACTTCATTTTAATATATCCTTCTTAGTACATTTTAATATATCCTTCTTGGAAATATTATCATTTCATTTTAGAGGCAAATTATCACCAGGTCACATGGGGACTGAGTGGAGGAAAGTGATGTGAACACATACTTATTAACTCCAGGACAATACTCTAAGTTGTGTTAGTAAATAGAGGTCTGTCCAATTCTATGCTATGGTGATAAATCAATGTCTGAAAGGCACTTAGGAAAATTATCAAGAAAGCCCCTTTTGCCTATTCTGTGTGATATTCCAGCTGTTCATAAAGAATTACAGGAGTCTTGACTTTTTAAAAAGTTTTGGATCCAAGTAATGAATCATAGCAATGTACTTGAACATTAAGTGGGCTTTGCGCATATTGCTAACTTTTAATTAGCACTTACCACGTTCTTCCCAATAACATCACTTCAAATATAGACCAGTGGTTAGACACTTAATACAGACTAGACTGACAGTCTTCTGATGCCATATAGCAATTTCGTGGTTCTTATGTTATTTCCTTCTAGAGATGCCCTGATTTTTAAGGAACCCAAAATGAATCTACAGGCCTTTTATGATTTTTCATACCATGTTGGATACCTGCATGTAAATGTTTTCAATGCAAAACTGTTCTGCTAATGACAGTCTAGAAGGAGATCTCTTTTTTGACCTTCATGTCATTGACTTGTTGGATTAAAATCAAACCCTACATTTCTCCTGAGATACATACTGACTGATGTACCAAATCGGGTGGTGGCAATAAACTTCAAGAGAAAGCTTTACCATTATATTAAAAGATGAAATAACAGATTTATTTGTTTTCACTTAAAATAAGTAGATTATCATGTGCTTGTATCAATTTTTATGATACCAGGTTTTTTTATTATTTTTTATTTTTATTTTTTTATTTTTTATTATACGTTAAGTTTTAGGGTACATGTGCACAATGTGCAGGTTTGTTACATATGTATACATGTGCCATGTTGGTGTGCTGCACCTATTAACTCATCATTTAACATTAGGTATATCTCCTAATGCTATCCTTCCCCCCTCCCCCCACCCCACAACAGGCCCCAGTGTGTGATGTTCCCATTCCTGTGTCCATGTGTTCTCATTGTTCAATTCCCACCTATGAGTGAGAACATGCGGTGTTTGGTTTTGGTCCTTGTGATAGTTTGCTGAGAATGATGGTTTCCAGCTTCATCCATGTCCCTACAAAGGACATGAACTCATCCTTTTTTATGGCTGCATAGTATTCCATGGTGTATATGTGCCACATTTTCTTAATCCAGTCTATCATTTTTTGGACATTTGGCTTGGTTCCAAGTCTTTGCTGTTGTGAGTAGTGCCACAATAAGCACACATGTGCATGTGTCTTTATAGCAGCATGTTTTATAATCCTTTGGGTATATACCCAGTAATGGGATGGCTGGGTCAAATGGTATTTCTAGTTCTAGATCCCTGAGGAATCGCCACACTGACTTCCACAATGGTTGAACTAGTTTACAGTCCCACCAACAGTGTAAAAGTGTTCCTATTTCTCCACATCCTCTCCAGCACCTGTTGTTTCCTGACTTTTTAATAATCGCCACTCTAACTGGTGTGAGATGGTATCTCATTGTGGTTTTGATTTGCATTTCTCTGATGGCCAGTGATGATGAACATTTTTTCATGTGTCTTTTGGCTGCATAAATGTCTTCTTCTGAGAAATGTCTGTTCATGTCCTTCGCCCACTTTTTGATGGGGTTGTTTGTTTTTTTCTTGTAAATTTGTTTGAGTTCATTGTGGATTCTGGATATTAGCCCTTAGTCAGATGAGTAGATTGCAAAAATTTTTTTCCCATTTTGTAGGTTGCTTGTTCACTCTGATGATACTTTCTTTTGCTGTGCAGAAGCTCTTTAGTTTATTTATATCCCATTTGTCAATTTTGGCTTTTGTTGCCCTTGCTTTTTGTGTTTTAGAAATGAAGTCCTTGCCCATGCCTATTTCCTGAATGGTATTGCCTAGGTTTTCTTCTAGGGTTTTTATGGTTTTAGGTCTAAAATTTAAGTCTTTAATCCATCTTGAATTAATTTTTGTACAAGGTGTAAGGAAGGGATCCAGTTTCAGCTTTCTACATATGGCCAGCCAGTTTTCCCAGCACCATTTATTAAATAGGGAATCCTTTCCCCATTGCTTGTTTTTCTCAGGTTTGTCAAAGATCAGATAGTTGTAGATATGTGGCATTATTTCTGAGGGCTCTGTTCTGTTCCATTGGTCTATATCTCTGTTTTGGTACCAGTACCATGCTGTTTTGGTTACTGTAGCCTTCTAGTATAGTTTGAAGTCAGGCAGCATGATGCCTCCAGCTTTGTTCTTTTGGCTTAGGATTGACTTGGCAATGCAGGCTCTTTTTTGGTTCCATATGAACTTTAAAGTAGTTTTTTTCAATTCTGTGAAGAAAGTCATTGGTAGCTTGATGGGGATGGCATTGAATCTATAAATTACCTTGGGCAGTATGGCCATTTTTATGATATTGATTCTTCCTACCCATGAGCATGGAATGTTCTTCCATTTGTTTGGATACCAGGTTTAATCAACCTTTTAATTAATTGAAGACTATATTCTCTTGGAATTTTTAATTGTTGCATTTGCCCTGATATTTTGTATTTAAACATTTATTTTGGAATAATTACAGAAAAGTTGCCAAGATTGTATACAGAGTTCCCATATAGCCCTCACACCGTTTTTCCTAAAGTTAACATTTTAGCAAAACTAAGAAATTGGCAAAACTAAGAAACCAACACTGGTATATTACTATTAACTGAATTCCAGATTTTATTTGGATTTCACCAGTTTTTCCACTGATGTCCTTTTTCTGTTCCAGGATCTAATCCAGAATCCCCCAATGCATTTTGTTGTCATATTTCTTTAGGATAATCTAAAAACTGTGACAGTTTCTCAGACTTTCCTTGTTTTTCATGACCTCGACATGTTTTGAGGAGTACTGGTCACATATTTCATAGAGTTTTCCTCAATTTGGGTTTGTCTAATGTTTTCTCATGATTAACCTGTGGTTACTGGTTTTGTGAACAGGTACCCCAGAGATGGAGTGGTCTTCTCATCACCATATACAGAGTATATTAGATTAACATGACACTACTAGTGATCTTAACCTTAATCATCTGGTAGAGGTAATATTTGCCAGGATATTCCACTATAAAGTTATTATTTCCTCTTTCCATACTCCCTTATTTGGAAGTGAGTCATTAAATACAGTTTATACTCTAGAGGGTGCGTTAAACTGTACCTCCTGGAGGGGGAGGAGTATCTAAAAGATTATTTTAAATCTTCTATAAGGAAGATTGGTCCTTTCTCTCATTTTTTGAAAGATAATATTGACAATAGAACCACTATCCCATGACTTTTACCCTGAAGTGGATATCATTCACTCACATGTGAGCATATCCACATTACAAAGTAATATGGAATAAAAGTTATTTTGATAGTCTCATCAATTACCGACCTCTTTAGCTTTCTATAATAGAAAAGACATGTATTTTCACCTTTGGAAATTACTAGCTTTCATATTTTAATGAAAAGAGGTTGCACTTAAAAGTGAGAATTTAAATACTATTAGGAGACATGATTATTTGTAATGAGAAAGTCACATTAAACCTGTTAAATATTTTTATAATGCTTTGTATCTTTAGCATTTCTTACAATCACTTTTATTCATGGTTCTTCCTTCAAAGATGCCCTGTGAAGTAGCCCTATGGATGAGAACAAAGAGGTGCACTTGGCCTGCTTCTCTAAGCCTAGGTGAGTTTACTTACAATTCTACGAATTAAAATTCCTCTCCGTTGAGTGAGTTTAAATTGAAAATAAAGTGAATTTGAGAATACCAAAATACAGAAAAATTCAATCAAATTTTAAAGTTGGTACTAATTATACTTGTTATTGGAATGTAATTTAGTTTTCTTAATTTAGTTTCTAATGTTTTATTCATTTATTCTTTTATACCATAACTTTTATGTCTAGTACAGTACACGTCAAGCTCTGTGTTGGATGCTTATAAATGGATATAGAAAAGACAGTCTCTACCTGTAAAAAAATGACTATCTAGCATGGATAGAAAGACATATGGCTGAATCAACAATAAATTGACAGTGCATATGTGCTGCTGTAGGGATGGAAAAGGGGTGTTTGTGTGGCTCAAAACCTGGAGAGTTTAATTTCTTTGGAAGGCCATGGATAAAGTCTCAGAGGAAGTAATATTTACTTTGAGCCTTAAGGAGTACATTTACCGAAAGGACAATGGACAAGTAGAGATTCTTGGCAGAGATCAAAGTGTATAAAAAGGCACAATGATATTAACATAATAGGCCACTTTCAGGGAAATGGAAACAATTTTTGCATGACAGAATGTGTATGCAGGTTGCTGATAAGAAGGCAGGAGAAGAGAGCAGTGAGGAAGAGAAAGTGTTTATGCCACGTTGATGAATTTCTACTTTAACCTAAAGACTAAGGAATTCTAAATAGGGAAGTTATATAATATTTCTTGTATTTTTAAAGAGCAGCCCAGCACAGTGTCAAGACAAAGAGGCCAGATACAATGCAACTGCAGGAGAGAATGTGTGAGGGCCTGAGTATCACAACAGGAATGGAGATGGGTGGGTCATTTGGAAAATTGTTTCAGAAGGCAAAAATGATGGAGTTACTGACATGATTAAATTTGAATAGTAACAAACAGGTTTCTCTTTGGGCAAAGCTTGGGTAACAGGAGAGTGAGATGAGGTTTGTTGTAAATAAAGAAGGTGACTCAAACTTACTCATGAAAATAATTAGTAGGCGATTGGAGATAAAACCATTCCCCGATTATCAAAGTTTGTTCTTGAAAACTCTTCTTAGGGAAAAGTATTAAAGCAGTCTAAAAAGTATTTGTCACAAAAATTGTTAGTATTTAAATAATGGAATATTTTAAAGATACATGTATATATTCTCAATATTTCGGTAATTTAAACCTTATTCACCCTTCCCCTAAAATACCCTCAGAACAAAGTCAAGAGACATCATGAAAAGTCACATAAATGGTGTACAAGATTATTAAAGCTATAAACTTCCAAACTATGTACAAACTATCATCAGAGTCAACCTCATAATTCACAGGACTTCTTTTTCAGAAACCAAGACGTGCTATTAAAGGTACTAAAATATAAATCTTTTACTTTTAAAAATATTTTCTTATAAAATGAAATAGGGCAATAGTGATATACGAATAACAATACAAACTTATAAATTATTTTAAAAAGTCTCTTTGGAGTCGCACGTTGTTATAGTAAAATAAATCATAATACTTTGTTAATGTGATATATTTATTGATCATAAGATTTTTTGCAGTTTATAGCTGCAGCGAACACCGGGAATGAAGTATACAGACAATTCCAGCTGAGCGGGGAGGGGAGCAGCTCCTCTGAGAGAGTGTCACCCCAAGATCCGTCCACCAAATATTATTGAGAGAGCTTGTTTAAACTACAATTCAAACAAACAAGAGACATCCACCAGGTGGCGATTTGTGGTCCGGTCATGAGGCACATATGGCCCATATGGCCTTGCTTATTAATCTAAAAGCACTTAGATCACATTCTCCTGAGGCTGTTTTCAGTGCTCCTTATCACACATTCTGCTCCTTGCCCTGTTTTCAGGGTCAAGGAGTTTCAGTCTTATGTACAAACAACATGCACACAGTGCCTCAGTATTTTTCCATGCCCCAACCTCAAATGCCTTGTACATAAGCTTGAATATATTGCTGTGCACCCCCCACATATCTCCCCCTTAATTCTTAGAGCATGTTGGTTATCTAATGCAAGGTAAGCTTCTATCATTCTTCCCTAGTCATAAATGTGTTGGGTGGCAGCACAGAGCTATTTGTAGATGTCTAGCAAACAGATATAAAAAAGAATAAGTATAGCGGCCATCACCCAAATGTGTATGTTTGACTCAGACAACCAAGTATTTGGGTTTAACAATTAAAAGTCTTCTTGTAATTGCTGAAGGGTATTTGTTTATAATTACTGTGACCATTCTTCATGTTGTTTCTTTAACTTGCACTCAAGAGTGGAAACTTGAGAAGATAGGTGGTCGTGATAAGTCCCTTGTAGGTATGCTTTCACTCTCTTCCAAGCATACCGGGAGCTATCATATGGCAAAGGTGTAACACAGATAGAATTATATTGCCAATCACAATGTAAATTTTGATGAGTAATGAATGCCTGTGGTTGATCTCCTAGCCATTCAACGGCGCTTCAAGGGCCTCTAGGTGAGACAAAATACTCTTATCAATGTTTACTTGTTCTTGAAATTCATGGGTTACATTGCATAGCATGTGGTTCACCACTGAGGCTGTATGAACAGATTCTGTCAAACAGATAGCTGTAGTAGTGGCAGTTGTTAATATAATAATAGCTGAGACTAAAAAGGCAATTAAAGTGGCCAGAATTTTTTTTTTTTTTTTTGAGTATGAGACAGTGCTTTTCTAAATAACTGCAGGGTGGAATCCCTTCCCAGTTCCTGGTAAAATTTACAGGGAGCCACAATTCTGTATGCCATTTTAAGATTATGACATAGGTTATATTTAACTGTATAATATTTCGATGAGACAAGCATGTAGCATACCAACGACTGGAAGAGACTATAAAAGGATTATTAATTACTAATTATTATTAATACTATAAAAGATTGATTCTGCTGTATGTTAGGAACACCTTGCCCAAACAGAAGTATATAGGGGTGCGTAGTACAAATCAGGACGGTATCAGTAACATTATTGTGCAAGCAGAGGGTATAGTTGTCACTGCTATTAGTGTAATCATCATGTGAAAGAATTCGTTCGAAAAAAGGAAGTCCTAGTCTCCAAATTCAGGTATGAGCAGGGCTTAAAGCTTGTTCCCTTTTTTAATTGTAACATTGGTCCTGAAAGCTCATATTCTGACCAAGTGATGGCAATATTGGAGGGACTGCCAAACCCAATAGTCTGATTTGCAGACACGAGATTACCATGGGGACCCCAATCAAGTAAGGTGCCATTATCAAACAGAGGCCCCTGACGTGGCGCAGGTTGTCTGCACGGGGACTACTGGATGGCCTCAAACTTATATGGCCAGTCTCTACTCAGACAGCATATAGGAAGATCCGGCACTTGTACAACTTCATTAGAGACCTCAGTAAGACTAGTCTAACGGCAGAAATAAAGGACAAATTTGCAAGCTTAGCATCCCTTTTGGGCTGATAGTAAAGATACTCCTGAGGAATGACAGTAATACACTTATTGTGAGTAATTGTGGAAAAACAAGTCAGGGGATTACTAGACAATAGAGTCAAAGAGTCACTGAGTTTAATCTATCCTAAATTTCAGTTAAGGGGTAAGACAAGGGCATCCATCTACCTCCTGTCCAAGAAGTATCATTAGATGACAAAGGCGGGTCTGCATCCCACCACATAATCACATTAAAAACAGGGGGATTCAGAACATGACTCCAATAAACATGTTCTTGAGCTGAGTCCACCTGGCAAAGAACAAGAAATACCAGCCACCCCAACACCCATGTCTTTCTTACTTTCTCAGAAGCTTTCCCAATTACCGCCAGATACATAAGAAACTGGTTCTGTGCAGCTGCAGGGGCTCCCCTGGCCGTAAGCCGGATAGTTGTCTGTTGGTCCAACAGATGCAGGTCTTCTTAAGGGTGGAGGAAAAGAGGGCAATGGCTTTTCTATTAGGGGAGGAAAAGAGGGCAATGGCTTTTCTATTAGGGGAGGAAAAGGCTGCACTCTGTCCTCATCAACACTAGAAAAAGTGTCTTCTTTATGCCCTACTGAATGGAATGAAGTGGGGGGAGGAGCCCCTCCCTGTTGTTCTGGTTCCTGCATTCTCTTCCCCTTTAAATTTTCTGAATTACCTTCAGGTGAAGAAAATGGGCGCTCTGACTCACCATGATCTGGCATATAAAGAGAGTACAACGCAGAGTGTACCAGAGTCCAGGTGGTCAAAATGGTAACATTAGTAAAATGACCCTGCTCAAATCTTCTTTGCAGGCAGTGACCCACCTGATCCCATAACTCCTAGTCTAATCTTGATCAGAGAAACAAGGGCATTCCTGTCAAATTAAAAATGTAAGCTTATGCAAAGTTTTAGACTTTACGGTACACTGGATAGCCTTAAGTAATTGTTGCACCGTTTAAAAAAAAAAACTTTCTGCTCTTTGGTCAATTTCTGACCCAGGATAACCCAACCCCTGGTATTATATGAATCGGTCCCATCCTCCTGAAATGGGTCGGGACTGTCCCTTACTGACACTCCCCAAAGACTGATGAGTTTACTTACTCCACACATAATTTTAAGGCAATCATGTCAGGGTAACCACTTGCAGCTTATAGCTGCAGCGAACGCTGAGAATGAAGTACTCAAACAATTTCAGATGAGCAGGGTGGGGAGCAGCTCCTCTGAGAGAGTGTTGCCCCAAGATCTGTCCATCAAATATTTATTGAGAGAGCTTGTTTAAACTACAATTCAGACAAACAAGAGACATCCACCAGCTGGCGATTTCTGGTCAGATCATGAGGCACCTATGGCCTTGTTTACTACATATAAAAGCACTCAGACCACATTCTCAGGAGGCTGTTTTCAAGGCTCCTTATCACACATTCCGTTCCTTGCCCTGTTTTCAGGGTCGAGGAGTTTCAGTCTCATGCACAAACAACATGCACACAGTGCCTCAGTATTTTTCCATGCCTCGACATCAAATGCCTTGTACATAAGCTTGAATATGTTCCTGTGCACCCCCACATTTTTCTTCTCATTTTTCTACAATTTATACTTTTCTACTTCTTCATTCCAATTAAACTGAAAGCAATATCAGTCCTTTTTGGGCAATGCAAGATCATTTTTAGTACATAATTTTTGATAATTGTTCATTTAGGGAAGAATCCACTGATGCAACTGTTACTAGAGATAAGATTATTTTATAGAGTGTGATATTAAGATCAATTTTGATTATTTTATAACATAAATTTTAGTACCTCTAGGGCTAATGATTCAACGTTTAGAAGTTTCTAAAGACCCATCTCAGTGGCTCACACCTTTAATCCCAACACTTTGTGAGGCCAAGGTGGGAGGACTGCTTGAGCCCACAAATTCAAGACCACAGTGGGCAATATAATGATACATCAGCTCTCCAAAAAATAAATTAAAAAAATTCTATTAGCCAGGTGTGGTGGCATATGCCTGTAGTCCCAGCTACTCAAGAGGCTGAGTTGAGAGGATTGCTTGAGGCCGAGAGGTCAAGGCTGCAGTGATCCATGATCACACCACTGCATTCCAGCCTGGCCAACAAGAGTGAGAGACCCTGTCTCAGTCAATCAATCAATCAATCAATCAATCAATCATTTCTAAAAATATTTAACTCTTTACATAGTTCAATTTTGTGTAAATCTGAATTTAATTAAAGTGTTAGTTTATAAAATAAAATTTTAATGTTTCCTCTGAAGGCTCCTGTAACTATGGAGGTTATATAAGAAACCAAACATGGCTTTATAGCATGTGTATAATTCAAAATATCTATTTATATATCACTGCATCTTCAATTACAGAAAAAATTAATTTTAAAATTGTCTCTTTAATCAATTTGTTTGTTTGAAGCTTATATGAAAATTATTGTTTTCCACTGAATGTGATGATCTTTAAAATTAATTTGCATTTCTAAACTTGTAGATATATGTTTTGCAGTGTTGTAGTTTTCAAAACTAGAGATTCTGAAGTCAAATTGTAATAACTCGCTGGTATGCATTATTGCAATGTCTACTTGTACACTATTATTTTTTAATAACTTATAACAAAGCTTGCTACCTGACAGCCTCTCCCAGCACTCAGGCCACAGTGTTAAAATTTGCTATAGCTTAAACTTAGGGGGTGGAAAGTCAAACTGTCTTCCCACTATGGGTCCCAACACTGCTTATATATGCAGCCCTTTCTCTCTCTCTCTCTCTCTCTCTCTCTCTCTCTGCAGTGGCTGTAACTACTGCCCCTACCATTGTTTCTGCTACAGCTGTCACTGTCACTACTGTTAATCTGGGCCCAGTTCCCAGTCTGGCTGGCCTGCCCTAAGACCTGAGACCATACATATGAAAAACACTTAAGAAAGTTGCTATTTGGAAAAGATTAATGCACTTGCTAAATTCCTAGCACAAACAATGCAATGGAGAGAGAGAGAGAGACAGAGAGAGAGAGAGAGACAGAGAGAAACATAAATTACCAATATTAAGAAAAAGAATTATCGTCAGTAATTTAAAAAGAATTAGATCCAGATTTTACAGAATTCACTTATGAATACCACAAAACAGAGGCATAGAAACTCAACAAAAACAACAGCAACAACAACAAACAGACACACTATGGAAAGGACAAAATCTAATTTCCAGAACGGCCACTTTATATTAAATGTCTATTTTTAACAAAAATACTTAGAAGATACATAAAGAAACTAGAAAGTTTGGCCTTAATATAAGGAAAAAAGCATTCAATAGAAACCATCTCCCAGGAAGCCCCTATTTCAGATTTACTAGAAAAATATTTTAAATAATCTATTACAAATATATTCAAAGAAATCAAAGAAACCATGTCTAAAGAAGTAAAAGTATGAAAATGTTGTCTCTGAAAAATAGAGAATATCAATAAAGAGACTGAAATGATAAAAATAGAGAGTAACGGAAGTGAGAACTCGAGGTAAGAGGATGTTATGATTGTACAAAGTTCTTGGGTTTAACAGCCTGCACCACAATGGAGAGGAAAATTCACTGAAGTGACATTGTGGAGCCATACATGGGACTTAGTAATTGGTAGATTAAAGGGAAGGAAGCAGAGAAAATACATCCTTTTAAGCCTTAGAAAATATTATAATTGAAGAAATTACATGTTTACTACCTGACCACTTTTAGCATGAATCTTTCTTCTGCTTCTTGTCAAGATGGTCCCCTTGGAAAGCGCTTTTCTTAATGTACTTTTATTTCTGCTTTTATGATTTAGGTCATGCAATTATTCCTGCCTCACAGTTTTTCTATTTAAACAAATTCTTGTTATTCTTCAAAATCTGTACAAGTGCAATCTTTTAAAAAACTTTCTATTTCAATTGTAATGGCCATATAATGTATTTCCTAGGACATGGTTGATTTCAACATACAATGTAGTTCCTTTTTTGCCATCTTTGATGTTTTCTAAATGTATTATATAGTTTATGTTGAGTAAAAAATGTTTTATTCCTTAGGCATAAGAATATAATAATAGAACTATATATTGACAATACGCAGACACTGACACCAACAACACAAATTATATACATGATCAGTGGTTCTCTAACTGTATTATATAGTTTATGTTGAGTAAAAAAAAGTTTATTCCTTAGGCGTAAGAATATAATAATAGAACTATATATTGACAATACGCAGACACTAACAACACAAATTATATACATGATCAGTAGTTCTTAACCAGGGGTCACTTTGCCTCTGAGAAGCCACTTGGCAACTTCTGGAGACAGGAGGGCAGTGCTACTGGTCTCTAGGGGGCGGAGGATTGAGGGCTGCTTCTGAAAGTCACACAGTGCATAAGATGGCCCTCCAAAACAAAGAATTATCTAGTCAAAAATTTCAACAGTGCCAAAATTGAGAAACCCTCATTTAGGGACATGGTATATGATAGGAAGACATTTCCTACAAATCCTGACAAAATTATTTCTCAAAATAGCAAATACCTATATTATTACAATACCAATTAAAAGCATGAATATGCAAACTATTTGGTCATAGGCAAAAATCCTAAATCCAAGAACCCCATTCTGAAGTTGTCCTAGTTAAAGTCCTCCATGATTGGACACTACAAGATAGTAAATGGGGAGAAATGCTTATGAAAGCCAAAAGGGAAGGCTTGGAAAGTCAGGGAAGGCCTTCAGACCCTGAGGCAGCTCTGTCACCTATGATAGAGATAGGGAAGGAAAGATCGGGTAGAAAGAGCCTCGGATGGCAGCACAGGTCGAGGAAGTCTCTGTCAAGATGATGGGAAGTCTTTGGACCAAAAATGCCAGCTGGAAGTACCTCATGTTGAGCAGAAAGTCTTGGCTCTAGTGTTCCTGCTGTGCACAGTCACTGGCTCAGAGCAGACCAGGGGAAGGGTTGTTCATTTTGCTTGTTTTAGTATGAAGTTAGACATAACTTTTGATAAGTTTAAATTTCAAAGAAATACTGCTTAGAAACAGATCTAGATGTATTCACTTAAATAATTTAAAATAAAGCCAAAAGGAATTAATGTGTAATTTTGTGTCAATAACAACTTTTAGAGAAAGGCAAGGAAAAATACGCCGTATACATTCTAAAAGTAGTTCTGAAAAGATTGCCACTTTGAAAACACAATTTTCATGTGCACTTATATTTCTAAGTTTCAGCTAAAAATCTACTTAATGATAATAAAAGACACTTATCTCATAGCAACATTATCATTGCATCTGCTTTTAAATGTCACTATATTCCAGTTTCTTTATTTGCAGAATGTACCAGGTTATTCATCCTGGGTCCTTTTATACTTTCTCTTTCTGTCCCTTCCACATCTATTATGTTACTAAAAGCCTGGAAATCCCATCTTCTTAATTACTCATAAATCTATTAATTTAAACATTTTGAGGAGAGCAACGAGGTAATAAATGTTGTGCATACAAAGATGACCAAACATTTTGGAAGGTGACTTCTAGGGTCAAGACTGGATGTGTATAGAAAAGTCAGGCGTGATAAGCAGTAGTCCAAGTCTAAGGTGGTGAGAGTGGAGAAGAGGAGGAGAGAAAGAATGTGGGAAATACTTGGGGAGTAACTGAAATATCTTGGAGAAGTGGGGAGAGAAATTCTCTGAGAAGTGTCTAATACACTTTTTTCTGAGAAGTGTCTAATGCACTTGTTTGGTAATTAACAGGTCCTCAGTGACCTGAACAAGAAAGGCTTTAGTAAAATCACGGGGACAGAAAGCAAATCACAGGACAAGAAAAAAAAAATGTTCATTTAGTAAACCTGATCATAAAGAAAAAGGAGAGAGATGTGATTAGATAGGGCAAGTAGGTTGCATGGATTTGCTTGTTTCTATCGGTTTATTAAGCTCTGCAGTAAGCTGAGAATATTTATATACTGGAGAAAAGCAGCCTCCAGAACTACAGAGTTGAAAATACAGAAAGGAAAGGCAATAATCAAAGAAGTACAGTAGGCAACAGCAAGTGAGAAATTAAATCAAAACAGCATTTTGTTTTAAAGAGGACATTTTTAGCCTGAAGTTGTTTCTAGGGTTTTGAGATTATTTTTAAGGAAATAACATGTTCTTTAGTTATTGCATGCTGAATTCTGGCATCAAGTGAGTTTAGATTTTATTCATCTCTGGTGTGCAAGCAGAGCACATAAGTTTCTTAAGGCCATAGTGTGTCTAATTAAATAGATATTCTTTTTAACTTCTGGCATAATGTTTTACATCTAGTGTGTGCTTAGTAAACATTTATTGATCTCTATATATGTATTTTTAAATATAAAGCCACTGCAAACGTGAAGGTTACTGTTTCACAAAAGTACTGAAAAGATACTAAAAGCACAATGGTAGAACAGCATTGTAATTAGAGTTTGGAAATACTATTTAGACAAAACTTGGTATTTATCAGATCTATTTTCATGTTTAACCATATTGGTTGGCACATATTTAATGACTGTAACCAGAATGAGATCTATGATATGGATGCATGACGCTCAGCTTTTCCAAAACACCAATAACAACAAATGTTAAGGCATTTAGCAATGCTACATACTTTCAGAATACCTTTGTATACTTTCACAACACAATAAGAAAGGAAGTATTACTGATCTCATCTTATCAATGAAAAAAAGAGAAGCAGTGAGGAACTGCCTCACCCAAGTTACAGATCTAGCCCTGTAAATCCTGGGACTTAAATTCAGATCTTCTGGATACTTACTCATTATTTAAGTAATACTAACTCATATTTAATCCTCTAAATAACTACCATATAAAACTCCCCAAAATGAGTAAGTTGATTGATATTAGAGGTATTTAAGAAAAGTAACTGACAGATTATAAGTTCTGTTTTTTGATTCTCCAGAATGTTATATTTGTATTCCCTTTGTCCATTGTAACATGACTTATGATTTAGAGTAAATATCTTTAATGGGCTTTTATAAAGTGTCTGTAATACATGAATATTTGATAATTATTCTCTTACCCTCAAAGGCTAGTCAAGTGTTAATTACTAATGTTCAGATTCTAGAATAAATGACTGGAACATAGGCTTAATTAAAAATGGAATAGGCCAATTTAGTAATAATAATAATAATGATTATAAAATTTTTTATTGACCACTTACTGTTTTTGAGCACTGTGCTAACATTATATATACATATGCATTCATATATATATATATATATATATATATATAATGTTTCACTTTAATCATCACAAAGCCCCTAATAAATAAGTGCATTATCTTTAATTGGGGAAATAGGAACCTAATAGTGATTGAGTAAAAACGAAAAGTCACATATAGAGAAAATGGTGGAAACTGAACTGTTTGCAGCAGGCTGAATTCAAAACCAGTAGACTTAAACTACACTATCTTGAGGGAAGAAGTGTAGTTTGAGATAATCCCTAAAATAGGTTATGCTCTATATTTGGTAATATGGTGGAACTGATGTCTAGAGAAATCCTCTTAGCGTAGAAAACCTTTAAATGCTAGATAAAATATAACATGTTTATTTTCTTAATGCATGGCCGAGCTGATATCAGAGGAACTCAGATGCAGAAAAAAATAAGAAAGCATGAATGCAGTGAGAAAAGTAAATGCTGAAATCTGCATTTGCCAGAGGTATATTTTTGTTCATCTTGGCTGGTGCAGGGTTTGGCTGTAAAAGTTACGAGTGTACTGAACATATGACAAAACCCCAAAGCAGCTCAAAATGGGGAGTAAAATTAAGGACTTCTATAGGATGCCAGGACTCCCACAACGTGAATGTATCCGTAACTACAGACAGAGGGCAAAGATAATTTTCTGTCTTATCATTGTTTCTATTTGGAAGGGAATAAGCAAAAAGTATCCTATGAGAGTTCAAAGCCACAATCCTATCTTTAAAGGAATGGATGATATGGCTTAAACTAGTGGTTATCAAAGTTTTTCTGTAGATGACCGGATAGTAAATATTTTAGGCTCTGTGAGCCACATGGCCTCTGTTGCAACCACTCAATTCTGCCATTGTAATGGGAAAGCAGCCAAGGACAAAACATATATGTAGCTGTGTGCCAGTAAAACTTTATTCATGAAAGCAGGCAGCAGGCTGAAATTGTTCTGCAGGCTGTAGTTTGCTAAGCCTGGTCAAAAAAAACTTAAGTAAAAAAATTAGCTTTAAATTGCCCCTTCTGGTAAGGATCCAGGGACCTGGAGAAAGTAAACACAAATTATCTCTGGAGAAAATAAGCCAAAAGACGTCAAAGAATTCCAATAGCTAATGTTCCAAGAAACACGAATTCAACAGGAAAGGAGCAACCATGAGTGAAAGTCAGTAAAAAAAACACATTACAGTTGAAGCGGGCAAAAACAGCAGAATTATACAACAATAAATATAGCCTAAGAAGATTTATTTGTTTAAAAGAATATCAATATGTAGTGAAAGTATGCTAAAGGAAGAGGCAAAAATGACCATGTAATTTGAAAAAGAACCAATGAAATGATCACAACTAAAAGGTATGGTTGTTTAGAAATTCATTGAGAATATTAAACAGCAGATGAGATACAGGAGAAGAGATAATAAGTTGAAAGATATTAATCTGTAGAAATCATTCACAGTGTGGCACACAGACATATGAATATGTGACAAGGACAGAAAGAGTGAGAAGATCTAACATATCTAATCAGTGTTCTGTGCAGAGAATATAGAAAGAATAAGGGAAGGCAATAGAAGAAATAATAACTAAATTTTTCAGAATTCATGAAAGATATCAGTTCTCATATTCAGAAAGCCAAGCGAATTTCTAGAGAGGTGTATACACATACACATATACACACACACGATTACCTAATCACACCTAGAGAGCAGAATGCCAGATACAAGAAATTTATTAAAGTTTCTCAAAATGCTATGAGAAAAATATCTGTCAACCTAGAATTTTATGCTGGGCAAAGCAGTCTTTCATAACAATAGTGAACTAAAGACATTTCAAATATCAACAAATTGAGATAGTTTACAAACTGCATATTCTCATTAATAGAACTCCTAAAGACTATGTTGCATAGAGAAGTTAGTGACCTAAAGAAGTTTGGAGAAACAGTACATATATGTGAGTGGATCTAAGTCACCATTGACTGTATAAGGAATTGATAAGAATATCTAATATTAAGTGATACAAATATACACAAACAAAATATGAGAAGCAATATTACACAAGTTGGGAGGGGTGGTTAGATTTAAAGCATCTCAAGGTACTTATTGGGAAAGAAGAGAAAGATGATGATAGACACCTTAGGATTTGTTCTGATAAATATTTCCAATAAAATGCCCATTGTATCCACTGAAAGAATTGTAATAAAATGAACTTCCAAACTGGAAGATTCAAAAATTAATGGAATGATATTTGGGAGATTTAGATGGATACAAGTAAAGTTAAGTACATTTGCACTGAGGCAAGAATAAATATAATGTTTGTTGTAAGAAAGAACATTCAGTAACGTTTAATAGATAGTGCTTCAAAAATATTAAAGAAAACAAATCTGTAGTGGGCAAAAAAAAGAAATAGGATGTATTTTTGCATTTGATTATAAAGAACAGTATGGCAAGTAAGAATGGCTGTTCCTCATTATGTGAATGTTCCTCATTATGTGAATGTTCCTCATTATGTGAACGCAAAGTAACAGCCAACAAATGTAAACGTTGTGAAATCCAATCTTCTTGTTCGCTGAGCTTCCAGGAACAATTGCAGAACACCAGCCTCACAGGATGCCAATTACAGCAATATAGCCTCTAGGCTCACATAATCACAACATCTGTAAAAGTGCCCTTCATGGATGGTTTACAGTAAATTTTATTACAGCTTTCATGTTGTACCAGAGGCTTTAGCACATACTATGTTAATAATATCAGCAAACAACCAGTTTAAAACCATATAATCAAAATAATTACTTTTAACTGAAAATAATTTGTGAGGTTTAAATTTGTTATGATAGAAAATAAAAATAAAATCTTAAAATTTGCTTTTAAGAACATTTTAAAAATCCATTATCATACCACAGGGCATAATAATTATCTACTAATGTTACATATTTTAAAACACAAATAAAAATTACTGGCTATAATATTTATAAATTATAAATTATAATTTATATATTTATATATAATTATAATTTTTATAAATCGAATACAAACATATTGCTAAGATGCTGATAAGCTATAAATATGTCAAACCCAAAAGTATAAATATGTAAAACAAACAAAAAATTTTTAGAACAGCCCGAAGATTAACTGCTGTTTCTAAAACTTGAAGACAACTTTGATTACATCAAACATCTTTTTAGATCTTTATATTCAATTTTTAAAAAAGCAAATTCATTTTGAAATACAGAATTTGCCCTGGGTTTTCATTAACACATATTCATTAGTGGTTAAACAGATATAAAAATCAATACTTCTTCTGTGGGAAAGGGAAATCCAACATCTGTTAACTGAAGGTTGAAATACATATCATGTCATCCACCACCAAAATTCTGGTCAATATATAACATCTTTGCAAATAGAATCACTTATACAGTAACATACTTTCTTAGAGCTTTATTTCATAAAGATGTTTTCATCATGCATATCTTTTTTCATAAAGGGCATCATTTCATTATATGTATGTATATGTGTATATTATACATACATACAATGTATATATATGTAATGCATACATTGTGTGTGTATATATCTACATGTATAGTGTTTTCAAGAGGAGGCTGTGTTAACATGTGAATGACAGTTTGTAGTACTTCTTATCATTTACCATCTATGGTTGCAAATACCTTCCAAGTGACTTGCAAATGTCAATTTCTAACAACCCTTTAATCTTGTCACAAACTCTCTTTTAAACTGCTATTTTGATATCAGAATTGCATTCCTTTCTTTCTTTCTTTAAGGTTTTATTTTAGATTTGGGGGTACACGTGCAGGTTTGTTACATGAGTATGTTGGGTGATGCTGGGGTTTGGGCTCCTAGAGAACCTATCACCCAAATAGTGGACATAGTACCCAATAAGTAGTCTCTTCAACACTTGCCTGCCTCCCTCCTTCCCCCCTTTTGGAGTACTCACTGTCTATTATTTCCATCTTTATGTTCATCTGTACCAACTGTATACCACTTATAACTGAGAACATGTAGAATTTTATTTTCTTTTTCTGCATTAATTCACTTTGGATGATGGCCTCCAGTTTCAATCATGTTGCTGCAAAGGCCATAATTCCATGCTTTTTATCGCTGCATAGTATTCCATGGTGTATACCTACCACATTTTTTTATCCAAGCTACTGTTCATAGACACTTAGGTTCCCTAACTTAGGATTGTAAATAGTGCTGTGATAAACATACAAGTACATGTGTCTTTTTGATAAAATGGTTTCTTTGGGCAGGTATCCATTAGTGGGATTGCTAGGTTGAATGGTAATGATATTGTTAGTTATTTGAGACACCCCCATACTGATTTTCATAGGTGTTGAATTAATTTACATTTCCACCAGCAATGTCTAGGCGGTTCCTTTCTTATTCATCCTAGCTATGATTTATTATTTTTGACTTTAGTAACAGCCATTCTGACTGGTATGAGATGGTATCTTATGGCTTTAATTTGCATTTATCTGCTGATTAGTGATATGGAGCATTTTTATATGTTTGCTGGCCGCTCAGGTGTCTTCTTCTGAGAAATGTCTGTTCGTGTCCTTTGCCCACTTTTCAATAAATCAGGTTATTTGTTTTATTCTTGTTGATTTGTTTAAGTTCCTTATAAGTTCTGGATATTAATCCTTTGTTAGATACATAGTTTGCAAATATTTTCTCCCATTCTGGAAGTTGTCTGCTTACTCTGTTGATTGTTTCTTTTGCTGTGCAGAAACTCTTTAATTTATTTAAGTCCCATATGAAGGTGAAAGATCTCTACAAACTACAAAATATTCATGAAAAAAATTATAGATGACACAAACAAACGGAAAAACATTCCATTCTCATGAATTAGACAATCAACATCATTATAATGACCATATTGACCAAAGAAATCTACAGATTCAACACAGTTACTTTCACGTTACCTATGTCATTTTTCACAGAATTAAAAAAATTGTAAAATTCATATGGAACCAATAAAAGAGCCCCAATAGCCAAACAATCCTAAGCAAACATAATTGTATTTCTAACGTATAAACTAAAAAGTCATTTCATTGCTTAAAATTCTTTATTGGGTCCCTATCACTGACCAGAAAAAGACAAAAGCTAACAACCCCCCACACTTTGCCATAGCACTAAAGGCCATTCCAAATTGTTTTTCTTTCTTCTTTTCCAAGTATTCCCTTAATATAAACTGTACTTCCATCCCACTGGTAACCAAATCATCCTGCAGCCTGACATATTCAAATGCTGCTTCCTCCACCTGGGATGCCTTCTGTCATCTCTGTCCTCATCTACCTTACCAACTCTTTTCAATTTTCAGGTCTTAGCTAAAATATCACTTCTCAGGGTAATACTTTGCTGTCCATATCTTGACTGAACTAAGTTAGATGCTCTCTTCATTGTGTTTACATACATCAAAATAGTTTTACATTGTTTTATCTGTGCATGTATATCTAAATGTATATGCATATATATCCATGTACACATATATACACATCTATATACACATACACATAAATACATATAGATATATCTGTGTATATGTATTTTACATATACCTAAATCTTAGCATAATGCCTTAAAACAATCAACTCAAAAAATGAAGTAGATGAATTAATAAGACTTCTTAGTGTTTATAACTTAAACAGTAAGAAATTAGGTTAGTTTTTTTAATCACAATAACTCATTCTTTGAATGTCATTTCCCTTAATGATTATAGCAATATTTGTAGCTGGTTATTAAATACGGTTCCTGCCTTTCTAGGAAAATGATATTTAGATTCCTGCTCTAGCTTTTCTCAAAGCTCTTATTTATTGCTCATTTCCTCAGGATTTAAAGGTGATATGTTATATAAAAACATATTAGTTGGAGCTATAATCTAAAATTCCTCTGTGGAGTAGTTAAAGTAAGACTATGATTAGTATTAAATGGGGATAAGTAAGTAATATTTTGTAAAACTCTTAAAAGAACTCAAACTGTTTGATCAGCTATCCATTATATTATTAAGTTGCATCATCCTTTCTCTGTTTTTCCTTTCTTCCAATCAAAAATCAGAAAAAGAATGTAAATAAATCCTGCAAATCTTCATAATTACCAATGTATTGTTCTAAGAAACCAAATTTTATATAGCCCAATTATTCAATCCTACCTTAAATTAAATGACTCACACTAAGGTAGAAAGAGTACGAACTTGACAGGGTCAGTGCTTGACAACACAGCTGTCATAAAATACCAACTGAAATTAAATTAATGGTATTTACAAATAGTCTATAGTATAAAAATAGATAAATTTAAAAGTAAAGACCGGGCATGGTGGCTCATGCCTGTGATCCCAGCACTTTGGGAGGCCGAGGCGGGTGGATCACGAGGTCAGGAGATCGAGACCATCCTGGCTAACACGGTGAAACCCCGTCTCTACCAAAAATACAAAAAATTAGCCAGGCGTGGTGGCAGGCGCCTGTTGTCCCAGCTACTCGGGAGGCTGAGGCAGGAGAATAATGTGAACCCAGGAGGCGGAGCCGAGATAGCGCCACTGCAGTCCGGCCTGGGTGAAAGAACGAGACTCCGTCTCAAAAAAAAAAAAAAAAAAAGTAAAGGGATGAGAATGAAACTACAATTACCTTAGTTTCTCATGAAAGCATAATCAGATCAATAATTTAAAATATTTTTAAAACCTAAATTCTGGTTTTATCATAATTTTTAGTAATTATGGAATGAGCCAATTTAGTAAACTAATGGATTATATTAGGATTATATTACTTGGAAGACTTCAATAAGTCAATTTATTCAATTTCAGCCCTTGGAAAATACAGTAATTTGAATAAAACAATATTTTAAAATTGAAGTGAATTTTATAATTCATTAAATTATAAGGAAAAACTATGAAAAATTAGGATATGGATTTTAAGAGGCTAATCTGTCAAACTCTAATGTAAGTAGAAATGGTTTAAAATCTGTAACAGTATAGAAACTCTTAATGACAAACCTGAGAGATAAGGAAGATATAGTAGACACTGATTAAATACTTAAAAATATGTGGCATAAGAAATGTATAAATCTTTTTATTAAAAGTGATAATTCAAAAAATCTACCAAAAATGAAAATTCATTTTTGAGAGAAACTGATACTGGAAAATGTGTAAATAAGGTATAGAAAAATATAGGTTCATTCACAGAAAGTAGTTCAGGGACTTATTTAAAAGTTCACTATAAAGGAGAAAAATAAACTTTATTTCATCATGCTGTTGCTCATACATACATGAACTTGTGATGCGAATATTTAAGTTTGCTATCTTAGGATACTTTCTCATAGAATTATGAATATGCTTTAAAATTACAAAAATCTAGAAAAGACTTGTCCAGCTTTGGCATGTGTTAATGAGATATACTAGGTGATATCCAGCTGAATAGCATTTCTTACCAGTACGATAGGTTACCAGGTGCCTATGAAGAATAACAAATTGTACAGGTCAAAAGCAACAAATGTTTCCTTCCTTGGAAGTTGCTTAGACTAGTTCAAATAAATATGAATAGTTAAAATATATATGGTTTGTATAATAATTTGTAGAGAAAAAACTTTGACTATCGCCAACTTAAATTTTATTTTTGAATTACATTTTCTTCATTCATTTTAGTCACACATTCTGTCACTAAGTGAGATTACTATGCATTTCCCCTGCTTGGATTTCCTGGGAAACAAGCTGGTTCCCTTGAGTAGTTTCATGTAAGTATACAGTAGTGGTATTCCATCTTCTTTCCAAACTGGTTATGGCCCTCTAGTTCTGTCCATTGCAGCCTGTACATACCCTGAACATGTACAGCACTATCAGAAAATAAATCCAATTTTCCTTAAAAATAGGTCAGAACCTGAGCAACTTAGCATAAAAATAATTATCTGAGTCTGAATTCCCATCTCAAAGAATATACAAAAATTATTTTTTATCCTGTACACAAATCTAAACAGTTTGACTTTATAATTATTTGGCAAAACATATTCTCACCTTTGAGTGTACACAGTGTCAATTCAGTGACAGTGGACTCTAAGTAAATAGCTAAAAGTGAAAAAAATACAACTACATATGTGTGGAAGGGCAGTGAATTTTAAAAGCTGTTTGAAGTCTCATGCCCCTTGACCTTCTCTCATTATTATTGCCTGGTGAACCTTTTCAAGATGAATGGTGTATATCTTTAACTATGACAGTCCATTTAGCAATCACAATATTTCCTATAAGTTAGATAAATTGACCAGTCACTTAACAAGAAGAAAGGCCAGCATCAGTTGCAGCAAAGGTCACTCAATCTAGTTTTGTTCTATATTAAATTGTCATCAGATCTGAACAGCAATTTTATCAATAATACATCTAACTAGAATTTTGCAAAATGTAGAAATCAACTGCCTTCCCTATGGGATAAATGAAGTAGGTAAATAAGACACAACTCTCCACGACAAACTCACAGGGTATTGAACCAATATTCTCATCTATCACTTAAACTAAAGATGACTTTCAGAAATAACTCTATTGGTTCAAACGTTTATCCTTATAGAGATTAAACAAGTGAATGTCATGTGGACTTGGTAAATATGTTTGACTTTTCTGCCTAGCCAAGCAATAAATATATGAAACAAGCAAAATATATTCTGATATTATGAACTGAATATAATAATCAGGAGGCTATCACTCAAATCCAGAATAAGGAGTGATCTACAGTACAATTGACCTGAATTCAAGATTAAATGCCATTGAGAACAGAGGCAGGCAGAGGACTCAGATTGGTGGAGAACAGGGAGAAACAGTTTAGCCAATGCAACGAGTGGGGTTTGGTTTACACAGGATTAAAGAACAACCACAAAGCTAAAAAGGACATTTTGAAGAAAATCTGGGAAATTTGAAAATGGGGGAAATTTCAAAACTGCCACTGCATTAATGTTTATTGTCTTAGGTATGGTAATGATGATGTGGCAGAGTAAGAGAAGGTCTTTGTTTCTAGAAAATGCAAATTGAAATGGTTAAGGAGGAGTGCCATGATATTTACAGAAAACTTCTTTTAATGATTTGGGAAAGTGTGTGGGTGTGTGTACATGCATGTGCATGTATGTTTCTGTGTATAAACAGCAATTGTGGGAAGAAATCAATAGTTCATGAACATAAGGAGAAGTAAACAGGGGTACACTGTACATTCATTGTTTTTTGGGGTTTCAGAAAATTCAATTTAAAAATATCAGAACATATTATTCCTCTGCCCCAAACCTTGTACCAGAATCCCATTTTATTCGCAACCAAAGCCAGTCATTATGATGACCTACATTATCTGGTTCTTCATAACGTCTCTAACCACTGTGTGTGCAATTCTTCCCTTGTGGTTACTTTCCTCCAGTCACATCAGCTTTTTTACTGTTTCTCAAACATACCAAGCATGTGTCTGCACTGCCTGTTCCCTTAGCCAGGAACATTAATTAGTCTAGATGTATTAATTCTTTACTTAAATACACATTAACGAAATCTACTTTAACCACCTTGTTTAAAACTGTAACCCTGCTACAACACATGTTAACTTTCCACATGATTTTTAATATAACTTTCAAAATTATTGTATATTTTATTATATAGTATTTTCATTTTATTATCAGTATCACCCCAAAGTAAGTTCCAACAGGAATAGATCTTTGGGTTTTCTGTTCACAGAAAAACCTAGAAGAGTTGCTGGCATATAATTGGTCCTTAATTAATTCTTGTTGAAAGTTGAATGAATAAAGAACACCTCTCCTTGTAGCCAGAAAATGAAAGATCTGAGTGCAGTTTTGTTGTAGAAAACAATGGGTTGAGGACAACAGAAGCTCCAACAAGGAAACAGCTCAGCATAAAAGAGTATCAGTCAGGGAGAACATTCAAGGAATAAGGACTTAGAAGGAGAGATGACTTTAAGACATCATAGACATTTTCTTACTTTAACAATATGAATGAGGAGCTGAAAAGGGATCAAAATAAATATATTAGCTATTCTTTAAATATCCTGTAATCTAGGAGTGATCATTTACAATAAAAGGATTTAGAATAAATGTAAACCAGTGAGATGTGTGTGAAATATCTGATAAGTAATGTGCAAGAAACATGTAACCTGAGTTTAAATAAGAAGACCATACTTGGCAGGACTATTCAGTATCCTAATCAAATGATGGTTCTTATGTTAATATTGAGGTTGTTATTTTCCTTCTAAACTCATTTGCAAAAGACCTTGGGCCATTATAAATGCTAGTTGTCCAACAATATATCAGGATATATTGGCAAACGGAATCATATGTTTGTCATAAGGCAAAACCACCTAATAAGTTCTCCGTGTTTCAAGAGCTAACATCATAGAGGCAATCACAAACTGGCTTGACACCATAGGATATATATAACAATTGGCATGCAATCTTTGTGGCAACATGGAGTCATTTAGACTGTCTAGGAGTCGACAGAGATAGGAATCTTGAGGTTGAAAGTCATGAGACTGAAAGCCTCTTTACAGGTTTTTCACCTTCCCCTTTCTAAGTACTACTGGCGTATTTAGGTAATTAGCGATGGGTATGGTCAAAAGTGATCTCCAACTCTAGTCCATGTGATTGTGAACTCAGGGATAGACCTCTTGAACTAAGGACAGTGAGTTCACAGTTTCATTAAAAAGGTGTCGGCAGACTTCCCATGTGTAATATTTTATACCTTAGTTTGATAAGAAAAGATATCATTAAGGACAATTTATTCTACGTTGTTAATTTGTTATATAAAATGCATTGTTTTTGAAGCCTTATCTAAGAATATGATATTTAAATTTAAAAGTACTTTTATTTCAATCAGTTGACTTACAAACAAATTTTCTAGAATATAATCAACCTCAGCATCCCAAGCATGCCACTCCTTTATGCTTTCAAACACATAGCCTATCATAATCCATTTAATGGTTTTGTTTTGTTTTGTTTTATTTTTGTTTTGATTTTTTTGAGATGGACTCTCATTCTGTTGCCCAGGCTGGAGTGCAATGGTGCGATCTCGGCTCACTGCAACCTCTGCCTCCTGGATTCAAGTGATTCTCCTGCCTCAGCCTCCTGAGTAGCTGCGATTACAGGCACCTGCCATAATTCCTGGCAATATATATATATATATATATATATATATATATTTTTTTTTTTTTTTGGTATTTTTGTAGAGATGGGGTTTCACTATGTTAGCCAGGCCGGTCTCAAACTCCTGACCTCAGGTGATCTGCCTGCCTCGGCCTCCCAAAGTGCTGGGATTACAGGCATGAGCCACTGCGCCTGGCCCATTTAATGGATTTGAAAGCAATCACCTGTAGAGCAGCCTACTCTGGAAAATTAATTGCAAAGATATTTGTAACCAAAGAATAGTTAATTATTAAATCATCAATTGTGTTGATCCCTTGGCTGGGACTTAAGGCAGTGAGTCTGTAAGGTCACCAGTGGGCTGCCATTTCATAATAACTTGTGATGATAAATGAGTTTAACTAGATATTTATCTTTTTTTTCAAGAAGCTGTGTCTCAAGAAAGGGTCCTTAGGGAAACACTTTTCTAAGCAAAATTCTGATTATGTTTATCTAGAAATATCTCTGGTATTCACACCCAGACATTCACTTTTCCCCATGTAATTTTGTCTCACCTGATTTATTAATGTTGGCTAATAGTTCCTACTATCTAGAAGTACTACCTGAAGCTTTTCCTTCTATTTATTTATATCCAGTTTATTTTCAGTAAACGTTTGCATTTTCAGTTTTATTTGTGGCAGTTAAATTCTAAATAAGAAATATTTCAGTGAGTCCTCTTCTTAACTTTAATCTAAAAGTATCTGTATGATTACTTGCAATATCTATAGCAGTGATTAATTTCAAGTATCTTGAAAATTAAATAACGTAAATAAGCAACATTTTTGAAAACTGACATATAATTTATATTATTCTAATCTTAAATTTCACTTTCTTGTCACTATGGCATTTGTCAAAGACAAATGTTAGAAGCTGGCTTTGAATAGTGGTGATTCATACCACTATTCCACATGTTCATTATTTTACCTATTGCATTGACACTTAATTCTGTGATCTTTATGTAACCAGAGCATAAAAACTTGAAAAAATAACCAACTTTTCATCATACATTTTTTAATAAAACTATTTTGTTTTCAATTCTTAGTTGAATCACCCTCTATTATATTTAAAGATCTATTTAATAAATAAAAGAATCATAGTTAAATCATAATTTTAAGTAGAGTTTAAATAATGTTGCACTCAGAAGCCAAACCAAATATTTAGTTTGCTAATAGAAAATAATAAAATTTCAAGAATTATATTTTAATTGCAATTGCCATAATCTGGTTTAATCCTAGGTTTGCTCAAAATGTGATCTTAATGAAACCATTTAGTACATGAAATTACAGAATTTATTTTCTGTTTATCTAAAGTCAAGAGTATAGTTTAAAGAGCAAGGTTAATTCTGACAGTGAAGCCACATTTACCAGTGTTTCTGAGGCAAAGGGCTAATGTTATCAACTGGAAACTGACAAATGATTGTTTCAGTCTAACTTTTGAGCTTTATCATTACCCACAACTTCTTTGAAATCTCTCTTCTACTTCAAGGACTACACATAGCATGAAAATTGAATCTTCGGTAGGATTCACAACCAATTCTAGATTGTGTGATTTAAATTATTTGTTCTAAACTTCCATTACTTTGAGAAAACTATGCAAAAAAATTAATGCTAAAGTAAGGTCAATATTTGTGGAATCACATTCTTTAACTCCAAATCTACTGACTATACTGAAATATATCAAGATTTTTTGGCTACGTAGAAGTATTTATGGTAAGTAAAAAGAGAAATCTTTTCAATGTATTTTACTTTTTAAAAAATCAAAAATAATAGTTATATGTGAAATGAAGAAATCCATTAATATACAATAAATTTGCCTAATAAATATATAAAATTTTAATATTCATGAATTTTTTGATACATAGAAGACTAGAAAAAGATAATTTCATCATAAAAGTATCTCATACATTCTTTCTTTAAAAATTTTTTTCTCATAGATCAATTTTTCAACTTAGAAAAATATATATAGAAACATTGACTATTAAGAGATTTTTCATCATAATTAATATAAAATATGTTTATGATTTATAATAAAGAATCCCATAGATATGTTTATAACAATTTCTCCTCAATTATAAAAAATTTACATTGGAATTTTTTAACTTGGTAAATATTGAATACTAACTATCATGTAGGCACATCTAATAATAAAGATGAATAAGTGATCACAACGATCAATAATCTTTAACACTTATTAGAAAAATATAAAAACAGTTGAATATGAAGCCATTGATGTTATAAATACAGAGAGAAAAGTTTGACATGTGAACACTAGGTATACATTTATAATTAAATAAATAGAAAATAAATAAAGCCAATGCAAAATATGTAATTTTAAAACATTGAGAAATGAAGTGGTAACCATCAGATAACAATCTCTAAGTTATGAGATTTGGAAGTTTGATATAAGAAAGATATCAGCTATTGCTAAATTACTTTATGCAATTTCAATATATACATACCAGGTTTTTTTTTTTCCTGGAGTAAATAGTAATTGTAAAGTTCATCTTTCTCAAAAGAAGTCATACATGTGGCCAAAAAGCATACGAAAAAATACTCAACATCGCTAATTGATAAGGTTTGGATCTATCTCCTCACCCAAATCTCACGTGGAATTGGAATCTCCAATGCTGGAGTTGGGGCCTAGTGGGAGGTGATTGGATCATGGCGGTAGATCTTTCATGAATGGTTTAGCACCATCTCCTTGCTGCTGTTCTTGTGACGGTGAGTGAATTCTCAGATCTGGTTGTTTAAAAGTGTGTTGCACCTTTTCTGTCTCTCTCTTGCTCCTACTCTGGCCGTGTGATGTGTGTGCTCTCCTTTCACCTTCCGCCATGGTTGAAAGTTTGCTGAGGCCTCTCAGAAGTGAAGCAGGTGCCAGCATTCACGCTTCTTGTACAGCCTGCAGAACTGTGAGCCAACTAAACCTCTTTTCTTTATAAATTACCCAGTCTTCAGTATTTCTTTAAGCAATGTGAGAACAGACTAATACTCTAATCGTTAGAGAAATGCAAATTCAAACCACAATGAGATACTATCTCACACCAGTCAGAATTATTATTATTAAAAAGTTAAAACAAAAAAAAACAAAACAAAACAGATGCTGGCAATGGGGATCTGGAGGAAAGGGAATGCTGGTGGTGAGAATGTAAATTAGTTCAGCCACTGTGGAAAGCAGCATGGAGATCTCTCAAAGAACTTAAAACAGAACTACCATTTGACCCAAGAATCCCATTACTGGGTATATATGCAAAGGAATATAAATCATTCTTCTAAAAAGACACATGCACCCATATGTTCATCACAGCACTATTCACAATAACAAAGACATGGAATCAATCTAGATGCCCATCAACACTGGCTTGGATAAAGAAAATGTGGTACATATACACCATGAAATACTATGTACCCATAAAAAAAGAAATCATGTCCTTTACATGGATGCAGCTGGAGGCCATTATCCTAAGCAATTAATGCAGAAATGGAAAACCACATTCTGTGCATTCTTACTTAAAAATGGGAGCTAAATGTTGAGTATACATGGACACAAACATGGGAATAATAGATACTAGGGCCTACTTGCCAGGGGGAGGGTAGAAGGAGGGTGAGTCAAAAAATTACCTATAGTGTACTCTGCTCACTACCAGGGTGATGAAATCATTTCTAAACCAATTCCGGTGACATGCAACTTACCTATGTACCAAACCTGTACATGCAACCCCTCAATCTAAAATAAAAGATGACAAAAAAAGTTCATTTTGATAAATAAAATCCAACAACAGTCAAGATAATTTCAAACGTGGGCAGCAATGGTGACAAAATGTGTTTTTAAAAAATACTAGAAGAAAAGAAACTACAGTGATTAACACTGATAGTCATACAGAAATCAACAATAATATTAATGAAATAGAATGAAGAGCCTAAGAAACCTCTGTGTACCTAAGAATTTGGTATATAATAAAGGCCCCATCATATGTTTGCTTGCAAAGAAAGGATGAATATTTTTAACACTGAAAGATGCTTCCTTATAGACTATGCTAACAAAAAATGCATATTTATGGAATTTTACACATCAATTTAGTAGTTAAATGTAAAGTCAATACCTAAAGAATAACAGAAGTGGCTGGGCACAGTGGCTCACGCCTGTAATCTCAGCACTTTGGGAGGCCGAGGCGGGCAGATCATCTAGGTCGGGAGTTCGTGACCAGCCTGATCAAAATGGAGAAACCCTGTCTCTACTAAAATACGAAATTAGCCAGGCATGGTGGTCATGCCTGTGACCCCAGCTACTCGGGAGGCTGAGGCAGGAGAATTGCTTGAACCCGGGAGGCAGAGATTGGGGTGAGCTGAAATCGAGCCATTGCAAACTCCAGCCTGAGCAATAAGAGCGAGACTCCATCTCAAAAAAGAAAAAAAGAATAATACAATTAGGACAAACATTAATAATTATGGTGGACAGTGAGAAATGACCCAAAGGGAAAACATCAAACATATTTGAATACATAAGACTTTGAATTTCTTTTTTAAAAAATGTTTAATTATTATGGATTCATAATAATACATATTTGTGGGGTACATTTTTTTTGATACAAGCTTACAATGTGGAGAGTGATTAGGAGAGTGATTAGTCAAATCAGGGTAATTGGGAATTTCTACATGGTAAACTCATTTTAAAAATTAAAAATAAAAAATTGCACATAAGGTGATTAATAAAAAGCCTGTTATTAACAATAAGAAAAAACAATCTAACCCACAGAAAACAATGAACAAATGGCATGAAGAGACAATTTACAGAAATACACACACAGACACAGATAAATGGCCAGAAGTTATAAATAACCCAAGTTTACCTAATAATAATCGGGAAATTAAAATAGCATAGTTCTTCAACAGTAGAATTACCCAAACAGTAATAATCAATATTGGCAGCATTTGGTGATAGTGGCTTTTTCACAATGCTAGTAGGAGTATAAATTAGAGTGATAACTTTGTAAAATAATATGCCAAGACTTATTATTCAGCCTTAAGAAAATAAGGAAATTCTAACATTTGTAACAACATAGATGAACCTGGAAAACCTTAGGCTAAATGAAACAGTCCAGTTTCCGAAAGACAAAAACTGTATGATTCCATTTATATAAGGTATTAACAATAGTCAAACTAATAGCAGCAGGCAATAGGATGATGGTTGCCAGGAGCTGGGGGAAGGAATAAATGGGGAGCTGGTATAAAGCTTAAGTTAGGCAAGATAAATCAGTTCTAGAGATGTGCTGTACAACATACTGCCCATAGTTAACAATGTGATATTGTGCACTTAAAAATATGTTAAGGGGTTAGGTCTCATGTTAAGCATTCTTACACACACACACACACACACACACACACACACACACACTCTGACACAAGAAAAGTTTTGGAGGTAATGGATATTTTTATTACCTTAATTGTAGTCTTGGTATAACAATCAAGCACATGTATGCCTATGTTCAAACTATCAATTTGTATATATTATGCGTGTGCAGTTTTTGTATGTCAATTATAACTCAATAAAGTTGTTAAAAAATAAAAATCATACAATTAGCTTTGCCTTTATGCTAGTATATTTCTATCTGAATATGTAGCCTAAGAAACTAAAGACATAAGGCCAGGTGCTATGGCTCACACCTGTAATCCCGGCACTTTGGGAGGACGAGGTGGACAAATCACCTGAGGACGGGAGTTCGAGACCAGCCTGGCCAACATGGCGAAACCTTGTCTCTACTGAAAATACAAAAATTAGCTGTGCGTGGTGGCATGTGCCTGTAATTCCAGCTACTCGGGAGGCTGAGGCACGATAATCTCTTGAACCCAGGAGGCAGGGGTTGCAGTGAGCCATTGCACTCCAGCCTGGGTGACAGAGTGAGATTTGTCTCAAAAGCAAACAAAAAACAAAACAAACAAAAAACAAAAACCTAAAGAGATAAAATTTAAGTAAAAGATTATTTACTGCACTATAATTTGTAGTAAAAAGAAAAAAGAAATCAACACCCTCAGTTTGATGGCTTTAAAAAACGGCACAGAAAATAACAAGTGTTAATAAGGATGTGAGGAAATTGGAACCCTTGTGCTTTACTGGTGGGAAGGTAAAATGGAGCAGCCTCTATGAACAACAGTATGGTGTTTCCTCAAACCCATTAAACATATAATTACCATATTACCCAGCAATTCCATCTTTGGGTATAAACCCAAAATAATTGAAGGCAGTCTGAGCTATTTGTACACCCGCGTTCATAGCAACATTATTCACAATAGTCCAAAAGTGGAAGCACCCCATGTGTTCATTGATGAATAAATATGGATAAACAAAACGTGGTATGTACATACAATGAAAAATTATTCAGCCTTAAAAGTAAGGAAATTGTGATGCGTGCTACAACATGGACATTATGCTAAGTGAAATAAATCATCCACCAAAAGGATAAATGCTGACTGCATGATTTCACTTATATGAAGTACCTAGAATAGTCAAATTACTAGAGACAAAAACTAGAATGATGGTTGCCAGGGACTGAGGTGATGAAGGGATGGGAAATTATTGTTTAACTGGTACAGTTTCAGTTTTGCAAGGTGAAAATCTCTGAAGATGGATGGTGTTGCACAACAATGTTAATGTACCTAATGCCACAGAATTGTACAATAAAAAATGGTTAAAGTAGTACATTTAGTGTTATGAATATTTTACTGTAATTTTAAAAATTCAAAAAGAAATCAAACTAAATATTCCATAAATTAATTACTAACTGTGAACATTTAAATAATGAAGTACCTATTTTCTAAATGTTCATGAAAATGCCCTCACTATTATAATTATAAAGATACATTTTGTAAGTAAAATAAATGAGATTTGATATTCTTTTAAAACGTAAGTTAATAGCAGAGTAGGTTTCCTTTGTGGACCTCTTCTGATGTCGAAGCAGATGTTTCTGAAGCCCTGATTGGCCCAAGGGAGATGCACTTTCAATGAAGCAAACTAAAAATGATTTCCTGGATAGCCCCTTTTGGAGGGGAAATGCCTCTTTCCAGATCACCAAAGATCTGAAACATGAAAGTTAGGACATATGTTTCATTTTCTCCTGCAGGGCGGTGAACAAATTTGTAGAAGTAGCTATTCTTATCTCACATAAGAAATTTTGCCCCAGAGACTGCATCTGCATATGAAATCAGTCCCAGTAATGGAGCACATAAAGCTGCTGTGACTACAATGCCTGCAAGGAAAATGTTGAAGGCTTTATAATTTCTCAGAATTCTCTAGAGAGAAAAAGCAAATAAAAAAAGCCCTACCCTTATTATCTAGTCTCTATTCACAACCTTATTTGCTAATAGAGAGGGTGGTCCATTATAAAGGTTTCATTTTCTATTTTATGACTTTATTCATATTATGGTGCTTGAAGCACTGTATAAGGTTTGTCTTTGGGGATTCTTCTATTTTGATGTTTGCTGTGTTTTATAAAACTTGAATTTTGTCATTAATTCTTTATACCAGAATTATGAAATTTGCAAAAATTAAGCTTCTGAAAATATAGACATCATATCTACTGGATAAACTGATAAAACATGGAAGTATTCTGGGAGCTAAAGACGCATCTTGACAACTAGTAAAATAGTTTTTATATGAAAAACCTAACATTGAAGAGTTTGAAGGCATTCTATAGGTAATTAAAATTATGATACACTAGTTATTAGTGATTCTTTCTCGTCAGGCCTAGTATAAATTTAAGGCATTTCAGCCATCAGTGGAAACTGCTATTAGCTTTTGAAACATTGCTGTAGATTTTGCAGTTGATTTAACATCAACTGTAACCATTGTACGTTTGTTCATTTACTCGTTTGTTCTGTGTATAGTCTCAGTTGTCATAAAAGCATTAAAAGATATAATTTATCATTTTCAAGAACAAAGTGATGTTTATTTTGCAAGACAGCAAATGACCAGAGATAATGTGCGAGCGAAAAATGCAAAAAGTATATAAATTGCTCAGCTCAATTTCTAAAAAGCCCATTTCCTTTACAGGATGTGAACTCATATTTGTCTCCACCGGCATAAGGGGACATTTGGTGCCATTTGACAACATTTTCAAGAGATTAACTACTTTTTTCACAAGGAGACCAAAATTCAATAAAGAGATAATGCTCACATATTAAACAACACAGAAAATGCTAGAGCCAACAGACCCAATAAACTGACAGGAAAGGCCATGATTTTGCCATAATAGTGTAAAAAAAACTATGTTTCAGATGTAAATTAAGTACACACACACACACACACACACACACACACACACACACACACACACTCTTTAACTGGCAGCCCTGAATCAATTATAGACCAGCATCTACAACAAATGCATTTTAATATAATTCAGAGTCTCTACCCATGTGGACATATCATCTCCCTTACTGGGGTCCCAGAGTAGGGAAAGGAGATTATTCCTACATTTTACCTATTTCTGTGACTTCTGAATTCCTATTGTTTGTCTAAGATAGTCTAATTCTAGAATTCCCTATGACTTATAGCAATGGATGAGAGGAAGGCGTTGGAGAAATCAGATTCAGCAACTCCATATTAAATTAATATTTAACAGGGATGAAATAAATGCTTTGGCTCACTTTTGAACCTGATGATTGTTTAAATTATAACCCTGAATGTATCACACCATGGAGGCAGGCAAAACTGTACCTGCTTCTACAGAAAGAAAGCCCTGGCCGGGAGCGGTGGCTCACGCCTGTAATCCCAGCACTTTGGGAGGCCGAGGCGGGCGGATCACGAGGTCAAGAGATCGAGACCATCCCGGCTAAAACGGTGAAACCCCGTCTCTACTAAAAATACAAAAAAAAAAAAAATTAGCCGGGCGTAGTGGCGGGCGCCTGTAGTCCCAGCTACTTGGGAGGCTGAGGCAGGAGAATGGCGTGAACCCGGGAGGCGGAGCTTGCAGTGAGCCGAGATCCCGCCACTGCACTCCAGCCTGGGCGACAGAGCGAGACTCCGTCTCAAAAAAAAAAAAAAAAAAAAAAGAAAGCCCTTTCCTATGTACTAGAAACATGAACAGATTTGGGGTGTCAGGTTCTATGTTGGGCTTTGGAAGACATATTTCACTAAGTGGATTCCTATTTCTAAATGATAAAAAAATGATAAAAAACTTCCTTCTCACACAATTTAACACTTTCTTCAAAAACAAAGCCATTAATTGTTTCTCGCCATATAAAGCTTAGTTATGATTAACCAAGTCATTATGCTTCTTTAGTGGTTATCCATATTTTCATATATATTTTTAATGAATTGTACTGGGTTAATAGTGCCAACAGAAATAAAGCTCTATGTATTTAGTCTCTAGTTTTTGAAATCAAACTAAATGGAAGCTAAGAATGGTAGATGGCAGAGTCGAGGAAGAAGAGAAGAATAAATTTCTTTTAGAAATTCGTCAGCTTAGAAATATAATTATTTCTTATAAACAAATAAAACACTTTTAGAAGTATTAAGATTAATATTTACATTCAGAGATCACAGTTCAACTTAGGACAATTAAAAGAAAATAAATGAAGACTATAATTTTCAGAAACTATTCTCATATTAACTGAATCATATGAATATGAAGTTCATATTCTCATGTGAATAGAAATTGTCACATTGACAATATATTCTGAGAAATATACCAATGTTTCTATAAATCTATGCACAAATAAATGTATAACATCCTTATTAATTTTCAACACTGTGCAGACTCTAAATTAAGAGCAATTTATAAAGCACTTTTACATACTTTATCTTATTTTATTCTTATATCAATCCTATGAATGAAAATAGTAATATTCACATACAAAAATATAAACATAATTGGTATCATTAACTTTTTCACCTAGAAGTTCTGTGGTGATTTCCTAGGTTAAGTCTCTAATGGGTTTGAAAAATTAGAATAAGTGAAATTAAATGATATGCCAAAGATCAGTCTGCTAGCTAGTACCAGAGATAGCTTTGACACCTAATGTAATGTCATTTTCAATATATCAAGCTCTTTTAATTAGAAAAGAGTATTTACTTCATCAATTCTATAATGTGCCACCAGGAAGTAGTTCATCCACCTTTCAGAAAAGTCCACTTTGTTCAATGTTAATATTATCTCATCTTTCTCTCTCCTATTTCTCTCCCTCACTCTTCCTTTCATTCACCTTAATGGTCGGTATTAGAAGTTAATTCCCAAACAAGGTCTCTAATTAGGTGCCCTTTCCCTTATTACACATCCAAGTTTCCAACTCCTTTCTGGATATTTTTATCCAAATCTCTTTGTCTGACATATCAAGGTCATAGGATAAAAACTAGATTCATTATTTAAAAATATTCTTCACCCATATGTTTTGCTGTCTTACTCAAGGGCATGTTCTTTCTTTGAGCAGAGGCAAAAATCCTTGGAATCACCTCCAGTTAATATTTCTAACTTACATCCAAAGTGTATTTATTCAATGTTAAGTTTCCTTATTCTTCACCCACCACTCAATGTCTATTTTTGTTTTCATAGGCCTAGTCCTCATCCTCCTCTGAATGCATCATTGTATTAATTTCCTCATTGATTTCTCTACTTCTAGTATCTTTCCTTTTCAAGTCATCAGTCATTGGGTTGAAGAAGTATTACAAAACACAACTAAATAATTTATGAATGTATTCTGTGATATATAGAAGGAAGTACAAATGTTGGCTAATTGTAGTAAAATATTTCATCAAGTCTATCAGAATATGAGTGTGGGAACCAGAATCACAAATGCCCTCAACAATGCACGTCTTTGGGTTTCTGTGTCTGTCTAAATTAAGGCTGCTATAACAAATTGCCATCGATTGAGTGACTTAAACAGCCAACACTTGTTTTTCATAGTCTGGGTCTGGGGAAGTTCAAGATCAAGGAGACTGCAGATCTGATGTCTGGTGAGGGCCTGCTTCCTGGTTTACAGATGTATATCTTTTCATTGTATCCTCACATGGCAGAGAACAGAGACAGAAATCCAGTTACCATGTCTCTTCTTGTAAGAAAACTAATCGTATTCATGAGGGCTCCATCTCATGATCTGATTTCCTCCCAATGGGCCCACCTTTTAATACCATCACATTATGATGGTATATTTAGTCTATAACACTGTCTTCATATAGTTTCTTCCCACACTGAATAAGGCTGACCTATATAACCAATAGAATACTGCAGAAATGAAAATGCATGACTTTCGTGGCAAGATCATAAGCTCTAGTCTTGCTTTTGCCTTTCTCTCTCTTTGATCACTATCTGTGGTAGACGCCAGCTGTGACATTTTGAGTTTACTCAAGCAGCCCTATACAGAGATCCATGTGACAATAAATTAAGGTCTTCAGCCGACAGCCAGCTCTAACATGCTAAGCATGTGAGTGAGCCACATGGAAATGAATTCTCTAGCTCCAGTCAATCCTTCAGATGACTATAGCCCCATCTAGGCTCTTGACTGCATCCTCGTGAAAAACTGTGAGCCAGAATCACCCAGGGAAACCATTTCCCATATTCCTGACCCACAGAAACAATGTGAAAAAATAAATGTTTATTGTTTTAAGCCACTGAGTTTAGAGTATGTTTTTTTAGACAGCAATGGATAACCAATACAATGAGAGCTTTAATTTTATAGGGAGCAAGGTGAAACCCCGTCTCTACTAAAAATACAAAAAATTAGCCGGGCGCGGTGGCGGGCGCCTGTAGTCCCAGCTACTCGGGAGGCTGAGGCAGGAGAATGGCGTGAACCCGGGAAGCGGAGCTTGCAGTGAGCCGAGATTGCGCCACTGCAGTCCGCAGTCCGGCCTGGGCGACAGAGCGAGACTCCGTCTCAAAAAAAAAAAAAAAAAAAAAAAAAAAAAAAAAAAAAAAAATTTATAGGGAGAATTATGAAGCAATGAAATATCACAGAGGATCAAAAGTTACATGCTGGGTATGAGCCAATAGAAGTATATGCTGTGCAAAACACTTCACAAAGTCAGGAGATAAAGGGAGGCCAGGTGCAGTGGCTCATGCCTGTAATCTCAACACTTTGGAAGGCTGGGTGGGATTGCTTGAAGCCGGGTGTACAAGCCGGGTGTTCAAGACCTGGGCAACAAAGTCAGACCCTGTCTCTGCACATTTTTTTTTTTTTTCAAAAATTAGCCAGGCATGGTGGCGTGTGCCCATAGTCCCAGTTACCTGAGAGGCTGAGCCAAGAGGATGGCTTGAGCCCAGGAGTTTCAGGCTGCAAATAGCACCACTGTACTCTTGCCTGGGTGGCAGAACAAGACCCTGTCTCAAAAACAAACAAACAAGCAAACAAAAAAGAAGACGAAAAGAAAGGGAAGGAAAAGTTATTCTGAAACCCCTACTTCGATGTAAAAATCCTATTTAATAACTTGTCCCCAGAAGTCTATTTTATTCATACATGGTTCATGTGTTTGCTACAAATAAAGTAGATATTATCAAAACCTGGGTTGGTCCTAAATTAGAAAGATCTGCCAAGTCACATATCTTTCTTGCTTGTATGTTCGTAGAACATCTGTTTGAGAACTAAAAGTAAACAAAGATAATTTAGTATTTGGCTTTATATTGATAACGACCTAATTTCTCCTATTTTGAAAAATAGTTGTTAAAGATTTCTGGCTTCAAAAGTTTCCTGCAAAAAGTATATCTGAATATTTTAATAACTTTAAAAGAAAAAAGTGCATTTTTTTTCTAATATGTAGACCAGGGTTTCCTGACCCACAGTCGATACATTTTGAGTCAGATAATTCTTTATTTCAGGAGTCTTTCCTCTGTGTTGTAGGATGCTTAGCAGCATCCTTAGCCTCTATTCTCCAGATCTAATTGTACCCCTCCCCCTAAGTCATAATAATAGAAAATGTTTGCAGACATTAACAAATGTGCCCTGGGAAGATACAGTCACCTTTGGTTAAAAACCACTATTATGGGTATAAAGTTGTAATGTAATTTTTTTAAAAAAGAAACTAAAACCGTATTTATTCAACAAGTAGGTATGTTCCCATCTGTTCTGCAGCACTTCATACCTAAGAATGGAATATAAAGAAAATCCAGAACCTTCAGTTTGGATTTTCTGATTAAAAAGTCTGAGGCCATCTGCCATAGTTATAATAATCTGACAGATTGTCACAAATGATCAGCCTAATGTTAGGAATCAATGGGAAATAATATTTTTCGAGATGGGCCTATGATGTCGTTATTGCAAAAGATAAAGAAAGCTTTTAATTAACACACACATACACATACACACATGACACACACACAGAAAAAGCAGCCATTCTTTCTCAGTAATTCTAGTATTTACCGAAATGAATTGCAAATTATTTAGGAAGGAAGAAAAGTAATCTTTTAGCCCTAGGAATGACAGAAATTGTAATCCAAAGCCTCTGTTTCATGGTATCTTTCAAAGTTCAGTGAACAGTGATCATCACCGAAATTAACCAAAGGTCTTAAATAAATTGAGGCCAGAAACTGTTTTAATATTACCTTAAAAGCAGAATATAATTATAAAATAAAACCAATTACATTGGTTACTCTCTCCTACTTCTTAAAGATATTTTGCTGTGAAATGCATTTCACTGTGGCACCGTTGGCTATAGAAAGTTAAATGAATTTTTTTTTAGCATTAGGGACTTTGCAATTTTTCAAATTATTTTGGAATACTTTGTTATAGCATTTGCTGAAAGTATATACATTTTCTATTTTACTTGAATCATTGTTGACTGTCTGTTTTACTTGAATCTTAATTATGAAAATACAAACTGTGTTTTTTGTTTGTTTGTTTTGGTGAGTAATCCTGAAGAAGCAGACTCTGCTACAATGATTTGAGTGTGCGAACCATATTTTCTGGTGAAGAAAACATTGGTAGAAAGGTGGGGGAATAAGACACAGAAGGAGAGGCATACTCAAAGCAATAGAAGCTTAATCCCATCAGCAATAACATTGATAACCACTATGGAATACAGATGCCCTTCTACTTACACTGGGGTTATGTCTCAATAGACCCATCTTAAGTTACAAATATCACAAGTGGAAAATGCATTTAATACACCTGACCTGCCAAAAATCATAGCGTAGCTAACCTATACATGCTCAGAACACTTACATTAGCCTACTGGTGGGCAAAATCATCTAACAGAAACCTATTCTATAATAAAGTGTTGCATATCTCATATAATTTACTGAAAGTGAAAAACAGAATGGTTGTGTAGATACTCAAAGTATGGTGCCTGCTGAACGTGTATCACTCTCTCACCATTGTAAAGTCAAAAAATCTTAAGTCTAACCACAGTAAATCAGAACCATATGTATACCATTTGGTCATCCCATTAAGGAGCAAGGGAGTTGAAGTATAATTTTATAGATCAAACTTCACTGGCCACTGTTTAACAACTGTTGGCAGTAACATTAATTCTATGACAATTTTGGCCTCATGCATAGGCAGGCAAAACCTTCTTCAGTGGCCAGAAAAGGCACTCAGGTAAATATAGATTTGGGCAATTGGCAATCAACTAGTTAGTGAGCTAGAGGGGATATAGATGAAGCACTGACAATATTTGTTACGTTATAATTTATAGAAACAATACTCCCTAAATAGTCCAAAAATACACAATAGTCTAGAAATAGGAAGGAAATACTGCCTTCTTAATTAATATACTCTTTTTAGTTGCAAAGAGGAAATATTTGTCTCTCCATATCAAAATTGTCTTTTACAAGAAGACAAATGAAATTAATAATACAAAAGAAAATCCCCTTTTGTCACTTCATTAATTACCAATACATAGGCTCACTTATTACCTGTTAATTTTTTACTATACTTATTAGTTTTTTAAATGTAAAAAGTTTTTAAAAATTCCTTTTGACTATAATATTAGAGTTAGCAAGTTCACATCGCACAGAAAGTTACAAAATAAAAGTAAACATATCCTCCTTTGAAACTAGGGTGTCTCCTTAATTTCTCTATAAGCTATTAATACTGCTTGTGATTTCTTCCAGAAAACCATATATATGTATGTTTATGCATATATATACGTGTGTGTATACATATATATACACATATATATGTATGTGTGTGTGTGTATATATATATACATCCTTTTTATTCTGCTTGGCATTTTTTTATGCTTCCTGAATTTTGGGATGCATGTCTTTCATCAATTTTTGAAACTGATGAAAAATTTTGCATTTTTGAAAATTCCCAACTAATTTTTTTTTCAAATATTGCCATCTGAAATCCCAATTAGATATACGTTAGTCTGTCATTTTAATCCTCAATGTCTCTTCTTTCATAATTTCCAAGTGTCTCTTTTTGCTGCATTAAACTTAATTTCTTCGTCTTCTTCCAGTTAACTAATTCTCCATTCACCTTTCATCTGCTATTAATTTACCCATTGGATTCATAATTTGAATTATTACTATTTTTTCTAGGTTTATTTATTTTCCTTTCAAATGTACTTGGTCTTCTTGAGTAGTATGTTTTCTGTTCTCATATTTAATTTCTTAATATTTTAAATATACTTATTCTACAGCTTGGAGCCAATAATTTTATGCATAGAGGTCCTGGAACTCGAATAATGCTGGTTGTAGTTCCACTTGCATCTTAGTCATGGGAAATTTTTGAATATATATTGTTGCAATTTTAGAGTGAGCAAATGTTAAGACTATCAAAATGCCATAAATTCCGGGTGTGTGTTTTGTGTTTGCTTTTGCCAAGTACCCTAAGGGATCTACCAGTGTGGGACAACTGTAAATTAATTTATCACCTTAGATAGGTAGTAAACCTTGCACTTAAAGCATCTGAGATGGAGGCCTATGATTATACTACTCATCATTACACAAGGGCATAGCTTTCAAATGTCTGAACTTTATGCAGGAGGTCTTAATTCCTGCTGCCTACCTCTCCCAGTCCCATAGCATTGTTTCCTGTCCTTGGATTCCTGCAAAAGTTCAAGACCCTGATTACTAAATTTCTAAACACACCCAGCCAGTCTTAGCTTCACTGTAGAGTAAATGACTGACTTTCAGGTCTTTTTAATTTAGTTATTTAATTAATTAATTAACTCATTTTTTCAGAGACGAGGTTTTGCTATATTGCCCAAGTTGGAGTGCAGTGCTATTATTCATAGGCGCATTCATTATACACTACAGCCTGGGACTCCTGGCCTCAAGTGAACCCCCCACCTCAGCCTCCTGAGTAACTGGACTTCAGATGAACCCTGCCCTATTTTACTGTTGATCCTTCAAATTTCCTTTCCATTTTTGTGAACTCAATCCTACTTTTCATGTTGAACTACCTTGTATTCAGCATTTCCATTTTGTAAAGGGAGGTTTCTCATAATATGTGGTGTTTTACAGTGTGTGAAATATTTCAGTTCATCTGCTTTTTCCCATTTTTTGCCTGCTGTTAATCCTTATTGTTAATCCTGTCCCTTAAATATCTCCTGTACTCTTAGTATACTATGTGCCCTTGTATGCTTTTCTTTCCTCCATATTCAAGAAATCCATGATAGAGTATTAAAATAATGTTCTAATAAACTCCCTGAATTCATTCACATGTATTGTATTCACTTTTATACCACATCTGCTTTTACAGTTACAAACATTGAAAATATCCTACCCTCAATCGAGCTTCACATGCTGTTGCTATCAGTTTGCTAAGACTTAAAGAATAAAATAATAGGCTAATTCTTTAAAACATCAAATGTGCTCTTAGGGTTAATTTGTAATCTTTAATTCATCTTTCACTAAATTTTTAAGATATTTCTTTGCTCCCCCTATAGATCTCATTTCCTATTTCAATCTGAAATGATTTTCTTTAAACTGGTTTATCCGTTATGGAATATCTCTGCATAATTAACCCATTTCTTCCTCCCTTCTCTTATAAAATAATAATTTGTTTTATGAATCATTCCCTTTTATTTTAAATCTTCAATTGCTCTTTCTCCAACAGATCCTTCATCCCAGTCTCTAATAGTTTGGTTAATTCTTTATAGTAACTGCTCTCCCAGCACTGTGGCAGACACTGGACCTACTATACGAAAACCATCACTAACCCCTTCTTCCTTACCTTCCTCCACAATAAAGACTAGCAAGCCAATAACTCAACTGTACATTCTCCCTTGGAGTCAGAAATAGCCATCCTACATGGTTGTGACCACTGTAACATTGCTAGAAACCCCTGCGGAGAGATTCTGTCATTAAACAAACAGGAGAGCTTGCCAGGAGAAATAACTTGTCTCCACCACTTCCACATTTTCTGCCTGGAATGTGGTTAAGCCTGGTGGAGCAGCACTGTCTTGCAACAGTAAGTTGTTACCTTAAGAGAAAGGTGTAATGCTACAAAAGGTATGAAAGCATTAGAGACTTTGATATACAGAAAAGATATTAGAAAAAGCACTTGAGACTTTGATATATATATTTTAGCCACAGAACTTCCTAGATGCCTCGCTCTAACTTCTTAACGGAATAATAAACCACCATTTAAAAACAAACCATTTGAAAACTAGCAAACAAAAACTACTGTAGTATGGGTTTTGTTACTTGAAAAACCAATGTGTGCACATGTACCCTAAAACTTAGAGTATAATAATAAAAAAAAAAAAAAAAAAAAAGAAAAACCAATGTAATGCTAGTAAAGTCTTTTCTTTGGTCTCTCTCTTCCCCTACACCGAACTGACAAAAATTAAAACATCAAACAAATTATACATGCTTGCTGTCTCTATTTCTTCACCAACCATTCACACAGAGCAGTAGTCACAAACTGGTGGCCCTTAGGCATTTTAGTGACATGAGTGCTTGGCTCTAAAGAGTTCATATAAATTTTAAATTAGTTACCAACATTTAAGCATTAAGAAAATGTTAGCTTTCTGGATTTCTAGTTTCATAAAAAAATAAAAAGGTAACATTGAACTGACTTATACTTCCTGAGAGCAACACTCAGATTGAATTGTTTAATGGATCCTTTTGAAATCAAAGTGAGCAATATAATAGAGAAAAGGCAATTTCAACAAATCATGTTGGAACAACTGGACTTTCACCGCAAAAAAATATATAATCTAGACACAGATCTGACATTCTTCACAAAAATTAACTCAAAATGGACCACAAGACCTAAGCATAAAATGCAAAACTATAAAACTCTAGAAAATAACATGGGAGAAAATCTAAATGACTTTGGATATAGAATTTTTTTTAGATGTAACACCAAAGGCACAATCCAAAAAAGAAATAATTGATAAACTGGATTTCATTAAAATTAAAATTTATTCTCTGGGAAGACACTGCTAAAAGAATGAGAAGACAAGCCACGCATTGGGAGAAAATTTTCAAAAGATACAACTGATAAATGACTGTTATCCAAAATATACAAAGAACTCTTAAAGCTCAACAATAAGAAAACAAACAACAATATTAGAAATAGGCGAAAGACCTAAACAGCCGCTACACCAAAGAAAATATACAGATGGCAAATAAGCATATGAAAGATGTTTCACATCCTATGTCACTAGGGAACTGCAAATTAGAACAATGAGATACCACTGGACACTGTTTAGAATAACTAGAATTCAAAACCATGACAACATCTAAAGCTGGTAAGGACGTAAAACAAGGGGAATTTTCCTTTGCTGGTGGGAATGCAATACGGTACAGGCACTCTGGAAGATAGATGGACACTTTCTTACAAAACTAAATTAACTAAAAGTTAATACCCTTAACTCCAATTCTCACTGCCCTAGAAATGGCTCACCAATTTCTCCAAACCTGACCACTCTCAGGCATTAGTTCCATGTTACCAATGCCTGCTGGAATTCCAACTGAATGTTCTACAGTCTGCAAAGTTCACATATCCAAAACCCAACTCACCATCTTGGCTACAAGGTTGGTCTTTTTTGTGTGTTTTCCTTCTTCCTCTTAATGACACCACCATCCTACAAGTACCCATTCACCCTGTAACTGATCTTTTGCATCTAATCCTTCCCAACCATTTCTATGAACCCACCATATTTGTGTCATTAATATCTCTTGCCTGTATCACAGCAGTAATGATGCAGTCATTTTTAGTATCTTCCTTCCACAGTTCTTTCTTGATGCTTCTGCCACATTATTCTTAAAGTAGAAATTTGATAGTTACTCTCCCACTTAAATATTAATACTTTGACTGTTTTGCCACTGTCTAATCTTAGCTCGTATATGTTCTTCTATAGTCTTGCCCAAATATATCCTCCCAGGTTTATATTTCTGAGGTATTCTCTGAGCATTTCCCCCCAATCCTCATGCCCATTTTGTTTCCTGAGAGCCTCTTGTTATTATTCACTATCTTGAAAATGTCTTCCTTTCAGCTGCTACACAAACTGCTTATGCCCATATATGTTATTCAGGACCGAGAGTATCTTTTAAAATTTTAAACAGTTATTTAAATGCAGACAGTGAGACATGCCCTTTTCTATACATCAACAAAGTCATTCAATGTAGAGACGCTTCGGAGTGTAGCATAGAGTTGTGGATAAACTCACAGGCTCTGGATCAGACTGCTTTTATTCAAATTTCATTTTTACTACTCACTTGGGTTTTTAAATCTGTGACTCGATTTTATTATCTGTAAAATGGGGACAATAATATAATCAAACATTCAGTGTTTTTCTGAGGTTTAAATGAATTAATACATGGCTATAGTCAGCACTAAGTACAGACTCAGTACCAGAAAGGAATAGGTAATCAATAAATGTAGCTGTTATTATTATTATATTCTAGTGAGGGAAATCAGACAGGAAACAAGCAGTTACATAAACAAGTGGGTGTCAAACAGGAACAAATGTAATGAGGGAATACTAAACCAAGTGAAGTGATTGACAGGAATTCTGGATAAGAAGGCAATTAGATTGGATGGTCAGGGAAGACATCTCTGAACAGATAACATTGGAACACTAAGCTAAATTACCAAATATACCCAGTCCCCCAAAGATCCAAAGTCATGGTCTTCCAAGCAGAAGGAATTGCAAAGTGGTGTCATTGAACAACATGAAGGCCAGTGTGCCTGGAACTTTGCTGAGAAATGGGAACAGAGTCAAGAAATTAGATCAGAAAGATGGGCAATCAACCTGTCATGTAGGCCGTTGCTGGTAACTGTTATGCTTTTATTATGCTTTTATTCTGAGGAGAAATGAAAGCCATCAGAATATTTTAAGAAAGGGCGTGGCATGATCATACTGACTGCTGTGCAGAGGGCAAGAATGGAAGAAGGAAAACCAGCCAGGAGGTCACTGCAGTCAGCCAGGCTAGAGAAAATGACACTCGTCCTCTTTTATAAGCTGGCAACATGTCTTTTTTACTTTAGAAGTACACTTATTTGATTATGAATAAGGTTGAATATGTTTTTGCCCATTTATTTGTCTTTTTTTTTTTCTTTTCTGGTAAGAACACTCAACATGAGATCTACTGTCTTAATACATTTTTAAGTACACAGTACTATATTGTTAACTATAGACATGTTATATAGCAGATCTATAGAACTTACTCATCTTGCATAACTGAAACTTTACATCCATTGGACAACTTCATTGCCTTTTACAAACCAACTCAAAAAAATACCTTTTTTGTTTTAGAGGCTCTCTTGATGCTCCTTTAAATCATCATGCATCTGTACTTTCCTTTTGGCACTGGATGCATAATAACTCCTTTGGGTGCACTTCTTCCTAAGTATCCTGTAAGCTCCTTGTAGGCAGGATTTATATGATATGGACTTCCGTGTCTCCAATTTTGTGTTCTAACTGTCTTCTGGAGAAAGTAATTTTGTGTACTTGTTTAGAATCAGGTACCAAAAAGTTATAAAAATTCACAGTAAAATATTTGCACTGCATTGATATATTTATTTCAATATTTATTTGAAAATTAAATGTTGTGGAGATAAAAAGACATACTTTTTGAGGTTAAAAAAGAACAAATTAAGTATTAATTTCAAAAATCAGAGTTAAAAGCACACATTATTGAAGCTGAAAGTGTTGAAAATCAAATTAAGTAGCTCAGCTAATGCTATATTGTTCAGAAAATAAGGTAGAGAATATTTAGCTTTCTACATTTCTCTACCAATAAGGTAGAGAAAATAAAATAAATATATGCTCTATTTAAAAGAGTGAGTTGTAAACCAATATACTCTATTTTGCAACATTTGTGCAAAATGAATATGAGCAATTGTAGAGAGATTTGCTGTGGCTTCAGAAAAAAGCAACCAGTTCCTTACTTTACAATAGAATGGTTTCATATGCAAGCTCTTTAAATTTTTATATGTTGGTTCATTAAATGTTTTAGCACAACAGGAAGGATTCATGTCTATAAAGTAAGATCTTCTTAATGAGAGATAAAAGTGCATTTTTGCATGAAGAAATTGAAAACTACGTTAAAAAGATGAGATGTTTTTCTATTTAAAAATGTTTCTTAAATTTTTTGCTGAAGAACATCAGCCTAATATTGGTAAACACATGATGTGTTTAGCAGTCTAGAAAAGTTTTTTATGAAATGATTTTATTTGAGAAATTTTTAGACTCAGTTATCCATATATAGGTACATCTATGTAAATGCCACACATAAATATAATTACAAGTTTATAAAAATCAAAGATGTACAAAGACTGGCAGACAATTCTGATAAGATAGTGAGGCAACAGGTTATTTTTCTTAATTCTCTAATTTTTATACAAAAAATAAAATTTAAAATAAACATTTTTTCACTTGGTTGACTACTTACATCTCTAAGTCCCTTCATTATTCTTTAAAGAACAAAATCCGTTATAGAGATCCCTCTATATTCTACTGTAATCTGCAATCATATTCATGGTATTGTGAAGAATAAAAAACATAGTGAGAAAGGTTGGAAGTCAAGCCTTGTATAATGTTCTTATCCACTGTAACTTAACAAGAGCAAGTATAAAGGAAAACTACATTTAAAACTTCAATTTCTGTGGAGAAGACATTTGACAACTTTAATAATATGTACTTAATTGGCCTGCTAGGACACAGGATAGTCAATACATAAACGTAATTTGAGATTACAGTCTAAAATCCTGAAGACAACACATTTCAGCTGCTTGCTCTGAGTGAGTTCTCTGATTATTACCAAAAGCCCTTCATCCAATTTACTTGGCAATTGGCATTTGCTATCTCCTATTATGGGTATGGAAATTTTACTGGACTGCTTTCCTCTCATACTGATAAATGTTATCCTCCCTACCCCATTACCTTCTTTTTCTGGAAAATTTCTGGAGCATAAGCAGTAAGATCAAATATATTTATCCTTTGTTGAGGGTTGAAGGAAAGTTGTAGTTTCCCAAAGTTTAGTTGATCATCATATTTGAAGTTTTCTGTAAAGTGTATTACATGGTGAGGCCTTATCTTGCTGATAGGAAGAAAAGTTTTGTAGAGGAAATTCCTTAATAAATTATAACAACCTTGGTATTTTCTGTGGACTTCCTTGTAAGAATTTCCTTAGACGAAAAGAGAGCATAACCTATCTAGTGTAGTTCTTTAAATGTTAAATTTTGGTCCCAACGGCCATTTCTTCTTTCATAGAAGAAAATAAAAAATATTTCCTACCTGCTAAAGTCACAGAGGAACTGCATGAAATGAGTGTGTATACAGTAACGGTGCGTTGCTCCATTTCCTTTCTTTGGATTCATCATCCTGTTCTTTTTTGCTGCCGCCTCTTTCTTGCCTACCATTTGCTTTAGAAATTTTTGGGGGCTATCCACAGGGGCTTTTTTACTAATTTGATTCTTGCTTTCTGGTGATCTATTCATTCCATAATTTCACCAAGAAGCGCTAAAGACACTTTCAATTCAATATGCCTAAACTGTGAACTATGATTTTCTACTAGTTATTCTCTGTATATTTCCCACTATGAATGCAGTCATCCAGACCAGAATCCTTGGAACTGTCTCTTCCTCTCCCTCCATTTCACGCTCTCCTCTTACTCGTCATTATATTTATTCTCTAAATATCACTCTTTCATCTCTCCATCATTATTGCATTACTGAGGTCGCTTGCCCTTTCTGGCTTGACTATTTTGAATCATAACTGATCAGTCTGCTGGTAATAGAAGAGCTTTTCAATTCTACAAAGAGCTTTTTCACAGTCAGCAAAGTGATCTGTCTGCCTAAAGCATAAATCTAAATGTCATTTTCCTGCTGAAAAGTCCTTGATGGCTGCCCGTTGCAAACTGCTTTTCATGGTACATGAGTCCTTAATCATCTGACTCCTAACGCCAAGCTCTATCTTCCTGAGTTTATTACCAACTTTCCTCCCCCAATATATCTTGCACCAAGCCTTATAGTGGGGACAATCTAATCACAGCTCCACCACACAGGGCAATCTACGCAAATACAAATTCCAGGAGCACATTTGAATAGCCTAGCTCTGATCATTTGTTCAGCCTGCAGAGTGAATGTAATGTCTTCTAACTGAATCAAATGATGAAGATGTAATTCCAGTAAAGGGTACTGGAAGCTCTTACAGAGAAAAAATGGATAGGCAATCCAAAGCAAACGAAACAAATAAAAATTTAAATATATATATATGTCCACTATACCATAGGCCATTAAATATTTTCTGTAAATAGTTTAGGCTTTTTGATCCATACAATCTCTGTTTCAGTTATTCAACTTTCCATTGCAGCACAGAAGGAGCCATACATAATACATAAAGAAATGGATGAAGTTATGTGTCAGTAAAATTTCATTTGCACAAACAGGTGATGGGTGAGGTTTGCCCTGTGAGTTGTAGCTTTACAATTCTTGCAATATCCCATAGCATTATGACTTCAAAGCATTATACCTGTGGATAAATTAAAATATTGTTATATGTTTAATAAGTTATGATGGGAAACAGAAAAAGTTATATAAAACTGTTTGATATCTTTCAAATGAATATAGGAATTAGATGGTCTCTATGAACAGAAAGGGACAACTAGAAGGAGAAATTAAGCTGAAAAAAATGAGATGAAAAGACAATTAAAAGGGGTAAAAAAATAAAGATGGGGTAAGAAGTATTTCAAGATGCCGAAATTTTAATGATAGACTTATTGTCTACTTTTTAAACAAAACAACAAAACATAACAATGGCCGAATCTTCAGCCACAGAAGAAAATCTGCAAATAATTCTTCTAGTAGGTAATAGAAAAATATAAAGGAAAGCTACAACATACAGGAACTAGAGAGTGAACTTGAAAACATTTCTGCCTCTGAGAAAGAAATCAGAATAATTTTCTTAGAAATAACATTTAGACCTTAAAAATAAATAAGCAAAAACTGAAGAATCTGAAAATCATGGGAAGAAAATGCACTATAATGTTTTTAGTTTTAGAAATACAATCTTAGAAAATAGGTTAAAATGAAAAAAGTCAAAGAAGATATATTGTTTTAAAATGAAAAAAATGAAGAAACATATGGCAAAAAGTACAAGAATAATTATAAAGGGAATATTATGTAGTCATGAAATAAGAAGATACTTTTTAAAAGTCATGTGGAAATGGTATACTATATTTTTCAATTAAGAATCCCCAAATATAAAAATTTTGTATGTTAAATTTCAACTACTTAAAAATTTACCAAACGAAATAGAACAAAAAGATTTATGCTTAATGTTGGCATGTTGCTTTGGACTTCCAATGTGGGTGTTTTATTTCTGATTTCTTTCTTTTTTTGAATTTTTAAGGAAACACAAGTAAAAAACAGAAATCAAAACTAACAATATACATATGTATTTTCAATCGGGTAATCAAATAATTGAGTGTCAAATGATCTAAAGTTTTGGAAACTAGGGAAAAAATGAATTTTAGATCCCATTTTCAAAAACGAATGTGAAATAATGAGGAAAAGTGAAAGATAATTGGAAGAAACAGGAATTTTCAGATGATTAAAGATTTTCTTAAGTTCTATATTCCTTTACTTAATTATATTCTAACATATGTAATTTCCATTATAATAAGTAAACATACAGGGCAGGAGATAAGAGAAGTCTGTGAGGTGAAAATACATGTTATACCTCCTACCACTCTTTTTGTCTTCAATATAACACTAAAGGATATACTACAAAGTTGCATAAAAAATAATTTTACTCAGAACCTGAAAAATTTGAGTCAGCACTTCAAAGCTCTGACAGTGTTTCCTTGCATAATTTAATTGAGAATTTCATATTGAGTCCAACTGAATAGCATCCTCTTGGCCTAGAATTATATCCGTATCTAACTTCTGCTCAGGAATTAATGATCATTAGTGATGTCTTTCAGACCAGATGTAAAGGCAAATGAAAAATCTCTTCTTTTCTACACATCGACTTCCTTCTCTCCCCCCTGCCTCTTTTGTATCAGGCAACATGATATAAGGATTTAATTCAGGTCAATCTCTTACTAATCCACAGCGTGAAGCAGAAAGCGGTATTGCTAAGGGGTCTGTACCAGTATTTAAGCTTGCTTAATTTTCCAGTAAGCTTTAATATCATCGCCTAAGACCTAAGAATCAATAATGAGGGGCTCATCTTCATAAAGTCACTTGAAAAATAAGTCTTTTTGCCAGTGAGGCATTTTTCAGCAGCCCTCCCACCCACTCTACTATCCTACAAAAGCATATGTGCCATGTTTGCCTTCTTTGAAATAGAAGCAAATTCTTTATGTCAGAGCACTGTGCATGAGAAGTTCACTTTTTTCCAACTGAGCTATATTTAGGGACAAAAACACACAGATGGAATAGAAACAGGATTTCATTTTTCTAAGTATGCAGAACAATGAAATAAATTATATACTTTATAAATACTATCATTGGCTTTTGGAGTTTTTGTCCTCTAGAACAATTTGAAGTATGCATAACATAGGCTGCATGGTATTCTATCTAAAAGTTAGAGGACTTACAGGTGAGTTGTTTTTTAAATATATTATATTTTAACAGAACGTCACAGGGGTTTTTGTTTGTCTTTAACCGAGTTTTATAAAAGATTTGAGAGAGATCTTTCTGTTTCAAAAAATTACAGCATTCTAAGTGAAATTAGCATCCCAAAATTAAAAACATACATTTGTACACATATACAAACATGTGTGCACACATACACACACAAGCATGCACATAATTCTTGTCATTTTAGAGAGAAAAAATAATATTAAAATATAAAGAGTTACAGTAATATTCTTATAACCCCGAGCTCTACCCCTACTGGTATCAGCAAGCCATTTATGATTTATGATAGGATAGTGTCAAAAGATGATGGTATCCTATTTGTAGGAAATCACACAATTAAATTGATGTTTTACAAATAACAGATGGCCTTTAGTCACTTTCCCGGGAATGACATGACGAAAACAAACTTCAAAATCTAGTACAATTTGTAGGTCGCATTCATTATGTTGTATTAGTCCCTAGTTTTATGTTTTACAATGTATGATTGAAATAAAGATATTTACTTATAATTCAAACATATATTCTATTACAGAATAACTTGCATATAAAATTTACAAATAAATATACATATGTCAGAGGGTTCTCTGCTCCCTTACGCTTCTGCTTCCTGAAAATGATAGAAAGCAAAAAAACTGAAAATAAGAGGTGAGTGTTCAATGAGCTGCTGGAGGAAGAGGCCCTGGGAAATGTGATATTTGGGAAAAGACAGGAGCAAAAATATGGGATCAAGGAAGATCCAAGCGAGGAGTCAGCAAACAACTAAGCAAAAATTCATCAACTTCAATATTATATATAAAGTCAACAAATCAATTATTTTAAAATGAAGTTTTAATCATTATAAATTGTAATGCTCCCAATTATGCTTAAGCTGTTTCCTGTAACTGTGCTAAAACATGTATTTTTGGTACTTCTTTGAAATTAAATTAGCCATATATATATATATATATATATATATATATATATATATATATATTTGGATCAGTAATGATCTATACTACAAAAGTGTAACGATGTAGACACTTAGGAAGCATTGATTAATCTTCATCGTCTCGTGTGTTCTAGGCTTTGAATCATATGAGTTTCATGTGTATATTGCTTTAATATATATTTGTATATAATTCTAGACCCTTTCTACTGATATATATTTCTATATTTCTATTCTTGTGACAAAATTTACTGTTTTACCTAAAATCATATCCATTAAATTTTAATATCTGGTAAGAAATGTCCATCCACTTTGAAAAAAAAAGGATACTGGCATTTCTTTTGTATGTACTCCGCACATAAACTTCAAAATAATTTTGTACAGCTCTCGACAGAAATCCATTGCTATTGTAATTGCAATTTCATCACACTTTCATATTAATTTGAAAAGAATTTTTATTTTTCTAATATTAAAATTTCCATCCAGAATACAGCATATTTTGCTATTTACTTTATGCAGTCTTTGTTTGATGTTTTCAATAAAATGTGTGTTTTTTTTTCATTTAGGTCTTCCTTTTCTCTTGTAAGATTATCTCTAAGTATTTCACGTTTATTACTATTGTTATTTTATAGATAATGGGAAAAGTAATTTTTCTTTTCTATGTTTACACAGTTACTTCAAAATAACAACTATTAATTTGTATATTTATCTTACACCCAGGTACTTATCAAACTTTCTCATTAATGTTAATGTTTTTTATACTATGTTAGGTTTTGTACAGTCATTTTTCTATACTATGTTAGTCATTTACTATCCTATGTTAGGTCTTGTACAATCATTATATCTGTAATAAGGTTTAAAGTGTATACTAAAATAGCACTGTGGAATTTCCGCTAAAGTATTTAAATGTGAATAACAATTTTAATGTGTGGCAGGTAATTTTTTTTCATTTCTGATTTGACTTGAATGTCTGAAAAATCCCTAAAAGCAGACAACTAATAGATAACATTATTTGGGGAAACACTATGGTTAAACTCCCCAGACATCCTGGGAATTCTCATATTTGAAACTTTATGCCAATCAAAACAATTCATTGACTAGTGAAATATATATGTGTATATCCCCCAAATATGTATTTTATGTTTATTTTCTTACCTTCTGTCCTCTAACAGAAATACAAAAGTTTGCTTTCAAATTTATCTGGTATCATATTTCATAATGCTGTTGTTAATTATGGATAACACATTTAAGCCATGTGTTATTTATGACAATCTAATTTCCACATTACTCATTTTGCTTTCTTAATTTTAATTTTCTTTCCTTCCCTCCCTCCCTCTTTCCTTCTTTCCTTCCTGCCTTCTTTGCTTTCTTTCTGCCTCTCTCTTTTTTTTTTTTTTTTTTTTTTCAGACAGGGTCGTGTTCTGTAACCCACGCTGGAGTGCAGTGGCACAATCTTGGCTCACTGTAGCCTTGACCTCCTAGGTTTAAGTAATCCTCCCACCTCAGCCTCCTGAGTAACTGGGACTACAGATGCACATCACCATGTCTGACTAATTTTTTTAATATTCTTGTAGAGACAGAACCTCACTATGTTGTCCAGGATGGTCTCAAACTTCTGGCCTTAAGCAATCCTCCCACCTCGGCCTCCTAAAGTATTGGGATTACAGGCTTGTGCCACTGTGCCCAGTCTTGATTTTCATTTTCTAATAAGAGATGCTTGTGGAATTTCATACTCATTAGCATGCTAAATTAATTTCTAAATAAAAATCTGACATCATTCTCAGCCAGACATCACTCCCATTAATGGCCTTGGAAAATAACTATTTTAGTCTTATTTAATGTTTGACTTAATTAATACAGAGTCATCTAGTTGCATTTAATTTAGGATATCGCTTAAGAGATTAATAATATTTTAAATAACTTGTCAGAGAAAATTTCTCAGCCATCTCGAATTTCACTTTAAAAAATCTGAAATATAGACATTGTGAGCAACATGAAGATAGAAAGTCAAGGCAGGGCAAAGGCACTGATCAGAATTAATGCACAGTAGGATTGCAAGTTGTATAGGATTCACCTAACCATCTTTGTTCCATTAAGACAGAAGACAGCATGATTATTAGCACTAATTTTATCTTCTTACTACTATCATACATTTATCTGGTACTTATTAACTTTTGATAGAAATAAATACGCAATTTGGGAGGCCGAGGTGGGAGGATCACTTGAGGTCAAGAGTTCAAGACCAGCCTGGCCAACATGGTGAAACCCCATCTCCACTAAAAATACAAAAAAATACCCAGGCATGGTGGTACATGTCTGTAATCCTAGATACTCGGGAGGCTGAGGCAGGAGAATTGCTTGAACATGGGGAGCGTAGGTTGCAGTGAGCTGAGATTACATCATCGCACTCTAGCCTGGGCGACAGAGTGAGACGCTATCTCCAAAAAACAAAACAAAAAAAGAAAAAACAAAAAAAAAAAGAGAAAGAAATATGCAAATAAAAATTGTACAAAACATGTGTCTGAAGAATGCTCACAAATTGAGGACACCTGTGTCACTATTATTTAGGTGATTTGAACAATATTGTCATTTTTTAATGAAATACTTTTAACACACATGAGATTAGAACTGAAAAATGTGAACATACTTTTATGCTGTTAATTGGTAAAGTTGGTATCTAACTGATGATTCAGATGATCTTTTTAAATTATTTATTTTTGCAAATCAAAAATGACACCATGCAGATATATTAGATACATTCATATTTTTTAGAAAACAGTACTCTATAAAGGTGGGCTACTAAACATTTTAGCAAGTAATTTAAAAATCATTTTTTCCTGCCTATTTATCTATTTAGTATATGTATTTTGGTTTAAAGTTGAGAATTTAGTTGAACAACTCTTTTTTTTTTTGAGACAGAGTCTCACTCTGTCACCAGGCTGGAGTTCAGTGGCCCAATCTTGGCTCACTACAACCTCTGCCTCCCGGGTTCAAGTGATTCTCCCGCTTCAGACTCCTGATTAGCTGGGACTACAGGCTCACACCACCACACCCAGATAATTTTTGTATTTTTGGTAGAGATGGGGTTTCACCATGTTGGCCAGGATGGTCTCGATCTCTTGACCTCATGATCCACCCGCCTTGGCCTCTCAAAGTGCTGGGATTAGAGGCATGAGCCACCGCGCCCGGCCTTACCAACTTTTATGATTAAAATCACCAAGAAAGAATCACTGTTTTAGCTGCAAGAATACTTAGTAAAAGCATACGGATTGGCACAAATAAGTGCTTTATCTTCCAGTGGAGAAACTTCTTTAGCACTGATGTTCTTTTTATTTGTAATGACTTAATATGTAAATCATAAGGATTTTGATTTATAATGATTTTTAGACTACATCACATTCTAAATCATATTACTTCAAAACCACATTAGTAAAATATTAATGCTCATTTAATAAACCTATTAAATCATGTATAACAAGAATAAAAATGTATCTTATTAGAAAGTAATTTTTTTATTCTCAGAGTTTTCATCAATCTTCTTAAATAAATATGCCTATGGTATAAATTCACTTATTCCTTAGATCACATTCCTCAGTGTCATCCTAAAGCAGTCAACTGTATTGTTTATTGACAGCAAAAGAAATAAGCATATTTTGGGTTTTTTCTCTCATACTAATAGTTCCTATGCATATTGACACAATTTGTTTTTTGCTTAATGATTATCATACACAAAGCTACACAAAGCTAGATCAAATTGGCACAATATAGGAAGAATTTTGTTATATGAGAAGACATTACAGAATGAGAGAGTTTAGGTCTGCATGTGATTAGACAGAAAAATCCAGTTCACTTGTTTTGATTATTGAAGCTCAAGATTACACTATTAATTAGCAACCAAATTGTAGATTTTGCTACTGTAGCGCACACATTTAAAAATAACATAGAACAAGGCTCTTCTGTTCTTTCTTTGAGATAGGAAAACCCTTAAAAGGTGGTTAACTGAACCAGGAGAGTGTAAGGCGCTGGCTTCACTATGTGCACTGAGATCACAGGAAGAAGGTGCAGAAATCCAGGAGGAGAGGAGTCGAGCACTTGAGACCAGCCTAGAGGGAAGACTGCAGGAGTCTAGAGAAGCCCCTTGTCCTACAACAGTTCAAAAAGTTACGCTGCTGTCCATGGACATTTGGGTTGTGAAACATAACGAAACACTATTCAGTCTTTAAAAACATCCTATTTGAGCCAGGCGCGGTGGCTCACACCTGTAATCCCAGCACTTTTGGAGGCCGAGGTGAGAAGATCGCCTGAGGTCAGGAGTTTGAGACCAGACTGGCCAACATGGTGAAACCCTGTCTCCACTAAAAATACAAAAATTAGCCGGGTGTGGTGATGGGCGCCTGTAATCCCAGCTATTCGGGAGGCTGAGGCAGGAGAATCGGTTGAACTCGGGAGGCAGAGGTTGCAGCCAGCCAGGATTGTGCTGTTGCACTCTAGCCTGGGCAACAAGAACGAAACCCCATCTCAAAAAAGAAAAAAAATATCGTATTTGTAATAACATGGATGTACATATTGGACATTATGCTAAGTGAAATAAGCCAGCCTCAGAGGGCATTTACTGTATGATTCCATTTATACAAGGTATCTAAAGTAGTCAAATTCATAGAAGCAGAGAATAGAATTTTGGTTGCCAGGGGCTGAGGGGAGAGGGAAATGGAGAATTGTTTTTCGATGAGTATAAAGTTTCTATTATGCAAGATGAGTAAGTCCTAGAGCTCTTCTCTACAACATAGTACCTATAGTTAACAATGCAGTGTTGTGCACGTTAATAAAAGAGGATAGATCTCATGTTAAGTGTTCTTACAACACACACATACACACACACACAAAGAACACAAAGAAATTTCTGGAGGTGCTGAATATATTTTGCATCTTGGTCAAAGTGATGGTATCAAGGGTAAACATATATGTCCAAACTCATTAAGACATATGTATTGGCCAGATGTGATGGCTCACGCCTGTAATCCTAGCACTTTGGGAGGCTGAGGTGGGAGGATCTCTTGGGCCCAGGAATTCAAGACCAGCCTCGGCAACAAGGAGACCCCATTTCAAAAAAAATTTTTTTTTAATGAAAACAAGATGTATGTATTAAATGTGTGCCATTTGCATATTAGTTATAACACAATAAAGCTAAAAAATAAAAAGAAGTTATGTTGCTGGATGTAATACTAGGTGTTTATACTGCCTCATAATTTCCTTCCTTCCTTCCTTTCTTCCTGTCTTTCTCTCTCTCTGTCTTTCTTCCTTTTTTTGTTAACTGAGAACTACTCTTTTCTAAGGACCAAAGTAAGTCTTTTACATACATTACTTAATCTAATGCTGACAAAGCATGTGCGAAGTATGGATAAGTGAATTGAAGCATAGAGGGCCTAAGAAACTTGTCCAAGGTAACAACGTTAGAAAGTGCCAGAAACAAAATTTTAACCCTGGTGCATATGAGTTCAAAAGTTCCAGAACCCCTCAAAATATCGTGGATTCTATAGTGCTGTAGTCTATATTATTAAGTTAAAATTTTAAATTAGCATATAAAATATTAACACATATAACTTCAAATTTATAAAAGGTTTTCCAAAAGAACTGGAAAAAAAAGAATACATTTTGTTTAGATGTGGAAAATGAGTAGCTTGAAAGTAAAGCCAAACAACAACAAAAACAATGACAAAAAATCTGTATGTCGTAATCATGTTTTTCTAATTTGTTGAAGAGTAATACATTTTAAAACTCTATGTACTGTTCCAGTCAGGCAAAGCTTACCACAAAATTAAAGTAACACATATTTAAGAACATTTAGGCATATTCTCACACTGCATAGTTATCAGGAATAACATTAAATCAGTTGACATAAATTATTTTACTATTATTTTTTACAATGTGAATATATTTCATTTCAGAGTAAGTATTTCAATATGATGTTAAAGGTTATTTATATTGACAGCTTTTCTGCCTATTGTGTAGGATGTAACAATTTCTAACCACAAAACTTCCGTCACAAGGCTGACAATTTTCTCAAGGCTGAAATTTCCTGGTTTTAGAGTATGAGAAATTTTCAACTTAATTATTCCCTTGCTCCATACTTAGGAAATCATTCAAAATCCATCTCCTTTCCAAATCAAGGTTCCTAGGGTTTAAATTCCTCCAGCATAGATGTAGGTTTGACCCCTGCATTATCATTGTGAATTTCATATACATGCATATACCTGGCCCACCCTACTATACTATTTAATTAAAATCTTTTGGTGTAAGGAAAGGAGATATGCATTTTTATTATTTTCTCATGTGATTCTGATGCAGACAAAAGTTTGAGAAACAACATCTGTGTGTTGAAGGCCTTGAGACTGCAGACCTGAGATTTTGAATGTGTGATCACTAAACTGTAGGGAAGCCAAGGAGGGACATGGTAAGAAAGGTCTCTGGATCCTGGGGAATCAGCTCATTTAGATTTAAAAATAATCAGAATAAATAACAGAGAAGGATAGAGAGACAGAGGTTGAGTTAAGAGTGGGCCAGAAAATAAGTTATATATTCTGGTTCTGCTCTTTCTAATCTGTGTGTTTTTAAGCAAGTTAGTTAACATTTTTATGATTAAAGTGAGGATATGGAAGTAACTAATTTATAAAATTCTGTGTCTATATGTTTTAAATTCCTTGATGTATAACATTAACACTTACTAAATGTTTGTTAAATATTTCCACTAATATATATTCAGTCTTCCATCCTTCAATCCATCCATGCAGATTTAACTAGTATCTGCATCCTAAAATGTGTGAAGTTCCGTGCTATGTTATCAAAAAACAATAATGAGAAAATCTAGACATAACATTTCTTCCTTTAGAGATCTTAGACTCTTGGAAAGAATATAGATACTAGTCAAATAACCATACATATATTAAATAACATCTGTGATCATACATATATTAAATAACATCTGTGATAAATCTAGAAAAGGAGAGGTGGATGGAGCCAAGGGCATATGTAATAAGATAATTTGGTAGGGAGAGGACAGTAAATGTTTTCCTGAGAAATCTAAAGGAAGAAGAGGAGTTAAGAGGGTGAAGGTGGGACTTTTTCAACAGGCAGCAGCATGTTCATGGGCCTTGGGGTTACTATAAATGCCTGTTTTGTTTGGGTGACCAGACAGGCTGAGTATTTTATCTTTAATTGTCTCTATATTTTACATTAGGACTTTTGATCAATATTTTATAGTGGAGAAAAGTGAGGCTTAGAAAAATTAACAATGTAAGCAAAGTCACATGTGATGTATCAAGTAATAGACCCAAAAGTGGAAATCCCATAAGTTCTGCTTCAAAATTTATGCTTATTTTCTCCATTTTGGCATAAATGGGTTTTAGGGTAGAAATGAAGCTAAAAGACTCTCCACAATTAGTAGAAGGAGAGTTAGACATCAAGGAAGAGTAAGAGCTATGAGATTGAGAGAGAGGAGAAAAGGAGAAAGAAATACTAGATTATGTCTGCTTAAATATCAGCATTTTGCTTTGGGCACAGATATACTCATTTATGGTGACGGATAAATAGATGCTATTGAGGCTCCTTATTTCCTACTTGGCTATGCTAGATAAGAATCCCTGTTAACATAAACTATGGTAACAGCGGAATCTTTAATTCTATGTATTGTTTCTCAACTGCCGCTATATTGTAGAATCACCTGATGAGCTTTTAGAAAAATATATCAATGTCAGGTCCATTCCAAGACAATCTAATTGTTCTAGGTGAGGTGGGGTCTGGATATCAGTACTTTCTAGAACTTCCTCAGTAAATCTAATGCGTAGCCAAGGATAAAAACCAGTGCTCTATCACACATCACACAGTATACATTACAATATATTAGATTAATTAATCTAGTTATGTACTGAAAGATGACAAATACAGTTTTGTATGTATTTGTATTTTGAATTATCATAAGATAATTAAATTATGTTGTCCAGGAGGCAATTAGAAGTAATGGATGTTATTAAAATTATTTTGGTTTATATTTTATATTTCAGAAATCTAAATGAATTTTAGATTTAGTGATTTTTACAACATATCTTTTGCCTTGCCATTAAAGACTACCTATCATTAATAGAATTTTTTGTCATTATCACTCATTTTTATTCCAATTGATAAAATGAGGATTTAAAATAAATGTTTATGTATTCCTTCCTTTTAAGTAAAATCTTTAGACATAGCATTACATTAGTAATTAGAGTTCTCTTACTGTGAGTTCTCTGATTAAAATATGTAATGCTAAGTATTAAGAGAAAGATAGTGAATTTATTTCCTATTTTCCAGAAAACACATGATTTGCATTTTCTAGATTTGTGATGAGTTTCGAAGTTATCAGTTTTCTATAAACAACAACAAAAAGAACACACTTCTTGATACAAATAGACGTTAAAAAATAACCTAAATTTCAATTCAACATAACTGAAATTTCAGTTGCTTGAAATGTTTTTGGAGATTTGTTAAAAGTGATACACAAAGTGCTATATACAGTGTTCCAATCTGCATGGGTTACATTGACCAACCTGTTTATGGCTGATAAATCATATTCTTATGAAATCATGTGACTTTCTATTCCTAGCTAATGATTAAGGCATTACATTTCTCTCTTCCTCAAAGGAAATGTAAACCAGGCTTATGCCACCTTTAATGCTTTAAATATTGTGACTGAATTTTAAACACTTCCATTGTTTGCTTAATGAGTTGCTTGGTACTGTTCAGTCCTCACATCTGCGGCCTCTCGGTCCCCATGTGCAGGCCTAGCCCCGCTTGGTTCTAAGACCATTTAACTGGTATGTTGGAAAAGTAATAGAGGATCTCTATAAAGCATCAGCATTCATCCTGGTAATGGATATTTTTCCTCGTTCATCATTCATGAACCCTCATATTTTCTACCAATTCTGAGAATTTGGTAAAGAGCTGAAACCTTGCATTGGTGCCCTATGGAAGCTTACAATTAATCTAGGGCCGATATTGTAGTCATTATGTCTAGAGTTGTCACCATATATCCACCTGCCTGAGCCTCTACTGTGTCCCTGAGTACCCAGCTTTTGGTCCATACATCCAAACTTCCTCCTCTTGTTTACTACTGAAGCCTTCTTGAAGCATTCATGTTCCCACTGCAATAATATATTTATACTTCTTCTCATTCCAAAGGAGAGTTGAAGGAAATGGGACTATCTCTTTTCTGTATCCTACTGACCAATCCCATGGCTGTCAAAATACTAATAGAAACATTATACATTAATTATTGTTTACCCAATAAAAGTATATCTACTTGATATTTTAGTTGTGGCTGTAATTCTATATCTTGTTAATGTAATGTTCTCAGACAAAAACTCATATACACAAAAATCTACACAGATTTTAGTGGTCTCTATATTATGAATAATATTCTAATTGCTCTTTAAAATAAAGAATAACAGAGAAAAATAGAGAATAATTCTTCTGTAACATTCTTTCACACTTCTCTAAAGCTTCTTAAAAGAATATAATTTCCTTATATATTGCACAGATGAAGGGATTTATTGATAATTTTTATTCATTCACATATCATTATATGGTTTTAAAATGTCAACTAGTATCTTTTAATGTAAAAGAAATACGTGATTTCAACTTTAAGACAAATTTACAAATACATGCAATTTTAAACATTTTTTAAACATCAAAAACCACAACATTTCTATTCAGAAGTGTTTTTATAGTTACTTACATTCAACATTTAAAATGCCAAAATATTTTTAAAATATGGCTCAGTTATTTTATATACATATATATGTCTCAATATTTCACGTGTTTTGACTGTAACTAATGGATAACTTGTTTTGAGAAAAGGATATTGTAAATTATACTTGCCTTACTAAAGGATCTCAGATGTTTGCAAGTACAAAAGGGAAAACTATTCAGTGACAGATTCTTTATTTTTATTTTGACCTTCATTAACAAAAGTAGTTCTAATTGTCACAGTTTTTTGACCTACAATGCTTATCTTTTCAGGTTTTCTCTTTGGTTGCTAAAGCACATTTAATTTTTGTAAACAAATTAGAATCTACTTAACACCCTATGATCAGCTGAATAATTCACGTAAGTCTTCCTCTGAGGGTTAACAAGCACCATGCAGGTCAGGAACTGCAGCTCCACTCCATGTTTTTAAAACATTGATTTTTCATTGTGCTCAAACCTCAATTTATGCAATTAAATTCCACATACACATTTTCTTTATTTTCAGGAAGAATAAAAATATTTAAATAAAGATAACTCCCTAAATTGATTTCAATGTACAAAATAAAGAACTTTTAGACCTTGGACTATAGAGTTCAGCTTCCCAAAAAGATGGTAAAAAGGAAATACATTAAGGGTTATAAGCAGGGACTTCAGCTTTAGTCTACAGAGCTTAAAAGTGGTTGTGGGGATACAATATATATTTTTAGATAAATAAAAAGGCAGGAGTATTTCAGGCAATGCTGCAGGTGACATCTACACATTTACACTGCCTGAGCTAAGGGATGTTTCTAAATGAAACTTGAATGAAAAATATCCTTTATTAAAATAGATCAATGTTTTGTCCAGCAGTTCTTAGATGATCCACTTGTTACTGGTAATTTCAGAAAAACAGAGCATTGTTCAGAACCTGAGGGAAAGCAGGTAGAAAAGGTTCATGGACACTGGGTAGTGAGCCAAAGCTGGAGGAAAGGTGCCCAGTACACAGTTAAGAATAAGCAAGTGCTAGCCCCAAGCATTCCCCTCTGCTGCTAAAGTGTGCCTTTTAGGCCTTCTAAGTTCCTCATCTTAGATCTTTAGGTCTTTCTCTCCACTGCTAACCTCAGACCTCAAGTATAATTTCTCATTTGCACAAAATACTGAAGGCAGCATTTTTACTTTTGTAGACTGAAATCAATCTCTCTCTCTCTAAATATATATATATATATCTCTTTCTTCTTCTTTCTCTCTCACTTGTCTTATTTAATATTTGGTGTTGACATTATGACATGGACCCAAGTGATCACTACTAAGTACTTTTTTACTCTGAAGTGTTTTAAACAAACAGTGCATTTCCTAAGGAAGTTGTGTAGAATCTGTGTATTCCTTAGCCCTTCTCCACTGCACGTGGTAATTGGGGGCAGCCATATGGGTAGATGCCATAGGGATCACATGATACAAACCTAGTACTAAAACCTGTGAGGGACTGGGTGTGCAAATGATCAAGGTGGAAATTTATTTGCGTCAATATTTCAAACTGGCTGTTAGCTACTGGTAGCAATAACACCCTGAAGTAAGTGTTTGAGAAAGGAAAGTATTCCCAAATATACTACTTATTTGGGGTATTAAGAGGGACTATAATTATTTTTGTAGTATTAATCAAGTAAAACCCTGCTTTCTTACAGATGATATGGAAAGAATATATAAAATAAAGTAAAATTATAAAACAAATTATTGATTTTATCAACTTTTTCATTTGAAGATTTACATAACAGTAAACCAAATTAGAATAACATTAAATAATGTAATTTTTAGTCTACCCAAGTCCCAAACTTATTTTGAATAAATCATTTTAGAAGTGACTTGAATTATTAATAGCACTAATTAATGGCTGAAATTAATGCAGTATACTTTTTATTTTTCATGAAAAGATTTATAACACCTAAAGCTTAGCCTCATATACTCTGTAAAAGATCACCTGACCTAAGTTTTAAATCAATAATATTTTGCTACAACTAAAATACATTAGCTTAAATTCACTTGTTTTTGCCAAAAATGTTGGTCTCCTGAAAAGCTAACTTTCTAAGACTATTTTCTCAGACCTCAGTAAGAACCAATAATTCTAAATTAAGTAATACCAAAATAAATGACACCCAACAAACAAAACACTGTCAGAGCAATACTGAAACTCACTCCCGTACCTGTCTTCTATGCTCCCCATTGTTTCCTGGTCCCAAGTACCCCAGAGGGCCTCTCACTGCACCACCCATCTATACATTTTTCCATACACAACTCTGTGAAAGTCTCCTCCATCCTAAGCTGTTCTGATTACGCCAGGGTGCCAACTTCTGCAGGGCAGTTTAGAAAGAGACCACACACACACACACACACTGCTATGGTTTGAATGTGTCCCTTCCAAAATTAAGTTGTTGCCAATGTGACAATATTAAAATGTGGGGCCTTTAAGAGGTGATTAGGCTCATGAGGACTTCTCCCTGGTGAATGGGATTAAGGCCCTCATAAAAGAGGTCCACAGAGAGGTCTGCTCTTTCTTGTCCTTTCACCTTCCACCGTGTGAGGACACAGCATCCCTCACCTTCAGAGAGTGCAGCCCTCACCAGACAAACGAACCTGCCAACACCTTGGTCTTTGACTTCCCAGCCTCCAGAATTGTGAGAAATAAATTGTCTGTTCTTTATAAATTACCCAGTATTGGGTATTCTGTTATAGCAGCACAAAATGAATTAAGGCACAACTATATACCAAAATGAAAAAATATAGGTTTTCTATCATATTTAAAAGATACTTTTTAAAAATTAATAATACTGAGATAGATGGCTTGAGATTTGTTGTGTTAGCAAAGGTTTTAAAACTGTTATGCCCGGTTTGGTCATGTAAACTAGGGTCTTTATTCTTTACTAGTACATGTATAAACTATAATAATTTGACAATCTGTATCAAGAATCTTAAAAATATTCATTCATCCTTTTAACTAAAGGACTGAATTTTAAGGAATGCACCATAAGGAATAACTCAGAGATGGGCAAAAAATATATACCTACAAGAATATCATTTACAGTATAATTTCATAATAAAAAAGGTAATGACCTAAATAGCCAGTATTAAATGAATATTAAATACTTAAACCATACATATAGTAGAAATACATACCATTAAAATATATCAAAATTTCTGGGAATATTTTGTAAAATAAGAAAATCATCATGAGTATTATGAAGTGAAAAACATGATATAAAATTATTTAAGCTAAATTAAGTTTAAGTAATTTATTCATTCATCAACCATGTACTGATACCTAGTATATAATACATGTTGAGTTAACAAAGATGACTAAGACAGCTTTTGCCTCAAGAAGTCCACATTTAAATGATAAGGGTAAGAGAGATACTTAAACAATAAAGTACCCAAAATCATTACCAGTAATTTGGTGGAGGCACACACTGAATGCACAGGTGAAAATGAAAATAGAGTATTGTTGTTAAAGTGCTGACATAAGTCAGGGAGGAGGATCACAAGAGCTTCATAGAGCAAGTGGTATTTGAACTGATTCTTGACAGGAGAGTAATTTTTGGATTCTGTAATCTTCTACTATTATAGTTGTGGCTGTCTGTTGCTTATCTATCAGGCACTTCAAAGATGATATTACATTTTACTCCTCACAAGGACCTTTCTTTTTTTGTGTGGTTTCCCATGAGTGTATACAAAAGCATAGTTCACTTATTGCAGGAAGATTTTCATAGCCTTATGGTCACAGGCTTTGGAATGTATGAAATTTTATTTTTTTTGTGAAGAGGAGCAATAAGAATTAACTATGGTAAATATTTCAGTAAGCATTATTGTATCTTAGGCAAGCCAGAGCTAAAGCACTTTCTAAACTCAAAGGAATTATTTTAAGTAATTTTGGAACTAGCTTACTTGCTTAATTTCTAGGCCTAACGTATATACTAACAACATATTTCTTACATACAAATGTTCATTGGTTTTCCTGCTAAGGCCCACAGTTGAGTCTTATATGTACCAAAGCATAAATGGTGTCATACGTGGCTCAAGATAAATAGAGCTGAGAATTGTATCTAATATTTGATTTTATTCTATATTTTGGGGCTCAAGTTGAAGGTAGTGGTTCTAGAACAATGGGCTGTATAAGAAAGTTAAACAAACTAACCATTTGGTCAAATGGCATGAAACTGAGGGACATGAAAAAGTATGGGATAGGAACAAATCAACATTTGGAACTCAAGCAGACAATCCTATGGAGACATTATAAGAGACTGATCAAGGAAATCAAGACCAGGTAGAAACTAGCTCTTAGCATACAGCTGGCAGATTTAGAAAGAACAAGAGGTAAAACTGATAAGAATCCCTGATGTTGTTGAGAGCACCAGCAGGGAGCTGTCCTACGGTTTCATGGGTAGAGAGCGAGCTATTCAGAGTGTAAACCTTTCAGATAGCTGTCTCTGTGCCTTCGCCATGTGATGTCCCTTCATCTCTCACCTCTCAGAGTTTTGCACATCCTTTGGAGGCCAGTACAAATGTAAATATCAGGCTTTTCTTGGCCCTTCCTTGCCCATCTCCAGCTCAGATAAGCTGGTCACTCCCCTTCACTGATAGCCCCGATTACACTGATTACAATTGCTATGTCTACATCTCCTTGAAAGATTATGAGCTCATACATGTCTATACTTCCCCATAGCTAAAGTTCAGTAAAATGTTTGTGCAGTAAATAAAGGGGCTTAGAGGGCACCACCCCAATGCTGCTGTTACTGTTATATTTGTAATAGATCAAAATGTGGAAATGGGGAGAATAACTTTGCTAGAAAGAAGAAATAGCCAACACTTTGTCTTCACCTCAGATTTAACTTTCCATTCCAGATGCCTTAATATGATGTAACAAATAATAGGAGAAACACCATACACATGGACATGTAGGCAAAATTATTGATGATATTAGCTCAGCCCTAGGGTGGTTTAATTTCAACTTTCAGAAATGTGGATGTGAGTAGAATGGTAAGAGTCTCCATACATTTTCAAATGTAGAAAACCATTCAGAAAAATTTTGAAACATTTAAATATCCCTTAAAAGCACACAATTAAATTAGGAAGACTAAAGACTCCTCAAATCAGGTTTAATTCAGCCTTCTGCCAACTAAAATTTTTTCCCAGAATTTCCTCATTGTTCTGTTACAGCAATACATTTTTATTCAAAATGAAGATGCTGAACTTCAAACTTCTGAAGACATTTCTGCAACACAATAAGCTGCAGATTAAATTATGTGGCATATGATGTTAATGTTAAGGATATTTTATTAGTTTACAATATTTTAAAACTTGGTGATTTGTGTGTAATGTCTCTTTTGTCCATTAACCAGACTTTGATTAAGAAAACAAATTTCCTATGCACATTAACCGACAGAATTATCAAGCACACACACACACACGAAACAATGCCATGCACTGTACACAAGTTATGTAAAGACCTTCAACAAAGAAAGAATATTTCAAGTTTTCCTCTGGGTTAAAATTGCTATTTTTATACTTAAGGAGTAAAATGCTTTGCGTGCTCATGATGCATTTAGGAGTAGCTAGTTTTCTTCCTCCTCAAGAGACTTTTTTACATTGGCCCGAGATTTAGGAAGAACCAAACATATATATGAATTCAAGTTAAAAATCCTATTGCACTAGTGGTAAAAGAAACCTACTGTATAAATCCCTGAATACTGACAGTCCTAATTTTCATCTCCTTCATCATATGCCCTAAGATATGTAGTATCTTCAGAAAAGTCATTTTTAAAGTACACGAGACAGAATGAGAACGTTTCCAAAGCCTATTTACTGTAATGCTTGCAAAGGATTTCATTTGAATATATTTATACTAGTTCTTTTACCTGCAATAATAAATTTTAGCTCATTTCACAGCTGTATCCCATACAGCAGTGCACACTAAATATATCAGCTTAGCTGCCTGTGGACAAATATAATGATGCTTGCAGGTTTTCACTTGGATTCTTTCTGGGAAGAAAAGAAAAGGAAAACTACAGCTGGAATGCAATTCTCCCTTTAAAGGACACAGTGAAAGTCAGCATTTTCTATTGTTGATAATATGCCTATTCATGAAATTACATCAGTTTATATACTTGAAAAAGCTTTCCTGAAATTAAAAGTATACTGCAATATTGTATCAAAACACAACACAGGTGGTCAGACAAGGGAGGTGGGAGAGAAAAGAACCACTGAGCATAATGAGAGACATTTGTAGAGACAGTGAGAGAAATCTGAGACTATAAAGGAGAAGAAAAGAAAATTGTGTGTGTGTGTGTGTGTGTGTGTGTGTGTGTGTGGGAGACAGAGAGAGAGATATGGGGAGAGGGAGAGAGAGTGCCCCTGTCAGGTTTTTTGGGAGACACACAGATGAAGAAGATTTAGAAAGTTTTGTTGTGTGGTGTTCAATTTAAACTCCTGCGTTATTTACTTTCAAGAAAATTCACAGTAAAAATCTATATAACCCTTTACAAAATGAATTTTAAAATGTAAATATACTGAAACTGAATATTTAGTTATAGCTTGAAGCAGCACTTTATGCTTTTAAATAAGATACATTGCATCATGAAACAATATGGGAATATACTTATATTTAATTATAGGGCAACGGATTGTTTAGATAAAATACGTTATCATTTACGTCACAAAAGTGAAGGAAACTGTAAGAGAAAATGGTAAAATCTCAAGAACATGGTAAAGTGATCAGTCAACATATCACATAGACAAAATATTTTTCAAAACACGTCTGTAATCATTTACTCTATCTCCCTGTGCTTGTGTGAAAATATTAAATGCAAACTTCAGTTATCACCTATTATTTATACCATATAATGCTAATTTAAGTCTTGGAGACTTATTCTTCACATAACTGGAGAGTATTTTCCCTGACCTTGGCTTCTTCAATCAAAATATTGAAGCATACTTTAAAGGACTTTATAGAAAATTTCATTTTTAGGTATATCATAACATCAACAGACACCACGATATATGTCCTGGCTGCTGGTTTTAAACTAAGAGTGTGGTTTGGGTTAAATCACTTAACTTCAGGTACCTGAGTTTATTCTTTCATGAAAGGAGAATTTATTATTAATGAAGAAATCGTGAGAATTTAGTAAAAGAACATGTATGCATGAGTGCTTGGGGAATTATAGAGTACCATAAGAATACAAGGAAGTATTGTTATTCCATCCACTAAGCTGTGAAAACGATGTAGGCAACTTCCAAAACAGGTTAGCATTGAAAGTTTTTATTGGTATAATTTAGATTTCTCTGCAACTTTAAAATACAAGTGATAAGTCATGAGAGCTCTGCCATCCCAACTACTTTATTTTTTTCTTTATTGAAGACTTCACTATGCGATCAGATTAAAAACTTGTTGGCATCCTACTAAGTGTGTTCATGATTATTTCAGCAGATTTTCTTCCTAAATGCACTTTTATTCTTATGAATTAGGTCCCCTAAAACACTTTCCTATATTTTTAATTACTTATCTTCTAATTACATGTTTTTAAATGACAATTATATCATAACCGAAATTCACAAAAAACATAGTATGTATTATGCTGTGCTGGGTTTAAAAAACATGGCTCAACTGGGAGTGGTGACTCACACCTGTAATCTCAGCACTTTCTGAGGCCAAGGCAGGCGGATCACGAGGTCAGGAGATCCAGACCATCCTGGCCAACATGGTGAAACGCTGTCTCTACTAAAATTACAAAAAATTAACTGGGCATGGTGGCACACGCCTGTAGTCCCAGCTACTTGGGAAGCTGAGGCAGGGGAATCACTTGAACCCAGGAGGCAGAGGTTGCAGTGAGCCGAGATAGCACCACCGCACTCTAGCCTGGGCGACAGAGCAAGACTCCATCTCAAAATAATAATAATAATAATAATAATAATAATAATAATAATAATAAGGCTCAGTTTGGCAGTTTCTCAAGCAATTAAAAATACAGTTACCATAAGATCCAGCAATGTAACTCCTAAGTATATATTCAAGAAATGAAAATACATATCCACACTAAAACTTGTACATCAATGTTCATAGTAGCATGATTCATAATAGCCAAAAGGTAGGAACAACCCAAATGTCTATCAGCTGAGGAATAAACAAAGGCAGTGTATTTATCCAGTGGAATTCTAATACATGTAAAACATGGATGGACTTTGAAAACATGATGCGAAATAAAAGGTGCTAGTCACAAAAGATCACGCAAGTTATGATGCCATTCATATGAAAGGTCCAGACTAGGCGAATAGAGAAAAAGTAGATTGGTATTTGCCCGGGACCTGGGCTGATGGCTCAGGGATGCAGGATTTCTTCTTGGGGTAATGAAAATGTTCTTGAATTGATTGTGGTAATGGATGCACAAGTCTGTGGATATGCTAAAAGCCATTGAATTGTATGCTTTAAATGGGTGATTGCATGCTACGTGCATTCTATCAAATAAAGCTGTTAAAAGAATGGCTCTGTGATGGCAATCCCAAGTATTCAGCACGTGACAAACAAAGGAGATTCATCTCATTTATAATAACATGGCACAAAAGTAATTTTCACTCTAATTTCCACATTTTTCATAAAATACTCAAAATAATTTAGCTTTTAGACGATGCTATCAGGGTAGAAAATTACCTCAAGAAGAATGATCTTGAAAGCTCTGAAAACTTTCATCATGATTTGGGAAATCATGACTTTCATGATTCTGCAGTGCTTGATCAACCAAGGTTGAAGGACCACCTTGTCTGCTTCATAGTATTTATTCTCTTCTTGTGGAACTTGCACAGCTGAAGCAGTTCAAAACCAGTTCTCTTATACAATGAGCCAAGAGAACTAAAGAAATTACATTAAATATTGCAGTAAGAGACAGGGAGAGAAATGTATCTTAGCAGCAGTCAAAGCTCTCCTTATGAATTATTTGATTTCATAAATCCAAATCCATTTTGATGACTCTCCCATTAGAGGTATGTAGTCACCACAGCAAACTCTCAAAAGAAGCTGTTTGATAAGAGTGATTGGATCTTCTGATCTTTGCTGCATTTCTGTGATTATCTGTGCCAGCTCATGAGCAGCAGATGCCTTAATCCTGATTACTCCTCTCTCCACAGGGCCCATGAACTAATGGGAACAAATGAAGCACAGTGCATAGAGAAATGTTGATGTTGGCTGGAAACATGGTTGCTCAGACACTTTAATTTGAATTTGTTGTTACATATACTTTCATGTAGCCATTCCCTAAAACTCAAAAAAAAAAAGAATCTTTTAAAAATCTTTTCTACCCTCCATTTTTAAGCTTCATATTTTTGAAGACCTGATATGATTGTCAAAGGCAAAGGTTGTCAATCAATGCCCCATAGTCCAATTTTGGCCCACTAGATGTTGCAGTCAGCCAACGGTATTGTCCTTTATGAGATTTTTTTGTTTTTAGTTGAACCTTGTCTCTGATTGCAAGTGATGGACCTGCAGCAGGGTAAGGGAGTGGTATTACTTCTCTTAACCAGGTAGTCCACAGCAGAGAAGAGATCAGTATAGCCAGCCTTTATATCATGCCTCATCTACTCCCCTCATTTGTATTCCCTTTCACGGAACTCATCAGGGATGAGTTCTATACCTGTACATATAAATATATGTACATATATTTAAGCTTTACTTATTTTAATATTACTTTAGTCAAAACTGCAGAGGAAAAAATAAAATATTACATCATTCTTATTAATAAACCTGAAAGGATGCTACGCTATTGAAGTTACTGCATTTAATTAGCACTACCTAAGATAGCATTTCTCTTGGAAAGTTTGCAAGGAGAATTATAATAGTTCATTTAGATGAACAATCATATAAAACTCATATATTCACATCTGACTTAACATTTACAAATATATTCTTTCATTCCTGGCAATATTTTATAAACCCAAATGACTTGATCTCCTAGATTCTATGAATCAGAAAACAGCAAATAAACTTATTATTATGAAAAGACTGTGTCATCCATCCATTCCCTTCTTCTCCAAACTCATACCCACCCTTCTTCCCACCCCAAATTATTTCCTACTTTTTGTTACTCCAAACTTCTTTCTATCCCTGGAAACATGCCATTTAATTTCTTCACAACTGTTCCTTCTCTGCCTGGAATTCTGTCTCTCTATAGCCTTTCTCCATTGTGTAAACTGCTTATCTTTCAAACTTGTGTCTTATGAAAGTTTTCCTTCCCTGTCTCATTTTGCAAGAGAATTACTCCCTCCTCCATTTTACATCCATATATGTTTCTATTTTTGTAATAAGTTCACTAGCCTCAAATAGTTTATTTACACAGGATAGAGAACTCCATGCTATTCATGTTTGTTCCCCTGCACCTGACACACAGACCTTGCCATAAAATAGGTACTAAGTGCCTGCCAATTTTCCTCAGTTGAATTTGATTAACACAAACTGGGGAATAAAAGGTCACTTAATTCAGACTGTGAATGGAGTCCCCTAAAATCGTTATGCAATGCAATGTATGTTTTTATACAGATACATGTAATCCACATTATTCCATCTGGGTCTGTTACCATTCCTGCCTCAATGATGTCATAATCAATGGAAACTATTCACAAGTAATGTTTTAGAGAAATAGTGTTCATGGATATGCTGGCAGGTAGATGCTACTAGAAAAGTACTTCTTGGAAATTTGTGCAAGCATTGCAGTTTGAAAACATTGTACAGGCACCAGAGTGGCAAACACAGGAAGATGGTTAGACATAAAAAGGGTCTTAAAATAAAAAGCGATAACTTAGTGGAAAGTAATGCAAGGACTTTTATAATAGCTTTTATGAGTGGGTTATTGAGGAACATAAGCTTGGCACAAAACTTTGTAAAATAAAATCTTAATATAAATTTTGTATAATATTTTAGTGAAAAAAGTGTATAATTGCACACATTTTTAAAAGTCACTACTATAAATACCACATAAAACCATATTTTAGGAGGTATAATTTTCTTAATATCAGGTAAAATTATGAAGTCCTGTGTGATAATTAAGCCATATATGATTGCATTATTTGCATGTGCCTGTATATATATGCATGCATCTAGATATGCAGACATGTATACATGTGTGATTATGCTTATAATGGTGCATCAAATTATTATTGTGATTCTGTCAGAAGTTTACAAGTGCTACACAAATTTTAAAGAATGTACAAATAAATGGGTTGTAATGGACATGAAATAGTTGAATAGCTGTCTCTCTTTCAAGCTGGTAGACAACATTTTCATTTCCTTCAGAAGATTTTGAACCACGTATATTGACATGTGAAAGTAGGATATTCATATATCACACACACACACATAATGCATTTCAGGAGAGGAGTTTAAGAAAGGAAGTCTGATCACTCATCGTATACTTCCAACATCCTTTCATTCACAGCATCACCGAGCAGGAAAGTCTTGCCAAGAATAATCTCGGGTTTTACAAGCAAAGGAACTTTGGAACCCACAGTCCCACTTAGAGACTCCAACCTCCAGCATTGCCTGCATGGCTAAGATATGCACAATCACAAGTAAAAACAAAACACTGGGGCAGAATGTCTCTGCATTTAAAAACCATACTTTGAACAACCTTACAGTAAGGCTGAGCTTTGTAATTACACTGTTGACTCTGACCAGAGGTAGAGAACAGAGCAATGTCAGATGCAGAGAAGCTTGACATTCATATGCAGATCCAAGGAGGAAGAGGAATCAAAGTAAAAAAGGAAAGGACACAGATAGATTCAGGAGACAAATTCTGTACCAGTGAGCAGTTCACACTAGGATTATAGCCAAGTAAGGGATAACATTTACTGAGCAGTTACTTGTGCCAGGCACCATCTAAGTACACTGTAGATTTATCTCAAGCTATCTTTAAATAATCTGTAGAGGTAGTTACTAATATCATATCACATGGTATAGCTACAAAATAAAAGACAGAGATTAGAAATCATATTCCTAATAAATAACAAAATTAGGTCAAAATTCATGCACTTCTGGCTCAGAAGTCTGTTCTTAAACATCTTTTTACTGACTACACACACACACAGGCAAATGCACACAAACATATATTTATTTAACTAGTTATTGATTAGGTGCTTCTTTCATTCCAAGCTATGCATTCAATTCTTTGCAACTAATCTGGAAATCCCTGAATACAGTGGACCTCTGTAACGTTTATAGTCACACTCTGATTTTTGTAGAGAAAATAAAAATGACTTTTAAATAGTGCAAATCAAATAGTCACCATTTGTGTTCTGATACCACTTCTTCTCTGGTGCAATAGAGAACATACCTACAAACACATCCATCTACAATACTCAGAATGTCCTGTTATTTGCTAGCGCTATAATAGCCCAAGGGAAAACATTTTCTACAGACTACACAGAACAATTAGAAAGCCCTGTATTGGCCACATACCATAAGTTAAACTATTTTAGCTACATAATCAATGTCTGTGTCCAATACATTTGCTTGGGAAATTTAATTTTCCATCAAGCAGTATTGTTCTACGTTAGGCTGTTAATAGTGTACTATATTTCTATTCTTACGCACACCAACTATCCACTTCTGGGTCATTGTTTACCTGTCTCCTTCCTGAGGGCGCTCAACAATGTGTGTCAACGGGAAGGTCATGGGAGCAACCTAAGTAGCAGGCTGACTTAACAGCTTGGTTTCCAGGTCAACTTACTAGGGCTTCAGCACAGTGGACCTTCACTGTTTCCCAGAAGTTCAGAAAAATGTTGCATCTCCCACTTTTTCCCAGACAATGGCTTCCTCAGTGCAAAGCAAGGAAAAGTAGATATGCAGCTACATGATTTATTAACCATACCAGAGTCCGCTAGGGATACAGGAGGTATGTATTACACTTGAAAATCTCACCAGCTTGCAGGCTTAACTTAATCTTTATTATATTTGCCTATTTCCTTCTACTTTGGGATATCATTCATCACGCCCAGGATACTCCTCTCAAGAGGGAACAAAGTGTAGGACCATCTACATTTATTCCTTACTTAATTCCCATGTGGTTTTTTTTCATTATTGAACAATTATCTTCAGTATGTGTCATTCTACCAGAACAATAAAAAGTGGAATATGTGCAGCACACTCTGGACTGAGACTTTGAACTCCGCCAGCTAAGAGTTGGCTACCTACTCTTGCTACTATTACTCCTACAATTAAAAGAATGCAGATCTATCACCAAAGAATATCTGCAGATGACAAGCAAATGAAAAGATGACAAGCAGATGAAACATCATGTTAGTAGGGAACTGCAAATTGAAACAAGATATGCATCCATTAGAATGGCTAAAATAAAAAATACTAAAAGCACCAAAAGTTGGTGAGGAGTGGAGAAATAGGAACTCTCATTCACTGCTGGTGGAAATGCAAAATGGAACAGCCACTTTGGAAGGCAGTTTGGCAGTTTCTTATAAAGCTAAATATATTCTTGCCATATGATCCAGCAGCATGCTCCTTGGTATTTACGCAAATGAACTAAAAACTTACATCCACACAAAAATATGCACATGAATATTCATAACTGCCCAAACTTGGAAGCAACCAAGATGCCTTTAAATAGGTAAGTGAATAAACAAACTGTAGTATAGCCAAAGGATGGAATATTGTTCAGCGCTCAAAAGAAATGAGCTGTCAAGCCACGAAAAGGCATGTAGAAAACTTAAACACTTACTGCTAGTGAAAGATGCCCAACTGAAAAGGCTACATACGGTATGATTCCAACTATATAACGTTCTCCAAAAAGCACAAATATGGAGACAGTAAAAAGATATGTCTTTGCTAGGGATTTGGGAGGAGGAAGGGAGAAATAGAAGGAGCACAGGGAATTTTCCGGGTAGTAAACCTATTCTATATAATATGGTAATGGTGGATAAATATCTCTACATATCTGTTAAAAATCCTTAGAATGTGCAATCCAAAGAGTGAATCCTAATGTAAACCATGGACGTTGGTTAATAATAATGTAGTAATATTGGTTCATCAATCGTAACAAATGTACCACACTAGCGCAAGATTCTGATAGTAGAAGAAAATAGTGGGAGAATGGGAACATAAGGCAACTCTGTACTTTCTGCTTAACTTTCTGTAAGTCTAACACTGCACCAAAAAGTCTATTAAAAATAAAATCATTTTAATCCAAGCATCGCTCTCCCACCCTACCCCTGCCCCCACCCCACACACCAGTAACAGATGAGAAAAACAGCTAAAGCCCAATGCGTTGTGTTCCGCTCAAGAGCTGGGCCTGACCCCCGGGCTCCACCGCCAGCCTCCTCTGTCCAGTGGAAGGCAGCGCCAGGGATGCCTCCCGCGGTAGTACAATCTGCATGGCTGGTGAGGGGTGGGGGTAGGATTTTTCAGAATCTTCTTGAGGTTCCTCTGTTTAGCTCCTCGCCAGCCATCTTTCCAGCACCTCTCTCCCCTGGGCAAGGAATTCCGTAAAGAGTGGACCCTACTCGGTTGTGGGCTGTAAATTGTCCTTCTCTTCTCTGTTCTCTGTCCCACTCTTGTCGTCTTCAATCTCCCATTCCTCCCCACTGAACTTGTCATGGGCCCACTTGGGGCTGGTGCTTGATTTCCAGAACATGAACCGGCCCTGACCCGGAGGTCATCATGCAAGTAATACTTCTTGCTTTTGGGTGTGTAATCTAGGTCCCACTCCTCTTACCGGTTTCTTTTTTGAAAATCATTGTTACTCTTGTTATTGTTCCCAGAGTAGTTGCCTCTGTCCTGGCCTCTTCCTCTGGCTTGAAATTGAAAGTTTCCTCGAGCGCTCTGCCACCTCCTCTTTCACTTGGACCCACAAAGACTTTAGTCCCCAGTCTCGATGTCTCAAAGCCCGTGGAGCTCTCCTCTCTTTTCTCTGTCTCTTCAGTGTACTCTTCTGCTTTGTAGGAGTGAGATGACCGGGAGGAAGAGGAGGAGGATCTGGACGTGCCTCTCGCTCTCCGGTGCTTCTTCTGCTTCTTTGATCCTTTATAAGTTTTCTGTTTTCTCAGCTGACCTTTCCCTCGAGTGGCTGGAGTCTCGGGAATTCACTGATTCTCTAGATTTACCTCGCTGAAGATCTCTCTCCTTATGTTTTTTATGACGTTCAATATCAAGGCGGAGATCAACAGGATCATCTCTGTATTTTCCCTCAGCCTTGTAGCCAGGTTTTCTGGGACTTTTCATTTCATCACGAGCCAAACCATGTTTTATGAAAGTACTGCGGGAAATGTCTATTGTCCTGTAACTTGTTTTTGGCTGCCTCTTGCTCAGTTCCTCTATTTAGGTATTTAGTAAAGTGTTTATGTAATGTCATTCCTGAGGACCCAAAGTGATGCTCTTTAACATGGTGAACAATGGTCACTATATGTTGGGCTAACAGTTCTGAGGGTCTACGCTGAGACTGAGCTGACTGTATGTGCTGGAAAATGGAACGAAACTCCTATTGGAAACCAACAGTTTTGTTCTTAATTTCATTTCATTTGGAGCTAAGAGGACTAATTTGATGACTTTTTATCTCTTCTCCCTTGCCCTGATTTTAAAAGCCCTTTTTTTTTCTTTTATTTTTTTAGGCATATATAGTAATATTAGAAACATTTAATTTGGGAAACTTGGATTCTTAAAAGAGAAAACAGAACATGTAAATAAACTTTGAAGTGTTCACCTCAAAAGAAAAAAAATAATAATTTTAAAAGAATGCAGATAATTTGCTTGATTTCTGTTTTCTCTGTGCTGTTTTTCTCTCTTAAAATATCTCACTTTTTCCCCAAGTTTTATCAGTCTTGCATAGCTTTTCCTGAATCTACTAATGTGACTCCTTCTATGTGGACCATCTCTCTCTGACGTCCCCTGTGACTTGGAACCTCCTACAAAATTACCCTACTGCATGTGACATTTGAAAATTATTGTTCATATAAGGGAACACATTTGTGCTTTTTCTCCATCTGCCCTTATTTCATTTCTTTTCCCATAGCATAACTTTGATATAATAATATGGGCATAATAGAAAACAATACCCCAAAGGTTATGATTTCACATACTAAACTGTAAAATAACAACTAGCTCAACAGCTTTTCTGGAGGATGCAATGGCATCTTTTTGGCTAGGTCCAATTATGCATCAGAAACAATAGATAGGTTACTTTTTGGTATCATTGCTCCAAGTATTACCTAGTTTCCCTCACCCTTTCCCAATATGCTATTATTTGTACAAATTTATAGGGTACATGCGCAATTTTGTTACATGCATAGGTTGCATAGTGATCAAGTTAGGACTTCTAGGATATCCAAAATCCAACTAACGCACATTGCACCCATTAGGTAATTTCTCATCATCCATCCTCCTCTCCCCTCCTAACCTTCCCAAATCTCCTTTGTCTATCATTCCATTCTCTACATCTATGTGTACAAATTTTTTACCACCACTTATGAATCAGAATATGTGATATTTGACTTTCTGTGCCTAGCTGGTTTCACTTAAGTTAAAGACCTCTAGTTCTATCCACATTGCTGCCAAACACATAATTTTATTCTTTTTATGGCTGAATAGTATTATATTGTATACATATACACCACACATTTTCATTGTCCATTCTTCTGTTGATGGACACTTAGGTTGATTCCACATCTTTGCTATTGTGAATAGTACTATGATTAAGATGAGTATAGGTGTCTTTTGATATATTGACTTTTTTTTCCTTTGGGTAGATACCCAGCAGTTGGATTGATGGATTGAATGGCAGTTCTATTTTTAGCTCTTTGAGAAATTTCCATAGTGTTTTCCATAGAGGTTGTAATAATTTACATTCCCACCAATCATGTAGTGGATATTGAGCACTTTTCCATATACCTGTTAATCATTTCTATGTCTTCTTTTAAAAATGTCTATTCATGTCCATTGCCCACTTTTTAGTGGGATTTTTAAAAACTGAGTTATTCAAGTTCTTCCAATATATTCTCATAAACAGTATATTACAATATCTAGTATACTCTAGATATTAGTCTCCTGATGGATGAATAGTTAGCAAATATTTTCTCCCATTCTGCAGGTTGTCTGTTCACTCTGTTGATTATTTCTTTTGGTGTGCAGAAGGTCTTCAGTTTAATCAAGTTTCATTTGTCTACTTTAGTTTTTGTTACCTGTGACTTTGAGGTCTCAGTCATAAACTGATTGCTCAGACCAATGTCCAGAAGAGTTTTCCATAGGTTTTCTTCTAGTATTCTTATAGTTAGGGGTCTTATGCTTAAGATGTTAATCCCTCTTGGGTAGATTTTTGTATGTAATGAGAGATAGGGGTCTAGTTTCATTCTTCTGCATATGGAAGTTCAATTTTCCCAGCACCATTTATTGAAAGGAGAGTTCTTTCTCCAACATATGTTCTTGTTGGCTTTGTCAAAGATCAGTTGGTTTAAAATATGTGACCTTATTTCTGGGTAATCCATTCTATTCCATTGATCTATGCATCTATTTTTATACTAGTACTATGCTGTTTTGGTTACTATAGCCTCATAATATAATTTGAAATTGGGTAATGTGATCTCTCCAGGTTTGTTCTTTTTGCTTAGGATTGCTCTGGCTATTTGGGTTCTTTTTTATGGCTCCATATGAATTTTAGGATTCTTTTTTCTAATTCTGTGAAACATGGCATTGGTATTTTGATAGAGATTGCATTGAATCTGTAGATTTCTTTGGGCAGAACGGTCATTGTAACAATATTAATTCTTCTCATTCATGAGCATGGGATGTTTTTCCATTTGTTTGTGTCATTGACAATTTCTTTCATCAGTGTTTTGTAGTTTTCCTTGAAGAGATTATACATGTCTTTAGTTAAATTCATTTATAAGTATTTTATTTTTGCCGCTATTGTAAATTGGATTATTTTCTTGATTTCTTTCTCAGCTAGATCATTATTGGTATATATGAATGCTTTTAATTGTTTTATCACTTCCCATTAATATAAGCTTTTTTACTGTTTGGGTACATAGGAACTACATGCATGGAAACCACCTGGGTATTTCATTTTTTGATCTAAGTAACAAATGAATTCTGAGAACTAACTGTGCGACGTACACCAAGAAAGACAGACAAGATATAAACAGTAGTGTTTTTTAAAAATAATTCAAATGATCACCTATGAAGTAAAAATGGAACAATGCACAAAACAGAAACAATTCTACTGTGACAACATTTAATGCTGTCATCACTTGAATGCATTTTAAACTATCAGTGTAAAGTTCTGATGAAAAAAATTAGAAAAGATATCTACCTTATGACTCACTGGCACCTCTACTTCACAGTCTGCACTGTCTCTTGTATTAGGAAAGATATATTTTCTCAAGTGCCACATGCTCAGTGCCTCCTTCATTAAGGGCCAGTCTAATGTGCCTTTACATTAATTCTAAGGGATCCTGTCCTATATATTCACTACACTGAGGGACTTCCAATACTCTCTTCACAAAGAAACTCCACTATCCAGTATTCTCATTCTAACTCATATCAGAGGTCAAGAAACTTGTATTCCTCCTAAAAGGACCCAAACTACAATCGCACTTCACCAATAACCTACTCAGAATCTCTTCCTCCCACCATCAGGCCTGTCCTCTATACAGTAATAATGGGCAGAAGAAAATCTAGATTACGTGCCATCCTATTGTACTCTTAATCTCAGCTATGATTGAGGGCTGCCATCATTTTACAAACCAGATAGTTGTGTATAATTTTCAGAAGGAGTGACCTAAGTTACTCCAGTTTCACTGAAACAGTTAAAGCCTCATACAATTCCCTGAGAATTTGACTTTTTGATCCAACCAACCAATATAGTTTTAATGAATTCTGAGCACTGATGGTGCTATATAAATTACAAAAGAAAAAAAGACAAGACACAAACTGCAGTGGTTTTTAAAATGTATTTAAATGATCACTTACCAAGTAAAAACAAAGCAATGTATAAAATACAAGCAACTATCCAGTGACAGCATTTAATTGAGAATTGATAGGTGACAATGTTAATTTCAAGAATGTAAAATATCAAATTTTTGAGAAATACCCTGAGATACAATAATAAAATGAAGTATAAAAAGTTCTATTTACATAATTAACCCTAAATTTGGTGCTCAAAACATTTTTATAGTCTTTGGTAAGTGCTGTCTACACATAAGTGCCAAACTAATAAAAAATATGTCTATAATACAATAATTTTTCTATATATTTTTTTTTGTCTTTCATGCTGTCCTTTAGTTGGAGAAAACAAATAAGTATGTTAGACCAGTAAAATTTCTGCAACTTATGTCATTTTTAGGGGAATAACTGGTAAAGAATGGTAAGAGAACTAACAGTTTTTGAATGTCTGCAGCATTTAGGTCACGGTAGTACGTACTTTCTATTTATTACCTGTTGAAAAACTTCATAAATGCCTTCTTACATCAGAACTTCTGTCATTGTTCTAAGGTGAAAAACAGAGCCAGAGAATTGATCTAACTTAGCCAGTCAGGTAGAGGTAAGATGTAAACAGTGGTTTGTCTGATCTCAAAGTCCGTGTTCTTTCCATTCTATAATGGTGTCTCCCTTATAACTTGGAGTATCTACTAGTCTGGTTAACTGTATCAATTCGTATTTTCTAGTGCATTTACTGGAAAAGAAAAGATGCTTAAGAGAAGGCTAATGCACATTATTGGGCTTGCTCCAGGTCATAAACTTAAATAGTTTTTGTACCATCTGACAGAACAATAGCAATAATAAAAACTATCATTTACTGAACTTTTAATATGTGTCAGGCACTCTCCTAGTACGTTACATGCATTACCACATTTAAACCTCAGAAAACCCCTATAGAATGCATCCCATTAATCCATATTGGAGATGAAAGAAAAAGATTCAGGGAGATAAAATAACTTTTTAGGAAACATGAATAGAGTATTTTCCATCCATGATGCCCCAGATTGATTAACGCTGACGCTCATGCTCTGTCTACCCTATTCCATCCTTCTCATTCTTGAAGTGAGAAAACAGTGTGACATTCTGAATAAAAGTAAATTGTAAGAACAATTGAAGTTTAAAACACTTGTATTGGGATAATGCCACCTCATTTTATGACTACCTGGAATGATATCCCTCTCTCCTTTGTTACTTAAAGATTGGTAGAATTAAAATAGATATATTTGCATATACATTGGAGAATATTTTATATGCAGAGTAATAAGTACTATTAGCATAAGTACACAAAAGTAAAAAAAGATAACATTGTTTTTATTAAAGTTGAAGAACAAAGGCATAATTTTAATGCAATTACTATGTAAAGGACACACTGACTGTCAGTAATAGTAATGTCCTGCATTAGATGAATCCAGTTCAAAAGTGTTTAATGTGAGTATTCTCCTTGAGAGAAAATGCATACCTGTAAATACTCTATCACCTCAATTCTAAATAATGGCTATTATGTACATGTTTCTTGGATTCAGTGTAATTTCATCATTATAAAAATAAATTCAATTACTTCATTAAGATATTTTTGAAAATATATCTATGACAGAAGTTGATAAAAGTTTATGTATTCAACATTTTTTGTCTGATTAATGCTAAGTCAGTCGCGTTTTGCTCAATTCATTGACACTCTTAATTTGGAATTGCCAAGTGAATATAACTAACAATAATTATTATAGAAACAATCTCATATGCTAGAATAATAAAAAGTGCAAATGTCCCTGTAATCCCAGAACTTTGGGAGGCCAAGGTGGGTGGATCACCTGAGGTCAGGAGTTTGAGACCAGCCTGCCCAACATGGTGAAACCCAGTCTGTGCTTAAAATACAAAAATTAGCCGGGTATGGTGGCGGGCACCTGTAACCCTAGCTACTCAGGAGGCTGATGCAGGAGAATCGCTTGAATCCAGGAGGCAATGATTGCAGTGAGCCAAGATCATGCCACTGTACTCCAGCCTGGGCAAAAAGAGTGAGCCTCTGTCTCAAAAAAAAAAAAAAAAAAAAATGCAAATGCCATTAACACTTATTAGTAACATTAGTTATTCATCTTTCAGTAATATAAATGCTATGCCTCTTGTGTGTATGAAATGCTTCCCAATTATTCACACAAAGATAAGTTAACTTTGAAATGACTGTGATACAAAAGTGCTGAAAATTTTAACTTTTATATTTTATTTATTTAATTAATTTTTAGAGACAGGATCTTGCTCTGTCGCCCAGGCTGGAGTACAATGGTGTAGTCATGGTTGACTGTAAACTTGAACTCCTAGGTTCAAGCAATCCTTCCACCTTGACCTCTAAAAAGCTGTGGGATTACAGGTATGAGCCACCATGCCCAACAGACTTTTATATTTTAATAAATAATTTTTAATATCTGAAATTCTGGGCTTTTCCTCCTCATAAAACAACAACATTGTAGTAGAGAGACTTACATACCACTTAGTTATTCAACTTTATTGATACTGTATCTTTTCTACCATGTTGTTTTTTATTCAATCAAGTTTATATCTCTACCTCTATACCTAAAATGTCGTTTCCCAAAACACTGTGAATTATCTTACCAAGTCCTCATACTTGATATTTTCTAAAATATTTTAGAATTCCTTTCCTAGCCTTTCTAAACTTTTAAAATACTTTTTGCCACAATCTCCTTTATAAAATACCGTCTTCATCTAGTGTATCTTGTCATTTGCCTTGTACCTTTTCTGGCCATACTTTCTTAGACTGTTTCTCTAGGTCTTCTCCCACTGTGGCCCTTTATATCCCAATATTCTCTGTGAAATATCCTGGCTCTTCTTTTCAATATTTTCTTTGCTTTAATGATCCCTCCCACTCCCATGGCTTGAAATATACATTTATTGAGTTCCATGCTTACATCTTCAGCCTAACTCCTTCTCCTAAACTGAGTCACCCATTCACTAATTTTCCCATGAGATATATTGGTCTAAATATGTCATTGCTACCTCAAGCTCAGTATATCTGAATTAAATTGATATTCTTCTTCACAACACTAAGCAATCTGTTCTTCCTTTTTTCATACCCTGTACCTCCTTTACTGACTACAGGCATGATGAAAACCTTGATGGCATTTTCCTACTTTCCCTGGAAGGCACTGTGTCTTCTGCACCCTAAATCTAAGCTAACATTGCTTCAGTGTGACCTCAAGCCCTCTTCTACTCACTCTTCACTATAACTTCTATTGTCGGAGTTCTGTTTCCCTTTGCCTCTCAGTCAACGACTCACGTCACTGGCCTTCCAGCTTCTAAACTCATCTCTCTTCATTCTAGACAAACAAAATATCACTCTTCTGCTCAAAGTTTACAGTGGCTACCACCTACTTATAAGTTAAAGTCCAATATCTTACCATTGTTTGAAAGTTTATTGATAATCTGGTCCTAACTCACTGGATTGGCATGAAATCTTTTCATTGCTATCCCACATCCTGGGCTTGAGGTGCTGTGTACTACTGGGACTTTCAAGATCTAGGAAAGCTGCTGTGCCTTTTCACTTTTATTTTTTTCCTTCTCTCTGCTTAGAATGGCCTTCTACTCCTTCCTCAGTCAAAATCCACCTCATCCTTCAAGACCCAGATCATATATTAAATTATCTTTGCGACCCTTCACACCTCCTTTATCAGCCAAATAACTTCTTTGTTCTTATAATGTTCTGTTCATGTGTATGGTATGCCATGTTGTAATTGTGTACTTATAGTGTTGTTTAATTGTGAGTATCTCCTAAAGCCTGTAATCAGTTGAATAAGAATTTTTTTAAAAAAGTTAATTGTGAGCTTCTCAATGGCAGGGATGGCAGTATCCCATTCAGCTTTTACCACAGTGGTTACATATTTTAGCTCCTCAAAAACTCTTTGTTGTGAGTTGACTTAATAAAGCACATAGATAGATAGATAGATAGATATTTAACATTACATATAATGTATAAGTAATAAGTATTATTCATGTATATATTATATGTATACACACATGTGTACAGTTGGCTCTTGAACAACATGATTTGATTTGGGCAGTTCAACTTACATGCATTTTCTTCCACCTCTGCCACTGCTCAAACAACAAAACCAACCCCTTATCTATCTTCCTCTTCCTCCTCAGCCTATTCAATGTGAAGACGATGAAGATAAAGACCTTTATGATGATCCAGTTCCATTTAATGAATAGTAAATATATTGTCTCTTCCTCGTGATTTTCCAAATGTCATTTCCTTGTCTCTAGCTTACTTTATTGTAACAATATAGTATATAATACATATATAAAATATGTATTAATTGACTGTTCATGTTATCTGTAAGGCTTCTGATCAATAGTTGGCTATTAGTAGTTAAGTTTTGGGGAAGTCAAAAGTTATACATAAATTTTCCACTGTGCATGTAGGTCAGGACCCCTAATCTGTGCATTGTTCAAGGGTCAACTTTATATACCCTTATTTGTTGTATATATGTATTTATGTGTGTATTTATAATATATGTATCTGACATATGCATTCATATATATGAAGCCCTTTAGGGGTTAAAAAGGCCCTTAGATATCATTTTATCTATTTAATGAGTATTACAAAATAGGAAGCCAAGAACCAAAGTCATTAATGACTTTACCAAAGTTCTACAGCATGTTAGTAACATACACAGTTTGAGTTCCTGTCCCAGATCTTCATCCAGTGTAACAACTTTCACTACATCATTTTAATTCAATAATCTCACCATTAATATGATTCTCTATAATCCTCTGTACCAAGACCAAGCTTACCCCATTGGAACAGATATTTTGGAGTATGTCACCTCTTTTCTCTTCCAATTCCCTTCTTGCCTCTTTATTTTCATCAAGTGATACACACATAGTGATTCTGTAACTTCTAAATTTTCATTTATGGTATATCTTTTTTCTTTAAATATTCTCTAGTTCTTTTGAGAACTACGTTCAACTCCTTTACAGATATATTAAAGTCTCCTTTCCCTTTGGTAAAAAAAAAAAAATAAAGAAGTCATTATTTTGCTTTCCAATTGAATGAACTATTTTTTTTTTTTACCAAACCAAGGATCACCAGTCAAGAAATATCTTTAACATCCTCATCACACTAGCTTACATTTGCATACAGCTTTGAAGTTTACCAATCACTTTCTCATAACTCATGTGATTTTCACACACTGCAGATAGGCAGAAGAAGGTGTCATCACATTTACATGCAGTTGAGAAAACTAAGGGTCAAAATTTAAGTGAACTGCCAAAATTCCTACAGCTAGCAAGAGCTAGGACTGGCACTGGAATCAAGGTCTCCATATCATTGTTTCTGAGAGCTTCCCACTATTTTAAACTGTTTATTGGCTTGTGTTCCTACCATGACATTTATGATGACATATATTGACACCTCAGATGCTGTACAGTGAATGTTGGCTGGGCTCTTTTCCATCTGAATTATTGCTTGGCTCTTGTTACTTTGCTAGTATAAATTTCAACTAGGCAACTACTATTTCATCCTACACTGACTTACCTAAGAAGCTCTCCCCAAGCATCCATATGATACCATTTAATGGTAAATTATAATTTGATTAATGTTTGTCATTATGAATGTGCTTTTAACAAGTAAAACCCTAGCTTACGCTAAATTAGAGATCTTCAAATCTTCGTTTCAAATTGAAGTAAATTAATTTTATTTCATTTGAATTCATTACTCAACTGATCTTCAAACTTAAGGTGTTAGCAAGAATAATCTTGCTTTTTAAAATGTGTATATGTTTCATGTAATCTTCTAAGACAAATTGTGTACTTTGACTTTAAATAAATTTCTGTTTAATCTCCTCACTAAATTTCTGGATAGCTGCAACTTCTTTAAAAATTCCAGATATCGATAGTGATGCAATTGTAGAGTAGACTGAGCTGTCTCTTCAGTAGTGGTGCAGAGATGGGCTGAAGCAGGAAAAGACACTCACTCCCTGAAACCTGTTTGCAACCCCATGACGAATACATACTTTCCCTTTCAACTACAACATTCTCTTAATGTTTGGCATGACCAAGTTATTCTTAAATTACCCCCTAGCTCTAAGCAACAGGAATAATCTTTTCCCATTTTATTCCTATGAACATGTGAAGTTTCAGGTCCCCTAAGGAATTCTCAATGTTTTTTTAATGCAGAGAGAAAGCGAACCCGCAGAAAAGGGGTTGGTAATTCCTCACTCCGTATTGTTTTCCTGCCTGTCACGGCCCCCGCCAGAAACTCCAAGCATTTTGCCAATGGGTAATGATGGGCAGTTAGTAGCTGCTTTTGTTGGGTGGTTGAAAAACAAAGCAAAACAATTCTCAAGGAAGGAAGAGAAAGTTTGAACCCAGACATCCTAAAAGTTGTACACTTTAAAAATCCTCCGACTCGCTAGTTAATAATTGAGTTTTCAGTCTTTCCCTGAAGGCTCACTGGAGCCCCATTTGCCTTTAATTGTTGGAACCGCCCTCACTTGGCTTGTTTCTGAGGTGTCCCACATATCACAAAGCTAAAGTTAACAAATTCAACTCTATATCCACAAATGTCATGACAGTGAGCATATTGCTTTGCCTAAAGAATAAAGACTGAGACTAAACTCTTTGCTTGTTCTTTGCTAGAAATCTGTTTGAGAAACTCCTAGTAGAATGAAAATCCAGGGGTTAAAAATAATGCACTTCATCATGGAAGTGCGCGTTGCCCTCATTACAGAGCTGCGAGAGAAATATTCCAGCTACTCACTGTTGCCTCTTAGTTGTTATGCTTTTCTTTCCTAATTGCATCGGACATGACCTATTTGCTTCCTAAGAAATCATACTTTTTACCTTAGGATACCAGCATAACCAAGCCATCCAAAAGCACCGGGGTCCCTACAGAAGCCCACCAGCTCCTTAATGTGGCCCCAGATGTGAAGATGGGGAAAGGGTAACTCCGTCCCACTTACCAGTCTTCCACAGATAGAGGGTGGGCGCCTCCGCCTCGCCCTGCGCCGCAGCCCTGCCGGCGCCCGGGCGTAGCAGCAGCAGCAGGAGCAGCGGCAGCGGCAGCGGCAGCGGCAGCAGCTGCAGGACGCCCCGGCGCGGCCCCGCAGCGCCCCGGCTCCCGGACGCCCAGCGCCTGGCTTGCAGCCCCATGCCGCCTGCAGCCACTCCAGGGTCCAGAGCCGTAGCACGCTCGGCAGGGAATTTTTCTCCGCTCTTGGAACGTCTTTTCAAAGAGTACAGAAAGCAAAGCTCTTTCCTGCTATTGTTCGCTTCAGATGAGAAGGAGGGAGAGCGCGTCTAACACCAGGGAACAATAGCGTCCGCGGTGGTGGCCGTGGCCGCTGCCGCCGCCGCCGCCGCCTCTGGCGGGGATGCTGCTGCCGCTGCCATTCCTCGCAGAATGGCAGGTCCCGGCGGCTCCGGAGGCAACTGTCCTCAGGGGGCCCCAGCTGACTGAGCAGGTCTGCTAGGTCTGGGAGGCAGCGCAGCCCCCGCCAGCTGGAGGGGGAGGAGGGGGGCGTGAGCCCAAAGGAGCAGAGGGGGCTGGAGGCAGAGGGAGGCGAGAGCGCGAGGGCGAGAAAGGGGGCGAGCAAAGGGGAGAGGGGCCAGCCAGGCGACACCCACCTCCGACATACCCGCCTAAAGAACTCCGGTGCACATGGTGCGATGAAATATGTTTGGAAGGATGCACCAATAAAAAGAATCATCACCCGGCAGATTTCAGAATGACAAATAACAGGCATTGATATTCACTGTCATCCAAGGAGTCAAATGCTAGATCTAGTGGCATGCTATTCTTAGTACGTATTTACACAAAGCATCAGTGTTTATTATCTATTTTTAAGCCATGGCTTCTGAATTACTTTGTGTGGGGAGCAGTATTTGAGATCAGGTGTGAAAACACGAGAGCAGAAATGTTGACTTGTCAAAATGCACTTAAACCCTTCTTTAAATGTTGTTTTTAACTTAATCTATTATCAATAAAAATATGAGCAATATTGATGCTCTGTGACAAATTAAATTGTCTTTTAATAGCCTTTAAAACTGAATTAGTGTTAATGAGTATTTGCAATGCTACCTAATTACATAAATACAATTGTACAAAAAAAAAACCCTTAAAATTAAAATTATATTTCAGGTATAGAGTTCTGTCCCTTCATCTACTTCTTTCCCTCAAAAATATGCTACTTCTAAGTATTCAGATAGTTGTGAGTCAAACTGAGTCAGTAATGCTGTCTGGATATCTTGGAATTAGTAAATTCTTCATTTAAAATTTCCCTGACACCGATTTTTCTTAACTCTTACTGTAGCAAAATGCCTGTCGCAATCTAAATAAGGAACCACATGTGTTTGCATCTTTTGTCCTTTGTGTTTTCACTTTCTTCTACCAGTAGTAATAGAAGAATGTGTGTGAAGTCGGATAATGCTTTCCCCTTTCTCCTTCTCCCTTTAGCTAATAATAATATATTTTATTATTAATTCATTTCACAGTAAAGCTAAAATAGTAGGCATTTAACCATTAAAAATTCAGCAAACGGAAAGCCAAAGAAAACTACTATCCCATCAGCAATTTTCAGCCAAATAAAATAAAATTTTAAAAGCAGGAAAACTACTTTTTATGAATTTACTCCAACATAGCTACCCTAGAGTTTAAGATGAGGAAGCTACTCTTTCTGAAAGAGGAAACCTTCCATAAGGCTCCCTTGGGACCCTTGTCATTTTGCAAAGCCTTCCAGACACAGCCCCTCTGCATGCATTAGATTAAAAGCGGGTTTGATCAAATAATTCCCAGGTCCTGCCTGTTTAAGTATTCTGACATCAGAGGAAATTAGCTACGTTGAAGGTTGCAAATTTGGTCTTTGTTTACTTTCCGCTCTGTTAGGCCTCTAAGAAGGAATTAAAAGCTCAGAGAGCCCGAGCGCTGTGAGTCTGTGATTAGGAGAGATAAGCTAGTGTGGCTTACTATTTCTTCACTCGTGAAAAACAGGCAACAATCAAAAGATTATAGGTTGATAAGGAATAAAAAGGAAGCCTGATCTTAACTAATGTATGGTTCCCTGAAGGATCACTTCTTTTGACAGTTACACCACAGAAGGAAATGGGACCTGCTATTGCTTCCTGGGTTCTGTCGTTTCAGGAAAATTTCCATGTCCACTCCACAAGGAATCATTTTCCCATCCTTTCTGCTTGTATTTCTCAGCTACTGTTAGTGCCCTAAACCTTGAAATCCTCTAACTCTGGCACAGGAAGTATTTCAAACTGGACATACTCTGCTAACAGCAGCCATTCTACGCATTCGTGGGAAGCGCCAATCAATTCACCAAGTGGGAATTCATTATATAACAGAGGACAGAGAGTCTGAGGAATTAAGTTAATGTGCAAGGTCATTTACCTAGCCCTTCAAAAAGCCATCCGACACTATACTTAATAGCTTATTGTCAAAAGAAATTTTAAGATTCTGACCTTTATATTTACCCATGGTGGTATAATAATAACTCAACTTGTCAAGAGTGTAAACATCATAGCTACAAATTCAAGCATTATACGGGGTCAATTTCTAGGTTCCAATTTGCTGCCATTTACAATACACAATTATGGTGATATGTTCTGCAGTACTGTTTCAAAATAGCCAACATTTGGTTTCCTTCTTTCAATTTCAACGTACACAAGGCCTAGGAGTCACACACACACATGCACATACACAAACACACACAATCATCAGCAAAGATATCTCTGAACAAGGTTAGAGAATCCAAGTCATATAAACATTTGTCTCCACACCTGCCACACATTTGTTCATAACAATGTCATTATTGCACTTGAGGACAAAAATGTATGGGTCTCTGAGGAGACAAAAGTGATGTATATATCCTGATATGTGTTCCTTTGTGAAAGGTATAGTGTCTAGGTAGATAAATCCTATCAATAAAACTGATAGATGGCAAGAGATAGCAAGACATAGCAATATTTGTTTCCTAGAATATGACATAAATAATAATACACAAATGTTTAATGACATGATGTCAAAATTTAGTCATGAGAAGTCTCAAGGATGCAGATTAAATTGACCATCTGTACAGCCTGCCATGAAGTAAATCGTTCGTCATTTTTCATGGAGAACTGTTCAAATATTAATGAGCCAGTGCGATAAAAGTTCTCCAAACCAATGAATGACAAATGCAAAGCATATTTTTTTAATATTTAGAAATGAAAAAATTCTAAACTTATCACCTCTCATGTGATAGGTGTCTTTATTCTGCCTCTATTAATTTTGCTATCATTTCTAAACTCCAGAGGTAAGGATGTGAACATACCTATACACATCTGTTTTCTCTTTTATTAGAACATAAACATATAAATATATATTACAACTCATGAGACTCATGACAATGACTTTTAGTCATTAGTATCAATATTTTAAAACAATTATGAAATATTCAGTTCCTTGATGGAAAGGGAAACAACTTTTAACATCAACAGTTTTATAATTATAAAAAAGTGAAGAAATATAGTTATTTATTGATAGTATTACATATGGAAATATCTAAAGATGTCCATTTTGAAATAAAAACTTAAAAATAATTCTCCACATAAATGCATTTTGCATCCTAAAAAATAAAAAATACCCAAAGGAATTCTATTTGTGCAACCTCTAGGTGTCACACTTGACCAAGATTTGGATGAGACAAAATTTATTTTGGGCTTCTTTCTATCCTCCCCTTCCCTTGACACCCACCCACCAAGTTTATAGGTACACCTCATTTTACTGTGCTTTACACATATTTTTGTTTGTTTGTTTGTTTAACAAATTTAAGGCTTGTGACAACTTGGCATTGAGCAAGTCTATCAACATAATTTTTCCCACATGAAGTGCTCACTTCATGTCTCTATCACATTTTGGTAATTTTCATAATTTTTCAAATGTTGTCACTATTATTCTATCTGTTATGGTGATCTGTGATCTGTGATCTTTGATGTTACTGTTGTAATTATTTTGGGGCACCACATACTGTGCCCATATAAAATAGCAAACTAAATTAATGAATGTTGTTGTGTATTCTGACTTCTCCACCAACAGGCTGTTTCCCTATCTCTCTCTCGTTGGGCCTCCCTTTTCCCTGAGACATATGAATATTGAAATTAGGCTAATTAATAACCCTACAATGGCTTTTAAGCGTTCAAGTGAAAAGAAGAATTACAAGTCTCTCATTTTCAATCAAAAGCCTAAAATTATTAAGCTTATTAGGGAAGGCATATCAAAAGCCAAGATAGGCCAAAAGCTAGGCCTCTTGCACCAGTTAGCCAAGTTGTGAATGCAAAGGAAAGTTCTTGAAGAAAATTAAAAGTACTACTTTAGCAAATACACATATGAAAGGAAGCAAAACAGCCTTATTGCTGATATGGAGAAAGCTTTAGTGATCTAGATAGAAGATCAAATCAGCCACAACATTCCTTTAAACCAAAGCCTAATCCAGAGAAAGGCCCCAATTCTATTTAAACCTGTAAAGACCAAATGACATGAGGAAGCTGCAGAAAAGTGTGAAGCTGGCAGAGACTGTTTCATAAGGTTTAAGGAAAGAAGCCATGTTCACAACAAAATTGCAAGGTGAAGCAGCTGTAGCAAGCTACTCAGAAGATGTAGCTAAGATCACTGATGAAAGTAGCCACATTAAACAATTTTCAACATAAACAGATGAAAGTACCTACATTAAACAATCAATTTTCAACATAAATGAAAAAAGCCTTCTATTAGAGGAATATGCCATCTAAAATTTTAATAGCTAGAGAGGAGAAGTCAATGCTTGGCTTTAAAATTTCAAAGGACAGGTTGACTCTCTTGTTAGGGTCTAATTCAGCTGGTGATTTTAAGTTGAAGCCAATGCTTACTTACCATTCTGAAAATCCTAGGGCCCTCCAGAATGTACTAAATCTACTCTGCCTGTGCTCTATAAAGGTAACAATAAAGGTGAATAACTGCCCATCTCTTTAGAGCATGGTTTACTGAATATTTTAAGCCCATTGTTGAGATCTACTGATCAGAAAATAAGATCTCTAATGGAGATATACAGGATATTAATATTTTCATACCTGATAATACAACATCAACTCTGCAGCCCGTGGTTCAAGGAGTAATTTTGACTTTCAAGTCATTATTTAAGGAATATATTTTGTAAGGTTTAAGCTTCCTTACATTATAATTCGTCTAATGGATCTGGGCAAACTCACTTGAAAACTTTCTAGAAAGGGTTCACCATTCTAGATACCTTTAAGAGCATTGATGTTTTATGGGAAGAAGTCAAAATACAAATATTAACAGGTTTGAAAGAAGTTGATTTCAACCCTCATGAATGACTTCTAGGGGTTCAAGACTTCTCTGGAGGAAGTCAATACAGATGCAGTTAAAAAAGCAAGAACACTAGAATTGAAAGTGGAGTCTAAAGATGTGATTCAATTGTTTCAGTCTCCCGATAAAATATGAACACATGAGGAGTTGCTTCTTAGGAATGAGCAAATAAAGTAGTTTCTTGAAATGGAATTTACTTCAGGTGAAGATACTATGAAGAGCGTTGAAATGACAACAAAGGATTTAGAATGTTACATAAATTTAGTTAATAAAGCAATGGCAGGATTTGAGATGATTGACTCCAATTTTGAAAGCAGTTCTACTGTGGTTAAAATGCTATCAAACAGCATCACATATTACACAGAAAGCTTTCATGAAAGGAAGAGACCATCAATGCAGCAAACTTCATTGCTGTCTTATTTAAGAAATTGCCATAACCACCTTAACCTTCAGCAACTACCACCCTGATTAGTTAGCAGCCATTGACATCAAGGCAACACCTGCTACCAGCAAGAAGACTACAATTTGCTGAAGGCTCAGATGATCATAGGCATTTTTTAGCAATAAAGTATTTTAAAATTATGTACATTTTTAGACATAATGCTATTGCATACTGAATAGACTATAGTATAGTTTAACAATAACTTTTATATGCCTTCGGAAACCAAAATATTAGCATAACTTGCTTTATTGTATTTGCTTTATTTCAATAGTCTGAAACCGATTTCTCTATAACTCTGAGGTATGCCTTTATTAAAAGACAGAAATTTTCATCTTTTATCTTTACAAGTAGCTATATATTTTACTTTTTTGTTTTTTCAAATTCCGGCTTTAGTATTTCTTCTCTCTTTTCTTTCCCATTTCTTTCCTTTTTTTTTTTTTTCTTAATAGACACTGTTTTGTTGTTGGTTTGTTGGTTGTTTGGTTGTTTTGGTGGTTTGTAAATTTACGTATGAGGGACGAGCAGATTTTAAATTTCAGATTGTTTTACATAAAATTAATCTCATTGTTTCTCCATTTTATTCATTAAAAAACCTGTTTGAAAATAAAATCTGCTGCAAATGATTGGACCCCTTGATTTTAACATCAGGTGAAAAAATACAGTATTCTGTTTCAGAACCTTTCAGAGTTTGGGGAATGGATTGCTCACTGCAGGACTTACAATGAGGAAGAACCTCATCCCAGATGGAACGTAAGGAATCAAAAGACCCTGGCACTAGGTAGCAGAAATATTGTTAAACATTTTTTACTAGTGGTATTCTTGCCAAACTCTTTCAAAAAATTGAAGATGAAAACATTCTTCCTAACTCATTCTATGAGTATAGCATTATCTTAATACCCAAACTAGACAATGACACAACAATGAAAGAAAACTACAGGCCAATATTGCTAATAAACAGAGATTCAAATATTCTTGACAAAATAATAGCAAGCTAATTCCAACCACATATCAAAAATAATATACCACAATCAAGTGGGTTTTATCTCAGAGATGAAAGGATGGCTCAATATGTATAAATCAATAAAGCGATATATCACCTCAACAAGATGAAGGTCAAAAATATATTATCACCTAAAAAGATATAGAAAACAGCATTTGATAAAATCAACATCTTGTCATGATAAAAACTGTCAACAAATTAGGTATAGAAGGAACATATCTCAATGAAATAAACACATATATGTTATATATATGACAAACCCATAGCTAACATTATACTCAACTATAAACTTCCCTCTTAGGACTACTTTTGCCAAATCCTATGAGATTTAGTATGTTCCATTTCCATTTTCATTTGTCTCAAGTTTCTTTAATTTCCCTTCTAATGTCTTCATTGACTCAATTGTTCAGGAATGTGTTGTTTAATTTCCATGTATTTAAAAATTTTAAACGTTCTTTATATTATTGTTTTCTCTTTATTCCATTGTAGTCAGAAAAGACACTTGATATTATTTAAATCTTCTTAAGTTTGTTAAGACTCATTTTCTGGCATAACATGATCTGTCTTGGGAGAGTACTCCATGTGCACTTGAGAAGACTATGTATTCTACAGCTACTGGGTGGAATGTTTTGTTTATGTCTGTTAGGTCCATTCAGGCTAGAGTATAGTTTAAGTCCAGTGTTTTCTTATTGATTTTCTGTCTGGATAATGTGTCCATTGCTGAAAGTGGGGTGCTGAAGGCCCCTACTTTAATTTTATTGTAGTCTCTCTCGGCTATATTAATATTTGATTTACATATTTAGGTGCTCCAATGTTGAGTGCATATATATTTACAATTATTATATCCTCTTGCTGAACTGAGGTTTTTATCATTATATAATAACCTTCATTTTCTCTTTGTTTCTTTTTACAGTTTTGACTTAACATCTATTTTATCTGATACAGGTATAGTTACTCCTGCTCTTTTTTTGTTTTTATTTGCAAGAAATATCTTTTCCATCTCTTTACTCAACATATGTGTATCCTTAAGACGCATATAGTTGGGATTTGTTATATTACGCACTCAAACATTCTATGCCCTTTGATTGGAAAGTTTAATCGATTTACATTCAAGGTAATTTTTGATAGGTAAGAACTTACTACTGCCAAAATTGTTTTCTAGGTGTTTCATAGATCATTAATTCCCTTCCTCATCTCTTGCTGTCTCCCATTATGGTTAAATTATTTTCATTAGTGATATTCCTTGATGCCTTACTTTTTATTTTTAGTGCATCTACTATAAATTGTTGGTTTCTGGTAACTACCAGGCTTACAAAAAAGTTTTTCAAGCTGAGAACAACTTTGATTGCAAACCAAACCAAACCAAACAAAAAAGTATACTTTTAATCTACCCCCAATTTTGATTTTTTAAAACTGTCACAATTTATATATGTATATACGCTTTCTATGTATATACATATGTTTATACGTGTGTGTGTGTGTGTGTGTGTGTGTATATATATATATATATATTTATTTTTGAGACGGAGTCTCGGTCTGTCACCAGGCTGGAATGCAGTGGCACAATCTCAGCTCACTGCAACCTCCACCTCCCGGGTTCAAGCGATTCTCCTGCCTCAGCCTCCCAAGTAGTTGGGTCTACAGGCAAGTGTCACCGTGCCCAGCTAATTTTTGTATTTTTAGTAGAGACAGGTTTTCACTATGTTGGCCAGAATAGTCTCCATCTCTTGACTTCATGATCTGCCAGCTTCAGCCTCCCAAAGTGCTGGGATTACAGGTGTGAGCTACCGCACCCGACCTATAATTTATGTATTTTTAAAATGCATATGTCCTAAAATTTATTGATACTATTACTACTTTCTAATACTTTTGTCTTTTAACTGTCGTACTAAAGATATAAATGATTTACACACAACTGTTACAATATCAGAGTATTCTGAATTTGACTATGTATTTTACCAGAAAATTTTGTACTTTTAGATGTTTTCATGTTACTCATTAGTGTTCTGTTCTTTCACTTATATAACTCTCTTTGGCATTTCTTATAGGACAAGTCTGGCTGTGATGAACTCCCTCAGCTTTGGTTTGTCTGTTGAATTATATACCTATACTTCACATCTGAAGATAAATTTTCTAATCACAGTATTCTTGATTAGCAGTTTTTTCCTTAATACTTTCAATATATTATCCCACTTCCTCCTGGCCTATAAGCTATCTGCTTATAAATCTCTTGCTAGTTATACTGAAACTCTGATATAAGTTTTTTTTTTCTTTTCTTTTGCAGCTTTCAGGATGCTTTATCTTTGATTTTTGACAGTTTGATTATAATATGTTTTGGGAGTCGTCCTGTTTATATTTAACCTGATAGGAGACCTTTGACCTTCCTGTACCACATTCTTGTATCTGGATATTTGTAAGTTTCTCTAGGTTTAAAGATTTTCTGCCTTTGTTTCTTTAAATATGCTTTCTACCCCTGGATTTTTACCTTCTCTCTCTTGAACAACACAGATTAATAAGGTTATTATTTGATATTGTCTCAAAAATCCCATAGGCTTTCTTCATTTCTTTTTTCTTTTTTCACCTCTGACTGTACATTTTCAAATAGACTGTCTTTCAGTGTATAGGTTCTTTCTTCTGTTTCAACAGTTTTGCTGTTGATGCTTTCTATGGCACTTTTAATTTTATTCATTATAATTTTTAGCCAGAATTTATATTTTTAAAAATTATTATTTCAATCTTTCTGCTGAATTTATCATTCTGGCCATTTATTTAATTTTTCATTTCATTGAATTGTTTCTCTGTATTCTCTTGAATTTCACTGAGGTTACTTAAAACAGTTATTTTGAATTTCTGTCAGGCAGTTCATAGATCTCCATTTCCTTAAGGTCAGCCACTGGTTTGTCCCTTTGGTGATGTCATGTTTCTCTGATTGTTCTTGGTCTTTGTGGTCAGTTGTTGGTGTCTGATCATTTGAAGAAGTAGGTACATATTCCAGCTTTTGCAGACTGGCTTTGTCCAGAAAAGCCCTTCAACAGCTCATTCATAGAGTCTAGTCAGATTGTGTGATGTGGCCCATGAAAAGGCTTCTTGCTGGAGTCAGGGCTAGCTGGACTGGTGCCTAGGCCAGCAGGTAGGCAGATCTGGAGCCTGGATCCATGTGGGCCTAAGCTTTTATCCCTTGGAATTGGTCTGAAGCCCATGCCCACTGGAACTGGCAAGTTGCTGAGGCAGGCCCAGAGCCTGGAGCCACTGGGGAGTTCTGACACTGTGAGACATGTGAAACCAGGGGTAGCTGAAGTCAGTTCAGCAGTGATGCAAACTGGAGATAAAGTTCTCTGTGCAGGCCTGAAGTCTGGGGCTGTGGGGTCTTATCTGGTGTTGGGGTGGATGTGGAAACTCAGTTTGCAGGTATTGGCCTGGAGTCTGGAACCATGGGAGCCTGCCAAATGCTAAGCTTTATTCTGGTGGCTCAGGTATTGTGGTCCAAGGCAAAGTCCTGGGCTCATTTTCCTCTCTCCAAAGTGGACAATGCTTCTCTCTACACAATGCTGCCTGGGGTTGTGAAGGGGTACTGTAAGTAATGTAAAACTATCCTTCCTAACCTCTGCAATATGTCTTTTCTTATTTCTATGCTTCATCCAGGTGTTGTAACCCTTCCCCTGTATTTTTTTGCACTTGTGGAGGTATTTTCATTTATGGATAGTGTTTCAAATTGATGTTTTTGTGGAAACACAATTGTTGGAGGATCCCACCTTCCCCATAGTTCGTTCACATTTAATGTGATTATTTATATGGTTAGACGTACATCTATCATTTTGTTCTTTACTCTCTATTTGTTTTATATAATTTTTAAATAACAGGTTGACTTAGATATAATTTTGTTTAGGATATACAATTTACTGTCTTATTCACAGAGTTGCATAATCATCACCATCGTATAATTTTAGTACTTTTCCATTGAAACAAAAAGAAATTCCAAACTTATTATCAGTTACTCCCATTCTCCCTTTGCCCCAGACTGCAACAATCGTTAATCCAATTTCTATCTCTGCGGATTTACCTGGACATTTTATATAGATTGAATTATATAATATGTGGCCTTTGTGAATGGCTTCTTTCATGTAGCGTAAGTTTTTAAGGTTCATTAATAGTGTAACAAAAATCAGCACTGCATTGCTTTTTAAGGCTGACTAATATTTTATTGTATGGGTAAACCAAATTTTCTTTATCCATTTGTCAGTTGATGTGCATTTGGGTTGTTTCTACTGTTTGGTTATTATGAATAGTGCTGCTATGAATATCTATTTACATATCTTAACTGTTTTGTTCCTCTTTTCCTCTTTTATACCTTATTTTGTACTTTTTAGCATACCATTTTTACCCTTTGGAAATAAAAAAATTTAATTATATTTAAATAGCCATGAACTTCTTAATGGTTACTCTATGGACTACAGTATCTACGTCATCCTTTCACAGCCATTTCAGAATATTATTAACTTATTCCTATAAGATAGAGAATTATTGCCCACTATCACTCCTTTTCCTCCTCTCTGTAATGTGATCTGTATGTTATAACCTTAACAAAAAAGTGTTATAAATATTGCTGCATAAAATCTTATATCTTTTAGAGATGTTAAGAGAAAATATAAATTTATAAAATATTTTATGTGTACTAAACATACCATTTCTGATGCTCTATATTTATTTCTGTGGGTAGAGTTACTGTCTGGTTTCACTTCCTTCCAGACCTATAGGTTTCCATTTAGTATTTCATATAAGTAGGTCTGCTGGGAATGAATTTTCTCAGACATTGCTTATCTGGCAATTTCTTTATTTCCTCGTCATTTTTGAAGGATTGTCTTGTTAGATAAATATTTCTTGGTTGACAACTTTTTTGTCTTTAAGTATTTTGAGTATGAGCTTCCACTGTCTTCTGACATCTACTGTTCCTGATCATAAGTTAGCTATTTATATTAATGTGGTTGCCTTGCACTTGATGAGTCATTTTTCCCTTGATGCCTTATGCTATTTTCTTATTCTAGGTGATGGGAATCTATTCTACTCTGGGTTTTTTTTATGTTTAAGTGATTACATTCATATTTCTCATCAAATTTGTGAGATTTTTGAACACTATTTGTTAAAATATGTTTTTTCCTGCCCCCTTCTCTCTTTTCTATTTTTGGGACTTCCATGACCTGCTTGTTGAAATGCTTGATGTTGACTCACACATCATTGAGGCTCATTTTATCTTTTTTCTCCTCTAAATTCATCCGATTAAATATTTTCTATTGATATATGTTCAAATTTACTTAGTCATCTGTTCTACCCTCCAAGGAGTCACGGCTACTTTCACCTTTTGGCTTCATATCTCAAAATGTGGTCTATGTGGTTGCCACTGAAAAGAAGAATAGGGCAAGAGAGCTATATCAGATGTTTATATTATCTTTCTATATAGACCTTTGGCAAAATGATATTATATGGCCCCAATCTAATTACAAAGGAAATTGGTAAACTTATCTCCTTATATACCTATTATGAAGAAAATAAAATGGATTTGATAAAACATTAGCATTAACTCTTCCATAAATTTCTATATTCAGGTAATTGTGTCACCTAAGAGGCTTATGGGGTTTTGGGGTTTTGTCTGTTTTTGTCTGCTTACCTGAATATCATAATATCACAACCCCCCACATGTTTTATCTTTTTTTTTTTCTTTTTTTTTGGACACAGAGTCTCGCTCCATTGCCCAGGCTGGAGTGCAGTGGTGCAATCTTGGCTCACTGCAACCTCCGCCTCCTGGGTTCAAGCAATTCTCCTGCCTCAGCCTCCCGAGTAGCTGGGACTATAGGCGCCCGCCACCACGCTCAGCTAAGTTTTGTATTTTTACTAGAGACAGGGTTTCACCATATTGGCCAGGCTGGTCTCCAACTCCTGACCTTTTGTTCTGCCCATCTCGGCCTCCCAAAGTGCTGGGATTACAGGCGTGAGCCACCACGCCAGGCCTAACCCTCGTCATGTTTTCAAGTCAAATTGTTAGGCCTTTAGGTAGACAAAAGTGGATTAGAAATCACTGAATATAAAAATTGGATTTAATTATCCAGAGAGCTAGCAGGAATTTAGTCAATAATGATGGACCTTTATTAGGGCTCAACTCCAATCAAATAAGAAAGCAAATTCATAATGGAGGGAGGCTAGAGCAATCAGATCATAGAAAGGGGAAAATATGTGCCCTTAATGAAAGAGGTAAACTGAAGTTTCATGTTGCATTACCCTTTTAAAACTCTATATTCAGACTCAGGTTTGAATAAAAGGTTATCACACTTAACTTCATAAGCCCTTAGCTATTATTCACAAAATGAATAGCTTTCCTTGGATTGTGCAGCTTGATAGCCTTGCTTTATACCTCACCTTCAGAGTATAAAATGCCTCTGAATTTAGGTCTTCTGGGTGAATATTTTTGCTATACTCTTTGAGGCATTTATGGTCTCAACTTCCTCCATTTTGCTGAGTTATTTAAAACAGTTTTCTCTTGATTGGATTTTTAATTGTTTAAATAAACTTTTTTGATACCACTTATTGTATTAGAGCCTCTCTTGTTCTATTTGGCTTTATGCATTCATACATTTTAAATTCCCCTGTTGATGTTTAGCTGGGGCTTCGAACTAAAGCAGAGATAATTCTTATGTTCAACTTACTTAATTGAGAGTTTATGTTTTATTTTCTATTTTCTTGTATTTTTTAAAATCAAATATAAAAGCAAAATGTTTAACATTTAGTTGACTGGTGTTCATTACTTTCACACATAAAGTATCAGTTAAACCTATAATAATCAGATGAAATAAGTGGGAATGATACTATTATGTGACAAATGAAAAAAATTAAGATACACAAGTTTAACAACTTTTCCATGTAGTTAATGATGAGTTTGGAAGTAGTGGAACACCATGAGTTCTCTGTACATAGAGTTGTCTTAACTGGGGACAGCTTCTGAAAATCAGTGATTCTGTAAATAACGTCTTTATTGAAAAAAATAATAAACATAATATTTGCCGAATTTAAATTTGCTTAAAGGAGTACAAAGTCCACAATAGGTAAAAGACAAATACTTGTGAAAAGAGGAAAATAATTTGAATCAACAATTCACATGCCTAAAATTTTAAAAGAACTGGTTTTCTATTTACTAATCAGAAAGGAAGAGAAACAACTGTGCCCCATTATTCCAGACATGATAAATATGATGAATTCAAGGACAACAATTTCCTAGGAGAGTAATGCATCTTGGCATATATAATTACCCATAAATGAACTAAAAAAGTAAAGCTTTCCTTTGGCATATAATTTAATTTATAAAAGTTATATTTATTCTAGAAAAATTGACAAATAATTTTGGCAGGCTTGCTACTAATATTTTAAATTGATTCTTCTTTGCCTTTTAAGAGACTGGCCTTCCTTATATTTCTGCATATGGGGTGGTGAACAGAGACCAGCTGTGCACTATATCTTATCATTTACAAGTATAAGATGTATTCACTCTTGTGGACTAAGATATGCTTACAGCTCACACTCTATGCTTCATAATTCAATTAAAAATCTGTATTTACGCTGACTTCACCATTTGGCAATGAAAACCAACCTCATTATAAGATAAAGATATGAAAATTTGAGAAGAAAAGCAAATGTTAGTAAATTAACTCCATCCATTGTGCTAATCCTATGTTGACAGCACCCATTGCTAGCAATTTTCTCAAGCTGCTAATACATGACTGTTACTGAAAATAACATGAAAAGCTTTCTAATTAATTGCTGCTGGTAGATCTGCCACTTCCAAAAGTTTTTCCCCTTGAGATACAGATGCAAACTTGTCTTGGCACATGACAATATACTGTTTTGCAATTTACAAAGAAAATAGTTTTTCTTTCATTTGCTAATAAGGCACAGAACATGTTGCAATAGATTTCAGAAGTTGATAAAAAAGGGGTAAAAGGTATTTAAAACAACTCTTTTCTTTCTAAGTTGAATGTCGGGTTAAAAGACGCCAAGTTGGCTGAACAATAGCTCACCATCTAAGTTTACTTGACTCAACTAAGAAGAGATGAACATAAGCAGCTAAGTAGGGATGTGAATAAAAGCAGTTCTTCAAAACTGTTGGCAGGCAGTACTATTTAAACCATAACGTGTTTCACTTCCAAATCGTTGTGAGTGCTCAATGTAAATGAGTTGAGACTGCTGTCAAAATTCCTTATAAACACGTGTGTTTCTAAGGGAAAAGTGAGAGAAACCACATCTTGCAACTGTCTGAATGTTCTAAAATTGTTAAATTTTTAGTCCAAATTAAAAATAGGAATCTAACACTAACTTAAGAGTAACACCATCAAAATTGTGCATTTTAAAAATCTAGATCTGAGCTCTTCCCAGTGTTTACTGAGTTCTGACCCAATGGTTGTGGAAAAGTTTATAATATCCATTTATTTTATCATAGTTCTTATATGATCCTTATTATGTCTCTCCTATCAAGCCTTCAGTGAAAATGTGCTCATTTATTCAACCAATGGAAAACACTTTTACAGTATCTATTATGTGCCAAACACTGTGTCAAATTCTGCAGACAGAGGGACTTTTATATAACATGCATCATTCACTGAGCCTTCATGAATGCATGACACTGAGCTTGAAAACATTACATGCTAGCCAAACATATTCTTCCACTCTAGGACAATGCGATATATATGACTGACATTTGTAAACAAAGATAAAATGTAATATGAAGAAAGAAGACAGAATCAAGAGAAAAGCCCACTAATGTATTAATACCCAGGATATCACATTGATATGTAAATAAACTAACAGTGAGCATTATCCTCGATCAATACTTTGCAGAGTAAACTCCTCCAGATAGGCAGCCCCCACAGTGTGTAATGAGCAGAAACTTCATGCTCTCTGTGTTGTCATTGCTGATGTTTGAATCCTGCTGTTTTCACATTCTGGGCTGCTGAGATGACTGTATATTTTTGGCAGCTGAAAGGGAAGCTTGCTACGGTTTCTTCCATAACAAGCAAAAGACAAAACCTATAATCCATCTTAATTTCACCCCATGTAACTTGAAAGATGGTATTGGTGTGTAGATAATAGGAAGCATCACTGATAATGGCTAGTATGGAAGAAAACAAAAACCGAAAGCAAACAATAAAAAAATATTAACTCAATGGGTTTAAATTACAAGAAATTTATCTTCAGTAAAATGGAACATAGAACCAGATCCAATTATATTTCACCAGCTTATGCAATCATGGGGGCTACTAATGGATTATTTCTCCTTAGGTAAAACAAAACATGTTTCACAGAAAAAAAAGTAAGTAGAGATTTTTTAAATGGATGATAAGTTGTGGCAGACATTAGCAAAGAACTTTTGTAATGAGTAAGAGCACTGATGTATTTCATTCTTTTAGATTATACAAGTACAGAAGAGTACCGATGCTGGTTCATTTTAACCATTTACTTAATATATTCTCACGAAATTCCTGTTAAGTGTATATGTTTATCCCTGACATAATATAGTCTAATTCCTTAGTTTACCATGAATTTTTTTAAAAACCTGCTTTATATTAATCTTCATATTGGACTGTTAGCACCATATTCTTCAGTCATTAAAATGAAGTATCTTAACCACATAATAAATAAACCTAATGCTTACCTCTAAGCAGTAAGTACTTAAATAGTAAACATTTGCTTTACAGCATGTTTTCTCTGTGTAAATTATGATTTTTTGCAACATTTATTTAAATCGCTTTCACTTTTATTGCATTGCGAAAGTGAGATCATATTCTTTGTATGCACTTCATTATCTCATTTGATTGGGTTTTAATTCCTGCAACATACAGCAAAGGCTGATGTGCCTTTTGCAATTTGAAACAGTGGTTGCATGCTGAGAATAATTAGCTTCACTAAGGCAGAACAAATGATTTCTTTGCAAAACACCAAGTCTGTGTTTCAACAAAGATAATCACAGAATACCCAAGTTATCTCAGGTCTTCGGGTATAGTGGTTACTTTGTGTTTAATTAACATTTTTGTAATCTTAATTCTCTAATAACGATAGTGACCCAGAGATTATCACAAAGAATGTTATTTTTGAAATCTAGGGATGGAAGACTTACTTATTTTAATTGATTAATTTAATTTGTCGGTTTCCATTAAAATATGTATTTATGTGGATAATTTATCAAATATTTGTTTCTAATCATAATTTGGGCAAAATAATGTAATTGTTGGCTTTGGCTACCAGAATGATAGTGGTCTATCCTTCCTGCCCAAAACATCCTGAACTTTTGAAGATCTTTTGTTAGTCTAATAGAAGAACATTTATTAGAAAACTAATTAGCAGATTTTTCTATACTTCTTTTAGTGAGATAATACGAATATGGTAATTAAATCCCACAAATCAAATTGTATTGAAGTCATTTGGTAATAGCAACAACAGAGAAACTATTATAATTTCTTCCAATTAGGAGGCTGATCTTTAACACCAGGAAAATCTGCATTAAGAAGTTCATTCAATTGTCTATATTTTAGTTAAGATTCTGATTGAGTTAATGATTATTTTAGTACCTTGGGTGAAAGCGTTAATCAGAGTTCACTGTGCAACAAAAAGGTCATGAGTGCATACTGCTCTGAAATTAGACTCTTAACTTTCATATCTCTACAAGGCTGCAGGAAACTTAAGTTGTCATCTTCGCTGAATTACACAGACCCATTTAGCCTCTTACCATTCCGGATACCAGTGGTTTGACAAATCTACTTCCCTGCAGGATTCCCTCAACTGCTTTGACCCTGATGCTATAGATAAATTATTCCTCTAAAATGTCTCTGGACACGGTGAAACCCCATCTCTACTGAAAATACAAAAAATTAGCCGGGCATGGTGGCGGGTGCCTGTAGTCCCAGCTACTCAGGAGGCTGAGGCAGGAGAAAAGTGTGAACCCGAGAGACGGAGCTTGCAGTGAGCCCAGATTGCACCACTGCACTCCAGCCTGGGCAACAGAGTGAGACTCAGTCTCATAAATAAATAAATAAATAAATAAATAAATAAATAAATAAAGTCTCTGGAATAATTAGGTAAACACAAAGTTTAAAAGGTTTAAACTTGTAGTCTGTATTTAAATCTACGGCATTACTGGAAAACAGATGATGGAACCATAATCATCAAATTGTTTCATTCTATAACACCAATTTTAACCCTGTATGTTAACAGATTTATGTTATCCTATTATTTGCTTGTGACATGAGGAATGCTTTAAAGACCTAAGAAATTATTCTCACGTGGAGACTATTTAAGTCATCAAGATGTTTAGCACTTTTTGGAATGTGAGTTTTATCTTCAGAATTGTCAACTCTGAGCACAATTTTGAAATGTAAACTCACCTTGTAGAATAGGAGCTCTACTAAGCTGCACTTGGTTAATCTAGATGCCAGCCCAGTTAGCAAATGTAATGAAAGTAATGAAAATTACCTGAAGATTACTGAAAAAACAATAAAAGAGAACTTAACAAAAACAGAGTTGAATTCAAAGAGTATGAAATTCAAAGAGTAAAATAGTTTGTCAAAGAACATTGCTTAATTTTACTCAACTTTTTATAATAAGTATTTATCTAATTATGTGTGTTCTTTACACCCCTGAGTATCCAGGGAGGTGTCTAAATTATTTTGCTCAGTAAATAACTTAGATTAGGTTCAAGATGTTATACTTTGTACTATTTAAAATATTAATTGATATTTCACAGTGAGGTAGAGACATAGAACTCATTTTCTCCTACTAGTACCTTTCAAGTAAACCCTCTTTCCTTTTTGTTTGTCAAGTATTCAACTTTAACATTGTAGATTTTTTCCTTTTTAATGAAATCCCATTACTGCCTGTGTTGGTTCTATTAGGTTCAAAGGTGTATTTATTTCCTTTAGCAAATTTGAATTCAAAGGAGGTTTAAAAAAAAGGAAGTGTTCATTGAAATATCCTGTTGCAGTGAGAGTTCATTTTTGTTGCAAATCACATTTAGTTGCCTTAGCAACACTTTTATTTGAAAAGTTCATAGTGGATCAAACCCTTTTAAGAGAATATAATTAGGAAACGACAGCAATTACTAAGAATATCATGGTATTGAAATAGTTTAATAACTAGCTTAGAATTGGTGATACCAGTGACAAATTATTGAGGTTTCTTATAAAAGGATGATGGCTTTTGTGCAGAAGCAGTTAAGTGACAATAAAAGAGGAATTGCCTTTTTTTATATGTAGTGACAGAAGATTAATCTCATTGTGCACCAGTGAAAGGATAAAGCATAGCAAGATATAAGTATCATTTTATCCTCTATAAAATAATAAATATCACCAAACTCATTATTTTTTATATATTAGTGAAGTAGCCTATCTCTCTACTATTTGAAATTAAACAAATCAACATACAACTTTATGAAGCATACTGTCCCAACACATTATGCTTGACTCATGGAAATAAATTTGTTTTAAATAAAGCAATACAGACAAATCATCCTGACTGAGGAGAACATCCTGATGTGATGCTGGATGAGGAGGGGGAGGGGATAGCAAAGAGCTATGTCGATGTTTGCCAAAGTCATCTTGCCTTTAATTTTCCCAAGCCTGGCATCAACAAGGTCTCTGAAAAAATGGTGTTGGCCTGCCATGTCCCCAAATGCCATCATTTTTAATGAGAATGTTTTATTCAGTTTTATAAGAACTGTGCTATTTAATTGTTTTTTAATGTTGTACTCTGTTCGAAGTCTTTAGATAATGCATATTATTTTTCTTCTTTGATAAGTTTATTTAAAATTTAATAATTCACATATAGAGTTATTAAAATGTGATTTGAAGTTGTAGCGGTTTATCTTGTCTCATTGAAGCTAGCACAATACTAAGATATACAATAATAACTGAAATATAACCACAAAATAAAATCGCAAGTTAATTTCACTAGTAAATATTAATGCAAAATTTTGACATAAAATATTGGCTAATTCAGATATATAATAGAGAAATAGAATAAACAATAATATTATTTAGAATCACGCCCAGAATGCAAGGATGGCTAGATATTAGGATTTATACTATATATTTTCCCATATTCACGGGAAAAGAAGATACTTTGTAACTATCATAACACACTAAAAATAAATTTGATAACATTTCTTATGAAAAAAATTAAAATAAGAATAGATCAATATTTTTATAAATGATAAGAGTCATGATTCCTATCATGATCACGTCAAAGTAGTTATATTTTTCTTATATAAAACATTCAAATGTATTCTTACTAAATTATTGAACAAGACAGAAATGCCACTATTGCCATGAAATTTAACATTATTCTATTAGTACGAGTACATGTAGTTAGACAAGAGAAAGAAATAAGATGGATAAATATTAGAAAAGGGAGTAAAAATAACTGCTAATTGAAAATTACAACATCACATATCTATGAAACTCAAAGATATCAATAGAAAAATATTGTATGCAAATTTAAAAATTCAGAAAATATCATGTTTAAAACAGAAATCAACCACTTTTCTGAAAATTAAGAATAATAGGTTAGAATTTCCATTTATAATTGATAAATGAGACAGGCTAAACATACTTAGGAATTAATAAGTGTATATAAGACCTATATAAAATTTTTGAATTCTCCAAAGGGAGATAACTAAATAAAATATTTACCTATTTAAATGTAAACAGCTCATTTTCTCTAAATTATTTCATATGTTCATTAATCCATTTTATATACATAAATTTTTTTACATTAATCCTTGTTATTAAGTGGTAGTAAAATACACAGAAGGATATTTCTAAACCAAACAAATGGACTCTAACATTTCTATGGAAATATAGACTTGTGAAAACAGTCAATGTGATAAAGAAGGAATCTAAATCTACTTGGTAAACACCATTTCAGTTACAACATGATAATGGCACAACTGGAGCTATGTAAAGCTGTGGAGCTGTAGACAAGTTATTGAACAGAAGTCTTGAAACAAACCAAAGTTTATGGAAAAGTTGAGAACATGAAAATAGGGGCATTTCAAATTAGTAAAGAAAAAATAAAGAAAACAGGGAATGTTTTGGACAAATTGTGATCCATTGCAAAACAAGAACAATGAATTTCTCCTCACAATTTAATAAAAATTACAGATGCATCAAAGAGACAATTGTGAAAAAAAATGAAATTGTAAAAATATCAAAATAAAATGTGGGAGAATATGTTTACAAATCTGGGGTGAAAAAGCCTGTCTAAGAAAGTCAAATATTCAGAAGCCATGAAGAAGGCAGATGGTTTCTTCATAATTATTTGTCCCATATAGTTAATAAGATAACTCACCAAAAATAATATCATATGACAAAAAATTGGAAAATGCTTTTGCTATACTTTCCTTAATTGTTAACATATAAAACCTATAATATATTAAGACAAAAATTTAAAAAATATTATTAGAAAGTAAAAGTTTATGGATAGGCAATTCACTGAAAATGATATATGATTGGCCAAGAGACATGAAAAAATGTTTAATCTTAATCATAACTTTTAAAAAATAACATTTAAAATAGTAATGAGTAGCCAATTTTTAATGTATTATATTAGCCCAAATTAATATGTTGAATAATATCTAACAGAGTACCTACATGTTTGTCTGTCCAGCAATCCTCCTGGTGAAGAAGCACCATTCTCAGATTCTACAGTAACTTATCTTATTCCATCTCTTGCATAAATGGTTAGCCCCGCTATTATCCCCCAGTTTCAGGAGTAGCCACATGCTACTATACACAATGCTATTGAGAAGTCTGCATCTCACACTCTATACATGAAATCCTAGCAAGGTAGAAACTTTTTTTCAGGTTGACAGTTGTCATCAAGACTAAAAGGGCAATATAGCCTTAATTCTGTCAAATCCTTCAGAGGTTTCTCCTGAATATTTAATATGCAAGATATAAAAGACATTTCTTTTTAATTTTTTGTCCTGAAATGATATTTGAATTTTGTCCTCAAATAGGCAAATACCATTTGTATGATGGGGAAATAAAGCTATTTAAAAACGAAAAAAACTCTAAAATTAAATAATAGCATAATTAAAAATTCATATTGGAACAGTAAGTAGAATTAACAATGCACAAACAAAATGTGTGGTCCAGAGGACAAATGAAAGAATCATATGGAAAATGCTATGAGAAAGGTCCTAACTGAAATTCAGTGACCAAAGTGATGATAAAGATGGGAGCTAGATGGTATGGAGCCAAAGTAGGTATAATCGGCATTCCAGAGGAGAAAACACAAATAACTGGAGCAGAAGAAGTAATCACATTTAGAAAAGTTAGAAAAAAACTCCCCAAATTAGAAAAGGAGTCTTCATTTTAAAAAGTCTTGTGATAATTTCTGCAAAACAATTAGTGAAATGAGGTCCACTCATACAAATAATAAACATAACATGGGATAAGGAAAACAATACCCTCAGTCTTTGACCATTGAATTAAAGTTTACTTGTATGTTTATTCGAATAATGTAATTTAGAATATTGACTTGTTAGACATGCATTGAACTTGCTATGCTATGTATAGAAAATGTTTCATATTTTCAGAACTCTCTTTATAGTTTAAAAAGTCAGAAACGGATTACTACTACTCTTCCTCCCCTCTGTAGGAAACTTGAAGTTACTCTCAGAAGTTAAGGCAGGGAGATACGGAGACACCACACAAAGCTGAGTGTGGAGGTGAGGAACTCTTCTGAAATGGGTAGACAGAATGGATAGTTGCATACTGAATTAGAAACCCTCTATTCTTTCCTTTCATATAGCTCTCAGAATGCTGGAAGCAGGGGATATATTTTTCAAGAGGAAAACTCCACAATACTTGATTGAGGAATCCCACCAGCCCCAAAGAAAAGAACAGATAGATTTTCAACGAACAACATTTACCTATGCTTATTGAGTATCCAATTTGATTTTTAGTACTTCCTTCTCAAATCTCAATACATAATTCGTTGAAAAGCCTCTAAAACTAAAGACAGATGCCAAGACATATACATACACATGTTTTTAAAAAATGAAGGGATCAGATAAAATAATGAAAGAAAAAATATCAATAATATGCTCAGAAAAAAATGAAATCAGGAAACAGAAACAAGGATGCTATAAAAACGAAGAATCAGAACACATGAAATAACACTCGAAACTTAGGAGTTTGGCAATTGAAATTAAAAATTACACAAGAGTTTTATTAAAGTTGAGAAAAAAGAAAACTTCTCCAAAGTAGAAGTAAGCTGAAGCTTAAAAAACAAACAAACAAATACACAAAAACAAAAACAAAACCTGTAATTTCTAATTGGCACTTTACTAAGTAGTCCTTTAAATCCAAGAAACTGTTAACAGTTTTATCAAGTACAAAAGTCCTCAAAAGCTCTCAAAATGATAAAGAATTGATGAAAAGAAGATGTCTAAAAAGAGAGAGAGAATAAAAATTATTAGACTTAAAACACAGGCAGGCATCAATTTTGATAGACATTGTTTTCTTCTTAAAGGAAAATAATAAATGTTTTGAATATTGAACTCATTTTTGATGGAAAATTTTACTGAGGGTTCATAAAATTTCTTCTCAATAAACTCCTAAAAAACAATTTAGCTTTTCATTTGACAAGATTCTGTGACTCTTTATCTGTTGTTTGTTGTTGAATCATAGCAGCCAAGACTGTCTTCTCTTCAAAATTTCTTCTTTGAGGAATGGGTGTTATTAGGCTCTAAAACTGTATGAGATATACTCCACACTGTATAATAGGTACTCCCACTTATAACCCATGTAAGTACACACAAGAAAATTATGAAGTCTGAGTATCTACATCGTAGAGATTTTCTGTTTATACTTTCTAGTGCTTTGATAGCTTTAAATCATGTGCTGCAAATATACCAAAAATGGGGAGAAATGAAGTAAGCACTTATCGGGTGACAAACATAAATCATCCCTGATCATTATTTCCACACTAAAAGACTGAGGCAAAGGAGTACATGATAAACACTGCGATGTTTGCTTCAGAATTCCTCACGGTTATTAATCAGGTAAAGCTCACACAACAGGCAATTGGAGAATGTTGATATTGAGACATCACATTTCAGAAGCAGAATCTTAAACACGCTGCCATTACATGCCGCTTAAAACAAAAGTCGATGAGTAGTAAGACTGGGGTTGGTATTTTGTCCTTTACTTTTGCAAGAGTGTCTTGTTGTCTAGGATCTAAACAAATCAACGAATGAAGTTTTAGACCTGCAAATTGTATATGACAAAAAGTGCTATATGATCTGCAGATTTTTGAAATTTTATTTTGCCATACTTAATTTTTGGACAGTATCTTGAAATGCACATTTTTACAAGTCTAAAATTACTCCTGTTGCTGTTATCACAAAGCTATTTCTATTCTAAAAAAAGAATAGCTACAATTCTTCACATTATAATTACATAAAGAAGAGAAAACAACATTTAACCAACATTTCTTGTTTTTAGTTCAAACAGTATTTTCTGTGAAGTATAGTTATCTACATAATTTTAAGTATTAGTATTTTCTATCTTTTCACTTTGGTGTTATTGGCTCTTATTCCCTTCAAAAGAACAAAGGAACCCCATATTTTATTACTCACAAAATATTGTTTTCGTTTTTGGTAAATGGAAGATTATCTATCTGTAAGGTTGATAAAATTCAGTTCGTGATACATGAAACAGCATGAACTGGTTTGTCTGCAGCAGGATTTTGCCTAAGAGTTACTTTAAAGTTGTTTGACAGTTTGCTGGGACATTTCCTGGTTATGCTTCGGAATGCATTTGCCCAATGGCTCATACATATCCCAGTGTGTTTCCTAATATTCAGAGGGAATGTGTGGCAGCACCGTTACCTTTGTAATAGTAAAAATAAAGGTGATGAAGACACATATCCATATTGTTGTTTAGCAATTCTGTACAAGTATTGAGATTATAGTCTTTACAATCACATTTAAGATGATTTTCTCAGAGTAATAAATGAAAGAAAACCTTATCTTTACAGATGTACTGTTCTCTCTCTAAACGCTGTCAACCTTAAATAAAAACAAAGACAAACCTCCAAGTAAAGTGTTTCTTTGGGAATAATATGTGGGAATTAGAATTGCAATTCGGGGGACACAAGTCAGGGTAGCCCTTACATGTATCCAAAGAACAAAGAGAAAGGCTGAGACTTTATGGGGTTAAAGAGGAAAGTTATGCAATTTGTTTGAAAAAAAGTTTCAGCAGAAAAATTTCACCTACAGAGTCATGCAGGACCTGATCCATTTTGATTGGTGAGTGGCAGCAGTTACTAGGTAAAATGTAACATTTAAGTTGTAGTTAGGATTTTCAATTGAATTGCAAAAAGAGTTCTTGGAATAGGAACTGGTTGCCCTTCACCATTGCCTTCTGACTCCATTTCAGCTGGGCATGACATGAATGACTCCAGTTGGCATAATCAGCTTTCACAACACCTATCAAGACTCTTCAATAGCTGACCTCCTAAATTTTCTGCAACTTTGTCATTCACATGTACTGGAGGATGACTGTGATCATCCAAAACCTTACCTTTTTAAATGCCAGTATTAGATATTAAGGTCAATTAAGAATGAACAGTAAATTTCCCACCCAGTCAATACCAAAGTGCATTAGAGAAATTAGACACAATTACACTGATGGTAGCTAAAGCCAAAAAGTGTGACTCATAGCTGGTCTAGAATATCTATCCAGAAATGGCCTTGTCAACTAGAATCCATAATTTATTCATTCATTTTATAAACTTCCACCAAAATTCTCTGTAAGTTTCCTAGTAAACAAAATGGCATGATATCTTATCTCCAGGAGCTCAAAATCTGTATCTCGACTCTCAGCCTTTCAGTGCATGCCAAATAATAAAAAGCCCAGCAGTGCCAGACCAGTGCTTATTCCACTTCTAAAAAAATTTTTTTTTGAAATTTAGGAAAGTGTTTGTTGTTGTTGTTGTTGTTGTTGTTGTTGTTGTTGTTGTTTTTGAGATGGAGTCTCACTGTGTCGCCCAGGCTGGAGTCCAGTGGCGTGATCTGGGCTCACTGCAACCTCTGCCTCCTGGGTTCAAGAGATCGTCCTGCCTCAGCCTCCCGAGTAGCTGGGACTACAGGCGTGCACCACCACGCCCAGCTATTTTTTTGTATTTTTAGTAGAGACGGGGTTTCACCATGTTAACTAGGATAGTCTCAGTCTCCTGACCTCGTGATCCACCCACCTCGGCCTCCCAAAGAGCTGGGATTACAGGCGTGAGCCACCGTGCCTGGCCAGTAAAGTGTTTTTTAAGTGCCATCATAAACACCTATGCACCTGCTACAAGAATTGAAAATCATTAAGATTTTGTCATATTTACATCAAATATTTTTATTAAGTAAAAATTAAAGAAAATCTATAACTTGAATTTGTTTTGCAGGCCTGCCTAGTTTCATTCCTTTCCCATCTACTAGCCCCTAGCAGCAAGTGCAATCATTAATTTAGTAGGTATTATGGTCTTCCCATATCCCCACTGACCACAGCTCTGACTCACAGCTGCCAGCACCCGTGTCTCTTTGCCTGGGTCTCTTCAACCACTACAGTCCACCAACTCCATGTGCAACACCAAAATCTCAAGCAATAAGTCACTCTCCCTCACCCACAGCAGCTCTTAACTAGTGACCGATCAAAGCTAGTGCCTCTGGTCCCTTAAGTGAGATCTCAAAAGCATGTGTTTCACACAGTCTTCCAGAGTTCTCCAGCAACATAGTACTTATTCTAGTTGCTCATCATTGTGATACACTTGGTAACACATGCTTTATTGGCTTTTTCCCTTTTTCTTTTTATTTCCCTATTCCCCTACTGTTGTTTCTTAAAACCACCTCCTAAATAAACCACCTGCACTTAAAGCCTTGTCTAAGGGTACGCTTCTGCACCCTAAGTACTACAATTTCCAATCCATATGTTATATTTTTACATACAGACGTGAGTACCTCTCAGTGATATGAAGTATTTCGGGGTTTTCAAATTAATATAAATTATGTCAGAGTATATACGTAATTTGATAGCTTGCTTTTTCACTCAAGGTCACATTTTAAGACATGGCAGTGTTAACATAGATAACAAATAATGTTTATTCACTTTAAAACCTACTGAATAAACACGACACATGTTACTTAACGCATTTTTTGGCAAGCCGTTTGGATTCATTCCAGTATTTTGCTATTAAAAACAACCCTGACTTTAACATCTTTGTAAACACTTCCTGTGCACACATGCAATAATTTCTCTCTATTAAATACTTCTATATGGTACTACTAGGTAGTCATGAGCATGCACATCTTTATCAGATATTGCCAAATTATTTTCCAAATTATTTACAAAATTTTACTCCAGCAAGAGTTGATTTCATAAGATTTTAAATTTTGTCAATTTCATTTTGTTCCTACATAGTTCTTCAAAAAAATCAATGAATCAGCAGTATTGACCATTCGTTTATTACTTAGAACTGAGCTGAAGAAAGTGGAAAAATTTGAGAACTCCATGTGCCCAAAAAGCTACAGTCCAGTTAAAAGTTAATATGTGAATTAAATAATCTGAAACAACTTAATGTATATCAATATACTTACAAATGTGAAAACATATAAATACATATGTATCTTTAAAATCACATATGCTTATTTTATATAAAATTAAGTAGTATATGCTATATAATTAGGCAATATATAAATATGAATATGTATCTATCTAAAAACTAATCTATCTATATAAATTATATATCTTTGTTATTAATAATATACAACAAATATGTCCCGGCCAAGATTATTATTGCCCTTAGGTGGAATATAAAACTATAAAATATGATGTTAAAGTTCCATTTGTCTAGAATATTTTCCTTTTAAAGGATTAATATCTTCAAGTATTGACCCATTTGTTTATACAAAGACTCCTATAAAGTCCTTTCATTACATGGAAGAGAGGTATAAGTAGAAACTAAAGCTAGGAGACTTGAGGATACATAGGTAGTAGTGGGAACTACTGCAAAACCAAAAATGACAGAAGCTATGGTACAAAAACATTGGTGAGGGCAATTGAGAAATAAAATATTCAGTTTTGTCCAGTTTCAATTACGTCCTAAACAAGAACAATAGTTCTGTTACTCTATTCTTGCATTTCATGTTTTTATTTTCTGAAAGATTTTTTAAAATTATAAAATTATTGCTTTACTGGAAACCAAAACATTATTTTAAGGAATAATTTTTATTAACTTACCCTTTGTATATTAAAACAAGACTATTTAAAATGAAATATATTTATACCCTATCCACTCTTAATCAGTGATATTTTAAATAAAAATACCAATAAAATTATAAATAATAAATTTGACAAAAGACAAATTGAAATAAAAATGAGAAATTTACTAAATGGATTTTCTACCAACTGGACGCTTTATCTATGAATAATCAGGCATGAACATCATAGGAATAATTCTATGATATTTGAATGAAACATATAGTCTTCCGTATATAAATATAATAGATGCACATCTTTTATAAGAAAATAGAAACATTTCCATTTTTTTAAAATACTCAATGGCATGAGACTACTATTGGCTTATTAAAACCTTGGACTTATTTTTATTCTCACAATTATCTAGTGCTGATTTTTATTAAAAGCATCTAGAGTCAGGTGGTTTGATTTGGAACGCTTATTTAAGCGCAGATAATAATGTGATAATAATGTGATTATCCAATACATCTAAAACCTTCCATATTATATCCATTTATCTAAATTTTCAGAAATTTAAAGGTAATCAATCATAACAAGATTCAAGTTCTTGAAACTATAATTTTTATTTCATTGAAAATAATTTAAATAAACCAACTATATATGTAAATTTTAAGTACATATGTAAAAATTTAAGTACATTCCATTGTGGATTATTTGCATATTTTAATTGCATGAATAAAGAGACTAAAATTATAAATATTTTGAATAAAAATTTGAACTTAAAAAATAATATGTAGGATACTTTTGAATAACAGGTATCTGAGTAAAATATAATTTATTCTTCCTTATTAAATATTTCAGATATTTTCTTAAAGGTGAATGAAAGAGAGAGCGTATCTCACTAATACATAAAGATAATTTGAAACTCAAAGTTTCAAATGTTTATGACACTCTGAAAAATCAACCAGCAATGTGGACACTAGATAGAAAGAATATTTTGAAAGATCTAGGAAAATGAAAAACGTGTATGGAAAATAATTATGAAAAGAACATAGAAAATTTTATCAGTCTCTAAGGAATTAAATCAGATATAAGTAAGTTTATGCCTATGTATCTATACATGCATATATGTAAACCTACACACATATACTCACACATACATGAAGATTCTTGAATATGGGCTTTAAAAACTCACTATTGGGATTGCCTACAGTCTTTTTGAGGCTGATTGCTGTTCAGGGAAGAGAGACCAGGGAAACCTATTCAGTCTGATCCAATTTAGATATGCAAATTTTATCTTATGTGCTTGAAAGGAACATTATGGCACAGCATAATTTGCATTTTCAGTTGTAAGATATAATATTTCTAATCTAATAAAAACATCCCTCCATCGTCCATTTTAACCCTCACACCATTTATCCTATCCATGGTTCCCTTTCACTTTTAAAGTATACTTTCATATTTTAAACTATGAAATAGGTTTATTAGCAAAAGACGAATATATTATAAAAGGCTTTCTCCCCACCAAAGAGAAAGAATCTTAAGTAGTAATTAACTAGTAACATATATTTTATAAGGAACAGACAAAAAGAGTCCTTGGAAGAAAAGAAAGAATCACATTAGTCCATGTCAAATATATTTTTATTGATGTGTCCGATGTAAAGTTAAAGTTTGAAATGAGAACTAGGTTTTTTAATTATTGATATATCTTTACAGAACAGCTTTTATTAAATTAGGTAATGAGCTTTGAAAAATCATTTTAGAAAGAAACTATTGCATTGAGATCTATCTCTAAGCCACATTTTCACAGAAACCTTTTTGTCATTATCAAGACAAGTCAGTAAATGTCTACATTATACTAATGATTGTTTGTAGTATTTATAGATACCAACCTTTAGGTAGGAGAAATAAATTGTATATCTGCTCCCACCTCAACGTTCTTATCTCCATTTCTACTAATATTTCTGTCAATATCATATCTACATGAAAACAATTTAAATAAAGCCAAGTTTCATTCAGTATATAAGACACTACAGGTACTTGATATCTATTCTTAAAATGGTATGACTTCTACTACTGAATATCAATCACACTCACTTCCCTCTATGTCATCAAAGATAGGTGATACAGGAGAAAGAACAGTTTGGAGAGAAAGAATATACATTCCATTTTGGTCATGTATAAATAAGATGTGAGAGAATAACATAAATGAGCAACTGGCTATATATCTTTGGTACTCAGTATAGACACTAAAACGAAAGACTCTGGAATTAGAAACAATTGCATTTCCAAGAAGTTTATGTTTATATTTCCCCTGTGCAGTAAGTTAGGATAGGAACTCCCAATACTCTATTTCTCAACGTTTGCCCTTTCTTACCCAAGTCAACTTCCATTAACTTGGCTTTGGGCCCACTAACCACAGAAATGGTCTTTTTGCCTTTAGAACACTTCTCTGCAATAGTGGTGCATGCTTCTATTAAATCCATTTTATTGATTCATTGATTGATTGATTTTATTTATTTTTTGAGACGGAGTCTCTCTCTGTCGCCCAGGCTGGAGTGCAGTGTTGTGATCTCGGCTCACTGGAAGCTCCGCCTCCCGTGTTCATGCCATTCTCCTGCCTCTGCCTCCTGAGTAGCTGGGACTACAGGCACCCGCCACCACGCCCGGCTAATTTTTTGTATCTTTAGTAGAGACGGGGTTTCACCCTGTTAGCCAGGATGGTCTGGATTTCCTGACTTCGTGATCCGCTTGCCTTGGCCTCCCAAAGTGCTGGGATTACAGGTGTGAACCACCGCGCCCGGCCTAAAACCATATTTTTAAGACAAACATCTGATCTCAGGTAAACCATGTCTCATCGTTCTCTTTTATGTTCAGAAAAATATCTCAACATTTTCATAGGGTGTCTAAAACCTTCCACATGTTATCCTCATTGACTGCAAGAGCACCATTTCCCACCTCTCCCACTCACTCATAACCCTGCACTTAAGACACTGTGTTCCTCCAAGTGCTATGCTTAATCTCAGACCACCTGCTTGTCTTTGCTGATGATACCTTCTCTTTCTGGAAACATCCTTACCACCTTTGTAATCTAGCTTATCTCTACTTATCCTATACAATCCATATTAATTTTTCTTCTTTAGAAGCTTTCGGAGTCCTTTCCTAATCTTTAGACTGAGTTATATGACCCATAACACCATATAAATGGGTCATGCTCTGTCTAGCTTCTGAACTGTTTAATTTTAGTTATCTGTTTCCACAGCTAAACTGTGAATTCAGAAAGTGGGAGTTCTTTTTATTATTCTGTATCACGGCTCCCAGGAGACACATAATAAGTACTCTGGGTATTTGCTGAAGTGAGTTGAATTTAGAAATTCATGTTGAGTGTTCAACTGACAAGTCAACAATCAGGAAATAAACACTGTGGATAAGGAAAAGAATTCAGTTTGTTATGGCATTTGTAATTTATTTTTGATTGCCTTCTACTTTGCTTTCCTCATACTGCTCTGTTATATCTGTCAATTCTCTCTCTCTTTACTCCTCTGAAATCCATAAACTAGCAATGCCCATTACTTCAATATTATCAAACCTCATTTACTAAACTCTCAGCAAAGAAAGACATTGCAATTAGTCATTAAGTGTTTGTTATCTGGTGTCACTACATGGTTAGTATCTTCGCTTCAACACTCACTAGCTGGAATGTTGGCCAATTACTTAAGTGGTTTAAGCCTCAGTTTTCTTATCTCTAGTATGCATTCAGTACTACCTCAGAAAATAACGGTATTAATTATATTTCCAGATTAAATGAGACCATGCATTTTCTGTTCATCTAAAGGAGTAGGGATAAAAATATGATGCTATATTTACATATTAATATACCTAAATTAATTTAAACTAGGTTGACAAACATGATTACATCTCAAATACATAATATCGGATGAAGTCACAAATAAACAGAATTATTCAACTTACATCAGGAAGGGGAACATCACACTCTGGGGACTGTTGTGGGGTGGGGGGACGGGGGAGGGATAGCATTAGGAGATATACCTAATGCTAAATGACGAGTTAATGGGTGCAGCACACCAGCATGGCACATGTATACATATGTAACTAACCTGCACATTGTGCACATGTACCCTAAAACTTAAAGTATAATAATAATAAAAAAAAATAAAAAATAAAAAAACCACAAAAGTATTTACTTGATTAATGGTATGTAAAGTTACATACATACTTACAAAAATAATTAAACATTGGGCAGGCATGATACACATCAACCTCAAGTTATTTTTATATTTCTGAATGCAGGGGGCTAGAAAATAAACATTTTTAAGTGTACCTGTGGAATATTTTTAAGTTTTTAAAAAATATGGTAAAATTTAACATTATTATACTAGACATTTAGGTAGAGAGTAATTGCTAATTTTTATGTGCGTGTGTGTGTAAATATATTTGAAAGAGTTTATACCTCTGGTTACAAATTAATTAAGGAAAAGCAAAATAATTTATCTCTATTACCTGAAAACACATCTTTCTAGATTCAAATAATCTAAAAATACACTCAAAATATTAGAGAAACTATTGTAAATATTTAATATTAGTTTGGATTTTTACTGACAGCACAGAGAAACATTTTATTTGTATTGGTCTTTAATGATGAGTTAGCCTTCAAATAAAGTGAACACTTAGCAGCAATTTGAAGATCATTAACAAAAATGATTTTCAATGACTCTACACATGCTAATTACTAAATCTGGAATTGTTGATTGATTATAGAAATCTGAATTGTACTTGTTGGTGTATCAAAAGTGGCTTAAATTAAATTGAAACACAATTATTTTAAACAATATTACTTGAAATACAAATCATGACACACCACAATTAAAATCCAAATTTATTTTTAAATTTTTGCAAAATATAACAATGTACTTCAAAAAAAGTTAACATTCTTGCCAGCTGATATGGTTTGCCTGTGTCCCCATCCAAATCTCATCTTGAATTGTAATCCCCATAATCCCCAAATATTGTGGGAGGGACCCAGTGGGAAGTCATTGAATCATGGGGTCAGCTACCTCCATGCTGTTCGCATGATAGTGAGTGAGTTCTCATCAGATCTGATGGTTTTATTAAGGGCTTTTCTGTCTTTTGCTCAGCACTTCTTCTCCTTCCTGCCACCATGTGAAGAAGGATGTGTTTGTTTCCCCTTCCACCATGATTGTAAGTTTCCTGAGGCCTCCCTAGCCCTGCAGAACTGTGAGTCAATTAAACCTCTTTCCTTTATAAATTACCCAGTCTCAGGTATTTCTTCATAGCAGTGTGAGAACACAATAAATTGATACTGGTCAAGTGGGATACTGTTATAGGGATACCCAAAAATGTGGAAGTGATTTTGGAACTGGGTAACAGGCAGAGGATAGAACACTTTGGAGGACTGAGAAGAACACAGGAAAATGTGGGAAAGTTTAGAATTTCCTAGAGATTTGGAGGGCTCAGTATACAGGAAGATGTGGGAAACTTTGGAACTTCCTAAAGACTTGTTGAATGGTTTTGACGAAAATGCTAATAGTGATATGAACAACAAAGTCCAGGCCAAATCGGTCTGAGACAAAGATGAGGAACTGGAGTAAAGGTCACTCTTGCTATGCTTTAGTAAAGAAACTGGCAGCATTTTCCCCCTGCCCTAGACATCTGTGGAACTTTGAAGTTGAGAGAGATGATTTAGGGTACCTGGAAGAAGAAATTTCTAAGTGGCAAAGTGTTCAAAAGGAAGCAGAGCATAAAAGTTTGGAAAATTTGATTTGTAGCCTACCAATGTGATAGAAAAGAAAATCCCATTTTCTGGGGAGAAACTCAAGCTGGCTGTAGAAATTTGCATAAATAACAAGTAGCAAAATGTTTATCACCAAGACAATGGGGAAAATGTCTCCAAGGTGTGTCAGAGACCTTCAAGGCAGTTCCTCCCATCACAGGCCCGGAGGCCTAGGAGGGAAAAATGACTTCCTAGATGTGGTCCAAGACACCCCTGCTGTGTGCAGCCTCAAGACTGTGTCCCAGCCATGCCAGTCATGTCACAAAGGAGTCATGTCACAAAGGTACAGCTCAGGCTGTTGCTTCAGAAGGTGCAAGCCCCAGCCTTGGAGCTTCCATGTGGTGTTGGCATGGGTACACAGAAGATAAGAATTGAGGGTTGGGAACGTTTGCCTAGAATTCAGAAGATGTATGGAAACACCTGAATGCCCGGGAAGATGTTTGTTGCAGGGGTGGAGACCTCATGGCCTCTGCTAGGGCAATGCAGAAGGAAAACGTAGGGTCAGAGCCCCCACACAGAGTCCCCACTGGGGCACTGCCTAGTGGAGCTGTGAGAAGAAGGCCACCATCCTCCAGACCACAGAATGGTAGATCCACCAACAGCTTGCACCATGCACCTGGAAAAGCCACAGACACTCAATGCCAGCACCAACCATGAAAGTAGTGGTGACAGGGGGCTATACCCTGCAAAGCCACAGAGGCAGAGCTTTCCAAGGCCATGGGAGGCCACCTCCTGCATCCGCTTGACTTGGATATGAGAAATGGAGTCAAAGGAGATCATTTTGAAATTGTAAGGTTTAGTGAATATCCTATTAAATTTCAGACTTGCATAGAGCCTGTAGTCCCTTTATTTTGGCCAATTTCTCCCATTTGGAACAGGTGTATTTACCTGATGCCTGTACCCCCATTGTATGTAGAAAGTAACTAACTTGCTTTTGATATTACAGGTTCATAGGCAGAAAGGACTTGGTTTGTCTCAGATAAGACTTTGAACTCAGACTTCTGGGTTAATACTGGAATGAATTAAGACTTTGGGGGACTGCTGAAAGGGCATGGCTGGTTTTGAAATGTGAGGACATGAGATGTGGGAGGGTCTAGGGGCAGAATGATAAGGTTTGACTGTGTACCCACCAAAATCTCATCTTAAAGAGTAGTTCTCATTATCCCCACATGCCATGGGAGGGACCCGGTGGGAGGTAATTGAATCATGGGGTGGTTACCCTCATGCTTTTCTCATGATAGTGAATGAGTTCTCACAAGATCTGATGGTTTGGGAAGAAGTTTTTCCACCTTTTTCTTGGCACTTCTTCTCTTTCCTACCACTATGTGAAGAAGGACATGTCTGCGTCCTCTTCCTCCATGATTGTGAGTTTCCCAAGGCCTCTCCAGCCATGTAGAACTGTGAGTCAATTTCCTTTATAAATTACCAAGTCTCAGACATTTCTTCATAGCAGCATGAGAATGGACTAATACACCAGTCATCCACATCAAATAAAGAAAATGTAGGCCGGGCGCACTGGTTCACGTCTGTAATCCCAGCACTTTAGGAGGCTGAGGTGGGCAGATCATGAGGTCAAGAGATTGAGAACATCCTGGCCAACATGGTGAAACCCCGTCTCTACTAAAAATACAAAAATTAGCTGGGCATGGTGGCAGGTGCCTGTAGTCCCACCTACTCGGGAGGCTGAGGCAGGAGAATCACTTGAACCCAGGAAGAGGAGTTTGCAATGAGCTGAGATCATGCCACAGCACTCCAGCCTGGCAACAAAGCGAGACTCCATCTAAAAAAAAAAAAAAAAAAAGTAATACCAGCCACATACAAATTGATGCTCCAGGATCAAGATTATGTGAGAGCACAAACCAGGAGAAAATAATATCACTTCTGGCCAGGCACAGTGGCTCACATCTGTATGTAATCCCCAGCACATTGGGAGGCCAAGGTAGGTGGATCACTTGATGTCAGGAGTTCAAGACCAGCCTGGCCAACATGGTGAAACCCTGTCTCTACTAAAAATACAATAAAATTAGACAGGTGTGGTGGTGCACACCTGTAATCCCAGCTACTCAGGAGGCTGAGGCATGAGAATTGCTTGAACCCGGGAGGCAGAGGTTGCAATGAGCCAAGGTCATGCCACTCTACTCCAGCCTGGATGACAGAGTGAGACTCCATTTCAAAAAAAAAAAAAAAAAAAAAAGTGTGTTCTTTGTCAAGCCATCATTTAAAAAAATGATATCTTGTATGATAATTGGAATTATACTATACAAATGTGGTAATCCTTTTTCCCCACTACAATAGCTCATGTACTTCTATTTTGTTTTAATATTAACCTATAACTTACTTTTTGATTACTGCACAATAAAATTGCACTATAATCTATTAAATTACTATCTTATTTTAGTTATTTATTTTGTATCCAGTCTTTTGAAATCAACATTTCTATGTACATTCATGTAAATTTAAGGTAAATTCCTACAAATGAACCACTGGTTTAATGTCTGTACATTTTTAGACTATATTTTCTAGAACAGTTTTTAGATTTGCAGAAAAACTGAGTAGAAAATACAGAGCATTCTTATATATTCCACACCCATTTTTCCCTAATATTAACATCTTACATTAGCATGTGATATGGTTTGGATTTGTGGTCCTAGCCAAATCTCATGTGAAATTGTAATACCCACATGTTAAAGGAGGGGACTGGTGGGAGGTGATTGAATCATGGGGGCAAATTTCCCCCATGTTGTCCTCATGGTAGTGAATGAGTTCTCATGAGACCTAATGGTTTCAAAGTATGTGGCACTTCCTTGCTTGCTCTGTCTCTCTCTCCTGCCACCATATGAAGAAGGTCCTTTCTTCCCTTTTGCCTTCTGCCATGATTGTAATTTTCCAGAGGCTTTCCAGTCATGCTTCCTGTTAAGCCAGCAGAACTGTGAGTCCATTAAAATTCTTTCCTTCATAAATTATTTAGTCCCAGGTAGCTCTTTATAGCAGTGTGAGAATGGACTAATACAGAAAATTGGTACCAGAAGTGGGGTACTGCTATAAAGATACCCAAAAATGTGGAAGTTACTTGAAAGTGGGTAATAAGCAGAGCCTGGAAGAGTTCAGAGGACTCAGAAGAAGAGAGTAAAATGTGGAAGAGTTTGAAACTTCTGAGAGATTTTGGGGGCCCAGAAGATAGAAAGATGTGGGAAAGTTTGGAACTTCCTAGAGACTTGTTGAATGGCTTTGACCAAAATGCTGATTAGTGATCTAGACAATGAAGTCCAAGCTGAGGTGGTCTCAGAGATGAGGATCTGGAGTAAAGGTTACTCTTGCTATGCTTTTAGCAAAGAAACTGGCAGCATTTCCCCCCTCTAGGGATCTGTGGAACTTTGAAGTTGAGAGAGATGATATAGGGTATCTGGTGGGAAAAATTTCTTAGCAGCAAAGCATTCAAGATGTGACCTGTTTCTAAAAGTTTACGCTCACATGTAAAAACAAAGAGGTGGTCTGAAACTGGAACTTATATTTAAAAGGAAAGCAGAGAATAAAAGTTTGGAAAATTTGTAGTCTGGTCATCTGGTAGAAAAGAAGAACCCGTTTTCTGGGGAAAAATTCAAGCCTGCTGCAGAAATGTGGGTAAATAAAGAGGAGCCAAATGTCAACAGCCAAGGCAATGGGGAAAGTGTCTCCAGGGCATTTCAGAGACATTCACAGCAGTCCCTCCCATCACAAGCCCAGAGGTCTAACAGGGAAAAATGGTTTCCTGGGCCAGGCCCAGGGGGCTGCTGCTCTGTGCAGCCTCAGGACATGGTGCCTTGCATCCCAGCTGCCTCAGCTCCAGCCATGGCTAAGATAGAACAAGGTACAGCTCCAGTTTTTGCTTTAGGGGGTGCATCCCCAAGCCTGTGAATTTGTCCATTTTCATGCTGCTGAAAAAGACATACCCTACATTGGACAATTTACAAAAGAAAGAGGTTTAATGGACTACAGTTCCATGTGGCTGGGGAGGCCTCACAATCATGTCAGGAGGCAAGGAGGAACAAGTCACATTTTACCAGGATGGTGGCAGGCAAAAAGAGAGTTTGTGCAGGGAAACTTCCCCTTGTAGAACCATCAGATCTCCTGAGACTTATTCACTACCACAAGAACAGCTCAGGAAAGACCAGCCTCCATGATTCAATTATCTCCCACTGGGTCCCTCCCAAAACCTGTGGGAATTATGGCAGTACAATTCAAGATGAGATTTGGGTGAGGACACAGAGCCAAACCATATTACCTTGGCAGCTTCCATGTGGTGTTGGGTCTGCTTGTGTGTAGAAGGCAATAGCTGAAGTTTGATAACTTCTGCCCAGATTTCAGAGGACGTACGAAAATGCCTGGATTTCCAGGCAGAAGTCTGCTGCAGGGCCAGAGCCCTCAGGGAGAACATCAACTAGGCCCGTAAGAAAGGGAATGTGTGGTTGGATCCCTACACAGAGTCCCCACTGGGGCACTTCCTAGTGGAACTGTGAGAAGAGGGCCACCATCCTCCAGACCCCAGAATGGTAGATCCTTTGACAGCTTGCACTATGCATCTGGAGAAACCACAGGAACTCAATGCCAACTTACAAAACCAGCTGTGTGGGCTGTACCCTGGAGAGTCACAAAGGCAGAGCTGCCCACGGCCCTGGAAGCCCAGTCCTTGCATCAGCAAGCCCCGGATGTGACACATGGAATTAAAGAAGGTTATTTTTGAGCTTTAAGTTTTAATGACTTCCCTGCTGGCTTTTGTACTTCCATAGGACCTGTAGCCCATTTGTTTTGGCCAATTTCTCCCTTTTGGAATGGGAGTATTTACCAAAGCCTGTACCCCCATTGCATCTTTGAAGTAACTAACTTGTTTTTGATTTCACAGGTTTATAGGTGGAAGGGAATAGCCTTGTCTCAGATGAGACTTTGGGCTTGGACATTTGTGTTAATGCTGGAATGAATTAAAACTTTGAGGGACTGCTAGGAAGGCATGATTGTGTTGTAAAATGTGAGAAGGACGTGAGATTTGGGAGGGGTCAGGGGCAGAATGATATGATTTGGATTTGTGGCCCCAGGCAAATCTCATGTCGAATTGTAATCCCCGTGTGTTAAAGGAGAGGCCTCATGGGAGGTGACTGGATTATGGGACTGATTTCCCCTATGCTGTTCTCATGAGAGCTGATGGTTTAGAAGTGTGTGGCACTTCTTCCTTGCTCTCTTTCTCTCCTACCACCATGTGAAGAAGGTCTTTGCTTCTCCTTCAGCTTTCACTATGATTGTCAGTTTTCTGAGGCCTCCCAGTCGTGCTTCCTTTTAAGCCTGCAGAACTGTGAGTCAGTTAAACCTCTTTTCTTCCTAAATTACCCAGTCTCAGGTAGTTCTTTATAGTAGTGTGAGAAAAGACTAATACAGTATGGTACATATGTTATAATTAATGAACCAATATTAATATATTATTAATGAAAGTTCCTAATTTTTTCAGATTTCCTTAGTTTTTCCCTAATGTACTTCTTCTGGTCCAGTGTGGTTTTTCTCTATTTGGCATACCACATTTACATTTTGGGTTCATATCTCCTTATACTTCTCTTGGCTGTGGCAGTTTCTCAGTTTTTGTTTTTGATGGTCTTCACAGTTTTGAGGATTGCTGTTCAGGTATTTTTTAGGCTGCCCCACCACAGGAACTTGTCTGATGTTTCTCTCATGATAACAGTGTGGTTATGATTTCTTGGCAGGAAGACCACAGAGGTCAAGGGCCATTTTTACTACATAATATCAAGGGTACATGTCATCAACATGATTTATAATTGTTGATTTGACCTTGGTCACCTGTCTAAAGCAGTGTTTATCAGGTTCCTTGGAAAACTTGCTCTTTATTTTTCCCCCTTGCATACTATACCCTTTGGAAGGAGGTCACTATGTACGGCTCCTACCTAAAAAGTGGGGAGTTATGCCTCCCTCCTTGGGGGCAGACTATCTGCATACAATATTTGTAATTCTTCTGAATGGATTATTTGTACCCCCCTAGTTATTCAATTATCCAAACATTTATTTATATCAATGTAAATACAAATAACTTCATGATATTTATTTTATACTTTGGATTATAATCAATATTACTTTCTTTATTTTGCTTCTCAAATTTTTCTAGCTTTGGCCATTGAGACCACTTTCAGTTGGCTTCTGTGCCCCTCTGCAAAGTCTATAGATTTCATTCCATTTTTTATCATAAAAACTTTAATTACACAGAAAAGTTGAACAAATTACAATGATCATTTATATAATCACCACCTAGAATCAATTCAATAATTTTTAACATTTTACCATGTCTGCTCATTTCTCTCAATATATATATTTGTTTTTTTTATTCTTGTTGGATTATTTTACAGTAAGGTGCAGGCACTTCATCCCTGAATACTTAAAGCATTCAACACCCACAAATAAAGATATTCTTCTACGGATAACATTTCACATTTTAGGAAATAATAATTCTCTGATATAATCTAATTACTCAATTGTATTACTTTATTTTCATGCTGCTAATAAAGGCATACTTGAGACTGGGTAATTTGTAGAGGAAAAAGGTTTAATGGACTCACATTTCCGCATGGCTGGGAAGGCCTTGCAATCATGGCAGAAGGTGAAGGAAGAGCAAAAGACATCTTACATGATGGCACGCAAGACAGTGTGTGCAGGGGAACTCCCCTTTATAAAACCACCAGATCTTGTAAGACTTATTCACTATCACTAGAACAGCATGGGAAAAACCGCCTTTATGACTCAATTACCTCCCATCAGGTCCCTGCCACAAAATGTGCGGCTTATGGGAGCTACAATTCAAGATAAGATTTGTGTGGGGACATGGCCAAACCATATCACCAATCCATACCCAAATATCATAAATTATACCAGAAAAGACACTCCAGTGGTTTTGGTTTTGTTTGTTGAGCCTGGATCCAACAAAAAGTCATTCCTCTTTAGCCTCTAGAACATTATCCTAACCATCCTACCCTTTTAGGGTGGTTCCCTTCAAACCTGACATATCTTTTTTTTTTTTTTTTTTTTTTTTTTTTTGTACAAAGTCTCACTGTTGTTGCTGGGGCTGGAGTGCAATGGTGCAATCTCGGCTCACTGCAACCTCTGCCTCCCGGGTTCCAACAATTCTTCTGCCTCAGCCTCCTGAGTAGCTGAGATTACAGGTGCCCGCCACCATGCCCAGCTAATTTTTGTATTTTTAGTAGAGATGGGGTTTCACCTATGTTGGCCAGGCTGGTCTCAAACTCCTGACCTCAGGTGATCTACCGGCCTTGGCCTCCCAAAGTGCTGGGATTACAGGCATGAGTCACTGTGGCTGGCCATCTTTTTTTTTATAGGTAAAGATTTTTCTTTTTTTCTCTCATTTACTCATTGAAAAAGAATCCTAGCTACCAGTTGTGCAGTCCAGCAAGAAAGCCAACTGTCTTTCATTGTCTTTATTTGATATGTTTATTTTCCAATGCCTCATCAATATGACTTCCCATTAATCCTCAGAAAAGCTCACAGGAATGCAAGTCAGTGGTATTTTTATCTATATTCTATCTAGCAATACTCCCTACAGTCACTGATAGTTGAAAGGTAATGTTCATATTATCTAATGCTCTTTAAGATTTTGTCCTTTTTCTTATTCTTGAGAATAAAAATGCAGTGTAACTGAATACCAATGATTGTACCCCTGACTATACTTAGTCAAGATTATTTTAGTTCCTTTTTTAACAGTCTACTCAGCATTACAAACTAACACAGGATTTAATTCAAAGGCAATCAATAGACTACACACACACACACACACACACACTCACACAGACACACACAAAGTTCTCATGAGCTTAAATAGAAGAAGGAAAGATTTGACACGGTTCTTAATTATTTCGGTGTTAAAATGTAGTTTTTCCCACTTATTCCTATTTAAAAAGTTTAATATTAATTTAGCAGAGGCAATGTTAAGTGCAGTTAAAACTGCTAACAAAAAAGTTACAATGTTCCAAATACCCATCTTAAATAGTCTTTACCCTATTTAAATATATATGGATAAGTCAGATCGGCATTAAAACTTTGGAATTAAAGCAATGATCAGAGGGCAAACAAAAATATAAGTTTAGTTTCCTTACCAATATCTATGCTAACATACATTCCCAGCTGAATAATTGGACACACGATCTGAGGACTCTAATGAAAACACAGACAAATGCAAGATAATATGTGCAATTGTGATTCTCCAAAAGAATTTAGGATTCATGGTTGAAACAGTAATATCATGTTAGAATAAAGATTGCTTTACAAGGTCATGGAAATAAATTTATACAATCTAAAAATGGTTTCACTCACATCATACAGTATTTGAAAATATTCTACCCTTCCCCAAGTGTTTATTTGTTTGTTCACATTTTGAGGCTTTACTCATTTTTTTCATAGACTAACCTTTAAAATAAATTCTGGTTTTAAACTGCTTTGAGTTTATATCTATTTATTTTTTAATTCCATGTTTATTCTAAACAGTAGTGCATATAATTTACTTGCATGTACTACTGCAATTTAGGTAGGTAGGTAGGGCAAGTAAATTTATAGGTGATAAAATTAAGCTTGGTATGAATGTATAGGAATATTAACGAAGCATCCAATAGCCCCTCGTATAGTTTCCCAACCGTCCCCAAAAATGTCCTGGGGGCTTCATTTTGTAGGCAACACCAGTGATCCCATGGGTTTACTACACCACACGCTGGCACATGAAATAAGTGACATAAAAGCTTCACTGCTCCCATGATTATCTCATTGCTTACAGCCTTAACAGAGTGTCCCTGGGCCAAAATTACACAGTCTCTTTTTCCTTTCCATGTGAAGAACCTTTGTAAAATAGCTATTATGCCTCTATTCCTCTGCAGTATACTTTAAATAAATGGCTAGAATGTAAGAACAGATAATTAGCTCAAATTAACCTGAATTTTTCTTATCGATTTGGCACATTTATTGCTGTATGTGCTACAAAGTCATGGTAATTGGTTTTTACATTTTATTCAAGATATGCCCATTATATGGACCTTTGACTTGGTGCCTAGGTCCCTCTACAGATAGAGAAATAGTCATTAAATATTTAGCCTATGTCTCATAAGGCTGCTATAGCAGTTTGTATGCTTTTAAATTTATTTTCCCTTAATATTTGAACTTACATTGACACTGTCTAGTTTCCAACCATTTAGCTTTTCATCATAAAAGTCACATGGATTTTTTTCTTTCCAAGTACAAAGTTTCTTTGCCTTTGTAAAGGGATTAGAGTTTATTCTAACAACTGTTTTCCAAACACTGATTTTATCTTAATGAGTTTTCATGAAAATAATCTTCTCCCTACAGAACTAATTTTAATCATCACCACCAGTAAATGTTTTTACATGTGACTTATTGTTAGTGCCTTTTGTTTCCTGATCAGGGTTTTCCTGCAGGATTCACTTTCACAGCTAGTTTGTGTTTGAGGCTATGTGTTTTCAAAACAGATAATGACTGAATAAAGAAGCAAACTTGTTAAAATACAAATCAGCGCAATATCAGTTGCCTAAATATCTTCTTATAAAGATTCTCATCAGGCCATTTAAAAATATTAAATAAAACAATATACATTTGGGAAGAAGGAGCTTATCTGTGAGACTAGTTTTTATTAGTTTAATATGGTACATGTTATGTGCATTTGAAATGAATACTTCGTTCATCAGCCAAGTAAAATATCATCAACGAAACTATGACATTAATTTCCATAAGATTTGTATTCATTTTATTCTACTTTTCTTTCCTCGGAATAGAATTGTCAATTTTCTGCTTTCACATGGAAAAAGTTTCCATGCACATTTATGTAGACATGTACTTTTTCTTTAAATCTAAGCATGCAATTGTATGTGGTTAATGGATAACATTAAGTCTGTTTTTATTGTTTTCACCTGTTATGTCATAAATGGAAACCCTTTTATTTAATGGCCAAGAATCAAAACCACTGTAATGCAAAATACTTTTCTGTTTTATTTTTCCTTATTTAAATTCAGAATTCCCAATCTCTTCGGGATAAATTGCCTTGCAAACCTTGATTAAATTATCTAGGCACAGCTGTATATAGAAGTGCAAGCCTAGTAAATATTTGCAATCCATTATATTCTCTGCTTTGGTGATTAACAGTCCATAAAGAGATTTTAAGCAAAGCTATGAGTTTAATCTATTCAGGCTTTACATCTAGGATGCCACACTGAACCAGGCTGTTATAGGAGAAAGTCAATGGTGCAGCCACAATTTCTAAACTACAACAGTGAATTTTTTAAAACCCCAAGGAATTGCAGGCCCATTTACTCCATCTGTGGTACATGTGAGGTAAATAGGAGCAAGGGTGTGTGAGACTTCAGTTACTGAATATAATGACTCTTGCGGGCATCCAGGGCTAACAAAACACACGTTAGCATACACTAGAGGGTTTAGTGTCTTCCACAATGTGAGGGAGAAAGACTTGTTACAGTAAAACCAAACTGCCCAAAGAACTGATCACTATCTTTATTTCCAAGCAGCTAATATGATATGAAGCTTTACAAAAATAGTTAAAATTAATTGATATTTTAAAAATCTATTTTTTTCCATAATTAGGAGACTTAGTTCCATTATTTCCAAATGTGTCTTTACAAAAATACAATAAACTTAATGTAGTGAGAGTATAATCTGTCAAAATGCATCTTTGTAACATCCAACAATTAAAACTGAGAAATAACAGAAAAGAGAAAATAAAACAGTTAAAGGAAACTGTGTCATTTTCACATATTCCTTTCGAGACACTAATTTGTTCAAGCAGTACAATAATTAAGTGACAGTCATTTGATTGAGGATCCATATCTAAGACCCAGATGGTGTTCAGGTTTAGCTTATTTAGCAGGTTTACCTTGAGCAGGGCATTTGAAATGTTAACAAACAAACAAATCGGGAAGCTCTTGAGTAACAAAACAGTCTGATAGCTATCATTATTAAAACAGAAACAGAGAAGTGTTAAAGAATCAGATTTGAGGCGTATTGGAAATTCTACCTGCTATTAATTCCACTTAGTCATCTCCTTATTTGAGAGTGGCATGCCTATGGAAATAAAATAAAATAAATGGCTACATCAAATACAATTTCACAATTCTTGTACTGACACCATGTCAATACATGAATATGCTACAAAGCTGTGGTAATTGGTTTTTACATTTTATTCAAGATATGCCCATTATACAGACCTTCAACTTGATGCCTAAATCCTAGAGCTTCTTTCTTTGTCCTTTCATTTTATTTCCCCTTTCCAAGCTATGGACCTGTATGTAGGTGCTTGTATCTTCACTTGGCTTTTTCTGTATACATGGAGACTTTACTAAGTGGTCTTAGAAGCTAACAAAAATAATTCTATGTATGTATCTATTTATCTATCCATCCATTTCTTCTCTACTTCAATAATTTGAGGTAGATCGACTAAGTAAAATAGGATTTAAAAAAGGAATGATTACAGAAATTGAGTCAAAATAAAAATGAGAATAACCGGGTGTGGTGGCTCACGCCTGTAAACCCTGCACTTTGGGAGGCCAAGGCAGGTGGATCACAGGGTCAGGAGTTTGAGACCAGCCTGGCCAACATAAGGAAACCCTGTCTCTATTAAAAAATATGAATATTAGCTGAGCGTGGTGGCATGCGTCTGTAGTCCCAGCTACTCGGGAGGCTGAGGCAGGAGAATTGCTTGAACCTGGGAGGCGGAGGTTGCAGTGAGCCGAGATTGCACCACTGCACTCCAGCCTGGGCGATGGAGTGAGACTTTGTCTCAAAAAAAAAAAAAAAAGAAAATGAAAATAAACAATTTAGATCAATTAAAGCATCATTTTCCGCACAAAGTTTGTGACATAAAGCCATGTATATTGTTAATAAATATTCAAGACTAGCTATAAGATTCTGCAGTGTTTGTAAGACTTTACAAAAGAAACATTTCCCAACAAAGCTCATATTTTCCTGTTGGTGTGAATTGAGGGAGAATGCATTGGTAAGGGACAATATTATTACCAAATTGCAACAATAAGTGTGATAAACAATCATGTAAGTCTTTTCTTTATAATATCCATAATGTAAGAGCACAATGCAATGTAAGCGCTATTGAAAGCCTATAATTTTCAAGTACATAGCATCCTAATGGTGCCATAGACTAAAAAAGATATATTTGAAAATTGAAAAAAAATAGAAAGTACATCCTTCAAACAATTTTCCATGAGCGCTATTAATCACACTTCAAATTTTGTCATTAAAATTAAGCAATTCTAGATTATAAAAAGCAAAAATTACTAACACAAAATTCTGATAAAATGAAGTAAGTCTACATCCACAAAATATTAAAAATTGTAGATTTAGCTTAAAATCTTTGTTGAACTTGGATATATTTCTACAATATACAATATGTGCTGAAGACATAATTGTATTTCAGCTTTCATGTTCCAAAATCCAGCTTTCAAAGAATATCTAAAATATATGAGGCTGATATTATTTACATTTTACAGATCATAATTAAAGTTCCTTTTTTTCATGTAAAATTTAATATAAGCAATTGGGTATATTTTCCTAAAAGAAGATAAATTAATTGTGAACACTCCAGAAGGGTGAGCCTAATGTCGATCAGGGTCAAAAGCTACAGTTAATTTCTAAGGAGATGTTTGGGAGGTAAGTAAAAATGTGATCACTAGAAACCAGCATGAATTCACCAATAATATCCAGACTACCATCATTTTCCTTTTGAAACCTTTTAGTCTTACATACTAAGGAAAGGTGGATATATAATATATTCAAACATAAGCAAAGTATGTTACACTGTTCCTCAATCGGTTCTTGAGAACAATATGACCAATTATTAATTAAAAATCTTTACAATTAAGGAGATTTGGAATCATATTAAGGGAGTTGACAATCTAAAGTAGGGACCCTAAAGATAAACTTCTGTCTATTCTTTTTAACATTTTTAAAAATTTAGGTGAATCAATATTATTAAAATGTCTATACTTCCCAAAGCAATCTACAGATTCAATGAAATTCCTAATAAAATATCAATGACATTCTTCAAAGAAATAGAAAGGGCAACCCTAAAATTTTATGTGGAACCATAAGAGATCCAGAATAGTCACAGTTATCCTGAGCAAAAAGAACAAAACTGGAAGCATCATATTACCTGACTTCAAATTATACTATAGAGTTATACTAACCAAAACAGCATGGTACTGGCATAAAAACAGAAACATAGATCAGTGGAACAGAATACAGGACCTAGAAATAAATCTATACATCTACGGTGAATTCATTTTTGACAAAGGTGCCAAAACACACATTGGGGAAAGGACAGTCTCTTTAGTCAATGGTGCTGGGAAAATTGGATATTAATATGCCAGAGAATAAAACTAAATCTTTATCTCTCACCATATACAAAAATCAAATCAAAATAGATTAAAGCCTTTAAGATCTCAAAATATAAATCTACTAAAGGAAAACTTTGGGAAAACTCCCTTGGACACTGGACTGGGCAAAGATTTCTTAAGTAATGCCCCATAAGCACAGGAAACCAAAGCAAAAATGGACAAATGGGATCACATTAAGTTAAAAAGCTTCTGTACAGCAAAGGGAACAATCAACAAAGTGAAGAGATGACCCACAGAATGGGAGAACATATTTGCAAACAATCCTTCTGTCAAGGGATTAATAACCAGAATATAGAAGGAGCTGAAATAACTCTGTAAAAAAAAAATCTAATAATCTGATTAAAAGATGGGCAAAAGATCTTAACAGACATTTATCAAAAGAAGAAATCCAAATTGCAAACAGGTATATGAAAAGGTGCTTAACATCATGGATTGTCAGATAAATGCAAATCAAAACTACAATAAAATATCATCTTGCCCCAGTTAAGATGGTTTTTATCCAAAAGATAGCCAATAGCAAATGCTTGTGGGATGTGGAGAAAAGGGAACTCTTGTACAATGTTCATGGGAATGTAAATCAGTACAACCACTATGGAGATCAGTTTGGAAGTTCCTCAAAACTTAAAAATAGAACTACCATATTATCCAGCAATCCCTCTAGTAGGTATGTACCTGTGCTTGTGGTGTGTCACTCAAGAAATCTTTGTGCAGTCTAACATCCTATGGGTTTTCCTAATGTTTTCCTTTAGCAGCTTCATAGTAAACATGGCACATATATACAATGGAGTACTATTCAGCCATTAAAAAGAATGAGATCCTGTCATTTACAACATAGATGGAACTGTAAGTTACTAAGTGAAATAAGCCAGGCACAGAAAGACAAATTTTGCATGTTCTCACTTATTTGTGAAAGCCAAAAATTAAAACAACTGAACTCATGGAGATACAGAGTAGAATGATGGTTACCAAAGGCTGGGAAGGGTAATGGTGGGGAGAGGAGTTGGAATGATTAATTGGTACAGGAATATAATGATAGAATGAATAAAATCTAGTATCTGATAGCAAAGCAGCATGACGACAGTCAACAATAATTTATTGTACATTTTAAAATAACTAAAAGTTTAACTGGATTGTTTGTAACACAAAGTAAGGATAAATGTTTGAGGTGATGGATATTCCATTTACCCTGATATGATTATTACATACTGTATGCCTATATCAAAATATTTCATATACCTCACAAATATATATACCTACCATGTACCTACAAAAATTAAAAATGGAGATAAAAGCATACAGATGGAAATGCAATGTAAAATATGTTATATTGTTATGAGAAAAAAGTGAATGGGTTAAACTTCTTTAACAAGTGTCAAAGACTCTCAGAAACCAAAACTCTTCCAGACTGAGAAGAAAATATACATATATATATTCACATATATATACACATATATATTCACATATATATACACATATATATTCACATATATATACACATATATTCACATATATATACACATATATATATTCATTCATGTTGTTTTCAAAACATTTAAAATTTGGCAGGGGTGATTAAAAGGTCTTTATCTTGGTTGTGCTGATGGTTTCATAAGTGTATACATGTGGTAAGATTTAAAAAATTATCACCTTTATATATGTGACAGTTAATGCCTGTTAATTATATCACAACGAAGCTTTTAAAACAAAAAAAGGTAAAGTCAACTGCAGAAATTAGTTAAACATGAAGGAATGGTGAACATGCAAAACTCAAAGTAACTCTATCAGTAAGAAAAATAAGTATTACACGTGACAAGACTTTTTACATTTCTAAAAGTCACAGTCCACAGTGCAGATGCAGAACACAGAAAAATGTATGAAAATAAAGCTGTGGCAAATATAAGGACTTTGCTGAAGATTTATTTCCTTTTTGAGATTTATGGAATCAAAACAGCAATTTGTATGATTAAATTACTGAGTAACAAAAATGTTATGGACAAAAGTTACAGAATATTTAACGTGGAGATTGCAAATATAAGAGGAAAAGAAAGCAAAACATTTCCTTCAAATACTTCATTGGTTTGGGAAGGATATAATATTCAGCTGCATCACTATGTCTAATTAAAGATAACCTCAGAAGCAGTAGGAGAATGGGGAAGCCACTGTACGTGTGTGTGTATGCATGCATGTGTGTACATATGCATGTGCATATGTGTGCATACAAGCACTAAAGCTGACATTTTGAATTGACGGAGAAAGAATGACGATAATTATGCTGGCATAATTGTTCTTTTCTCTCACAAGAATCCCAGATTATCAAAAAGGCAAACACTAAATGAAGCCATAAACATATTGGGAAAAAACACAGATCAATTATTGTGAATATCTTTTCATGAAAATGGCCTTTCTAAGCATAATACAAGAGGCAAGTACTAAAGAAAAAAACTAATAAATTTGACTATGTAAAATTTTTAACATTTTTTACAAGAAAACCACCATAAGCAAAATTGAAAAGCAAATGACAAAATAGAGAAAATACGGTGCAACACATATCGCAGAACAATGTTTAACATTTTTAAAAGAACATTACAAGTGAGAAAAACTTTACTGGTAATAAATGAACAAAGGAATAGGTCACAAACCATAAATATTAAGACCGACAAAAGTGTTTCTATTCTTTGATTAACATTCTAGCTTTTAGGGATACAGGCTTAAGTGAAAAGCTACACCATTTAAAAAAAAATGCTTCCTATGCAATTTTGTTAACAACGTAACTGAAAATTTAAAACAACATAACTGGGTAATGATAGTAATGACAGTAAAAATACGATATATGCATGCAATTGGATCTTATTTCTTTTGAAAATTATGTTATGGAGTTTTAATTATGTTGTACAATTTCTAATTCAGCATGTCCGCCCTTGCCAAATTATTGTACTCAGTGATTAATTCAGAGATAATTCACAAGGATTGATTCAGACACAGTAATTGATTCAGGGATGGGCTCATGAAGAAAGCCCATGACAGAGAGACCCAGAGCTAGAAATACTGTTGAAACTCTCAAAAGGAAGCATTTTCTTTCCACTGACATTGGTAATTGTAAAAATCATACAAGTTTGAAGCTTAAATGAGACTGTAGGAACAAACTCGACCCAGAAGGTACATAGCAAGGTAAAGTGATGGATGCAAAGGCAATGTTCCATTAGAACCTGTATCTAGCCATGCTGGAAATCTGGGGATGGTCCCATAAACCAATTCCTTCTTTGTTTCCTTTCTTCTTTCCTTCTTTTCTTCTTCCCTCCATCCCTCCCCTTCTCCTTCTCTCCATCCTTGGTTTCTTCCCTCCTCCTTTCCCTCCTTCCTTGCTTTCTGCCCTCCTTTCTTTCCCTCCTTCCTTCCCTTCTTCCTTTCTCTGCTTCCCTTCCTCTTTTTTCCCTTCCTTCCTATCTTCCTTTCTCCTTCCTTCCTTTCTTTCTCTTTCCTTTCCTCTCTCTTTCTCTCCCTCTTCCCCACATATTCTCTTTCCTTTTTTTGCCCACAAGTTGCATCCCTGGGACTTGATATGAAAACATTCTTGATGAATAAAAAGGGCTAAAATGTATTGTCCTGAAGCTGGAAGCATTCCCCTTGAACATCAGCACAAAACACGAATGCCTTCTCTCACCAATCCTATTCTTGGAAGTTCTGGCCAGAGCAATTTGGCAAGAGAAAGAAAGAAAGGGCATCCAAATAGGAAGAGAGGAAGTAAAACTATCCCTGTTTACAGATGACATAATCCTATATCTGTCCATATCTGATCCATAGTTTCAGCCCCAAAGCTTCTTAAGCTGATAAACAACTTCAGCAAAGTCTCAGGATACAAAATCAGTGTGCAAAAATCACTAGCATTTCTATACATCAACAAAAGTCAAGCCGAAACCAAATCAGAAATGTAATCCTATTCACAACTGCCACAAAAAGAATAAAATACCTAGGAATACAGTTAACTAGAGAGAAAGATCTCTATGAGGAGAACCACAAAACACTGCTCAAAGAAATCAGAGATGACACAAACAAATGGAAAAAACATTCTACGCTCATGAATAGGTAGAATTAATACCATTAAAATGGCATACTGCCCAAAGCAATTTATAGATTTAATGCTATTTCTATGAAACTATTATTAAATTTCTTCACAAAACTAGAAAAACACTATTTTAAAACTCATATGGAACCAAAAAGAGCCCAAATAGCCAAGGCAATACTAAGCAAAAAGAACAAAGCTGGATGTGTCACGCTATCTGACTTCAAACTATACTACAAGACTACAGTAACCAAAACAGCATTGTACAGGTACAAAAGCAGTCATATAGACCAACGGAACGGAATAGAAGATCCCAGAAATAAGGCCACACATCTACAACTATCTGATACTTAGCAAATCTGCCAAAAACAAGCAATGGGGAAAGGATTCCCTATTCAATAAATGGTGCTGGGATAACTAGCTAGCCATATGCAGAAGACTGAAACTGGACTTCTTCCTTACACCATATTCAAAAGCCAACACAAGATGGATTAAAGACTTAAATGTAAAACCCCAAACAATAAAAACCCTGGAAGACGACCTAGGCAATACCATTTAGGACACAGGAATGGGCAAAGATTTTATGACAAAGACACCAAAAACAGTTGCAACAAAAGCAAAACTTGACAAATGGGATCTAAAGCACTTCTGCACAACAAAGGAAACTATTAACAGAGTGAGCAGACAACCTACAGAATGGGAGACAGTTTTGGGAACTATGCATCTAATGAAGATCTAATATGCAGCATCTATAAATAACTTAAACAAATGAACAAGAAAAAAACAAGTAACTTCGTTAAAACATTTGCAAAGGACATGAACAGACAGTTTTCGAAAGAAGAAATACATGTGGTCAACCATCATATGGCAAAAAGCTCAATATCACTAATCAGTAGAGAAATGCTAATCAAAACCACAATGAGATATCATCTCATAGCAGTCAGAATGGCTATTGTTAAAAAGTCAAAAAATAACAGATGCTGATAACGTAATGGAGAAAAAGAACACTTACTTATACGCTGTTGGTGGGAGTATAAATTAGTTTAGCCATTGTGGAAGAGAGTGTGGCATTTCCTCAGAGACATATAAACAGAAATACCATTTGACCCAGAAATGCCATTACTGGGGGTATACATTACAAAAAATATAAATTGCTCTATTATAAAGACATATGCACATGTATGTTCATTGCAGCATTATGTACAATAGCAAAGACATGAATCAACCCAAATGCCTATCAATTGACTGGATAAAGAAAATATGCCATATATATATATATATATATATATATATATATATATATATATATATATATATATATACCATGGAATACTATGCAGCCATAAAAAATAAAAATGAGATCACATCCTTTCCAGGGACATGAATGGAGCTGGAGGACATTATCCTTAGCAAATTAACACAGTAACAGAAAACTAAGCACTACATATTCTCACTTATAAGTAGAAGCTAAATGATGAGAACACATGCATACATGGAGGGGAATAACACACACTGGGACTTATCATAGGGTACAGGGTGGGAGGAGGGAGAGGATCAGGAAAAATACCTCATAGGTACTAGACTTAATACTTGGGTGATGAAATAATCTGTGTAACAACCCCCCATGAAACAAGTTTACTTATATAACAAACCTGCACATGTACGCCTGAACTTAAAAGTTTAAAAAATTTAAAAAATAATAATAATATATTGTCCTTGTCCTAGTTTATCCCCTCCTTTCAGACCATCACAATCACTTTGCTTTCTAGTTCTTTCAAGTATGGCATCAGTCACATTACCAACATTGTGTCCTTTGTGAATTTCTAAAGCACCTCTATATTGGTTGGGGATTTTCAAATGTAATCAAATGCTTTTCAATCATATGGTGGACCTAGACATTTTGGGCTTATAAAGGCATAGTAAGAATTACTAATAGTCAATATTTGTTGACCATTAGTTAATAATTAATAGTTAATATTTATGTTATTTCTGAAAGTATTCTAAGAGCTTTGCCTAGATTATTTCAGTCTCTAGCTAAACCCCTTGAGGAAGCAAAAATTAGGTCACTTTTACATGAGGAAACTGAGGCATGGAAAGTTTAAATAGCTTGCTTGCTGTCACACATCTCAGAAATAGCATAACCGGGACTGTAACTCATGGTAGCTGCCTATGAGGTGCTTACAATATCATTGGGATATATAATATATTGTGAACAAGGCACAGAGATGTGTATATTTCAGACTAAGAAGTAGTTAATGAAGCTAATAAAGGAAATTAGAGGTATATAAAACATCATGGAAAAACAGGAAAATTACAGGCATTATAGGGCACATTTGTGAATTATAATTTGCTCCTCGTAGCTAGAATGTGATATTAGTGAGGAAGTGGCAAATGAGGAGGCTACATAAATGAGCTGGGGATGCAGGTGGGGATACAGGCAAAAATCAAGTGACTGCTATGAAGACTGATACTGCAGTATGATCATGGCTTGCCTACCTGGCTATAAAACTACAATCTGCTTTTGGAAAGTGGTCATAGTGCTGGTGTCCTTCCTTCAACAATGCAAAGCCTGAAACTGGAGCAGCTACTTTTTTCACTGTGTAGGAAGCCATGTGTATGGCAAAAAAGGTAGAGCCTCCATTCCATTCAAGCTTGGGTCCCTGGATAGCTCAGTCAACTAAAACAGAATTTGTCTACCCAAAGCTGTTAAATGGAAAAGAAATAGCCTTTTTTCTTATGTAAGCTACAGTGTTTGTAGCTTTTTTGGTAGCAGCTTCTTAGCCTATACTCTAATTTATACAAGGACTAATCATATTTCTATTAATAGTGTCATTTGGGATCTTCATTTGTTAGACTAAAATTCAATTAAGAATGTCAATACAAAAGCTTTGGTATCAGTTATTAAATATATAAACAAACACTTGATTACTATAATTTTAAGAATGATAAATATGTGGAAAGTGTTGAGAATGCTTTTAAGAGAAAAATTAAATGGAATGTTTTGTAAATACATATGATTATCATGAGTAACCTATTTTTTATATATGTTTATTCCACTTTCAAGAGCAACTTAATGAGGATAGAAGTTCAAGAGCAATGCAAAATAAATTGATACATAGATAAGTCCAATCATAGACTATCTAAGTGAGTAAAAGGGGATATCTAGGGGGACTTCAAAAATTTGTGAAAAAAAATGGAATTAAAAGATGAAAATTAAAAATATAAACTTTACTTCTCAACACATGCTCCATCAAGGTCAAGACACTTTTGTAAAAAATAATATCAGCCAGTTAGTCTATCCTTTAAAAAACTGCAATTTTTTCTAGGAATTTAACCTTGATAAGGCAATCTTTTTTACCTTATTAACTGAATAAACAGGGGTGCCTTTAAATATTTTTTTAAGATTAGGAAACAAAAAGAAGCTAGAAGGAGCCAAATCACAGCTTTAAGGTGGATGCAAATGATTTACAATCAATAAAATTGCCCTTGTTTGATGAGAGGAATGAGCAGGAACACTGTCATGATGGAGAAGGACGCTCTGGTAAAACTTTTCTAGGCAGTTTTCTTCTAAAGCTTTGGTTTTCTCATAATATGTACACATTGTTGTCCTTTAGCCCTTCAGAAAGTCAACAAGCAAAATGCCTTGAGCATCCCAAAAAACTGTTGCTATGGCCTTTGCTTTTGACTGGCCCACTTTTGCTTTGATTGAACAACTTTCACCTCTTGGTAGCCATTGTTTTGATTGTGCTTTGTCTTCAGGATTATACTGATAAATCCATGTTTCTTCTTCTGTTACAATTCTTCAAAGAAATGCTTCAGGATATTTATCTCACTTGTTTAAATTTTCTAATGAAAACTCTGCTTTTGTCTGCTGCCGACTTGGGTGCAAGAGTTTTGACACTCACCTAGTGGAATGTTTGCTCAACTTTAATGTGTTAGTTAGAATCATGTAAGCTGAACCAATTTATATGTCTATGATGTTGGCTACTGTTTGTGCTGTTAATTGTTGGTCCTCTTCAATCAGGGCATGAATAAGATGAATTTTTCCTTGCAAATTGATATGGTTGACCTACTGCTGTGGGCTTCACCTTCAACACTGTGTTGTCCCTTCTTAAAAGGAATCATCAATTTGTAAACTGATTATTTATTTGTGGCATTGTACCCATAAACTTCCATCCAAGTTTCAATATAAATTTAATGTTTTCTTCTTGCTTCAATTTTAGCAGAATTCATATTGCTCTAATAGAAGCTGTTATCAAACTAATGTCTTATCATTCTTATCATTCTTAGTGCCTTAGTGAGAAATTTAACCCAGCTGCAGAAATTTGCATAAATAATGAAGAACTGAATGTTAATCACCAAGACAATAGGGAAAATGTCTCCAGGGCATGTCAGTTGTAGCAGCCCCTTCCATCACAGACCCAGAGGCTGAGGAGGAAAAAGTGGTTTTGTGTGCCAGGCCCATGGTCCCCATTGCTGTGTGCAGCCTAGGGACTTGGTGCCCTACATTCCAGCTGCTCCAGCTGTAATGAAAGGGGCCAAAATAGAGCTCGGGCTGTGTTTTCAGAGGCTGCAAGCCTCAAGCCTTGGCAACTTCCAGGTCGTGTTAAGCCTGCAAGTGCATAGAAATCAAGAACCGAGATTTGGGAACCTCTGCCCAGATTTCAGAAGATGTATGGAAACACCTGGATGCCCAGGCAGAAGTTTGCTGTACCAATACTGTAAATTGGTACCAGTAGAGTGGGGTGCTGCTGAAAATATACCTGAAAATGTGAAAGCAACTTTGGAACTGGGTAACAGGCTGAGGTTAGAACAGTTTGGAGGGCTCAGAAGAAGACAGGAATATGTGGGAAAGTTTGGAACTTCCTAGAGACTGGTTGAATGGCTTTGCACAAAATGCTGATAATGATATGGACAATGAAATCCAGGCTGAGGTCGTCTCAGATGGAGATGAGATCGTCATGGAGAACCTCTGCTAGGGCAGTACAGAAAGAAAATGTGGGGTGGAAGTCCCCACACAGAGTATCTACTGGGGCACTGCCTAGTGTAGCTGTGAGAAGAGGGCCACTGTCCTCCTGGCCCCAGAATGACAGATCCACTGACAGCTTGCACCCTGTGCCTGGAAAAGCCACAGACACTAAACACCAGCCCATAAGAGCACCGGGAAGGAGACTGTACCCTGCAAAGCCACAGGGGCGGAGCTGACCAAGACCATGGGAACCCACCTCTTGCATCAGTGAGACCCACATATGAGACATGGATTCAAAAGAGATCATTTTGGAGCTTTAAGATTTGACTGACCTGCTAGATTTTACACTTGCATGGAGCCTGTGGCCCCTCCACTTTGGCCAATTTCTCCCATTCAGGATGGCTGTATTTACCCAATTCCTGTACCCCCATTGTATCTAGGAAGTAATTAACTTGCTTTGGATTTTACAGGCTCATAGGTAGAAGGGACTTGTCATGTCTTAGATGAGACTTTTGACTGTAGACTTTGAGTTAATGCTGAAATGAGTTAAGACTTTGGGGGACTATTGGGAAGGCATGATTGGTTTTGAAATGGGAAGACATGAGATTTGGGAGGGTCCAGGGGCAGAATGATATGGTTTGGCTATGTGCCTCCATTCAAATCTCATCTTGTAGCTCCCATGATTCTCATGTGTTGTTGGAGTAACCCAGTGGGTGGTAATTGAATCATGGGGGCATGTCTTTCCTGTGCTGTTCTCATGATAGTGAATAAGTCTCATGAGATCTGATGGTTTTATAAAGGGGAGTTTCCCTGCACAATTCTCTTCTCTTATCTGCCCCAAAGTGAGACGTGCCTTTCACCTGTTGCCATTACTGTGAGTGAGGTCTCCCCAGCCATGCAGAACTGTAAGTCCAATAAACCTCTTTCTTTCGTAAATTGCCCCGTCTTGGGTATGTCTTTATCAGAAGTGTGAAAATGGACTAATACAGAGGCTAACAAGTAAAAACTAACCAGTATTACTCAAACTTTTTTTCATGTTGAGAACCATGTTTTCAACATAGCAGTTTACTTTTTTTCAAAGACATTTTTTAGTAGTTAATTTTTTTCCCATCTAATATCAAGAGGTCTTGAAGCTTAAAGTTAACATTTTATGGTTTAAAAAAAAGCCCAAAAAATCAGAATGGATGATCCCAGATAATGAGATGGGTCAATTCCACTAGAAAGACACTAAATTTAAATACTGTCATGAAAAGTATCCACACGTAAAAAGCACCCATCAGTTTCAGTAAGAAATTAAGTTACACTGATGACTGTTCTTCCAGTAAATTTCCAAAATAGAATTTTTTTTCAATGTTTTGGAATTACATACACAGTTCTATAATAGCTTGGTCATTTTAAAACCAATCTGGCAATTGTACTAACATACATAGGTGCATGAGACACATGCAACACAGTCCTATGACCCAACACTAAATATATTCTTCTCTAAAAGCACAGGAATAACTATTCACAAGCTTAGCCTTTACAAGAATTTTTGTTTTACTCTAGAAAATCATAAAACATGGGGATCATTTAACTTACAAAATTGCATGTATCCCTTTGCTTTTCATTTCAGGATATATCTTTAATAAAAACATAAAAATTATGGGGATTCAGAGCAGCACAATGAGTGAATAAACAAAGAATTAACATATGAGTAATCTTAATGGAATTAAAACAAGTATACTTTATTGAGTAATGACAAGGACAGAATTAAAGTGTGACAATTGTCTGCAAATATCAGGATGGTTCCCAAGGAAGGATAAGTTCTTTTGCCTACCTTGAGCAAATCTATCTTTGGACAACATCACCAAAATATAATAGAAGATTATTCTAAAAGGTACTACATTTTTTAAATGTGAAATAGTAATAATTTGAAAAGATAGGGTAATCTGGTTAAGAATTAAAATTATACTAGGTGGAGGGTTAAATAATAAATGTATTCATTTTCCTATGACTATAGTTTTAACTCTCATAGTAATAATTTAAACTCTAAACTCTCATTATCTGAATATGAATCTATCACCAGGATCTTTTTAATAGTAAAGAAATTTCTGTGAATTTAAAAGAATTTTGTTGCATGAAATTTAGAGAGAAACTAAAGAATTTTAAATGGAAATATTCTACAGAAAAAAATAAGAATTTTATTTTTGAAAGTGGAAACCATGTTTGGCACTGTAGCTCATTACTGATGACAAATGAATCATAATTAAATTAGTGATAAATCACCAACTGACTTCTATTTGAGTCATGTAGAATATGTCAATTTTTTTTAAATCTTCAACAAAATTGAAACTTTGAAAGAATATGCAGGAGTCTACACTTTTGAATAACTACATTTTAAGACATGTTGCAATAAAGTATTTTCATGTGCGGGAGAATAAAAATGGTGAACATCACCTACCATATATTAGCCTCTGATCTTGAGCACTTCACAGAGGTAACTCATTTTGTGCTCCCAGCAACCTTAAGAGACAGCTGCTTATTATTATAATTTTATATATAAGCACATTGAGACAAAGGAAAGTTGAGTAACTTTCTAAAAGATATAGGAAGAGTCACAGTTAGGATTTATATCTTGCAACTGGGTTCTGGTTCCTAAATGCTCAACCCACTATATCAAACTATATCTTAACAGAATAACTAGAGCCAAATTTACTTTGGACTACCATCAAAATTGAATTCCCATTTAAGTAATTAGACTAAAAACTTTCTGTGAGAAAGTGATGGTATTAGATTGACATTACCTTTTGTCTTTCTGAATGTCATCCGTAGCCAATGAGAAAAATTATACACAGAAAAACTAGCCTTGATAAATTCAAGCCCTAGACACAAACCAGACTGTGGCTTTTGTGACACAAAACCAAAATTCCATATATGTGGTGGCAGTAATTCAATGCTGATTTATTTTGGATGTTTGTCCCCTCCAAAACTCATGTTTAAATGTAATCTCTAATGTTAGAGATGGAGCCTGTTAGGAGGTGATTCGGTCATGGGGCTGGATCCCTTACGAATGGCTTAGTGCTGTCTTAATGACAGTGAGTGAGTTCTGTCTTTGAGTTTATGTGAGATCTGGTCACTTGCAAGTGTGTGGCACCTCCCCCCTTGCTCTCTTACTCCTGCTCTCACCATATGATGTGCCTGATCCTGCTTTGCTTTCCACTGTGAGTAAAAGCTCTCTGAGGCCTCCCCAGAAGCAGAGCAGAGCAGATGTTGGCACCATACTTGTACAGCCTGTAGAATGGTCAGCCAATTAAACCTCTTTATAAATTACCCAGTCTCAGGTATTTCTTTATAATAATTAAAGAAAATTGGTAGTGAAGAGTGGGACATTGCTATAAAGGTACTCGAAAATGAGAAAACAGCTTTGGAACTGGATAATGGGCAGAGGTTGGAAGAGTTTGGAGGGCTCAGAAGAAGACAGGAAGATGATGGAAAGTTTAGAATTTCTTAGAGACTGGTTAAATGGTTATGACCAAAATGCTGATAGAGATGTGGATAGTGAAAGCCAGGCTGATGAGGTTTCAGATGGAAGTGTAAACTTTATAGGGAACTAGAGCAAAGGTCACTCTTGTTATACCCTAACAAAGAACTTAACTGAATTGTGTCCATGTTCTAGGGATCTGTGGAAGTTTGAAGTTAAGAGTGATGACTTAGGGTACCTGGCGGAAGAAACTTCTAAGCAGCAAAGCTTAGATGTGGCCTGGTTGCTTCTAACAGCCTATGATTCAATGCAAGAGCAAAGAAATTACTTAAAGTTGGAACTTATATTTAAAAGGGAAGCACAGCTGAAAGTTTAGAATATCTGCAGCCTAGCCGTGCAGTAGAAAAGAAAAGCTAATTTTCAAGGGAAGAATTCAAGCATGCTGCAGAGCAACCAATTGCTAGAGAGATTTGCATGACTAAAAGGGAGCCAAATGCTAATATCTAAGACAAGGGGGAAAAGGCCTTAAAGGCACTTCAGAGATCTTTGAGGCAGCCCCCTCCCATCATAGGCCCAGAGACCTAGGAGGAAAGAATGGTTTCAGGAACCAGGCCCAAGGTCCTGCTGCCCTGAACAGCCTCAAGACACTGCTCCCCATATCTAGGCTTCTCTAGCTCCAGCCTTAGCTCAAAGGGACCCATATATAGCTTGGGCTGCCCTTCTGGAAGGTGTAAGCCACAAGACTTGGTGGTTTCCACATGGTCTTAAACCTGCAGGTGTACCGAATGAAAGCATAAAGGAAGCTTAGCAGCTTCCCCCTAGATTTCAAACAATGTTATGAGAATGCTTGGATGCCCAGGTAGAAGCTTGCCACAGAAATGTATCTCCAGAGAGAAGCTCTACTAGGGCAATACCAAGGGGAAATGCAGTGTTGGAGCCCCCACAAATTGACCCCACTGGGCCACTGCCTAGTGAAGCTGTGAAAATGGGCCTGCCTCCCTCCAGACACCAGAATAGTAGACCCACCAGCAGTTTGCAGATTGTGCCTAGAGTCCTTGGGTGCTCACCCCTTGTACCAGTGTGTCCTGAATGCACGTTATAAAGTCAAAGGTGATTATTTGGGAGCTTTAAGATTTAATGATCACTCTGTTGGATTTCAGGCTTGTGTGTGGTCTGTTGCCTCTTTCTTTGGACCAATGTCTCCCTTTTAAGATGGGAATATATACCCAGTGTCTATATTCCCATTATATCTTAGAAGTAAATAACAGGCTCATAGGTGAAAGGAATTCATCCTCAGATGAGGCTTGGGACTTTGAACTTTCAATTGTGTTGATGCTAGAACTAGTTAGAACTTTGGGAAACTATTGAAAATGGATGATTATATTTTGCAATGTGAGAAGGACATGTGTCTTGGGGAGCCAGGGGTGAAATAATGTCATTTGGATGTTTGTTCCCTCCAAATCTCATATTTAACTGTAATCTGCAACGTTAGAGGGGAGACCTGGTATGAGGTGTTTGAGTCATGGGATTGGATCCCTCATGAATGGCTTAGTGCTGTCCTCCTGACAGTGAGTGAGTTCTCTCTCTGAGTTCACATGAGATCTGATTATTTAAGAGTGTGTGACATCTCTCCCCTTACTTTTTTGCTCTAATTCTCACCAAGTGACATACCTGCTCCCACTTTGTCTTCTGCCATGAATAAAAGGTCCCTGAGGCCTCCCCAGAAGTGGAACAGAGGCTGTTGCCATGCCTGTACAACCTGCAGAACAATGAGCCAGTTAAATTTATTTTCTTTATAAATTACCCAGCCTTAGATATTTCTTAAGGTATAGTAACACAAAAATGTTTTAATATGGATGCATAGGCTGGAGATGGCTTCAAACATAAGCCATATTTGAAACCACTATTCTAGCCCCATGACATCAGTGCAGAAAGACTTTTAATGTGTGTAAAATTATAATTGCATATATCCATTGGTTTATGATATGGCTAAAAAAATATTTATGTACACACACATACACACACACACAGACACACACACACACACATATATATATATCCATCCCTAGATCATTCACATATATTTCAGTTAGTCTCAAATATTCCCTTTGCCCTCTAGGATTAAAAAGAAAAAAGCCACTTCTTTAACAGACAGATCTGGTTGTGGAAGATGAAGAACACTCACTACAAAACATTACCAAGTAAACTAGCTTCCAGGAGCTGCCATAACACATCTCCAGAAAGTGATTGACTTAAGAAAGAAAAAAATGTATTCTCTCACAGATCTGGAGGCTAAAAGTTCAAGATCAAGGTGTTGGCAGGTCCATGCACCATTGGAAGTTTCTTCAGGGTGCAGTATCTTTCTGGAAAAAGATATTCCCTTATTTCTTCCTAGCTTCTGGTGATTGCAGTCAGTTTTCACATTTCTTGGCTTGCAGCTGTATCACTCCAACTTCTGCCTTGATTGGCACATGGATTTTCTTGATGTGTCCATGTATTCACATAGCCTTCTTATAAGGATACTGGTCATCGCATGTAGAGGCCACCGTAATTCTGTATAATCTCATTTTAATTTAACTTATTACATGTACAAAGACCCTGTTTCCCAATAAACTGACATTCTGAGGTTCTGAGTGGACATGAATTTTTCAGGGACACTATTCAATCCAGGATACCAAGGAATAGATGAAAATTTTGGCCAAAAATTTCAGGAAGTTATAAAATTGAATAAATATATTACTTCCAAGAGCATCAAGCAAAGATACAAAAAATTGGGGAAGAGATGACAAGAAAACAGGAGATAAATATAAATTGAAAGAGATCAGGGAAGATGTGACATTAAAATTAAAACATAACAGAAATTTAGGCAAAATTAGGATGATTCTGACAGAAATAAATAGGAAGTTCTGAAAAGTGGAACATAATATTTACAGGTATATAAATAAATAGAGTCTTAAAATACAAGTCTATTTCTATATTTAGGTAGACAAATTTGATTTTAGAGAAAAAAAAATTGGCTAGAATGGACAGCATGGAAATATATCCTACCTACTAAAGTTATCAGTAGAGAAACTATCATTTGTGCTTCTAGACAGAAGACTAAATAACTCGCAAGGAGAACGTTTTTTAATAGTCTCAGATACTTTCACAATGTCCAAAGACAGTGGAGAAATTTCCACAAATTCCTGACTGAAACAAGGTATGAGCCAAGAATTTGCACACAGGCAACATGGAAGAGTTTTAAATATGTAACAGTGTTGGGAAGACAAAACATTTCCATTTGATCCTCAACTAATAATTAGGCACTAACTCATTTTTATCTGTTTTCCAACCATTTTCTAGCCATTTTCACATCTAGAAAATATTGAGAGTATATTACCAATAAGTAACACTTTATCTATCACCCAAGAGACAATAGATGGATGTGGAATTAAATGTTCACTGAAATGATTCCATTCGTTGCTTGATTTGCCCAGGCAAACATGATTATACCCGCTGTGAAAACAACTATAATTTAGTGTATATCTACAATAGCTATTTGTTTACATACTTATGCTTCCTTCCTACTTTATTAGAACCTTCTTGAGAGCAGGGACTATATTACAGTAGTTGTTTTTCCTTTATCATGGACAGTATACATCTATATATAATAGACCTTTATGAATATTTTTTGAGTTCAATTATTTTTACCAATAGGCAAAGATATTTGCTGCAAGAAGAAACATTTGCTATTTCACTCGAAACAGATTTAAAATAATTTGACATAAGGAAAATAGAAAGGAGAAGTAAAGTACTCAATTTTGGCCTAGGCAAACTGCCCAATTCTAATTAGGCCATGGCCATGTGGGCCTCCCCTTATTTGCATATTTTCTTTAAAGCCCTGGAGGTAACAGAACAGTGATCATGGCAGCCAAGCAAACCATATGGGAACCAGTAGACCACAACTTAATTAGCACTGCAAATTTATGCCAATAGTGTCAGCTTCTATTTTTATATTACTTCATCTTCAGAATCTTTAAGTTTCAGTTAAATTTATCTTTTTGCCTTTGCATTTATCTTTCCTTAAAATATGTGTTAAATAAAATTACAATGATATTTATCAAACAAATGTATTTAAAGTAGAAGCTTAATTTATTATCTATTTAAAGCTTACTTACAAAAAAGCTATCTGGCTGGATAACAATAATGATAATAATTATCTCTAAATCTATTTACTTCACAAGATGCATACCTAAAACAAAATGATCCAACATGGTAAATATTTCAGAAAGAAGAATGTATATAATGAATGACAACAAATATTAAATGCAGATATGCTTCCGGTAAGGAGGGAACTTGGTGATCTTGAGCTTTGAACTGGGAAACCAAAGAATGTATTTTTGTATAGAGCCTTAAAATAGATAATAACAAAGAAAATTTTTTAAATCTCGCCTTCTAAAACTTACTTTATCATTAATATATTTTAAACTTTATTTACTATCAAAATTTAATTTCATATTTAAACAAACCACAGGGGCTTATTGAAACAAGGCATCTGTAATATAATCTTATAATAAATATCAAAATCAAAATGTTAAATAAAGCCTTGACTCTTTAATTTTTATACCATAGTGCATCAACTTTACAGCATTTTAGGGAGATTTAATATATCTTGTTGAATAATTTTACCATTTACTTGACAGATAGGTGATTGATTCAGTGGTAGATTTAGGAGCAAAATTGTAGTCAACTGAGTCTCAGTTCAGTGCTCTCTTCCTAGACTAGAAGGCAAGTGAAATGTCAAAGAACTAGATTCCTTTTACTTCATGTCATTATTTACATCTACATTTCATTAGATAAAAACACCAGAATAAAGCACTGAGACAAAATTCCTAAAACTTATTTAAAATCCGTATTAATAAACATTACCTTAACATGTCCATAGGTGACAATTTAATTTATACAAGAAAAGAAAAGTAATCATAAATACTTTCATTTTTCCTAACTTTACTACTATGTTGTAATGAAAAAAAAAAAATTTGGCACTCCACAGAGAGCAGATAAATTCAATCAGTTGTTAATAGTTTGGAATTTGTAGTCTTCTACTTAAGTTAAAAAATATAAATGAAATGATAAGGTTTTGTCTTTGCTTTTTTTTCCCCTCAATTCTTTGTTGTACCATCTGGCCTGAAATGCTCACAAACACTGCTGTCTGGACAGAGATATGACTAATTATGCAGACACAAAATCCCAAACATTAACAGTCTTCAATAATTTATTGTTACTACCCGAGTCTGCCATTGTTATCTTTTACTTTTTATGAGCTACTTATCTCATTAATCATCTTGACTGTTCTAAACCTAGTTTTAAATATTTTATGCATTTTTATATAAAGACTTTTAAAAAGGTATTATAAATGGTCTTCAGGAAAAAAACACAAAAAATGCCATAAAATTAGTGAACATGGTAAAAAGAAACTGGACATTGGTAGCACTGAAACAATGCTGTTAGATTTATATAATAAATTTTGTTATTACAAAATAAATTATTTTAAACAAATTGGTAAGGATAGAATTGATTTAATATCACAAAATTCTTTTCTCCTTTGTTTTTACTTAGCGTATCTTTAAAATCCCCCCATGACATCATAATAATGACTATGAATACCTAATAAGCAAGCAATTTGTATTATAATAGAATGTTAGAATTCATCAACTTTGATGTTTTGAAATGAAATAATATTAAATGAAATGCAAATTAAGCTATTGCAATATCTGCAGAAAATAGTCATTCAGTTTTAAATTTAGGGCCTCTGGAACCTAAGTATATAAAACTCTGGACTTGTCCATTTCAAATCAATTTTTTAAAAATTATATAACAGCATGCTGTGGTTTCTATTGATCAGGTACTACTAGAGTTCACCACATGTTTATTCTGTGTCTTAATTTCACTTTTGACACTTCATTCTTCAACTCACAAATCTCTGGAGTGAATGATACCAGCAACAGCTTCCTTTGCTCAAAGAAGAAACCTTTGCAAATGGGCCCCAATGGCCCATACAATATTTTCTCACAGACAATGAAAAGCATTAAAGAGAATCAGAATGACAAATTTTGTTCCCAACAGATCCCTAGGTACTTAGACAGAAGTTTTGATGACCAAATAACAAACATAAAGTCCACAATTGCTTCAACAAGCGGGCCCTAGTGGGTAATGTACTTCTAAATATAAACTGATAGCGTGATATAGAATGAGTATTTTGAATTATATTTTGTACTCTTCTTTCATTTATTTGACTTAACTGCTTTGGTATCACTTTTTTAAAAATCAAATAGGGCACATTATCAATGGAGAGTTTACTAGAAGTGAGTAGGAAAGGCAAAATTAATAGATTTTCAGTTTACACACATAAAACACAATTAATGTAAACCTGTTAAAGGTGGCACTAATGTAGCAGTTTATCATTTCTAAAGTTCAAAATAAGCTATTTGAAATCTAGAAAATAAGAAAACAGCTGTCATATTTTGTAAAGCAATATGCAATTTCAAAAAAAATAGATGTGCTTCTCAGCAGTGACTAACAGGGAATTAACTTGAAAATTAAAATCTTTTCATTAAGAAATCGATTTATTTTCTGGCCACTCTCTTGCAGATGTGGGATGAATTGTTTAACACAGATAATAAGTTAAATTAGCAAACTGGCTTTGATGGTTATTTTAAAAAAGATTATTTAGCTTCACCCTCTAGTCAATCTAGAAATTAGATTTGTTACTCAAGAAGGAATTTGTTCTTTGATTGGGAGAGACATTACCCAACCCTTTTCTTACTTTGCATTCTGTCTGTGGAACAGCATGCTCATTTTTAAGTTTTCTATTACCTCTGGATGCTGATAGCACTCAGTTCTACATCCCCCCACCTCTTTCCTCCAGGGCTCATCACATGGGCTATGATGGTAAATAAAATCAATAATTGATTTTAATTTAATTGTTTAATAAATATAAAATTAATAAATGCTTGCTGTTCATGATTATATTCACCAACATCTACTAGAACAAAATATATAATAAATGAATGAATGAATGAATATAAGAAGGGGGAATGGACACTGGTAAATATAAGTAAAAATTATCTCAATACAAATGGCTCATGCCTGTTATAACATTTTGGGAGGCTGAAGCAGCAGGATCACTAGAGTCCAGGAGTTCGAGAGCAGCCTGAGAAACATAGTGAGACCCTGTCTCCAACAAAAATTAATTAATTAATTAAAAGTATACAAAAAATTTTTAAATTTAAATTTGTTACTGCCAGGGATTTAGGGGACCAAGTCATCTTAATTCAATCAGAGATTAAAAAGACTGTACCTGAGCTTCTCTCTCACTGATGGATAGTTTACTTCTTGTTACTATTATTTCTGAGGTGTAATCCCTTGGTTTCTCAATTCAAAACTCAAAATCACAAGGCCCTTCCTTCGAGGAAGTATTTGCATTTGACATTTTTAAAAAACCTGTTATATACATTAATTCTTTTTTGAATATTTGCTATGTTATGTCATTTTGTTTCAGGTATGGATCTTGTGAGTTGAATAAATTTAGAAGTTATTCTCATTATTACTATCTAGTCAGAGAAATTTTTCATATGGAAGTTTAATCCATTTCTATATATTTCTTTTATTTTATATATATACTTGAATTTTTTGCTTTGTATTGTTTTAGCTCTCCTGCTATATATGATTAATGTTTTTTAAAAATTGAGAGGGTATAGTCTCTTTTAAATTATATCACTGTTATCTTTTTAAGTGTCTGAAAATGATTCATTGCTTAAAATATTTACTTTAACTTCAGAGTCAAGGATTAAGTGGTATGTTTTGTTTTTCATTATTAATAAAGAAAATTGGGCAATGTTTCATTCCTTCCATGCCTATTTACTGCATTTTAGGATTCTAAGGCCAAATTATTATTATTATAGTATGATTTATACAACATATGTCTTTTTTACAAAAGTAGCTTTTGATAACTGCATGAAATTTTAGGACTTATTCATAATTCTTGTTTCCATTATTTCCCCTTTTTAGAGTAAATTTGTTTTTCTTATATCTCAGTTTTAAAAACAGGGCTTGCATATTTGAAAATGTCTTTGTTGTCTTCATTCTTTTCTAACAGGTTAAAACTTTTTATTTAAAAAACATACGTATTACTTTATTATTTCCAGGCATTACCTGTAAGTCTTTTATTTCCTGTTATTTTCTGAGAGTGGCAGTCTCTCCCCAGATACAGAAAGATGGTATCTGGGGAAGCAGGAAAGAAATCAAGGATTCTCTTTACCTCAGGAAGTAACTCCAAGAGTTATAGAGGAAATAAGTGCCAAGTTCTCCATTTTGTTCATCTCTAAGTTTCTGAAACAAGGTACAGATTCTGGCAAGAAGGAATGAAAAATCATATCGTTGCTTTTTATCAGGTATTTTGCTTTATAAAGCAAAACTAAAATAAATCATATGCCAAATGTGGCTAAATTACACTTAACACCCTTCCATCTATTCATAATAATAGTCGAGTTTTACCAGAACCTGGCATTAGGTTTTCTGTTCAGTCTTTTCTATCAGATTATCAGTTCACTTACTCCATATCTTCAAGAGTACTTCAATGAGATATTGAGAAAAACTGCAACCAGGCCAGCTAGCTAAAAACTGCTTTGTTTGGATGATTTAGGTAACATTATTTCCAATTAGTTTTTACTATTAATATAAAATGCCAAGAACTTCTACATAGTTAGAAGCCAATTAAAGTATGCCACTTAAAGATGTGGTAAGTTCTTATCACAAGATCTTGATTTAATAACTAGTCAAATCCATATATTTGGCTTCAAATAATTTGTACTAAAAGAACAAGTATTTACATGTAGTATTATTTTTCATTCACGAACTTGCATCATTAGTCTACTCTTTGAGGTTACATCAAAAGAAAAGCAAATGGGACAGGAAGAATGACCAAAGCATAAGAGCACAGCTAGAGTTGTAAACAAAGATATCTCACTCATGATGTATTTCAACATTTTTCATAGTAAAAGAAGAGAACATAATATTGAAGTGCACCTCTAAATTCTCCTTCATAGTTGTCAATATTGGAATTGAAATATTTAATTCAAAACTACCTTGGATAGTAATAAATTGCAGTAATGTATTTCTTTATGGGTGTTTAAATACATTTACTTTTTAACAATATAGATATAAAATAATGTATAAGATTTAATGATTAATCTATGAAATAGAGCAATAGTCATTAAATAGAAATATAAAATAATTTCTAAGATTAAATGATGAATTATAAGATATGTCAAAGCACTTAAGTTGTCCACAGACCTGTTTATCATATAATTTACTTGTCAGGGAAACTGTTCAGATAGATAAAATATTTTTGAATCCAGAAGGTATTAACTATAAGCTATACTGTGCCCACTAAAGAACTATATCATAGTATTATTTTTAGTTTTCAAATTGCATAACAATGAATTTGCACCTAGAATCTAGTGATTCACTAAAAACTTTTGTGTGGATGTTGATGAGAAATCTTTGGTTTAGGACAGGCTATTTTCTTTTAACAATGCATTGAAAATCTGCAGTCAATTCTTAAACTAATTGAAGTATTCATGTGACGTTAAATGCATGGAAAACAAGCAGTTCTAAGAGAAAAGTTTATAGAAACAGACTTCTTGAAATGATATCTCTGATATCTTTTGAAGCTAACACTTTCAAGGAATATTAGTTTCAATATGCACATTAAGCCAGCTTTTGTTACAGCTAAAAGTTTGTTCAATTTAAGTGAGTTTTCAGAATTCTGTAAACCTCATTTCCAAGAGCCTACATCAAAAAAATACAAAGATCTCACATAAGCAGCCTAACATTATACCTCAAAGGACTAGATAAACAGGAACAATCAAAACCTGAATAATTAGAAAAAAAGAAATAATAAACATCAAAGCAAAAATAAACAAAATAGAGACAAAATATAAAAAAATCAACAAAACAATGAGCTATTGTTTTTTCGAAAAGATAAAGAATGCTGACAAACCTTTAGCTAGACCAAGAAAAAAAGAGAGAACAAACAAGTAAATAAAATCAGAGATATAAAAGGAGACACTGCAATGGATACTACAGAAATACAAAGGATAATAAGTGACTACCACAAACAAGTATATCCCAACAAATCAGAAAACCTAGAAGAGATGGATAAATTCCTGGACACAAAAACTTACCAAGATTGAATCATGAAGAAATAAAAAACTTGAGAAGGCCAATGAGTAATGAGAATGAAGAAATAATAAAAAGTGTCTCATCAAAGAAAGCCCAAGACTTGACGGCTTCACTGCTGAATTCTACTAGCCATTTAAAGAAGAATAGCACTTCTACTCAAACTATTTCAAAAAATTGAAAGGAGGGAATACTTCTAAACTTATTCTACAAAGCCAATATTACTCTGATACCAAAACCAGACAAAGATACAACAAAAAAGGAAACTAATGTCCAGTATTCATGATGAACATAGATGAAAAAATCCTCAACAAAATACTAGCAAACTCAATTCAACAGCACATTAAAAATAATCACTCACTGTGATCAAGTGGGATTCATCTCAGAGATGCAGAAAATATTCAACATATGCAAATTAATAAACACAATCACATTACCAAAATCAAGGACAAAAACTACATGATCATTTTAATAGATGCTGGGAGAGCATTTGATAAAATTAAATATACCTTCATGAAAACACTGTCAACGAATTGAGTATAGAAGGAACATACCTCAACATAATAAAGGCCCTATATGAGAAACCCACAGCTAAATCAAATTGAATAGAGAAAAGTTAAAAGCTTTTCCTCTAATATCTAGAACAAAACAAGAATGTCCACTCGTCCCATGTTTATACAACATAACACTGGAAGTTCTAGCAAGAACAATTAAGCAGGAGAAATAAATAAAAGGCATTCAAATTGAATGGAGGAGGTTAAATTGTTCCTGTGTGCAGATAACATTTTCACATATATTAATGTATAGAAAACCCTAAACACTCCACCAAAAAAAATTATTAGAAACAACACAAATTTCTATTCAAAATCAACATAGAAAAATCAGTAGCACTTGAATTTGTCAACAGTAAACTATCTGAAAAAGAAATCCAAAAAGCAATTTTATTTACAATAGCTACAAAAAATACCTAGGAATAAACTTAACTAAGGAGGTGAAAGAGCTCTACAATGAAAACAATAAAACATCGATGAAAGAAATGGAAAAGAACAAAAAAAAAAGGAAGATATCCTATGTTCATGGATTGGAAGAATTAATATTGTCAAAATATTCATATTACAAAAACAGTCTATAGATTCAATGCAATGTTTATCAAAATGCCAATGACATTCTTCACAGAAATAGAAAAAATATTTCAAAATTTATCTAGAAATGCAAAAGACTCCAGCGAGCCAAAGCAATGTTGAACAAAGAGAGCAAAGCCGAAGACATTACATTACCTAACTCCAAAATATACAGAAAAGCTATAGTAAGTAACACAACATAGTACTGGCATAAAAAGAGACATATAGACTAACAGAACAAAAAAGAAAACCCAGAAATCATCCATTTACAGGAAACTGATTTTCAGCAAAGGTGCCAAGGATCCACATTGAGGGAATGGCAGTCTTTTCAATAAATAGTACTGGGAAAACTGAGTATTGACTTATAGAAAAAATAAAACTATATAACTATCTCTCACCCTATGCAAAAATCAACCCTAAATGGATTAAAGACTTCAATGTAAGACCAGAAACTATGAAACTAGTAAAAGAAAACATAAGGAAATTGCTTCATGAAATTGGACAGCAACAATATTTTGAGTAAGGCCTTGAAAGCACAGGCAACAAAATAAAAAATATACAGATGGGATTACACAAAACTAAAATCTTCTGCACAGCAAAGAAAAAAATCAATAGAGTGAAGAGACAACCTACAGAATGGGGGGAAGTATTTGCAAATTATGCATCCAACAAACAATTAATATCCAGAATATGTAAGGAACCCTTAGCAGCGAAAGAAATTCTAATTTTAAACTGGGCAAAAGAACTGAATAGACATTTCTCAAATGAAAGCATGCAAATGGCCAAAAGTTACGTGAAAAAAAATTACACATCACTAATCATTAGGGAAATGGAAATCAAAGCCAAAATGTTGTATAACCTCACCCCAGTTAGAATGATTATCATAAAAAAATAAACAAACAAAACAAAACAAAAAATTACAAAAGCTGGCAAAGATGTGGAGAAAGGGGAACTCTTATGCACTGTTGCTGGGATAGAAATCAGTGCCACCATTATGTGAAACAGTATAGAATTTCCTCATAAAGCTAAAAATGGAACTACCATATAACTCAGCAATCCCATTACTGGGTATATATCCAAAGGAATTGAAATCAGTGTTTCAAATTGATATCTGCACTCCAATGTTTATTGGAGCACTATACACAATAGACAATAAAAATATCAACCTAAATGCCCATCTACTAATGACTGAATGAGGAAAATATAATATACATACACAGTGAAATACTATTCAGTCATAAAACAGAATAAAATCATGTCACTGCAGGCAACATGAATGAACTTGGAGGACATTATGTTAAGTGGAATAAGTCAGACACAGAAAGACAAACACTGCATGATCTCATGCATTTGTGGAATCTAAAAAAGTTGATTTCATAAAAGAGTATTATATTGATTACCAGAGAATTGGGAGGGAGGATTGAGAGAGGATGGTCAATAGATTCAAAGTTACAGCTTGACAGGAAGAATAAGTTCTAGTGTTCTATTATACAGTAAGATGACTATAGCACATGATAATGTAGCGTATATTTGAACATAGCTAGAGGAGAAGGTTTTGATTATCACCACAAAGAAATTATAAATATTTAAAGTAATGAATATAGTAATTAGTCTTATTTGATCATTATACATTGAAACATCATATTGTACCCAACCAATATGTGCAATGATTATGTCACTTACAAATAAAAATTGATTAAAAAAGAAAATAATGCAAATTAAAACTACAAAATAATTTTACATAAAATAATTAGGACTAATAAGGCCCATGTTTCAAAGATTTCATATTTAGATTATAATCCTTTTCCAAATGTAGGGTGTCATTTAAGTTAATCAAATTCTTTCACCAAAAACTTTGCAAACTATCTGTTCTGAAAGACCAGTCTTTTACTTGTCTATCCATTATAGGCCTATAAAAAGTTGATTTCATAGAAGAGTATTATATTGATTACCAGCGAATTGGGAGGGGTAGCAGTGAGGGAGGATGATGAGAGTGAGAGAGAGAAAGAGAGAGAGAGATTGCATCAGCTTGGTTTTAAATAGGAATGCAAATACAGTGATTAAAAATGATCATATGAAACCAAATTCAATGACTAGAACTTTCCTATAAACTATAAGATAGATATGATAAGCCTAGACAAAGATAATAACATTATAAATCCCTTTTGAACCATGTTTATAATGAGAGGACTAGCAAAGGAATAGGTCTGCATTTGGGCCAATAGTATAATGCAGGTTTGAAACACTGGCAGCTTCTGCCCAAATCACTGTCAGATATTGTTAATTGATTTTGCCATTTTCAAATCACTTAGCTACTAACTAGAGATGTGGTTTCTCAGTCTTTGCCCATACAGCCTTCCAGACGGCCACTTCTAATCTATTGGTATTAACATAAAACCAGTTTGCCAAGGAGAGAAATGAAAAACTATGACAAGAATAAGGAGACTAATCTGACTTCTGCTTTGTTTCTGTCTTTACAATTAAATATGTGAACATGAAAGCATATAACATTCTTGTTTAAGTGAAAAGATATACTGGACTAACTAAACTAATATGGATGAACACATAGTTTCTAGCCATATAAGTAATATAAGGGGACACTGTGATCATATAGAAGTGTGATTATAGAAATACAAGACCAACTTTAGACGGGAACAGTCAGGGAAGGTTAAACATAGCATAAACCTGGAAGCACTACTTAAAGAAATTGAAAAGAGCTGGTAAAGAGATTCCAAAGAGCTGGACTCCATGTATGTCACAATGCAGTTAAAACCATGTGAAAAAAGAAAAACTTTATTACAGATTTTTGAATTAGCCAGTATGTGCCAAAAGATTTTAAAAGAGAAATCCTTGGGACAAAAGGCAAAAATGTGGTTTATGGCCAGGTTCTGAGCAGCATATCTTCATTGTTTCCTAATTCCTTTTGGGCCCAAATCCTACAATGAACTAATTTTACTCATATCTTTCCTCCTTTTTACAAATCTTTTCCTCACTGCCATGATGAAGCTTAATGATTTTTTTTTTCAATTGTGAAATGTCAAAGCTATGGGAAGGTAGCATGCCAATTTGCTTTGTGTTTAATTTTCTCTTCAATTTTCTTAGATGGAAGTTATATTACAAATTCTCTCTAAATTGATCTGTAGATTCAACAAAAAATGCAATAGGCTTTTTTGAAAAAGAAATAGAGCAGCTAATTCTAAAATATATACGGAAATATAAAGAATCTAAAAGAGATAAACCAATTCTTACAAAAGAAAAAGACTAAGAGATGTTATTCTTTTCATTTCAAGAATTATTATATATTTACAGTAGTCTACATTGTCTGGTATTGGCCAAAAATAAAGAGTTTAATGGAATGAAGTAGAGTCCAGAAATACAGCCACATACACATCACCATTTTATTTTCAACATAGGTACAAAGCAATTCGATGATGAAATGCTAGCCCTTCAATGCACTGGAACAATTGGTTGACCTATAAGGAAAAACAATAAAAATAAATACTGACTCTTCCTTTAATTGCACCAGTTACAAAATTAACTCAAAGTTTATCATAGACTTTTTAATGACCATAACACTTTTTTAAAGTAGTTACTTTTTAGAATGTTTTGCAACTTAGAGTGTCTCATGTTTTCTCACGAATAGACTCAGGCTATGCATTGTTAAGAAGGATCATGCAAAGGTGATGTCTTCTCACATCACATCAGGAAATATATGAGGTTGATACTTGCTTAAACTGTTACATGCCTCGATTGTCCACTCTATAGTTATTATTTTTTCCTACTTAATTGTTAAATAATTTTGGGGGAGGGAAGGACACTTAGAAACTATGTGCATATTTTGTACCTATTTAAATTTATATCCACTAGTTTTAGCATGCATCAGATGTTGCCTGTGGTAATTATTAATGTAATGTTCTAATTGTGTGATTCTGTTTCCCTCTTCCCAATTCCCTGACAATACCATGGCAGAGCTAGAAAGAGGTACCTTATTACTTCCTGAGGAAGATGAAAGTCTAAAGTTTTTAAGTGGTCCCCAGTGACACTATGGGGTCTTAGTTACTGAATGGTAAAGATGAAAGTCCAAACTTCTTATTTAACATTGTGTGATACCAAGGCAGTCAGAATTGGAGGCACCTTGTTACAACTTGATGAGAGTGTAATCTATGAACTCTACTCAACTTTACTGGCATGGATCAGGGAGGGGACCAAAGTTAATTTTCTGTGGCATTTGGCTTGTGTAGAGAAGTTGTCTAAAAGTTCTCTATTTGGTGAGGCTGTCTCTTTTCTGATCCTTTGGCTAGAGAGGGCTTTTCTTCTTTTGTCTGTGCCCATTGGTATTTCTAGGTTTCCAACTTCTGGTCCTATTTTAGAATATGTAAGGCAAAATGAAAACCCAAGAAATTCACCACCACATAATTTCTTGGGTCAGAGGTACCCTAGTGTGTCTGTGTTCTCTCCACCATTTACAGTTATTTTATATTTGCATTATACATAATGTCCAGAGTTTTTAGTTATACTTCATAAGAAGAATAGGGACATTTATGAGTACTTCACCTTTCTGAAATATAAATTCTCTTTTACCTCTTTTTGTTTGGTTGTTTTCTTATTGTTGAGTTTAGGAACTTCTTCATATGTCTGGACACAAATTTATTTGGTCAGAAATGTGATTTGCAAATATTTTCTTACAGTCTATGGCATATATTTTAATCTTCTGACAGCATCTTTCACAGAGCAAAAGGTTTAAAGTTTGATTAAGTCCAATTTACCAATGTTTTATTTTATAGATTATGCTTTCGTATCTAAAAACCTTTTGCCTAGCAAATAATTGTGTACATTTTCTCCCACGATTTTTTCTCAGAGTTTTATAATTTTTGCATTTTACGTTAAACTCTATTATTTATTTTTTGTTAATTATATATTAGCTTTCAGTATAAGTCATGAATTTCTTGCTCATTGTGTATATAAATGTTCAGTAGCTCTAACATCATTTGTTGACAGGCTTTTATCCATTGAATTGCCTCTGCACCTCTGTCAAAATCAGTTAACTGTATTTATGTGGGTTTATTTCTGAGCTCTCTATTTTGTTCAATTAATGTGTATGTAATCATTACTTACACTGGATTGCCTTGATTACTGTAGTTTTATATTAAATTTTGATATTGGGTAGTGAGTAGTCAAACTTTGTTTTTCTTCAAAATTAATTTTGAAACTCTAGTTCTTTCATCTTTGCACATAAACTTTAGAATAAGCTTACTGACATCTATAAGAAAAAAATTAAGGCTTAAGGCAGGAGGATCACCCGAACCCTGGAAGTCGGGTCTGCAGTGAATTATGTTTGGGTCATGCACTCCAGCCTGGGCAATAGAGCCAGACTCTGTCTCAAAAAAGAAAAAGAAGAAAAAAGTCTGCTGGGGTTTTGATTTGAATTGCATTGAAACTATTTTCAAAGACTTTATTCTTACTTAGAAATCATCGTATCTTCCAATCCATGAGCACTCCATGTATTACCATTTATGTAGATCTTTGATTTTTATAATCAATGATTTGTAGATTTTGGCATATACATTCTGCATGTATTTTGTTAATTTATAAGTACTTTACTTTTTTGACATTATAATTTTTGTCTAAATTTAGAAAGCTTTAATAAGCTTTCTTTGTCACTCCAATCTCCTATAGAGATAACTTGTGCCTAGAGTGGGAATGGCTACCAGAGCAAACATTAGCAATTTTGAATTTTGGTCTTCTCTTTGCCCTGTGCTTAGAGAGGGTCTATATGTTTGCTCTAGTTCTGTCATCCTCTAGCAGTATTCTGAATATGTTAGGTTGGCAGTGGGGAGTGATGTGCCTTGAGAGAAGGGGGACATATTAGTCCCTGTTCTTCTGATTAAGCCTCATCTTAGATATGCAGCATGTCTCTGGGGTATATCTTTTATAAGTTATCTTGCTCCTCACCCTAGTTTTGGGTTCACTAGGTAGTCCTTCCTCTCCAAAAGTTAATTTTTTTCTTCTACTTCCTTCTCTGAGTGGCAACTGATGTTCTAATGGCAGCAGCACTTGTTCTTAAACCACAGATTAAAACTTTCATTCTGAAGGGGAGAAGGCTCCAGGAGATTCTTGCATCTAACTGCACAGCTGTTGCTTTTCCTTAAGGTTAGATCACAGTCAATATTTCTTAGAGTTCTTTCCAATTTTTCTGAGTATCCAGTGAAGTTTTCAAGTAAAAGCCTACAAGACGGGACAGATTTACCCAATTTCTAAAGCCCCCATGAGTTTCCTATTGCCCCACCAACCCTTGCTACATCTATACCATTTGAATGTTTTGGGAGGCATTTTAAACTATTCTTACTCTTCTTACTGTAATTCAACTGCTTCTACTGCAGGCAAACAAGTTCTCAACTCCTTTCTCCCTGCAGGCTTCATTATTCATTAGATTTGGGGCTCGTTGTTTGTAATTGCAAGCTTAGTAAACCAATGGGTTAAAAAAAATCATGAATTTGAAGTTAGCCTGGCTAAACATTTGTAATGGCACAGGTTATGTGCCACTTTGGATTATGGGATGTCCAAACAGTTGGTCAAACAGTCTTAGTATGTCTGTGAGGGTGATTCTGGATAAGAGTACCATTGAATGGATGGATTCAGTAGAGTAGACTGCCCGCCTTAATAGGGGTGGGCCCTATCCAATCAGTCAAAGGCCTGAGTAGAACAAAATGGCTGGCTCTCCCAGGAGTAAGAGTGAACTCCTCATGTCTGATAATTTAAAGCTGGGACATCTTTTCTTTCCTACCTTTGTATTTGAATTCAAACATTGGCTCCTCCTGGATCTTCAGTATGCAGGTATTCAAACTGGAACTATACCATTGGCTTTTCCTGGGTCTTCAGCTTTTGAACTACAGATCTTGGGACATGTCAGAGTCCATAATTGTATAAGACATTCCTTAAAATAAATCTCTTAAGATATAGATATAGGTATGTAAATATATAGATATATAGATATTGATTCTATTACCCTGACTAATAGTAAGACAACCTTCCATAAGTTGTCTTCCTCTTTTTGATTATTCTACTCATGTAAACCCATATGGATGCTTCAATACAAAAGCAATTTGTCCTAGTTACAAGATACAACCAGAAATCTGCTCTTCCAGCCAAGAAGCCTCATTCTTTTGTGCAGTTAATTCCACAGAGTGTTTGTATCAAAATCCTCACTTATGCCCATCAATTCCCATGTAATATTTATTGAACTAGGCAAGAATGGCTAAAATGTCTGGTGAATTAGTAGCCTAGAAAAGCCTTGTTAAATCTGCTGCAAAGGTGCTTCCTGAAAAGAAGCCAAGAAGTTTTCAAAGGCAACAAATATGTCTAATCAAGAGCTCCAATTACCTTTTTCTACATAATTCCAGTCTATTCAAACATATTAGGCTTACACTCACACAGGCTATATCTCAAAGTGCCATGGTGACTTGAACATTACTCATAATGACTGAAGAGACCTAATTCTCAAAGTCTGCACCCTGGCCCTAAGATTAGAGGAAAGCCATTTCTCCAAGATTCAGAAAGCCTTCCTCTATTCCTTGCCTCAGGGTAAATAAAGGAATAAGCCTCATTTTCTAACGTAAGCATAATGGAATTGGCTGTCTAACAGATTGTCACCGTACTTACAGCATTATCTTTTGGCTACAAAATGAAGTACAAAATAAAGAATGTTTTGGGGGGCATTTTTTTTTTTCGTCTACACACAGCTGGGCCTTGAAAATCACTAAAATTCTATAGGATTATGGCTTAAACACACAGCAATGAACCACTACTCTCTTTAGACTTGCTTCAGGATGAATCAGCCTTCTTGATAAACTTTAGTGTGTTTTCTTAGTGGGAAAAAGCATAAGCCTGAAGCTTATCGATATGAATGTTTCTTAGGCCAGAAAAATCTGTAAAATTACCAAAATTTATTATGCTTTTCATGTGTGCCCCAATCTTTAATCAAAAGTCCTATTGCCCAAATCCCCTTCTACAGAAGAAAAGTCTAATGCAACAATTTATATTATGCTATGAGTTACTAATAACATCCTAATAGTATCCTTTTGAGCAATATTTACTCCTTCAAAAACAAGGTCAGATGTTATCAAGTTTTAAGGAAGTGAATAAGAATGAGGCATATTTATTGGGAAGAATTTTTTTTAGTAGGTGAGATTTCTTGGCCCCCTTTAAAACATGCTGTCAAGAAAACTGCTCGCTGTGCACCTCTTTAATATCAGCCTTGCCTTGGTTAAATTCAATCCCACTTCAGGTAAATTCCCAATTTTTATAGCTTCAAATGAATTTTGCAAGAAAACCGGGTACTTAGCTTTTGCTGTGGAACTTCAGAAAATCAGTTTAGAATGACTGACCTCTGTAGAATTTTATCTACTACCAATTTTATCTCCGTGGAATATTATCTACCAAGGACCAACTTTGATAAGCATGTTTTCTTCCTTATCACTAATTAATTTGGAAAATTAAATGAGGTCCTGGCATAAAAGGGATGCTAACATTTCTTTAACATCTTCCCTGTACTGCATATATTAGATGTATTATCTAGTTTAATTATTGTAATAACTTTACTAAAAACATACTATTATTTTCATTTATACAAGATGAAACCAAGATTGTAGGTATATACGAAATAACTTTTGCAGTCACAGAATAAGGAATGAGCTCAGTTTTAAGCTCAGATATGTCTTCCCCAAAGGCTGAGCTTTTCAATTGCACGTGTCTTCTAAAGAAGAAATCTGACCATGAACACAAATAGTTAAAAGAAAAAAAGGACAAATATAAAGTGGAAAACATCATAACCACATAGGACCACAAAATCTGCTGCAATGCATACCTGAAAGTACATTGTACTCTATAAGTAACACAGTAAAGATAAATCATGCTCTATAAGTAACACAGTGAAGATAAATCATGCTTATTTGAGGCACCATAACAATAGATACCACATAAATGAAAAATAGAAGTGAGTGCAAAAACACACTCCGGCTCATGAATTCATCATGTCCATGATAACAGTTCTCTCAAATGCCAAATAAAGGATTCCCGGTGTGTAAATGCAACATTTATGCCAAAACAGCAGGAGACCATCAGTGCCAGAACAGTAGCAGCAGAGGCATTTGCAGCAACTGTATCCTTCCTGGCTGGAAATGCAACTGAGCTAGCTGGAAGGAAATAAGCCTCAGTGATGGAAGGAAGCTAGGCTAGGAACAGAAGCCAAGGAACAAGCTACCAGAAGAGTAAGAATCCCACACAATCTGGGCAGGATTGATACAAAGGGCCAGGATGGACAATAAATCACGGTTTTCTGATTTATTTATATTGATTTACAGGAAAAGATATGAGATATTATGTGAAAATTATCTATTAGTACTTATTTTTCAAATTAGGGCTTATAAGCCAGTAGGGAGTTTTAATACACCAGATGGTACAAAAATCAGGTAAAAGATGACTGTTACATAGAAAAATACTAATTAAAATGAAAAAAATAATTTTATTCTCTTTTTGTGGTTTGTCTATTTAAAAATTTTAGTTGTTTGTATCCCTCACCTGAAAAAGTGCTTTGCATTTTTTTGCATATTTCTTAATAAAATTTGGGTATAGAAAACATGTAAAATCTAGTACTTAATAAAATTGATAGTTATACTTTAGCAACACAGATAAAATATATCTTAGTACTTCAACTTTTCCTCATGTGATGTGAGCCCTATCAATAGCTGAGTAATCAATTATATATTATCATATGACAAACCGTTTTTTGAATACCACTTAATTCCTTTCCACATACATTACTCATTTAACTGAATTAAAGACGGAGAACACTCAGAGAAATAATCTAGAATGTTTAATTTACCTAAACATTCCTAGACCCAAGTAAGATCTTAGTCCTGAAGACTTAAAGATGAAATTGTGAGAAACTTATGACTATATAAAGGCAGAAAGGCCTGGGAGAGAGGGGATTGGGGAAGCATATGACTGAAACTCACAGTATCTTCTGCTATTTTTAATATCCTCCCCTTTTAAACTCTTTATTTTACAGAATATTCAATGATAAACTGTTTTATCCAGTTGGCAAACATATAATGCCAATAAAAGAGAAATATGGAAGACATTTACTAGGTACTCAAAAGTGGCTAAACGTGGCCAGGCGCGGTGGCTTATGCCTGTTATCCCAGCACTTTGGGAGGCCGAGACAAGGTGGATCACGAGGTCAGGAGATCGAGACCATCCTGGCTAACACGGTGAAACTGCGTCTCTACTAAAAATACAAAAAAAAAAAAAAAAAAAAAAAATTAGCCAGGAGTGGTGGCGGGCGCCTGTAGTCCCAGCTACTCGGGACGCTGAGGCAGGAGAATGGCGTGAACCCAGGAGGCGGAGCTTGCAGTGAGCCGAGATCGTGCCACTGCACTCCAGCATGGGCGACAGAGTGAGACTCTGTCTCAAAAAAAAAAAAAAAGGCTAAACGTTAGTTTCTTGGTAGCCCCTGTTGCCGTAAATCTATCAATTTACATTTATCAGTAGTAAGAGCAGTTCAAATGGACAATAGGGGATTCCCAGAGAATGAGCAAGAGTACATATCTGCTAGCCTTTTCAACCTATTCGGCCAAAATATGGGATTTTTATGAAAGAAATATATACTAAGACTGCCAAGCTTGAAGTGTAATATTGTTTCTGATCCTTGCCTTGGAAGATACTCAGGAATAGTCTGGTTTATGAAATAATATTTGTGTTAGGTAACTTTTAGGAAAACAGTTAATACGTGATCAAAGTATTTAGTGTTAAAGGACAATATAAAACTTTCAAAATACAAAAAATAATTCAAAATTTGTGTTTCTATTTTTTCTTAAGAAAAATTATACTAGGAAAAAATAAAATTTTACAAAAGGGTAAAAGTCTCAAGACCTTTGATATTCACTTCTATTTTGTACTTTATTCAGGAATATTTAAAATATATGACAGAAATACAGATTTCTTAAATGGAATGATCTGAGATTATAGTATCAATTAAAATGTCAATTATATTGGAATAAATAATCTTTTGAAAAGAGTAGAAATAAAAAACAAATGACAGTAATAAAATCTAGTGTCTGGAAGTGGAAGCATTTATAGTACCAAGAGATTTCACCAAACTATTTTGTGATAAACAACATTGTTCCCATTTAAAAATGAAGACTCTACAAGAAAAATGTTTCAGGATTTTATTGATAAAGTTTGCTAAGTTTGAGAGTGCTAAGAAAAGCTAGTAAGGATTATTTTAAATTTGACAAATGGCATCAAGACTAAAGTTACTATTCAAACACAGAAATATCCAATGTCAAGCTCTACCTCAAACTCTGAATAATTATTTTTCTATTCATTCATGTACATTACACAACTTTAACTTGCTGCTGACAGATCCTTTATTATTGAATGTATAAAATATAACATTAGCCATCTGTTAAGATCATTTTTCTACCTTTTAATGAAAATATTTTATTAGCTAGTAGAATTTCTCCATTTCCCTGAAATAAAGGACATAAGAAACTTCCATTGTTCAAGCTGACTAGGCTGCCAGATAGAAACCTCATCAGTCACTGAATTGCCCTTGAGTGACACAGTTTTATGATATTTCTAAAGAGTCCGCTTGCACCTGAAAATGTTCTTCCATTTAAGAAATGCAGTCTTGAAGTAGACGCATTTTCTCTCTTCTATTCTCAATATATAAAAAAAAAGGGTATTTTTCTTTACGGCCTTTGTTTTCCACAAGCACATTCAATAAACTGTTCTGTGAAGAGAAAGAGCAAAGGGCTCAATTCAATAAAAAATTGCAGTGATTATGCTATGCAATTGTGCTCCTGCTACTTTATCACAATTTGCCATTCAAGTGGACACTGATGTGCTTCCAGCTCTAGAGGGGCAAAAAGCCCCATCAACTAGTGCAAGGTCATTTTCGACGAGAAAGACACCAGTCCAATTTGATAGCAAGTCTCATGTCAGATTGCCAGCAGTCTTTGTATCATAAACCAAAGTCATACTTCATGCAACACAAAGCAACCAAAACAATCATTACCAAATAATATTTATTTACCTAGATAATTTCAGGATCTGAGATAATCCCTTGCTCTTACATAAGAAGCTACAGTTCTTTTAAGCCTAAAAGGTATATCTAATTGGTTACTGCTCTTCTTTATCACTGCTCCACCTCAAGGCCATTCTAAGAGGTGGGAAAAGCTAGGAAGGATCTCAGGCTTGGAAAAATACTTCAGTAAGCTTGTTGTGTACATAGACTTGAAAGAAACAAAAGTAAAAATGATAGTCTCTATCCTTCAGGATGATGTAGGTCTACTTACACTTTGGCTGTTTTGCTGAAAACTATGTACCCACAGAACTTATTCAATATTAATCAACATATGTAGTAATGATTTCTACAAATATTTTTTGTATGTGTTACAAGTTACAGCATATGTCTAGCTCTGTGGGTCACTATGCTTAAGAAGTGTAAATAAAAACTTGAAGGTGGAAAAGTAGAGTATATATGACAAAGAGAATGGGTTACAGTATGCCTGAAGGTGACTTTAAGAGGACAGTAATATGGGAGCCAGTATGAAGGCTTTTATTTCTTAGTAAGTGAAATATAATGATGGACTAAACAGCAATGATGGCACGGAAAGAAAAGTGAGTACTAAAAACAAAAAGATATTGAAGATACAGAATTAGTAAGTCTTTGGAGTACAAGCAAAAGTTTAATACCAAAGAAATTCTGATATTTTGACCCTGTGAATAGAGAAAAATAGGGTCACCATAAAACACATGGGAAATGGTAGAAAATGAAAATCATTAAAGTAGAGCAAAAATAAGAGAATTAGAGTTTGGGTATCTTAAAGTTGAGAAATAGCAAAATAAATAAGTTAATGGAGATATTTGACAAGACTCTGAAGGGGTAGAATTGAAGCTCACAGTATATATTATGGCTGGATTACAGAACTGGGAATTCTGAGAAAGAGGTAGCTATTGAAACTATGAAAATTGATAGATTCCATACATGAGCAATAATATGTTGAGAAATAAAAATTATATAACTTTGAAGAATAACATATCCAAAAGCCTGGAAGAAGATTAGAAGAGAAGAGAGAAAAGACAAGAGAGAAAATAAAATAAGAATGCTATTTACTTTAGTAGCTCCACTACTAAATATGATACCTCAGAAATTACTAACAAAATCTTAGTTTGAGGACTTCCAAGAAATATGATGAAGTAATTAGCTATGCTCTCCATTGCTACACATCACCACACCATCATGAAAATGTTCAATGAAATATAAAAAGAAATGCAAGAAAATATATGAAAAGGCATCTCACACATACATTTTTGAATCGTTTTATATTGTTCAAAATATATAGAAAAATAAAACGTGGAAGAATATAATTTATTTGCCTGAAATAGGTTGAACCAGATATGCAAATAATTCTGGTAGAACTCTAGAAAATTTCACTTTGCATGTATTAACTGATATTTTATACCTGGCAAAAATGCACAGATTGGGGCTGGTGAGTGAAGGATAAAAAATATGATTTTAGTTTAAAAGATATATACATAAGAAAACTTTATTTCAATCCAGAACATGATTGAGAGCTGTGCAAATTAATTTGGTCCTTTCTGTATAGCTGAGATTTGACCTTCACAAAAGTAGGGGATGCTGACAATTATTAATAATTAACCGTCTTTTCTGAGAATCAGAGTCTGCACAGTTCTTACCTCATGGATGATGATAAAGGAACAACAAAAAAAGGAAATTATGTGAAAAAACTACAACACTTGCAGAATAAAGGAAACAAAAACCAAATCTGGAAGATTCACAGTATATACATATTTGAATTGGAAATTTTAGAAATAACTAAAACAAATGTTGGGGATACAAGAAGAACAGTAAGCTGAGAAATTGGTAAATGTGTGCATAAATAGTCAATTTTTGTTACATGGAACAGTGGCAATAAAATACTGGGAAAGAACGCTTGTGTCAAGAGAGGGAAAATAATTGTTATCACACTCTATAATATTTGCCTTCTTTGGAAAAACAGTAAATATATAGATTTAATTTAGGTTCGGGTTAAAATACATTTTTCTATAATAATCTTTAAGAGGAAAAAAATAAGATGTAATTTCAAAGTTTGTAAAGGAAAAAATTAAATGGAAAAAATATATTCAATTTATAATTTAAAAAAAGACTGGGTAAAAAGCAAACAGAAAATCTCCAAGTTAGGTTGGGAAAAAATAATACAATCTTATAATTCTTGTGGGGACATTAATTGTTAATAACTTTCTTATTTATACAGTCAAGTAGTGAGATTGGGAGAGTTCTGATTTTTTTGTTATATTTGGGTAATATTTCTATTGAAGACATTTAAGATTTTTTCTACAGTTAACATATATTTGCTAAAGGAATCATAAAAGTATACAGCAATTTATAGCAATCAATAGATAGAAAACTGGTGGAAAATTTTGGGTGAGCAAATCAACTGTAAGTATTAACATCTTAGAAAGGGTGTTCCCTTTGTCCTTTACAACAATATATAATAAGGATTTTATCATGAAATGTAAAAAATATATATTTTTTAAATGTTCTCTTCTGACTTATTTATTATAGCAAATATCTATAAACAAACAATCAAATATAGAGATCTCATTATATAAACTATAGTTCATCTTCATGATTAAATAGCATGCATGCATAAAAAATAATATATCACAGGAGGTTATAAGTTGCATGGGAAAGCGTTTAATATATGTTAACTGAAAAAAATTTTCAATAGCATATGTACTACATGATCACATTATTAAAGATATGTGTACTACAGAGTGACATCAGCAAGGGAGTAGGAGATACAAACCTTCTTCTCCCCGCACCCCCGACAATAAAAATATTTATCCATGAATGATAATAGTCTTGGAAGGGCTCAAGGATCCCTTTAAGAACTTGCGGCAACACAGTAAGGAGAAAAAAAAAAAAAAAGGAGAATATTCACACAGAAAGGACTGCTGGGGAGACCAGCATACTTGAGATGTGGAAATGGTTAGGAAGGAGGAAGTGCAAGAGATATCAGTGGTGAATACAGCTGACATGCACAGTAGCCTTCTCAGCAAAGGACACTAGCATCTTTCAGTACTGAGACAACAAACCACACCATTGACCCTAGGAGAGGGAGATGCTACTGCCCTCTCCACCAGATGGAGTTAATGTTATGCTGCCCCAGGGACCAGATCACTCAACCCTCTCGACCCTGTGCAAACCCTTGACCCTAGAGCATCAGCCACGTTGTATGTACCCACCTCACCACAAGCACACCTGGAAGCTGGGCCAGCAGCAAAGAGGGATGCCCTTGGCCATGGCTTCACTGGTTGGAGAAAAATAGATTAAGAGGACGGAGCAGCATTTGTCACTGAACAACCCCACAGCCCTTGCCACCACTAAGGATATCCACAGCCTTGGCCTCCTCGGAGGATCTCTGCAATCTTTGCCAACACCAACCTTAGCTGACAGAGCTAAACAGAGACTACATTGTTGCAACCTCACCTCAAGCCAGAACTACCACTTTCCACCCAGTTGGAGCCCTCTCATCTGACGTTAGGGGAATGTCTTTTCCCACTGAAAACAAATCTTAAAGTACAGAAGAGATTATTACTCCATCACATTTGCAGACATCAATGCAAGGCAACAAAAAATCATGAAAAACCAAAGAAACATAACACCACCAAAATAACAGTAACTTTCCAGTAACTGACACACACACAAAAATGGAGATCTATACATTTTCTGAGAAGTAATTCAAAATAATTATTTAAAGAAACCTCAGCAAATCATAAGGACACACAGAGAGACAACTCAACGAAATCGAGAAAATAATACATGAACAAAATTTAACTGAGAAACTGAAATCATACAAAGGAACCACACAGAAATTCTGTAGATGAAGAATATAATGAATACAATGAAAAATGCAAATAGGAATTGTCAGTAGCAGAATTGATCAAGCAGAGGAAAGAACCTATAAACTTGAAGACAGGTAATTGGAAAATATTTAATCAGAGGGGAAAAAAAGGAAAAGAGACTAAAAAGGAATTAAGAAATCTTACAAAATTTATGGGACAACATCAAGACAGCTAACATTTGTATTATAGGATTCAAGAAGAAAAAGAGTACAAGAAGAGGACAGAAAGTTTATTTAAGGAAATAATTGTTTAAAGCTTTCCAAATCTATAAAATGATATAAAGATCTAGGTATAAGAAGTTCACAGGTATCCAATCGGATTCAACCTAAAAAGTCTAACTTTATCAAGACATAAAATCAAACTGTTAAAAACCAAATATGAAGAGAGAATCTTGAGAGCAGCAAGAGAAAAAGTATTCTCACACACAAGGGGACGTGACAAGGCTACCTGTGGAGTTCTTAGCAAAAATTTTGCAGGCCAGAGAGAGAGTTGATGATATAGCCAAAGTTCTGTAAGAAAACCAAAAAACAAACAAAAAACTGCCCCATAAGCATAGTTTACTAGGCATAATTGCCATTCAAAAAGGAAGAAAAGACTTTACTAGACAGAAAAGCCAAGTGAGTTTATCACCACTAGACCTGCCTTATAAGAAATGCCAAAGGAAATTCTTCAAGTTGAAACAAAAGGATGCTAATTAGTAACATAAAAACATATGAAAATATAATACTCACTGAGAAATGGAAGTACATAGTCAAATTAAGACTACCATAATACTGTAATGGTGGTGTATAAATTAGTAACATTTCAAGTATAAAGGTTAAAAATTATTAAAAATAACTATATAATAATTTAAGACACAATAAAAAAGATATGAGTTGTGACATCAGAAACATCAAATATGGTGGTGGAAGTAAAAGTGTAGTGTTTTTTATACAATCCAAGTTAAGTTGTTATCAGCTTAAAATAGCCTATTATAACTATAAGATGTTTAATGTAAGCCTTATAATAATCACAAAGCAAAACCTTATAGCAGATACAAAAAAGATGAAGAAAATACCATTATAGAAACTCATTAAACCACAGAGAAAGATAACAGAGAAAAAGAAAAGTTCTACAAAACAACCAAGAAAAATTAACAAAATGGCAGGAATAAATCCTTACTTAGCAATAATTATACTGAATGTAAATGAATTAAAATCTCCAATCAAAAACAGAGTGGCCGAATGAATTAAAAAAAACAAAAAACAAGACTCAAATATATGCTGTCTACAAAAGTCTCAGTTCATCTGTAAGGACACACATGGACTAAGAGTGAGGGTATGGCAAAAGACATTCCATACAAATGGAAATCAAGTGAGAGTAGAGAGAGCTATATTTCTATTAGCTGTCACTAATAGAGGTAATAGAAATAGTGAAAAAACTAAAAAAAAAAAAGAAGGTTATTACACACTGACAAAGGGGTCAATTAATTTAGAAGAAATAATAATTATAAATAGACATGTATGCAACATTGGAGCACCTAAATATATAAAGCAAATATTAATAAATCTGAAGGGAGAGATAGATAGTAATACCACAGTAGTAGGAGACTTCAAAATCCTACTTTGAATAACACACAGGTAATACAAACAGAAAGTCAATGAGGAAACAGCAGACTTGAGCTATACTTTAGATCAAATGGACCTAACAGATCAGACATACAATGCCTTGCATCCAACAGCAGCATAATAAAGATTCTTCTCAGGTGCATACAAAACATTTTCCAGGATAGATCATATGTTAAGCCACAAAATGAATCTTAACACATTAAGAAGACAGAAATCATATCATGTAACTTTTCTGGACACTATGGTATAAAACTAGAAATAAATAACAGAAGGCATTTTGGACAATTCACAAGTACGTAGAAACTAAACAACATGATCCTGAACAACCAATGGGTCAAGAAGAAATCAAAAAGGAAGTTTTAAAAACTATGTAGAGATAAATGAACATGAAAATGCAACAACCCAAAACTTACAGGGTACAGCAAAGGCAGTTCTAAGAGGGTAGTTTATAGCAATAAATGACTACGTTCAAAAAGAAGAAAGCTCTCAAATAAAAAAAATTTACACCCAAGGAACTAGAAGAAAACCAAACTAAGCCCACAGTTAGCAAGGAAAGAAAATAACAGAGATGAGAGGAAAAATAAATAAAATACAGACTGGAAAAATAATAGAACAGATCAATGAAACTAAAAGTTGCTTTTTGAACACATAAACAAAACTGATCAACCTGTAACTAGACTAAGAGAAAGAAAACAAGACTCAAATAAACAAAATCAGAAATGAAAGAGGAGACCTATAAATGATCCTGTCTACTATGTACAGAAATACAAAGGATTATCAGAGATTACCATGAACAATTATATACCAATAAATTGGATAGCCTAGAAGAATGGATAAATTCCTAGAACATGTAACCTACCAAGACTGAATTATGCAGAAATAGAAAGTATGAGCAGACCAATAATGAGTAAGGGGATTGAATAAGTAACAAAATACATCTTATCAAATTAAAGCCCAGTAGCATACTGGCTTTCACTTCACAGGTGAATTCTACCAAATATTTAAAGAAGAATGAATACAACTTGTGCTCAAACTTTAACAAAACAGTTAAAGATCAGAGACTACTTCCAAATTCATTTTATGAGTCCAGCATTAAACTGATACTAACACCAGATAAGGACACTACAAGGAAAGAAAATTGCAGGGCAATATTCCTGATGAACATAAATGTAAAATTCTCAACAAAATACTACCAAACCGAATTTAATAGCATATTTAAAGGAATAATCATCATGATCAAGTGGGATCTATTTATGGGATGCAAGAATGTTTCAACATATGCATATTAAAAATGAGATACATCACATTAACAGAATGAAGGACAAAAACTGTATCATTTCAACTGATGCAGAAAAAGCATTTGATGAAAGGCAACATTCTTTCATCATAAAAACTGTCAACATTTTAGATACAAAAGGAATGTCCCTCAACATAATAAAAGCCATATATGTACCACAGTTAACATTGTACTCAATAGTTAAAGGTTGAAAGTTTTTCTTCTAAGATCAGGAACAAGGCAAGGATGCACACACTTACCACTCCTATTCAACATAGTATTAGAAGTCTTAGCCAGAGCAATTAAGCAAGAGAAAGAAATAAAAGGCATCCAAATAGGAAAGGAAGAAGTTAAATTGTGTCTAACTGCAGATGACATAATCTTGTATATAGAAATCATTTAAGATTTCACCAAAAAAAAAACTGTTAGAATAACAGTAAAGGTGCAGATTATGAAATCAACCTATAAAAATCACTTGCTAAGGAAGGAGAACAAGGAATGAGGAGATACTGGTCAAAGGGTACAAACTTCCAGACAGAAAGAGTAGGTTCCGGAGATCCATTGTACAACATGGTGACTATAATCAATAATAATATATCATATACTTCAAAATTGCTAAGAGCATAGATCCCAAATGTTTTCATTTAACAAAGAGAAGTACGTGAGGTGATGGATATGTTAATCATCTTGATTTAATTATTAAACAATGTATACATATAGGAAAACTTCACATTTTTCACCATAAATATATACAATTTTTATTTGTCAATTAAACCTTCAGGAAGCTAGGAAAAAGTATGTAAATGCTATTTGGGAAAAATGTGACTCTTTTTGTGTTCTCCTTGATGGAGGCTCTATTTTCTAAATCTTTTATAATGATCATGTATTATTTTCATAATGAGATAAAAATGAATCCCTAATTTGACTATACAATACTGTAGCATTGTTTAAACAGTGTTAATGTTAATAAATATCATTCTTTACATATAATTGGAAATTCATGGTTTAAAATACGTGGTACTCATTCTAGTAAAATAACCAGAAATATGCTGTGTGCCATCCACACAAATCAACCATCGAAGAGATTATTTCAGAAAATAACATTTAGCTAATTAACAAAAGTGACTGTGTTAGAAATAAGTAGGCATTTATATGACAACACACTATTCTGAAAGATTTCTTTAGTGCTTTTTCATTTTTATTGTGTGTGTGAAGTTTTAGATAAAATTCTCAGATGTCTTTTTTTTTAGCCCTTGTTGAACATTCTGAAAAATTATGAGGAATATATATATAATCCACTTTGAACATCAATTTATTTTTCATTTGTACCTCATTAATGGCAACCAAAAAACCCCATCATGACCATTTTAGGAAATAAAAGAATATATTCAGTTTCAAAAATATTTTTGGATTTAATTCTTAAAATTTTAACATTTAAAATATCTAGGATTTTAAAATAATTTCACTTTTGTAATGAAATTTGTAGGAACCAATTAGAAAATAACAAATTGTGAAAATTTACCTGTCAAAATTTTGCTTGCCACTTGGTCATGCATGTTCTGTATGTATCAATTACACTAACTGACATACTAATGAGTACTTGTGGAAGTAAAAATATTCAGGGTTTTTTCATCTTTAAGGTGGATACTTTAATAAGTATCTTGCAGAGCACGAAACAATACTATCTTTTCACTTTATCCAATTTATATATGACTATAGGGTGGATGACATTGTTTCAGAGATTTCTTCCTGTTAGCTTAATTACTCAGACCCTGTTCATAGAAACTTCTATATGTCCAAAAAAGGAAAATATAAAAGAAAATAAAATCTCACATTGGTGCTTAGCAGGAGAATTTTTAAAGACTTACAAATCAACAAGCTGTTCAAATAAATAATGAATGCTGCAGCTGGCTCTTACATGGGCCTGAGTGTCCAATAGTAGCAGATGTCCCAGTTCTATAAATGTGCTAGCAGAGGAAGGTCCTAAATTGAGATTGAAACAAATTGGGATGCAGGCTTACAAGTGGGCATTTGATTATAGAATTAATTGAATGCATTTTTTTCTAAAAATTTATATAGGTATGAGAGTAAAATGCCTTTTAGATAAAAGATTAAAATCTCCTTTAGCTTCCAAAAGAATTAGTTGATATCTATGTGAAATTTTGTTTTAGATAAGCTCTTTCTCTGCTGTACTTGAAATAGAAAGTGATTGTTTCAATTTAGAAATGTATTTAGAATTTAGAGGGATAGCATTTCAGAAAATTGACATGGATCTATCTGCAGCAAGAGTTATTTAGTAGTTATTTGATGAAGACCTGGTTTGAGCTCAGAACTGCTGGTAAAGTCAATGCCAAGATGGACACACTCAAACTGAATATTTTATGAAAACATTAAAGTGTGAAATGAACCTTGTCTTCAAGAATGTCTACCTAATGAGGAAAGGAAATTTGAACCAATAATAATATTTTAACTCCAACAAATGAAGGTCATATTTCAAGACAAAAAAAAAAAAGAGTATGCGTGAGCATAGATGAATAATACCATGGAGGTCAGGGAAGTTCTTGAAGTTTTGACAGCCACTCATTAAGCAAGCAACATCATGGTGAGGAAAAGTATTCTAGACAAAAGAAATAACATGTACAAATTTTAGAGTAGAAAGTAGAAGCAGTATCTGGGAAAGAAGGCAGGAAAGATCATAAATGATCTTGTACTCAATGCTTCGGAGTTTAGATTTTATCCGGTAAGAAATAAAACCCAGTTAAATTTTTTTTTTTTAGAGCTGGAGAAAAATGTATTGGAATTTTTGCATTAGGAGGTAAATCTCCATTTCACAGGACCATTTCAGTGGATCATGAGTTCTGATCCTGCCCATCTGGGTGTCTCTTAAACTCAGCCACTCGTCTTCATCTAGCAAAATTAATCATAGTCCTTTTTTGATGCCTTTCAGATCACTTCAGTTTTATTTTCTGTAATTCCTAGAACAGTATGTTCCACGTGGTAGAGGCTCAATAAATGTCTGGTGAATTCAATTGACTGTCTTGTCTCAGTATATGAGGAAACTGAAGCTCAGGACAGTTCACCTGTTTCTTCAAGATCAAACAGCTAGTCCATGGCAAAGGAAAGGGTAGAAATAACCCAAGACTCTAAATTCCCAGACTGATTCATCCTTGACTGTACTATGAGATTCTTATTTGTAACAGTCAAATTGCTTTCACCTAGATTTTTCTCCAGGATTATAAACTCAATAAGTCATATCCAAATTAACTAACTTCTGCCTATTTCCTATGACCCAAGCTTTTCCCTGTATTTGTTAATTAACAATGACATATCATCTATATTTAAAACCTCAAAGTCAGCTTGAATTCATCCACCCCTACCTACAACTTCAATTACTTTCAAAATTCTGTCAGTTTTACCTTTATGGTACTTCTTAAAATATAGTTTTTTTCCATTTTACTCTGCCCTTGACTTTGGAAATAAGTTCCTAACTGTTCTTCCTACTGCCATTAAATCCTCTCTTCTTCCAAAGTATCCTACATGATTATATAATTTTCCAAGTACTCTTTATGTCTTAAATTTCTCTTTTTCGCCACAGGCCGGAGAAAACTCTCAGCTTTCAATGAGCTCATGTGACAAGGCTATGTCCATCTGGAATAATCTCCCTTTCTTAAAGTCACGTATACTGTGTAAGATAACATAACCATGGAGTAATATCTCTTTATCTTCACATGTTTTATACAATTTAAATGGAGGGAAATATACAAGGGCAAGAGTCAATGCCCTTGATCATCTTAGAATGGCTGTCTTCCAAACCAGAAACTGTGAATCTATTGCAAAATTAAAATAGGATAGTGACTTAGAAACAGGAAAAGAAGAAAGGCCTAGAAACAGATATAAGTATGGAGAGGAAATTAATATATTAAAACAGAACGGTTAAACTGAGTGGAAACAGAGTGTCTTGTTTAATAATGATGATTGACAGGCAATCTAATTTGAAAAATATGGACTATCCAAGGTACGAAGTGCTTCTTAGATATTCAAGTGAACATGTCAATGAGCCAGTTAAATATAATGAAGTTCAGGTGAGAGGTTAAGCCTAGAAATATAAATTTGAGAGCAATATACAGTTATATTGTATATTAAAACATCAAATTGAATGATGTCGTGTAGGAAATACTGCAGCTAGAGAAGAGAAGCCTCTCTGGCATTTCCAAGTAGGTTGGAGAAAGAAGAGTTGCCCAAAAAGACATTATCTGGCATTCTTTTATAAACCAAAAAATGCTATTATTAAGCATTAATCATAATATTCATATTATCAAATGGTAGATGCACTAAAGTAACTTGGCTTTATCATAGTGTGTGAGGTTGGAGATAAATTAAATATTAATTTCCTTTCAAAGAATAAAAGCAAACAGACTATCAGCCTTTCAATAAATTCACACTATCAAAATAAAAAAGTGCCAGGTCCTTCCATATTTGGCCCCTCACCTTTCTGGCCAATTGCAATTGAAGTGGAGAGCAAGGTCTATAATGAAGTTCTGAGCCCCAAGTTCTTCAACAGTACAATTTCCATAATAATTAGTATATAATATTGTGGTGAGCATTAAACGATCTAATATCTATAGAAAGTCTTGGCACATACCCTTTCATATAGCAAATAATAACTTACAGAAATTATCTATTATCTGTTAGATATATAGTTCTTGTCAACCTGCCAGATTTTCAGCCAGATTCATTTATTGTCTAATCATTCCCTGTTCTTTTCCAATTCTTTACCACTGTTCATGTGATTCAATTCATCAGGAATATGCTTCCCCCATTTTATGACATCTCTCAAGGGCCATGTTCTATCCCTCTTTCAAGGTCCTGTTTAAATATGTACATGTATTTTATATTATGTATACATTTTTTGTTTTGTTTAAGGAACAGATGTGGGGTTGTCCACTTTTATTTTTCTTGATAAGAATAAAATAAAAGCAGTAAAATCATCCACCATCTTCTTATCACCATCACTGCACACATGCAAACAAATATAACCTGAAGAAAAGTAGGAGATGATCTTAGAATTTAAAAAAAGCTATGTATAAGATTTTATTAAAATCCTTAGCTTATAAGAATACCTGGGTCTCAAGGCAGTTAGGCTAATATCTTAGGTTTTTGAGTACACATTCCCATGGCCCCAAAGGACTGGGATATATATTTTCTACCTTTGTGTTTTCAGCACCTAGTACACAATATGTTGGGGGAATGGTTACTATATATTTCCTTTCATTATGGTTGCTTAGGACTTGTGGTATTTTGGACTACAAAAGTCATGAAAACGAGACTTTTCTACTTGATTCTATCACACTTTTCTACTTGAGTCTATCACAGTACTTGGCAAATTAGCTGACAAGCAAATACATGCTAGCCAAATTAAACTGAGACACAGTGACAATTTACGTAGCTGCAATTTAGGACTAGAATTTTATAATCCACATTAAAAATGTAAAAGACAAAGAAAAATGATAATGCTTCTATCTGGTCTGTATATGAATATCTGTGACCAAGGGCTGGTTTGTCCAAATCTGTGACTAGAATGCTTATTTCGAAAAATATAAAGAGAAAGAACAGACTCACACACACACAAAAAGTTTCTGTCTTAATAAAAAATCTTACAAAATGCTAGGAAATAGAAAGATTCTAGAGTATAGCAAATATTCTGCATCTTCCCTTTGCCTCCTTTACCACCCAACTAAGCATGTAGCTGCTCACATTTGTCCTTAAACCATAAGATACTTCTTTATCCCTATTTATCAAGAGCATCAATATACTTCCCCAAGGCATGCAGTCCCAATGTATACTCAAATTAGGATAAGACAAGGAGAGATTTGAGAGGGGGTAGTGTCAACCAAACCATGTAGAGTCATTCTCAGGCCCATTCCTTGATCTCCAGATTTGCATTGAGGGGTGATGGTGCCAGAAATAAGTTTCAGGTCTGCTATGTTTTCTCACTGGGAAATACTTCACCCTGGCTCTTAATGAGGCTAGATATGGTACTGGATAAGTAGCACAAGCAGAGGTAAAATCTAGCATGGGAAGCATGTTTGGAGCAGAGCCCAGGCCACTGGATGGTGGAAAGGCAAGAATCAAAGGACGAGCCATGCCACTACTTTACCTAAGTTTCACACCCATGCCTTAACCCTCAAAATATTTTTATAGTTTTAAAAAACTTCAAGTCACCTTGTTCAGTGCAAAAATATTAAAATGTTTCTCCTCTGGGGAATATTCACAGAGAAAGAGGCTGCTACCTCTGCAGTGCCCTCATTTTGAAAACAGCATTGGGCTTAGAATACATTATTCTAAACGTATATTTTATATGATATTCTTTTTATGTAGTCCAAGGCGTTTTCTCAGAAAGTGCTATTTGCATAACCATGTTTTAGGTAGTACCTGTATTTTCCTCTAAGAGGAAGAATATAACATGCATTTAATTATAGATAGCTTTTAAATTGAATGCATTTATGCTTACACAATATTATGATCCAAAAAATGTGAATCTAATGGACAGCAACATTTTTAAAAGCAACTTTAATACTATGGCTTTAGATTTAAAAAGCAATTGTTATTTTTAAGAACAAGAGCGCAGTTAAAATAAAGGTAAACCATTATTGCAGCTACATGTCTATAAGATAAATAATCAATTGGCAATTATAATCTATACATTATGCCATCAAATAAGTTGTTCATTAAGAAATTACTAACTGATGCTATCCCTAATCATGTTCGGTCAAGGATTGGTTCTCTCATCCAAAAATGGTCAAATCCTTTGAAGAGGAACTTTGAGGATATGGAGATTCCTTTGCAAATCTGGTTCTACTTAAAGAAAATTTATCCACCCCATGAATGCATTTATGCTGCATGGTATTTCTGTGTAATCCTTTCTTTCTTCTAATTCATGTCCTATGAATTAAAATGAGAAGCTTTTGTACTTTAATGAATGCACAAATACAGTATCAATGTCTACTCAACAATTTTGTTTAAATTTCCCAGTGCAAAAGAAAATGGCCAAACTCATTTCCATTGATAATTACTCAGCATGGACTCAATTAGCTCCCTCCAGTGCTTTCCCATCCTTAGTAAATGCAATAGGTTGGATAGTTCCATGTCTCTGCATATCCATATTTTGTTTCTAATGCTCAGATAAGGAATAATGTGTTAAAGTTGTTATTAAGAAATCAGCTAGTCTGAAACCAGGAAATTATTAACACAAGAAGAACAAAATCCACAATATTTTAAGAGAGATCTTCCCTCAATAGATGAGGCAAAATAATTTCCTGAATATCACAGGTAAAAAGAAAGGATTTATCCTCACTTAAAATGACAGATGGGTATTTACATACATTTTTGTGACTGGCATTATTAAGGATTTTATTAAATAAAAATTTAATACAATTTGTCTTTTTCTTTAGCATGGCTAGAAAATGTACAAAATTTAGTAGACTTTTCTTTTTCCTTTTGGTTTTCTTTCTTTCTTTCCTTTGTATAGTTTTTGGGTATTTTTTGTTTGCTTTAAAAATAGCCCAGTTCTTCCCTCTCTGTTCTTCAGAATATTATTCTAGTCTAATATATTTAAAACATCACATTGAATCTTCTAGTCTCTCTATAGAGACCATACCGCTAATGTCTTTTAATTTTAAAAAGATAAGCAAAATGAAGAAGGTGATATGAGAATTTAGGGTTTTGGGGTGTTTTAATGCAAAACATTGAAGAGTCTTTATAATAAGCAAATATCTGATATTTCTTGTCTATTTTCCTGGATGAAGGAGCCTTTTTGTATAATGAAGAGTAAAGAGAAATATATCTAAAGGCCAAAGCCAAACAAGCTATCTTCAAGCTCTAGTTAGCTAATTACTCGCTTAACTTAATATTCAAAGTCTTAATACATATCTATGGAGGCAAAACGAGAATTTGTAGTTCATATCTAAGAAGTCTGAAATAAAATCAGAAATTTATTCACTAAAGTAACGTTTTGGGGTTTGGAGATAACTAGCTCTGTCTTAAGTAAATCTACCCTACCTCTGGGTTTTAATCCAAGATAAGGAGGTTACACCCTTTGTTCTCTTACAACAGAAACATTGCAGAAATATAGAACCTTTACTGAGCTACTGATCACAAGTATTTAATACATCTCTATTAAATTAGTGGTTGAAATGATATATCAATGATTTAATTATTTTATTAAATTAAATGTTGATACTTCCAATGTTTTCCATGATCCCCCCATTTTGACCCCCACCTGGAGCATTTTCAGCAGATTCACACTGGGGAAGGGGAGGTTACTGGTCAGCTTCTAGCGTGGCACTTCAGCCAGACCCACAAAAGTGTAGAACATCTGCAGATGGGGTTTCTAGCTCTATTTTTATAAGTTCTCAAGGTTATTATTCTGTGGAAACATTAGAGATTTGCCCTTTAAAGTATAAATATTAATCCCAGAAAATACTGTCATCATCTTTATTGTCTGAGTCATAGCAGCCAAAGATAACATAAATAAATTGGGCATTTGGCAATAACTTATAAAATAAAAAGCACAATAACTAATTACTGTAACTGGAGTTTTATGTTATTTTTAATTAATTCTTTATGTATTTGAAAGAGAAATCTGTATAGTTGATATCAGCTCTTCATTAACTAAACATGAAATACATTTATTAATATTAATATAAAACTGTTTTCAGTGTCTATATATATATATTTACTATGTATGTATAGGCAATTACAATCACTGAAAACTGAGTTTTTAGTTTCTGTCTATATATATGTGTGTGTATATATATATGTGAATATATATACTCTACACATGTAGTAAATAACAATAAAAGTCACTCATCATTTATCTGTTGTCATCTGGGAAAGTGTTAAATAGTCTATGTAACATTTGGAAAAATGGATTCCCCATGGGTATAGCTCAATGCCATTGATGCTGATAACTGCTGGTTAATGTTGTCATCACTCAGGTTATTATTAAGTTTCCTGTGGCTTTAACCTGCCTAATTGTGTGAGTGGCTTGAATTTTCTAAAATCCAGTTGTTAAGGACAGTTGGTAAATAGAAGAAAGAAATTATACAACAGAGTTCATATTTATTTCGAACTAATGACTTAAAGAAAAAAATTCTGTGGTAACGTGCATCACAGTAGCTTATAAAAATTAGGCAAAACACATTAATTAATTAAATGTCCAAATATTTACAACCTACATTTACAAGGGATCAAGTCTATTCTATAAATGTGACTTTACGTCCCTGAATAGAATAACTGTATTTAATGCAAATCATGGCTCTTTGGTTAATAGCTTTCTAAGGTTTAAATTGTATTTTATATTAAAAGACAGCTGCTGGACATGTATCAATCACAAATGGCTTGGATAACTAAAAAATATATCATGCTGTCTAAACCCCATACTTTCTCTTTGTTCTGATATATGTTTGTCCTACAAACTTAATGGAAAAAATATAGCTTAGAATTCGGGGTTATATATTATTTAGGGTCGTCAGCTACTGGCACTGGGAGAAACCATGAGTCTGTTACCAGGGATTACATCCAGCAAAGCATAAACCCTCTATGGAATGCCATGGATGTGGCAAACATTTACAGAAACTCTAGGTCAATTGAGGGGCATAGTTCTTTTAAAGTCAGAGTTTTTCCAGTGTAGCTAATTACAACTAAAATATACATGTTCTTAACCCCAAAACCACATTTTCTTCGTGGGTTATCTGAGTTACAAGTATCTTCAAAACAAATTAAACTCTATGGCATTCCCTCCTGTTTTCAAAGTACCTCTCAATGACTAAGCTATGAGTTTGTTTATATGTATTTCATGATGCCGTTTATTAGAAACAAATATAAATTGTAGTTACAGTCAGATTTTGTTTTGCAAATGGCACGTCTGTGTCCTGATCCCAGGGTTTTCTGAGGTATATGTTGAAGTCCGTGGGCAGTGTCTCTACAACAACAATAATCATCTTTTTTCCATTAACAAAAATACCGTAAAGAAAAAAATACAACACTGGAATTCACATGAATATTGCTTTCTTGGTTTTCATCATATTGTCTTTCGAACTATCAAATAAAACCTACCTCAAATAACTAGAGGGAAAAACACTGTATCTCTGTCTCCTTTTGTTGTTTTCTTTCCTTCCTTTCACTTTCCTTCTTTCCTTTTCTTCTTTTTGGTTCTTAGAGTTAAAATAACCCTTATAATTCATATAGTCCAACTTCTTAACCTCACAGTTTGAGAAAGTGAGGCATACTTTTGAAATAATGCTTTATCTAACTGATTTAGTTATACCTTATCAAAATAATTTTTCCAGTGAGAAAATTCCTTACCATATAGAATATACCCATATTTATATATTTCTAAGTTTTATTATTATAGCATACACTGATTTAACATCTAGTTTGGAGTTTAAAATAGCAACAGAAAATGGTTATTTTAACTGGAATGCTCATTTGTGAATATGAAATATTTAAAATTGCTAGCAGCATGGATCAGTTGGCTTCAATTCATATTGAATTAATGGAACCAACAAAACTATGATGTTAAAGAATTTGGAACTCAAATAGAATAGGGAATTATATTATGTTTGAATGATAAATAATATCTTTGAAGCATTCTGTTTGCTATCTGTAATAATTCTGATTATTCTATTGCACCAGATTTGGATAAATTGTTGATGTTGAACAAAGTTGTCATAAGACTTAAATAACCATAAAGATTTTTTAATTTCATTTATCTCCAATAATTCAATGAATAAAGATTTTAAAACTGTGAACATATCTCATTTGGCCTGAATCTTTCCTGTATTTATCAGTGAATTGAATTATTGTGCAGAGTAGTCTAGGAAAGTCAGGTTAGATGTTATAGTCATAACTAATGGTGAGTTATTACACACAGTGACTGGTCATCATACCCTCCCTTGGCTAAAAATGCTGGACTGGAGATTGTCATCAGGCCATTGAGATGGTCTGATTTTAAAAAGTAATTAAACTTTAATAAAATACAAATGTTTCACCCACTATGATGACTTTTCCACCAACAGAATCTTCTCTTTTTGGTAAATTGAATTTGAGACATACAGGAAGGATTAGCAATCATTAGCAAGGTTTAATACCAAGCAGCAGTGATTGAAACAAATCCCAAACACATACACATATCCCCAAATGTTCAATTATCATTCTGAATGCCTAGAATAACAAGTGTACCTTGCCTTTTGCTTTTGATGGTAATTTTTTAAATGATGTATAATTCTGAATCTAAAGGTACCGGTGGTAAAAGAAAAAAATAATAATTCTAGGGAAATCTATGAGCGTCTTTTAAGCCCCAAAACCAGACCTAGTTTTCCCTTGGTAGGAACAATATTCAAGTCATAATATGCCCTTTTAGTTTGAAATAATGACTATCATCGTATTTAAATGACAGTGATTCAGGTCGTAAACTTTGACAATCCAACACACATGGTCTGGAGAGGAGGGATTAGGTCAAACATTCAAACCAGACCCGAAAGGAGGAAGATATGTTTGGTTTCAACTTTTCTTTTGTAATTCAGCAGGTTGCCAGTATTTTAAAAATCAGGGAGACTTTGAGTATTAGTTTGCTACAACTGCTGCAAAGAAGTACCACAAGCTGTATAACTTAAACAACAGAAATTTATTGCTTCACAGTTTTGGAAACTAGACAGTCAAAAGAAAGAGGTTTAGAGACCAGTCATATTGGATTAGGGCCCACTTTAATAAACTTATTTTAATTTGATTTCCTCTGTAAAGATCTTGTCTCCAAATAAGGTCACAGTCTGAGGTAATGGGGACAAAGACATCAATAGGTAAACTGGGGGTAGTAGGTAAACAAAATATATTTCATATCATTTTGTATTAATTCTGGATTTTTAGCTAAAATTGACAAAAATCAAATGACTTGAAAACTGTGGGCTACCATTCCTTCAAAATCTCCATCACCTTGAGCTAAATTGTGACTGCTTTCTCCTGTTTGCAGTAATTTCTATTATCTCTACATTTTGCTTAATCTTCTAATTCCTTAATTTTTGGTGTCACCTATAAATTTAAGAATATGCAACAATCATTTAATGTCCTTCTGTTCTTTAAATAATATAAGAAAACTTAGACTGGGTGTGGGGGCTCACACCTGTACTCCCAGCACTTGGGGAGGCTGAGGGGGGCGGATTATGAGGTCAGGAGTTTGAGCCTAGCCTGGCCAACATTGTAAAACCCCATCTCTACTAAAAGTACAAAAAATTAACTGAGCGTGGTGGTGTGTGCCTGTAATCCCAGCTACTCGGGAAGCTGAGGCAGGAGAATTGCGTGAACCTGGGAGGCAGAGGTTGCAGTGAGCCAAGATCCAAGATTGCGCCATTGTACTGTATCCCGGCCAGGCAACAGCGCAAGACTACATCTTAAAAAAATAAATAAATAAAATAAAATAAAATAAAATTTACCTTCTTATTCCAATAGGTGAACAGTGCTATACTGACAACAGCTAAAACAGCTAAATTTAGTTTTTTTACACCTGCCTTGAGTCCAGCCATCTTCCCGTTATGTCCAAGGGACTATTGGACCGACTATGTGGTATGCTTGAACTGATCTATTATTAAATGGACAAAAGCCATGTTTAATAGTCACTCAAAAAAATAAAATGGATCTAATAAAATTGTGGAATTCACAGGGTCAGGAATTATGGGCCCACCCTCTATGTTTGTTTGGTTTTTGACTAAATAGTAGACATGCAACAAACAGTGGTAAAGGAAAAAAAAAATTCTAGGGAAATCTATGAGCGTCTTTTAAGCCCCAAAACTAGACCTAGTTTTCCCTTGGTAGTAACAATATTCAAGTCATAATATGTCCTTTCAGTTTGAAGTAATGACTATCATGGTATTTAAATGACAGTGATTCAGGTCGTAAACTTTGACAACCCAACACACATGGTCTGTAAAGTAGGGATTAGGTCAAACATTCAAACCAGACCCGAAGTCCTTAGCATCTGGAAAGAAAATCTATCTTCTTGATTAGAGATCACTTGTGAGTTTCCCAGGTTAGAAATTAAAACAAAACAAAACAAATGTCATGCACACATTCACCACAAAGAAGGTAGGCAAAATCTCTGAGGTGTGAAGTTGCAACACTGATCAGAGTACAGAGAGAAAAGCAGAGTAGGAAGAAGCAGGCAGGACAGGTGGAAAGAAGACAAAAACGAGCCATATCAGGGCAGAACTCAAATCCCCACTGGGTCACCAGAACTGTTGATAGAATGCAAGAGCTGTTGACTTATTTTCAACCACAATAAGCAAAGCTTCAACTCTTCCTGAGTCCTGCATGCACTGCTGATGAGACAACTTTCAGTCTCCTTTGCTCCTCAAGGTATCCTTACAATAGAGACCCATTAACTCAGAAAATTAAGCAAGTCTGAATTCTTTGCAGCTAGAAATAAATTAACAGATGACTTATATCTCTTCTGCATGACATTCACATCATAAATAAGTGCAGATTATGTGCTAAGTGCAACTATTAACATTTTTCTAGCATCTACCAGTTAGATTAATATTACCTTCTCTTCATGACAAGAAATGAATATGATTCATCTCATTTCCATCTAATTATTGCCACATGCAATTGCAATAAAAATGCAATTAAATAATTTACTTAATCCTTTAGCAATTACATCTACCAAGAAATTATGCCATTGAGAAGAATAAAAATTAGGCCCAAGATATTAAAATTACTATGTCCAAGGAAAAAACTCTAAACACACACACACACACACACACACACAGGGTTACATAGCATATGATTTGGGGATTATTTTTTTTTAAGTTTTAGGCTTATTACAACATGAATATGAAACTTTTTTTTATAATATGTTACAGAGCACAGGTTTGCAAACTATGGCCTGCAAGTCAAATTTGGCTCCTCTCTGTTTTTATATGACTGGTGGGATTTAAATGTTTAACATTTTTATATAACTGTATCTGAAATTATTATATAAGGACCTAAGTAATATCCTCAGTTTTGCCTTTTGGCCCTCAAAGTATAAAATACTTATCATCTGGTTGTTTACAGAAAATGTTTACCCTAGTATGGAATACACTGCATCCATTAATAAACTATTTTTAATTAATACAAATTATTTTACAAATGTATGGAGTACATGTGAGTATTTATTACATGCATATGGTATGTGATGATCATGTCAGGATATTGCATCATCTTGGGAATTTGTCATTTCTATGTGTTGGCAACATTTCAAGTTCTCTCTTCTAGCTGCTTTGAAATCTATAATACACTGTTGCTAATTGTAATCACTCTACTCTGCTATCAAATATTGGGGCTTATTCTACCAGTATGTTTATACCCACTAACTAACCCCTCCCCTTTCACCCACACACCCTTCCCTCTGGTATCTTTCAATCTATTCTCTATGAGACCAACTTTTGTTTGTTTGTTTGTTTGTTTGTTTGTTTGTTTTTTCAAACACCAAGTCGAACCAGTGAGATCAACTTTTTTTTAGCTCCCACATATGAGTGAGAACATGTGGTATCTGCCTTTCTGTGCCTAGTTTATTTCACTGAACATAATGACCTCCAATTCCACCCATATTTCTGCAAATCACAGCATTTTCTTTTTATGGCCAAATGGTATTCCATTGTGCATGTATACCACATTTTCTTTATCCATTCATCCATTGACAGGCACTTAGGTTGATTCTGTATCTCTGCTACTGGGAATAGTGTTGCAACAAACATGCCAGTTCAGGTATCCCTTTGATACACTGATTTCTTTTGGATATATACCCAGTAGTGGGATGACTGGGTTGTATAGTTCTATGTCTAGTCTTTTGAGAAATCTCCATTCTGCTTTCCATGGTGTTTGTACTAATTTACATTCCCATCGACAGTGCATAGTAGTTCTTTTTCCTCCACATCCACACCAGCATCTGTTTTTCTTTGTTTTGTCTTTTTGGTAATTACCATTCTAACTGGGGTATATTTCATCGTGATTTTCATATGCATTCTCCTAATGATCAGTAATATTGGGCATTTGTTCATATATCTGTTGGTCATTTGTATTCCTTCTTTGGAGAAATATCTATTCATGTCCTTAGCCAACATGTTAATGGGATTTTTTTAAATTGAGTTGAGTTCCTTGTATATCCTGGATATTCGTCCATTGTCATCTGAGTAGTTTGTAAATATTTTCTGCCATTCTGTAGGTTGTCTATTTACTCTGTTGATTGTTTTCTTTGCTGTGTAGAAGCTTCTAGTTTAATATAATCCAATTTGTCTATTTTTGTTATAGTTTTCTGTGCTTTTGAGGTCTTAGCCTTGAAACCTTTACCTAGCTCGATCGTCTTGGCAGCGTTACTCCTATGTTGTTTTTTTCTTTCTGGCAGTTTTATAGTTTTTGGTTTTATATTTAAGTCTTTAGTCCATCTTCAGTTAATTTTTGTATATAAGGAGAGATATGCATCTGGTTTCCTTCTTCTGCATGTGGATATCCAATTTTCTCAGCACCATTTATTGAAGAAGGTGTTATTTTTCAGTGTATGTTCTTGGCTCCTTTATCAAAAAATCAGTTGGCTGTAAATACTTGGATTTATTTCTAAACTCTGTAATCTGATCCATTGGTCTATAGTCTGTTTTTATGGCAATAGCATCCTTACTTTGGTTACTATAACTTTGTAATATATTTTGAAGTTGGGTAATGTGATGCCTCTAGCTTTGTTCTTTTTGTTCAGGGTTACTCTATTTTGGCTTTTGTTTTGAGGGGTGGTGCTCCATATGAATTTTAGAATTTTTTTCTAATGCTATGAAGAATAATATTGGTATTTTGACAAGGATGATGATACTGCCCAAAGCAATCTACAGGTTCAATGCAATTCCAAGGAAAATTGACTTGTTTTTATAAACTAATCATTGTCATATTTTAAACTAGACTCTTAATGTTTCAAAAAACAACTAATCAATACCAAGTAATCAGCCTCTCCTTCCTTGGATTGATTTTTCACACTACACTCATCTGGCTACACCTCACTCTCACTCCCTACTCATCACTCAGAGAGAAGATATAAAATCAGGTATAAACCACCAAGATTTTATAAAATATTATTCATGTACTATTTTATTCCACAAAACTTACTAGGACCTTTGTACTGGAAAAATAAGTTAATAAATGTGCTGTGGGTTAATGGCCAGGTTATTGGCTTGGCTACCCGTGTTGAGAGCTGTGCACTCATCCAGTAAGAAAATATTGAAAAAGCTGTAAAATAGGGTTCTAAGATAAATTAAGGTTCTTAGATACTCTTGAAGCATTGAGGTGGAAAAAGCAGGAAAATATGTAGTCTAGCAACTCAAGAGGAGTACGGCCTGGGAAATATTTCAGAATCATAAACACATACTTGGAAGTTGAAATGTATTTAAAATTAATCAAAGAAAGATATAGTTAGAGAATGGGCATGGAATATATGGAGATCACCAACAGTTAAGAGATGACTGGTGAGATTCCGTCTCAAAAAAAAAAAATAACTGAAGAACATATCAGAAACAATATAAGTCACAGCTGTGACTTAATTTTAAGGAGGAGACACAGTTATCAATATGAAATAGGGAAGCCAATTAATAAAATGTCTTTATTTTTATTTTTCAAGACAGAGTCTCATTCTGTTGCCCAGGCTGGAGTGCAATGTGCGATCTTGGCTCACTGCAACCTCCATCTCCTGGGTTCAAGTGATTCTCCTGCCTCAGCCCCTCGAGTAGCTGGGATTACAGACATGCACCACCACGACTGTCTAATTTTTATATTTTTAGTAGAGAGGGGGTTTCACCATGTTGGCCAGGCAGGTCTTGAACTCCTGACTGCAGGTGATCTGCCTGTGATCCACCTGCCTTGACCTCCCAAAGTGCTGAGATTATAGGCATGAGCCACCATGCCCGGCCCAACAAAATATTTTTTAAAAGTGAGTGTTCATTAAGAGAAAATCTGTAATCTTAGTAGAAGAAGATAAGGACTAGTATTTGGAAATAAAACAGCTTACATTGTATCAAAGCAAAAATTGTAATAGACAAAGTTAAATAGGCAAGGAGGACTTTATTCAAAGCTACTGCAATAGGAAAGAAAGGCCATACTCAGCCTGAGCTCAACTCCACTAACACAAAGGACTAGAAAGTTTTTAAGAGCTGAGGTGTGGGGATCTTAGACAATCTATGTTTACTGATTTGCTTTACCCAAAGAAAATGTAATTTTTTTCTCATCTTCATAATAGGGAGTAATTTAATATCTTAAAGCAAGGACTCACTGAAATTAGGCTCCTACTCTCCTACAGAAACTGAGAAACAGGTCCCCTATTTTAGATGGCTCCAAGTACCTGAGACAGATATTCTTGGACTTTAAAACTGGCAAGAAGCTTTTTAAAAGATTAATACCTTAAAGGAGCAGAGAAAGAATGGACATTTACAAATTTTCTAAAGTAAATGCTTTAAGAAAAAGGGGAACAGGGACCTAGAATAAAGAAGAAGTTTCTCTTCCACTGAAACTTAAAGACAAAGGGCTGAACAAACATTTTTGCAACACAGGTAAGCAGAATAAAAATATATAAAATTCAATTAAAATTAACTCCCATCCCCAAAAATAGAAGCCTGGTATCAGTGGTAAACTGCTTTTTTACAACTTTATACTAAGGTTTCTTAAATTATATATTTGTTAATATTGTCATTCTGTTGACAACCCACATTTTACTACTTTATTTTCAGGCACTCAGGAAAAAGACTCACAATTGATGACCACAGAAATTATATAATCTCTCTCATTGCCATTTTTGGCAGAATGGGACAAGCTGTTAAGAATCATTAGCTGTTTAAAATGAATGATTTTAAATGAAAAGCTAAATACAATCTTCTTTCTTGTCTGCAAGAAAAATAATGTTATAAATTTGAGTTTTTATATGGATGACTAAATGCTGAAAAAGTTCATATGACAAAATGAAATTCTATCTAAATACAGCTGGACTCCGGTAAGTAGGTAAATGCCTAAATCATACATAAAATTCTATTTGCCCTCGAGACTAGGGGCTTTTCCATTTTGTAGAGTCATTATAGTCTTTGACAGGCTGATGAATCTGTGGACCCACAAATTTGCTCTAGTATAGATAGACTTCATTGCCTTTGCTCTCAATCGGAAATGTTATTCTGGGATAAAGAACAGAGATAAAACAGATAGAGCACACCATATTTGAGAAGCGATAGAAAGAATATTAAAATGACATAGTCTTATAAATCAGAATGGAGGTTTGGGGAAAATGAAACTTCCGTCAGTTATCTATATTTTATTATTATATAATTCCGTTTGTTTACTTCAGTAAAATATCCATGATAAATAGCATATTAAATTTAGATCTACTCTTGAATCTGCAAGAATACTTTTTTAATATCCTCATGTATAAAATTATATTTTTCAACTATGCCACAAAATGAACCCCTGTGGAAAGTATTTGATATTTCAAATATTTCTTGGTAAATTAAAAAGTTTTGAAATAAAAATTCATTACTAGTTACTACTAGTGTAAAGAGATTCACATAGAAAATATTCCTCTTAGAAAAATCACGTGAGAATTATAGACATCATAACATTCAATAAAAGGCTAACAGTTAAAGAAATACACAATTTACATTTAAAATTATAAAGAATATAAAAAGTTATTTTATATGATGATGGCTATTACTTTAATTTTGAACCAATATAATTAGAATAAAACTATGTAACTAAGTTACCACAAGTGACCTTACTCTAGGTTTTCCAGAAAACTGAAGAAACAAAAGGTACATAGTATAATAGTAGAAAGCTAACCAAAATTTGAAACTGATTTTGTTTTAAAATTTTCAAGTTAACTAACAGCATCTTTGATATTGTTAAGATGTCTAGAAAATAAAATGTTTGTTACTCTAATGAGGCAATTGAAAGAAACATTAAGGCAAAAAAGGCATGGCGCACAAAATGAGATGCATGATATGCTAACATACGCCACATAAAAAGCAGAGTGAATACTCGGAAGTGATTTTCTGTATGCAGTGAGAGGTAAGGGGATCTACCCATAATTGAGACCAATGGTTTATTACAGAAGAGGACTACTTTCAACTTTCATCCAGCTCCCAGCTTCTGTAAATGAGGATATATTATAAAGATTTAATATTTATTGCTTTTAGACCATAATAGATAAGTCCGGTGATAGATCCCCAGAAATAGAACCTGTATCTCTAGAGAAGCACAGAGCTATAGGAACACTGGATGGCAATAATTACTAACATGGTCTCCAGGCTAATTATTTCAAACATAAACAGCAATGTTTATTATCTATCTATAAGCAGCCAAGTTATTAGTTCACCATGAAAATGAAATGTGCTTGCAGTGGAATATATCTAGTAAATTTAATAGAAATGGAATCTCACTGCTTCATTAAATTATACAATATCATCAATATCACATTCTGCTTTCATGGTCAGCTACAATAATGCTGCCCGCTAGTTTCACAGAAAGATATGTAGACAAGCAACAAAGCTAAAAATAAAAATCACCCATTATTGATAGCTATGGAAGGAGAAGTGCCTACCACAGTACAAGATTCTGTTCTCTGTTGACCTACAATGAAAACATACAGCAGCTGTATGCCCAACTGGCTTTAATGTAGTAAACTGAAAAGTATCAACCGCACACAGAAAGGCAAGAATAATAGATAAATATAGACAGATAGCTATATACACACATATATATTTAGATACATAAATCTATATTCATTTAGATATATGAGTAAATAAGTCAAAATATAAGGCAGTCCAAAAAGTCATAGTGCATATTTAAGTTTTAAATGTTCTGAAAATTAATTCCAAATATTGAGGCAATATTTTAGCCTGTTAGGAAACAATGGCACCCAATGGCCATCTGTCCTTCTTTACTTCTCTTTCTTTCTCTGTCCTTCCTTTCTCCTTTCCCTTCCCTTCATCTTCTCTTCCTCTCCCTCCCTTCTATTCTTCCATTTATTCCCTCCCTTTTTTCCTCCCTCCCTCCCTCCATTTTTCTTTCATTTTTTTCTTGCTTTCCTCTAATGCTTATGGTGCATCTTTTGTGCCATACACTGTTCAGCATTGTGAAATACACTGGAAAAGGATATTTAATTATCTACCTCCTAAAAACTCTTCTGGTATAAAGAAGATTTTAAAAAGCCAAAAGAAAAGTCAATAAAAACAAATAAATATGTGTAATGTCAGGCAATGATAAGTGCTGTGAGAAAGACAAAGGACAGCCAGAGGACAGACAGTAATGTGCGTAGAATGAGGGAGGAAAATTTTGATTGAATGACAATAGAAGACTTCTCCAAAGGGGTGGCATATTGGTAGAGAGGTAAGTAAGGGAAGAGTAAGTCAAATAACAATCCGGCAGAGCATTCCCAGATAAGGAAATCCCAACTAAAAGCCCTTCCGGAAGTGGAATGAACCTGTTGTGAACAGGAAGGCCAGAGTGGCTTACATGGAGTTGTTAACAAGGAGACTGACAGGAAATGAATATGGAGTCATGGGCCTACAGCTTCTGACCCATAGGACAAAATGAAGACTTTCTTTATTCAGTACGGCTGTTATTCAGAGGATCGTATAATGGGAGGCTGATTTTCGTCAAACTAGAAGTCCAAAGGCAGGTTTCAAATACAAACAGGCTCCTCATTTCATAAATTACATTTGGATGCAGACTTTAAAAATTAGAGTATACTGAAGTCCTTTCAGCTATACATGGATATGTAATACTATAACCTAGCATATGTATGATGCCTCTCTCAGCTTATAAAATACTTTTATTACATTATTTGATTTCATAATCACATTCTTTTATAGTACACAGAGAAAGTATTTTAAACTTCATCTTAGATATGAAAATATTAAGGCTTAAAAGGTTAAATGAATAGCCCATGGCCACAATACTAATAAAAAAGTCTTGAGTTTAGAATCAACAAATATGCAAATGCCAAGAAAGTAGTCATTAGTAGTAAAAATCATTCTTTACATGAATAAAAGAATAGGATATATATATATGTATATATATATGTGTGTGTACACATATATATACACATACCTGAGTGATGAAATAATATGTATATATACATATATGCATATATGTGTGTATAGGTTGACTTTTTAGCTTTGTGTCAGTTAATATCCTCCATGGTCCCTTTTGCACTATCTGCTGGGAAAGAGCAGACTTTTCACTGTTCATATAAAAGCACTTTCTTTAGAGTTGAAAGTATGTATTTAACCCCCATGGGCTTTTTCTCATGACAGTGTCTAAATCCCTTTGGTTTGTTAGGCACTAATGTGATACATTATTGCACTAACTGCTATTTTTTCAATGAAAACACAGCAATCCTAATGACTAACTTAGACAAATAATGATTGCCACACTTTGAAAAGAAAGCAAAGATATTTAATTCTCTCTGCTTCATTATTTTACTATGCCTGAGAAACCAGCGTGAAGATTCATTAATAATGTTAGAAATAACATGATTTCATGACAACATTCTGCAAGTTGCTTTTAACTCCATCCAGTTTCACAGTTCTGGCCCACAAAAAGGCCAAATTAAAACATGACATAGAGAAATTATGTTTATAAACTATGGAAAAGTAGCAATTAAGAAGAGTACTCAGACCCAGTCATATCCATGTTAGAATGACTTTGAAGGAATTATATGTGTATACTATATAGGTACTTTTAGAACATGTTCAATTCTTGATCTCATTAGCAAGTGCACTGTGGCTTGTAAGAACAAGCAAGCCTCTTTTGACTCAATCTCTCTCTCTTTTCCTCCCCCGCCCCGCCGTCTCTCTCTCTCCCTCCCTCCCTTATTCCCTTCCTCCCTTTCCCAACCCCTCCTTTTGAAATGAGGACACCAGAAGTCTACTTTTTCATAGGAGGTCTTTCTATGTCATTGAAGAGAATGTATTTTGTTTTCTCTGGAATACTATAAGAGAATGAACTTTATCATTAACTGATAGATGTGTTAGGTCTAAAGTACAGTCAGGCAACAAATAATGACATTATGGTCAACAACAGACTTCATAAACGATGGTGGTCTCATAATAATACCATAATTTTACTGTACCTTTTATGTTTTTTAAGTTCAGGGGTACATGTGCAGGTTTGTTATATAGATAAACTAATGACATGGGGTTTGTTGTACAGATTATTTCATCACTCAGGTATTAAGCATAGTACCCATTAGTTATTTTTCCTAATCCTCTCTCTCCTCCCACCCTCTACCCTCCACCATGCCCCAATGTCTGTTGTTCTCCTTTATGTGTTCATGTGTTCTCCTCTTTTAGTTCTCACTTAAAAGTGCTAACATGCGGTATCTGATTTTCCATTCCTGTGTTAGTTCACTTAGGATAATGGCTTCCGGCTCCATCCATGTTTCTCCAGAGGATACAATCTCATTCTTTCAAATGGCTGCATGGTGTTATAGGGTGTATATGTACCAATCTACTATTGATGAGCATTTAGGTTGATTCCATGCCTTTGCTATTGTGAATAGTGCTGCTGTGAACATATGTGTGCATGTGTCTTTATGGTAGAACAATTTATATGCCTTTGGGTATACACCCAATAATGGGATTGCTAGGTTGAATGGTAGTTCTATTTTCAGGTCTTTCAGAAATTGCCACACTGCTTTCCACAATGGTTAAACTAATTCACACTCCCAACAACGATGTATAAGCATTTCTTTTTCTCTGTGACTTTGCCAGCACGTTATTTTTTGACTTTTTAGTAATAGCTATTCTGCTAGTGTGAAATGGTATCTCATTATGGTTTTGATTTGCATTTCTCTAATGATCAGTGATACTGAGCTTTTTTTCATATAATTGTTGGCTGCATGTATGTCTTCTTTCGAAAAGCGTCTGTTCATGTCCTTTGCCCGCTTTTTGATGGGGTCATTTTTTTTCTTACAAATTTGTGTATGTTCTTTATAGATTCTGGATATTAGACCTTTGTCAGAAACATAGTTTGCAAATATTTCCTCCTATTACGTAGGTTGTCTGTTTACTTTGATGACAGTTTCTTATACTATGTGAAAGCTCTTTAGTTTAATTAGAGTCCGTTTGTTAATTTTTTCCTTTTGTTGCAATTGCTTTTAGTGTGTTCATCATGAAATCTTTGCCCATGCCTAAGTCCAGAATGGTATTGTATAGGTTGTCTTCCAGCATATTCATAGTTTTGTTTTTTACATTTAAGTGTTTAATCCATGTTGATTTTTATATATGGTATAAGGAAGGGGTCCAATTTCAATCTTCTGCATATAGCTAGCCAGTTATCCCAGCCCCATTTATTGAATAGAGAGTCCTTTACCCATTGCTAGTTTTTGTTATTTTTCTCAAAGATCAAATGGTCATAAGTGTGAGGCCTTATTTCTGGGCTCTCTTTTTCTGTTTCATTGGTCTATGTGTCTGTTTTAGTACCAGTGCCATGCTGTTTTGATTACTGTAGCCCTGTAGTATAGTTTGAAGTCAGGTAACATGATGCCTCTGGCTTCGTTCTTTTTGCTTTGGATTGCCTTGACTATTCAGGCTCTTTTTGGTTCCATGTGGATTTTAAAGTAGTGTTTTTCTCTCTGTGAAGAATATCATTGAAGTCTGAAAGGGATAGCACTGAATGTGAAAAATGGTTTGGGAAGTACAGCCAATTTTAACTATATTGATTCTTCCTATCTACGAGCATGAAATGTTTTTCCATTTGCTTGTATCATCTCTGATTTCATTGAGCAATGTTTTGTAATTCTTACTATAGAGACCTTTCAACTCCCTAGTTAGAAATCTTTCAACTCCCTGTATTCCTAGGTATTTTAGTATTTTTGTGGCTATTGTGAATGGGATTGCATTCTTGATTTGGTTCTCAGTTTGACTGATGTTGGTGTATAGGAATACTAGTGGTTTTCGTACATTGATTTTGTATCCTGAAACCTCACTGAAATTGTTTATTAGCTTAAGGAGCTTTAGGGCTAAGACTATGGGGTCTTCTAGACATAGAATCATGTTATGGGCAAATACGGAAAGTTTGATTTCCTATCTTCCTATTCGGATGCACTTTATTTCTTTCTCTTGCCTGATTGCTCTGGCCAGGACTTCCAATACCATGTGGAATAGGAACGGTAAGAGAGGGCATCCTTGTCTTGTGCCAGTATTCAAGGGAATGGGAATGCTTCCAATTTTTGCCCATTCAATATAATGTTGGTTGTGGGTTTGTCATAGATGGCTGTTATTATTTTGAGGTATGTACCTTCAGTACCTAGTTCATTGATAGTTTTTTTCAAGAAGAGATTTTGAATTTTATCAAAGCCTTTTCTGCATCTATTGAGATAGTTATGTGGGTTTTGTCTTTAGTTTTGTTTATGTGATGAATAACATTTATTGATTTGCATATGTTGGACCAACCTTGTATCCCAGAGATAAGTCTACTTGATTGTGGTGGATGAGCTTTTTGACGTGCTGCTGGATTCAGTTGGCCAGTATTTTGTTGAGGATTTTTGCATCAGTGTTCACTAAGGATATTGACCTAAACTTTTGTTGTTGTTTTCGTGTCTCCGCCAGGCTTGGGTATCAGAATAATTCTGGCCACACAGAATGAGTTAGGGAGGAGTCCCTCCTCCTCACTTTTGTTGGAAGAGTTTCAGTAGGAATAGTACCAGTAGGAATAGTACCAGCTCTTCATTGTACATCTCATAGAATTTAGCTGTGAATCCGTCTGGTCCTGGACTGATTTTTGTTGGTAGGCTATTGATTACTGATTCAATTTGGAGCTTGTTATTGGTCTGTCCAGGGATTCCATTTTTCCCTAGCTCAGTCTTGAAAATTCCTGGACAGATATTATCTGTCGAGGAATTTATTCATTTCTTCTAGATGTTCTAGATGTTCTAGTTTGTGTGCATAGAAGTGTTCATAATATTACCTGTTATTTGTATTTCTGCAGGGTTGGTGGTAATATCTGCTTTGTCATTTCTAATTGTATTTATTTGGATCTTCTCTTTTCTTCTTTATTAGTCTAGCTACTAGTCTATTTTATTTATTTATTTATTTATTTATTTATTTATTTATTTATTTATTTATTTTTATTTTTTTTTTTTTGAGATAGAGTTTCACTCTTATCGCCCAGGCTGGTGTACAATGGCATGATCTTGGCTCATTGCAACCTCCATCTCCCAGGTTCAAGTGATTGTCCTGCCTTATTAAAAATAAAAAAAAATCCTGGATTCATTGATCCTTTGAATGCTTTTTCATGTCTCAGTCTCCTTCAGTTCAGCTCTGATTTTGGTTATTTCTTGTCTTCTGCAAGCTGTGAGGTTGATTTGCTCTTGGTTGTCCAGTTCTTTTAGTATGATATTAGGTTGATAATTTGATATCTTTCTAACTTTCTGATATGGGCATTCAGTGCACTAAATTTCCCTCTTAACACTCCCTCAGCTGTGTCCCAGAGATTCTGGTGTGTTGTATCTTTGTTCTCATTAGTTTCAAAGAACTTTTTGATTTCTCCCTTAATTTCATTATTCATCCAAGGTCATTCAGGAGCAGGTTATTTAATTTCCATGTAATTGTATGATTTTGAGTAATTTTCTTAGTCTTGATTTCTAATTTTCTTGTGCTATAGTCTGAGAGAGTGGTTATGATTTCAGTTCTTTTGCATTTGCTGAGGATTGCTTTATGTTCAATTGTGTGGTTGATGTTAGAGAATGTGTCATGTGGCAATGAGAAGAATGTATATTCTGTTTTGGGGTGGTGAAGAGTTCTGTAGATGTCTGTAAGGTCCATTTGTTCCAGTGATGAATTCAGGTCCTAAATATCTTTATTAATTTTCTGTCTCAATGGTCTGTTTAATACTGTCAGTGGAGTGTGGAAGTCGCCCACTATCATTTGGGGGAAGTCTGAGTCTCTTTGAAAGTCTCCAATAACTTGCTTTTTAAATCTGGATTCTTCTGTGTTGCATGCATATATATTTAGGATAATCAGATCTTATTGAATTGAATCCTTTACCTTTACGCAGTGGCCTTCTTTGTCATTTTTGGTCTTTGTTAGCTTAAAGTCTACTGTCTGAAATTAGAATTGCAACCCCTGCTTTTTTCTGTTCTCATTTGCTTGGTAGATTTTTCTCCATCCCTTTATTTTGAGCCTGTGGGTTTCACTGCCTGTGAGATTGGTCTCTTGAAGACCGCATACCACTGGGTCTTGGTTATTTATCTAGTTTGTCACTGTGTGCATTTTAATTGGGGGCATTTAGCCTATTTACATTCAAGGTTAGTATTGAGATATGTGAATTTGCTCCTGTCATCGTGATGTTAGCTGGTTGTTACGCAGAGTTGTGTGGTTGCTTTATAGTGTCACTGGTCTGTGTACTTAAGTGTGTTTTTGTAGTGGCTAATAATGGTCTTTCCTTTCCATATTTAGTGGTTCCTTCAGGAGCTTTGTAAGGCAGGTCTGGTGGTAACCTCAGAATTCCCTCAGTATTTCCGTTTCTGAAAAGGATCTTATTTCTCCTTTGCTTATGAAGCTTAGTTTGTCCATATATGAAATTCTGGGTTAGATTTCTTTTCTTTAAGAATATTGAGTATTGGCCTCCAATCTCTTGTGGCTTGTGGGGTTAATGCTGAGAGGTCTGCTGTCAGTCTGATGGTCTTTTCTTTGTGGGTGACCTAGCTTTTCTCTCTAGCTGCCTGTAACACTTTTTCTTTCATTTTGACCTTGGGGAATATGATAATTGTGTCTTTTTGTTTCATTTTTGACCTTGGGGAATATGATGATTGTGTGTCACTTCACGTGAAGTTCCTTGCTGGTATTCTCTGCATTTCCTGAATTTTAAGGCTGGCCTCTCTAGCTAGCTTAGGGAGGGTCTCATTGATGATATTCTGAAACATGTTTTCAAAGTTGCTTTCATTCTCCGCATCTTTTTCAGGAGCACCAATGAGTCATAGATTTGGTCTCTTTATTTAATCCCACATTTCTTGGAGATTTTCATTTTTTTTCTCTATTTTTGTCTGACTGTTATTTCAGAAAATCAGTCTTCAAGCTCTGAAATTCATTCCTCCACTTGGTCTATTCTGCTATTAACATTTGCAATTACATTATGAAATTCTTGTAGTGTGTTTTTCAGCTCTCTCAGGTCAATGATGTTCTTTTTTATACTGGCTATTTTGTCTTTAAGTTCCTATACCATTTTATTGTGATTATTAGCTTCTTTGGATTGAGTTTCAATGTATTCTTGCATCTCAATTATCTTCATTCCTATCCATATTCTGAATTCTATTTCTGTCATTTCAGTCATATGAGCCAAGTTTAGAACACTTGCTAGAGAGCTAGTGTGATAGTTTGGAGGAAAGAAGATACTCTGGCTTTTTGAGTCGAATTGAGGTGGAAGGTATTTAAAAATGTCCTTTGGGAACTATTGGCTCCCTCATATTTTTCCCAATTGGCTGATATACAAAGATTTGAGCTGGGTACTGAGCCAAAGCAAAGATTAGTATCTTGAGCTGATTCTTTCTCATCTTTGCAGGCTGATATTCCTTCAATCTTTGAAGTTGCTGTCCTTTGATGGTTTCATTGTGTTTTTTCTCTTACCCTATTTGATGACTTTGAGAGTTTTATTGTGGTAGATATAAGGTGGGTTCAGTCGACTGCCTTCATTTCTGGAATATATTGGGGGGCAAAGCTCAGCTCACAACTCCTGGACTGCATGCCCTAACGCTAGGGGACTGATATTGATCCTTGACTCTTCTCTCTGGCTCCTCAAGGTTAGGAACCCACTGTGCTGGTGGGGATCGAGATACTACCAGACCACTAGTCACCACACTTTGATGGATGGTGTCAGCCGAAGTGTTTTGTAGGCCAGTGGTAGCAGATCAATCCTCATTCTCATTTGCCAGCTGCAGCAGAAGCATGGCAGGGTGCATGCTCATCAGCTGCAACAGAGTGCTACCAGGTGTTGGGGTGTCAGCTTTCATGCAGGTATTCACAGCAGTGATGGAGGCGGCATGTCTCAGAGGAAGAGGTGCCCCCATTGGTGACTCTGTGCATGGTCACACTGGTGGTGGTGTTAGCATGAGGGCAGGGCACTGGTGGGTGCAGGTGTGTGTCTACCCTCTGTGTGCATTCATGCAGGTAAAGGTGGCTGCTCAGGGTGGGGGAGGGTTTGTTGCTCTCTGTGCCTAGTTTCACTCTGGCAACAATGTTGGTACAGGGGTAGGGTTCTGTGACTGCCAAGGCCCTAACTGTAACAGTGATATGGCAAGGGTATGGGGGGCGGAGAGCACTCATGATGGCAGCAGTGGCAGAGCAGGGTTCATGCATACAAACATGCTGGTGTGGTAGGGAAGAAAAGATTTGCCTGCACACACACATGTCGGTAAAGTGATTGGGGGTTGGCCATGGGCCCAGGGGACGCTGCAGTGAAGGGAGGGACTGGGTGGGTGCTGCTCTGCTGGAGCTCTCTGCTGGTCAGGTACCATCTGCCACAGCAGGAGCTATGATGCAGGCCCCCAGGGCACCTGAGGCTGTACTGCAAGCAGGCACAGCCAGGCTGGGGCCCTGAGACAGGCTAGTACACCAACACATGCTCAAGTCAAACCGGTCTCATCAGATGGTCAAGACTGCCCAGCAGAGGTCAGGTCTGACAGTTCCCCTAGGGCTAAAGTCTCCCGTGAGAACAAGTTGAAATTAGGGGGATGGGCATCCCTGGCCATACTCTGGTACAGATGTTCCCACACCAAACCCACAGGGCTCCATACTGACTGCAGTGCTGCCTCTACCACTTCTCTAAGCAGCTCTCTCTGCCACTCAAGTGGCCCTGGCAGTTGAGGGGTCTCCTCCTGCTGGGATTCCAAAGGTCCATGGCAAGAGCAGGTCACTCCTTGCCATTTTAACTCTCCCCATTCCCTGGCATTGCTGGGGGCCAGGAATGAGTCCCAGTGTGTAGCAGCCTCATGTAGGGCTCCCAGCTTCTTCCCACTTCAGCCCAGCTTCTGTGTCTTCCTCAGTCTACTCTCAGTGCCTTCCCTCTGAATATCTGTTAGGACTGTGCCAGTCATCTCGGTCCCTTGGTGGCAGCTGTTCCACCTGGCTGCATCTAGTCGGCCATCTTGCCCTGAATTCATTTTATGTTTAGATATGTTTAAACACACAAATACTTACCATTGCATTACAGTCGCCTATGGTTTCAGCAAAGTAACATGTCATGCAGATTTGTAGCCTAGGAGCAATAGGCTATACTGCATAGCCAAAGCATGTAGCACTGACCACTCTTCATCAAACCTAAGTGTAAAAGAACACAGGTTCTCTATTTCTTTGGGTCTTCATTTTCTGAAAGCTCCTGTGTCACATAAAATTTATATTAAATACATGTGTATAATTTTCTCTTGTTAATCTGTTGTCTGTCATAGGTACCTCAGCCATGAACCTAGCAATGGGTGAGAAAATACATCTTTTCTTCCATACAGTTGGAATCTCTTCTAAAAACTTTTGTTATATTACACAACACAGTTTTAAGGGCAGTAAGAGAAGAGTTATTATTTTACAGACTGTCATGGTCACGCTTTACAGAAAAGCACTACTTGTACAAACTCTATACTGTACCTTTTTGGCAAAGAAATTGTTCCAAAGGAGAGGTGACTTTAGGCACAACAGAGAACTGAGGTAGAAAGTATTTAAAAATGTCCTTTGGGAACTATTGGTTCCCTCATATTTTTCCCAATTGGCTCATATACAAAGATTTGAGCTGGGTAGTGAGCCAAAGCAAAGACTAATATCAGACCTGGGAAATAGAAGTACACTCTAAATGCAGATAAAATCAATGGGATGACCAAAAAGAATTTCAGAAGAAGATAACCTCAACAGATAAAAAATGGAAAAATAAATGAAGGGAAAAAATAGAAGTTATAAAAGAATTAATTTCAAAAGATTTCCCAGAATAGGTATTTGAGCTTCCTCAAATAGATTCAGTTTTTCCATAACACTTGTTTTAAATAGCAAATTTGCTCAAACACAATTGGTATATTAGAAAACAATTTTAACATAATGCAAATTTTTATTTTGCTTATATGTGATTTCATTGGCAAGAAACACTAGTGACTTCAGAAAACTGTGTGTAGCTAAACCAAGCATTGGAAGACAATAACACACACACATACGCACTCCTACCCGCCACCTCAGTTCACAGTATGTGCTATGAGTCACCCCTACCCACATACAGTGTTACAACTTTCTCTCTACTTCATTGAACCCTCCTTCCACTGCTGCAAAACAATTCATAGTTGCAACCCTTCCGACTCTCACTGTACAAGCAAATTTTAGGCCTTTTTAAATGTAAAATGCCATATTTATTGTAGTATGTCTATATATTTTTAACCATTTACCACATGCAAAACTATACTACCATTTTTTATTAGGTTCTAGCTTTTGTATTGTCACTGACAAAGTTTTTGAGGGCTGTGCTCCTAACCCTATTTTTCCCATAAACCCTTCTGATTGTTTTATTGTATGATTTTCAGTAAATTTCAAAAACTCTTACTTAGAAAATAAAAATAGAAAAGAATCACCTAAAAATATTTATATAATTAATAAATTTGCTAAATGACTGGTGTTTTCAGGTATCACAGCAGTGAATTATTTAATGATGAAGGGAACCATTAAAAATAATAACCAAAGACAAGCAAAGTATGTAATGGCTGGTTTGGAATATGCTTTTTAAAAAGGTAACAAACTATACATCTTTATAGAAATGCATGTAGAATACCCAAATAAATGAAGAAAAAAATACCATGTTACACAATGGGAACAAATTATTTGTAATAACCTCTATTCTTCCCAAAATAATACTCACATATAAACATAAATGGAAAACAAGATATAACTTCAAAATAGACATTTTTGAAATATAACATTTCATATGTGGTAAATAAAGCACCAGCCAAATAAGAAATTGTGTTGCTTGGTAAACACTAATAGGAAAATAAAGAGTTGTCAGAAAAAGAATCGATATATGTCTTCATATTTCATAGTATAACAGAATAAATTCTAGATGGATTAAAGTGCTGAACAACTTTTAGAAATCATAAAAATACTACAAGACAGGTTTCTAAGCATAAAATAAATAAAAAATATCCTGTGTTTTAAAAAATAACAAAATAGACAAACTGAGAAATCACTGAGTCCTTAAATTCAACGGGCCACTCAAATAGATTTTTCTAAAGACTAATTTTTATGATTTATTGCTAAGTCATTTATTTTTTTGAGATGGGGGATCTCACTATTTTGCTCAAGTTAGACTCAAACTCTGGACTTAGTAATCCTCCTGCTTCAGACTCCTAAAAAGCTGTGACTACAGGCACATGCCGTTGTGTCCCATTCTAACAGATTTTTTAAAACAACATTAAGGTCACAATGGGAAAATGGGTCAGATGTTGATAAATTCTAAAAGTGTAAATACAATGGATGAATAAATACATGAAATATAAATCTTTACTACTATTTACTATAAGTAGAAATTAAAACAATCAAAAATAGCTCTTTCTTTACTAAATTGGCAAATACTTTATAATTTTTAATACTGAATATTGGTGATATTGAAATAAGACAGGTCTCTCGTCCTACCAGTAGGGTGTTGTGTAAGTTTACTAGGCCTACCTTAACAAAGTACCACAGAATGGGTAGATTAAACAACAGAAACTTTATCTTCTCACAGTTCTGGAAAATAGAAGCTCAAGACCAAGGTGTCAACCAAGTTGGTTTCTTCAAAGGCCCTTCTCCATGGCTGTAGATGGCCATCATCTCCCTGTGTCTTTGCATGGTCCTCTCTGTGTGTGTCCTCATCTCCTCTTCTTGTGTGGACACCAGTTGATCATATTGGATAGGGCCCACCCATATGACCCCATTTTATCTTAGAAATCTCCTTAAACGCCCTCTCTCCAAGTACACTCACATTCTGGAGGCGATGGGGGATTAAAATCTGAACATATGAATTTTGAGGGGACAAAATTCAACCCTTAACAGATGCCAAAGCAAAAATTGCAACTGCCAAGGGAAGGCTTTGCTTAAGTCTATTACCATACTGTAGAAAGATCAGAGTTCAGTCTGAGATCAACTGCTCTGATACAAATGGCTGGAGAGTTTTAAGAGTTGGAGTAGGGTATTTTAGGCCATCTGTGTTTGCTAACTGGCTTTACGCATGAAAAGTAAACTCCTGTCCTCAGGATGGGAGGTAATTTTGCAACTTGAAGCAAGAGGCCACTGAAGGAACGTCAAGTTGTTAGAGTGAATTGACAATGGTGGAATTATTTACACCATGAATAGGGCCCCTCCCTCCAAAATAAAACCACTTATCCACGTGCTCTGCTTTTGGTATGATAATATTTCAAAGCCATGCCATAAAAAGCAATCAGTTACGTTTAGAAATAAATAAATATGTCTTCTAAATGCTATCAAGTCAGTGATGACTTCAGGAAACCAAGAATTGCAGACATGAATTCAAAAGATAGCTGTATGAAACAGAATTATCTTGAAGAAACCCAGAGTCACCATCAGGTTAAAGCCTGGTAAAGAATTAGGAAGAAAAGGAGAGAGGGAGACCAACGAGGTAATTCCAAGTTACCTCTGTAAGGAAATTCAGGGTTCATTGAAAAACAATTGGAAGGGACCAATAGATAAGTGGCTACACAATCTTCTGAATCAAAAAATAGGGTTACTGGTCTTCCTCAGAACTGTATCACTCCCAGAACAGGAAGAGCCCTGGAATGGTCTCAAGGAATTTTATAGATAATTATCAAACCATCTATGGCCATACCACTCTGAACGTGCCAGATATCGTCTGATAATTGTTAAACAGAAATGAACAACATCAAATTTCTCCTTACCTTTTTTGCAGTATCTTAAAAGCCTTTATTGACAAAGGACTATGTCAACAATTAGAGGAAATAAATCCTGCCTGAAAAGAATCCTAGCTAACAAATCAATTTGAATAATCATATTTCTAAAATGCAAATTGACTCATTTCTCTCTCCATTAAAACCATTTGATGGTTTTCCATTGTCCATTGAATGAATTTCAAAATTCTTAGCATAGTTTATCAGGCAGTTTGTACTCTGATTCTTCCAACTCTTCATACTTTGCAAGTTGTAGCCACATATCTTTTCCTTAGCCTCCAACATATGCCCTCATTCCCCACACTAGACTAGATTAGCGGATCCTACAAGTGTTCACAGAGCACAGTAAATGTTCCTATCACACAGCCCAAATCACCCTGAATCATAAATCTACATCCCTTAAAGGATCATAAACTGAGAGATACAAGACAGTGTTAATTTTATTCAACATTTACCCCATGCATTGTGCACAGTAGATGTACAGAAGATATTTTTAACAAATAAATTGATGAATATTTAAGGAGAATTTATTGTCTCCAGGGGAAGAAAAACTAGTACTTAGTAACAGAAGGATTATAATTTCCTCTAACATTTGTTCTGTATAGGTTATGAAGAAAATGTTACATATGTCACTTAGAAGGTTCGCAGAGATCCTTGCATAGCTAATACATTTGAAGGCCCACTTTGCTTTTCTCTGGAAACTCTGCCATTCAAATTAAAATCTCTCTATGCTTTGGTCAAAATCAATTGCTGCCATCTCAGATTAGCCTTCCAATTATTTCCTTTCTTCTTATTCAAAGAAACCCTGAGCAAAGGATCAGTTAAGTTTAATGAAAATATCACTAAATTAGATACAGTGTTTATCATTTAACTCTCTTATGAAAATATGTGTATGTATAAATTCATATATACATGTATGTCTATATGTATACATATATTATATATGAATTATATATAATATATGTATACATGTATACATATATATGAATTATATATAATACATGTATGCATGTATACATATATACATATATACACATATATATGAATTCACAACACAAATGAAAAGCAACATAAAACAAATAAAAAAGATTTTAAATTAAAAACAAGATGAAACACAGCCTTTTCTCATTTTTCAGTGTACTGATTTACCCAGTCAATTCCCTTCATCATCTACCTCTCCCCACCAAATCACAAAACACACCATTCTGCCTAGCCTGACCAAGCAATATCCTTTATTAATATAAAAAAAAGAAAAAAACCCTGTGGCTAAATCTACGCACTTCCATCAAGGCTCATTTTTCTTGAGAATGACCCAACACTTGGTTCTGCATACATTTGCCTAGCAGGCAGTTCCCTATATAGTTTTTAATGGTGTGAATGTCTATTACCAGACATCTGTTTTAAACCTATTTTCTTTATTGTACTTACTCCATCTAATTACATTATTTTGGTAAACAGAAGAAAAAAAGTAATTTAAAATGACATCTATCTGAATCAGTCCCAAGCTAGTTAGTTTTCTTTTCTCTCCCAAAGATGTAAAAACGGATGTTTTTGTTTCTCTGCCCCACTACTGCATATCGTTTTATTATGGAATCAATTTGTTTACTCTTTTCCATTTTCTGCTTTTAACTGATATTACCATTTGCAGTCTTATACAGAAGTGGTCTTAAAACATTTTCTCTTGCAATTTTAGTTACTTACTTTCAGATCTGATATCTTTTAAGGCGGAAATAAGAAGATGCAGAAATGCCTCCCATTCAATAGACCTAGCATTTGCAGTGAAAGGACTTAAGACTGTGTAGTGAAGTCTCTGACAAAATTAACCTTACGGCATCAGATTACTTCTGAAACTTTGTTTTGTTATCTATAAGATAAAAAAAAAAGTGATTTCTCAATTTTCCAAGTTCAAGTTTAAGACCCTGGCTTTTACACATTACTGTGAGTGTTAAAAGACAATGAAGCCTGAAAAAGAAGAAGGACATTTAGAAAAGCTGGTAGAAAGCAAGAAGAGATGACTGTCACAAAGCCATAAGAAAAGTGTTAAATAATAATAATAATAAAAAGGTTGTCAAGAGTGTCAAGTGATAATCGTAATTTTTTTTCACTTACATAGTGTTTTTAAGTTGCCAAATACTTTTTCATAGATTATAATGTATTGCCAATGTCAATTCTGTGATGGAAGTAAGACAGAGATCGGTTTTCATTTTTAATGAATCTCTTAGTCTGTTGCATTGCTATAAAGGAATACCTGAGGCTGGGAAATTTGTAAAGAAAAGAGGTTTATTTGGCTCAAGATTCTGCAAGCTGTACAAGAAGCATGATGCCAGTGTCTGCTTCTGATGAGAGCTCCAGGAAGCTTCCAAAAATGGCAGAAGGCAAAGAGAGGCTGGCATATCACATGGCAGGGGAAAAACGGAGAGGGAGAGCAGGTGCCAGGCTCTTTTTAACAACCAGGTCTTGCAAGAATTAAGAGTGAGAACTCAATCGCGTGAGAAGAACACCAAGCCATTCATGAGGGACCCACACCGATGACTCAGACACCTCCCAGTAGGCCCTGCCTCCAACACAAGGATCAAATTTCAACACGAAATTTGGAGGGGACAAATATTCAAATTCTATCAATGGATTAAAAAACTGAGGTTAAGGAATATTAGAAAAGTCAAAGAGAAAAACATGAAAACAGGAAAATCTAAATCATAGAAATACTTTAGATCTGCAGTCCTGATTTGTTATACACACAGATTCTGATCTGGACTGCTGGGGTTCAAATCTCAGACCACTAGGTAGTTTTTGACCTTTTGACTGCCCTGTACCTCAGGATGCTCACCTATAAAGTCCAAATCCTGACACAATTTACCTTAATGATTTGCAGTAAGAACTAGTTAGATACATATAAAGCACTATGACAATTTCCTCGCATTCAATAAATGTTAGCTGCCCTTATTACAGTCACTAAGGTGAAAATCCAGCCACAGCTTCACTGCCTCAGGTTACCTTCTCTCTATGGGGCTCTGGAGGAGCGGAGAAGCAAGAGGCATGTATCAAGGGAACCCTCAATGAGGAGTGGCCAAGCAGCCACCTAAGGAAGCAGATTACGTCAAGGTCTAGGGCCTCACTCCCTTCCACAAATGCTGAGCATGCTTAACTCCTGGCCTAGGCAGTCTCCTCAAAGATAGAATATAAGGATATTCCTACTTACAAAGACTTTATATTACTCTATTAGGGACTTTTGTTTGAAGACAGTGTTATGGAAAGTCATAACATGTGAATTTAACTCTAGTCTAAGAAATTGTACAAGTGTAAGCATGTAAGTTAATTACCTTTTATGTTGAAGACACAATTAACTTATGTAGTAACATCTGGTGGGCCTATTTGCTTTTTCAAATTAAGATAATTAGAACTGACAAAGTACCTTCATTCCAATTTCTCTGTCTCATCACCACCCGCCCCTTAGATTATTTGCAAGTTTGCTTTTTGTTGTGACAGGTTTTTTCTGTCATTTTTAGTCAATATCAATTTGTTTTATTTTAAACTTTAGGAGCTGTAATTACTACTGTGAAACTGTTCATAATACAAATTTATATTATGTTGAAAAAAGTCATAAAATGAAAGTACACATAATTTAAGCAGTCAGTACTTCTCATAATTAATATTATTATATAGTATTCATGAAATTTGATGAAAGACAAGCTTCTCTAAGACTTTTTAACACTCACTCTAGTATTCTCAATTCTTAAAAAAGGACCTAATATATACTAGCCACTCAGTGAATATTTGTGTCATGAAAGAATGAATGAATGAGTCAACCATATGGAATTTTATAATGCCATATATTTACTAGAGCATAATTATGATGCCTTGATTTTAGAAATTCTATTTACTACTATTTTAGTTCATGAAACTATGTTAAATCTATTCAAACATACATTTATCTTCTTTACATCATGTGCTTTTCATCCTGCACATCCTAAATTTAATACTAGACAAAATATTTGCACATATAAAACTATTATTTTATTTTTTATTATAAGGATTACTCATACTAAAATTTTATAATGATTTTTTACACCAACCCTTTGTATATAATACCAAGGGCATTAGTATTCGGAATACATGAATACTCATTCCAGCCCTTAATAAAAAAGTCACTTAATCTTTCTGTGCCTAAATCTCTTAATCTACACAGTGTAAATAATCATAAACTTACTTTTCTTAGCTCAGGGTGTTGTTCTGAAGATCAAATTGTTTCTTAATAAAAAGCTAATTAAAATAATCAAATTAGAATGGACTCTAATGTATTTAAGAACTTTATTCTATTTTTTCAGGATGTAGGAGACAGAAGGTACCACCCCCAAATGTGACTGCAGAAGACCAGAATATAATGCCCCAAAATATGCTTCTTTAGTATAACGATTATTTTGAGCTGATTATTTTGAGAAATAGAAGCTCTGAAAACAGAGAAGCTACTCTTTGAAAGGAAAATTTACATTTATAAAGGAAATCTCCAACTTAAATCTGCATAACAAACCTTATTCATATTTACCATACTTTTCCTAGTTGCCTTTCCTTAACTCATGTCTCACACCCTTTTTGCTTATTTGTTTTTAGCTGAAGATTATATTTAAGCCTGAATTCTAAGCTTCTTTTGGTTACTCATTTCCCTGCGTATTTTCTATGTATATATGAGATGTACATGTTAATAAATCTCTATTTTTCTCTTGTAATCTGTCTTTTGTCATAGGGTCCCCATTCAAGAACATAGAAGGATAGAGGAAAAATTATTTTTCTTCTACTACAAAATAAAAGGACAAAATATTTTAATTATAATATTTTAAAATCTATAGTGAGGTACAATTTTTCTTTAGGCATTGGAAAACTTACGTGGTAAATATATGGTATTGTTAACCCAAAGGAAACAAGCTGAGACAAGGTTAATGTAATTAGAGAGTTTATTGGGCCAAGCTTGAGGATTCCAACCCAAGAGCACAGATTCAAATTTCCCTGAATACACACTCCAATTAGTAGCAGTTACGAGTAAAGTTTTAAAGGCAAAAAAGAGGCAACAGGGAGTGAGTTGATACAAAGTTGTTTGTCAGGACTTTCACTGGTTGACAAAAATCACATTGATTAGTGATTGGCCAGATATTGTTAAGCTATAGAACGTGAGTAACAGTATCCTGTGTGGATTAGGTTAATTTATAGCTACCTGTGACAATAGCAAGCAGTTTCAGGAAATGAATACAGAGCTCAAACCAGGGAGCAGGATGTGATCACTGTCTCACTTTAATATCTCTCTGGGCCTGATATTTTAAAAGATTTGCATTCATCAGACGAAAGTTATGTTCTTTACTAATTTCCCCTTTTTGATCAAAAATCTTTTTTATGAAAAACACTAGTGATCAAAATTTGACTGCCAAGTGTCCCTTACTGCCAGTAAATCTCATTCCCAGGTAGTCCTGTCAAAGTAATTGATCTATGGTTGCTGTCATTTGCTAAATCTTACCTGGTCTTCAAAGTACCATGAATTTAGTTTTTTTAGAAGTAAAACAATGAGACATAAATAGCATTAATAAGTTAAATAGCAGAAATATAATGCAAACAATGATTACAATCAAAAGAGACTTTGTATGTCAGAATAGGGAAAAAATACTCTGTTAGGGAGTCAACTAAAAACATCATGAAGAAAATTAAATCCATATTCTTCTTTAGAGATGTCTCGTAGCACTGAAGTAAGTCAGGATTAAGTCCAAATGTAGGTAAATAATAAAGCTCAAAAACAATGGAAAAGACTAGACTCTAACAACAGGTGTACTAGTTTTCTTCTGAAATACAATGTTTTCTTCCTTGAGCTCTCTATTTTTTCCAAAGATAAATCTTAGTAGGACAGATTTATTTGCAATGTAAGGTTTAGTCCTCTTATACTTGGCCTGATTATTTGCATTAAGTGCAACAAGAATAGTGAATGGCCATATAATCCCCTTTAAATTGGCTTTGCTAGGATTTTTACATAAGGAACATCCAATTCCACTTTTAAAAGCCTTGAGGCTATTCAAACCAAAGATTTGCCATGAGACTGTCTACAATAATCATAAAAATTGGGAGAATTCTTCTCTAGGTCCCAAAATAACTTGAGGTTCCTAGGCCTGTCAGAAAGTGACATTCTTTACTTACCACAAGGATAGAAACCTTGTAAAAGAACTATGTATTATTACACAAGGTACGAGCCCAGTGTTTCCAAGGGGCTTTTTGTCAGCTCTGCAAAGTCAATTTTAATTCATCAAAGCATTCTGGTCACATCCAAAATTATGCCATCCCAGTCAAAATCTGGGTTAAAATAACCAGTTATCTAACTGTGGCCTGTGACAAAAGAAAACAGATTTTTATTGAACTTATGCAAATGATCATATTGCCATAAATTAAGAATATACACGAATAGTTTTCAAATCATGAAGAATCTGGTAGAGAAGGGCAAATGTTTCAGTTTTACTCACAAAAGTATGCTTTACTCAATTGCTATAAGCTATAAATGGCTCAAAAAGAAAAAAAAAATGTTTTCTTGACCCTGGAAAACAAAACATAAAAAGAACCAACAGTATTTCAACCAAAAGTCATACAGAAGTATTTAAGTCCAAAATTGTTAGTTTAGTCCCATGTAATTAATTCCTGTTCTGCCTGATGTTAAGAATCCTTTTGAACGTATCAGCTGTTTTTTATTAGAGTCCTACAGTTTTTCTACCTACCTCATTGGTATGATCTCCAAAATTATCAGAAACCCCTACTGAAGAGCATTTGCTAGAGTCTTTTCCATAAATGCTTTTACATAAGGAGCAAATTTTAAACTGTAGCAGATTATAAATCACTTTTTGCCAAAAATCAAAGTAAACTAATAATTGTGGATGACAATAGTGTTAGAATAGCCATGGTTAAAGACACAATTGACAAGAAAAATTGGTTGTTTCTGTTACCTACAACAATTTAACATCATAATCATAAAAATTTTCAAAATCTCATATAATTTTGGAACATATATTAGTAACACATTTATACAAATATAACCCCAAAATAGTTAAAAATAACTTCATGTTTTACAATATTTCATATCAAATAAGCCTAATATGTCTCTCTTGGACTTCCAGAGGCCCTAAATGTCCAAAAAGTTAGCTTGCGGTCAAAAGGACAAAATTTAGAATTGAAATTTGACTTTAGAAAATTTGTCAAATATCAAAGGTTTAAAATACTTGCTGAAAATATGATCACAGGTCACTGTAAAATACTGATGATTCATTTAGCCAAAGTGATAATTCAAAAATTTTTAAAAGCAAAAAGCTTTACTATTTGAGAAAGGGAAGATGCGCTTTCTCCAATTATCATAATACCTAATATTGACACTGTAAGGCAAACAAAATCTTTTACTCCTTTCTCTTTTTTTATGCAACTTACTCAAAAGGAAATAAAAAATCTTTTATTATCTCATGAATATTATGTGGAAAACCAAGTTAGATTTGTGTCACTATATTATCAATGCTAAAGCTAATTTTAATAAAATCTTACAAACAAATCTATCCAATCTCAATCAGCTTTGACCATACTGATAAGATTTCCATAAACCTTTTATAAACTCTTGCAATTTCTATTAAAAAGCAGATCCTTTTTATTCTGACACAGAGGCCCAGGATCTGGCCCTGCATCAGTGTACTTTTGATGTTAATGCTCAGTTTTAACTTATTTTAAATTAAAATAACCCCCTTTTAATTTTAGCCAACCTGATCACACACAAAATTCCATTCAAAAAAATCGGTCTTACATAAACCTTCTACAACTTCCTTAAACCTTCAGTTTTCATCTATCACTTTAACTTAGAACAAAAATTTCCTTTCCTTTTCCCCTTATTTTGAATACATAAAGTTCTCTCCCACATAAAGGAAAAATTTCTCTCTTTTAAACTTTCTCTACTTCTTAACTTTATATGCTCTGTATATAGACATGTTTCTCATATCCAACAGTTTTAATTGCATATACTAATTATAATTTTAACTCTTAGTAGCCCTTATTTTTAGTGAAAAATTTAGAAAGTAAGCAATTTTAAATTTTAATCATGTACGAGATGCAGTATCCAACACAAAGAACAGAGCTGTAAAGACAATGCCTGAAAGATCTAATATCATCTAGCATGGCCAAGAAGCATAGCTGGGCCAGGAAGGATGGGGCCCAGGTGTTGTTCCCAGTCTTCACTATGTTTACTTGTCTAGACCCCAGAATTTGGGGCTTAAAACTGAAGACAAGCTTATAGTAAGATGTGTATAAGGCTTTGGAGGACCCCAATAGTCAGCATTTACAGGTTTAAGTCACAACTTAAGCAAATATGAAAAGTACCGCAGAAGCAATAGTTTTATGATTTTAAAATAGTTTAGAAACAGCCTAAATGTGTCTGACCAGCAGACTCAGGCAAAAATGTCTAAAAATTTGAAGATGTCTTTATTTTACCAACTATTTTAAAACTATTTTTTTATTTACCAAAAATTACTAAAGTTATAAGAATTTGAAAAGTATTTGGGCTAGTTATGTAATTTATGAGGATTCACCTTTAAGTTAATTTGCTAACGTGTAGACAATATATATTGTCTACATATAAACATGTACAGACATATATATATATGTAGACACAACATATAACATATACATGTACTTGTGTATGTATCTAAAAGCCAAATGCAAAAGAGCTTAATGCAAAAGAGAATATAACCTTAGACTTGAGGAATCTGCCCAGTTAACAATTCTTGGGGTTTTATGAGGAAAAACAGAGGTTTCTCCCAAAAAGAGGAGTCTCTGGAACCTTTTCTGATTTCCTTAAGGGATCCCAGGCTGTTAGAAAGTTTTTTAGGTTCCCTTACGTGGCATCAAGGGTGGTAAGAGGAAGGAGGGACTGACAGAAGTAAATGAAGAAACAGACAGAAGGGGCACATATGGTTATCATGGTTTTAAGAACAGATAAATTCAGTAGACTGATAAGTTTTTACAGAAGGAGAACAGAGCCCTTAAAAAGATATATATGTATGAATACATATGGTTATATATGTGTGTTTATATGTATAGGTGTTTATATATGTATGTATACATATATATCCTAAATATCAGTTTTAATTAAGTTCACATTTAAGTATACAGCTCTTAAAAACATCCTTTTAAATTTCTTATTATCAGATTTTAGCTGGGACAGTCGATATTTCAGGATTTTGAATCTTTTTTAGCTGAAGTACATTCCCAAGTGAAACTAATAAGACTTAACCAAGGTTGCAGCTTAACCAAGAATATACATGGTGTCTTCAAAGAGGTGGAAAGCAGTGCACATGGAATCCAGAACTATCTCAAAGACAGCACAAAGAAAGGAATGTTTTGCTAGCCACAGATGAAGCATAATCCATATCTCTGTCTGGCCGTATTTTTTAGGGTCTCAGCTTTTGAGCTGACCATCTACACATAAAAGCCCAAAAGCCTCATGTGCCCCCGATGAATGAAAGGAGACAGGAAATCAAAAGCTGTCCGTGGAAGGGAAAAGGATCAAAAACAAATAAGCACCCCTAAAAGTCGAAAGTGGTGTAAATGTCAAATCAAGAGAGACTGATTCCCTGACCAGGAACTGAACCCGGGTCCATGGTGATGAAAGCACAGAATTTTAACTACTCAACTACAATGTGGAGGCAGCCTTCATTGTTAATCCCACAGGAAAGCTAAAGCAGGTAGTTTGAGTTTACAAAGGATTTTAACTTTTTTCAGATCCGATCTTAGCTGGAATGCTGCTTAGCTAATTCCCTGGATGTTGGCATTTGAACATCAGTATCAGTCATTAGTCCTGATTGGAAAAAAAGTTGTTGGATATGCATTTTTATAATCTCAGTGGCTTTATTTTTACTCATTTCCCCATTTTGACTATTAATCTTTTAATTACCTGTTTTATTGCCCTAAGCAATTGTCAGCTAGGAACAAAGGTATGTTTTAGAGTTTCGTCTTATTCATTGAGTGGTCTTTTTACTTGAGCAAAGAACAGTTTGAGAATCAGGTGGCCCTCAGAACCAGAAGAATTCATAGTGTCTCTAGGAATGCCACAATAGGAATTTCAGGGAGAGGGGTCAAAGACCTGGGGAATTTCCTCAGGTGGTGGTGATAGATATCTTTAAATCCTGAATGGAGGCAAATTTCTCAGAATTTCTTCTAGAAGCATTTTAGGTACCATTGGAAGTAAGTCTCCTATTTGGTTCTAAAACTAGCTTTTTCTAATTGTGCATGCAAATAAGTTATTTTAGGTATTTTTAAAATTTCCATTTTTTGTCATTGTGTTTATGACCATCCCAGGTTAGATGTGTCCACACTCTGAGGTATATATAAGAGCTGCCATAAGTGTTATACATAAAACCAGCTGGTGTTTAACTAATAGGAGTTGGTCACAAATGAAAAATCAAGCCTTAATTTCAAAAATACAAAAGCAGATGCATTTTTAAAGTATCCTATGTAAAATGAGACCACTAGTGCCTAACTGTCAATTCTGTGACCCAAGCCTCCACTGAGAGACAACAGTGGAAAAAACTTTGACCTGAACCCCACCCCGAGACAGAGGTAGAAAAAAGGCAGCTCTCTGCAGAGCTCTTCACCCTGTTCTACCCAAAGACAGAGACTACAGCACTCACTCTTAAAGGAAAGAGTGGGTCTGAAAAACAGCCAAATAAATTCTACAACTTCAACCAAAAAGTGGTAGGAGAATTCACCCAGCATGCCAGATGGGAATTCCAAATACGAAATGTTTGTGCTGCTACCAAGCACCACTTTCAGAAACACTGGGTAGTCAGACAGAGTCACTCTTAATCCTGCTGACTTATGCCAGATATGTCAGCCTAAAAGGAAGAAACTGAGGCAAAATTAATATAAGTAGAGTTCATTTGGGCCAAGCTTGGGGATTCCAACCCAGAAGGATAGATTCAAGTTGCCCTGAATATACACTCCAATTAACAGCAGTTACACGTGTATTTTTAAAGGCGAAAACAAACAAACAAAAACAAAAACAAACAAAAAAAAAACAAAAAAGAGGGGTGGCGAGACAGGGAGTGGGATGATACAAAGTTGTAAGAAATTCTTGCTGATTTACAGAAATAACATTTATTGGTGATTTGCTATGTGTTGTCAATCTATAGGTGGTGGGTTGCAGTGCCCCATATGGCATTATTAGGTTAATTTATAGCTATGTGTGGCAATAACAAGCAGTTTCAAGAAATGATACATAGCTGAAAGTGGAGCATAGGATGTGACTGCGGTCTCATTTTAGTATCTCTCTGGGTCTGACAATTAAAAGGACTTGCATTCCTCAGAAAATAATTCATTTCTTTTCTCCTGATTGTACTTGAGTAAAATAAAATAAACACAAGAGAATCTACATTATAATTTTCAAAGTCCTCTGAATCTATAAATACCCGCAAACTTACTAGGTCAATAAGGCATTCAATATTTTTATCAACATATAGCCTAAATAAATCAATTCAAGTAATAAATATTCTATAATATCTTTCATTTTTTTCTATCTTTGTCCAGAACTGAGGTTACATTTTCATTAGAATACTATCAGCATGTCTGAAATTGCTACGCAATAATTTTAATGTTTTTTCCTAAATACTAACCTGCTGCAAATATTAAAGAAGAGAGCTACCATCAAGCAATATTAAACCTAAAACATATTTATCACGTTAGTAATAAAATTTCACAAATTTATTATCAATCCCATTTTGTGGGATTAAGTCTGAATGCAAAAAGAAAGTCAGAACTTCATATCTCCTAATTTCTTGTAAACATTTGTTTTCTTGTATTATGCTTAGTTATAATAACACTAATAATTCTATTAAGCAATTTTTTAATCTGCTGTGCATATTGATTCTAAAATGTCTATTATATCATATACATGTAGGGATGAAGAAAATTTTCCTTCCCCACTGAAAGTTTGAATTTAAATCTGTTGAAATGAGTTGATAGATTAACAGAGAAATAAGTTACACAAGTGTTATTGACATGCATAAAAACAGGAGAATTGCAGGAGAATGACTACCAAACAACCCAGCAAGGTACAGATGCTTATATACCCTTTTTATATAAGGAAAGAAGAGATGGGGTGAAATGTAGTCATTTTGAAGGGTAGTAAGTAGTTTTTAAAGGGCATAAATAGGCCCAGTGCTCAGATAAAGGACAGTAAATAATTCTCTTTGGGAACTGAGTGGGACTGGAGAACAGAATATGGTGTGGGACAAAGTTCACCTGGACTCTAAGTGTGGTGTTTAATTTTCAACGTCTTCTGCTAATGTATGAGTTTTAATTTTTTTAAAGTGTATTTTTACAATCTCAGTAATTTTAATTTTTTCTGGTTAATGAAATTTCAGGGAGGGATCAACAGTAACTGTGCTCCTTTTTGGCAGGTCTGCTTTCTAGGTAGATAAGGAAACTTCAGAGAACAGCCTCATCCTGGGCTTTGAGAGAGACAGAGGATTGAGAGATGAAGGTGGGTGAGTGGAGGGATTTGAGAAGAGACCTTGAGTTTGCTCTTTAGTTGACCATGTCAAAGCATATTTTGGGGCATCACATTCTGATCCCCAACAACACTAAAAGATAATTAAAATGAGTACAATGATTAAAACCTTCTAAACTGAGAAAATAGTTTCTATAGTATCCTAAGTATATGTACATCACAGAGTCTTGTTGAAGGAGTATAGAATGTACCAAATATAAATGCACAAAAAGTACAAGTGGTAGCATTTCAGTAATAATTTTATTGAGATTAAAGTTGAAATTTACTCTGCCTTAGGTAACCTAACAACTGCAGAATAAAAAAAAAAAACCCAACTTCTAAAGTATTAATGAAGCAATTAGCATAGAGATGAATGCAAATTGCAATAGTGATAGGGCAATGAAAAATTAAGAAGGAAAATTCAAGTCATTGAATACATGACTGTGTTTCCTATTCAATACCTTTGAGGATAACCTGATTTGCCCATTAAAAATGAGTTCCTGTCAAAATTGGTGTATATAAGATGCACTCCTGTTGTAAACGCTTGTAACAGATGGCAGAACTCACCATAGAGCTTTACTTCTAGACTGTAGGCAATTTTTACACAAAGCCTTCAGTGCTGCAAAATATCTCTTATTCAAGGACCCTAAAGAATATTACAGTAAAAAAAGAAGAGGGGAGAGAATTTATTTTTCCTTAGCATCTTTCAATGCCGTGAAGTAAATCAGGATTAACAATGACTAGAAATTAGAGGATAAAGTAAAAAATATTCTCAAGTCACACACAAAAAGATTAATGACTTCCCTTGGCAAATTACCATTATCAAAGAGAAGTTCCTCTAAAAAATTTGGTTGCATTCATTCTCACAGGCCTTTAATGTTAGCTAGAAAGAAAACACATTGGGCCGGGTGCCGTGGCTCACGCCTGTAATCCCAGCACTTTGGGAGGCCGAGACTGGTGGGCTGCCTGAGGTCAGGTGTTCAAGACCAACTTGGTCAACATAGTGAAACCCCATCTCTACTAAAAATACAAAAAATTAGCTGGGCGTGGTAGCAGGTGCCTGTAACCCCAGCTACTCAGGTGGCTGAGGCAGGAGAATTGCTTGAACCAAGGAGGTGGAGGTTGCAGTGAGCCGAGATCACGCCATTGCACTCCAGCCTGGGCGACAAGAGTGAAACTCTGTCTCAAAGGAAAAAAAAAAGGAAGAGAGAAAGAAAATTCATTTATATCTGCAATAGAATTAAGACCAAATTTTATAAATGTATTCTTTAAAGCAACCAATTAAGTAAGTTGAGTTCATTACAAAAATACTGACAGTTTTTTGGATGCTTCTTCTTTTGTAAAAGACCAGAAAAAAGAACAAAAGGTATCTGATGAAACTAACTTTCTAGTGCACTATTTATTAGTATTGATGCAATTCTAGATTTTACCACACTGAGTTTAAATAAAGATAAAGTTGGCTTCTGCATCTGGTAATGTTAAACTAAGTAATTCAGATAATGTTTCTAACCAAGGCAATTAGAAAATCTGGGAAACATCAAAATTATCTGCTTGAAGGAATCAGGGAGATAATAAAATAGTGAAGAATGATCAGGCCAGAATCTGAGGGAAGGCAAAGGCCCAGAAAGGTGAGCCTAGTTTTGATGTGGATTTCAGAAGGGGTAGATGAGACTCCGAGAAGTGCTCTTAACAGTCTTGTCGAGGTAAGGGGGCATGGATTAAAGTACAGTGCCCACATAAGAGTCCCTGCTGAAACCTCTGGCTTTGACTAGAACTGAAAAATAAAGAGGGGAAGAGAAAGAGAGAGAGAGGATGCAATGGACCTTTGAATCATTTCAATCCCCGTAATTGAAATAATGTGACATGAGATTGTAGTGACAAACACTTTACAGAATAAAGTTTAAGCGCTCTCTGGAGAGACATAATAATTTCATCCAACAGCTCAACATATCTTATTTGTAGAAATGATTCAGCAAAGACAACACTGGCAGCAAAACAAAACACAACAAAATGGGCCAATGAGGAAGTAACAAACAAAACAGATCATAGGCACTCGAGATAATAGTTTCAAATCCAAGCTCTAAAACAGCTATAACTACTATTTGCATATAGTTTAAAAGTATTGGAAATTTTCGTGGAGAAAAAATATATTACTAAAAAATTGAATAGGAGGGATGCACTTCTAAAACAGCAGAATAAGAACTTAAAAGAAAATCAGTCTTCCATAAAACCAACAAGTGCACTTGCCAAAAATGTCAAAATTAAGTTTTTGTGAACCCTAGGAATTATCTAAAATTTTGGAAAAATCCAAAGAGTGTTTATTCAAGAAAAGTGGCTGGATCTCATTAAGAACAACATGCTTTGTGATGTTTTAATTTAAACATTCCTTTCTCCCCTGTTCTTTGGTAACCTGGAAAACCAGTAGCCTTGCAATTACAGCAGCTGTGAAAACCAGCAACCTAGCAACCACTGGAGGGGGCACAATAAGTCTGAAGCTCTGCAAATGCCCCATCTCCAGACTGTCACTATTTGTCCTATCTGACAGTTCCCTGAAAAAGCTCTATTCTCAGGGCTTGTCTTAAATTAATCTGATGTAGATTTTACTCTGTGTGAATAGCCCTATGTCTAGGACATTAGTCAAAAAACAAATGATAGCAACTATTTAATTTTGCAGTTGACCGACCTGGGAAGAGGGGGTTTGAGCAGATGGCAATTAAGGTAACAAGACTTTAAAAGTGTCAAAAGGAAAATCAGGGGAATGAGATGTTCAGACAGCACTTTGAAAACCTCTGACCTATTCCTAGAAATCTAGAAGGGCATACACATGTGTAGAACTCTGGACATGACCTAATGAGACATGAGGAAAAGGGCCTCCTCTTTTATGTCTAGCTGACCTTGAGGATATATACAAGCAGGAAGTAAATGCTATGCCAGAGTTGTAAACTCCTTGATGAAAGATGGAAGGGACGCCACACACGAACATAATCTCTGGCAAAGTCTGGAAGACTTTTTGGCCCAAGGCCTTTATGGAAATCTCTGTCCAAACATTAGCTTACCACTAAACTAATCTAGCAGAGACTTTAGTGGCCACACGTAATAAAGGATACAGACTTTGTACAATTATTATGGGAATATCACCAAACAAACAGAGGCAGCAGCCAGCAGCAACAACCACCAGCAATAATAAAAAGACTGGAAAGAGGGAGACACACAAAGAAATAAGAAAATATGACCCATACACAGGATGAAAAGCAGGCAAGGGAAACTGGCCCTGATAAAGTCCAGTTGTTGAATTTATAACGCAGTTATTATAAACATGTTGAAAGAACTAAAGGAAACTATGTCTAAAGAATTAAAGTATGAGAACAATGTCTCACCAAAGAATATTAGAAACAACAGATCAATTATTAAAAACAACCAAATTTGAGGAGTACAATTACTGAAATAAAAGATATCATAGAGAAGCCCAACAACAGATTTGAACTGACAAATGAATCAATGAACTTCAAGACAGGTCAATTTAGGATTATCCAGTCTGATGAATAGAGAGAGAAAAATAAACACATCCTTAAAAATATGATGGAAATCACAGAAAGAGAAAGTATATTTGAAGAAATTACAATATCAACAAATTCTTCCAATTTTATGAGAAACATTAATCTACACGTGCAATAAGCTCAATACATCCAATTAGGATACTTCTAAAGAGATTTATATTTTAGGACATCACAGTTCAACTGTTGAAACATAAAGACAAAGAATCTTAAATGCAGTGAGGAACAACTCATCACACACAAGGGATTCTTAATAAAATTAACAGCTAACTTCCAAACAGAAACCACAGTAGTTGGAAGGCAGTGTGATAACATACTTAAAGTACTGAAAGAAAAAGACTGTCAACCAAAGATATTATATCCTTCAAAATTATTATTAAAAGCAAAGGAGAAATTAAGATTAAAAACTGAAAAACTTTATTACTAATCGATCTTCTATATAAAAAATACTAAAGGAGATCCTTCAACTGAAATAAAAGGACACTGAAGAGTAACTCAGACCACCACAAAAAATGATAAACATTGGTAAAGGTAACTACATAAATAGAAAAAATAATATAAATGTATTTTTTGGTAATTCTTTTTCTTCTGTAATTTAAAAGCAACTTTATAAAGTAATATTTATAAAACTATTGATACCTTATAATGAAAAATGATATAATTTGGATGGCAATTATGCAAGAGAGAGGGAGGAACACTATATATATTGAAGACGAGTGTTTGTATACTTTTAAATTAATTTGCTATTAAATTAATACTGCAGACCATGATTTTTTTTTTTTTTTTTTTTTGAGACAGAGTAAAGTTCACTGTTGTTGCCCAGGCTAGAGTGCAATGGCATGATCTCAGCTCACTGCAACCTCTGCCTCCTGGGTTCAAGCGATTCTCCTGCCTCAGCCTCTCAAGTAGCTGGGATTACGGACATCCACCACCATGCCTAATTTTGTATTTTTAATAGAAATGGGGTTTCGCCACATTGGCCAGACTGGTCTCGAGATTATTCTTAATTATAATTCCTGAAGTAACCCTTAAAAATTAACCTTAAGGCTGGGTGCAGTGGTTCATGTCTGTAATCCCAGCATATTGGGAGGCAGAGACGGGAGGATTACCTGAGGTCAGGAGTTCAAGACCAGTCTGGCCAAAATGGCGAAACCCCATCTCTACTGAAAATACAAAAATTAGCCAGGTGTGGTGGTGCGTGCCTATAATCGCAGCTACTCAGGAGGCTGAGGCAGGAAAATTGCTTGAAGTGGGGAGGCAGATGTTGCAGTGAGCTGAGATCGCACCACTGCACTCCAGCATGGAAAATAAGAGTGAGACTCTGTCTCAAAAAAAAAAAAAACCTTAAAATAGTAAAAGAAACAACAAAGAATAAAAGTTGTATACTAGAATATATCTACTTAACACAAAAAGGTGGTAATATAGGAATATGAGAACAGAAAACAATGTAAGACATACAGAAAACAAATAGCAAAATGGCAGACATTAATCCAAACTTATTAGGACAGGTTGAGCATCCCTAATGCAAAAAACACAAAATCTGAAGTGTTCCAAAATCTGAAACTTTTTGAGAGCTGACATGACAATAAAGATGACATTGCTAACACTGCAGAAAAAGTGCTTGTACATAACATTGAAACCACCTTTGTAAAATTTATAAAAGTGAGAAAATTATGACAGTGAGAGATTTGACCTAACCAACTCCATCTTCCCTTTAACCTTCAAACTGCTCTTGGTCATTCCTGGGTGTGGGCCAAGCTAACTGTGGGAGAAATTTAGTTTATAATTTAAATGATAATAGCCCTTCTCAAAAATAAGCCACCTTTATAAAGCTAATAAAAGGCCACAATACTAAGTTTATAAGAGGGACCTGAATTCTGCTAAGACATAGGTATAGCTAAACAATTACTAGACATTGTCTCAAAGGTCACAAGATTTGTAACTTCCACAACTACTCCTGTAAACAACATCACTATTGTAGAACCTAAGATTGGCTGTTTTAGATGTCTTTTCAGACTTTTGGATTTCTGACAACTGATGACTCCACCTGGACCTGGGACTCAATACTCAACCAATCCTGTAGCACCTATGCAGAAGAGGACTCAGAGCAGAAGGGCCATTTTCCATACTGCTCCAATTGCCTCCCCAACCAATCAGCAGCACCCATTCTTTAGCCACCCACCTAAAGAAATTTCTTTAAAAAGTCCTAGCCTCCAAATATTTGAAGAAGTTGATTTCTCAGTCTTCTGTTTAGCCAACGCTTTAAACTCTCTTGTCTTCTGTTTAACCAGCTTTATTAAACTCTTTCTCTATTGTAATTCCCTGTCTTGTAAGTTAACCCTATTTGGACAGCAAGATGAATCTGTCAGGCAGTTACAACATAGTAAGAATGTTTGATGGGCTTACTGAAGGACAGCATGCATTCATAACAGTACAGGAAATCATGTCAGTATACAAAATCAAAGACACTTCTAAGACAAAAGCCATTGTTAATGAGGCAGATAAATCTCAAGGAAATGTTTAAAAATCCAGAAGAATGCCTCCTCAATCTTAGGGGACCCACTTCCTGGTCCCTCAACTACTTCTATTTCTTCTCACCAAAAAACGATATAATCAAAACACAGCATTGTAGATGGAGATGAAGCCTGCAATTGTTTGTTGTTGCTGTTGTTTAATGGCTGATACAGGTTTTATTAGTCCATTCTCACACCATGAAGAAACACCAAAGACTGGGTAGTTTGTAAAGAAAAGAGGTTTAATTGACTCACAGTTCTACATGGCTGGGGAGGCCTCAGGAAACTTACAAGCATGGCAGAAGGCACCTCTTCTCAGGGAGGCAGGAGAGAGAATAAGTGCCAGCAGGGGAAATGCCAGATGATTATAAAATGATCAGATCTTATGAGAACTTACTCACTATCATGAGAACAGCATGGGGAAACTGCCCCCATGATTCAATTATTTCCCACCAAATCCCTCCCACAACATGTGGGGATTATGGGGATTACAATTCAAGATGAGATTTGGTAGGGGACAAAGCCAAACCATATCATAGGTATTTTGATGATGCTACTGTGCTGCTTAGCTACCATGTACACATTGTTTTTTACTATATTAATGTTAGTCATATTTTTTACTGTCAAATACTTACACGTGCATAAATGCAAGACAATGATTACTTATCAGTAGCATATAAATTCAGATTCAGGAATGATACTAATGACCAACAATTATAGATTGTCTACATGGATGGCTGAGATACTGACACATTTGCTCTCTGATAATGCAATGTAGACAAACTATTTCAGTACACAATTATAAAAAATATAGGAATTTACCTCCAGCATATGCGTATAAGGTGTATATAAAATATAAATAAATTTTCTGTTTAAACTTGGGTCCCATTCCCAAGATATCTCATTATGTATATGCAAATATTTCCATTAGGAAGACATAAGAATTGTAAAAATATATGAACTAAACAATGGAGTCCCAAAATACTTGAAACAAAAAGAAAAGTAGAAAATTTAACATTAATAGTTTGACATTTCAATATTGAATAGAACAACTAGGCAGAAGATCAACAAGAAAAGAGAACACTTGAATGACTCTATAAACCATAGAACACTGCATCTCAAAAGAGTAGAATACAGATAGATCATGCCATACATTTCTTTAGGCCTCAAAGAATATTGAAGGATTTGAGTCACACAAAGTATTATGGCCTAAATTGTACCCCCTTTGCTCCACAAATTCATATCTTGAAGCTTTAGCTCCCTATATCTCAAAATGTGACTGTATTTGCCTAGGAATACAGCTAACAAGGGAGGTGAAAGAGCTCCACAGTGAGAATTACAAAGCACTGCTCAAATAAATTAGAGATGACACAAACAAATGGAAAAGCATTTCATGTTCATGGATAGGAAGAATCAGTACTGTTAAAATGGCCATACCACCCAAAGCAAATTATAGATCAGTGCTATTCCAATCAAACTACAAATGACATTCTTCGCAAAAGCAGAAAAAAATACTCATATGAAACCAAAAAAGTGACTGAATAGCCAACTTGATTCTAAGCAAAAAGAACAAAGCTAGAAGCATCAATTTACTCCATTTCAAACTAAACTACAAAGCTACCATAACCAAAATAGTGTGGTTCTGGTACAAAAACAGACACACAGACCAAATGGCACAGAACAGAAAGCCCCAAAATAAAGGCACACACCTATAACCATTTGATCTTTGACCAAAGCTGACAAAAACAAGCAATGGGAAAATGACTCTTTATTCAATAAATGGTGCTTGGATAACTGGCTAGTCATATGTTAAAGACTGAAACTAGATCCCTTCCTTATACCACATAAAAATAAATGTAAGATAGATTAAAGATTTAAATGTAAAAACTAAAACTATAAAAACTCTGAAAGATAACTAAGGAAATACCATTCTGGACATAAGAATGTGCAAAGATTTCATGATGAAGATGCCAGAAACAATTGCAACAACAACAAAAATGGACAAATGGGACCTAGTTAAACCAAAGAGCTTCTACACAGCAAAATACACTACCAACAGAGTAAACAGACAATCTACAGAATGAGAAAAAAAAAATTGTAAACTATGCATTTGACAAAGGCCTAATATCCAGAATCTATAAGGAACTTAAACAAATTAACAAGCAAGAAACAAACAACCCCATTAAAAACTGGGCAAAGAACATGAGCAGATACATTTCAAAAGATGACATTCAGATGGCCACCAAGCATATGAAAAAAAAGCTCAACATCACTACTCATTAGACAAATGCAAGTCAAAACCATAATGAGATACCATCTCACACCAGCCAGAAGAGAATGTGAATTCTCACACCAGGTGGGAAGGTGAATTAGTTCAGCCATTGTGGAAAGCAGTTTAGAGATTTATTAAAGAACTTAAAACAGAATTACCATTTGACTCAGTAATCCCATTACTGGGTATATACCCAAAGGAATATAAATCTTTCTACTACAAGCAGAAGAAAGGAAATTAGAAATACTTTGAAATTAACTAAAATAAAATAAAACATGCAAAAACCTTTGGGATGCAGCTTACGTAGTGCTTAAATTCCTTCTCTACTGCCACTTTGGTTTCAATTTTGTTAATCTTTTCAAAGAACCACCTTTTGTTTTTGATGATATTTTCTATGGTTTTCCCCTGATCAATTTCAGTTGTCTTCACTTTGCAATCAAATAACTATCCTGCTTGTGCAGGGACTTGCTGGGTGATTCACACCCATATGAGCCAATGACACACACCCACCTTCCTCCTTCCCATAGTAGATGCCAAGGCACCCCAGGATCAACTTCAGCCCCTTTAACTTCTGTCAGGGGCTATCCCATCTGTGCAGAGAAGTCTGCTGGGAAACCAGCCCATCTGGGCCACCAGGACAGCCTTGTGGATACAGGTTCCTGGCCAATATTCACATGTAGCCCCAATAATCTCCTTGGATATTCTCCATGACAATCTGGCTCAGAGAGCTATGCTAAACACAGAGTTATCATGAGACTTGCCACAAGCCTGGGCTTGGAGTCTCCTCTCATGCTGAGAAAGCTGCAGTGGTCACAGGTTCAAAGAATTCAATGGTCAGTCTGCTTAGAATTTCTGGAAGTCCCTCTATAGAAAGACAGGCACCAAAAAAGCCAAATCGTTAAGACTGAACTACATACCTAATCCCTCTATGTACAGACATTGTCACAGGTACAAACACATCAAGAACATTCAGAGAAATATTACCTCACCAAACAAACAAAATAAGGTGCTAGAAACTGACCCTAAATTGATAGAGATTTATAGTCTATCAGAAAAAGAACTCAAAATAGCCATCTTAAGGAAGCTCAACAAACCTCAAGAAAACACTAAGAATCAATTGAGAAACTTATCATAGAAATGTAACAGAGATTGAAGTATTTTAAAACACACACACACACACACACACACGCACAGAAAACCTGGAGATGAAAAAAGAATAAATGAAATGAAAAAGATGTAATGAAGAGCACAACAGCAGAATTAGTCATAGAAGGGAGAATTAGCACAAAAGCAGACTATTTGAAAATACATAATCAAGGCCAGTTGTGGTGGCACATGCCTGTAATCCCAGCATTTTAGGAAGTCAAGGCAGGAGGATTGCTTGAGCCTAGGAGTTCAACACCAGCCTGAGCAACACAGTGAGAGCAACTTATCATCCATTTCTAATAAATGGATGAATAAATTTGAAAATACACAGTCAGATGAGAAAAAAAAATCAAAAGGAATGAACAAAGCTTACAGGATCTATGGAACAATATCAAAAGATATTGTTCAGATATTAGAATTAAATATCAGGTATTGGAATTAACTCCAATATTCAGGTATTGGAATTAACTCCAATATTCAGATATTGGAGTTAAAAAGGAAACTGAGAAAGAATAAGAGAGTAGAAAGCTTATTTAAAGAAGTAATGACACAAAACTTTCTAGACATAAATAAAGATATAAATAACCATGGACAGGAAGTGAAAAGGTCATTAATCAGGTTCATCCCACATAAGGGTAACCAAGATAATAGCATAATCAAATTATCAAAGTTTAAAGGCAAAGAGAAGATCTTGAAAACACTAAAACAAAGGAAGCAAATAACATATAAAGGGAATTCAATATGAATGGCAGCAGATTTCTCAGCAGAAATTTTATAGGCTTCTAGGAATTTAGAAAATATATTCAGAGGGCTGAAGAAGAAAAAAATAAAAACAAAAAACCCTGCTGACCAAGAATACTGTATCCAGCAAAGCCATCCTTTAGAAATAAAGGAGAGAAAAAGACGTTCCCAGACAAGTAAAAGCCGAAGGAATTTGTCAATACCAGACCTGTCCTACAAAAAAGTGCTAAAGGAAGTTCTTCCAATCAAAAAGAACAAAAGGACACTATTGTAATTTTTTCAATTATACTGTAATTGTGGTATGTAAACCACTTATATTTTTACCAAAGCAACTAAAAGACAAATGTATTAAAAATAATAATAATGACAATTTGTTAAGAGATAGAAAACATAAAAAGTACAAATTGTGACATCGAAAATTCAAAATTTTGGAGGAGAAGGGAGTTAATGTATACAGGTTTTTTGTTTCTTTTCTTTTTTGCAAAGTTAAGTTGGCATCAGTTTTAAATAATTTGTAATAACTACACCAGGTTTTTTGTAAGGATCATATTAGCCACAAAGCAAAAACCTATAATAGACACACAAAAGCAATACACTAAAATATTCTATCTGAAAAAAATCACTTCATCAAAAAGGAACATAGTAAGAAAGAAAAAAAGAAACAAAAAAAAGAAAGGCATTAAAAAACAACTGTGAATAAGCAACAAAATGGCAGCAATAAGTCCCTACCTACCAAGAATAACACTGAATGTAAATAAACTAAATTTTCTAATTAAAAGACACAGTATGGCAGAATGGATTGAAAAACGAGTCTCGGCTCTATGCTCCTTACAAGAAACTCACTTTGCCTATAAAGACACGTATAGATTAAAAGTGAAGGAATGGAAAAACATACTCCATAGAAATGTAAACCCAGTGAAAACCAAAACAGAGCAGGAGTAGCTATACTTACAAGAGATACAATAGCTTAAAGTTAAAAACTTAATAGACAAAGGGGTCATTACATAAATACTGAAGGTTTCAGTCCAGCCAGATAATATAATAATAGAAAAATATATGCACCCAACACCAGAGCACCCAGATATATAAAGCAAATATTAATAGACATAAAGGGAGAAATAGACTGCAACAGATTAAGAATAAGAGACTGTAATACCCTACTTTCAGCAATAGACAGATTATCCAGGCAGAAAGCCAACAAAGAAACATCAGAGTTAAACTGTACTCTACAGCAAATAGACCTAACATATATTTGCAGTACATTTCACCCAACTATTGCAGAATATTCATTTTCCTCATCAGCAAATTCTCCAGGATAGACCACATGCTAAGTCACAATACAAATCTCAAAAAATTCAAAAATGTCAAAACATATCAAGTACCATTTTTAACCACAGCAGAACAAAAACAGAAATTAATAACAAGAGGAATTTTGGAGACTGTACAAATACACAGAAATTGAACAATATGCTCTTGAATGACCAACAGGTCAGTGAATAATTTTGTTTTAATTTCTTAAAACAAATAAAAATGGAAACACAACATACCAGAACCTAAATGATACAGCAAAAGCAGTACCAAAAGAGTTTATAGCAACAAATGCCCATGTTAAAAACAATAATAATAATAATAATAGGAAGACTTTAAATAAATAACCTAATGATGAAGCTTAAGGAAATGGAAAAGCAAGAACAATTCAAGTCAAAATTAATAGAAAAAAAATAATAAAAATTATAGTGGAAATAAAATTAAGACTAAAAATAATTAAAAAGATGAGCAAAATGAAAAGTTTTTTGCAAAGATAAACAAAATCAACAAACCTTTATCTAGGCTAAGAAAAAAAGATAAGACTCAAATAAATAAAATCAGAGATTAGAAAGGAAACATTATTACTAATACCATGGAAATACAAAAGATAATTACAGACTACTATGAACAACTATATACCAACAAATTAGAAAATCTAGAAAAATTAGATAAACTCCTAAACACACACAACCAATCAAGATTGAATCATGAAGAAATTGAAAACCTGAACAGACCAATAATGAGTAATGAGATTGATATAGTAATAAAAAAGTCTTCCACCCAAGAAAAGTCCAGGACTTGACAGTATCAAGCTGAATTATACCCAACATTTAAAGAACTAATCTCAGTTCTACTCAAACTCTTCAAAAAATTGAAGAGGAGGAAATACTTCCAAACTCATTCTACAAGGCCAGCATTGCTGTGATACCAAAACCAGACAAGGACACAACAAATAAATAAAACTACAGGTCAATATCCCTGATGAATATAAATGCAAATATCCTCAACAAAATACAAGCAAATCAAACACAAGTCATTAAAAATACCAGTTACAATGCTCAAGTGGGATTCATTCCAGGGATGCAAACGTTGTTCAATATATGCAAATCAATAAATGTGATATATCGTATCAAGAAAATCAATGACAAAATCCATATGATTATCTCAATAAATGCTGAAGAAGCATTAGATAAAATGTAACATCTTTTCCTGATAAAAGTCTCAAAAAATTGGGTATAGTTGGAACATTCTTTAACATGTTAAAGGCATGAATGAGAAGAAACTGAAAGCCTTTCCATGAAGATCTGAAGCAAAATAAGTATTCCCATTTTCACCAATTCTATTCAACATAGTACTGTGAATCCTAGCCAGAGCAACTGGGAAAGAGAAAGAAATAAAGGGCATTCAAATTGGAAAGGAAGAAATCAAATTAGCCTTGCTTACAGACATGATTTCATATTTTCAAAAGCCTAAAGACTACCAAAAAACTTTTAGAACTGACACACTCTGTATAGTTGCAGAATTCAAAATCAATATAAAAATATTAGTAGCACTATATACACTATCGGCAATCAATCTGAAAAAGAAATCAAGAAAGCAATCCAATTTATAATAGCTTCAACAAATTTTGCCTAGTAATAAACTTAACCAAAGTAGTGAATGATTCTATATAAGAAAAACTATGAAACACTGATTAAAGAAATAGAAGAGGACAGAAAAAAAATGGAAAGATATCTCATGCTCATGGATTGAAATAATCAACATTGTTAAAATGCCTGTATCACTCAAAGTTATCTATAGCTTCAATATAATCTATACCAAAATACCAATGACCTTCTTCACAAAAACAGAAAAAAATCCTAAAATTTGTATGGAACCCAAAAAGAGCCACAACAGCCAAAGCAATCCTAATCAAAAAGAATAAAGCTGAAGGCATCACACTACCTGATTTCAAATTATAGCATAAAGTTATAGTAACCCAAGCTGCATGGTGCTGGCATAAAAACAGGCATATAGACCAATGGAAAAAATAAAGAACTCAGAAGTAAATCTATGCACTTACAACCAAGTAATTTTTGACAAAGTTTCCAAGAGCATACATTGGGGAAAGGACAGTGTTTAATAAATGGTTCTGGAAAAAGTGGATATCCATATGCAGAAGAATGAAACCAGATTCCTATCTTTCAACATATATAAAATGAATGCCAAAATGGATTAAAGACTTAAATGTAAAACTGAAAGCTATGAAACTTCTAGAAGAAAATATTGAGGAAATGCTACAGAATACTGGTCTGGGCAAAAAATTTTGAGTAAGACTCCCAAAAAGCTTAGGCAACCAGAGCAAAAATAAATGGGATTACATCAAGCTAACAAGCTTTTGCACAGCAAAAGACAATCAACAAAGTGAAAAGGCATCCTAAAAAAAAAAGGTGAGAAACTATTTGCAATCTATCCATCCAACAAGCAATTAATAATCAGAATATTATCAATATATCAGAATAAGAAACCTTATATCAAATTTAAAAATCTGATTAAAAAGTGGGAAAAAGACTCAATAGACATTTCTTAAAAGAAAACATACAAATGGACCATGAATATATGAAAAAAATGCTCAACATCACTAATCATCAGGGAAATGCAAATCAAAACTGCAATGAGATATCACCTAGTTCCAGTTAAAATGGCTATTATCAAATAGACAATAATAACAAATGCTGGCAAAGATGAGAAGAAAGATGAACACTTGTACACTGTTGGTGAGAATGTAAAGTAATACAGCTCTTATGGAATACAGTATGAAGGTTGCTCAAAAAACTAAAAATAGAACTACCATATGATCCAGTATTCCCACTACTGGATATATATTCAATAGAAAGCATATGAATATATCAAAGAGATAGCTGCACTCCCACATTTTTTGCAACACTATGCACAATAGCAAAAACAAGAAATCAACCTAAGTGCCCATCAATAAATGAATGGATAAAGAAAATGTGGTGTATATTCACAGCAGAATATTGTTCATCCATAGAAAAGAATGAAATCCTGTCTTTTGCAGCAACATGGATGGAACTGGAGGTCATTAGGTTAAGTAAAATAAGTCAGGCACAGAAGGACAGATATTGCATGATCTCACTCATATATCAGAGCCAAAAAAGCAGATCTCATGGAAGTAGAGTAGAATGCTGGTTACTAGAGACTGAAAAGAAAAGATGGGGAATTAGGAGGAATTGGTTAAGGGGTATAAAAGTAGTTTAAAAAATAAGTTATAATATTTAATAGCAAAGTAGAGGAATTATAGTCAACAATAATTTATTATATATTTCAAAACAGCTAGAAGAAAACAATTATAATATTCCCAACCCAAAAGTAAGATAAATGTTTCAGGTCATGAATATCCAACCCAATTATCCACATTTGGTCATATTGTATAAAGGTACTAAATATCACATATACAATATGGTCACATATTGTATATAGGTACTAAAATGTCACATGTAGCTCCCAAATAGTTACAACTATTATACATCAATTTAAAAATACCTGACAAAAAATTTAAAATCTTTTTATATAGACTGATGAAAAAAAGAGAAAAGTCTCAAATTACTCAAATGAAGAAAGAAAGAAGATATATCTAAAAAGGAATATAAGATTTTGAGATTGGAAGGGAACATTAAAACTATATTCATAGATGATATGATATATATATAGAAAATCATAAATGATTCACATACACTATAAGTATCATTAGAACTAATAAATGAGCTCAGCTAAGTGGCAGGGTACAAGATCAATATATAAAAATTAATTGTATTTTGATATACTAGCAATGAACTAAATGATAAATTCCATTTATCATAGCACCAAAAAGAATAAAAAAAATTGATTTAATACAACAAGTGCAAATTTTATATATTGAAAACTAGATAATATCTTTGAAAGATGTTAAAGAATATCTAAATAAATGGAGAGACATCCTTGTTCACGTAATGTAAGATTAAATATTAAGATGGTAATAGTTATTAATTGATCTACAGTTTCAGTGCAATTCCAATCAAATCCTTCCTGTCTCCTTCCCTGTAGAAATTGACAAGTTGATCCCAAAATTCATCTGAAAAATCAAGGAATCAAGAGTAGTCAAAACAACACTGAAAAATAAAACAAAGTCAGAGAAGTCACACTTCCAGTTTCAATATTTACTACAAAGCTATAGTATCGGGGGAAATTCACCCCTGATATTTCACGTAGGTTCTTTTCTATTTTCCCTAAGTGTTGGCCGGTCTGAGAAATAAAGGGAAAGAGTACAAAAGACAGAAATTTTAAAGCTGGGTGTCCAGGGGAGACATCACAAATTGGCAGGTTCCGTGATGCCTCCCAAGCCGCAAAACCAGCAAGTTTTTATTAGTGATTTTCAAAAGGGGAGGGAGTGTATAAATAGGGTGTGGGTCACAGAGATCACATGTTTCACAAGGTAATAAAATATCACAAGGCAAGTGGAGGCAGGGTGAGATCACAGGACTGGGGCAAAATTAAAATTGCTAATGAAGTTTCAGGCATGCATTGTCATTGATAACATCTTATCAGGAGACAGGGTTTGAGAGCAGCCAACTGGTCTGACCAAAATTTATTAGGCGGGAATTTCCTCGTCCTAATAAGCCTGGTAGCGCTATGGGAGACCGGGGCATATTTCATCCCTTATTTACAACCGTAAAAGGCAGGCATCCCCAAAGTGGCCATTTTAGAGGCCTACCCCTAGGCACACATTCTCTTTCTTAGGGCTGTTCCTTGCTGAGAAAAAGAATTCAGCGATATTTCTCCTATTTGCTTTTGAAAGAAGAGAAATATGGCACTGTCCCACCAGGCCCACAGGCAGCCAGCCTTTAAGGTTATCTCCCTTGTTCCCTGAACATGGCTGCTATCCTGTTCTTAAGGTGCTCAGATTTGATATTGTTCAAACACACACACTCTACAAACAATTTGTGCAGTTAACGCAATCATCACAGGGTCCTGAGGCGACATACATCCTCCTCAGTTTAGGAAGATGACAGGATTAAGAGATTAAAGTAAAGACAGGCATAGGAAATCACAAGAGTATTGATTAGGGAAGTGATAAGTGTCCATGAAATCATCACAATTTATGTTCAGAGATTGCAGTAAAGACAGGCGTAAGAAATTATAAAAGTATTAATTTGGGGAACTAATAAATGTGCATGAAATCTTCGCACTTTATGTTCTTCTGCCATGGCTTCAGCCGGTCCCACCGTTCAGGGTCCCTGACTTCCCACAACACTACAGTAATCAAAACAGTGTGGTACAGTATAGAAAAAGCTATACAAAACAATGGGCAAAACTGAGAGTACAGAAATAAGCTGTTATACTAAAGGTCAATTAATTTTCAAAAATGGGTCTAAGATATTTAATGGGGGGAGATAAAGCTTTTTAAGAAATGGTACTAAGACAATAATATCTTCATACAAAAGAATGAAATTAGAATCCTTCATACTATAAAGGAAAATTAACTCCATATGAATCATAGACCTAAATGTGAAAGGTAAAACTATAAAAATTCTTAGAAGCCACAGAGGAGTACATTTTATCCTTTAATTAGTAATGGTCTGTTAGCTAGGATGTTAAAAGCGCAAGTCACAAAAGAAAAAAGTGAATTGGACATTATCAAAATTAAAAAGAAAAAACTTTTTGTATTTCAAAGGATACCATCAAGAAAGTGAAGACGGGAGGCCGAGGCGGGCGGATCACGAGGTCAGGAGATCGAGACCATCCCGGCTAAAACGGTGAAACCCCGTCTCTACTAAAAATACAAAAAAATTAGCCGGGCGTAGTGGCGGGCGCCTGTAGTCCCAGCTACTTGGGAGGCTGAGGCAGGAGAATGGCGTGAACCCGGGAGGCGGAGCTTGCAGTGAGCCGAGATTGCGCCACTGCACTCCAGCCTGGGCGACAGAGCGAGACTCCGTCTCAAAAAAAAAAAAAAAGAAAGTGAAGACAACCCAAAAGAATGGGAGAAAATATTTGTGATCATATATTTAATAGGGGACTTGTGTCTAGAATTAATAAAGAACTGTCAACTTCAACAAAAAGAAAAATAGCCCAGTTTAAAAATAGGCAAAAGATTTCTCAAAGAATATCTATTAATGATCAATAGACACACAGAAAGATACTTAATATAATTTATCATTTGGGAAATATAAATCAAAATCACAATGAGATATCATACCACTTCATATTCACTAGGGTGGCTAAAATCAAAAGGCAGACAATAAGAAGTGTTGATGAGCATGTGGAGAAGCTGAAATCCTCATAAATTGCTGATGAGGTTCTAAAATGGTACAGACACTTAGAAATTTGGCAGTTCACCAAAATATTAAACATGTAGAAACCATATAACCCAGCTATTCAACTACTAGTTATATAACCATATGTGAAAATCTAACTTATTAGAAGCAACTTGTGCATGAATGTGCACAGCAATATTATTTCAGTAGCCAAAGAGCAGAAATAACTCAAATATCCATCAACTGATAGATGGATCATCAATGTGTTTTATAGTCATACAGTGGAATGCATGGCCATTAATTATGACCCCAAAAATGCTTGGTTTTGTTTTTCAACCTGAGGAATTTCTGCCTTTCTACTGACAGAGACATTTGTTTTTCCAGCATTCTTGTTAAGGAATGCTGAAAAGCAGGTTTTGTCTTTTATCAAGAAATTTCACCATCTTTTTTTATCAAGAGTCCTGAAGAAGAATTAAGGGAACTATGGCATTATAAAACTAAAATTATGAAAGTTCTCAGGAACCCTCAAACTTCCATGGCCTAAAGTATTATTGTTAGCTTCAATGTTTCTATGGGCCAAGCCATCTGGGACACCTATATCATCTCTCCTGATTGATTAATAACAGGCTACCTTAGGCATTTGGAAATTTCATTAACAGTCTTAAATTCCACTCAATTACAAACAGATATGACTAGTACTACACGGACTCAGGATATCTCTAGCTCTAGATCAACAGATAAGAACATTTCTAAAACACCCACCTCTAAATGATCTATAATCTGAAAATGTAATCTTCTGGAAAAGACACCAAAAAACCTGCACTTGAACCTCAGTGAAAAGGATCTTATCAGGTACTGTTAACAACTGACACAACAGTAAGACTCCAAAGTAGTGATCCTCAGATTCATGTTTCCTACCTCAAAAGATGTTTATTACTTCCTGTATTAGTCTGTTACCATAGACTGGGTGGCTCACACAACAGAAATCTATTTTCTCACAGCCTGGAGACTGAGAAGCCCGAGATCAGGGTGCCAGCATGGTCGGACTCTGGTGAGGCCTCCTTCCTCACTTGCAAACAGCCACCATTTGCTGTGTTCTCACATCGTTTTTCCCCAATGTGTACACATGCAGACACAGAAATCTCTCTCTTTCTCTTCCTGTAAGGCCATCAATTCTATAGAATTATGCCCCTACTCTTTTTTTTTTTTTTTTTTTTTTTGAGACAGAGTCTTGCTCTGTCACCCAGGCTGGAGTGCAGTGGCATGATCTCGGCTCACTGAAACCTCTGCCTTCTGGGTTCAAGCAATTCTCCTGTCTCTGCCTCCCACGAAGCTGGGACTACAGGCGTGCGCCACCACGCCCAGCTAATTTTTATATTTTAGTAGAGACAGAGTTTCACCTTATTGGTCAGCTGGTCTGGAACTCCTGACCTCAGGTGATCCACCAGCCTCTGCCTCCCAAAATGCTGAGATTACAGGTGTGAGCCACTGCACCCACTGCTCCTACTCTTTTGACCTCATGTAACTTTAATTGCCTCCTAAAAGCCCTGTCTTTAAATACAGTCACATTGTGAATTAGAGCTTTAACATGTAAATTTTGGATGAAACACAATTCAGTCCATAGCACTTTCTCTTCACTAGTGGGCATTCATTCCATTTACAAATCTTAAAAAAAGGCTGGGGGTGGGGGGTTAGGAATCATTTAGAAGCTGTTTACTTCTTCGGAAGGGTAGAAGGCCCCTTTCAGTCCTTCTACTCTGCTAGTAAGCTTGCCTATTATTCCAATATGATCTCTGCTAAAACACTGATATGCTCCCTTTTCTATTCATCTTATTTTTGTGACCCCATCTGTTCACCTTTTACCACTTAAGGAAAAGCAAAACTCTTACACATTTTTTTCCAGAGTATAGCTACTACTCTAAATCTAATGGATTTCTGGCTCTGACACTTGTTCCTTAACCTTGCTGATAAAATTTAATAGCTATTCTCTGAAATACTTCAAAAGACAAATTCTCTTTAACAGGACATTCTTGGCACTTTAGCTCCCCTCACCTTCAATTTTGCAAATTGAACCTTGACCTCATAACAGCAAAATGCTTCCGCCAAGGTCATTACAATCCTATCAACAAGGCCTAGTCAATCAAGAATAGGCACTAATATTGGGTCTAAGCTATCACAGTTTCTTTCTTCAGAGATAATCTGGCCTACTTTACAGAAACTGTCTAATTCCACTCAAGGAATTTGTCCAACTCAAAGCACATAAATTGACATTTCTATTGCAATAAATGATACTTATTCTCCTCATACAACGTACGCTTCACTGGGATACTGTTTCTTATATGAAGATCAGCCTTATATCTGTTGAGCACACTCTTACTTATCCTGGGTATTTGGAGTAATCGTTAGAAATTTCCAGATGTTGAAAACTACCATTGATGGGGTTTGAATGTTTACCCCAAATTTCTTGTGTTGGAAACCTAATCCCCAATGCAGCAGTATTAAAAAGTGGGTCCTTTAAGAGGTGATTCAATTATGAAAGTTTGCTCTCATTAATGGATTAATTCATTTATAAATTAATGGGTCAATAAACTGAATTATGGGAGTGGAAGTGTTGTCTTTATAAGAAGAGGAAGAGAGACCTGAGCAAGTACGTTAGCATGCTCAGCCCCCTCACCATGGATACCCTGTGCCTCCTTGGGACTCTGCACAGAGACTTCACCAGCAAAAAGGTCCTCTCCAAATGTGGTCCCTTGACTTTGGACTTCCAGTTTCTGTAACTATAAAAAGTAAATTCATTTTACTTATAAATTACCCAGTTTCAGGTATTTTGTTAAAGTAACAGAAAATAATACAACCATCCCATTAGTGAATTATATTTTCTTAAATATAATACCTAGAAGGCTACAAAATAAAATAAACTCAAGTATTTAAAATTAATTTTAAAACTTCCAGAAGAGATATTGTCTTTTCATGTATATTCTTCAAGCTATAATTTTCATAAAAATAAAACTTGAAAAGCTGTTTCAAAACTTATTTTTAGCCTTAAAGTAATAAATGATAGCACTTCTGCTCAGAAAGCAAAAAAAAAAAAAAAAAAAAATCGCCTAAATAGATTTACTAAAGTTGTCATAGACAATTGTGTAGTCTTTAATGTCCTCTTAGCCAGTCAGAGTAGAGTTTATCTCAAAGTAAATACTTCTGGTTACCCTTATACAAATACACAGGGCAAATAGAACAGTCTGTGACTATGTTTTCTAAAAAGCCTATCTCACTCTCTAAAGCAGAAACAACTGGATTCTGGGACCTATTACCATTGCCTTGGTTTAATAATGTAAGTGGTTGTGTTCAAAACCTATTTTAAAAAGATTTTTTAAAGTGTCTTTTAAAAACTAAAAAATGAGACAAAAAGGGATACAGAATAAATAGAATGTACATTAAGAATATAGGTAAGTAGAAAGTTGATGAATTCAAACCAAAATAAATTATTACTTTCATTGAATGTAAAGGTAATACATGTTCCAATCAACAGAAAAAAGAATTAGATTGTATTAAAAACAAAACAAAATCTTAGAAATAAGCGTATTTCATAATAACAAATATATAACAATTCCCAATTTGTGTTCCCTCGGTGTTATATTTATGCAGCAAACATTAACAGAAATACATGGATAAATGAACAAATTCACAACTATTTCAGAAGTTTTTTAACACACCTCTCCAACACCAATAAAACAAGAAGATAAAACATAACAAATATACAGAAGATTGAACTATACTTTTAGCAACCTTGGCCTTGTTGATGTGTGTGTGTGTGTGTGTGTGTGTGTGAGTGTGTGTGTGTGTATAATTATATGCATAGGAACTGCAGAACTGCCAAAATAAATGTACCTTATTTTCAAGGGAAATAGAAAATTTCTAGATCTCCGCCATATGTTGAACACAAAATAAGACTGAGTGAATTTCAGTGCATTAAAGTCATGCATAATCTAATCTCTGATCACAAAGAAGTAAATCCATAACCAAATTTTTTTTTTTTTTTTTTTTGAGATGGAGTCTTGCTCTGTCACCCAGGCTGGAGTGCAGTGGTGCGATCCTGGCTCACTGCAAGCTCCAAGCTCCACCTCCTGGGTTCACGCCATTCTCCTGCCTCAGCCTCCCAAGTAGCTGGGACTACAGGTGCCTGCCACCATGCCCGGCTAATTTTTTATATTTTTTAGTAGAGACAGAGTTTCACCATGTTAGCCAGGATGGTCTTGATCTCCTGACCTTGTGATCCGACTGCCTCGACCTCCCAAAGTTGTGGGATTACAGGCGTGAGCCATCATGCCTGGCCAAAAATTTTTGAATTAATGTATATTTGGGAATTAAGAGATGAATTATAAACAACCTATTGATCAAAGGAGAAATTACAAAGAAAAATTTTTGAGATATATATTTTTCAAACTGTAAGTGAAAAAAATATGAATTTTTAAAACAGTGAAATATATATATTCAAAAATTTTTAATAGTTTAATAGCACAGGAGTGTTACTACAGTTAAGAATTTATTGTATATTTTAAAACAGCTAGAAGATTTAAAATGTTCCCAATACAAATAAATGACAAATGGTTAAGGAGATGGACATACTCAATACCCTGATTTGATCATTACACATTGTATGTATATATCAAAATATCACATCTACACATAAATATGTACAGTTATTACATACCAATAAAAATGTAAAAATCTTGGCAGAGTACAGTGGCTCACTCCTGTAATTACAGCACTTCAAGAGGCTGACGTGGGAGGATCACTTGAGGCAGGAGTTCAAGACCCGCCTGGCCAACATGGTGAAACCTCGTCTCCATTAAAAATACAAAAATTAGCTGGGTGTGGTGGTGTGTGCCTGTAGTCCCAGCTATGTGGGAGGCTGAGACATGAGAATCACTTGAACCCAAGAGGCAGAATCCAAAATGTTGTGATTACAGGCATGAGCCACCGTGCCCGGCCGCCCCTACTCTTTTGACCTCATTTAACTTTAATTGCCTCCTGAAAGCCTTATATTTAAATGCAGTCACATTGTGAATTAGGGCTTCAACATGTAAATTTTGGATGAAACACAATCCAGTCCGTAGCACTTTCTCTTCACTAGTGGGCATTCATTCCATTTACAAATCTTAAAAAAAAATGTGGGGGATTTTATTGCTGATGAAAGTGGCTCTCAGTGGAAAGGGGAGCTGAAAAGTGGGCAGAGTAGGAAGATAATCCCTGGCGGGACTCCTCTCTGAAACTACACCATCAAGACATCCCTCTGAAGTCAAGCTGCTTCTCTCCAACATCCAACCATAGTCTCCCATGTCCCACTGCCTCTCCTTTTCTCCCTCTTCTGCCTGCAGAGCCTGGGGTTTTTAAGGGCACAGGATTTGGCATGGGGGTGGGCCATGAGTGGTTTTGGAAAAGGCAACAGTCAACCAGGAAAACAGGAATGTATGTTCTCTTTTTGGGCCGTGGTTCCAGGCTTGTGGGTGGGCCACTCACCGGGGCCCCACCCTCTTCTGCCCAGAATTTCCCTGCCTCCTGTCCCTATCAGTCACTCACACACACACACACACACACATGCACGCATGCACACACGGACACACACAAAGTAAGAACATTTTAATGATGGCAAAGTTATACTTAAAGAGAGACCCATAGCTTTAAAATTAATATATTAGGAAATGAAGCTAAAAATTACTGAAACCAAATATTGAATGAAAAACTTGAATAAATTTTGGTTGAACTTCAAGAAGTAGACTGAAGAAAATATTAATAATGAGACTAGGAAAAAAAACATAGAAAACAACACATTTCTGTACAAATTAACAAAGCCGAAATAGTTCTTTGAAAAAAAAAAACTAATAAAATTGATTAGTTCAGACTAGAATTATTAAGAAATAAAAGGAGATACAGCACAAATAAACAGCAGCAGAAATGAAATCAGATTATCATTACAGAGTTCATTATCAAGATAATTTTTGTGGTTATTATAAATGAGTTTTCAGTATATTTCCAAAAATGTATATTAAAAAATGACGACACCTAAGGAAATCTTGAATAGGACCACATGGGAAAATGTCTTCTATCATTACAATGTTATAGTTATTAATAAAAAACAATATTGTTACAAAATAAATAAATAGACCAATGCAATAGATTTCAGAAACAGACCCACACGTATAGACACTTGATTTGTGACAAAGATGGAACTGCAAAGCATTAGGTAAAGGACAGTCTTCAAATAATTAGTGCTGGGTCAATTTAATCCACATATGTAAAAAACATGAAACAACTCCTATCTTATACCATTCACAGAACAATATTTTCCATTTGGATTGTACATTTCAAAGTCGAAAACAAAGCACTTAAGCTTTGAGAACATTTTTATGATTTCAGAACTGGGAAAACTTGTTAAGTAGGGGAAAAAAGAGACACTGATCATAAAGTCTGTTCATCAAGAGACATTAACAAATAAGGAGTGGGAAAGATATATGGCTATCTGTAGCATATATTAATAGTACCAACAAGGTGCTCAAGGAGGAAAAGACCACAGAAAGTTGAAACTCAGACAACATATTTGAAAGGCACTTCACAAAAGAGGATATCCAAATGCCAATAAACATGTGAATAGATTTTCTACTGATTAATCAGTAGGGAAATAAAAGTTAAAGCTACACAAAATACAAGTCCACCAAGAAAACTCAGTTTGAAATGATGAAAATTGCAAGATGTTCAAATCTGAAAAATGTGCCTTGGACTTTATGATAATGGAAATTCACAAGAACAAAGTCCATTTGCTTAAAGTGTGGTCTGAATCAGTAATTTACTTGCTGCCAGCGGAAGAACTCAGAGAGCACTATGTTAATGACCACTGATCTTAATGTCACAGAAATAAAAACTGCATTTTAGGGAGGGTAGCAGTGGTGTGTTGGACGTACACATCTTTTCCCCTGCTTTCAGTGAAATCATGTTGGTAAGTTGAAATAGGCCACATGGGAAGAAATTGACGAACACTGCAAATCAGGGCTATTTTTTTCTTCTGGAGAACTGACTGTTGAACACGTACCAGTACGCCACACTAAGAAATAAATCCTGGCTGGGCGCAGTGGCTCACGCTTGTTATCCCAGCAGTTTGGGGGGGTCAAGGTGGGCAGATCATGACGTCAGGAGTTTGAGACCAGCCTGGCCAACGTAGTGAAACCCCGTCCCTACTAAAAATACAAAAAATTAGCCTGGCGTGGTGGCAGGCACCTGTAATTCCAGCTACTCGGGAGGCTGAGGCAGGACAATCGCTTGAACCTACGAGGCGGAGGTTGCAGTGAGCCGAGATCGCGCCATTGCATTCCAGCCTGGGTGAGGGTGCAAGACTCTGTCTCAAAAAAAAAAAAAAAAAAAAAAGGAAAGAAATCCTGCCTTCTACAGCCTTACAGAAACAGAAAAGCTGATTCAATGAGAGGTTAGGTGCTCTCACATCCAATTTGTGAGCCAAACCTCTCCATTGTAGGGAGAGAACTTCAGAGTATTTGAGAAAATTTAACAAACCATAGGAAATTTCCCTTTTTTCAGGATAAGGGCACATTTTCATTTAGAGCACAAATTTAAATTTTAATGTGGTAATGTGGCATATTTGCTACACCAAAATCATTTCAATTCAAAATTTGGAGTGTTTTTTTCCACTACAAGTTAAATAACTTCATTGTTCAGTTTCCAAATGTAATCTTCCAAATTAGACAAATGTGAACTACTATGAAGGAGACATAAAGTTCACATGAAGCTTTCATGATGTTAATCTTCATTACATGTTTTCACCTTGTTCAAAGTTGTTCCTCCGATATACACAGCTATGGCTGATTGTAAATAAACAGATGGCTGATGGACAGAATGCTGTATTTCCCTCATTTCTAATTATACAGTATAAAAAGCACACATCTTTTAATAATAGCATGTCAGAAATTTACATTTATTTTGTTGAAGAAACGGGGATCATTGGACCACTGATCTTCTGTCTCTTCATCCCACTGGGATGAATCATTTGTTTTGCTCTATTAACTGCACATTCCCTTGGATGGTATTTTTTCCTCCTGCATTTAAAGGAAGAAACACTATTTTCAAGCATTGTTAATGTCAATGTAGTTTATGTCTTAAACTTTTAATGTTTACTTTTAATTAGAACAGAATCTAATATTTTTGCTTAATGTAATTGCTTCATATAATTCCAAAGTTAATTGATAGAAACACAGTAATTCCGGATCTTACCTGTGACACTTCCCTATTTAACAAGCAATGGAGAAAATCAATAAAAATAAAAACGTAATTTGCTCTAGATAGATAACTACTCTCAGTTTCAATATCCTCTTTTTCTCCCAACTTTGTAATAGGCTAAGAATTATATAATATTTTGACTAACATTGAGACCATCCATGGTGCTCCTTCATAGGATAGCTCAGGTGTATATATTGAGCATATAATGTAATATTTTTATTTACATAGCCAATAAATTTGAGGTTCAAAAAATGAGTAAGCAGGAGAAGCAAGAGCAGAACTGAGGCTTTAGAATACTTAAAATCCCCCATGTTATGCATTAAAGCAAAATGGGCACTGGCACCGCTTGCTATCTATGGATTAATTCTAGATTCTTTCTCTCACCTTAACCCATTAAATCACCTTTATGAATTTGTGCCTGCACTGTCAATACAACAACCAGTAGCCACATGTGCTATTGAGCGCTTGAATTGTGGCTACTCTGAAATAAGATGTTGTGTAAGTGAAAAATTCACACTGGATTTTGAAGTCTTAGAATGGAACTAAATAACTTAAAATACCTCATTTTAAATTTCTATATTGATTATGTGTTGAAATATTAATACTTGGATATATACAGGGAAATAAAATGTTTATTACAATTGATTTTACCTGTTGCTTTTTACATTTTAAATTAGGATAACAGAAAACTAAAAATCAGGTATGTGGCTCACATTAGAGGCTTGCTTTATACATCAGATTGACCACACTGCTCTGGATTTTTCTCATTCACATTTCTGTGCTTGGCTTATCTTTTTTATTTATGCAAGCTATGATTTTCCTGCCTGCAACACTGGCTTCTTATCACAATGATTATTATTCTTTACTTTGTTCTCCTTTGGATATGTCCATCCTGCATTTCCTGATTGAGTTTTGACCATGGTGGTGTGCCCATAGCACTCTGCTCCAGCCAACCCTGAAACGCCACCAAAGTTGGGAGTGCTGATTCCCTTAGGATCCTTATGAAGTGCAGCTTGCTTATAGGCTGGAAGGGCATTCAAGACGCTGTCAGCTATCAACGAAATACTCCACAGCATCAAGGTCCTTTCTCCAATAGTTAAAACAACCAGTCACTTTTGTGCTAGAACAAAATCTACTCAGTAAGCACCTTTAAAAAGGAAAATTACAAGAGAGTATTTAAATACATATATTATATATATTTTAATATTAATATAGATATATTATATATTTTTTTTTATTTCACCTTACCCAAAGTTAAAAATTAACCTAGAAATTCATACACTTAAAAGGACACAAGCAGGAGCTGGTCATTATTATAACTCATTAAATGTTAGTAAAAATGAACTTCCAGTTTTGTTTTTGAAAGTTACCCAAAACATTTTATTTTGTTTAGAAACATTAAAAATAGAGAATCCATCATATCAAAATAATAGGAGAAATCTTTTTTTAAAGTTTGCTTTTCCTTTTGATTTACAATTAGCTGTCAGGATAACAGAAACTAGTCATATACAATCTCAGGGAATAACCACCATAAAAAATATATTTAAAGGAGGATCTGCAGGGTCTTAGTAAATTATTGTGTCCAGTAGCAAAATAAATTTTTCATTTTTAAAACCCCAGTCAAATATGATTAACTAGGGTCTATGACACCCACTTACTATTTAAGGTCGACAAATGCAATGTTATTTCTATGATGATAGTGCTATACCATACTATATGGCCACATGGAGTTGTAGCACAAATGAAATATTTCATCCTTACCTTTCAGATACTGATAACCATAATTATTGTGTATGTAAATTTAATTTTCCCATTTTGTATCACATAATCTTTTAGATTTTTTAACTGAGTCATTTTGTGCTAGAAAACATCTACGTAGTGAGTCATCTTAAGAAAAAGTAAAATCAGGAGAGAATCTAAATTTTTTGGCATCAGGAAATTCTAATTAGAATATATTTTATACAGTTGAGAGAACACAAAGTTGTAAACATTAAAATGGGAGAAAGAGGAAAACCCAGATTTAAATGTTCTTATTTGGTAGCTAAAATCATCTCATTAAGACCAATAAAATATACAATTAGGTGTTTTTTTCATATTTAAGTTTACATGGTTACCTTTAGGACAAAAAATGTCAAATGACTGAACAATTGATTCCAAATTGAATCACTATTATATTAGTTACAAATTACCTACCTACAGTTCACTAAAATTATTGTTCACATAAACACTAACAGTACTCAACAAAAAGTAACATTTTTCAAATTAATAAATACAAAATATGTTTTACAACATGGAAGTCTGCTCTTCATGTATAAATCTTTTTCTTTTCAACTTTTATTTTAGAATCAGGGGGCACATATGCAGACTTGTGACATAAGTATATTGCATAATTGAGGTTAGGAGTAAGAATGAATCTATCACCCAGGTAGTGAGCATAGTACCCAATAGGTAGTTGTTTTCAACGCTTACCCATCCTGCTTCCTTCCTCCCTCCTCTTGTATTGCCCAGTGTCCATTGTTTTTATTTTTATGATCATGCGCACCCAATGTTTAGTTTCGACTTAAAAGTGAGAACACGCAATATATGACTATTTCTGCATTATTTTGCTTAAGATAATGGTTTTCAGCTGCATCCATGTTGCTGCAGAGGACATGACTTTTTTCTTTTTTACAGCTGTGTAGTATTCCATGGTGTATATGTGCCACATTTTATTTATCCAATCCACTGTTGATGGGCACCTGAGTTGACTGCATGTCTTTGCCGTTGTGAACAGCACTGCAATGAACATCAAGGTGCATGTGTCTTTTTGGTGAAAGATTTATTTTCCTTTGGGTATATACCCAAGTAGTGTGATTGCTGAGTCCAGTGGTAGTTCAACTCTCAGTTCTTTGAGAGATCTCCAAACTTCCAAACTGCTCTCCACAGTGGTTGAACTAATTTATTAATACATTCTCACCAACAGTGTATGAATGTTCCCTTTTCTCCATAGCCTCACCAGCATCTGTTGTTTTTTGACTTGGTATTAATAGCCATTTTGACTGGAGTGAGATGGTATCTCATTATAGTTTTCATTTGTATTTCTCTGATAATTAGTCATAATGAGTATTTTTTTTCATATGTTTGTTGGTCAATTGTATGTCTTCTTTTGAGAAATGTGTTTTCATGTCCTTTGCCAACTTTTTGTTTTTTGCTTGTTAAGTTTCTTATAGATTCTTAATATTAGACCTTTTTCAAATGCATAGTTTGTGAACATTTTCTCCCATTCTATAGGGTGTCTCTTTACTCTGTTGGTCACTTATCTTGCTGTGAAGAAGCTCTTTATTAGGTCTCATTTGTAAATTTTTATTTTTGTTGTAATTGCTTTTGAGGACTTAGCCATAAATTATTTGCCAACGCCAGTATCAAGAAGGATATTTCCTAGGTTTTTTTCTAAGAATGTTATAGTCTGATGTCTTATACTTAAGTCTTTAATTCATCTTGAGTGAATTTTTGTATATGGTGATAGGTAGGGGTCCAGTTTCATTATTCTGCATATAGATAGCCAGTTAGCCCAGCACCATTTATTAAATAGGGAATCTTTTCCCCATTTCTTTTTTTTTGTTGACTTTGTCAAAGATAAGATAGTTGTAGGTGCTCAGCTTTATTTCTGGGCTCTCTATTCTGTCCCATTGGTCTATGGGTCTGTTTTCGTACCGGTACCATGCTGTTTTGGTTACTGTAGCTTTGTAGTATAGTTTGAAGTTGGGTAATCGATGTGTATTAGTCCACTCTCATGCTGCAATAAAGACATACTTGAGACTGGGTAATTTATAAAGAAAGAAAGATTTAATGGACTCACAGTTCCACATTGCTGGGGAAGCCTCACAATCAAGGTGGAAGAAAAAGGCATGTCTTACAGGGTGTCAGGCAAGAGAGCGTGTGCTGGGGAACTGCTCTTTATAAAAGCAACAGATCTCTTGAGACTTATTCACTATCATGAAAACAGCATGAGAAAAACCCACCCCCATGATTCAATTACCTCCCACTAGGTCCCTCCCGTGACATGTGGGGATTATGGGGGCAACAATTCAAGATGAGATTTGAGTGGAGACACAGCCAAACCCTATCAGATGCCTCCAGCTTTTTGGTTGTTGTTGTTGTTTTGTTTGTTTTTTTTGTTTTGCTTAGAATTGCTTTGGCTATTCAGGCTATTTTTTGCTTCCAAATGAATTTTAGAATAATTTTTCCTAATTCTGTGAAAAATGACATTGGTAGTTTGATAGGAATAACATTGAATATGTAAATTGCTTTAAGCAGTATGACCATTTTAATGATTTTGATTCTTCTAATCCATGAGCTGGAGATGTTTTTCCATTTATTTGTTTTTGTTTTGTTTTGTTTTGTATCTCAAACGTCTTTCAGCAGTGTTTTATAATTCTCCTCACAATGATATTTCACCTCCTTGGTTAGCTGTATTCCCAGGTATTTTATTCTTTCTGTGGCTATTGCAAACGAGATTGCATTATTGGTTTGGCTCTCAGCTTGAGCATTATTGGTGTATATATTGCTACTTATTTTTCTATATTGGTTTTGCATCCTGAAACTTTACTGAAGTCATTTATTAGCTTCAGGGGCCTTATTAATAGTCTTTAGGGTTTTCTTGGTAAAAAAATCATATCATCAATGAAGAGATAGCTTTACTTCCTTTTTTCCTATTTGGATGCCTGTTATTTATCCCTTTTGCCCAATTGCTCTGGCTAGAACTTCCAGTACTATGTTGAATAGGATTGTTAAGAATGGCACCAGTTTTCAAAGAGACTGCTTCCGTCTTTTGTCTATTAAGTATGATGTGGGCTGTAGGTTTCTCATAAGATAGAATCTAAATTTTTTTTAAAAGTTCATCATAAACTAGGAAATTCCTAACAAACAGAAATGACTCAGTAGAAGCAGGTAGTCTACCATATTGTAATGGTTATTGCATAAAATAATTGAACCGCAGCTTTCAACTCATTGAAGATGTAGTAATAATTTGGCATAAATGAGTATAAATTCAGTATAAATAATATTAATGGGATTTAACCATTTCACTTCTGTTTTGATATTCTCAAACTGTCACAAAAATATGTAATCCATAATTTCACTTGCTAACACTGTTATAAAGAAAATTGTGATTTGTTGTGATTTGTTTGTGACAATAAAAGTGCCTAAAAGAGAAATGGTCAACATGATTCCCCAGTGAAGAAGGGACAAAGTAAATCTCAACAGAAATAGATATACCATTTGGCCAATAAAGCCTCCCTTTAAGGGTTCTCATTTCTACATCCCTTCCAAGATCCCAAATGTAATATTTATTAGTAATCCTGCATTGCCTTTCTTTTTTTTTATTCTCTAAAATATCTATTTATTTATTCTTTCCAGAACTAGAAAAGTGAGAGCACAATTTATAATATCCTAAAATCATTTTATCCCCAGGCATTGCAAAACCCAGTCATGCCAGATCCCAAGCTAATTTATTAGTTAATATTTTTTCCAGAAAACATAAAGCAATTAAATGCCTATATTTAAGTACAGACTAATAATTATCAAATTTCATTTACATCAATGAAAGAGAAAAATCTTAAAAATCAGTACTTCACAACATTTTCACTACCAGTAACCCCTTGAGTTGCACTTTCCTTCATTAACTGATGTTCAATATGTTTTAGATAATAGGGTTTCACAGAAAAACAACATGAGATTGGGGTAAAAATGACTGATTTAAATTATGAGTCTCTCTTACATAGCCTGTATAATTTGAAGTAAGCTATAGTTCCTTTTCTCTATTCTTATATATATCTACATGATCATTCTAATATACATTCACATATAAAGGGAATTTTGGTTTTATTACAAAAATGATATGCTATATATTATTATAAATATATATTTTTACTTTAGATGATATAACTCTCCAGGCTGAAATTCACACTCCCATTTTTAATAAATGCATAGCAAGAATTTACCACAATTTTTGGGGCGATTTTTCCACAATGGCAAAGATGAACAACGTTGCCACAAACATCTCTCTATAGATAGAGAGACAGAAGGACAGAGGTGGGGGGAGAAGGGAAGAATTGAGATTGAGAGTTAGGATGTGTGAAAAACAATATTACTAATATTAACACTACTTTGATTTTCAGTCAAAAACGATGTGTCTCTTGATTATCTAATTGCTTTAATTATCATTTCAATAAGTGTTCAATTTTTATGCCCATACCATTCTATTGTTTTAATATTTCAGATTTGAACTCTTCACTCATTTAATTCATATTTAACACTTTTTTTTTATAGCTAGAAGTACTTTTGGAAAATATTGTTCTATTTTGGGAGCTATGTTTCCTGGATTTCAGTTTGTAGCTATTCATGGTTATCATATGGTAAGTTTATTTCATTTTGTTGTTTGATTTGTGCTACATCTGAAGTAAGAATGCTTCTTACTAACATGTCATTTAAGATAAAAGAACTTGATTTTTTTTTTTTCTACTCATTTTTCTGTGTCTCAAGAGAATGAGTGGTGAGAGGCTGGGACAACGGAGAATCAAAAAGGTTAAATTTTTGTAAGATGTTTTAAGTCAGTTCTCCATTCAAAAAACTTTTTAAAATGTCCTATACCAGGACACACTTGGTGGTCCTGGGAGAAACCTCCCCAACTCAGACGGTTTCCCCTAAATTCAGGGTGTGGCCTTAGAGCCTTCTCAGTTGTTGATTTCCCCAAGTCTATTGTTTTCAATTCTCTTTAGGAAGCAGAGTTTCTTTAAGATTGAGAATATTTTATTTCATTAAAATGTAATTTCCAACGCTGTTTCTTACCCTTCTCTCATTCTATAACATATGTATTTTAGCTATTGTTTTTAATTGCAAGAACGAAAACCTATTCCAGCTACTTAGAGAAAAAAGAAAATAAGCATAAGGATAATAGTCTTTCAGAAGATCCAATAAGTAGTCGAAAATAAGTCCTCAGAAAGAAAAGAACCAGATTAGCTCTGTAGAAGTTTGTGAATCTTCAGTGCTGCTAACATTATTGACACCCAAATTTGAAATTTTCGAATTCTACAGTTGACGAGGCTTTAGTCTGGCACCCAGCCTTGCACTAATCAATGTGGCTGGAGGGTTTGGTCATATCCTACAGACACAGCTACTCGGCAGGACTGCTACATAATTTTGTATAGCCAAGTGCAATGTGAAAATGTGGGTTACCTTGTTCAAAACTTATTAAGAATTTTCAACGAGCCATGGCAGAGAATTAAAACATGTGTAGGGGGGCCCTTCGAAACTGCATAGGTCACATATCCATGAAGCCAGCATGGAGATCATGGAATCTGCATAGATGTGCTAGAGGGAGGGAAAGAAGTTCCCAGAAGTGCAGCAACTGGACAGAGGAAACTTTTTTTTAATGTTTAGTACACTGTACATGGCTTACTATTTTAAATGGAGGCCAGGCACTTCTAATACTGATCTTTTTATAACTTTATATTGTCTCTGACAGCTGGGGTCTACAGCAGCCTCAAAAATGTCATAGGTTTTAAATTTCTCCCTCCATGCCATTCTTTCTACTACCCTACAATTTTTTTTTAGACCCTAGTGCAGTGTTTATCAAGCTGTCTGACATGACAACCCAGTTTTTGTTTATTGTCAAATAGTTCAGACTAATATGTATACAAAATAAGAACATAGATTATTTGAAGAATAATATAATACATCTCAATTTTTATTATTAGAGTCAATATTATAATCTATTAAATATAAGCAGGATGAATGTACATAGAAGAAGACAAGATTTTAGAAGATAAGCCATAAATATTTGTTGAAAGTGTTGATATGGGTGACTAATACAGAAAAACACAGTGACTCTTGCAACTTCTTTTGTTTGGCAATCATAAGAAAAAAGTAGGAGCAAAATTGTAATTTCCCATACTACACAAACAGTTTGAATACCTACACAAACAGCTTGAACAAACACCATATATAAGATTATTTAAAATTTTTGATGTGACAAATATGCTTCTCTACTTAATAACGATCATTGTTACAGTTTTCTCCTGATACCTCTGATTTTCTTAATGATGTAAATACAAAGTAAAAGGGAACATAGGAAGAACATTTAGAAGAAACATAAGTGTTCTTAAACAGAGATTTTAAATGGTTTCTCCACACAGATGTATTCATCTAGTCTAAGTCTCTTCAGGGACACCTCAGTCCATCACAGCCTTGAGGCACCTTCAGGAAAGAAAGAGAAATCCCAGGCCTCAGGGGGCTGCTTATAACGTCAGCTGCCCCAGCTGCAGTAGTAACATAAGTGAAGAATATCCCCATTTTAGTTGGAGTTTAAGCGCAAAATGTACAGTGGATATTAATGTATAAGAAATACAGCATCTAGAAGTAGTGATGCATACTCAGAGTCCAAATTATTAATTTTGTAATAATTAATTGATATAATACTGTATTATCTTCAAATCAGCAACTAATAAAATTAAAACAATAACTGTGAGTATATTGCAACTCAAAAATTTCTTTAAGGGATCTGATGAGGATTAATGTATAATTTCATATTCCATTTACAGTGTTCAAATACAAGCTTTTTGGTATACTAAAAAATAAACTGTGCATCAGAATTACTAATGCTCCATTTCTCAAATGTGATGGAACTGGAAAAAAATCCTTTGTAAAGCTACTTCTCTAAGAGAAAACCATTGTCATAAATTCTTATCACTTGTGTTTTTAATATATGTAATTAGCTTAGGACATATAATGAGTAAGGTCTTGTTCTAAGTATCAGTTCCACGGCTGCGTCCACTTGCATGCTTTTTTTTTTCTCCTCTACCCATACTTAGCTTACACTACTGAGCAATGTCATCTCTTAAACTGCTATTTATTTATTAGTATTGAATATTGAAAATTAGCTATATATTTTCCTGATTTTAAAATAAGTAAATGCACATTGTGAGAATTTTGTAAAACAGAAAAAGATATTTTAAAAATCTCTAATAACTTGACCACTCAGAGAAAAAGTTGCCTATATTCTATTATAGTTTCTTACATAGTTAAGATCAACATTATAATTTCTATTTTTATCTCTGATTCCAACTTCCAGTTCTCTTTCCAACATAAGCAGATTCCATACTTTTTGCACTATATGTAACACTGAACATTTTGCTAGGTCATCACATATTCCTTATAAACATAAATTTTCCCAGTAAAATTGTGATCTCTCTCCATCCTCCATATTCTTGTAATTTAAAAACAAAATATTTGATAGGATGTGACAAGCATGTATTTCCATTTAATCATTTGACTTTATTAATTTATCAGAATGCAGTACGATCTTTGAGTTGAATAATGTTAATTCAATTTTTTTCCCTACTCCTGCATTGTATTATTGCTTCTGTACCAGTTGTTTTGGTTTCTGCTTCAGGAATTCTGTTCTCCATATCTATTCTGAGATTCCTCACTGTTTTTCTTGTACTGTTTTACTCTTCATGCTGGAAGGGCATCTTAACATTACTGATCAAATTATAGTAATGTCAATTGGCTTTTAATGATAGTTTCACTTTTTCTCATTTATTTGCCAGCACGTTTTAGATTATCCCTCTTTCTGAGATATTTTTTGTTGATTTTTTGTTTTGAATTTCCAAAGCGGATAATTGAATGAATCATATTTCTTAGTCTATGCTATGTCATATAATAAATCAGTAGGATGACTGTCACATTTTTCCCCTTAAATTTTCAATTCTGAATCCCATTCCATCCACCATAGCAGTGACTTTAATGTTTTGTTATGGGTGTTTTGACAAGTATGTGTCTTTAACAAATATGCTATTTGATGCATATACATATTTTTGGCTTATAAAAATGAGATAGTGTTATAGGTTCTTATGTTTTCCCCCCTTTAGTCAAGACTGAGTTTTTAAATGAATTCATATAACTTAGGTACATCAAATTCTTTACAACTACCATCTACACAGTTATTTCTATCACTTGATACACACTCATTTTCTTAGTTTTGGGTATCTATTTGTCTAACAGTTCCTGATAGCACAAGCAGTGCTGCAATGAATGAATTTATATAGGTTTCCCTCGTGAACTTATTAAGAAGTTCTCTATCCTCTGAACATATAAGATCGCTGGACAATAGGATTTTGCCATGCTTAATTTCACTAAATGCTGTCAGTTACTTTCCAGAGAGCCAATTCTAGTTTGCATACCAATTAGAAGTACGTAAAGACTTGTGTTCCCTATTTCCAAATAATCCAATTTGTTTATTTAAAAAATCTATTAAGCATAAGGCAGTGTATCAGTTATTTTAATTAGGAATTACTTCATTACTGATGAGTTTGCATTAGCATATCTTCATATATTTGTTGTCATTTCCCATTTTTTGTATTTTTATATTTCATTCATTTTTAATTTTGGTTTATTTTTTCTTACTTATATTAGTTGATAATTTTTGACACATATCTCATTGATTTGGATGCTTCATATACCTTCTCTCAATCTGTTAACTTTTGTGTGCTTGAATAATTATCCATGACTTGACATGGTCATATATATTGACTTTTTTTCTCATTACAGTTTGTGCTTCTATAGTCCTTGGGAGGAAGAACTTCCCTTCTCCAAAGTCACAATCTTCTATACATTCTTCATTTTGAGGTATAATTTTAACATTTAGTTCCTTAAATCCTCCTGGAGATTACCTTTATATAGTGTAGAGTCCCCTTGTAACATTTTCTTTAGTGTGAGCCTGGTTTTCAAATACATCTACTAAACTACCCATCTGTAGCCTGTGGATTTTGGAGTCATTACTGTGGTATATCAAACCCCTATCTATACCTGGATGGTTTTTTGAGCTCTATTTTCTCAACCATTTGACTGTTCACGGACAATAACCATATGGTTTATCTTATTAAAGCTTTGTAGTATGTCTTAATATCTGGTAGGATAAGTGCCCCATTTTGTTCATCTTTTTCAGAATCTGAGTTTTCATATGCATTTTAGAATAAGTTTCTCAGATTATTCAATAAAGCCTGCAAAAAATTGTCATTTGAATTGCGTTTAACCCACAAATTAATCTGGAACTAAGATTATCTTCACTATTGGGAAACACTTTTCCCACATTCCTGACTATTGTGTGTAGATAACACCTCTGCTGTGACTCTGCTGGCATGACTTTAGCCCTACTTAAGATCTACTTTAATTACTTCAGAATAGAAGGGGCGGCTTTATCTGACGAAGGACTTTGGCAATAATAAACTGGATATCGTTGGCACAGTTCTTCCCTTTTTCTTCTAGGGAGGAAGGTACCTGCAGCGAGCAGGGAAGTCTGCTTCTCCAGGCAATAACATTAATCTGGACTGGCTGTATCATTAGAACAATGGATGCCTTCAAGGATGTTGGCCTCCATCCACTGACTTTTATTTCTCAGACCTTGCTTTTAAAAAGAGCGCTATTTATTGAGTTCCTTTCAAAAGCAGTAATCTTTTGTACCTTGTCAGACAACATTGAGAACAAAATAGGGTGTGGAATTTCACAGAGAAGTAACCCAAGAGAGCTTTCTAGTCAAATCAGATTGTGTGAACCTTTAACATTTTGCCAAGGTAACTTTGCTTTGGTGATCTTTAGAGGCCTGTGTTATCCAGGCAGAATTTTGGTGTTCTGTGGTAGGTTTTTAGCTATGAAACTGGTCACAGAATATTCTGAACGTGGTGAGTGACTAGACTTTATGGTGTCTTTGTATATAGCTAATGTATATTTCTATAGGTCCACTTTAGTCCTAGGCAAAAACATTTGAGTCGTTTCATATAACGGCTGCCCAATCCTTTGGCCATTAGCAAGCTGAGTCAGCTCAAGGGTTACCGTCACCACCGGTTCCCTTAGACATTTGTCTCAGCAGGATGGGCTGAGGCAAAGATTGACTTGTAAGAAAAAAAATCTTCACAGACCTATTTGACATAAGAGGGAGCAGAAAAATATAGGTGATTGCACTGGATTTTTTTTCAGCAAGATCTGGAAGTGGGGATTTAAATTTGTGATGTAGCTGAATTCTGCAGGTTTTAATAAAACTTTAGGCTTTATTTCAATAGCTGACATGTAGCTTAGTAATAAAGTACAATCTTACGTACCCAAAGCTAAAATATATATTATTAACTTAGAGATCTTTTAAGGAACAGACAAGAAATTCATATTGGAGGCTAAAATGAGAGAAATTCAAGTTATACTAAACACAGACACACACACACACACACACACACACACACACACACACACACACACACCCCTCCAGTTAGACTGTAGTATAGGAGAACTTAGAAAAACAGTACATGAAGTGGCAATACTGTTAGCATTTCTCTTCAGCTCTTAGCAAAGTAATATGAGAAAGAAATATCAAGTAAGAATCAAAGAGGTTGAAGACAAACAAAGGGGAACAAAGAGAATGAAGAAAATTGGGTCCTTGTAGAGTTTGATAGATCAACTATCTCTGCTATCTAAAATGTAAAAAACAAGACTGAGAAAAGCTTTTGGTAGCAATGTCCTATACAGATTTTTGTGTAAAACAAAAAATGTCAGGATGAGGGGAGCCTGGCTCCATTTTCTTTCATCTTTATGCTCCCACAAAAGAAACTGGCTCAGGCTAGATCCTGAAGTTACCCATCACTCCACTTCCTGCAGCAGATACTGGCTTGGCAGTGCAGTAGTCTCTTGTGATGGTGATGGAGGAGATGATACATTTTTCTGTTTAATGTGTGAGAGAAAAAAAATCAGAGTTAACAACCTCCCTCCCCAACATACTGCTAGACTACGTGGGGGCTAACAGCTTGGCCATCTTCTACTCTTGGGGACTGTTTTCCCTCTACCAGGACCTAGCAAGATTTTATCTCTCTGTAGGTTTCTGAGAGATTTTATGTTTCTGTGATGCAACAACTTTTTATTACTTCTCAGGCTTCTTCAGGATTTGGCTGGGAAAAGGTACAGAATTGTTGGTGTGCCATCTTGGAAGGCTTGTCAGGGAATGGCTGTCTCTTTCCTTTTAAACTGAATGGTGTTCAATTTTCATGTCTTTTGGGCTCCAAAAGGCTTTTGTCTATACAAATGCTATTAAGAAAATAAAAAACATCTCTAGATTTTATCTAGATTCTTGTAGAAAAGAGCTTAAATGCTGAACTTTTAAGCTCTTTATTCGAAAGTTGTCTGTGATTGAAGTTTTTTATTTTTCATCATATGAGGAGAGCTCTATGTGTACCCAGCTGTAGGGTATGTGCATTGCCCTTGGTCCTACAATTTTTTCTGTTTAAGTAATTGGATCCACTTTCCGGGACCAAATCTGAGTGTCCAGAGATTTTGGAGTATGTCTTTGTTAGCCTCAGATTGGGCTGTTGCAAGAATATATATATATAAACCATAAGCCTATATATAAACTGCTACTATTCTCTCTACTCCTGCTTTACCTAAAACTATGGTAGAGCCATGTAAGTTCCACCCCATTCCCTGCCTACTGGTAACTGCTTTCTAAAACTTTAATTACAGATGAGTATAAAAGATGGTATGGGGGCAGGAGCAGAATGACAAGAATAGAACTCTGGCTGTCTCCAAAAGTAGTAACAATGAAACAGAGAGATGATTTTCCAACAATCTCTTCAGTCAAAACTTTCATTTCTGAACCTACAGATAGAAGGTGGGGAAAATTCCATATGCCCTTCTTTCATACCAAGTGGTATGTTCTGTTTCCAGCAACATAGTATGAGGCTTGGATTATGTTCTAAATCCAGTTATAATCTAGTTTTCTAGTTAGATTTTCCTCTAGACTCCATTAATAGCTATGCATTTTCATCACTTTTTCTCTTTTTGTTACTCTTTTGGTCTCCATAGGTCTTTTACTGAGAAGTCAGAAAAGGCTAAGAAATGATTGCTTGTCATAGCCCCATTTTAATTTCAATATCTAACATTTTGTGCTGTATTCATTCTTCTCCAACTAGACTGCAAATTCTTTAGACCACAAGCTGGTGTGAAATAATTTGTATTCCCTAAAGCAATTAGTATTGCTATGTTTATTATAGACATGTACTAATTAGAATGCGTACAATTTATATGTAAAATATAAAAAGAGAAATACCAGAAATAAAATGTCTAGGGTCAAATTATTGAATATAGAAGACTATGTTCGAAGTTACTGAGCTTACTTTTAACTTGTCAGGCTCTTACAGACACTGCTGTTTTATTAGACTGAGGCAGTGTGGTTTATAAATGGGGCTATGATTTTTATGCCTCTTCTCTTGAGAGCCAGAAAGTCATTATTTTAATCAAATATTTATATAATAACTCGTTGAGCAGCTTGGGGTCTAAATGAATGGTTGTCTATGTGGATGAAATGAAATTAACTTTGCTCCACCAGAAAATGTATAACCTGCCAAAGTAAACACTAAAGAACAAAAATTGTATAATAAGATGATGGGGAAGAAATGTCAGTGGTAAACAAAGCATCAGCAAAAAACCTCCCATGCTGTGGTCTCAGAAAACTTTTATTTCCTAAAGAGTTCTAACTCTGGAATGAAGATATGACTTTATATATTTCAGATTGTTTGAAATGACCACAAAGTCTATTTGTTGCTCAGATCACCTGGTAATGGCTCCAGCTTTTGTGAAAACCCTTTAAACACAGCTCACCTTAAAAGGCAATATTGAGATAAACAAGGATTAAGAGCAGGTCAAAAACACCAAAGCAAAGTGCAATTGAAAAATAATTATTGGTTATTTGTCAAATCTGAGAAAATTACTACAGATGCAACGAAGATGTGGTAACCACTTTACAGCTATCAAAGTATCAGTACTCAAACTGCTCATTTTATCATAGCCATGCTTAAGTTGCATAAAATGTAAAGAACAATGATATTTTCTCCTTTATTGCTATGTAAATTTCTCTGTTTACCCTTAATCTTTTATAAGGGAAGGCAGAAATTCAATTTTTCTGGCTTTCCCTAACATTCAGCACATACCATTTTTCAAGTTGCAACATATGTAATATAAAATAAAGAGCACTACTAGTTTCAATCTGACAAATTTGTTTCACTAGTAAACCTTTAAAAAGGCAGGTAATGAAACAATTTATATTAAGCACAAAATGAATGGCATGTCCAATTAAAATAATTCTGCGGGTAAATAGAAGGGAGCATGGGGAAAATGAAAGGAAACTGACATTGGTAAAAAACCGTTTGTAAGGTGTTTTATTACTAAAACAATTCTGTGAGTTAAATTTTATTATTCTAATTTTAGAAATAACAATAAAAAGGTTCAAAGAGGTCAAGCAAATTGCTTCAAGTCACATACATTGCCTTGAGCTGTCTGCTTTGGAGAGTATATCATTTGTGTGGGGGATGCATCAATGCTGATGTGGAAGGAGAAGCAACTTTCTTACTGAATAAGAGGCCAGTCTTAGAGGGCCTTAAACATGGAACAATAAAAGCGTGGTGTAAATCACAAAGAAAGGAGAGACCCAGCAATTAGGGCAAATGATACAATCAATCAGTGTTCTACAAAAGGGAAATAAAGCCAAACCTTGAATTAGAGAATTAGTATGGTGGAAGGACAGAGGGAAAACAATCAGGAAATTATTTTACTACTTAGATGGTATGTAATAAGGATTGGAGTGAAAATGAAAGAAAGAACACCATATTTATCATAAAGCAAAGCCAATAAATATATATTTCCTATTTGCTTGCAAAATCAGTTTCATTGCCCCAATCATTTTGATAGGAAAAGAAGTGCTCTGCCCACAGCATTAGACTTCTGAAGAACTAAAGCCCAAATCTTTCTCTCCTCCTCCCACCAGTGGTGCTGATGGGAGAAGCAGTTGAAGTGGAGCTGGGTCTTTGCCAGTGGAGATGCCCACACTTCTAGCATAGTGGGAGATTGCACTCATGATTACTTTATTTCCTAGAATAACAAGTCCTTGCAGTTAGGAGGGACTTTAAAAACAACCAATATACAAATTCTTTCTGCAACACCTCTGAAAAGTGCTTGCCAACCTCTGTTCGAGCTGTGAGGCAGCTGTCATTGTTGGAACGCTCTCTCATACTTAGGCAGAGTCCCACTCTAGTTCCTGTGGTTATCACCCTTAATTACTTACATCAACTGGAAATGCCCCTCTATTCAAATATTTGTAGATTGCTATTATGTCCTTAACTCTTTTTTTTCTGTTTAACTTTCCCTGGGGTTAGGGGAAGGAAGTTTTGCTGAGGAAAACACAGGAATGTTCTGCAATAGGAGTAAAACAACTCAAGTTCTAGTCCAAGCTTAGGTTCTGCCCTACCCAAAGCAATTGATAGGTTTTCCTCATCTGAGCAATATCAGTTCAGGCCTCAGTCACTAATCCACATGCTTATTATTCTTTGATCTTTAAAAAGATATTTATCAAAGTCGGTAATATGTCAAGCACTTTCTTATCCCCTGTTCAAAGGAGTTTAAAGTCTAGGAAATCAGATGATCCAGTATTAAACATAATTTTAATATGAATGTCAAATATCACTTAACTATATTTCATATGCGATAGTTTCTTGCCCACTCCCATCCAAGTCACCTTCTCTGTGCACGCTTTTAATATTAGTCTTCTTTATTCCAATGTGGTATCCACGACTGGAGACAGTTTTTCCTATGTGGCCTAACAAGTGCCAGAGGTTGAGAGCTTAGACTGTCATGTGGGATATAGTTAAAACTGAATATTAAATATTTAGGCTGATATAAAATGGTACAGAAAAAGAGCCAGGTGCTTCAAGTCTGAGAGAAAAAACAAGAATGTACATAGAGAATAATAATCCTTAATATCTGCATAATGCTTTTCTACATTTATATGCTCTTTGATACCCTCCTCCTCCCACTGGAGTTGTAGAAGATATTATATGCACCAAGAAACTTAAGCTTTGAAAGTCTAGAGTCACACACAGATCTCAATTGAAATCCAATGTTCATTCTACCATACCACAGTGTCCTAACTATAGAAATATAACAAAAAGTGATAAAAACTATTGATTGGAACACAGGGGGACCAACTGTTCTGATTGGCCCTGAATGAGAGATTTCATGGACTGCAAGACTTTCAGTGCTAAAAAAGAGAGATTCATCAGCAAGCCAGGCAATTTGGCCACATTTATAAGGAAAAATGGTGTCCTGAACTACATATAAACATTTGTATTCAATGACTAAAAACACAATAGGCATGGAACATAAGTCACCCTTATTAAACTCTGATGAAATAATGAATCTAGGCAACTAGTGGGTGAGTAAAACTATCAGGATAAAAGGTTGACAGGAAACAATGTTATAATTGCTAGGCCATTAACAATGGACCCACTGATAAATCTTAACATCACAAAAAGTGGTATTTTCAGAGATTATTGAATCCTGATACAATTCAACAGTTTTGTTGCCAAAAAATTGCACAGCAATCAATCAAGCCTTAAGATATCATGAACAGTTAACAGGTAAATACAGAAGGAGTCATAGGAGATTTTGCTAGATGCCACCATAAAGATTCAATGGGCCAAATCTGAAATGTAAAATATAGTATTCTTTATTTTTTTGCCTGTTTACTCAACACATATATAACAAGAAAAAAAAGGAGAATCACACCAACCAAATGTCTTGTTTAGACCCTGGATTCTGACTAGAAACCAACTGCAAATAGACATTTTTGAGATGACCAGGGAAAAAAAGAGTATAATATTAAGACATTATTATTAATTTTACCACTAATGATAGTTATGAGGGTATATTTCTAAAAGTCACCCTCGGGTAGAGACATATATTGACGTATTAATATTTATGAGTATAAACATATAATGTCTGAAGTTTTCTTTAAAATACTCACATATGCACACATAAGTATATCATAGGTGATGATTCCCTTCTCTCCATTTATTCTGAATGTTTGAAAAATTCCAGATGTTAAGAAAAAGTCACATAAGCAATCAATATAGTAGATATATAAAGACAAAGGAAAAGGAAAATAAAGACAGTATCTCAAGAATGTCAGCCCAGGAGACCTCAATATTGCTAGTGGTAGGAGGAAATGGAAAAGTAAAGAGTGTGAAGGGTCAAGACCAGGGTTCATAGATGAATCTCAGTTATACAGATGGATGCAAAGTGTGTATTTGTGTGAGTGTGTGTATGTGTTTATGTAGACTTGGAAGGCAGATCTCCAATATATTTACAATGATTATCCTATGTCCTGCAACTCAAATTGACTTTTAACTTTTTCCTGTATATGTCTCTACATTTTATTGCATTTCAACAACTTGCATGTTTTTATTCTACAATCACAAGTGACACAAAATCAAATGTATATAAAAAACATTGAGTTAATTTTTATTGTATTGTATTTTATTTTATTTTATTTTTTTGAGACGGAGTCTTGCTCTGTTGCCCAGGCTGGAGTGCAGTGGTGCGATCTTGGCTCACTGCAAGTTCCACCTCCCGGGTTCATGCCATTCTCCTGCCTCAGCCTTCCCAGTAGCTGGGACTACAGGCGCCGACCACCACGCCTGGCTAATTTTTTTGTATTTTTAGTAGAGACAGGGTTTCACCCTGTTAGCCAGTATGGTCTCGATCTCCTGACCTCGTGATCCGCATGTCTCGACCTCCCAAAGTGCTGCGATTACAGGCATGAGCCACCACGCCCGGCCAAGAGTTAATTTTTAAATACCATAACTTAATGCCATATTTGCCATAGTTGGCTATGGCACATTCATTTTGAAATAAACTTCCAATGGTAAGAGATCATCTGAAAAGACAATCTCTTCAAAGTAACAGATGCAATAGAAGATACAGAAGTCAGGAAAGGATTATCAACTACATCTTTCATATGATCTAATTCACTACCTGATTACTGCTGCTTTCTAGTGATTGTTTACAAATGCCTACTGGTACTAAGTTTAGACATAGAGAGAAAATATGCACCATTGCAATAAAGTTAGTTATTTCATTCATCATAAAGAAATGTAACAAGCTACTCTCTGCATAGAAATAAAAAAGATGAGTAAGTCTCCCAAACTATCATTTAGGAAGAATGTCCTTGGAAACAATGTTTACAGGCAAGGAAAATCGCATTGGCCTTTGGTCTGTGCTTAAATATTCTTTTGGAGTTCTGCTCTAGCTTCACTTTAACAATTCTTATTCAGTTTCCCTTTCTCCTCAGTGTCTGGCCATACTGAACACTTTGAAACTTAGGTAGTGTTATCTTTTCAAAAGCAGGAATAATACATTTCCTTCTCTCTGAGAACAATATCCTTGCAATCATCCTTCGTGGCTTTTCTGTCCTTCCTACCTTTTTCTTTGCCAATATATGAGGAGTGAATATTTCCACTTGTTCTCCATTTTCTGTCAGTACATTTTACTTTGTTGTTAATGATGATAAAGAAACTGGGTTTATCTTGGCAAAGAGCTATATCTCTAACACGTAGTACAACACTGAGAACACATTAGGGTTTAATAATAAATGCTGAATTACTACATAAAATGCATAATCTTATGCTTATCCAATCACTACATAAAAATAGCAAATCCAGCACTCATCATTTAAAATATTCAGAAATCTCTTTGATAAAAACTTATCTCCCTAACTTCAGAAGCCATTGTTATATTTCTGAAGACAGAGATCTTGTTTTCTTATTAGTCTGCCAGGTAATTTAAGCTATTGATGATCTTCACCTAGAAACATAAGAACACTAAAGTAAATCATTAGTGTTGGGCAGCAGAATGGGGTATTAAATTTTGTATGATAAATAGAGCCTGCTCTCCTCCCAGCACCCAAATATGCTAATTCATAGCGGGAGAACTGAAAGATGTTTTTCTCAGCACGGCTGCTGGACTTAAGCTGATGTATTCTGACTCTCTACTCAGATGCTAGGTCCTTACATTTTTGAGATGGTTAAAGGGAGGGTGAGGGGGATGAAAATAGTTCAGAAAAGTCAAATCTACCTGACTATGATGAATCTTAAATCGATGATGCTGAGTTCATTGGTAACATGTACTAATCACGCAACCAAGCTTGCCCCAGGCTTTTATAATTCAAATATTGCATTTGAGTGCAAAACACTATAATATTGTGGACATTTTATTTTACTTCTTCAAAAGTTATGCCAGCCTAATTATTGCTTGCTTTTTTTTGAGACTGAGTATATCATATGACATATGTTGTTTCTGTTAGAATTTCAACATTTCTATATAGTAAAGAAAAAAAGGCATTCTGGGGCAAAAGAGAATTGCAGAACTGAATATTTTAAGAAATGACACAGAAGAGGACATATTATCTATTTTCTTCTTTTTACATCATTTTTGTCCTTTGTAGAATACTGTGAACCAAAAAGCTGTGAGTGCTTCTATATTAAAGAAAAATAAAATATCAATGAATACAAATGTATTAATATATAGAATTCTTCACAAGGCTTATTCACTTTTTCAGTATAGTCTTATGCCACTTAATAACAGGAATATGACCTGAGAAATATTTCCTTAGGCCATTTTGTCACTGTGTGAACATCATAGAGTGTTTTTACACAAACCTAGATGGGACAGCTTACTACACACCTAGGCTATATGGTATAGCCTATTGCTTCTAGGCTACTAACCTGCACAGCATGTTACTCTATTGAATAGGCAATTCTAAACATGTCTAAACATAGAAAAGGTAAGGTAAAAGTACAGTGTAAAAGATAAAAAATGGTACACCTGTATAGGGCACGTACCATGGAGCTTATTGGACTGGAAGTTGCTCTAGGTGAGTCAGTGAGTGGTGAGTGACTGAAGGCCTAGGACATTACTGTACACTGTGTAGAATTTATAAACACTCTACACTTAGGCTACACTAAATGTATAAAAATAGTTTTATTTCTTCAGTAAAAATTAATCTTAGCTTACTATAACTTTTTACTTTATAAACTTAATTTTTTAACCTTTCCATATTTATAATACAGCTTAAAACACACATACATTGTATAGCTGCACAAAAATAATGTCTTTATATCTTTATTCTATAATCTTTTTTCTATTTTAATTTTTTTAAATTTTTTAAACTTATTTTGTGAAAGACCAAGACACACAGATATACATAAGCATAGGCCTGCAGAGGGCCAGGAGCATCATTATCACTGCCTTCCACCTCCACACTCTGTCCCACTGGAAGGTCTTCAGGGGCAATAACACAAATGGAGCTGTCATTTCCTATGATAACAATGTCTTCTGGAATACCTCCTAAAGGACCTGCCTGTGGCTGTTTTACAGTTAGTTGTTTTTTGGTTTTTTTTTGTAATAAGTAGAAGGAGTACAATCTAAAATAACAATAAAAAGTATAGGATAGTAAATACATATACTGGTAATATAGTCATTTATTATCAAGTATTATATACTGTACATAACTGTATGTGCTATACTTTTATATGAGTGGCAGTGCAGTAGGTTTGTTTACACCGGAATCATCACAAACACATGAGTGATACATCATGCTATGACATTACAATGGCTAAGATATCACTAGCCAATAGGAATTTTTCCAGCTTCATTATAATGAGACTGCTATTGTATATGCAGTCCATCATTAACCAGAACACCATCATGCAGCATATGACTGTACATGCTTTTGTCACCCAGTGGTAAAGCATTGAATGTGGGAACAGTGGATATCAAGTACATAAACTAGAAACATCTCAGCAACAAAATTTCAAGAAATGTTACAAAGTTTCTACATACTTTTTCAGATATTCCAGTTTTCAATTTTAATGCAACGTAATTCTCAATTTACCTTTTCCTGTCACTGGCATAATGCAGACGAGAATTCCTATTGGGATGACACTTCAATGAGACAATTGTATATCACAGAATATGAATTTAGGTTGTAGCACAAGTAAATTTCTAACTCAAAGATCATTTTGTACCATCATGTGCATTTTCTTCTTACACATATAAAGAAAAGTTGATCTTACAACTAATAAACATATAATCATTCTTGTTATGATTTCTGGCTTGATGTTTTCCTTGGAAGATCCAAAAGAAAAAGGTACAATATCATTCTTTGTATGTAAGTTTATAAATGGAATACTCTCCCATGTAAATATGCCTATTTTTTTTTTGAATTCTCTAAATGAATTCACATTTTGGGAATTGTGGGTATTTCTTGGCCCATGATAAATGTCAGGGAAAAAAATTTCTTTGATATGAAAATTGTAAAAACAGATAATTAATTTCTTATTTAACAAACAGAATTCTAGTCCTGCACCCAGATTTATAATTATAGCTAGTTCAGAATCACATACAATTTTCCCATCATGAATGTAGTTTGTAGAGCTCTCTTCTTAAAAACATGAGTTGAAATTTTTAGTAATCAAAATGAAAAACATTTGCAAATTTTTCTAACATGCCTTCTCTGATGTTCCAAATTAATACCAATAATTTGTTTTGAGATGAAACGCAGAAAACACTGAAGTAAAAGAAAAAAACTTTATAACAATAAAAAAAGAAAGCAAGGAAAGTTTGCTTTTTCCTTTCTTTCTTTCTTTTACCCTGTTTTAGTTTGGGACAAAATCATTTCCATTATAATGTATATAGCCAACTCTAACTAAGGTTTAAAGTGTTAGATATAAACTGCCAGTAAAAATAACTTTCTAAAATGGAATTTAATATGTAACTTTGCCATTGCTTTTTCATCTAAATTTTCTATGGCTTTGACATTTTCCCTAACTGAACCATTCACACTCTTTGCATTAGCAAATACTAAAATAAAAAATAAGCTATCTTTCCATTAGTATGAAAGAATAAAATGACTCAAACATGCTCTAATAGAGTATCTTATATGATAATTTAAAAATATTTCTACTAATTTAGCTACCGTGAATTATGATCAGTGAGAAACAGTACAATTTTTTACCTTTCACTTGAGCCAAACTTTCTACCAACATTCGTAAAAAGATATTAACAAGTTTCTTGCTTCAACACTTCATTGTATATTCTTGACATGGAACAAATGTAAGATTTAGAAAATAAGCAGAATGTATTCAGTTAGGAACATATGGATCACAATAAATTAATAGAATAGTTACTATTTTGGATAAAGAAACATCTCATAATTAAATAACGTCTGGACAACTCTAAAAGCAGTATATGTTAATAATTAACTCTCTGTATGGAGACACAGCCCATAGAGAGTTTGTCTACTTAAAATCAGGGAAAGAGATAACCAGAAAAGGTCCTTTGCTAGATACAGAGTAAGCACTAAATAAATTAATTCCTTGCTCCCTAGAACTCTTAAAAAACAAATGACAACAATAAAACAAAAACAATCAACAGTAATACTGTTTCTAGCATCTGTTTAAGTTTTACTGTACTCAATAGTATTAAAATTATGACATATCCATAAAACACTCATTTCCTCTCTTTTGCCTATTTCAGCTTTATTTTATTTATTTTCCTAAGTGTTTGTTGCAGAAAGATGCCTTCAGGCACTACAATTACTAAATTAAGTTATTTTCAACTATCATAAACTAAAATGTGAAAATATCGACATATTTGAAAAAAGCCTTAACTATACATTATACCTGAAATCATATTTACCATTCCCAAGATATTAGAAATGTTTTATTCTGTCCAAAACTCAGTCATACACCGAGAAATGAGAGAAGCATATGGGCAAATCTGGCTTATGACTCTCTCATGAATCTCTTTCCACTGTATAAATATAAATTGCATTAAAGTCAGCCTTTGTTTCAGAAGAATGCTTACATAGTTTCAAAATATCTAGGTTTTAGCTGTCCTAATTTTGCTGACAATGGGGAATTCATATTACAAATGTTGTGGAATAAAACCATAAAGGATTTAAAGATTGTAATAGTGTCAATGAACAATTTAATTTAGAAGAAAAATGCTGTGTGGGAGAGCATGGCAGAGGAAAGGAGGATGGCAGAGGACAGCTGAGGTCAGGGCCTGTCTTTAATATGTGCCTCCTCCTAATCAAGAGTCATAAAAAAGAAAATAATGTATTCCCAGGATTAGAGTCTCTCCTCTAGACCTTATTAAATGCTTCATACCCAAATGTTAAAAATCCAAGAAACATTAATACAGAGAAATACATGAGAAGATTAAACTATATGGGGCATATGTTTCAATTTAGTTGATAGAATTTGAAAAACATGGCAACACAGATATTGCCAGCAAGGTCATAATTAAGCCATTAAATTATCAAAATAAGCTTCGTGTTTAGGTAAGACAGGGCTAGAAAAACAAACTGAAACGAAACTCTGACTAGAATGGCATGAATGAAATTTTTAATGAGTAGAGGCATAGCTCGTTTGATTACACTTTGCTTTACTGCACTTTGCAGATACTGTATTTTTCACAATTTGAAGGTTTGCAACAACCCTGCATCAAGCGAGACTGTCAGCACTGTTCTCCAGTAGTGTGTGCTCACTTTGTGACTCTTTCCAATTTTGTAGTGTGGATAATTGCAAATATCTTGCAATATTCTTTTTTTTTTTTTTTCTGAGACGGAGCTTCGCTCTTGTTGCCCAGGCCGGAGTGCAATGGTGTGATCTTGGCTCACTGCAACCTCCACCTCACAGGTTCAAGTGATTCTCCTGCCTCAGCCTCCCCAGTAGCTGGGATTACAGGCACCCGCCACCGCACCCAGCTAATGTTCTGTATTTTTAGTAGAGATGGGGTTTCACCATGTTGGCCAGGCTGGTCTTGAACTCCTGACCTCAGGTGATCTGCCTGCCTCGGCCTCCCAAAGTGCTGGGATTACAGGCGTGAGCCACCGTGCCTGGCTGCAATATTTCAAACTTATTTATTATTTTATATCTGTTATGGTAATCTGTGATCAGTGATCTTTGATGTTACTATTATAACTGCAGATGTGGTAGAAATAGCAAAAGAACTAGAATTAGAAGTGGGGCCAGAAGATGTGACTGAATTGCTGCAATCTCACAATAAAATTTATATGGATAAGGAGCTGCTTCTTATGGATAAGCAAAGAATGTGGATTCTTGAGATGCAGTCTACTCCTAGTAAAGATGCTGAGCATATTGTTGAAATGACCATTAATAATTTACAAAATATTACATAAACTGTCGATAAAGCAAGAGCAGGGTTGGAGAGGATTGACTCCAATTTTGAAAGAAACTCTACTGTGAGGCAAATGCTATGAAATAGCATCTCATGCTACAGAGAAACCTTTAGTGAAAGGAAGAATCCACTGATGCAGCAAACTTTGTTGTCTTATTTTAAGAAATTGCTACAGCTGCGCCAACCTTCAGCAACCACCACCCTCGTCAGCAGCTATCAACCTTAAGTCAAGACTCTCCACCAGCAAAAAAGATTACTATTTACTGGAGGTGCAAATGAATATTAGCATTTTTAGCAATATTTTTAAATTAAGGTATGTACATTTTTAGGACATAGTGCTACAACATACTTAATAAACTATAGTGTAGTGTAAATATGGGAAACCAATAAATTTGTGTGACTCACTTTATTGCAATATTTGCTTTATGCAGTGGTCTGAGGCATGCCTGTATATTTTCAAGGAAGAATATTTACGGTTTCTCATTACTGAGATTGTCTATAGAATAATGATTCTATACTACTTTTTTTTTTTTTTTTTTTTTTTTTGAGACGGAGTCTCGCTCTGTCGCCCAGGCTGGAGTGCAGTGGCGGGATCTCGGCTCACTGCAAGCTCCGCCTCCCGGGTTCACGCCATTCTCCTGCCTCAGCCTCCCAAGTAGCTGGGACTACAGGCGCCCGCCACTACGCCCGGCTAATTTTTTTTTTTTTTGTATTTTTAGTAGAGACGGGGTTTCACCGTTTTAGCCGGGATGGTCTCGATCTCCTGACCTCGTGATCTGCCCGCCTCGGCCTCCCAAAGTGCTGGGATTACAGGCGTGAGCCACCGCGCCCGGCCTCTATACTACTTTAAATACATTTGAACTCCATTTTACAATTATTAAATAATAAAACCACTTAATCACATTTCTCTTATAATTTAAATAAAACATTGCCTAAAGAAAAGAAACAAAGTTTATTTTTTATTTTTTAGTTAAAGGAAATCAATGAACAAAATTCTTATTTTAGCCTTTAGCAAATGGATGCCTTAAACTAAAAATAATTTTGGAGTATTTAGATGACAAAAGGAATATATAAAAATAGCTATCTTCATAATTCTTCAAAATTTAGTAACATAAGACATTTTATTAAGGGGAGTTTATCCACACGTAACTATAGTCATCCCTTGGTGTATGTAGGGATTGGTTGTAGGATCTCCACGTATACCAAAATCTGACATACTCAATTCCTGCAGTTTACCTGGCAGAACCTATATACAAAAAGTTGTTATACACACACACACACACACACACACACACACACACACACACACACACATATATATACATATGTTAATTAATACCTTGAAATTTCTAAATTAAGAATTCTGTGACTTGGGTCTTTTTAAATAGGACAAAATTCCCTTTGTCTACAATGTTTTGAAAAACATAGTAGCAAAAACACTGTCTCAAATTCATTTATGAAGCAGTACTTATGGTTTATTTATCAGAATTGCAGAAAAGTAAAGAATAAAAGTTACATCTTCCTAACTTCTTTCTTTCCTCTCTATAGTAATTTAAAGGGACCTTTATTACATACAGCACCATCCCTGATTACAGTAAGGAGGCATAGATTCCATTTCTAGCTTTGTTACTAACTTATTACACGACCTTGGGCAAGTCATATCACCTTTCTGTACAATTAGGTGATTGCATTTTTCCCTCAGTATGGCTTATTCTCACCATCTCTAGGGCCTTTTATGACCTAACAACAGAGAGTGGTTTACAAAGATAACAGACAACCCACTTTTTTACTATATTTTAATCAGTTAATCTGGCAATCAAATAGATAATTCTGTTGATGGAATTGTCATAGCTTCTGTGATGATTAACAATGCTAATACCTCGAGTGGGTGGTATAGGTTAATTTACTCTTTGAGGATCCTTATAATGCTGTTTCAAATGATCATAAGGAATTACAGATAATTTCAGCTTGATTGCAGAATTCTTCTGCAACCAACATTACACAATGTTCAATATGACAGCTTAACTCCAAATTAAGTAAAATCAAACTAACAACTTTTTTACTTTTAAATACAATGGATTTATTCTTTTCTTAGGACAAATTTTATTTTAATTATTTGGTTTTATACACACAGACACACAGTGCTATTTTTATCAACAGTGTGGAAACAAATGCTAACCAATTATAACTTACTGTTAGGTCTTAGATATTTTAAGGTAGATTAGCTATTTGTTTTGAAATTTCCCTCCCTAACTTTTTAGAAAATATTAAATTAGCAGAATCACAAAAACATATTATATTCACTAAAATACCCTTTTCCCATAATTTAGAAATGTCAAAGATTTTAGTATGATGCCCCAAGAGGAGAATTTAATGTTTGAGAATGGGTATTTTTTTCCCCAGAGGAAATGAGAATTATTCTAGATCATCATAATAGTATACTATAGAGGGTTTTGTTTTGTGCTCTTTAGGGAAGAAAAAGCACATTCAGTTAGTGAGCTGGCATCCTCAAGGGCCTAAGGAATCAGGCTTGGGAAAAACAATGTTGTAAGTGTAATACTATAATTGAACTGCATTAAACTTTAATGAACTTGAATTGACAGCAGAGGAAAAAAATGATCTAATGTGTATTTCTGAAAATTCTTTCTCATTACCTTGAAATCCTATAAGACAATCTAAAGCATGTTTTATAAGAATTTGGTGAGAATGGAGTGGGGAAAGAGGAAACTATAGTTCTCTTATGTATGTATTGGAAGACATTTAATTACTGAATTTTAGAATTTACTGGCCAAAAGATTAGCAGAGAGGAGCTGTCTATAGGTATTTTTTCAAGAAAGGCAAATTCACATTGACAAGCCCCTAATTTCTGTCAAGTGCTATACCAGATAGACTCATTCACACTTAGTAACTCATTTTTTCCTCATCTTAACCTTATCAGAAACACTTTCTGGGGTGAAATGTAAACTCCAGGAAAGGTTTACAGCAGCTTCATTTTGTTTCTATGGTGCCAAGCTCTCATGTAATGATATCACAGGAAACAAAGAGATTGAGAGAGTAAGGAGCCAAACTTTTAGTAGAAAAAATAAGCTTAAGTGTTGCCCTCTCTGTAATTTGCTCTCTTGAAACCTTCTGTTGGTCTTTTCCTTTCTGAGAGTTCTCCTTTTCTCTTGGACTACTTCTTTCTTTCCCATAAGTCAACAATTTTTGAAGCTGCATTCTATATTGCAGAACTCCAAACACCAACCAAGGTTAGGCTCAGGGGACAAATGGGATCTAATTAAACTAAAAAGATTCTGCACATCAAAAGAAACTATGAACAGAATAAACAGCTAAAGAGGTTCTGCATAGCAAAAAAATCTATGAACAGAATAAACAGACAACCTACAGAATGAGAGAAAATATTTCTAATTATGCATTTGACCAAGGTCTAATATCCAGAATCTATGAGGAACTTAAACAAATTAACAAGAAAAAAAACAAATAGCCCCATTAAAAAGTGGGCAAAGGACATGAACAGACTTCTTTTCAAAAGAAGATAAACATGTGACCAACATGCATATGAAAAAATCCTCAACATAACTCATCATTAGAGAAATGCAAATCAAAACCACAATGAGATACCATCTCATACCAGTTAGAATGGCTATCATAAAAATTCAAAAATAAGAGATGCTGGCAACGTTGTGGAGAAAAGGAAACACTTATTCACTGGTGAGTAGGAATGTGAATTAGTTCAGCCATTGTGGAAAGCAGTTTGGAGATTTCTCAAAGAACTTAAAACAGAACTACCATTTGACCCAGTGATTCCATTATTGGGTATATACCCAAAGGAAATAAATTATTATATCATAAAGACACATGTACATGTATGTTCATCACAGCATTATTCATAATAGTAAAGACATGGAATCAACATAAATGCCTATCAATGGTAGACTGGTTAAACAAAAAGTGGTACACACATGCCATGGAATACTAGACAGCCATAAAAAGAATGAGATCATGTCCTTTTTCAGCAATATGGATGAAGCTGGAGGCCATTATCCTAAGTGCACTAACATAGGAACACAAAACCAAATATCGCATGTTCTCACTTATAAGTGGAAGCTTTGAGTACAAGTGGACACGAAGAAAAGAACAACAGATACTGGGGCTTATTTGAGGGTGGAGAATGGGAGGAGGGTGAGATTCAAAAAACTACCTATCAGGCACTGTGCTACTGTGCTTATTACCTGGGTGATGAAATAATCTGTACACTAAACCCCCATGACACACAATTTACTTATATAACAAACCTGCACCTGCACCCCTGAAACTAAAATAAAAGTTATAAAAAGACTACTAGATCTATCTCTAATCACTTCTAATATTTTTGGTTACAGTGAACTATACAGTATTTTTCAGGTTTGTCCAGAGAAACATAACAAATAAGAAACATAACAAATATCTATATCTATAGATAAACACACACATTTTGTGAGAAATTGGCTCATGCAATTTTGGATGCTGAGAAGTCCCATGATCTGCAGTTTGCAATTGGAAACTCAAGAAATCTGACAATGTAATTCTAGTTCAAGTCTGAAGCCTAATAAGCAGGGGAGCTGATGGTGTATATCCTGGTAGAAGGCAGGAGAAGACAGGTTCAGCTCAAGCAGGCAGGTAGTAAAATTAAAAATAAAAATAAGGTAATTTCTCCTTCTTTTACCATTTTGTTCTATTCAGGCCATCAACAGATTGGATAGTACCACCCACATTGGAGAAGATAATCTAATTTACTGAGTAAATTCAAATGCAAATCTCATCCAGAAACACCCTTATAAACACACCTTGAAATAATGTTTAATCTGAGCACACTGGGTTGTAGTCAAGTTGACACATAAAATTGACTATCACATATGCCACATGTTAGTACAGGTGTGATGTTCATGGACAGTTGCAAGATCTCAAATGTGCTGAAAACTAAAATAGTCATTTAACTATATACTGAAAGTTTCCAAAGCCTAGAATATACATATACACATTCATTACTTACATATACTAATTAAAGCTACAAGTGACATCAACCAGAGAGAGGCTTAAAACAATAAGTACTAGACTTGGCTGAACATTAGAATCACTTAATGATTTTTTTAAAAAAATGTAGATGCCCAGATTACACCTAAAACAATTAAATCAGAATCTCTGAGGGAGATTGATATGGTTTGGCTCTGTGTCCCCACCCAAATCTTATTTTGAATTGTAACCTCACATGTCAAGAGAGGGACCTGGTTGGAGGTGACTGGATCATGGGGGCTGTTTCCTCCGTGCTGTTCTTGTGATAGTGAGTGAGTTCTCATGAGGTCTGATGGTCTAAAAGTGGCACTTCCTATTTTGCTCTCATCTTGCCTAAATATTTTTGCCTTATTTTTAGCCATTTCTATAAAAGTAATGTGTCTTTATTAATAAACTAGCCTTAAGAATACAGTAAAGCTTTAAGTGTTTTTTCAATTCAAAGGATTTCAAAGTAATCATTTTTTATTAATTAAACCTTTCACCATCTATAAAATGATATGTGATTAGTGTTAAAAAATGTTTAGACTGAAAAAACAGACAAAAAAATATGACGAGTCTGACAAAAAGCTTATCAAGTCTCATGTAGGAATCTCAATTCCACTACCTACAGAGAATAGCTTATTTTCTTTGATATTTCTTAAAAAAAAAAAAAAAAACACTCAAAATGACCTTTATCTGTGTTTCCAGAATCAACTCACTTTATTCTCTATTTCATTTATTAAGAAACTGCCAATTGAGTGCCTATTATGTTCCAGGCACTATTTTGTATTATATATCTAGAGGTAAAAAGAGATGAAAGGTCCTTCATCCAGTGGGATTACAATCTAATGGAAATGACCTATCATGAACAAAAACTACACATACAGGTGTTACATTCCTATTCCCCACCCCAACCCCTGATTCATGGCTAGAAGAAATTCAGAGGATGCTGTTGGCTTTCTTTTGTTATATGCAGCTGAAACTGATCCTAATACATGTAGTAAACAAAACAAATATAAGAAGGGATGATGGAGAAAAAAAAGAGGGAAAGTGTTTCAAGGTAGCCAAAACAGTCAAAGTAATTACGGAACAGATATGAAATATTCAGTCCTACCAAAATGAAGATATTTGAGAAGGACTGACTGTATTTCTGCTGATGCTGGTGATAGCTATGGCCAAAAACTTATGGTTAGCTGACTTTGTTGTTATTCTGAATGCATTCCCTGGTATAAGGTGGTATAAAAAATGTGTATTATCTAATAAATACAAGCCAAATCTTTTGAGAAAATGGATTCTTCCACTGAAAATCCAGATTAATCCTACTATAAAGAAAAGTCGTGTTGGACTTGAAGATATCAGATAAGTAATTCTTAAGCCTAAGCCTCTGAAGATATCATATCTGCATTATTTTGAGGTAAACTATTTTCATTATTATACTAGTCAGCTCAGACAGCTCTAAAAAATCTTACTGATTATCAAATAGTGATAAAAGTATGTCTAAGTCTTCTATAGTTATGGATTTGTCTATTTCTCCTTAGGTCTGTCAATTTTTGCTTTATAAATTTTGGAGCTATGTTATTAGGTGCAAACAAATTTAAGATTATAGTCAATTCCTTTATGAATTATTATTCTTTATTCCCAGTAATGATTCTTTCTTTAAAATCTCCTTTTTCACAGATCATTTACTTTGGAAAACATGCAACCTTTCTCTCCTGTGAGATGAAATCTTCTCCCAACTTTTTGCCAGTTTTATAACCCCGGGAATGTCTTTTTCAAGGACCTGGGAGTCATCCCTTTGAAATGCAATCATCAAGAAAAATAGTGCTCCAGTTTCTGTGAGAGGTTATGAGTCTAACTTCATATTTGGCAATTAGCAAACACAGATGGCCTAATCCCAGTGATTAACCTCCCTCACTTACTCTCCCAGTACTTTTCCACTAGCTCAAGCAGCACCTAAAAATTCCCAAGCCTTTTATTTCAGTGGTTGAGTTCAATCTCTATCCCCTATTACAATAGTCTTGGATAAAGTCTTACTTGCCTGCTTAACTTTCGAGTGCAATTTTTCTTTGACAGTTCAAAATAAAGGCATGAGAATAATCTATAATATATACGCAAACCATGGCAAATCCTGTGTTATTATCTTGCTGAACAGGACATTTGATAGCTGTCAGAGGTATAAAAAGTTTTAATTTATTTTTAAATCCCAAGAGAAAAGTGATGCTAGAAGAATGAGAATGGGACAGATGAGAGAAAGGATACCATGGAACTGAAATTTTCTCCTTCACTTTCAGGAGTACACTGAGTAATAATCAATTATGCCAGAAAGGGAAACTAGGTAACTTTACTCAGGGATCAGAAGGAAAATTCACAAACATATAAGAATTGTTTTTCACAACATGGTTTTTTATATGGTCTATTATGACATAACAATGCTTATTACCTTTAACATTAAATGATTTTTAAAACGAAATTACTTGTAAATGAAAATCTTCTGAACTTTTCTATAAAAGATATTAATAAAAAAGACTTCATGCTCTTGCTTGTTTCTTAGATCAAAAAGTAAGACTAGTTTGACCTTCATATGACTATAACATTATTTGTTTAAAAGGGCTTTATTGAATGAGAGGAGTATCCCTTTTGCTGCTTCTTTTTTCCTGCTCTATATTTTGTCCCCACACCACAAACACGCATTTATTTATCCAAAAGGGAAAAAAATGAAAGTAATAAAATAGAGATAAGATGAAAACTATATTTTATCACTTAATTTTCTTGTTATTCAAGATAAAATACAACAGGCAAACAAGCTTCAAGTTAAATATTAAAAATGCTACAAACCAATAACTTATCATTCTTTTAAGAGACAGAAATTGCTGAGGAGCTTTTGATATTTTAATGGAAAAAATAAATCTAACATGACCATGATTTAGAAAATATTTCCACAAAATAGTATTCAGTAAATGATTCTACATAACCTCACATTCGTCATAAGGCATGGCTATTTTCTTAGGCATAATTAAATGCCACCTCAACAAACAATCTTATTTACTAAACTGCCTTTTTTGGGTCAGGTTTCATTTTAGCAGTGAGGTACATCCCAATTTCTCCCTTATAAGAAGCTGTATTTTCACTTTTCCATTTATCTACGAGCCTTGTGGATGAATAAGTGAATTATCTTCTCTGCTTCTAATTTTTAAATTGTCATTTCCGTTTCCCAACTAAATTATCAAAAATTATTACATGTCTCCCCAAAGTCCTTCAATGTGTATCTCACATTTGCTCAAATAAACATGTGAGGAAAATCCTCATGAAAGTACATGATTTTTCGTTCCTTTAAATCATGTTTTTAAAAGTTAACTGCTTGATGTAAAGACCAATTTCAATTTTTTAATCTTTATTCCCATTTTGCTTGGCACAAAAATAAAAATAAAAGGGTACCCAGTCTATGTTAGAGTAAATTAACTTTGTTCTGTTCCATTCTCCAATTACTTTCTCAGTGTTAAACTCTCAACACTTAAACTGGTAATTAATTGGTTTTCCTACAGGAATGCTGCTGTTGAAGAAATGACTTTCAGAAGAAATTATAAGCAGTGAATGTGCTCATAGAAACTATTCAGAAATATTTAACAACTATCATTTGATCAGAAAAGTTCCTAAAGTGGGTTTATTAGTGTTACTAGTATTTCAGCATTGAGGTTAGTGGCTGACATTAATAAAGAGATGCCCGAGAATGATTATGAACCTAGCTGGAGGCAAGTTTGCTACTGGGACAACAGTAATCTCAGCACTACATTATTGGCTAGGGAAGTAGGACAGTAACATTCAAGAGGTTGAAGTAGGTCTCTTTTTTATTTGTGCTTAATGAAGCCATCAGCTATAATCTAGTAGCACAGGACTGCCTTTTGTATGTTGTCTTCCATTGTATAAAGTGGCACTCATTGAGGAAAGGGTTTAAAGAGAATTCCTTAATAGGAGACAAAACTAATGCAAATAGAATTTGTTTACTTGTACAGGATTTTTTTTCATATTCAATAAGACTCCAAAACAGGGTATCTGTATTCTACTTTAAACTGAATTACATTGGCATATCTTAGAGACATGACCTAAACAGACTTTTCAAAGTGGTGATATATAAACTACACAAAATCACTGTAGTACCACATATTAGACATCATAGGACAAGACTTGAAATTTTTATACAACCCAAGGAATACTGCACTATAAATTAGGTTCACTCTCTTTGTCATAGATGTGATGTGGAAATATACTATTAGGCATTGGCCTCAGAAATAGAATATAGTCACAACACATGAGAAACAAGGGCGTGGAGAAATGACCCTTTTAGAATACATAAGAAAAATGTGAGTGGTAACTTCGGAGAAAATTTACATGTAAGTTTGTAGCATATCCACTTAGAGTAAGCTCAATGTCACAAGACATTTGATACTATTGTAATTAATCACAGTTATTAGTAATCAGAATGCCAGATGGATTTCCCAGAGAATTTCAACCCTCATTCCAGGCCTTAGGAAGCCCGAAGTATTTCTTATTCTTCTGAAAATCCACTTGGAGCTTATTCTATAGTTTTATTCATTGGCATAGCTGGCAATATAATAATATTGCTTATCACATCAACTGAATTATGACTCATTCTTCCTATCACCCAAAATGTTCCATTTCTTTCATGCACCAAGCTCTTTACCACATCATCATTTGTGCACATGCTAGTCCTTCTGCCTAGTGTGACGACTTGAATTCTCCACCTATCAGTCCCCTAGATATGCCCATGCCCTAACCCTTAGGACCAGCAAAGTGTCCCTTCTTTTTAAAGGAGGTTTAGCAGATATAATTCAGAATCTCAAAATAATTCATCTTGGATTTAGGATGGGTCCTAAAAATGACAGGTTTCTTAAAAGTGAAAGGTAGAGGGAGACTTGAAACACAGAGATACTCAGGGCAGAAGACACTGTGAAGATGGAGGCTGAGACTGGAGTGATATATCTACAAACCAAGGAACATCAGGCTGCCCAAACTGCAGGCTGCTACTGGTGAGGCATGGACCCCATTCTCCCTCACAGCCTCCAAAGATAACCAACACTGCTTACACATTCCTGTGGGATGTCTAACCTCCAGAATTGTGGAAGAATGCATTTCTGTTGTTTCAAGCCATCAGGTTTGTAGTTGTTACGGCAGTGCTAAGAAACTAATAGAGTGGGACACTTTCTCTCTCTTCATGGATAGTCTTTGCTTCAGGTCTCTGTGGAAAAACTTCCTTCTCAGAGTGGCTTTCCTTAACCATACCATTAAAATAGATCGCTTAATTGATTATTCACTATCACTGACTCTGTTCATTTTTACAGCATTCATTACAGTTATAACTACATATTTACCTATTATTTCCTGACTTCCACACTCTATGACCTCAACAAAACTCTACAAAATCTCTTTTTGTTTTCTTTCTTTCACTGAACATAGTTTATCCAGCAACTTGTACATGCTTAACACATAACTGGGCTCAACAATTGTTGTTGAATACATAAATGTACTAATACATGAATGTTACCTATGAAATTCAGCCCATTTCTGCTTTAAAAATTAACAATAAAAATAAAGCACACCTAGAGCATTCACAAGCATAGTGGAATTTCCATCACTAAAGAGTGATGGAAGGCAAGAGAGACGGATTATGTCATCTACTACGCAGCACCAAAAAATCTTAAATCTTAGATATTTGTGCTGCTAAAAATCAAATTATGCCATTTTAAAATTAGATAAAATACAGAGTGCCATCCTGCTGGGTGTATACAGACCAGAAGGAAATTTAGTTGGGAAAATACTTGTTGTTCCAAATTCTGGTGTTTTATTACAATCAAAGAAGAGGAAAGCAAGATCTTCTTTGCCTTCAAACTCTATTTTAGATTTGGTTCTGTTTTATCAATTTAATTCAACACTTCCACATAGATGTTTTTATATTACATGAATTTAATAATACACTAAACTTATTTTTGTCTCCTATTATTGAAAAGTACCAAAGCTCCTTTCTGTTTTGTTTGATTTTACTGTAGAGTTTTGCTTTTTCTAGAGATACTTTTCATTTAACAGCTTTTGTTAAGTGTCAGGCTCCACTTTGTTCCATGTAATTATTGTTTTCAGATTTCAATTTGTATGTTTGTCTCTTAAGGCATTGGTGAAATCTCAGATTTTATATTAATTATAAAGGAGAATAAATTCTAGAAGACACATATTCCAAAAATGGAGTGTTTGTTCCCTACCATTTTTCACACCTCTCTGAATTTTAGTTCTGTTTAGTTGGGAGGCTGTGATTTTACTTTCATCTGTGAACCTCATGCATGAAAGTGGCACATTAAATTGTAAAAATACAAACAGATCGTGTGATCATTCCAGGAGCCAGGCATGAGGTCCTGCATGAAAGTGTTGGGAGGTCACCACAGATTCATCTCAGACAGTGATAAGTATCAAGGATGGAGTTAAATCACTCAGCCCCTGGGTTGGGTGAGGTGATTCAAATGGATGACTGTGTGGTCTCCTGAGTACAGTGAAGCGACAGGCTGGTGGCTATGTTCCCCAAATTGGATGCAGAAAACAAGGGCAGAGTGGCTTCGACCCCTATTACCTTTGAAGCAGCCACGTCAGAAAGCAGAAGAAAACAACATTTCTGAAGGCATTTTCCAAGGTTGATCTCATCACTGAACGATTTCAAGCCTTAAGCACCAGGACAGGAGGGTGGAGGAAGGGATCAGAGGGAACAGGCTGTAGGTTTGCAAAAATGTGTGAAACCATGAAATCAGAAAAGCCAAATGACTACTGCGTACTTGTGACTCAAATCTTCAGTTTTCCTAGTTCTTCTAGAAATACAAGTCAGGTTAGTTTGTTTATCCTTTCTGTCAGCATGGATCAAGCCCCTAAAATGTGGTAAGTATTGTCAGAGCAGGACAATATCTTACTCTCAAGTGTGAGGGGAACAGAAACAAAGCAGCAGTTTTAGCCAGGGGTCAATGATAGACTGGAGGTAAATTAATAGCCTCCAGGCTGTGATTCACCATTTGGAACATTATACGTAATGTTTTTTGTTATTACATTATATGTAATTTTTTCTTGTAAGCTGTTTGAATTTTTCAAAAATTTCATACATGCAATGGAATATAGATATATACACATATAATATAGATGCTAAAGTATATATCTATATAAAGTATAAAGAGTAATAATAATAATAATAAACAAACCCCTGTGTGCCTACCACCCACCTTATTGTCTTTCCTTTGAGGTACCATGTGCTCTTTCCTGAACCTGTCTTTATCCCTGTTTGACAGATGGAACCCCTTTACTAAACTTTGTGTTGATCATAGCCTTCTTGTCCTTCATCACTTTATCTCCATGTATGTATCCTTAAAGAATAATAAATGGAATTAAACTGAATGTATTCTTCTGTCACCTTTTTTTACATTCATTGCCGTAGGAGTTTTTTCACTACTAAATATTATTCTATTATGAGTATATCACAAATGTTCTCTTCTCCAGCTGGCGCTTATTGAGTTGCATCTTTGTTTGAAATAGAAAAATGCAATGTTGCTGTGAACATTCTTTTATGTGACTTCTGGTGGTACATACCAGAGAATGGATGTATACCTTGAACAGAATTGCTGGTTTGTACAACAAAAGCACATCATCAGCTTTAATAGATATGGCCAAATTGCTTTCCCAAGTACTAATTTATGCTCCCCACCAGTATACTAGAATTTCCAGGGCTCTAGATCTTTACCAATGTTTGAGATTGTCAGAGATGCATTTTTGCCAAGCTGGGGAGTATAAAATGTTACCTCATTGTGGTTTCATTTTGTAAATTTTTTATGATTAGTAAGTTGAACATGTTTTATTATGGGAAATCTTATTTCTTCCTCTTGGCAATCCGTCTTCATGTCTTTTGTCTTTCTTCCTATTGGGTTGTGTTTTAATTATTAACTTTTAAAGTTTCTTTATATTTAATCTTTTATTGGTCAACATTTATTTAATCATTAAAGTGAAGGGAAACCAGATTTAGAGTAGAAAAATCTTCTGAGGCCATGTTGAGAAACATGCTAAGCATTTGAATCTTTATTTGGAGAAAATAAAGTTAAATACATTTTTAAAAAACTTAGACATTTCTTTTCTCAAAATTCCTTCTGGTCATGTGACAACTATAGGTTTCTCTTGACCCTTCCCCCATGCAGTGCTTGGTCTCATACTTTCTCCCTGACTCATTTCCTTTCTAGCCCTCTCACTATTATGACTCCCCCTTCCTTCTTGGGTAGAGAAAGGAGTTCTCTAATCTTAACCCTAAACACAGGTACCCAGGGTGTCACCTCCTAAGACATTTTCTCCTTGTTTTAAAACATTTAAAGAGTGCTTTTTTACACATCAGTGACTGTTCTGTTAAGAAAAATACATATATTTAAAACTTAGAAATAAGGCAAAGCAAAAGCAGAATATCCTGTCAGTTTTACGGTAGAGCATTGTTACATTATTTGATTATTTAATTATATAAAAAATGCACCTATGATTATTTATAATTAATTTTAAAATTATTATTAATCAAAAGGAGGTAAGTTGCAACTTAACTTGTAGCTTTTTGTATGATTGAGATGCAAGCACTTTCTGTTCAGTAGCAAAGACAATCCCAAACTGTTACAGGCCATTGCCCTGGAAGGCATTAAGCAGTCACATACCTAACCTAGCCATCATTCCCCAACAATCTTTCTCTAGTGCCTGTATAGCTTTCTGCCTATAATTCTCCTTAGCACCAGCTTGATCATTCTGCCAGCTCCCTCATTAATTAGTTGAATAAATTCTTGGCATATGTTCATCCTATGTTTTTATGAGAGTCATACAATGAGCTTTTTAAAATGAAAGTCTAGCTTTAGAAACACTAACTAACCGAATTCTTATCAAGGTATTTTTTTAAGAACTAACATTTTCCTTCTCTAACCTGAATTACACTGCCAGCTTTTGGGATATTCCCTTAATAGCTTTTACCCCCCACACCACTTAACACATGGCATAAAAGATTTTAAAACAATACAAAAAATAAATACTACATAGGGTTTGCCTTTGTTTTACTTCTAAGCAGTAGATAAAAATTTCTGAACATTCTGTCATTTTTTTCTAATTAAAGTCGAAATTATTGTTTTTGAAAAAGCAGTCACATAAAGTCCAGAAAACTGTTCTCTCATTCACACTAAAACTGTATTACTAAAGAAAACCATAAGAAAGACAAAGGGAGATAGTGAAAATGCCTACATTCCTCATGATGCTGCTTCTCATTTCTGTAGTACCCACAGCTAAGGTTATCTTTGGCCAGCAGGTCTCTGTGGCAATGGTACTAGGCCAGGAAAAGAATGTATGGCATAGCACCTTCTTTATCTACTTTTGGGAGCATCACGAGAGCATCAAGCCAAAATAATGTCAAGGAAAGCCATTCATAGGTTTATGACAATCTGCTTTAACAACCATGGATATCATTTTAATTGGAATGGTCATAAGCAAAACCTAAGCTCTCCATGTTATATGCACATGTACTACACATCTGTATATAAACACATATCAACACACATGCATACATTTATATTATAGCAGTCATTTTAATGCATAGTTATATCAATCTACCATATACTGTGAATTTTACTTTTAATTAGATTTGGTTGCAGAAAAGGTACTTCAAATAATCTTACCAATGAGTTAGAATTTTTAATGTATGCATCAAGGTGACACACATGAAAATATCTATAATCCCTCACTTAGCAGTGTTCTTAAGATCATGGGGACATCTATAAAATGTGATATTATAGTAATATAGTATTAGGATATCAGATAAAGAGATGGCATTATTACCAAATGATAGTGTGTGTGTGTGTGTGTGTGTACTCTGCCACACAGATTACTAAGGATAAAATTTTAAAATTGCTATAAAATATATTTTGTAGTTTTCTTGAAACATGCTTACATTCACGCATTACTTAATATGTAAAATAAATTTATTTTACCTTTCACAGTTTCACATATAATTGTAGGTTATTCACTGAACAGAAAGCATATAAAATATGGCAGATATAGAATATATGATATTTTACTCTTTACTAAAGAGGTTGTGTAGGCAGAAAAAACAGAAGGCAAAGTTTGTTTTATTTTTTTCATTTTATATTTTTATTTGCTTTAGTGACATTTTGCCTGAACAGTAGTATCATGGAATATTTTGTGTATTTACTCAGAGACCCATTTAAAACTATGCTTTTCAGCCAATAAACATATGACAAAATGCTGAACATCACGAATGATCAGAGAAATGCAAATTAAAACCACAATGAGATATCATCTTATACCAGTCAGAATGGCTATTACTAAAAAGTCCACAAACAACAGATGTTGGCGAGGATGCAGAGAAAGGAAACGCTTATACACTGTTGGTGGAAATGAAAATTAGTACAATCTTTATAGAAATCAGTATGGAGATTTCTCAAATAACTAAAACTAGAACTACCATTTGATCCAGAAATCTCACCACTGGCTATATACACAAAAGGGAAAGAAATCATACCAAAATGATACCTACCTGTACTCATATGTTTATCACAGCACTATTCACAATAGCAAAAATATGAAATCAACCTAAGTGCTCATCAACAGATGATTGGATTAAAAAAGTGGTATGTACACACACACACACACACACACACACACACACACACGTGTACACCATGGATTACTACTCCACTATAGAAAATAATAAAATAATGTCTTTTGCAGAACTGGAGGCCATTATTCTAAGTGAAACAACTCAGAAACAGAAAGTCAAATACTGTATGTTCTCACACGTAAGTGGGAGCTAAACAATGTGTACACGTGGATATACAGATTGGAAAAATAGAAACTGTGGACTCCAAAAGTTGTGAGGGGAATAAAGGTTGAAAAATTACCTATTGATTACAATGTTCACTATTTGGGTGATGTTTTCAGAATTTACTACTACATAATATATACATGTAACAAAATTGCACTTGTACCCCCTAAATCTATACAAATAAATGGAAGACATAAAGATAAAATATGTTTTTTGAAGAAAATTCTTCAAATTTAGAAGACTAAAAATCCATGTACATGAGATTTGTTTTCTAAGTTATAGACTTGCAGCTGCATAAGTGTTCAAATAAGGAACTAATACATTAGCACAATAGAGACAATTCACCAGAAATGCCAAAAACTAAAAAGAACTCTAAAAAGTAATTATGCACACAAGATACCTGCCAGTAGTTCCAATCTGGTTTCAATCAACTATATGTTGTTCTATTCCTCATCAACCCCGAAGGTCACCAGTGGCTAAGCAAGACCCACAGGATGCTGCCAACAGGTCTGAAGGCTTGGTACACAGTAGGAGAAAACAGAGAAGGTGAAAGGAAGATGGGCAAAAAGAAGAGTGTTAAGAGAGAAAGAAGAAGTATTTGAGATCCTGCCACTGCACTCCAGTCTGGGCAACAGAACAAGATGCTGCCAAAAAAAAAAAAAAAAAGAAGAAGAAGAAGAAGAAAAAAAGAAATAACAAATCAAGAAAGGATAAGAAATTTAACTGTGCCAGAAGAATGACCTTCCAATGTCAACCTGACATTATTTAGTAAGAATATTTATGCCTGGTTGTTATGTAAACTAGAACTACAAGATCTTCATCTTCCCATTCTTTATTCAAAAGAAAATAAAATACTGCAAGTCTGTTTGGACTATTTATCTGTTACATATGAAGAAAGAATATTTTGTATTTAGCTGAATAATGCTAGAAAAGCCACAAGAAAATATGGGTACAATAACTGACATAAATTAACTTTCCATTTCTCCTTAAACCTTCAATTAACCATCAAATTTTATAGATATCAGCAAACTTGCACATGTGCATAATAAAAATTGGTTATATTTTATCTATTTCCCTTCATTACTCAATAATATTATACAGCTGATCTACAGTCGGGCTTTCTGCTAGATACTATGATACATAATGAATAAAATCTTGTACTGATGAAGCATACAGCTTATATAAGTAGACATTAAACTAATAAGAACATCAGTTATATACATATATATAATATTAATAACTGCTGTAAAATTAGAGCATTAGGATAGTGGTTACCATGATGGGGCACTTTTCTATGTGTACATTTTACTTCACAGTAAAATGTTAAATATATTTTGATATGAGAGATCTAAGTGAAGATGACAATTAGGCAACTGGATGTATAAGCCTGGTCTTTTAAAAATGTTTTGGGCTAGAGCATAAATTATCAGTTTCAAGCATGTAGGTGGTCTTTACAATTACAGAAATGAATGAAAACAAAACTAAAGAAAGGTTATTGCTATCCTCCAATACAATAAAAAACACTTAAATGTCTAAAACAAATGTTAGTAAGTTATTTAACTCCTAAATTTTGTCTTTTGGAAAAGGTGCTATTCAAAGAACAGTCATATCTAGTTATTTGTACCTCTGTCGCCAAGTGGCATCAATGGAGCTAAAGAAAAAAAATTAAAGCTATTTCCTTGTTATTTGAAAGGAGAAAAGACTGATGGGGTCACTTTTCAATCTAGTCACTTCTGGTTTTTTGATTTTGAATCACTGCAAGGAAAATTAAATAATCAAAGTAAGTTTAATGATTGAGGTTTCAACAAAAACAATGAAACTCCACTGTACATTAGTTTCTCTTATTTAAACAAATATTAAAGAATGGGAATGATAAGAATAAATAGGGCTAAGGATGGCGAGTCCCAAAATTATGGGCAGTTAAGTTATAAAATTAGTAATGAATAGTGTATTGAGCATAGGATTCGGATGGCGAACAGGAGTAGATTTAAATTCTGGCACCTGCGGGTTCCTAGTAGATCACACAGGTTATGTAGTATCTCAAAGCTTGAATTTTTTCATTTGTGAAATACTGCTATCGTTTTTATAGAATTAGTATAAAGATTGTGATAATGTTCATAAAATAGAGATTTGGTAGAATCCATAGAATGATCAATTCCAATTTTCATGTTTTACAGCTCCACTCACCAAAACACAAGGTCCCTGAGATACTCCAAGTGACTTGGCTAAAATCAAGAACATACCTAAATCCTCCCAGTCTTCAATGACGTGATTCTTATAAAATGTTATGTCATTTCTAATAACCTACCATTTAGAACAAGCCTTGATCTTAATTACATCCACTATAAAGAAAAAATGACATACATAATTAAGATACTTGTGGTTATGGAAACTGTTCTTTTGACTTAAGAACAACTAATGCTTTTTCAATTCTTATATAGAACATCTAACTAACTGTGTATACTACCCTGAGAAATCCAGAATAAAGAAGAAACAGCACAAAAACTGAATCTGAAATTGGAAAATGAATAACATTTACGTTATTCTGTTTTATCATCCATGAGTCTTTAAATTGTCTCAGCAGTCTTTAGAAAGAGCCACTATACTAATCCAGACACTTTGCTTACCTCTACATTTCCTGACCCCTGAAGTGTAAAAGATTGACACTTCCAAGATAGATTTTAATTGAATATCTACAGTGCTTTATAGATATGGCAGGTCAAGATGATCAAAACAAGTCAGACACAAAATCTCAAATACAATGTATCCATTTTCCCTAAAAAATACACTCAACACACATTCCTCCAGGATTCCAAAAACTTTTAACACAAATACACATATACCTTCAGAGATAAGATTTCTAGTTACAATACATATATCATATCCTGAAAATCATTGAAAATGGCACTATATGTTATATGTGTATTTATATATGTATTTATATGTCCTATATGTATATATACATATACACATACACATACTCCTATATATTTCACTTGCCAATGTGTTTCTAAATGATGAAGACATAGGAGAGACAAAATATCATTTTCTTCTACCCATTCTAGGTTCATGACTGAGGCCCTTATAACAAAAGATAGATTAACAACAGAAAATCATACACAGTTATTTAGTATAAGTTTTATGTGACATGGGAGTCTTCAAAAAGAAATGAAGATATAAAATAAGTAAACTTGAGTTTTTTTAATAGTAGGTTTGATGAAGAGTAGATAGTCATAGAGAAATATGATAAGGCAAAAAGATGTGATCTAATAGTAATAAGCTGATGGAAATAGCAAAGTCTGCCTGTTCAGATTCTTTTCCGACTCTTCATCTTCAGAGTTAAGGTTGTTCCTTTACTCCAGGTATAGAAAAGCATCTTTCACAAGAAGGTCCTATGATCTGCCCCAGGGAGGTCAGAAAACCCTCTCTAAGTTTCATGACCTGATTTAGGGGAGAAGGGCAGGGGAAAGTCAGAGAGATCTTTCTGCTTCTGCCGTTTTCTCAGATTCCTTTAGCTTAAAATATCCAGTATGCCAAGGTGTCTTATTCTGGGGTAGCATGTTCTAAACCCCAACAAAGACATCCAACTAAGATTATTGAATATGTCAGTATATGCAAAATGATTCAACAGCATACATTCATGTGCATACATTCTATCATTATGGCAGTCTTCTTGACAATAGAGCCACTACATTTATCAAGAAAGTGGATCAAAAAACAGCAATAAGAGAAAACTTTAATTTATGCAAAAGCTATATTTATTTATTTATCTTACATGCACTAATTATACTGTATTTGTTATTTATGAAGGGCACAATATTAAAAGACAATATAAAAACATGTATCCCTTACATGAAATATCAACATCAAAATACATAAGATAATTAAAATATACAGTTGATAGAATCCAGGAGAAGCTGAAAAACACAATACCAATGGAAGACAAATACATTTTTTATAGTTCTAGAGAGATCAGGAACACACAAATAAATTAACAAACAAGTATTCTACAGAGAGTTAGCATTTGTTTCCCACCACTCATAGGACCCTTGGAACAATGGAAGAGTTCAATACCCTGCAATATGCAGCCCTTGTGGAGGATACATTCTCTGACTGTAATGTAGTACAAGATGAAAATAACAACAAAATAAAATGAACAATACTCAGTAATTTGACCACACCCTAAGTTTTGCAGAATTGTACTATGACTCTCTATTTTTATTCAAATATTGTTTTTCAGATTTTCAACTTATTAACCTTGCGTTAGTCTGTTCTCATGCTGCTATAAAGACATATCTGAGACTGGGTAATTTATAAAAGAAAGAGGTTTAATGGACCCACCATTCCACATGGGTGGGGAGGCCTCACAATCATGGCTGAAGGAGAATGAGGAGCAAAGTCACGTCTTACATGGCAGCAGTCAAGAGAGCATGTGCAGGGGAACTCCCCTTTATGTAACAATAAGATCTCATGAGACTTATTCACTATCAGGAGAACAGCAGGGTAAAGACCCACCCCCATGATTCAATTACCTCCCACCAGGTCCCTCCTACATGGGGATTATGGGAGCTCCAATTTAAAATGAGATTAGGGTGGGGACACAGGCAAACCATATCAAATCTAAAGCCATTCTGTGTGGCTATCACACTGCATAATAACATTCCATATTTTTATAATTGTGATTCTTAACCCCTATACTGTGATTCCTTTGGCCACTATATATATCTACAGTTGTGACAGCACAAGACAATGGGCCATCCTCCTGAGACTGTCATTCTTGCACTGAATGACTTGTGTCATGCCAGTATTAAAATGTCCCTTAATCGTGTTCCTTTAATTATTCTTATCCAAGTTCCTATTTTCAAAGCTTTTCTTCACTTTTTAACATTTAAAAATGAGACTAAATTGGCTGGGCACAGTGGCTCATGCCTGTAATCCCAGCACTTTGGGAGGCCGAGGTGGGCAGATCACAAGGTCAAGAGATCAAGACCATACTGGCCAACGTGGTGAAACCCCACTCTACTAAAAATACAAAAATTAGCCAGGCATGGTGGTGCATGCTACTTGGGAGATAGAGTCAGGAGAATCGCTTGAACCCACGAGGCAGAGCTTGTAGTGAGTCGAGATCACGCCACTGCACTCCAGCCTGGGGACAGAGCGAGACTCCGTCTCAAAAAAAAAAAAAAAAGAGAGAGAGAGAGACTAAGTTAGCTGGGGGAGGTGGCTTATGCTGTAATCCCAACACTTTGGGAGGCCGAGGAGAGCAGATCCTAAGGTCAGGAGATCGAGATCATCCTGGCTAACATGGTGAAACCCCATCTCTACTAAAAATACAAAAAATTAGCCGGGCTTGGTGGCGGGTGCCTGTAGTCCCAGTTAATCAGGAGGCTGAGGCAGGAGAATGGTATCAACCTGGGAGGCGGAGCTTGCAGTGAGCCAAGATCACACCACTGTACTCCAGCCTGGGCGACAGAGCGAGACTCCATCTCAAAAAAAAAAAAAAAGAGAGACTAAATTATTTAATATGTAGAGAAGTGTCAATAGTAAGAATAATATATCAAAATTGATCAGAAATTTCCAAAGTTGGACTCAGAAAAATAAATGTCTCTATATGCTTTTTGTACTGCTATAACAAAATAACTGAGACTGGGTAATTTGTGTTTTTATTTCTCATAGTTCTAGAGTCTGGGAAGACCAAGATCAAGACTCTAGCGTGGTCTAGTTATTTTAGTCCAACAGATTTCTAGGATTTATGTTTGGCTGGTTCAAATACATAGTATCATTTTAGATAAAATTATTTTACTTGTTTGAGAATTTTACCTTCTGGCTTGGTTTAAACCAACTCTTATCTTACCAGGGTTTACTGACTAGATTAAACCATAGTGGCCAAGTTTACTACACTTCACAGATGAAATTGAGATGAAAATGCAACTTGCAGCTAGGTTTCATGCTCAGTCACTAACATCAACTGATAAACACAAACTTAACAGTGGAAAAAAGAAGCTTAAAGGAGAAAGTATAGAAACTACTATCTAAAAGGTACAGAAATTACTGAGGAATTTAAAATTTGCTTCCTGTGGTAGTTTTTATGGCAGCTATTTGAAAATTGTCATTTGAAAAACTTCCATATGGATTGAGCTCAGCAGAATTGCTACAAATATTAAATGGTAGCCCACAAATCCAAACTGAATCAGGACTTCAAACACAATCAGTTGGGTCATCAAATTGATTTGTATTAATAGATTAATTTCAGCAAAATAAGTCAATCCAAAGCCACTTAATTTTAAATTCTGATTTCAGTTCTAATAGCTAATATCCCTTAAATGCCTCTCATTAGTTGAATATAACTTAGAACCATTAGGAGAGAGATCCTGGAAAATTTATTGCTGAGACTGACCTGAAAGAATACAGAGGGAATGTAGAAAGGGGTAGCAATGACGTAGGTTTACAACAGAAATCCAGCAGACCAATCAAGTGCTGGGCCACATATTGGATGACAGATCTGACTTATGAGAAAAATTGCTCTACTTTATTCATAATCAGAGAATGACAAATATTAGCAAGGATTTAGGGGCTCAATACAATTCAGTGTTATATTTCACCACTGTTTAAGAAATTGAAAAGCGAGAAAAAGCCCCAAATACATCTACCACGATATGATCGATCCAGGCAGTGGAATGCTATACAGTCAGTGAAAATGAAAAGGCTGTAATTCACAGGATAAAAGCATATTGAAATGTTTAAAGTATTCAATATAATTTTGAGTAAAAAATACAGACCACAAAGTTCAGTGTGAGCCAGTATGATCTCATTTATGTAAAATGTAGCTACTATATTTTTATAAGCTATCTGGAAGGGTATAAACTAAATTCATAGCAGCACTATTATGGGGGATAATATTTAGTGGGGAGAGACCTTTACTTTACAATATATATACTTTTAGGGTTAAGTTATTATTAACTAATATGTCTTTCTCTTATAATAAAAATAGAGGCTTTTTAATTGAAGTCATTACAGAAATTTTATCTAGCAGCTGAGCAATATTATCAGGATAAAGTTGTTATTATTAGCAAGTAACAAAAAAAACCTGTAAAACTTCCTGGGTATGGAAGATAGCTACTAGATGTGTATTATTTAATACTATACCCTTAACACATTACGTAGAACATGATAAGTGTTCAATAAATATTAAGTGCATGAGTAGTTAAAACCTCTTTCATGATTGACTGATAGATAGATACATAGGAAAGGTGGAAAACAGATCACATTAGAAACAGAATAGGGTTAACTTATTAAGGAAAATGAGTTGTATACACTAGTGGTAATGACTAAAATTCTCAGAGAATTACTTAAGTTGTGTCTATTATTATTTTTAAAATATTTCTTTATATTGAATTATTAAATAGGTATCAGTATTAGTAATCAGGACACAGTTTATATATTTAGCTTAATAAAGTTAATAAAAATTATATAAAATGACTACCTAATGTATTTAACTAGAATTAGTAAAGAAAGCTATGCTGGCAGGGGGCTGACATCACCTTCTTCTCCAGTGACATGTCTTATGATATATTATTTGGGATTCTGTTCCTTGGTATGTTATCATCACTCATATGTACTAATTTTAAAAAATGGTTAAGCAATTACTTCCCTAGGAAAATCTCCCTTTTAATAAGATTTGCTTGAAACCTCCAAAGCCTTTAAGAAATAGTAATTTTCTAATGGTGAACACACAAGCATCATATTAAATAGCATGACATATATTTTGGAAGGAGAACCTGATAATTACTTTCAAACACCACAACCCAGCCAGTTGTCTTCTGAAGTACCATACTTCTGAAGTAGGAAATAACATAACCATTTCTTGGGCCCCTGAAAGTAAGACCGTGCCTATTTCACATTGGTGAATTCAAGGTTAGAGGCAAGGGATCCGGTATGGCAACAGCAAGAGGAAGTGAATGGAGTAAAGGATAAGTTAGGTCTTTTCAAGAACTTAGGGGGAAATAATAATTTTTAAATAAGGTATGTAAAGCGCATCTTAGTTTACTGGTTCTTTATTATCCTCTTCTGGATGTCACAGGAACTGGATTATCTACTTTCGTATTCATCTATTTTCATGCTGCTAATAAAGACCTACCCAAGACTGAGTAATTTATACAGGATAGAGGTTTAATGGACTCACAGTTCCACATGGCTGAGGAGGCCTCACAATCATGGCAGAAGGCAAGGAGAAGCAAGTCATGTCTTACGTGGATGGTAGCAGGCAAAGAGAGAGAGCTTGTGCAGGGAAACTCCCCCTTATGAAACCATCAGATCTTGTGAGACTTATTCACTATTATGAGAGCAGCACAGGAAAGGCTTGCCCCCATGATTCAATTACCTCCCATCAGGTCCCTCCCACAATAAGGGGGAATTATAGGAGTTACAATTCAAGATGAGATTTAGGTGGGGACACAGCCAAACCATATCAGCTTTATATTCTCTGGTGTAGGAACTGGACTAGTTTTTACTCAGGGTATCTTTCTTGGTCCACTATAGAAGTAAACATATTTTTACAGATTTTTTTTCCCTACGATCTTTTCCCTAAATTAAAATATCTTCCTGATGTTTTCTAAGATTGGTTACTGCCAACAGAAATGCCATTCCATTCACTTTCTACCTTATTTGCAATTAAAAGGAAAATATATTCACACATACAATGAATCATGAAGGATATTTGATTACATATAGGATTGAAATGAATTTAAACTTTATTTTGGAACCCCTCCTCTCAGCAGGCTCTCAAGCAGACTGAGAGGAGAACAAGGACTTTAAGGTATAGAGAAGCAATGGCAGAGGGACAGGGTCTGAGGAAAATAACCAATCAGGAAATAGACGTGCTCTCCTCCTCTTTGTGAATTCTTATGATTTGTAGGCCTAGACTACATACTTCACCTGGCACTCACATTGGAAAAGAGTGAAAATGGGAAACAGAGTTTGGGAAACAAGGTTTTGCTAAAGTAGAAAAGGAATAGAAAGGGATATTATACATTGCAGCATCTGAAAGAGAAAGAAAACTTGAGGAGATACTTCTCTGAATCAGTTATTCCTAAAGGAAACTGTATTAGTCAGGGTTCTCTAGAGAGACAGAACTAATAGGATAAATGTATATACAAAGTGGAGTTTATTAAGCAGTGTTGACTCATAGGATCACAAGGTGAAGTCTCACAATAGGCTGCCTGCAAGCTGAGGAACAAGGAAGCCAGTCCAAGTCCCAAAACCTCAAAAGTAGGGAAGCTGACAGTGCAGCCTTCAGTCTGTGGCTGAAGGCCCAAGAGCCCCTGGAAAACCACTGGTGTAAGTCCAAGTGTCCAGAAGCTGAAGAACTTGGAGTCCAATGTTCAAGGGCAGGGAGCATCTAGCACAGGAGAAAGATGAAGGCCGGAAGACTCAGCAAGCTTGCTGTTCCATCTTCTCCTGCCTGCTTTATTCTAGCCATGCTGGTAAATGATTAGATGGTACCCACCCAGATTGAGGGTGGGTCTGCCTCTCCCAGCCCACTGACTCAAATGTTAATGTCTGTTGGCAACACCCTCACAGACACACCCAGGAACAATACTTTGCCTCTTTCAACACAATCAAGTTGACACTCAGTATTAACCACCACAGAAACTTTACTTTTAAGATATATGCATAAATTAATCACAAAGAAAAGATTAACTATGCACAAACACATAGATAAAAATGACAAATTTTAATTGCTGTTAGCTATTTCCAATATTTTAAATAACATCATATGGCATATATTAGAACTAGCTAGTATTTGACTTCAAAGCAATAGCTCAGCTGAGATGGGATATAAGTTAACACACATAGGAGGTGGAGTAACTGTCACATAGGAGGCAATTAATCAATGTCAACCAAGTTTTTTTCTGGCAATGGAAAAAAATACTATTAATTGCATTTCCCAAATAAAAACAAATTGAAAAATGCAAACATTTTTCACTCTATATTTCATATAAAAATGAATAATAACTTTGGTCACCATTTTGTATTGCTATTTTATAATTTTTTATCATTATAATCCCATTCCCTTTTATTTCCCAGATACTAGACCAAATCTTAGGCTAAATTATTCACATCTCAGAAGGGAGATGTATATTATAAGATGATTTCCATTAAAAAAAATCTTTAAAATAAGTGAAGAACTCCAAAATTTCTTAACTATTTAGAAACATTAACTTTTCAGACTACTTTTACTCTAACAATGTCAAATGAGTGGTTGGCACATATGATTCAAATGTCACCAACAGCTCACAAATGGATATAAAGAACTATAATTTGTCACTATAAGAGATTCAAGGCTATCAATTATCTGCCATCACAAACTAAGCAATTACATGGATCTGACATTTCTCTAGAGCTTAGTTTATAAGGTTTTTTACATCAGGAAGTAGAATTTGTCTATCTTTGTATCCTAGGACCTCTTCTAGTACAGTGGCTAGCATGTGACACTGTAGGTGATCAATAAACTCATAAAATGGTTAATGGGACTTCATTTGAAACAGTAGAGGGATAAGACGCAATTGCTATTACCTCCATGCAATATTATTATCACTCTCCTCCCCACTCTAAGACCCCTGGAAAGACAACAAAATCATATAACAAGATGATGCAGATATAGTTATATCAGATAATATTAGAAGAGAAACAGCAGTTAGTAAAGAGAAGTATATTTGGCAATGATAGTTCCCATGCAACAGACAAAGAGGAAAAGAAAAAAAGCAGCAAGAAATATAGAGAAAGATGAAAGGAAAGGGAGATATACAGATCGTAGCTATGAGGAAGGAGTGATTGTTCCTAAATGTTGCAAGTGTGGATAATACAGATTGGTGGATGATTCATGGCTAAAATAGCAAGCTTCAGGTAAATCAGAGGAAGAAGCAAGGACCAGAATACAGGCGAAAGGAAAAGTATAAGAGCATTGAGCAATTAAGGTTCTGATACATATAATTTCCCAAAATATTGCAAGTAGCCTAAACAGCCTGAGCACCTTTTTTCTTAATAAGAGTTGAGTATGTAAAGTTCCCTTTTATAAAACTATAAAAAGATGTAGCATTTGGCGGCTATTTCTAAAAAATACAAAACCATATCCATTTGCGAAAACATTCATTCTTTCCAGACAGCAGCCATGAGTGCTTTTATATTATTCTTTTTCAGCATTAACCAGAAATGGTCCCCAAAAGATTGAGAAATTAATGACTACAAAGACAACCTTCGTTATTCTCAAAGAATACACAGCATAGATGTTCTGAGCTAAATTTTGCACATTATCCTGTATATGTCCTTCCTTCATAAATAATAGCATCTATAATTTTAGTTCTGATTTACCTTGAGAGTTTGAAAAAAATAAAATGAATGTTTCATAAAGATATTGGAAACATTCCTATTTGACAGAGAATATAAAACCTATACTGATTAGAATAGGAATGAGGAAAGCTAGGCTCTCTTACAGGCTATATGTCTTCTAACTTACTAATTTCAGGACACTCCTGGACAAATTATTGTGTAAGAAGTGATTTCGTGAATTGAATTTCTTTCCCATCGCTCCTATTGTTCAGACAGAAATCTAGGAATCATAGAGAAGCAAATAGGCATAGCATCTTTCATTGCCTGTTAATAAAAGACAATTTTTAACATAGCCCAGGGCAGGGAAAGGCGGATACCCTTGTGTTACAATAAAGCCAGAGTTATTAGTTATTTATTTGTTACAAATAAGGTCAAAGTTATGTTAATAGAAAGAATATGAATTTCTCACAGAGGCCAGATGGGGACCTTTAGAAATAAATGAATCATCACAGTGGGAAGGGTGTTTGCTTTCAGAATACTTTGGGTGAAAATAAGCTATTGTCTAGAGTAAAAGCACCTACCCAACCCTATCAACTAGTTATTTTCTCTAAATGGGAAACACAATTGTCATTATATTCCCCTAACACATCCAGAAGATAGAAAAACTCTGGCATATCCCTTCATCTCTCTGCGAAACCAGTGGAAAACCATCAAGTCAATGAAAAAAAATTTGAGTGCTTTTAGCAGATGCTTTCAGCTACAAAATTGGAAAGACATGGGATGATTAGCAACAGAGGGGCTGGGAAATCATGTGTATTTGTGTGGATGGTTAGTGAGGAAAGAGATTAAAGAGAAAGGACTGAAGGAAAGAGGCAGAGAATGGAGAGAATGAAGCATAAGATATTCATGTGCGACACCCACCTATTCCACATCCAAGACCTACTCCAAGTCATCAATCCTGATGTGACAAGAAGCAGTCAGGTAGCTAAGCTATCTTGCCTACATCTATGCAAATCTTGTATATATAGATTTAGGACAACTACCTGAAGCCTACGATGAATTTCTTAAGTTTCCCTTAATATTCTGTGTATTCACTTTAGGAACAGGAGCTTAAAGTAAAATCCAGAGTGGAGAAAGCTGTAGCCCCATTGCTTCGCCATAGTCATCAGCAGACTGACAGCATCCTCGAGGCAGTGTATTTTCAATGAGTGGGATCTACCCACAACTATGGCTAAGTTAGGTACTTGAGACCTCTTCATTCTCATCCTCTTCCTAAAAAAATGGCTTAAGGCAACAGAGGGGGTATAGATGGGCAAGAAAAGAAATTTCATACAGATTACAAAGAATACTATTTCTCTTGAAATACGCTATCACCAACTTCAGATTTCTAAAATGTAAAACAGAAATTCCCAGGAGCATTTCTTTCCTAACTAAGGCTCTCAGTATAATGACAATTTTGCCCACAGGATAATGATCTACATTGAGATAAATACTATTACAAAACCCAAGTAAGAAAGAGTCTTTAGATTTAAGAGCCAAAAAATAAATATAAGTGTTCATATTAGAAAAAGAAAGACAAAAGGGAAACACAACTGTAATATCCTCCATCTTTTTAGGAGGCTACAGTAGATTTCAAAACTACTTCAATGTTGCTTCTCTGTATTTTTAATATGCCATGAGGAATTATGCCCAGAGTCAGTTACCCCAAAGAAAAAACCTTCAGTGACATATTTTAGCACAGTGCATACTCTTTAACATCCAATTAATATAAAAAACTCAGAAAAAAGTATGAAAGAGACATAGAAGAGGCTCACAAATTTTAAAATATTGGCAATTTTATAAAACACTCAAATTGACAGAGGTGTAAATGCATATCAGAGAGATATAAAGGTTTATAATTTCTAGGCAAAATAATGAAATACTAATAAAACACGGAGTTACTCTTTATGCCCTAGATACAATATATAAAATATTAACATAAAATATGTAGCCTATATATGCACACATGTGTATGTATATAAATAAATATAATTTGGAATTGTATTTCAATAACTCAGCACAGAAATAATTAAAAGCAAAAGCTCAGTGTTAAGGTTTCTCTTAAGTTAATCATGAGATCAAGCAGTTAGGTTTAATGAATAGCAAGCCTATGGCTGTAACTTTATATGAAAGTTATTTTCCCTGAAGAAAATCTATGAGGGAAATGAAAAGTAAGTTGCAAGGTATTTTAAGGCTTATAGGTTTAAAAAAATCTAAAATTAAGCTTTATTTTTAGATTTTCTGTTGTCACAGAAACACAGTTTGAAAATAGGAAATTTTGACCTAAAATGTTTTAAAATATAGATAACAAAAGAAACAAGGAAGCAGTACACAGTGATCAATTTAGCACTGTATTCCACTATTCTAAAATAAAATTTTACTATCTCAGGAAAGGTGATTATTTTCAGGGCTATGATAGACAGTCTCTTCTGAACTGTGCTTGTATTCCTCACTAGTGAAGGGCAAGGTTTATAAGGCAGAACAAGGCAGGAGTAGTAATAGCAAAAATAGCAGAAAGAGAACTGTGGGACACTCTCGTAACCTGATGCCTCCCTTCTTTTCCCATATGCAAGCTTATTCTTGTGAAATAAGAATCAAATGCTGTTAACATATAATTAAGGCAGAGACAAAAAATGACCTGAAAATCTGAGGTTTTTTCCTTTGAAAGAAAGCTTCGTTATTTTTTCCATCTTTTTCCTCCCAAAACATTCATCATGGAAACATTGTTACTTCACTTATCCTAATATTTCCTTTCTCTTTCTCCATCCTTAAAAAGTGACCTCCACACTTTCTTCCTGGTTCCTTTTTTAGGTACCTTCTTAATCAGATTGTCAGACAAAAAGAGAAAGGAATGGGTGAATATTATTTCTACCAAGTGAGACACCCTTTATCCTCTTCAAAATAGGAGAACAGGAAACAAAAACCACCTTTTTAAACAAATATTCTATTTACTAAGTAATCAATGGAAATCTGGCCATAAAATACCAAGTCAGGAAAAGTTAATTCATTTTTAAACAGATTTTCCATTGATAATATTTATCGAAGATTTATCTCAATTAGTCCACATCCTAGTGAAATTTAAGTGTTTATCTCAATTAGTCCACATCCCAATGAAATTTAAATTTTACAGCATGGGGAAAACAGCCCCCATGATCCAATCACCTACGACCAGATCCCTCCCTCAACACGTAGGGATTACAATTTGAGATGAAATCTGGGTGGGGACACAGAACCAAACCATATCGGACCATAAAACAATCAATATCCTCCCAAAAATGCACCATAACTTTCCACAAAAGTATCAATTGTGAAAAATGAGAAACCTAAAGAAAATATCTTACAAATATTATTGCAGTTAGAATATTCTACATCTTTCAACATTTTTCAATTTTTTTCCTCACCATTAATGCGAAGCATCTGCAATGTGCCTGCTATTTTGTCATTTTCACTCATTTCTAGAAAATCTTTTCTAAATTCATCATTCACTGAAACTAACTATGGAAAGCAGAATGTCCCAGGAGTTGCGCATTAGTATTTGGCATTTCATTCAAGATTCATAATTTCTGTCTACAAACCTTACACAGAGACATTCCTTTACTAGATTACAATGTCTCCCACATGTAAAGTAAAAAATAACAAGTACATTTGCTTTGCAAACCATTACTTTTTTTCTAAAGTGGGAGAACCTTATTATCAATAAGGTCCCTTTTTATGGGATGTGATGAGTGTGAGGATTCGTGAAAGCTGCTCAGTTGCCCCAGATGTTATTGGGAGAAATGTTGGGAGAGCTGATTGAGAAACCCTGGAAGCACAAAAAGCTAGAGGTGGGGGAATGGCAGACTTTAATAAAATAATGTAATATGTAATCACATATCAAATTTTTCTGAAAAAGAAGCACATTGGATAAATGAAGCAAGTTCCGAAACTGCATGAATACCGGTTTTCTTTAGAAAGTTAACTCAAGCATGTGCACACATGCATAAACCATTATACACACGATAGACATCATTATTTTTCTAGCTCAAGAGCCATTTACACTTCTTTTCCTTTTTTGACTCCTTTTTCTCTTTGCTTTTCAGCTTTCTTTTAACATATTTTTAAGTTCACAGATTCTTTAAGCTCACTAATTCTTTCCACTGATGAGCACATTCAAGACATCCTTCATTTCTGTTAAAGTGTCTTTGATGTCTAGTATTTCCTTTTCATTTTCAGAATTTCCATCTAGTGTCCTTGTTTTCGCCTCCCCTGGTTGTCTTTAGGTTTACCCAGAAATTTACTTATAAATAAGGTCTGAGGCTGGCAGTTCTTTCAACTGTAATCCCGTTATTTTTAACGGGAGTCTTGTTCATGTGGTGATAGGTGGGAAGCTTTCTATATTTCTATGATAAGGTTTCGGTCTTTTTTAAGCCTGTGTTCCTCAGCTTTAACCTTCACAAGTGCTTCTCAGTGTTTTCCTTTCCTTTTCCTACCCCATTAGGTGAGACAGGAAGCCTAAAGAAAGCTAGAGTTAGGTATTTTCCTTCTTCCAGATCAATTAGATTTTGATAAAACTCAAGATGGTTGGAGTCTGGTAAAATTATTTCCCTGGAGTACAGATCTTTTGCCAATGAGAAGAGAGTGCTCTGAGCTTATTTTGAAATTGTTAAATTATCCTTCCCCTTGCTTGAAGCACGGAAAGGATTCTTCTCCAATTTTATCTCCCTGAGAACCCGGTGGAGTTCCTGAAGGTAAAACTCAGAAAAATGTGTAGCCCTCATTAGCCGGGATCCCCGAAAGTTTTTTTCTCTCAAGCTAGTCTGTGTTCAATCCCTAACAATTAGTTGGTTCCTCTTTAGGATCTAGCAATTGCTTCTGTGCCCAATAAGGTATAATTTTCCCTTTTCCTGGCTCCCTAGTTTTGAGGGGAGGAGTTTTCCCTTTGACTTCAATGCTCTGACTAATTTACCAATAGCTGTTGATTTTCAGTTTGTTCAGGGCCTTTCTTGCTGCAAGTATGGCAGTGATAACTTCCTAGCTCTTTATATTTTAGGCCAGCTAACGGCTTTATAAATGCTACATTAAGGAATGATTCATTGTAAATTTCCATAAAAACTTATACTATTATTTAACCAACCAAATGTTGATTTTAATAGACATAATTCAATCAGACATCCAATTTGTTTATCCTATGTCACCTCGCCTGCACACTTACAGATTTTATTGTCCCGTCCTGCTGAGAAATCGAGCTGGTTCTGCTTGACTTCACAACACATATCTCAAGTCCTAGTTCAAGTCTTGATTCAAAAAAATTCCTACTTATGGCTTGAGACATAAATGGTGTTCACTAACATATGAATACCATGATTGGCAAGAACTGATGACAGATCATTATGAATAATTCGCAGATCTGTTTTTACTGTATTTGGTGAAAGGCAGAATACTCACTGCTGATTGAAATGTTGCCTTTGCCTTTGAAAACTTATAAAAGAAACAGCCAATTTTTAGCAGCTGGAAAGAAGGCTTACTTTTAGTTTGCATGTTGTTCTCTGAAAATACCTTTTACCTAATTCAGCAAAAACTGGTGGAAATTTCCAAATCACTGCATACCAAAAATTAAAAATATGACCATGTATTAGTCCATTTTCACACCGCTCTAAAGAACTACCTGAGACTGTATAATTTATGAAGAAAAGAGGTTTCATTGAATTCATGGTTCTGCATGTCTGGGAAGGCCTTGAGAAAATTAGCAGTCATTGCGGAAGGCAAAGGAGGAGCAAGGAACATCTTACATAGTGGCAGGAGAGAGAGAGAGAGTGAGGGGCAAACCGCAAAACACGTTTAAACCATCAGATCTTGTGAGAACTCACTCAGTGTCAGAGAACAGCATGGGAAAAACTCCCGCCATGATCCAATCACCTACCACCAGGTCCCTCCTTCAACACGTGGGGATTACAATTTGAGATGAGATTTGGGTGGGGACACAGAGCCAAAGCATATCAGACCATAAAACAATTAATGAATGGAGGATTATAAGTAAATATTTTTATAATAAACTCAACCTTAAAAACTGATCCTGCTGAAAAGAGTTTGTTGTGATATAATTATGGTGAATCAAGAGAGTCAAACTAAAAAAAATTTTGGTGGTAGTTGTTTTAAATTACATATTACACAGTAAATGTGACATCATTCACACGGTCAAAACACATTATTTTTACTTTTAAAATATTTTTATCAAAGTCACCACATTTTCCCATAGCCCTTTAACTATTTTTTAAACAAAATTACACAAGAGAATTACACTAATCTGCATGAGATCTCACTCAATATGTTTCCTTAGTGGACAAAAAAATGTCTTTGTGGGGAAGATAGAAAAGAAAAAATATAAGCTAAAACTTTAAGGGAGGTAGGGACTAATGATGTGTAAAATTTAATACGGCTCAGTACGCCTACTATGCTATATTCCATTTGTTAAAGAATGGTAGAAGAAGCAGTTCTCTGGATAATGTGAGTAAGGGTTATTAGCAATAATAATGGTTTGCTAGCCAAAACATTTGCAGATTAAGCAACCTCTGCCATGGAGGTTAGTAATATTTCAAAGATATTGCTCAAGAGAGTGGAGTAGGCATTTTATTTTTGTACCAAGAAAACTGGACTCTTTACCAAAGTGGGTGGCAGCAGAAGTCTTGCTTCTCTCATTTTTCAATTTAATGGGTAGTGAGAATTCTACCTAGTACTGAAAATTGTATGGCATTTCACTCATTCAATCATGCAGTGTTCTACAGTTATGCTCAAATCGTCTGCTACTCTGCTCTTGTTAAAAATCACATCAGAAAATGCAACAATCTGTTTTATACCCAGGTCAGTTTTAAAATAAAAATAACGAATAATGTATGTAAGTTTCTTCATTAAAACCGCATTTTTGCCATTTTTGTAATGAATAAATAAATAGAGCTAAATTGTCAAAATGACCATTAGGTTTCCTATATTTGAATTTCCATTTATCAGACAAATGGTTTTAGGCAAAGGCCTTTGAATGTCTCATAAAGAAACCTTAGAATTCCAAGTGTTCTTGTTAGCCAGTCTAATGGCTAGAAATCCAGGTGTGGACTAGCCACACAGTTGTTATATATTACATATATATAAAATGTTGATAATTCAGGAAGGTCCCTGAGAAAGAACATCATTCCAAAGTTGAATCCACTGTGCTTGTGGTTTAATAAAAACTGTATAACTTTGAGGGTTGTCTATCACAATTCCTTGAATCATGACACCTTTTAATGAGAGCCAGAACCACTCAAATGGTATAATTAATTACATTCCTTTTCAATCACAATTACTATTTAATCTAAGCTCACCCAATGGCAGCTACTGTCAGAAGTTCCATTAATATATAGCCTTAGTAACACCTTTCAGTATTAATCAACTTGGCTAAAATAACAACATTTCAACTAAGACTTTCACACAGATCATACTTAGAAAATATGGGGGGGGTGTCATTTTCCAGACACTATTCCAAAAGTCAGAAGCAAAACTATTTGGGGGAGAGGAAGGTCTATAATGTGGCAATAGCTTAACTGAGGTGTAATCCAGAGCACCAAGTAGGATCTAACCCAGAATGGCTGACAGTATCTGAGCCAGAACCACTGTGAATTAGGATCAACTTCCAACTTAAGACATACTATGGTCTGAATATATGCCCCAAAATTCGTAGGTTGAAACCTAACTCCTAAGGTGATGGTATTAAAACGTGCTGCCTTTCAGAGGTAACTAGCTCATGGGGGCAGAACCCTTACAATGGGATTAGTGTCCTTACAAAAGAGGCTGAGAGATCTTGTTTATCCTTTCTACCACACGAGAAGTCAACGAGAAGTCAGCAGTCTGCAACCTGGAAGATAGCCCTCATCAGAACCCAACCATGCTGGTGCCCTGATCTTAGACTTCCTAGTCTTCTGAACTGTGAGATATAAATTTCTGTTATTTACAAGCTACCTAATTTATGGTATGTTATTACAGCAGTCTAGACAAACAAATATAGCAAAACGCCAATAACAAAGACTCGCAGAGACACAACTCCAGTCAGTTTGAAGGATTGCTCATGAAGATCATCACCATGGTTCATGATACAGCCCTGGAGGGACAAACACAAAAATCACACTTAGGCTTTAAAGTCGAAGATGCTGATGGTGAAAATGAATATTCCTGTACCACAGAGAATTCCTAGTACATTTGTTCTCAATGTTTGCTACACACTTGAATCACGTATTATTGTCTTCATAAAATTGATGGAAAATTATTTGAGGAACAGATGTCAATAAGTTTCTTTTAGTATAAAGTGCTAAGTTTCTCCAAATAGGTCTTAGATAAGCTGATATTAAACCCTCTTTTCTTTGCTCTTTCATTTTTTCTACCTAAAAAGAGAGTCTGGCAGGCATAAATGTTTCTTTTCCTCTTCCCTTCCATGTCTGGCCTTACATCTAGGATAGTAAGCGTGTTTCAACCTGAAAAGGGAAAGGAGAATAGTAGCCTGACAGATAGGTCAATCAAGAGCATCTGGTTTCCATCCTTAAAATATCTATTTGTATATAAAAATTAAAGGCTTTTATTTTTTTTTTAAAGTGTGGTCCTCAACTAGGAGCTTCAGGATCACCTGAGACTATTTTAGAAATGCAAACCTAAATAATTCCGGAGGGAGGGCATGGGAATTTGCATTTTAACAAACCTTCCAGATAATTCTGATGCATGCCAAAGTTTGAAAACCATTAGTCATTCTTCTGATTAAGAGTTCAAGTGAAGTTGTGATACATGGATATATTATGTAGTGGTGAATTCTGGGCTTTTAGTGCACCCATCACCTGAATTATGTACACTGTACTCAAAAGTATTTCATCCCTCCCCTCATTTTTACCTTCTTGAGTCTTCAGTGTCTGTTATTCCATTCTATGTGTCCATGTATACTCATTGTTTAGCTTCTACTTATAAGTGAAACATGAAAGAAACATTAATCTTTACAATCATTTATGTAAACTATTCATCATGTTTTCCTGAATTGGTAGGCAGCCCTATAATAACATATAGATGGTTAAAATTTCCAGATTCAATTGTTAGGTCAAAGCTTTTATTTGAATAGTAACTCTGCCCATGCTTGTCTGCATATTTTATTTATAGTTTTAAAGTCAGAGGGAAGTGAATCATATAAGCAAGATGGAATACTAGTAAGTCACAACAGCCATCCCTCCCACAAAAACAATAAACAACTATATAATGACAAATATAGCTCTGTGATGGCTTGGAATATGGTAAAGAAACTGCTGAAGCCCTTTGGAGCACAAAAACTGAAGGTGACTGCATAGAAAAGTGTACAAAACACTTTTATCTGTGCCACCTCATAGCTCCATCCAGCACAGCTCAGCACCAAGGGGGATTCCTTTGATTTGTCTTCCCCTCAACCCCCCACCACAGATGAAAAGTAGAGCAGGAGAGCCACAGAACCCTTGAAACTGTCATGGACTCCCACAGATTTTGCCACTGGGGATTACCAGTCTTCACTGACAAACTGAGCCTAGCTGATGACCTGTCTGTGCTGCTGCACCCCACTGGGGCTGAAGCCTGCTGAATACTGCTTCCCCCTTCAGGAACAGAGTCTCTGCTGTACATTGCCCTCCCATCAGAGTCAGAGCCACCACGGTAATCCATCCCCACTCTCTAAAGACAGAGCTACCAACCTCTTCCCCAAAACTACATGCATGTCCCAGACCCCAGCTCTATGCCCACTCTATGTACACCCACACCTTGGACAGAAATGTTACTAACTCAGTGAATGTACCCATAAGCCAGACCCAGCACCTTGGGAAATCTACTTGGCCATGACATCCCACCCTGGGGAACAAAGAAATCAGGAGGACCACAGCAGTCTTTGCCACTGAGGACCCCAGGAGCTCTCACCACCACCATGGACACCTGCAGACTTGGCCACCAAGGACCCCTACAGTTCTTACCAATGCTGACCTCAGCTGATGGAGCTCCACAGAGACAATGACTCAGCACTGTCTCTACAGCCAGAGCTACCGTTGTGCCCCCATTTGCTGCCATAACCCATCCAGCTGGCACTCTAACACCCATGTGTAGGTAAAGGTCTTTCCATAATGACACCAGTGTATAAAGTCTGGAAGAGGTGAATGTTCTTTCAAATGTACAGATATCATTGCAAGGCTAAAATAAAAATTTTTTAAATCAAAAAAACATGACACCTATGGAACACATAATTTTCAACTAAATAATCCCCCAAAAATGGAGACCTAAGAATCTCCTGATAAAGAATTCAAAATAATTATTTTAAGGTTTCTCAGTGAGCTACAAGAGAACACAGATAGCTCAATGAAATGAGAAAAATAATATATAAACAAAACAAAAGCCTCAATAAAGACTTGAAAATTACAAAAAAGAACCAATCAGAAATTCTGGAGCTGAAGTTTACAATGAATAATATGAAAAAGTGCCATAGACAGTTTCAACAGTAGACTCAATCAAGCAGAAGAAAACAATCTGCAAACTCAAAGACAAGTCATATGAAATCACCCAGTCAGAGGAGAACAAAGAGAAAAGAATGAAAGAGTGAAAAAAGCCTATGGGACTTAGGGACACTATCAAGTGAATAAATATATTCATTCTGGGAGTCTAAAAAGTAACAGAGAAAGATAAAGGGCCAGACAGCTTATGTAAAAGAAATAACTAGGCCAACCATGGTGACTCATGCCTGTAATCCCAGCACTTTGGAAGGCTGAAGTGGGCAGATCACTTGAGGTCAGGAGTTCAAGAGCAGCCTGGCCAACATAGTGAAAAACCACCTCTACTAAAAATACAAAAATTAGACAGGCCTAGTGGTACACACTTGTAATCCCAGCTACTCAGCAGGCTGAGGCATGAGAATCACTTGAAACTGGGAGGCAGAGGTTGCAGTGAACTAGGATCACACCGCTGCACTACAGCCTGGGCAAAAGGGTAAGACTCCATCTCAAAAAAAAAAAAAAAAAAAATGAAAAAAAAAAGAAAAGAAAAAGAAATGATTATGGAAAACTTCCCAAATCTGGTGAGGGAAATGAACATTCATATTCATGATGCCCAAGGAACCCCAAACAGGCTGAGTATCATGAGGTCTTCACCCAAATATCATAATCAAATTGTCTAAAGTCAAGGACAAACAGAATTTTAAAAGAGGAGGAGAAAGCGATTTGACATTTATAAGGGAGCCCTCATAAGACTATCAGCAGATTTCTTAGCTGAAACCTGATAGGCCAGGAGAGAGTAAGATTATACATTCAAAGTACTGAAAGAAAAAAATAACTGCCAACCTAGAACACTATATTCAGCAATATTATCATTTAAAAATTAAAAAGAGATAAACTCTTTCCCAGACAAACGAAAACTGTCACCACTAGGTCTGTCTTACAATAAATGATTAGAAGAGTTCTACAAATTTAAACAAAAATGCTCTAAAAATAATATAAGAGCATAAATCTCACAAGCAAAGGTAGATATATAAACATATATGGATTAATGTAACTCTACAAAGGTGTGTAAATTACTTTTAATCCTTATATAAAAGGTAATACAGTAGTCTCCCTTTATCTGCAGTTTTGCTATCCATGGTTTCAGTTACCCACAGTCAATCACAGTCTGAATATACTAAATGGGAAATTCCGGAAATACACAATTCATAAATTTTAATTTGCATGCTCTTCTGTTTAGCATGATGAAATCACACACCATCCTACTCCATATTGCCCAAAATGTAAATCATCCATTTGATTAGTGTATCCATGCCATATAGGCTACCTGTCCATTAGTCATTTATTAGCTGCCTTGATAATCAGATTAATAGATCACAAGAAGAAGAAAGGTGGGTATAGTATAATAAAATATTTTGAGAAAGAGAGAAATAGACCACATTCACATAACTTTTTGTAGCATATCATTATAAATGCTGTACTTTATTATTAGTTATTGTTGTTAATCATTTACTGTGTCTAATTTATAAACTTTATTATAGTTATATATGTATAGGAAAAACATAGTATATATAGAGTTCAGAACTATTCATCGTTTCAGGCATCTACTATAGGTCTTGGAACATATCTCCAACAGATAAGGGGGTACATAGATAAAAATTTGTTAATGGATATGCAATATAAAAGAAAGCAATCCCTGCCTTTAAGAACACAAAGTGTTGGGGGTTTGGGGAGTATAAGAGGAGTGTTTTTGTATGCAACTGAATCGTTTTCAACTCAAAATAGAAGACTACAACTACCAGATATTTTATACAAGCCTCAAGCTAACCAAAAACCTGTAATAGGTATACAAAGGATAAAGAGAAAAGAAAAACAGTAAAACGCATAAATACATACATACACACACACGCACGCACACACACACACAATAACAAAGGAAGGAGACAAAAGCAGAAGAGAGGAATGAAGCAACTGCAAAAAAACAAAATCCAAAAAACAAAACCCCAAACAATTAACAAAATGGCAAATAATTACCTTAAATATAAATGGATTAAACTCACCAATCAAAAAGTATACAATAGCTGAATGGATGGAAAAAAAAAGAGGATCAAGTTACTTTCTGTCTACAAGAGTCTTACTTTAGAATCAAAGACATACAAAGGCTAAAAGTGAAAGGATTGAAAAGGTATTTCCTGTAAATGGTAACTAAAAGAAAGAAGGCATGGATAGACTTTAAGTCTAATTCTGTCTCCAGAGACAAAGAAGGTCATTATACAATAATAAAAGGATCAATCCAACAGAGAGATATAACAAATGTAAATGTACCCACCCAGCACTTTGGGAGGCTGAGGTAGGCAGATCACAAGGTCAGCAGTTCAAGACCAGCCTGGCCAACATGGTGAAACCCTGTCTCTACTAAAATACAAAAATTAGCTGGGCATGGTGGCATGTGCCTGTAACCCCAGCTATTCGGGAAGCTGAGGCAGGAGAATTGTTTGAACTGGGACCTGGGAGGCGGAGGTTGCAGTGAGCTGAGATTGCACCACTATACTTCAGCCTGGGCTACAAAACGAGACTCTGTCTCAAAAAAAAAAACAAAAAAAAGTAAATATAAATGAACCCAATATCATCATTTAAATATATAATGCAAACACTGAGGAGAAACAAACAATAATATAATATTATTTGAGATTTCAATATCCCACTTTCGATAACGAACACAACGTCCAGACAGAAAGTGAATAAATATATGACTTGAATAATAATACATACCAAATAACACAACTTCTAACCCAGCAGCAAAATACGCATTCTTCTCAAGTGCACATGGAACATTCTCCAGGATAGATCATATGTTAGGTCACAAAACATGCCTCAATACATTTAAGAAGATCAAAATCATTACAGGTGTCTTTTCTAACCATGATGTAATGAAACTAGAATTTAAAAACAGGAAGAAATTGGAAAAATTCACAAAAATGTAGGAACTAAACAACACACCATTGGGTCAAAGTGGAAACTGAAGAAAATTTAAAAGTATCTCAAAACCTGAATAATAAAACACAACTTACCAAAACTTGTGAGATACAGCAAAAGCAGTAATAACAGACTATGTTATAATGATAAACACCTACATTAAAAATAGGAAAGACCACAAATAAACAATTTTATACTTTAAATAATCAGTGGAGAAAAAGAACAAACTAAACCCTAAATTAACATAATAAAAATTAATAAAGATTAGCAGAAGCAAATCAGAGAACAAAAAAATGGGAAAATATAGCAAAACTAAGGATTGGGTTTTTCAAAGATAAATAAAATCAATAAACCCTTAGACTAGACTATGAAAAAAAGAGAAAAGACTCAAATAAATAAAATCAGATTTGAAAAAGGAGACATTACAATGGATACCTCAGGAATAAACAAAGATCAAAAAGAACTGTAAATGACAATTATACACTAACAAACTAAAACAACCTAAAATGAATGGATAAATCCTTAGAAACTTACAAGCTACAAAAATTGAATCAGGAAGAAACAAAGTCTGAGAGGCCAATAACAAATAAGGAGATTGAATCGGTAAAAAAATCTTCCAATAAGGAAAGCCCCAGGATCTTATGGCCTCATGTTTGAATTCTATCAAACATTCAAAAAAGAACTGAAACTAATCCTTTTTAATCTCTTCCAAAAATAATTCTTCCAAACTCATTTTATGGGGCCATCATCACTCTGATAACATAACCATGCAAATCCTACAAGAAAAGTAGAAGTCCATATCCCTGATGCACATAGACTTAAAAATCCTTATTTTTAAGGATTTTATATTTATATTAAGGATTTAAGGATTAAATATTTATAAATATAAATATATATTATATTTACATTTATATTATATTGCTATTTATATTAAGGATTTAAGGATTTTAATAACATACTAGCAAACCAAATTAAAAGCCCATTAAAGGATCATATGCCATGACAAGTGGGAATTTTTCTAGAGATTCAAGGATGATTCAATATAAGCAAATTAATCAGCATTATACAACAGTTTACCAAAATAAAAAGAAAAGCATTCATGGTCATCTCAACAGACTGAGAAAATGCATTTGGCAAAGTTCAACACCCATTTGTAATTGAAGCTTTCAACAAAATAGGTAGAGAAATAATGCAGCTTAATATAAGAAACATATATGAAAAGCCTGAAGCTAACATCATAAGCAATGGGGAAAACCTGAAAGATTGCCCTCTAAGATCTGGTATAAGGCAAGAATGCCCACTCTCACAACTTCTTTTCAACATAGTTCTAGAAGTCTTAGCCAGAGAAATTAGACAAGCAAAAGAAATAGAGGGCATCCAAATTGGAAATAAATAGGCAAAATTATCTCTGTTTGCAGATGGCATAATCATATATATATATATATATATATATATATATATATATAACTCTAAAGGCTCCAGAATAAAACTGTTAGAAATAATCATCAAATTCAGTGAAGTTTAATACATGGTGTATAGGGAAGTTTAATGTATTTAGGTAATTCATTATTAGTGTATAGATATGAAACTGATTATTGTATAATGAGATTAATATATAATAATCAGTTTCATTTCTATACACTAATAATGAATTATCCAAAAAAATTAAGGAAATAATCTTATTCACAGTAGAAACAAAATAATAAGATATTCAAGTGTAAATGTAGCCAACAAAGTGAAAGACTTCTAAACTGAAATTTATGAAACATTGATAAAAGAAATTGAAAAAGGCACATATAAATGGAAAGAAGTCCCTTGTTCCATGGGATTTGAAGAATTAATACTATCAACATGGCTGTACTACCCATAGTTATGGACATATTCATTACAATCCCTGTCAAAATCCTAATGGCATTCTTTATGTATAGAAATACAGAAAAACAGTCCTAAAATTCATGTAGAAGCACAAAAGACACCATGTAGCCAAAACAATTGAACAGTAAGAACAATGCTAGAGGCATCACACTTTCTGATTTCCAACTGTACTACAAAGCTATAGTAATCAATATAGTATGGTATTAGCATAAAACACACATGAAGACCCGTGGAATAGAATACAGACCAGAAATAAATCAACACATTTATGGTCAACCAATTTTCAACAGGAGTGCCAAGAACAGAAAATGGAGAAAGGATAATTTCTTCAATAAATGATGTTGGAAAATCTGGATATTCAAACACAACCAATAAAATTGGACCATTATCTCACACCATATACAAAAATAAACTCAAAATAGTAAACTTAAAAAGTAAGACCTGAAAATATAAACTATTAGAAGAAAACTTAGGAAAAAGCTTTTTTGTTTAGGCAAATCATAAATTTGGGCAATGATATTATTTTGAAATGATTCCCAAAGTACAGAACTTTGGGTATCATTTTACAAAAGCAAAACTAGACAAATGGAATTCCTTCCAATGAAAGGCTTCTGCACAGTAAAAGAAACAATCAACAGCATGTAAAGGCAATCTATGGAATGGAGAAAATATTTGCAAACTGTACATATATTGGAAAGGGGTTAATATCCAATATATATCCAAAGGAAATGAGAGTAGTATGTTGAAGACGTATCTCACTCCTATGTTTACTGAAATATTCACGATAGCCAAGACATGAAATCAATCTGTGTCTATCATCAGATAAATGAATAAAAAATATATTATGTATATATATACATACAATAGAATACTGAATATTAGAATATTTTTCAGCCTTATGAAAAGAAGGAAAACCTGTAATTTGCAACATGAATGAACCTGAAGGACATTGTGCTAAGTGAAATAAGCCAGGCACTAAAGGACAGATACTGCATGATCCAAAACAGTCAAACAAATAGAGACAGAGAGTAGAATTGTAGTTGCCAAGAGCTGAGGATAGGGGGCAGAATGGGGAGATGATGGTTAAAAGGCATAGTTTCAGTTACACAGGAGGAATAAGATCTGAAGATTTATTGTACAGCATGATAACTATAGTTAATAAAAATGTATTTTATACTTGAAATTTGCTCAGAGAGTAGAACTGAGCTGTTCTAACCAAATACACAAAAAAAGTTAACTATGAGATGATGGAAATGTTAACTAACTTGATTGTGGCAACCATTTCGAATGTATATGAGCATCAAAATATCATTTTGTACACTGTAAAAATATATGATTTATACTTGTCAAGTACACTTCAATAAACCTGGGAGGGGGAAGTAAACAAAACGAAACCAAACTCATACAAATCAATAGCTAAAAAACAACCCGGCCAAAAAATGGGCAAGAGACCTAAATAGAGATTTCTCAAAAGAAGCATACAAATGGCAGGTACCTACAAGTATATGAGAAGGTATCACTAATTATCAGGGATAACCAATCAAAATGTCAATGAGATATCACCTCACATCTGTTAGAGTGGCTATAATCAGAGAGATCTGGAAGAAAGGGAACCCTTGGGTAATGTTGCTGGGAATGTACAAACATGATGGAAAACAGTATGTGGGTTTCTAAAAAAATTAAAAATAGAACTACCCTATGACCCAGAAGTCTCACTTCTAGGACTATATAAAAACAAAACTAAATCAAGATTTTCAAGAGATCTGCACCCCCATATTCATTGCAGCTCTATTCACCATAGCCAATATGTGCAAACAACCTGTGTCCATCAACAGGTGACTGAATAAAGAAAATGTAGTATAAATACATAATGGAATGTTGCACAGCTTTTATGAATATTTTTTTCTGAATATTATTCCACATTGCAAAAAAATATAAAAACCAGTTATTTGTAACAACGTGGATAAACCATGTATAAATAATCCAGTCACAGAAAAACAAATGCTTCATGATCTCCTATGTGGGATCTAAAAGAATCAAACTCATAGAAGCAGAAAGAAGAGTGTTTGCTAGGAACTGGATAGATGGGGAAACAGCAAGATCCTGTTAAGGAGTATAAAGTTTCAGTGTAACAAGAATAAGTTATGGAGATTTAATGTATACCAATGTGACTATAATAAACAACTTACTGTATAATTGAAATTTGCTAAGAGGTTAGCTCTTAAGTGTTCTCACAACAAAAAGAAACAAAAATGATAACTCAAGAAATGGCTATGTTAATTATCTTGGCTGTTGCACTTATGTCACAATGAATATGTATATCAAATCATCAAATTGTACTTCTTAAATATATACAATTTTCAATTGTCAAATATACTTCAATAGAAACATTTTTTTCTAGAGGAAACATTTGTTATGACTTTCAGTAAGAAAAATCTGTTAAGGACTTTAAAAATAGCATTCCCAGAAGTTTTCTGGTTGAGAGACTGGCCTATGATTTTCTAGGACATCACTTTTTTGTCTGTTCTCTTGTGAATAATTTGGAGAACAATGGGTCACTGGAGGAAAGACTCTTCGAACCCAACACCTGATGCAGCCTTTGGCTCCTCCTACATCTTGAAGCATGACTTTTGATAATTTTATGAACTTCAATTTTCACATCTATTAAGTGAAAATAATCAAAAGAATGAAATATAATGAAAATCAAAATACCTTTCAGGGAAAGAGCTGAAAGAAACTCATTTAATTGGAGAAAAAAATTCTACCAAAAATAAATTTGCACATTTAATTTGCTCTGGATATTGCTGTCCTAAACTATTCTATAGTAGACAGAATTATGCCACCCCTTCCTCCCCTCAAGAAAAGTTGTTCATATCCTAATATGTTACCTCTCATGGCCAAAGGGACTTGGTTGATGTTATTCAGGTGAAGAAATTTTTTTTTTTTTTTTGATATAAGATCTCACTCTGTCACCCAGGCTAGACTGCAGTGGTATGATCTTCGCTCACTGTAGCCTCGACCTCCTGGGCTCAAGTGATTCTCCCATCTCAGTGCTCAAGTAGCTTGGACTGGAGGTATATGCCACTATGCCCAGATACTGGATAATTTTTTTTATTTGTTGTAGAGATGAGGTCTCACTATGTTGCCCAGGCTGGTGTCAAACTCCTGGCCTCAAGCAAGCCTCCCGCCTCGACCTCCCAAAGTGCGGGGATTACAGGCAGAGCCACCACAGCTGGCCATAGGTAAAGGATCTTTAAATGGGGAGATTATCCTGGATTACTCACATGGGCCCAGTCTAAATATACGAGTTCTTAAAAATGGAAACTTTTTCCCAGCTGCAATCAGAGAGATATATAACAAAAGATTGTCAGAGGATGAATTTTGCTCGTTTTAAAGATGCAGAAAGGGGGTCATAGTCAGGAAATGTGGGTAGCCTCTAGAAATTGGAAAGTCAATGAAACCAATCCTCCTAAAAGCCTCCAGAAAGGAATGCAACCCTGCTGATACCTTGATTTGAGACTAGTGAGACTATGTAGGACTGCCAGAAGAGTAACATAATTTAGTGTTGTTTTAAGCCACTAACATTGTGCTAGTTTGTTATGGCAACAATAGAAAACTAATACATATTGTTATGCTTATTCTCTTTAAGTAACTTTAAAAGGTAAAACTGAGATCTGCCCCATCCATAAATATAACTGAGTCATTGACATCAAATAGACCCGGAAGCAGATTAATGGTCTACATAATGTGATTATCACACATGCCACAGGCAAAGCAGTTACTAAGGATCAGTATGTATCTTCTCACTGAATCAGGGAGTAAACTTACTTTCATGGAGCCAAATCACAATTTGCCAATGAAGCTGGATGTTTGAACTTTTCACCTTGCTTTTATAAAAAGGGTGTTTTATTTTATGTTTTGCAAAACTTTTTTTTTTTAGCTTCCCTAGCCACCACAAAAGAGAGTTATACTTGCTGTAAGCTCCCCCAGGCAGAAATCAGAAATTAGAGGACATAGCAACAGAAAGAAGGGTCTTTTAAAAATGCCTGAATGACTTGTGTTTGTCTAACACCTAGCTGTGGTGGAAGAAGAGTATAAGAAACAGACTGTCTACTTATTGATTGTTGTAGGTAAAATATGCACCTAATTGCTTCAACAACAGAAATATAGTCTCCGTCTTGAAAGGAAGTTGAAATATACTATATTGAAACTGTTTTGCAGAGACTGCAAACAAGCAGGATCCTCCAGTTAGAATTAGTTTCAAGACTTATAATTTTAATATTTTAAGTACAAACAGGAGCTTGAGCTGGACAAAATGTCAGCTTATAGGACTTTATAAGTGATTTCTTTACTGATTATATGAGAATTATTTGTGATTAGCATTTCATTCACCTATAAAACGAAAGATTGCTTTAAGTAGATATTTCTCTTTTTACGTCAAATGGAACAAAATTTAGTTTAGACGGTAACTTTGTTTCTGCACTTAAAAACACATTGAACTGCAGTCCAGCACTTATGTAAATGTTTTACCATCATTTTATAATGTGAATTAGTGACATTAATGAAAATAAAAAATAAAGGTGTATGTGAAGCTCTTCCCCACTTGAAGTGAATGGAGACCTGTTCCCTGGAGGAGAATGGGAATCCCAGGCAGGCCCCCAAAATTGTTGGAAGTAAATGTTCAGTGCCACAAAGTAAAAATAGCATTCAGACAAAAGTTTTCTCAACAAGACAATTTACTTCTATAGAAGGGTGAGTCTCATGGATAGAGCAATGGAGAGAGCACACCAGACAAGGGATGGGAAGAGCGTCTTATCCTTAATGCAGCTAGTCCCTACTGCTGTGTCTTTCCCCTATTGACTAGGGTTAGACCACACAGTCTAAGGTAATTCCAATTGGCTGCTTTAAAGAGAGCAGGGGTATGACCTGGAATGGTGAGGTGAGTAGTTTCGGTGGGAAGGATGGTTACAAAACAGGTGACTAAGGATGACTAAGGACAGAACAGGTGACTAAGCATGGAACAGGTGACTATAAGGATGAGTAAAGACAGAGGAGGTGACTAAGGACAGAGCAGGTGATAGAGATTAGGAGGGGGCTGTTTATTGAAACTAGGGACAAGAGACGTAAAGAACGAAAGGACGTTAAGAAACATATATAAGAAACATATACCACAATGATGTGCTGCCCTTTTTCACTCTTCTCTTTTGTCACCCAGGTTTTACTAAGGACTAGACATGTTACGTTTGCTTTCCCTTTGTATTCCTAATAGAAAACATGCTGTATGATTTTGTTTGTTTTATATCTGCTTATTTTAGGACTGTTTGCCATACCACAGAAGTAATGCAACTTGGTCTGCACTAAGGCCTTGTAGGATACAGTAGATTTCTCTTTAAAGAACCAATATGTCACTATGTTCAGCTTCCCTGTTCTTTGTTCCTCATCTTAAAGTTTAACTTCCTTGTTCTTTACGTCTCTTTGTCCCTAGTTTCAGTAAACAACCCCCTCCTAACCTCTATCACCCTCTCTGTCCTTAGTCACCTGCTCTGTCCTTAGTCATCTGCTCTGTCTTTAGTCATCCTTATAGTCACCTGTTCTGTCCTTAGTCACCTGCTCTGTCCTTAGTCATACTTAGTCACCTGTTTTGTAACCATCCCTCCCACCAAAACTACTCACCCTGCCATTTCAGCTTGTACCACTGCTCTCTTTAAAATAGCCAACCCGAATTACCTTAGACTGTGCGGTCTAACCCTAGTCAATAGAGGAAAGACACAGCAGTAGGGACTAACTGCATTAAGGATAAGACTCTCTTCCCCTCCCTTGTCTGGTGTGCTCTCTCCATTGCTCTATCCATGAGACTCACCCTTCTATAGAAGTAAATTGTTTTGTTGAGAAAACTTTTGTCTGAATGCTATTTTCACTTTGTGGCACCGAGCATTTACTTCCAACAATTTTGGGCGCCTGCCCGGGATTCCCATTCTCCTCCAGGGAATGGGTCTCCATTCACTTCTCGTGGGGAGACGCGTCCCATTGCCTCATTGTGGTGGCCTCAGGGTGAGAGATGGGGAACCACCCAGTGCGACAAATAAACTCGGGCTCTCAACAACCCAGAAGGAAACAGGATGATAGCTTGGGGAAAGGATTCTCACATACCGCAGCAATCAGGTAACTCTGTACACAGACCAAGTTAAGCAATGTCGCAGGGGTGACGAAGTATTTCCTTGCTGGTCAAGATATTCTGGAGGTTAAAAGTGTGTTTAAATGATCACAAACACTACTGCTTGCAGTGCTGCTTGTGTGAATGGTACTACGCACTACCGCTGTGTGGAGTGAGTGGGTCCTATCTGCGGTTCCATGGTCACCTCATACGGCTTAGGACAGATCCTGCCATGGGGTTCAAACTGGCATGCCAATACCAAGAGGGGCCTAGACACCCAAAAGGGAAGCGGCCAGAGTGGATGAAGCAAAAGAAGGGTGCAAGGATCCTCCAGCAGGTGGGGCTAAAAGATAGGCAAGAAATCTCTAGTATGAGGGATTAAGCCTAACTAGGACCCAACATGGGAAATACCCTAAGCAAGACAGGGAGTAAAAAGGATAAAAATACCAACAAAGATGATTCCCCCTCATAGTCCCCTAGGTCTCATGTTAAAATACTGGAAAAATAATGAGAGGACTAAACATAAGAAAAAGCAACAAATGATAAAATATTGCTGTTTTATTTGGACTCAGAGACCCATCTTCAAACCCTCAAATCTTCTGACCAAAGTTTGGGTCGAATGAAGATGTAATGTGTCAGCTTTTCATTCAATATGTAAATGATAAAAGCCTCGTTTCTCAAGAGGAACTAGACTATGCTCTTTGTTGGAGGCAGAGACCTGTCCTTTTCCCCTTAAAGACAACTAGGGAAGAACCCAATGTAACATCACAAAAGGAAAAATTACATAAGTTAGTTCCCATGCGCAAAGACTCCAGCATATGGGATCCCCTAGACCATCTTCCCCTGCTCAGTGACCCCAAGCCCTCTCCTCAGACAGCTGCTGCTGCCCAAGATCCTGCTCCAGATTCTTCACCTACTCACGTTATTCCCCCTCCTTACAATCCTGACTCTTGGAAATTATCATCCCAAGAGTCTGTCCCCTAACAGCCTAAGGACCCCTCCCTAAAGGGACTCCAATGTGAAATAGAACAATATAAAAAGGATATCCGAAACTTCCCTTTTCCCTCTACAACTAAAGAGTCAGCCCCTGATCTCCTTCCCTTAAGATAGGTGCCACAAGGAGGAGGAACCATTGACTTCATGGATACTCCCTTAACCAGTTCAGAATTCCAGAGTTTAAAAAAGGAGCTTAAGCCATTACTAGATGACCCTTACGGAGTGGCAGATCAAATTGATCAATTTTTAGGACCTCAGTTATACACTTGGGTTGAGTTAATGTCCATTTTGGACATCCTCTTTTCAGGAGAAGAAAGGAGTATGATTCATAGGGCTGCTATAGTAGTTTGAGAACGTGAGCATTCACCCAGTCAAAACGTTCCTACCATGGACCAGAAATTCCCTGCCCAAGACCCCCGCTGGGACAATAACAACACAACTCACCAGGAAAATACACAGGGCCTAAGGGAGGTGATAATCAAATGAACTCGGGAATCAGTACCCCAAACCCAAAATCTTTCTAAAACATTTAATATGCAACAGAAAAAGGATAAAGGGCCTATGAAATTCCTAGACAGACTGAAGGAACAAATGAGACAATATACAGGCCTCAATTTAGAAGATCCCTTTGGATGAGAAATGTTAAAACTCCAATTTTTCACAAAAAGTTGGCCAGACATTTCAAAAAAAGTACAAAAAAATAGAAAATTGGAAAGACCAGACCGTCCCCCGAGTGAACTTCGCATGGAAACTCAAAAGTTATGTGTGAGGAGAGACGAAAAAAATCAGAAACAAAAGACAAAACTTACATTATCCACCTTCCAACAGAAGACTCCAAATCCATGTCCTTCTAAACAGAGCTTCCAGAGACACAGAAACTATAAAGGGTCCAAACCCTTCTTTAAAAGACCTAAGCCTCCATCTGGAGGACCAAGGCCCTCTGAAGAGTATGGCAAAACAAAGTAAAAAAATCCCAGAACTGAGAGGTACAAAGGACAAGATAGGTGCTACAAATATGAAAGTACAGGCCACTTCAAGAGGAAATGTCCTGAATTCAAAAAAGAGAAAAAAGTCCTTCCGTTCATTACTTTTGAGGAAGAATAAGGGAGTCAGGGGCTCTGTCTCTTTTATGTTGAGTCCCACCAGGAGCCCTTAATAAATTTAGAAGTGGGACCTAAACATGAATTTATCACTTTTTGTTCGATTCAGGGATGACTTGTTCCTCTGTTGGTTTCCCCCCATCTAATATTGCCTACTCTTTGGAAGGACTTTTGCTCTCTGGAGTGAAAGGTGAAGGATTTAAAACAAAAATTTTAAAATACACAAAAGTCAAATACCAAGATCAATCAGCTCATATTCAGTTTTTGTTAATCCCTGAAGCAGAGACTAATTTATTAGGGAGGGATTTAATGTTGAAGTTAGGCAGAGGCCTACAAGTCAGACCAAGAGAATTCTTCACCTCATTAAACCTACTCACCAATACAGAGACAAAATACATTAATTCTAATGTCTGGTCCAAAGAAAAGAACTGAAGAAAACTCTGAGTCCCTCCAATCCACATCAAGCTAAAAACCCCCGGGGAAGTAGTAAGGAGAAAATAATACCCCATTCCCCTAGAGGGCAGGATAGGGTTAAAACCTATAAGTGAAGGTCTTACTAAAGATGGGCTTCTTGAGCCCTATATGTCCTCTTATAACACCCCAATACTGCCTGTCAAGAAATCAGATGGGTCATACTGGCTGGTAAAAGACCTTAGAGCCATTAACCAAATAGTCCAAACTACCCACCCCATTGTTCCCAATCCTTACACCATTCTCAGCAAGATTCCATATAATCATCAATGGTTTACTGTTACAGATTTGAAGGATGATTTTTGGACATGTCCCCTGGCTAAAGATTGTGAAGATATATTTGCTTTTGAGTGGAAAGATCTCCATCCAGGGTGAAAACAACAATATCGATGGACAGTCTTATTCCAAGGGTTCACAGACTCCCTTAACCTTTTCGGTCAAATTTTAGAACAAGTATTAGAAAAAGTCATCATCCCAAAACAAATATGCCTACTCCAATATGTTGATGATATTCTTATATCTGGTGAAGATATGGAGAAAGTAGCTAGCTTCTCTACACATATTCTTAACCATCTGCAGTTCGAAGGGTTACAAGTCTCAAACGGAAAGCTTCAGTAGGTAGAGCCTGAAGTTAAATATTTAGGCCACAGTGCAGACAAGTGAAAAATAGGGCCTAAATAAGTTGAGGGAATCGTATCCCTACCCTTGCCTCAAACTAAATAAAAACTCAGGAAATCTTTAGGGTTAGTTGGATACTGTCACTTATGAATTGACTCATATGCACTAAACAATAAACTTTTATATCAAAAACTTGCCCAGAAGAAGCCTGACCATCTCCTGTAGACTTCTGAGAAAGGTGATCAGATCAAAGAGCTGAAAGAAAGGCTCATAACCACCCTTGTCTTAGCCTTACCTTCCCTAAAAAGCCATTCCACATTTTTGTCAACGTGGATAATGGAGTAACTTTAGAAGTGCTTACTGAAGGACACAGAGGCTGTTGGTAGCCTGTGGTCTTCCTGTCAAAAGTCTTAGATCCAGTTACTTGTAGATGGCCTCAATACATCCAATCCATTGCAACTACAGGAGTATTAGTAAAGAAAGTAGAAAGTTAACCTTTGGAGGAAAATTGACAGTAAGCATGCCCCACCAAGTTAGAACTATCTTAAACCAGAAAGCAGGGCAGTGGCTTACTGACTCAAGAATCTTAAAGTATGAGGCTATTCTGTTAATATTAACCACTGATAATTCACTTATCCCAGCAGGTTTCCTAACAGGGGATCCAAATCTAAAGAGAGAGCACAAATGTTTAGATTTAATTGATTATCATTTAAAAGTCCAACCAGACCTAGGAGACACTCCCTTCAGGACGGGACGAGAGTTATTTATAGATGATTCCTCCCGGGTGATTGAGGAAAAAAGACACAATGGGTATTCAGTACTTGATGGAGAAACTCTCGAAGAAATAGAGTCAGGAAAATTGCCTCATAATTGGTCTGCCCAAACTTGCAAGCGGTTTGCACTCAGCCAAGCCTTAAAGTACTTTCAGAACCAGGAAGGAACCATCTATACCAATTCTCAGTACACCTGTTGAGTGGCTCACACATTTGGAAAATTTTGACTGAATGAGGTCTCTTTAGTAGTAAAAGTCAAGACCTTTTTCATAAGGAGCTAATCACCCAAATATTTAATAATCTGCAGTTGCCAGAAGAATAGGTATTGTCCATGTCCCTGGATATCAGAAAAGTCTTTCTTGTGAAAGTCGAGGAAATAACCTAGCAGATCAGATAGCCAAACAGGCTGCCATTTCTTCTAAAACACCTATTTTTGACTTAACTCATTACCTTCCTTCTCCTACCATGATCCCCATTTTCTCTTCCACTAAAAAAGAAAAACTAATAAAAACAGATGCTAAAGAGAATTCAGAAGAAAAATGGATACTGCCAGACCAGACAGAAACGTTATCCAAATCCCTTATGAGGGAAGTCTTGTCCCAACTGCATCAAGGGACCCATTGGGGGCCCCAAGCCATGTGTGATACAGTCCTCAGAGTTTATCGGTGCACAGGAATTTATACCCTGGCCAAACAGGTTACAGACAGTTGTATAGTATGTAAGAAAACTAAAAAGAATACCCCTTTGGGGAAGGAGCCCAGGCTTAAGGCTATCCCAAAGTATCCAGATTGATTGCACAGAGATACCTTCAATAGGTCATCTAAAATACTTACTAGTGATAGCAGATCACCTCATTCACTGGGTCAAAGCTATCCCCTTTTCAAATGCAATGGCCAATAATGTAGTTAAGGTGTTAATTGAAAATACAGTGTCCAGATTTGGGCTAATAGAAAATATTGACTCAGACAATGGAACCAATTTCACTGCGCACATCACTAAAAAGCTATCCCAAACACTAGACATTAGATGGGAATATCATACTCCTTGGCACCCACCTTCATCAGGGAGAATAGAAAGAATGAATTAAACTCTGAAGAACCGCTTAACCAAGTTGGTTCTGGAGACTTGGTTACCATGGACCAAATGCTTTCCTATTGCCCTGTTAAGAATCTGAACTGCCCCTCAGAAAGATATTGGTCTTTCCCTTTAAGAGATGCTCAATGGATTGCCTTATTTACGCTCCACTATTGACATTCCTACCTTTGAAACAAAAAACCAATTCCTTAAAAATTATACACTTGGCCTATCTTCTACTTTCTCTTCTCTTAAAACCAAAGGTCTCCTAGCACAGACACTGCCCCTGGAGTTCCCAGTACATCAAAATCAGCCTGGGGATCACATCCTCATCAAAAGCTGGAAGGAGGAAAAGCTTGAATTGGCCTGGGAAGGACCTTACCTAGTGCTCCTAACTACTGAAACCGCAGTCTCAACAGCAGAAAAAGGATGGACCCATCACACCCGAGTCAAGAAAGCACTGCCCACACGAGAGTCATGGGCCATAGTCCCAGGTGAAAACCCTACCAAACTAAAGCTAAGAAAAAATTAACTATCTTTCATCTATTCTATTACTCCTCCTTTCCTTGCTGTATTGCTGACCACCTCATTATTAATGTAACCAGGTCAATTTTGCCTCAAACTATTACATTTGATTCTTGCCTTGTTATACCCCATAGAGACTTACCAAGTCAAAGACAGCTTTCCACTTCAGAAAAATACCTCTGTCCTTCTTGACTCCCCTCAGGCTGGAGATTAGTGAATCAGGATCATTTAGTCTGGGAAGGTTTCAGTGAAGACCCCAGTGTCAACTGGGAGTCTTGCCCCCCGATACAGAGCTTTTATGCTGTAGTTGGTCCAACATTCTGTGGACCACTAAAGTGCAAGGATGGACTGCCACAACCAGCAGTTGTAATTTCCTAAAACCACACATTCATTTTACTAAAGAAACAGCTTCCCCTAACTGTCAGCTCAACCAGTGCAATCCAGTACAGGTTATTATCTCAAACCCTCAAAGTTCTTCTTCTCTAAGTCGGTTCCTTTATTTAAGCTGGTTTTATGGGATGGGGGCTGAGGTTTCAGGAACAGACCCTATCAGATCCTTTGAAATACACTTCATTGCTCCCCTACTGCCTATACCTTCCCCTAAGCCTTCTTCCAAAACCTCTCACAATGAAACTGTTGTTTCTTCTCTATCTAATGACAAGACCAAGGTAGCTATTATAGAACTTAAAGACCTAAAACAAACTTTGGCAACTGAGACAGGGTATCAAGATGTGAATGCCTGGTTGGAATGGATCAAATATTCTGTCTGCACTTTAAACAAAAGCAATTGTTAAGCTTGTGTGAATGGCAGACCAGAAGCCCAGATTATCTGCTTTCCACTAGGATGGTCCTTCAGTCAACCAGACATGGGCTGTATAGTAGCTCTTTTCCAAGATTCCACAGCCTGGGGTAACAAGTCGTGTCAAGTTCTCTCTCTGCTATATCCCAAAATTCAACACTCTGCGGGTCAGCCACTGAGGGCCATCCAGCTTCCGCCTCCCGACACTAGGTTCACTTCGTGTCTCTCACAATAAGTAGGTAACTTAGCGTTCCTTGGAGACATAAAAGGATACAGTGAGCTGAATACTTTCCAAGAGCTTAACAATCAGTCAACGCTTATTCACCCCCGAGCAGATGTATGGTAGTATTGTGGTGGACCTTTACTGGACACTCTGCCAAGTAACTGGAGTGGCACTGGTGCTCTAGTCCAATTGACTATCCCTTTTGCCCTGGCATTTCATCAACCAGAAAAAGGAAAAACACAACGTTGTAAACCAAGGGAAGCCCCTTATTGGTCTTTCCACTCCCACGTTTATTTAGATACAATTAGGCTCACAAGGGTACCACATAAATTTAAAGCCTGGGATCAAATAACTGCAGGATTTGAGTCAATATTTTGGTGGTTGACTATCAATAAAAACATAGATTGGATAAATTACATCTATTATAATCAACAGCGATTTATCAATTACATCAGGGATGTTGTCAAAGGAATAGCAGAACAATTGGGGCCTACTAGACAGATGGCCTGGAAGAATAGAATGGCCACAGAAATGATATTAGCCAAAAAAGATAGTGTTTGTTATGATTAAAACTCAGTGTTGTACCCTCATCCCAAACAACACTGCCCTTGATGGGAACATAACAAGGGCCCTACAAGGACTTACTGCTTTATCTAATAAGTTAACTAAAAATTCTGGAGTCGACAACCCTTTCTTAAGATGGCTAGAGAGGTGGTTCAGTAAATAGAAAGGAATCATAGCCTCAATTCTTACTTCTCTTACAGCCATAACAGGTGTACTCATTCTTGTTGGGTGTTGTGTCATACCATGCATCCGTGGGCTAGTGCAAAGACTTATAGAAACAGCACTTACTAAACCCTCCCTTAGCTCTCCTCCACTTTATTCAGATAAGCTTTTCCTTTTAGAGGATCAAGTTGAACAACAAAGCCAAGACATGTTAAAAAGGTTTGAAGAGGAAGGACTATAAAAATTGAAAGGGATATTGAAGGATTCCATAAATTCCTCTTCTAAGAACCAATATGTCCATATATTCAGCTTCCATGTTCTTTGTTCTCCATTTTAAAGTTTAACTTCCTTGTTTTTTATGTCTCCTTGCCCTTAGTCTCAGTAAACAACCCCCTCCCAGCCTCTATCACCTGCTTTGTCCTTAGTCACCCTTAGTCACCTGCTCTGTCCTTAGTCACCTGCTCTGACCTTAGTCATCTGCTCTGTAACCATCCTTTCCACTGAAACTACTCACCCTGCCACTCTGGCTCGTACCCCTGCTCTCTTTAAAATAGCCAATTGGAGTTAGCTTAGACTATGCAGTCCAACCCTAGCCAATAGGGGAAAGACACAGTAGTAGGGACTAGCTGCATTAAGGATAAGACCCCCTTTCCCTCCCTTGTCCAGTGTGCTCTCGCCATTTCTCCATCCTCGAGATGCACCCTTCTATAGAAGTAAATTGCCTTGCTGAGAAAAATTTGCCTGAGTGCTATTTTCACTTTGAGGCACTGAGCATTTACTTCCAACAGGCCTTAATATTCTGACACTTCAATTTCTCTATAATTGTGCCAATTAAAAGGGTTTTTACTTTTCAGCAAAATTCTGGCCCAGTCATTCAAATTTCACAGTCACATAAGGAATCCTCAATTTTAAATGAGTTGCATTCCCAAAATGCATATGTAAATAGATTCCATTTAATCCCCATTGTCCCATTGAAATTGGTTAGACTTATTCTAAATTCAACACCCCCCCGAATTCTAATCACTTAATAATGTACTTTAAGCATATTACCCAATCAACATGGGTCACAAAGTTTTATGAATGCCAAGCATCTATCTAGCCCTGCTATGCTTTGTCCTTATTCCCTCTATTTGCCTGCAAAAGATATGCGGGCTTCTCCACTAATCATTCATGAGATCCCCATGACCTGGGACAGGACAAAGGTTCAACTGACTTTCCTAGCTTGTTTTTGTGAACTCTGAGGTTTGCACGAGGGGTGCCACCTTTCCACCAGAATCTGACTCTCACTGCCTATTTCCCTGACCTAATGCAAAACAAGACCCTTTCATTCCTCTTGTTTCTTGATTTCCTAAATGATGATGACAGTGCAAGAACAGAGGGAGGATAAATATTTATCCATTTGATACCCTCCCTAGAGAAAGTTAGTGTTGCATGAAAGGGATGGTGTGACGGTGGGACCAAATGGACTACCCTAAAGAATCACTATATGGGCCTAAAGAGTTTTGAGACAAGTTTCTGAAATGAGGGATGGGTGGAATGGGGAAGGGATGGATGCAAGGCGTGCTGGCGGCCTGCAGCCTTGCAGCACTTCCCAACTTTTCTGTGAAAAATTACTGGACTAGAATCAGACTGCCTGAGGTTGAATTTCAGCTTCATCGCTTATTACTTACAGCCCCTCTGAAAAGTCCATTTCTCCCAGCTTTAGTTACCTACATATAAAATGGAGATGAGTGTCTATCTATAAGGTTGTTATCTGTATTAAATGAGACAAGATAAGGACTAGCCTAGTCTAGTACACATAGGGAATGCTCAGTAACTACTATCATCATAATTACCAATCATGATTATTGTACGACGTCTGCTGATGTGGCAGTGTTGGTTAGAGTTGAAAGTCAGAAGAAAAAGGAACAGCCTACTTTTTCTTCCCCTTCCCACTAACTTTTCTTTTTAACCAATGTAGATAATATGTTGGTGCAGCCCTGGAGTTATACGGAAGATGTCAAATCAGGGTTTCAGGGTAAACAGCAGGAAGTAGCAAGATAGTTGTTAGCTGTGCAAATATAGGGAAGGAGATGATAGGTGCCCATGGGAATAACAGGTGGGCTGGAAGAAGAAGTCCATGCCCCTAGGCTGAAGAATCTTTAGCAGTAAGTACTACCCTAAGCCTCATGCACAAATTTAAATTTAGTCTTTTTGCACATGCCCAATGAGAGTTTACATTGTTCAACTTATCCCCCTTCCTCATGCACAGGTCTAAGCCCCGGAAGTCAATGCTCAGTGACACTAACACCAGGCCATCCCTAGTGAAGAGTATGTCCTTGAACAAAGCTGTAGCAGCCAGATGCTCTTCTTTCCCAGAGCCTCTTAATCTCTTGATTTTGTATATGACTAGGCTGCCATATACAAAACATAGGGAGGTAGAAGTCACAGCTACCAAGTAGGCAGAGTAGAAGAGGAAGCTTGTTTGCAAAAATAGGCATTAAAACAGACAACCCAGGGAGGAATAAACATGAAGGATGAAAAGTTCCAGTGATTTTTCCTGCTTATGTTAGCTAACTGAGGCCTACATGAATTTCAGCCTCTGGATTCAAGGCTATGCATTTGTACCCTTATTATTAATTTGCTTCATGATTTGAGAAGTTGGTTTCTATTATTTCAAATCAAAGAATTGTAATAGCAAAACTATATAACCTCTTCAACTTAGCCTGGGGTTTTTACCGCAGTGATTACCTTCTAGCTCAATTTGAAAATATTATTGGAACTTCCTCTTAAATAGTGAAAGTAATGGGCAGAAACTATCATCATAACTGCAACAGCCTAATCCTGTGAAGTCATTAAAGGTTTTCATGTGCGTCGATGCCACTTTATAGAGATGACAATATAACACTCTAACGGACTATAATAAACCTGAGCCAACTACAAACCCACTAAAATATATCAAGAAATCTTAATATCATTACTACTGAAACCATGTAGTGTGAAAATTCAGATTATCAGAATGTTCTAAGTTAATTCGTAGTAGTAGTATTAATATTTATGTTCTTTTGTTGCTGCTGTGTTATTTAAAAACTGTTTGACAAGTAAGCAACTTACTGTTTACTTTTTATTGAGATGGAGTCTCGGTCTGTCCCCCAGGCTGGAGTGCAGTGGCGCTATCTCGGCTCACTGCAAGCTCCGCCTCCTGGGTTCACGCCATTCTCCTGGCTCAGCCTCCCCGAGTACCTGGGACTGCAGGCGCCCGCCACTACGCCCAGCTAATTTTTTTTTTTTTTTTTTTTTGTATTTTTAGTAGAGACGGGGTTTCACCGTGTTAGCCAGGAGGGTCTCGATCTCCTGACCTCATGATCCGCCCGCCTCAGCCCCCCAAAGTCCTGGGATTACAGGCGTGAGCCACCGTGCCCAGCCCCTGTTTACATTTTTAAATCCCACATTTTAAATCCTCTATATTTTGGGGATTTAGGTTGCTTTGACAAGAATAGCTGGAAAAAAAGGAATATTACTGTCCTGACATAAATTTTTAGTTGTATTTTTAGTGACTACATATTTGTTTTAAATAAAGCTCTTCCAAATGTGGAGGGCAGGGGAGTCTCATTAACCATATGGAACAATCAAAATGCAAGTGATAGAGCATAAATAGTTTTTGCTTCCAAAATTTCAACCTATTCATATATTTTGATTGACAAATTACTTTACCTTTGTTTCCAACACTTTCTGCTATCATATGGAAATAATTGTTACCAAATTAGCTTCCTAATGCATATAACCATATTCATTAATAGTAATTTATCCATGAAAATTTAGAATTTTTCATAACAGAATTATACAACCTTAAAAACAATTTTTTTTTTTTGATAAAAGGTATTTATAGCCAACGTAATTACAATCACAAATACAGGGAAGAAAGAACAGAGATGAGCCATGATATCTAGGTTTAAGTGATATGTAATTTTTTTTAGTCAAAGATGTACTATAAAGATTTATATGCTGAAATGCTGATGCCTTGTTATTGCATTACTGGATCATTGGAGAGGGTGCTGGTAACAGTGTTTCCAGTATTTTGAATTGGGGATGTACACTGTGATTGGTAAAATGCAAACAATATTTCCGTGCCTGTATGTGTAGTGTAGTATGGATTATAATCCAGTCTCCTCTCTTGGCTTAGAGAAGAGGTTGACTTAGAATTGCAAGATGTGATGCCAAGGTGAATTACTGATTGAGTATTGTGCAGTCACAAGTAGGAAAGCAGAGGAAATTTGAACTATTAGGTACAAGGCAGTGAAAACAACACAAAGCAAGAACCAGTACCCAAAATTAAGCAAGACTTAAAAGATGAGATTTGGCAATTCCTTTTCATAGAGTTATAGTAAGTAGAATGGCAAAGTCTACAGAGAAGATAGATACAAAGGCCCCTAAGAGTCACCATGCTGTCTTCTCCTGCCATGAGTGAATGGGGTTTCCCTAAATCACCTAATGTGGGGTAGTCTGACTGGGCTGTATGTTTATTCACCTGAGGAGCTTTAAACAAAATACTAACACCTTAGGTTCACCCAAGACCAATTTAATCAGAATCTCTGGGGATTCATGTGCATAGCCAGCATCGAGAACTGCCTATTAAATGATTGAATGGAAGGAGTTTCCCCACTGGAGGAAACACTGAAGGTGAAATGTGGGTTCCTGTAACAAATCCCCTGCATTCAAATCTTTCCAGGGTACTGTGCACTGGAATTAAGATTGTAGTGCTTGTATGGTCAGTAGCCATGAGGTACAGGAGCTGCTGAGGCACTAAGCTAGTTCAGATGACATCCTCAAGCATGCTATAGCAGAAAAGAGTACATAAACATGTATATAACTTGCTCTGTGCCCATAAGAACACATATCTCAAAATAGAACATCACAAAATGGTTATGACTTAAGACTATGCCTAAGTGCTCATTAAAAGCAAACAATGAAAGATGCTACAACTTACCTTTGGCGTCAGTTTAACATAATAGGTAGAAAAATACTCATGTTTCCTTTTGTCTAAAGTTCATCAAGAGGTCTTAATTTCTAAAATGTGCTTTGTCCCAAATATTCAGAAAAAAAATCTCTTAGTTGATCCTTAAACATGCAGTATTTTTCCATTCTGACAAACAGAATGTTTTGTATATTCCAGAGGTGTTTTTCTCCTAAACTGTGCACCTGACAACCAAAATGAGATGCCATCATCCTCTGTCTAAGGGTGAAAAAAGGTGCTTCCAGCCTTTGCTCTGAGGAGATAAGAACCCTCTTGGAAAGTGTCCATCATTAAAATAGTGCTGGAGGGAGTTTACCTGCCTATATTTTAATTACTGTTTTATTCGCATTATTTAAGTTATCCCTATTGAAGTCAACCCCAAATCCACTGCCTAGCAATTATTTTTCTTTTTCATTAAGATATATCTGTCTTTACATCAAAACAAAACAGTACTTTTTAAAATTCATTATATTCACTAGAGTTATGGTGAATACGATTCTTTTACACCACTGGTGCCAGAGGACAAGATAAACATGCCACAAGGGCTAACGTTTTAGCCTGAGTCAGCATAATAATTATCACATTATTAGAGAATTGTGCTGTGTTGATTAGCATACATCAGCATACAAATCAATTTCCATGTAAGAACCAAAACCTTTCTCCAAATTTCAGTAGATTTACGCAAACCTCCCCCCAACCCCACTCCTTTGTGCCAGGTGAAGCTGGGAAACTTAGGGCACAGGAAGAGTTTCATTTTTGCAGTATTTCATTAGTCTGGAAAAGACAAAGGTTTACTCTGGAAATGAGTTACTTTCACGCTTTAAATGTACAGCTTGAGGAGGACGCTACTGCAAAAACAGGGAAGAGAAAGAAGCAGATAACGTATTTGGCAGTGTGAGAAGGATTCAATATTAAAGATTAGGACTGGTAATGTGTCCGGTCCAGGGTAAAAGAAGCTAAGAACCCACTGGTTGGTTCATTGAGATGTGAAGAAAGAGTTCATTCTTTTACACGACTCCTTGAGAATAGTGGTTAATTATTAGAGGTCTTGGAAATTCATATTTTTCTCCATTCTGAGAACATAGGCTCTATAAGAGGGAATTTTTTCCTTCCCCAAGCTTCCACTCTTTCCATTTTCCTTACCTAAAATTTAGCCAATTTTGTTTTTATTTACCTGTAGTATTTCATTCATTTATCTTGTAAGGTTCCAGAAGACAGAAATTGCATCCTATTGATTTTCTATTCCTCATGGTGCTGAACACTCAATATGTTTGTTTCTATTCATTATTTGCTAAGAGCTATAAACATAATAAAGTGTCTGAAAATTATTTTAAATTTTTCAGGGCATTTCCAAGTTGAAGGGGTGAATGGAAGCTCCTCTGGCAGCAGGTGTCACCTCCCAGATTAGGCACATGAAAATAAGAACCATGTTTATTATGGAAAAATGAATGCATTTTGACATAGGTAATGTCAAATTATATACTTAAATGGGTAATGAATCATAGAAATAAAATTGTTATTCCAAAGTGTGAGTAGTAGTTGCTTAAATGGCAAAAGATCATGACTTGGAGTCACACATTCTAAAACACGTTTGGACCAAGACTGCATGTGTTTTTTTCTTTTTTTTTCAGTCTTGATCTTTAGCATGTGACTTTTTATCCCTGAAAAATGCCCAGTTTACTCTCACTTCTGCTATACACTCTTGGTTGTGTGAAGCTAAGATGTCAGGAATTCTAAGCACTTAGAACAGAGACTGGACTGGCATTTCATAACCATTCAACATATCTTAGTGAACATAATTATGATAATGATGACTATTATTACTTTGTCTAAATCATATTATTTCTTCTCTGCCTATGGAGATTCTTGGTGGCTAGCATCTATTTCTGTATTTCTTAGTCCCACAATCAATGCATTTTTTTGTATCCATGTCAGTAGGAACATGTGTGAAGAGCAGAATGCAAAGCATAGTTAAATATCAATGCTCTAGTGCACCAAATGCATTCTCATGTGCCTATGACAAATTCCATATACTAAAGCTGATAGACACATCAAATAGAGATAAAAAGCAAAACATTTATTTTAGCAAGAATATATTAAATTCTTAGAATGTATTTGGCATGTGAATAAATACAAAAGCAAATAATAATTTAAGATTTATATAGAACTTCAAGTTTTTATCCTTGAACTTGGAGAATGATGATAACTATGGTGAAATAGAAATAAAGAATGGTGGTATTAATCCATTCATAAAAAAAGAAACCATCTGTCGGAGAAAACAAGTAGCCTCAAACAATTATTAATATAGGATTTTTTTATTATACATGTCAACAGTGAAAGTCACGCTACTTGACTTTTCAAGTTTCCGAAAAGCTCTAAAATTAGAAGTCAAACTTTTACAGTATGTATATACAGTAATGAATTCAGAGTCAAACTTCCCACCTACCATCCCTCCTATATATGGCCCCTTAACACTAATGGATGGATGGTTGTGGTTTGGAGGTGGTAACGAGGAAGAATGTTTTTCTCATAGAACTGATTCACACAAACCATTTATAAAAGGCAAGAATACTTAAATGAGTGCCTACAGGCTGTGGTAATAATAACTCACATCTGAAATTTGGAACCAAATATTTAAGAGAGTGTACTTTGTAGTATAACTACTTTTCTTGACTCAATCACTTCATTGTTTTGTTAAAGTGTTATGTCAAAGCTGTAAGTTAGAACTGCTACTAAATGATTATCTAATTCCTCTAGCGTGCCCTTCTCATTTGTTTGCAAAGCTACATGAAATAGGCTTCTGAGGAAATCGTATATTAATGTATATTTGTAGTAATTCATAGTGTTGAGTTATGTGAAGTCATAAAACGGCATTCTTTCTCATTTGTTAAAGGGCAAGTTTCACATCAGGAATGAAAAGAAATGACATTTTTATAAGAAGTAAACTTAAGTTGAGATAAATAGTCAAGGGCAAATAATACACATTTTTAGGTTATTTATATTTGTCATCATTATTTTCACTATCACTCATACTCAAGCCCTTTACCTGTTACCACTTATTACAAGACAAAAACAAAATGATTGTGATCATAAAAAATGAAATAGGTTAAGTTCAAACAAGAGCTACAATAGGAATCCTGTTGAAACTTAGTTGTAGCTAAAGCTTGGAGCTTGATATAGAGGTTACGCAAGTACTTAGATACTGAATGGCATGATGTTGTAAAATGTAAAATGTAGACTGTGCTCTGGACTGGAAAATTCAGATCTAACCACTTATTGAACTAAATCGTCCATTATATGTTAGGTTATCCATTATATGTTGAGTCTTTTATGCACATTAAATTATTCACTCCCAGGTTAAAATCGGAGTAGGAGTGGGAGTATTTTTGCGTATAGTAGTCAAGTATCCTGCAATTGGTTATCACAAATTCTACAGATAATAACATACTTAAATGTACTTTACATTTTGCATCTTTAGTAACACACTGTGCTTTCTGCAGAAAAACCTTTTGCAGACCTATGTCCCTGGTGAAGAGAAGTGATAAGATTGTCCAAAATCCAAATTACATCCATTTAAAGACACTGGAGACCAATAAAAGCTGTGGATTTGAGAGACTATGATCGCAGAGGAAAAAGAATTACAAAGGACTCCACCCAACATTCATTATGGCTTTTTCCTGTTAAAGCAATTGTTAATTCGCAAGCAAAAGGTAAAGGGCTAAGGAACAGAACAGGGCTTCTTAGGGGGTTGAAGGGACTGAAATGTGGTATGGGGACATCAAGGAGAAGGGGTCCTGGTAAATACCCCAGGCAAGAACTGTGAATGTTGATATCAATTCTACTCAGCCAAAGAAGATCCCATGTCACATATGTTTATATTTGTATTTGTGATATGTGTGTATACATATACACATACAAACACACATATTTATTTCAGAGGTGAACCAACGTTAAACCAACTTTTACTAAGATGAAACTGCAATTCTAAACAAGCTCCATCTCTCGCTGAATTGCATTAATATATTCTATCCCTTCTCTCTGGTTGAAGGAGGCAACAGGGAAATTCTCTCATGACAAAGAAAACAGTATCTAGAGATTACCTCCATAATTTTTATACATAACAGGCAGACAGCATCCCATTAGACAATTATCAGACATACCAAGGAAAGAGACCAAGTGTATCAAAGCCAGAAAACAGAAAAGACAATAGAAACAAACCCACAGTTGATGTAGATACTGGAGTTATCAGACAAGGATATTAAAATAAACATGATGAACATAGTTACATAGTTAGATAACAAGGTGGAGAACTTCAATAAAAAGCTGGGAATTAAAAATTAATCACATGGTAATTCTAAGTAACATACTGAGCATCACAGTAAATTCTATTCAAATTAGATAACACCATTATTTTTCCAAAAAATTTATAATTTTAAAATGTCTTTGGCCATTTATTTCTAAAAATTACTCCATTAATATATGAATCTCATAATTATGCTCAAATACAGGCTCTGGCTTTCATTCTCCATCTATAAAAGTGTCATTTTTAATATATGTGTTAGACCACTTGAAAATTTCAATTTTCCAATTGCAGTAGAAATGATTACTGTTAATAATTATATTGCAGTCAAAAGGTTAGCAAAGAGAATGCTAAAATACTGAAATGACCTAAAGATATTATTTAAACTATGGGCAGCTTGTTTTTCTTTTTCATTTATATCTTTCAGCCTTGTTACAGCATTGAAGGAGATAAAGTTGAAAGGTAGCCACTTTACTTGCCTGAATTTATCTAAAACTTCAAAAAATTATATAGCAAGTAAAGAAAATGTCTTAAAAACAATGAAATATAATATTATTTCACCACTTTTCACATAACGGTCTGAAAACATATATATATATAGAGAGAGTTTGTCTATATATATGGTGTTTATATATATGTTTTCAGACATATATACCAATATATATAAATACTCTGGTTTTGTACCTTTGGTGTTTGTATAAATGTGAACACCAAAGATAAAAAAAATAATTCATTCACCACTGAAAATATTAAGTCAGATGTAATAGCAGAGAAGCTCCAAATTAAAGATTATCCAAGGAGAGTGTAGATTTTATTCAATAAGTGAGGCAATTATTCATTTATGTGTTATCATGTTTTTATCATGGATTTAGGTAAAGTGAAGATATCATTAAGTCTCCACATGGATAAAGGAAATAATGCTTAATATATACATTGCCTCTTTTAGACTATATTACATATTCGAATATGACATTTTATATTGCTTTCTATTATTTTATATTTGGAAGTCTTATTTTCCCACCAAGATAATAGTAGCATATTTCATTCTGGAAATTTCCAACTCGCATGTGTTATAATTTAAAAAGCATTTTCTATGTCAGAAGTTTGGAATTAAAAAATAAAATAATTAAACAAATATATCCTGCTTCCCTTCTTTAGAAAGCTAGCACAGAGTAACAACTGGATTTTCTGGGTTCAAGCTGCAGAGTAATATATTCAAGCTATATGAACATGTACAATATACCTAATCTCTCCGTACCCTCATTTCCTCATTTTCTAAAAACACATAATAATATTACCTACTTCACAGCATTGCTATGAGAATCAAATGAGTTAATATATAGAAGGGCTTAAAAAATTCTTGGTACTTAGTAAGCATTTCGTGTTTGCTATTGTTATTCTTGTGGCCATTACTATCAATCTTATCACTGATATTATTTTATTTTACATTCAGGTCTCTTTGTTCGGCATGTATTGCCTACCTTTCTGTACCTGGCAAAGTATTTCTCATTTTTAAAACCTGTCCCGAACTCCTAGAAAGAGTGTCTCTTCTTGGTGTTCCCATAGCACTCTTTGCATGATTTGGTTATTATCAACCAAATGATGTTGAAATTATCTATTTGAGTATCTAAAAGCCCCTTACACACTTCCTACTCCCTCTATTCTACAAGACTATAAGCTCCTCATGGGAAAGGCTCTTTCTTATATGTTCAGTTTGTCTGATGTACAGCTCTGTCACACGTCCCCAAGTCCACTCCAGGTTCAGTGACCCACAAGGAGGGATCACAGGACTTAGCATGTAGTTACTTTCCTGGCTATGATTTATTACAGTGAAAGGATACAAAGCTAAATCAGCAAAGACAAAGGGTGCATGGGGCAAAGACCAGAAAAAAAAAAAAAAAAAAAAAAAAAAAAAAAAAACAGGCACAAGATTCCAAGAGTTCTTTCCCTGTGAAATATTCAGAATATGCTCTTTACCTCCAACACAGAATTGTGACAACACATGTGAAGTGTTGTCTACCAGGGAAACTCATCAGAAATTCAGTGTCTAAGGTTTATACTGGGGTTTGGTCACATAAATACTCTCTGCCCAGTCTTTAGCAAAACTCTAGACTCCTAGAAGGAAAACCAGGTGTTAAACCACATTTTACACAGCTAGGCATACCAAGCCACTTTTTTCATGTAGTTAAAGTTTTATATCATTGTAGGGAACTGTTTACCATTAAAGTTCCCAGATGCTAGTCAAGGACCAATCTTGCAAGCAGGCATGTGTTTTCTGCAAAAGAAACTAGCACATAAAATATATTCAATAACAATTGTGTAAACTGAACTAAATGAGCTATCCAATGAAACAATATTTCCGATGGTAAGTAAAATAAACCCAACTCTCAAAATGTCATATAACTTATAATGTGAAAAAAATGTTAGGTAGTCAAGTACACATTCACCTAATAAACATTTTTGGACACTCAGATACTGTAATATGTATTGTATTAGGTATGAGACTCTTAAAAATCCAAATACATAGAAGTGATATATAGAATGCTGGCTACAGAAGTGCAGGAATGGGGAGATGTTGGTCAAAGGGTACAAAGTTGCAGTTACGCAGGATGTATCTGGAGATTTCATACACAGCACGATGACGATAGTTAATAATATCATTTTGTGTACTGGCAATTTGCTAACAAAGTAGATACTAGGTGCTCTTACCACACACACACACACAAAGGTAACTATGTGAGGAGAGAGATTCGTTAATTTGGTCAACTATAGTAATCATTTTACTAAGTATATGTGTATTCAAAAAATCACGTTGTACACCTTATAGACCATAAAAAAGAAAAAAAGACAAAATAACTGAATCTAATATATAACGTGCTTTTTATATTTTTGCTTGATTTTCAGAAATTGAGGGAAAAAAATACTCTCCACAAAAACAGGCAAACAAAATCCTGAAATGGGTCAAAAGCTACGAGTTGGAAGCAAATATAAAAGCTGGGTTTGGCTTGGGGGTTAATCGCAGTATTAGCACTGGGACTGGAGCTCTGCTCTGGCCTTGCTACAAAGTAGGAGAGCTACATGGGAGCTGGTTGAGGATGAGGGGTCAGAATAAAAAAAGCCTTCTGTAAGCATGTACACTCTAAGCATTTTCTCTCCTCTCCCACTCTAAGCATGTACAGACCTCCTTAACATTTCCTTATCTCAGATACTTTTTGCTGGGTATAAAACAAAAGTTATTTTAAGTCAAGTTTCCTTCTGTGTTTTTGTTTTTTGTTTTTTTTTTGTAAAAGTTTAAAATGAAGAAAAAGATAAGTCTAGGTATCTTTAGTCACAGTAAAAAAAAGGAAGAGTGTTTTTAAGAGCAGTTAAAGGGAACCCCAGCAAGCAATGTGGACTAGTGGAACAGAACCACGCATACAGTCAAATCAAATGAACTAAGAAGCAACATCCTGACTAGCCAAGAATTATAATGGCATCTCATTATATTATATGATATGTTCACACGTAGAGTGCTGCTGACTGGCAGAGCAATGACCAGATACCTTGGATAAGACCAAGATATCAGGCTGATCTTTACTGAAGGTGTAATATGGCTAAATATCAGCAATTTTATAGAACCTTATCTATTAAACATGGATTAATGTGAAGTAATAATCTTAAAACTTAACACATACAGTTGATATCGCAGCATTTATTCATGTGATAATAAAGATTTTGGTACTGAATAGACATGGACATACTATATTGGACTATGTGTATGTATCAGCACACACACATGTGTACAGGGATTGGTAAAGATGGTGGGAACAGAGAAATTAAAAAGAAATAAGAACAAAAAAAGGAATAGGCAAACTCCTGGTCTTGAACATAAAAATCCTGTTATATGGACAGTGCTTTGGAGTGGGGCAGAGAAAGAGTGACATTTTTATCAAGTGTTCTTGTAAAACATTGCAGTACTCCCCAATTTGTAATCTCCATCCACACTCACCATTCTGAGAATAAATCAGCCACATCAATGAGGCAGCATTTGGTCTTTAATGTGAATGCCACATTTTCTAGCATTTCTATCTATATGTAGATATATAATGGAGATGATGAAATTCTTAATTTCTTAGTCTTGAAAGATAAAAATTGAAGGAGGTCAGATTATAATATTTAATGAGTACCTTTATGAGCCAGACATTGTTCTAAAATTTTATATATTTTATTTCACTTAATGAGCAGATAGCTGCTCATTGGGATAATTTGTTAACATTAAAAATGTGGTAAAGAATTAAGGCTGGAAGTATCAAATATGAAATAATACAAAAAGCTGTATATTTTTCACTCCTTAAATTAATTCAATTTATGTTGTGGTACCTAGCTAATATGCATATAATGACTTTTTCTGGTCAATGTAAACACTAATTTGTCTGAGAGACTAGTATTGATTGATGCAGAGCTATTATCAATATTGGAATTTGAGGGTCAGTTATTTTTGAAATGTATAACATTATTGACTGCATAGAGGTTATAACTTACAAAACACACAATATGGTAGAAAAAGATACATTTCAATATAAATCATTTGCCATTTCAAAGTTCCATTAATATAGGAAAACATAACTCTCAACTTAGTCATTTCAGAGACATTTTTAAAACAATCTCTAGATTTTACCATGAACTTTTATCCTCAGAGCTTTCTGCACAGTGTGGGTGTTGGCAGGAGGTCTACAGGGGCAGGGTGGGGAGAGGACTAGGGAACCATATTCCACCTTTTTCTTTACCATGATACTCACTGTGAACACAATCTCACTGTGGCCTGTATCTCCAGAGTGGTAAGAGGAACAAACAGGAAACACAGAAATAGAAAAGTAGACAGGGTACTGGAATGTAACTCTTCAGAATAATTTGTTCCAAACTCAAAGAAGGTAATTTAAACCAGCAAAACATCAGGAGCACCTCCAACCATAGGTTCAGGAATTGCACAGAACCCCCTTAGCATTAAGGGTTCCCATTTAGGCCCCTTCTGTGAGGGATGAGTGAGGGAACCATGAACCCTACGACCTGACCAGAACACATGACCCATTAAGTCTGTCGGGGATGGTTTCTTTCTAGAATGGGGTGTGTGTGCTTGCTGACAGCTCTTATTTTCTTCCAATGTGCAGGATTAAATATCCTGATCAGCAAAAGGTATTCCTGGTCCCCTTTGCTATGGTTCACTCTATAGCCAATACTTCTGAAAATAGTTTGTCCGTTTAGATTCCAGTGTACTGTGTTTGTGTTTTTTTAGAATTTTCAAGCCAGTGTGCTAAGGGTCACACAAACGATAACCATGGGAAGGAAATTGTATTAACCTTCATTTCTGCTTTATGTGAAAATGATTGAGACTGGTACAATTTCTGTAACTGTTAGACACAGATTAGGATTTGGCATTTGTTTTGTGAGCTATTATTATTTTAGAAATACTAAAATACATACATTCATTGAGTGCACTTTATGGATATATTAACTCATTGAATCCTCTTTTCTACTCTGTGAGGTATATGATACTATTATTATTTATTTATTTAATTTATTTATTTTTCAAGATGGAGTCTTGCTCTGTCACCTGGGTTGGTGTGCAATGGCGCGATCTTGACTCACTGAAACCTCTGCCTCCCAGGTTCAAGCGATTCTCCTGCCTCAGCCTCTTGAGTACCGGGTGCCCACCACCACACCAGGCTATTTTTTTGTATTTTTAGTAGAGACGGGGTTTCACCAGGTTAGCCAGGCTGGTCTCGAACTCCCGGCCTTGTGATCTGCCCACCTCAGCTTCCCAAAGTGCTAGGATTACAGGCGTGAGCCACCGCAACCAGCCCTATTATTTATTTTTATAGATTAAAAAACTATGTCACAGAATTTAAGAAATCTACCCAATATAAAGTAGCTAACAAATGACAAAAAGGAATTCACATCCACTCAGCCTGGCCTTCTGGTTCTGTGTTTGTGGGCATGCCACACCTCCTTTACTGAGTTACTATTCTGTTGTTTGGTGCTTGCCTAAGTTTTTCTAGGTTATCAGTTGTTAGAAGACAAACAATTTGTAAGGTACATGGATGTGCTTTGGTCAAGAATTAGGCCAAGGCAGACATCCAGGCCTGCATTACTTAGCGAGTTTAGGGTGCAGGCACATACTCCATTTGTTATGTAACCTGTTTGTTTAAGCTCATACTTGGCTCTCAGCCACTATTGTCTGTAGAAGGTATAACTGCCCTGCTGACACTGTACAGGATCTTGGGCATGGCTTGACATGGCGCTGGCACCCAGAGAAAGAGAGAGAGAGAATCAGAGCTGTCTGTCTTGCAGACGGACAGAGGACAGCTATTGCATGGCTCGTGCTGGTGCCCAGAGAGAGAAAGAGTTAAGCTGCTGACCCTGAAGGCAAGGGAGAGCCTGCTATGCAGCTGCCGGAAGGGCAGGAGCTGCAGAGCCAGAGCAGACAGCTGAGATAAAGGTGGACAGTGTTAGAGAGCTAATGTGAGTAAGCTGCTACTGAGAGACCTGCTAAATAAAACTACATTTCACCTGCCTATGGCGCCCCCGGAGTGTTCTTTCAGCTATCCACCCACTCCCCTTGGACCTCAGCTGGGGCTGGAACCTGACAATTGGCATTGTCAGCAGGATAAGGTGAGTGGGTCTTCAGCCCCTGAGGGCTCCTGGGTTGGCTCTGTGGCCGCAGCATGGACTGTGGTACCCAGTGGCAGCCATGCTGCGAGGAGGATGGGATCTGATGGAAACATGGGAGGCAGTGGATGGGTCTCCTGTGAGTATGAAGAGGGCACTGAAGTACCTGGAAGTGCACAGCACCAATGAGGAACATGCCTTTGCCAGCAGAGTCAGACGGGCATTTGTAACTGTGCTGCGGGAGGTGCATGCCCAGTTCCTGCAGGATGCCAGGCAGGGAGGAGGCTCCTCTGCTGCGGGCTCACCCTGTGATCCATCAGAAGGCAGAACATGAGCAGCCAATGGGACCCCAGGGGAGAGCCCAGGGCCCCCCCACAGTGGTGGAACACAGCTCTTATAGTGCTTATACCCCCACTGAGTTGCAGGAGTTAAGCAAGTAATCTCGGCAGTCATGTGCAGACTTAGTGTAAGTCACATGGGAGAAGGACATTGCTGCGCAACCCAGTCCTGCCCAAGCATTCCAGTTCACAGACTGCCTGCTGCAGTTAGGTGGAAGTGTAAAGCCTTTTCTGTTTGATAAGAGACTGACCAAGATGCCTGGCTTAGGGGGGCACTGGATGACCAAAGACCATATGTGGACTTGGCAATCTACTGGACTCTGAACCCGGATAAGTTTCTGGGCAGAGCTGCAGTTATTGATGGTTATGAAGACTGGTCAGTGAAAGCGAAACCTGTATCTTTGCATCTTGGTATCTGCTGCTTGGTTTTCCGCTCATGAACTGTGTATGTCTCTCCCATGCCTGAGGACATTCTGGCTGGGGATGTTTTACACGGCTTGGCAGCTGTACCATCTGTCACAGACTTGCTGGACTGCTTAACAATGGAACTGGGATTCTTGTCCAGAGAACCAGGAATAGTTTGCCTTCATTGGAGGGTGACAATGGACTTTCACAGTGTTGCTACAGGGCAATATGCATAGCCCCACTCTATGTCATAGTCTTGTTGATGATGTTATGTTAACTTCTGATTCTCTTGCAGATTTAAAAGTGGCAACGCCCCTCTTGCCTTAGATTTGGATAAGACTGAGGCAGCCTTTTCCAATAGCCAAGCAGGCTATTCAGCAGGCTCAAGCCCTGCAGGTAGTTAACCAGGGGCTCCCATTTAAACTTGATGTACATGAAATTACAGATAGTATTGGTTAGAGCCTATGGCAGTGCATGGAGTACTTGGAAGAACCAGTAAGCTTTTAGTCCCAGCTATATGGAAGGGAGCTGAGCTCTGGTGTTCATTAATAAAGAAGCAGTTAGTAACTGCATACACTGCCTTTCAGGCTCATAAGAGCATGTCAGGATGGGTTACAGTCATCATCGTGTGGACAACTTACCCAATAGCAGGATGGGTGCATTCATGGCCCCCCGGACTGGGATGGCACATATCCACTTTAGTGAAGTGGGGTGCCTACCTGGAAGAATGAAGTACCCTGAGTACAACTCCCTTAGCAGCAGAGTTACAAGAAGCCTTAGGATCCTAATGCAAGATAAGGCCATGGGGCCTGAGGCACCCCTAGACGCTGAGCTTTCACCATTAGGAAGTGCATCCCCCCATTCCTAATAGGGCATGGTATACAGATGGGTCTAGCCAAGGTGCTACTGCTGCCTGGACTGGTGTCACAATCCAGCCTAGTACTGACACGATGTGGTTTGAAACCAGGTGTAGGCAAAGTAGCTAATGAGCTGAATTCAGGGCACTGAGAATGGTAATCACCAAGGAGACAACACCTATGGTAATCTGCACCTATAGCTGGGCAGTTTATCAAAGCCCCTGTGTATGTATCAAGGCTGCGTGCCCAAACCTGCGTCCCAGAGCATATGTGTCAGGTTTATGTGTCTGGGGCCTATGTGCCAAAGCTGTATAGTGGGTCTGCATGCCTAAAGCTATGTATCAAACCTGTTTGTCCAAAACCTATGTCTCCCTCAACCTAGTGGGTAGAGTGTAAGGTACATGGATGTGCTTTGGTCAAGAATTAGGCCAAGGCAGACATCCAGGCCTGCATGACTCAGCAAGTTTAGGGTGCAGGCACATATTCTGCTTGTTACATAATCTGTTTATGTAAGTTCATACTTGGCTCTGAGCCACTATTGTCTGTAGAAGGTATAACTGCCCTGCTGACACTGTAAGGGCTCCTGGGCATGGCTTGACATGGCACTGGTACCCAGAGAAAGAGAGAGAACCAGAGGTGTCCATCTGCAAGACAGAGAGGAGTCATGGCAGGACTCCTGCTGGTGCCCAGAGACAGAAAGAGTTAAGCTGCTGACCCTGAAGGCAAGGGAGAGCCGGCCATGCTGTTGTAGGCATGGGGTCAGCAGGCGCCGCAGAGCTGGAGCAGACAGCGGAGATAAAGGTGAACAATGTGAGAGAGCTAATGTGATTAAGCTGCTGATGAGAGAGCTGCTGAATAAAACTACATTTCACCTGCCTATGGCCCCCGAGTGTTCTTTCAGCTATCTGCCATTCATCCACCCACTACCCTTGGACCTCAGCTGGGGCTGGAACCTGATACAATTGAGAAACAAAAAAAAGGGAGATCCCATAGATTTAACTGAGGAGAAAGGAAAAGAGTGACATAATTTTAAGAAGAGATTTTTAATGTATAATCTGGCACAAATCAATAATTTTCCAAAAAAAGGATTATCTAGGTCAGCCTTCCCCAATGCCAGTTGAATTTTCTGAACCATTCTCTCAATGTCCACAAGGCGAGTAGCAAATGGGAGATATTATTAGATACTGCCAATTAAATAAGAGTTAAAATGTGTTCATTTTTATATAAATAATTCAACAAAAATTGGCAATTCACAGACTTGTGAACCAGATGAATACAAACTATGAATATTTGATTAAGATTCTCAGAACTCTCTGTCTTTAATGAGTAAATTTTGGAAGTGCTTTCTGTAGAAGAGTGACTCAGGGAGAAAATAGCAGTACAGAGAATAGAGCAAATACCCACTATGAGGCATAAGTTGAGGAAAAGTAGGTCATGCTTTCATACTTAGCAATCTAAGGAAAGTAAATATAGAAATCTACAAAATATGCATCGGATAATTTATTAAATAATTTCTTCTGCCATTTCATAGGAGGGAGCTTTCACCTTTCACACTAACCCTTTTTCATACATATATACATATATATATACACATATATATACATATATACACTATATATACATATATACATATATATACATGCATATATATACACATATATATACACATACATATATATACATATATATATATATATTTTAAAAAACCATCACCCACTCCTCTCATGGGTAAAATACTTAAATGTTGAGCATATCTTATTAGCATTTGATTTATACATCACAAATATGTGTCTTTTGTTGAATTATCATTGTTGGTCTAGTAGGTTTGTCTTATTACTTGCCACATATTTAAAAGGTCCTCTTCAATTAGATCACATTAAGCTCAAAACAGGAAAGATGACATTGAGGAGTCTGGGGATGTCACTCCTTCAGTAAATGACTTTAGCATAAAAATGAGATGACAGAAGGATTCTTTACAAATCTCAATATTTGAAGAAAAAGTATGTTCTGGGTTGCTTCTGTTGTAAGAGATTAAAATGGGAAAGTGAGGTTCTGAACAAGGATTTATTATGGAAGCCAGGAATCACGAGGTGACTCCTACACCCCTCGGTCATGATGAATAAAGGTTTAAAGTAGAGTTTTTCAAAGAATGAAGGGATGGGGAAGCACTATCTTTCAACCCCAAGTCAACAAAGAAGAGCTATGGGGAGTGATGGGAATCTCCTGGGGGTTGGAAAATACACAGAAACCAGGCACCTGGCTACCTTTCTAATGAAAAGCACAGGAGAGATTATCCCCACATGGGGATCAGCAGGTACTCAGAGGTTTAAGGAAAAAGAATGCATCAGGATTTTCCACAACCAGGTGCAGGTCACACGAAGGAGCAAGTATGGGGTTACATAAGTTCCTTTCCATGAAAACCACAGGAGGAGGTGTGAAGACCTCAGCAAAGAAGGAATAACTTACCAGTCAGAATGAAGATCCAGCAGGGAACTGCAGGTGAGAGATCCTCAGCGACTGGTGTTTCTGGAATAACCAGGGAGAGCACTCTACAAGAAATACATATGAGGATAGCTTTAACTCCTGCCGGATGCAGCAAACCCAGGGGCGGTACCAGCTATCCTTTCAGCAAAAGCATTCCTTTCTCCCTCTCCTGTGCTCTAACCCCTGTGCTGGCAGGAGCAGAGGAGGGAGATAGGGAAGGAGAAGAGAAATGAATCACTTTCCCTTCTCCAACTGTAGGCATTCAGCCTATTCAGCAGGCCTAAACTCATGGAGCAGAGAGCTCTCAACTTCAAATCAGGCACAGAGTTTTTATTGTTATGTGAAATTTGAAAATATAATCATTAAAATAAAACTTGTTTGGCCAAAGGATTAAGAGGTTTGCTTTAGTTTAAGGTCAGGAGAAGAACTAGGCTATTGATTAAATGTATACACAACAGGGGAAAACAAAAAGAAGTTATAATACTATTATTAATATATCCTAGATCAGACTTGTTCTTACATTTAAAACTTACATTTCAACAGATAAAACTAAAAAAGGTGAGCAGAAATTTTAAGACAATAGATTTTGGCTTGTGAGTAGATATTGCTAGGATATAGCTTTGTGATCCTGGTTTTCAGGTGAAACACAGTATCAGAACTAGCCAGATTCCTTTACAACCCTACTGCAGTCACCAACCGTATCTATCTCAAATAATTCCAGATCACCTGTCCCTCTTTACAAATCACTGTATGTGCCCAAATTTGTTGGTTTCTTTTAAAACATTTTATCAAGAATAATGACATAACTGGATTTTAGCTATACTTCACTCCATATGTACTTACCTGCATCTACTATTCTAATAAACATTTGAATAATTTCTTTTTTGGTATTATATGTGTGTGTATTCTTCCCTGAACTTAGGTTTCTGATATAACTCATATCGGTTATTCATACAACAGCCTTTTCAATTCTCTGCATAGGATCTTGATAACTGTTCTATCTCATTTCTATCCATATGAAAGAGGAGTATGTCCTTCATTCAAAGTAAACATTAAGATAGACTGATAGACTGAGCCCAAGACTTCATTCTTCTCCATGGTAATAAATAGATCCCCGTGCAAAGAGATATTTTTTTTTTTTTTAGCTAATAAGCTTTATCTTTAAAACAGTTCTAGGTTGATGGAAAAATTAAGCGGAAAGTTCAGAGTTCCCATTACTCCCTCAGCTTCACTCCTTCTACTTCTCTATCACACAGTTTCTCCTATGTATTAGTGTGGTACATCTTGCATTACTGGTGCATGTATTACAACTAATGAGCCAATACCAATACAATGTTATTACCTTCAGTCCACTCATTTTGTTTCACAGTTCTATGGGTTTGTACAAATCCATAATGTCCTGTATCCACCATGAAAGTATCATACAGAATAGTTTCACTGTCCTAAAATATCACCTGTGCTTTTCCATTCATCCTGCCCCTTCCAACTTCCTAGCAACCACCGATCTTTTACTATAAGTTTTGCATTTTGCATAATGTCATATTGTTGGATATGTACGGCTACATACATTATACAGCCTTTTCAGACAGGCTTCCTTCACTTAGCAATATGCATTAAAGATTACTTCATAAAAACTGTAGTAAGAAAATGATAGACTAAAAATAGATTTTATTTCAATAAACACCACATTAGAAAGTTCAAAATAGAAACCATGGCTAATTAGCAGAAAACAATTCAAAACTATTATTCTAAAGAAAAAAGTCTAATAATATGAGTAAGCAGGAAATAAAAGACTGATTTGGATGATATATACATTATACATATATATACAGATGATATATACATTATATTAAACTTTATTTTATAATAAAATAGCAAATTATTTAGGTCAGATTCTAAGTAGTATGTGCTAATTTAGACTGAAGATGTCAAGATTCTGAGACTGTAATGAATGTCTTTTGAATTAGGTATGAAAATGATGGAATCATTTATCATAAAAAGGAAGGATTAGCAATAAAAATCTCCGGAAAGTTAAGAAAATGAAAAGACAAGCCACAGATTGGGAAAAAATATTTGCCAAACACATATCTGTAAAAAAAGAACAGGTATCCAAAATACCAAAGAACTCTTAAAATTCAACAATAAGAAGAAAAACCCATTTAAACAGTAGGCAGGAAATCTGAACAGATACTTAAAGAAGATATACAGATGGAAAATAAGCACATAGAAAGATGCTCAACATCATATGTCATTAAGGAGGTGTAAATAAAACAATGAGATGCCACTACACACCTATTAGAATGACCAAAATACAAAACAGTTACAACACCAAATGCTGGTGAGTATATAGTACAACAGGAACTCTCACTCATTGCTGATGGTAATGCAAAATGTTACAGCCACTCTGGAAGAAAGTTTGGCAGTGTCTTATAAAACCAAACATACTGTGTGGGATCATATGGTCAATAATGCTTCTTGGTATTTTCCCAAAGGAGTTAAAACTTACGTCCACGTATTAAGATTTGTTATTGCCAAAACTTGGAAGCAACGAAGATGTTATTTAATAAATGAATGAACAAACTGTGGTACTTTCATACAATGAAATATTATTTAGCAATAAAAAGAAATGAACTACCAAGACATAAAAAGACATGGAGAAATTTTCGAAGCATATTTCTAAGTGAAAGAAGCCGATATGAAAAGGCCACATAGTATATAATTTCAACTCTATAAGATTGTGGAAAAGGCACAACCATAGAGACAGTACACATAACAGAGGCTATCAGGATCTCAGGAGAAGGAAGGGAGGGAGAACTGAATAGGTAGGGCACGTGGGATTTTTCAGGCAGTGAAACCATTCTGTATTATACTGTAATTGTCAATATATGCCATCATACATTTGTCCAAACCTATACAATGTAAAACAGAGTGAAAGCTAACGTAAACTATGGGATTTAGTTAATAAAAATGTGTCAATATTCATTTATCAATTATAAAAAATGTACCACACTAATGCAAGATGTTTATAACAGGGGAAGCTGTGCAAGGGAAAGGGGGATATATGGGATTCTGTCTGTATATTCTGTGCAATTAATCTGCAAACCTAAATTGCTCCAGAAATACAGTCTATTTTTTTCAATCTCTTGAAAAGCACACAGCTAAAATTTGTTGAAGAAGATAGTATCAATCACGAAAGAAGGTGGTGGGGAGAGAGAGAAAAAGAGGAAATTAATGGTATTTTAGAAAGGATGATGAGAATGAGCAGAAATATTTAGAACATGGTCATATGCACCCACAGACGGATGTTTCTGGAGACGTGGTAGTCCACTGTGCCACTGCAGAGAGAGTTCCAAGACTCATGGTGAAGAAGCTTCCACGAGTGATAGTTTGGGCTCTTAGTCAAGTCACAATCGGTCCTTAACCTCTAGCTAAAAAAATGTATAGAAATTCCCTAGTATTTGGGTATTTATTTTCTAAACCCCTAAATTTATAAGATAGGATAGAAAAAACAAAACTCGTCACTACCCAAAAATATTCAGAAGTGAATTGACCACTTATAAAACTGGTTCCTAGGTTTTCCCCATTAATATTAGTTACCCATCTTCACTGCTCAGTTTCTTTACTGTTAAATTCCTCATGATTGCCAACTGGAGCACTGAAGATATCACATGAATGAAATTCAAATTAAGTACAGATTGAAATAGAAAATGTAGTGAACTACTAAAAATGATTTTGGAAGATAGAATTAGAAACTCATTGACAAATGGAAATGCATCACAGTCAAATAAATTAAAAACTAAAGAAAAGAATAATATACCTAGCTAAGCCTCAGAAAAGATCAATTTAAATATCAAAGCATTAATAAAGATCTCTGGTAAAAATGGGTTATGCCTCATGTCAGATATTTTTAAAAAGAATTATCTTAGAGACTATGCTGCAGGACTCAAACATAAAGTGAAAGGAGCAGATCATACTGTCCTATCATTTTGTTTGGGGAAATTATAGAAAATACCCTAAACTGTAAATAATAAAAAATAAATACGCCATAATTTTTATTTTTCTTTCCTTACAACTTTTACTTTAGTTTAAAGAGGTACACATGCAGCTTTGTTAAATGGATAAATTGCATGTTGTGAGGGTTCGGTGTACAGATAATTTTGTCACCCGGGTAATCAGCATAATACCCAATATGTAGTTTTTCAATCCTCACCTTCCTCCCACACTCCACCCTTAAGTGGGCCCCAATGTCTATTGTTCTTTTCTTTGCGTCCATGTGTACTCAATGTTTAGCTCCCACTTATAAGTAAAATATGTGGTATTTTGTTTTCTGTTCCTGCATTAATTTGTATAGCATTATGGCCTCCAGTTTCATCCATGTTGCTGCAAAGGCCATGATCACATTTTTGTTTATACTTAAGTAGTATTCCATGCTGTATATGTACTACATTTACTTTATCCAGTCCACTGTTGATGGGCACCTCGGTTGATGCCTTGTCTTTGCTCTTGAGAATAGTGCTGCAATTAACATACCTGTGCATGTGTCTTTATGATAGAACAAATTATATTACTTTGGGTATCTACTCAGTGATACGGTTTGACTCTGTGTTCCCACTCAAATCTCATGTTGAATTGTAATCCCAAATGTTGGGGGATGGACCTGGTGGGAGGTGATTGGATTATGGGAGAGGATTTCCCCCTTGCTGTTCTCATGATAGTGAGTTCTCACAAGATCTGCTTGTTTAAAAGTGTGTAGCATTTCCCCCTTTGCTCTGTTCCTCCCGCTCTGCCATGTGAAGAAGGTGTTTATTTCCCCTTCATCTTTCTGCTGTGATTGGAAGTTTCCTGAGGCCTCACCAACCATGCTTCTTGTACAGCCTGTGGAACTGTGAGTCAACTAAATCTCCTTTCTTCATAAATTACCCAGTCTCAAGTAGTTCTTTATAGCAGGGCAAGAATGGGCTAATATAGAAAATTCATATCAGGAGTGGGGTATCGCTATAAAGGTACCTGAAAATGTGGAAGGGACTTTGGAATGATGAGTGATAGTGAACATTTTTCACATGCATGTTGGTTGTATGTATGATTTCTTTTCAGAATTGTCTGTTCATACCATCTGCCCATTTTTAATGGGATTGGTTTTTGCTTGTTGATTTGTTTGAATTCCTTGTATATTTTAGATATTAAATTTTGTTGAATGCATGGTTGGCAAATATTGTCTCCCATTCTATAGGTTGCCTGTTTACTCTGTTGTTAGTTTCTTTTTCTGTGTAGAAGCTCTTTAGTTTAATTAGGTCTGTTAATTTTCGTTTTTGTTACAATCGCTTTTGGAGTCTTCATCATGAAGTCTTTGCCTGGGTCGAGGTCCAGAATGGTATTTCCTAGATTTTCTTCTAGGGTATTCATAATCATAGGTTTTGAAGTTAAATCTTTAATCCATCTTGAGTTGAATTTTGTGTACAGTGAAAAGTAGGGGTCCAGTTTCAATTTTCTGCATATGACTAGTCAATTATCCCAACACCATTTACTGAATAGGGAGTCCTTTCCCCATTTCTTGTTTTTGTTGGGTTTGTTGAATATCAGATGGTTGCAGATGTGTGGCTTTATTTCTGGGTTTTCTAATCTGTTCCATTTGTATGTTTTTGTATCAGTGCCATGTTATTTTAGTTACTGTTGCCTTATAGTATAGTTTGAAGTTGGGTAGTGTGATGACTCCTGCTTTGTTCTTTTTGCATAGGATCACTTTGGCTCTTTGGGATTTTTTGTTGTTGTCATTACAAATGGATTTTAGAATTTTTTTTCTAATACTGTGAAAAAATGTCATTGGTAGTCTGATAAGAATAGCCTTCACTCCGTGGATTGCTTTGGGCAGTATGGTCATTCTAACAATATTTACTCTTCCTATCTATGATCATGGAATATTTTTCCATTTGTCTATGTCAACTCTGATTTCTTTCAACTATGTTTTGTAATTCTCATTGTAGAGATCTTTCACCTCCCTAGTGAGCTGTATTCCTGGGTGTATTCCTATTTTATTCTTTTTGTGGCTACTGTGAATGAAATTGTGTTATTGGCTTGGCTCTCAGCTTGGATGTTATTGGTATATAGAAATGCTATTGATTTTTATACATTGGTTTTGTATCCTGAAACTTTGCTGAAGTTGTTTATCAGATCTAGGAGCCTGTGGGCAGAGACTATGGGGTTTTCTAGGTATAGTATCATAATATATGTGAAGAGATAAGGTTTGACTTCCTCTCTTCCTATTTGGATGCCCTTTATTACTTTCTCTTGCCTTATTGCTCTGGCTAGGACTTTCAGTACCATGTTGAGTAGGAGTGGTGAAAGTGGTCATCCTTGTCTTGTTCCCGTTTCTCAAAGGGAATGCTCCCAGCTTTTGCCTGTTCAGTAGGATTTTGACTGTGGGTTTGTTGTGGATGGTTCTTATTATTTTGAGGTGTGTACCTTTGATGCCTAGTTTGTTGAGGGCTTTTAGCATGAAGGGATGTTGAATTTTATTGAAAGCCTTTTCTGCGTCTATTTTTGTTTCTTTGTTTTTAGTTATATCACTTTTTAAGATGGCTTGCTACCACTGTTTTTTCCTCTCACTACCTATGACATTTTTATCCTAATTTTAAAGTTATTCTGTTGTAGTCGGCTTTTCCTGATACAATTAGATTTCAATTAGAAGACTGCTACCACCATTATCCCAATACTCAATACATGTGACCATTTGTCCTCATTCACAAATTTCTCAAAAGTATGACACAGAAGAGGAAACACCAAGCATCTTGCACTGGTTCTGCCCCCTCCATTAAGTCTCTGGCTCCCATGTTAGTCACTCTCAAACAGCTTCAAGTCCGAGTTTGGCTAGCCTCAGCCCACATATGGTCACTGAAATTCAGCATCCTAACCAATGCCCAGCAGCTTTTCTAAAACATTAAAAAAATAATGTTATGAATTGATCAAAACTTGAGACACATCTATGAAGGGTCTGCAAATGCAATATCCTATAGTATGGCAGTAGAGTATCATTATATTTAATTAATATAAAACAGCTAATTAGTATTTCTGTAAATATAGTATTTTATCATAAAATTTTCCCACTGATTGACCCTCATCTCTATTTCCAAGGCTGTGACTGTCACTATTACTGGCACTGAAGAGAACACAGGAGAAGTAGATTATGGGACCCATGCCTGAAAGTTTTTGTGATAATTTGGAGCTATATTTTCTTAGTTTACAATTTTAAGAAATTATAATTAATCATTATAATTACATCATTTTATTTTGTAGTAATTACCCACAATTACAATAGTAAAAGGGGTTAAGAACTATGGCAGATGCTGGGAACAGTAACTCACACCTATAATCCTAACACTTCAAGAGGCCCAGGAAGGAGGATTACATGAGCCCAGGAGTTCGAGACCAGCCTGGGCAACAAAATGAAACCTCATCTCTATGGAATAATTTAAAAATTAGTCAGGCATGGTGGTGTGCACTTGTAGACCCCGCTTAAAAAAAAAAGAACTATGGCAGAAAAAAATTAAAACTAGCCTAGTAACATAGCCAGACTCTGACTCTACACAAAACAGAAAAAATTACCCAGGCATGGTGGCTTGTGCCTGTTTTCTCAGCCTCAGGAGACTGAAGTGGGAGGATTACTTGAGCGTGAGAGGTAATGAGCCATGATTACAGCACTGCACTCCGGCCTGGGTGACAGAGCAAGACCCTGTCTCAAAAAGAAAAAGAAAAAAAGAAAGAAAGAAAGAAACTTTAAAGACATTGTCAAGGAGGCAAAATTTCTTCTGACCCTTTAGAGATGTTTAAAATAGCCAGAGAAGGGAGTAGATAATCTTCCAAACAGAATTAAAAACATACGAAGTCAAAAGGCAAAAATGAACATTGGCAGTTTCTGAGAGCAATGGGATAAAGGCCTAACGGATGGAATTTTATTAAGCAGCAAGGTATACAAAGATAGAGAGGAAGAAATAAATAAGTTGAGAGTTTTTATTATATTATTTATTTGCTAAATCCCCAGTTTAAAATGATGATGTCACATAACAAGTGTATTTCCAGTTAGCAACGTGTAAGGAACTGCTCAAAGAAACACAATTAACAATGTTCATCTGCCCTTGAAATAACTTATTTCTGTGTCTGTCATATTTTCCAGCACAGAATCTTATTGAACCTCAACTCATAAAATTCTATAGAGGTTCTTTTTTCTTTAAGAGATTAATGCCTTGTACAGCATTCTCATCTGTATTTAATCTCAGAATTTTGATTTTGTATTTTGCTCCCCTATCCTGAATGATAGAAACCTTTAACTCCCCATTCTCTATTCCATACAGTTTCCAGCTTGAAGACACTGCTCTCCCAGAAGAGAGATTACTCCTTTCTGTTTCCTGCTCCCTGTTTTTCCACAGTATACTGCAAAAGCAGAAAATAAGAAAAATTAAAAGGCAACTCTGGGCATATCTGTGATGAGAGTATGAATTTTTCTTATTGGTTTTATCCATTCTTGTCAGCTTACACTTTTAGAGACTAAAAGATAATCCCTTTAATGCCTGAGCTTTTTTACTTTCTTGTCAGAAAGTGGTTTAAAATGCACATATAATAACACAACTGTCTTTACAACTCCCCAGATATCTTCAGTTATCTTAAATATTGCTTCAAAGGGTATTGCTTAAATATTGCTTAAGGATAAAAATATCTGTAAATATTGCTAGTTTAGCAAGATGATAACTCACAAAATATTTTGAAAGAATACTGTATTCCCAAGGAAACTATAATATTTTCTAAAATCTTAAACATAGCATTTTAATGATTTTTAGTTTAAATTTAAAGCGGTTTCATGATCATTATTAATATTTGGCACAGCTATAGGTAGGGCCCATACATACTTTTCCTTTTCAAACAGTAATGTCCATTCTAATAAATGCTTGATTTTACAAAATATTCTACCTCATTCAAAAATATCCCTAGGCAACTTAAAATAATTTATGCCTAAAAATATTTGTTTGTGAAAATTTCATATATTCCATAGATGCTGCTGCATTATTCAGAACTCAGCTCTCACACACTGGATATCCCATAAATGTTGAGTGACTTAGCATGAGCTTCTAACCCTGCAGATGTCCCCAGTAATGAGGATGAAAGCCCTAATAATTGCTTATTCAGAATTGATTCATAGCCCACAAACACATTCCCTTTCATTTTATGTGGAACTTTTCTCTAATGTTCTAAAAAACTGTAATAAAATGTGGACTTGCATATTTGAAAAATAAAAAATTATTTTGTCACTCTTATTAAGAGACATAAAAGGCTCTGGGTCACAGTTTGATTTGGGAATTGGTTTGCTGAAATTTACTTGAAGGGTAAATGTCTTTGAAATCACCATGTTCACTTTTCCCCACATTAAGAGATCCTGGAAAGTCTCAACATTTGTGAAAATTGCCACTGGGAAACTCACCAATTGATTTATCCTCTGATAAGAAATGACTGACCTTTTTGTTTGGATCTTGGCAGGACAAGATGTGGTTAGGTATATCTGGAAGTGATAGCTTCTGAGGCTGAGTTTCTACAACCAAAGCAAAACTGAAGACTAAGACAGTTTCTTATGACTTTTGAGCTAATCAAAAAATAGGATTCTTCTGTAGTACAACTGAAAAGTAAATAACAACTACTGCAATCATATTTCTGTTTACTCCTTGCCAGCTCCTGTTTGAAGCATTATATGAACTATGAGAAACATTATGTGAATTGGACTCATGTAAATCATCAGAAATGTATAATCTTCAAGCCATTTTAAAGAGGGAGTCTAGTTGAGTAATTTATGCCAGGTTACACAGCTATTAAGTAGCAATAATTTTGCTACTACCTAATTCTCTCAATAATCTCAACTACTACACTAAAAGCTTCCACATTAGTTACAAAAATATTTGACTATCCTTTGCTGGTTCAGAGATTTATCATCATTAAAGGAATTATCAAAAAGTGTGAGAACAAGTGGTTTTAATGTATATAGTGATAGCTGATCTATTTTGGTCACTGATTAAGACTTGTAAACAATGTGTTTAAGTATGTAGGTAGAACAGGCTATGAAATTGCCTCTAATTATAAGATGGCTCTTTAGTGTAAAGAGAAATCCTTTAAGTGCTTCCGCTATGTCTTGTATCAAAATATTACTATTTCTCTCTCTCTGTCATGCACACATACACACACAAACACATACACACACAACTTAGTCTTAGATAAGTCAGAATCATATCTATAGGACCTAGAGGAAAAATTTAAAGAAAGAAGAGAATGCAACACAAGATAATAATTTGAAAAGCAGGACAGAAAGGGAGGAAAACTAGCTGGTAGTTAACATTTGTTGATGATTTCTGCGTACTAGCCAAAATTCTAAGTGCTTTATATGTTTTAAATAATTCAATTATCTCAGCAACCCTTTGAAAAAAGGTACAAACCTTATGTTACTTTATTTAAAAGCTGAGCCTCAGGGAGTATAACTAGTGTGTCCAAAATCGTGTGGCTAGGAAATTATGGAGCCAAGGTTTGCCTGCAGTCAGTCTGGCTCCAAAGTCTACATTCTTCACCATTAATAAGATGGTTTTTTCACTGCTGTTTGTTTGCTTTTTGTTTTAAAAATGAGTGCAAGATCCAATATATGATAATATAAAATGTCTAGTGTGTGATGAAAAGCACAATCATGTTGATAACTTAATTGGCTTATGCTAGGAAGAATATTATCCTTGTTTTGTATAAACCAACAATAATGATTAAACATTAATGACAATGTTTTTTTTTTTTAAAGAACCAAATGTAACTCTGTATTCTTGAACTGTTACCAGGATATAATTAAGTTTCAATGATGCTTTAGAAACATTATGTCATATACACCACAATGTTTTAAATGTTTATATTTGCGGACATCCCAGACTCCTATTCTTAAAAATGTATCTGATTATGGGTCACCTAATTAAGTGCTTAAGTCCCACAGTTTCAGTCTGTAGGCTAACGTGTAATACCAGAGATATCTAAGGACATAATAGCAAATGAGAGACATTTATTTCATGGTGCATTTTACAACCAATTTCAAGAACTGACATGGATGAACCATCATCTGCCTTTTACTTAATGGTCCAAGTCTGTCTTCAACTACTCCCAAAGATTTTAACATCACTATATATTAAATAGAAGAAAATCTGTGTGGAAGTATCAAACGTGTTTTAGATTTTCTTCAAATAGCCGATTTCATTGTTACTTATCTAGTTTCAAGTCAAGTCTCTCACATGTTTGGTTAAATTAGAAGGCACCATTTTTTTAGCCCAATACAGAAAAAAAAAAAAAAAAGTTTTGCTTTAAGTTATGGTGACTGAAGAAAGGGAGATTTAATTAAAGGAGTTTGAAGGGCAGATGAATACTTGTGAAATATCTTATTCATATAGAAATGTTCAAAAGCTTTTATGGAAAAACAATGGTTATTTCATACACTGTTTTACATAAAAACGTATTGATTTCAGAAACATAAATGTTGACACAGTTGTCTTAAAATCATAAAGTTCATTTTGTCAATTTGCAAGTTTTTGTTTAATCTCTAATTAAAATTATTACAGTTTCAATATAACCTAATTATAGTTAAAATAATAGCTTATTTTAGTTGTTAACCATACATTAATTGATCCACAATCTGTTTGATTCCTTTCAAATGGATTGCCAATTTTGCCATCATTTAATAAACAATTGATTCCTTTTGCATCTATAAAAATTCTTAAACATTTTTATTGGCAAATGAATTTCTGTGCATTTACTGTATTATATGAATTAAAAATGAATAAACCAGACTATTGTTTAGTATGTAACCCAGTAAACTCCTATTAAACTCTTTTCCTTCCAAAAAAGGTATATCAAGAGGTTAAGTTTGACAAGGTATATAACTCAGAACTCTGGAATTTACCATAATTTAAACTTTCAAGCAAAGTATACACACCAGCACATAATAGAATATTTAATATACCAAACCCTAAAATTTTAAAAGTCACAAAATAAGCACTACTAAAAATATTTGAAAAAAAGCATGCTGTTTCAAATTCCTTAAACATTTGTTTTTTTCTATCACTAAAGTTAGAGTCTAAAAAATGTGGGGAAAAATTGCCAGATTTTACCAAAGAAGAGATAGCCTATTAACAAATCCTATGGCTTTTTTTCAGATAATTTCTAAATGCTCTCTCATAATTTTAAACTAGAGTTTCATATCTTGAAATGAACTAAGATAATTCATACAACTGAGTTTTAAATAATATTATTTTCTAATCTCTTAAAAATAATATATCAAATTATTAAGCTATTCTACAAAACCACTTATGTAAATTTGGCTGAAACCAATTTTTTTAAATAATAAAAAGCAAAACAAGGTGAAACAAGACATCTTCACAGATTAACTATCCTGAGCTGCTTTTTATTATAAAGAATGAAAAAGACATACACTTAAGGTTTTAGCTTCTAGCCTTGGCCTTACTAGTTGATCTGGAATGTTGACCTCTCTAAAACTCAGCTATTAAATGAAGGTGTAGGACTAAGTAACTTATGAGAATACTTCCAACTCAGAATTATATTTCAAGCTTGCTTAGAATACTTTTTCAGAAGACAAGAAGGGTGCAGAAAAGAAATAAGTTTTTAAAAAGATACCACTATTTATACCATCATTTTCACTAAAACAATATTATTTACTGCCTTGAAAATTTAGTTAATTTTCTTACAAGGATACAGCTTACACTATCAAAAGATATATATCCCAACAAGGAAACTTAAAAATATGAAAAGACTTCTAAGTTTGGATGAATTTGTACTGATACTGTGACTCCCACATTTGGAAATGTTTTATCTCTGCAGTTTAAGAACTTACAAGATGTGGAAATAAGATGAACGGGAGTTGCACAAAGTTATTTTGTCAGATCCTAGCGATTACATATGTACAAAGAAATAAATGACCTTGATACCATGTTTAGAAAACAAGAGACTGCAGACAAGATGAAAGTGCTAAGTTTATTTCCCCTCATAGCAGAAAAATAAACCATGGATATCCCACTTTTTTATATATATTAAAGCTTAATTTGTGTTGTTGAGCAAGTCATGGTGAGCTAGTTTTTGGTGAGCTTGATGCTTTCTTCTCTGGGTGTTTTATGAACTGAAGAAATTCTCCTGGTATGCAAAGACTTGCTTGTGTAATTTTACTAAAAGTTAACAAAAAGTCCAGAGCCAAGCCTTTGTATTTATGGGACTATAAAAACCCATTTTGACATTTTTAGTGCCTTCCTAAACACACATCCCTCCTCTGGAATTTAGTATTTGTCTTTCATTTTGTAACACATCAGTTTGTTTTCCTCATTAGGAAAGTCAAAGAAAGGAACAGTGGTATTACTTCTTAGATGGTCACAACGTGTGCGTGAACCTTCTTAGTGTTTAAATCCAAAGTAGTGCTTCTGAGATTTCAAATGTTTACATTTATCCACAGCCACACGAGCCTTTGATGTTTGAGTAATTCAAAAACAATTCAATGGCATTAGGACTTGGACTTTGATAACATCTGATCTAGAAGTACTAGCTTTGCCTTTTTTTCAACAATTGGACTCTATTTTGAACTTCATAAGAAGTTCATCAAAAGTTCATCATCAGAAGTTTTTTCTTTTCTAAAACTGTTTTATAAAAATGGCCAATAGAGTTCCAATTTGTAACCAGATTTTAATAACTACATTTTTAGTTGTATCCCTAAGATGCTATTTTTATTGTGTTTAGTACTGAAGGAGTTGGGGAAAAGACTAGTCAGGGAAACTGTAGCTTTTTTTTCCTCACATTTGAAAGCAATACACAGAATCAAGGAGTCAGACAAGTTAATGTTTTTGGTCACCACTTTCTTCTAGCCCAAATAAAAAAAATTTGTTAGTTTTTATTGCATCAACCAACTCATCCTAATAATTCAATGAAACAGACTTCCACTAGTATCTAAGTGAGCCCAATACTGAACTAGGAGCTATGACATTTGTGTAAGAATCAATCATATTAATAACAGCTATATTTGCTTACATTATGTCAGACACTGTGCTAATTATAGTCTAATTATCACAAATAATATATGAAATAGGTTCTAATATTGTGCTCATTTACTGATATAGAAATTAAAACTTTGGAAAGATTAAGGACATTGACAAAGGTTTTATAGCTGAGCCAGAGGCAAAAGAACTATTATGGCATAACCATGTCATGAAAGAAGTTAGACTGCTTTGTGTGCATAAGGAATCTCTTCCTAGTCTTTCAACCCTCTTCTGTGGGCAGGTTCTTTTCCTGTTCCTGGAGAAAACCTCAGGAAGTAGCTTTCTGGTTCTTTTTAGTCAAAAAATGGTCTCATTTCTTAAAGTATACATTTAATGTAATAATCCAAACTTCAAACTTCATACAAAAATAAAACTTTATCTTTTCCCATCCTGGATCGATCTTATGCTGAGAAGCCTGGAGCAGTGCTAGGCCAACTCCTTTCCAAGCATCAACTGTCAAAACTTATACATCCTTCCCCCACCATATATGTCATTATAGCTCACTCACAATGCAGGTTTCTAGCTGTGATCAGCCAAGGGCATGTTTTCAGGTACACGTAAGCATTCATCTCCAAAACTCCAAGGAATGTTATTAGGCCCTATAAATTGATACTTTGAAACTTCTCCGACTGGATTTGAGAAAGTTAGAAACACTTCCTTCATAAAGCAGCCCCTTTCCCTCTTCTATGAGGAAAGAGTGGAGACCTTCATAATTTGTCCAAACAAACCATCTCTGCAGATCTTCTCAACGTCCCCATTAACCTGTAGCTACCACTAATATATCCTCCTGATAACGGATAAGCCAAGAGTTGAAAGCTAGGTTTCACCATCTCCTTTCTAAGTCCTGTATGGGTGGCGTAGATCTGAGTGTGGAATTTGTTGAGCATAAATTGTTTTCTTGCATCCCTGACAAGAATCTCCCATTTTTAACATCCTGTTATGATATCTTAGAGATTCAGAAAAAAGGAAGAATTTTCCAACTGTAACCTTCAAAATAGCTGAGGAACACGTTATAGAATCAAGCCTGCACAGACTATCCACCCGACCTAAGCAATCCCAAGTAGGACCCCACTGAAGGCTGAGAACTGACTTAAATTCTATATCAAATTATTAATACAAAACAAAAAATCAGTAATGCTTTTTTCTTTGAAATCCTATGGATATATGTATGTTTATGATATAATTAAACAGCAAATTTACTATTTTAGTCACTTTCACATATATTTACATGTATGTATTATAGCAATCTATATAAATAAAATGTGAGATAATTTCTAACCATGACCTACCAAATAATAAATATTTTAAGTACTCAAAAAATGGTAAAGAGTCATTACGGATACTACTGTCAAGGTAAATTCCAGTAAAACCAGATTTGGTCCTTGGTATACTGCAGTTCCTGACAAAGACTGGGCATGCCTGCAGGCTGAGAAGGGGCTTAGCTGAGTTTGCCCAATTTAAATGGTTGAACTCACCCAGGCAATGTGAGACAAATGAATCAAATTAAGAATTAAAATCTTAATTAGCTTATAAAGATATTTCCTCATATCCCAATAGACTGTGAAATCACTCATTCTTAAATATTCTGAGCCCGCTCCTGAAAATTTAACATGTGTGGTGTGCCAAACTCATTTTTACAAATAAAATATTTCAACTAAACGACATACTAAATGCAGCTCAAAGGTAAAGCATTCACCACGCCATCCTATTTTAAATCTATATGTCACTACTTTTCTGCTTCAGAAAAAAAAAATGACTAAAGGAAAACCTTTGGCATAAAAATCAAATATGGTAGTTTATAAAGTTACATATTAACCAGCCTCTGTCCACTAGAGAATTCAAAAAATTCCTAAAGGGAAGGGAATGAGGAAAAGGTCATGATCAGAATTACCTGGGAAAGACACGTCTTTCCTTACCCAACCCATCTCCTCTTATCTACCTAAGGCTGTCGGGTGGACAAGCAAATTACCAATGAACAGTTTGAAAAATAACAGTGTATCATATTCTCACTAATCAAAGCACTGACTGTCTCTTACAAAATTAAGGTTGAGGAAAACAGCCTCAGACGGTTAAGTGATTTGTTTAGGATCACACAATTACTAAGCAGAGACCCAACAACAACAACAAAAACTTCATATTCCTACTCCAGCATGCTGAAACTGTATGAAAGTAGCTTAGGTAACAGGTTTCTTATTAAATTTGTTTTATATTCTAGAAAAGTTTCTTCATCCCCCTACTCCCAAATTATCTCCTTCTATATGGTCACATTTGCAAAACTGTTCCAAAAAAAAAAAGTTTGTAAAATATACACAGGGTCAGAGTTTTAACAAAATTGGCACTAACCTTAAATTTCTTTTCATATAAAATCAATGTTATCACTAGATGTATGCAAGAAATAGATGATGGGAACTTATTTTTAAGTCTTTGAAAGGACTTCTGCTACTCTTGTTAAGAAGCCTAGTTCCAGCTGAATAGAATGATCCCATTCACTAGGTCTGCTTGTCTAATGACAGCCCTCTAAATTTTGCACTCAACATGGACGTCATTTTTCACTTCAGGTCGTATTTAATAGCAGTTTGGAAAGATGAAACTATATCGTCAATATGCTTATTTTAAAGATTTACTGTATTCATCCGGGTCAAATCTCCCTGCTCTCTCCACAACTTACTGCAACCCCCACCAAGAGTGCGGGAAAGGATTTTAGAACTTCCAGTTCTTGGAAGTTCTGTCTAACTAAGCAGACAAGACTTACAAGCGACGATGCTGACGGTGGACTCTTGCCCAGGGATCTGGGCAGAGCGTGGGAGGGCCTGTGGGGCCTGGGGTTCTCTCTGCGCACGAAATCCGGGGCGGGCACTATGTGATTCGAGCCCGCTGCGCCCTGGGCTCCTCGTGTCGCCCGCGGGGAAAGGAGGAGGGAGACTGCTCACATGGCCCACTTCGCGGCCTGAGATGGAGTGCGCGCAGGGCGTCAGGGCAGAGGGAGGCGGGGATTCAGGATAAAGAGCGGCCTGATGCCCAGAGCCGGGTGCCCGGACCTCCTGCCTCCTGCTTCTGATCCCTGCAAGCCGCCCACCCTGCGATCGCCGGGTCCCGCCCTGACAATGCCCTGCCGCCAGTTCCAGCCCCAGTGCAGCCGTCGCCGGTCCTGTGCGCCTCTGGTGGCGCGTGCGCCCTGTCCTTCCCTGCCCAAGAGGGAGAACCCTCAGTGCCCCAGCCTCAGCTCTGCGCACAGCGGTCCCCTGCATGTCCGCACTCCTGTTCTGTACTGCACGCTCGCCAGAGCACAGAGCCCCATGTCCCATTGCGAGGGTCCCACAGAGGGCAGTAGCCACCCTCGGAATCCATACCCTGTGTCCCAGAGCCCTAGCAGGTTCTAGGACCAGGGTCAGCTATAAGATCTGAGGCTGTGGGTTGAGACTGGCAGATACCCTCCGGCTGGGATTTGATTCTGAGTCAGTAGGCTCCACATCCTTCCCAAGCCCTGTCATACCTGCTTCCTTCCCCTCCCAAAGAGCTACGGAGAACAAGATATACAGTTGTATTACCATTGCCTACTCAATGCTCACCTTTCTGGATTTTGTTCTTATTCTATTTTCCTCTGTATTTTTTTTTTTCTTTTTGGCCATTTCAGTGATCTACAAAGGTCAAAGCTCTCACCAACGCAATCCCCCAAATCCATTGATAGAACGGCTTTAGATATAATTTACTGTAAGTCTACTAGGATCATTTCTCTAAATTTAAAAAGTGTCAAAGGTGGAGCTAATGTGAACACCACAGCACTCAAGGCTACCAGCTGAAATTGTGGCTTTCATTTACACTATTGCAACTCGCTTTTATGAAATTTTTCCTTTTCCATCCCTAAGGCCTAATGTAGAGGCTCCTTTCAAGTTATGGAATTTATCACCCATTGAATCAAAGGCAGGTTCTTAATCTCCGACTCTTGATATTTCAACTGGAATAATTCTTTGTTGTGGGGCTGTCTTGTGCAATGTAGCATGTTTAGCCTTAGCCTACCTTGGCCTCTGTGACAAGATGCCTATGGCACCCCTTCAGCTGTTACAACCAAAAATACTCCAGATGGTGCCGAAAGTTCCCTTGAGGCAAAATCATTCCCCCTCCCTCTTTCAAAACTATTGATCTAAGCCATCCCAGTACTAAATTCTACAAGCTACTTGGAAAAATCTACTTCTCTCCACTATAAATTATGCCTAGTATGTTTTAAGTGGAAAGGAGACAACATTTAGGTTTTTCCTGGGGGCTACCATGTATACTTTATCTACCTATATTCATTTCATTATTCAAACTGAAAGCAAATGAAGTGCATAGTAATTTCTTTACTGATATTTTATGTTCTATTTCCTTTGCCTAACTGATATATTAAAAAATACACTTCAGGGAAAAAGTGAGATTAATTGCTCTGTATATGAGGAAATTGACAGATATATTAATAAAGAGAACCGTAGATCACCCAAAAGAAAAAATGCATGAAAAACTTACAGATTATATCTGAAAAAAAAAATGGAAAACAAAATACAACATAATACATTGGACAATGTTTTAGACCGTACTTCATCAACAAAATCAATCTAATGGAAAAAAAGTTACTTACTGAATTAAAAGGCATGATAATTTATTTTCTGATAAAGATCTAATGCTAGTCCTTAGTTTTCTGATCATGGAGGAAAAACTGCACTAAGATAATTGTGTTAAATGTATTCACATGATTTCTTAGAGATTCTCTATAGCGATGGAAAGTGTTCATGTGGAGCAAAGTTATTAAGTAGCTAAAATAAAAGGGACTCAGTGGAGGTTACCACCATTATTGAGTGACAATAGAGGATTGTTGCCATTAACTGGACTGAGCTTGGAGCTCTGATTTCAACTCATTTCTGTGAATATCCTGCAAAAAGTTCACTTCCTTTTCAGTGGCTTTACTTTACCATTCATACATTCTTCACGTGGATTGCACTTTTCAAATTAAAAAAGTATTCATATCTATTTCCTCATTTGTTACTCACAGGAATCTGAAATGAGGGGAAGAATTCATCTCCCATCTTAAGGAGGAGGAACTTAAGCTCTGAAAATGTGAACCCTTTTTCAACAGCAGTCAGAAAACAACAGAACAAAGATTTACTGTTCTTGTTCCTATATTCTTTTCACTCTTCCAAATTGATTCACACCTGATCTTGGTCCTGTATCCTTTCTACTCTTCCATATTGACTCTCACAATTTGCATGCCTTTCTCTACTGACGTGGACCACACCAGACAATTCTTTTCTGAATGTTTCAAAATACATTTAAACTCAACACACTTAATAAGGAGTGTGTCTATTTCATGCTGAGGCTTGAATTTCTCAAAGTTGATAAACCTCAATTCAAACTTTAGACTTCAGGCAATTCATTCTGTAATTGAAATCTCAGTTGTCTCATAAGAACTTGGTCTTCGAGGATCAAAAGAAAAGATACATAGAGAGGCTCTTCTGTTGATGGACTTAAAAGCTACCTCATCCAATGTACCCCAAATAATCTTAAGAATATAGAAAACTTCACTTTGTTGATTAGGAATCTGTAAGATTTGAAAATAGCTTTATGAAATACCTTTTACAGAAGCAGCTGGTTGGGAAAGAAGACAGATGAACGAATAAACACAAGGAAAACCTATTTGCAGCAAGAAGGGGGAGAGAAGAAAGGCAAAAATCTTGGCTTCTCCTATTAGGAAAATCAAAGGGACGTACTGAGACTGCAGACATGTGAGAGTCTCTCACTTGTAACTTTGTGAATTTCACTTCAGGCAAAAAAGTTGCACTTTGAAATCACTGGATGGCTGGTTGGTGAGCTGCAGAACTAATGAAGAAAGCTAAATAAGCAAATTAACCTTTTCTAAGAATCGTGGAACTTCAGAGCTAGATGCAGAACTAGAGGCCATTTAACCCTCTCCTTAATCATAGTTTTTGTGTGTGTGATGTACATGTGTATTTCATAATCACCAAGGCATCTCTAGCACACTAGATTCTATCTGAGGTAAGGGTGATACCCCATATGTTTCTCACGGCTATTTCCTGTCACCAGAATTACAATTCTGATTTGAAGGGTGAGGACCTGGAATTTTTATAAAAGCTCCCCAGGTGATTTTAGTGTACTTCCAGGATTAAAAACAATAGTTTTAGGACTATGGCCTTATAGAATAAAGCCCAGCTAAAAATAAGCAATAATAGAAACTTTATGAGAGCTTCTATATGTTCTAATTTATATACTTTAAATTTTAATCTTAGTTTTGAAATTAAAATAATATTTTTGCTTTCATTTCAGCAAAAATGTATGGTATCTATGTAAAAAGCCTAAACAAAACACTAAACAAATCCAAAAGTGTGTTCAAAAAAGAGTATAATTTGATCAAATAGTAATAATATTTTCACTGCATGTGAAGTGTATATCTCTATAATTCTTCCCATTGATGGGTCAAGAAGAAAAATCACAAGATTATGTCAATAAATGGAGAAAAGAATTTGATAAAGTATAATTTTGCTTGTTGTAAACATGATCAGCAAATTAAGAAATTTGCCAGTTTCTACTAATTCAACATATGTCTATCCTATTACCTAGAAATCCCACAATTAGCACACATACCCAAGTGAAATGAGTTTAAATGTGCAAAAACGTCCCACTTATATAAGAATTTTCAGAGCAGTTTTATATATAATAGCTCCAGGTGTGCATTTGAGTTAGTGTGTAGATGCTCACAAAAAAGTTGAAAGCTTGTTTTAATGCCATGCAGCTTGGACTTGGCCACGGTAGAAGTATTTATGCCAGGGGAGTTGGCAAATGCTACTTTTTGTCTTCCCAGAAATTGTTTACCAGCACACCATTAAATAAGTTCAAGTTAGAAACTATCCAAATGTTCATCAGGAAATTGGATAAAGATGGTATATTCATAAAATGGAATACTATATAGCAACATAAATTGCAAAATAACTTACTGATACAATAACGTGAATGACATGAGAAACATTAAGTTGATTGGAAGGAGTCAGACTAGAGAAGTATATAACTAACCTATAATTACAGCATTCAGAATGCTGATTACCTCTAGGGGTGAAGGAGCATTGATTATAAAGGGAATGGAGAGATTTTGAGAGTGGTAGAAATATGCTACAGTTTTATTTAGGTGGTAATTACATGTTATATACATATATAAATATTCATTGAGCTGTATACTCTATGTAAGTTACACAATAATAAAGATCATGTTTTTTTAAATGCTCATGTTAAAGAACACGATCTACAAAAAGCTAAGGCAATTTTGAAAAAAAAATATGACCAAAACATCAGGCTATTGTCTAGTTGGATATTAAATACTTGTCATAACTATGATTGATAGTAGGAGCACTATCAGATAAGCACAAGAACGGAGAACAACCCAATGAAAGAATATAGAGCTCAGAAAGATAGAAATGTAATTTGGAAAGATGGTAAGTAAGGCTTCACAGAGCAGTTAGTTACAAAGAGATTAACAGATTATGGAGGGAAAACTGTGTGACTACATAGGAGAAAACAAGACTAGATGATTAACTGACACCAAAAGAACAAAAAAAGGAGACTATCTTTGTGACTTCAACATGGGAAAATACTTATTAAAGAAAAGCCTGACACTAAAAATCAAAACTAAAAATTGATGCAATTGAATATATCAAAAGCAAAGATTTTTCTTCTTGACCCATCAATGGGAAGAATTATTGAGATATACACTTTATATGTAATCTTTCTGTTGAATGAAGAAACCATAGAAAAAAATAGCGGTCAAATAGCCACAAAGAAGGCAATTGCAGTATGTGATACTGATAAGGAACTCATATCTAGAATTACACTTTTCAGTATAGTATCCACTAGCCACATGCAAATATTTAAATACAAATTAGTTAAAATTAAGTAAAATAAAAGTTCACTTCCTCAATGCCATTAGCCATTTTTCTTTTTTTTTTTTTTTTGAGACAGAGTCTCACTCTGTCACCCAGGCTGGAGTGCAGTGGTGCAATCTCGCCTCACTGCAACCTCCATCTCCTGGGTTCCAGCGATTCTCCCACCTCAGCCTCCTGAGTACCTGGGATTACAGGCGTGTACCACCACGCCCGGCTAATTTTTTTGTATTTTTAGTAGAGACGGAGTTTCACCATGCTGGCCAGGCTGGTCTCGAACTCCTGAGCTCAAGTGATCACTAGCCATTTTTCAAATTCTCAATAGTCATGTGCAGCTATTGGTATTATATTAGACGGCACAAATACAGAACATTTCCCTCACTGCAGAAAGTTCAATGTATTGTACAACATTGGTCTAGAATGTAGAAGGAGCTTCTAAAAATAAACTGGAAAAACAATTCAAAAATTGGCAAAAAAATTTAGGACATAAAAGACAAATGAAAAACAGAGAAAGCCATGTAGTTTACATATACATGAATTACTTAAATTTACTAATAATGCAAGAAATGCAAATTTAAGTTATACTTATGTCCCTACTGAACAGGACAAATTTGGGTGTGGTACAATACCATGCATTGTCAAATATGTAAATAAATAGAAATCCTCATGTACAGCTGGTAGAAGTGTAAATTTTTGTGGTTGTACTGGGAAGCAACTGGTCAGCGTACAGTCTGACCAGCAACTGGTCGGTGTACAGCTCCAGAAAGTTGAAGGCATATGAATATTATGTACCCTTTCTCCTAGGAATGTATGAGCAAAATATGGTACATGCTCACTGTTGAAAACTATAAAACAACAAACATGTATTAGAATGATGAGAATTACAAGATTGACAAGGCCAAGTGTTGGTGATGATGTGGTGAAGCTGGAACACTCACATCAAGCCGGTGAGAATATAAAATGGCATACTGGCTTTGTAAAGCAGTTCAACAGTCTGTTAAAAAGGTAAACATTCACCTACTCTGTGACCTAGCCATTCTACACTTAGGTATATATCTAAGATAAATGAAACATATGCCCACACAAAAACATACATGGTTGTTCATAACAGCTGTATTTGTAATAGCCAAAGTCTAGAAATGACCAAATGTCCATTAACAGGTGAATGGGTTAAAATATTTCATACAATGGAACACTACTAGGCAATAAAGAGGAAGAACTACTGATATATGCTACAATGTAGATGAATCTCAGAACATTCTGTGCAAAAGAAGCCAGACAAAAATTAGTGCATACTGTATAATGACATTTATAGAAAGCTCTAGAAATAGCAAACTGATCTATAGTGACAGAAAACAAATTTGTAGCTGGGAAAGTAGTGGGAGGGTGCGATTACAAAGAGGCACAAGAAAACTTTTGTGGCTAATGGATATGCTCCTTGAGTGTGGTAATGATTTTATTGATATATTCAAATGTCAAAACTCATCACTCATATACTTTGAAGATGTAAAGTTTACAGGATGTAAATTGTGCTGCAATAAAGTTGTACAAAAATTTAAAAAGAGTGAAAACAAGATGAAACAAGAAAGAATGAAAACAAGGGAAAGATAATTTTAACTAACCTACCCATCTGTGCCTAAGGTTATCCAAATATTTCAAAGGAAAAATCATGCTTGACTAGATGTACTAAATGCACTCAGTTGTAACTCTTTAGAACCAGAGCTAATCTGCATCCGTCATCCAGGGTTAGTTAAACTTACTATGGTAATAGAAGAAACTATCTGCCTTTGTTAGGCAAGCATTAAAACTACTAAACTTAAAAAAAAAATTAAAGGCAGCCACCAGTATCATGAAAAGCTAAAGTTAATAGTGTTTTCAAAATAAGGCTTATTAGGCAAACTTGCATTTGACACTTTAGCTACCATGAACAATTTGAATGAGTCTGTCAAAGTGAATCAGTCTGGGCACCAGTCCTTCTCTTTCCTTGTGATCTACTTCAAGTGATTTTTACACCAATAAGTAAGATATCAAGCTAGCTTTACTCCCCTTTGGAGTTAAAGAATAATAATCTTTTACTACAGGCTCTTATTATATATTAAATTTTTCATTACAAACTCGTGTTTAAAGGAAACTTACAACGCTGAGAATTTTGAAAAAAGAGTGATATTCAGATGCAAACATTCTTAGTGGATGTACTGTCTCAGAAGACTCATGTACTACTCTTAGGATGGAGAAGACTTTGGAAAATAGAAAATTCATGATCATTTTTCTCAAACTCCTAGCTGAAATTTGACATAGCATAATCAAGCCTAGAAGGAAACACAGTAAAAGAAAGTAGCAACCGAGTTATCCCATACATGTTAAAGTATGTTCAGCGGGTGCCCCTAAGGAATGAAAGGGGGAAGTAGAGCGAGTTTATGGTAGTACTCAAAACCACTTAGAAAAAGCTCTTCAGAGACCCTTCCTTAGAAAGACAAGGTTATTAATTTCAAGGTAACATTAAATCTGGGTAAAACAGAAGAAAGTCACCAATACATAGCAGAGTATCTTCCTCAGAATGTTGTAAGCGATTATAGAATGCCTAAGCTCTTTACAGCAAATCAGAAAATACCTGACAAACTGGAGTAAGCATGATGGTAATTTTCTTCCTAAGGAGAAAACAGTGATCCATCACTCTCACTCTGATACCTAATAAATGCTGGAGTCTCAGAGGGAATTACTTTTCATTTTAGCTTTGCTACTAACTTTACATACAACTTTGCTCAAATATCAAGACTTCTATAATTCTTGCTTTTAAGAAAACTGCAAAAGTCTATCTTTGAAGATTAATACAAATTGTAAGTTATTTTTGTCAAAAATATGTATTAAATGTTTTAAGCTTAGACAAAAAGAAATTATGTCACTAACTTTAAAAAATATAACTAAAGAATGTGACTCTTCAGGTGTAAAATATTAAAAAGAAATGCTTTCAAAATTAGATTGGAGACTACGTGAAATCTGTAGCTTGATATAATCAAATAACTTTGAGTCACTGCCATTTTACACTGTCAGACATGTCAAAAGTTCCACTGAGAAAACCCTTGTATGTCATCAAAAGACTGTAAAGTGATATGCTTTTCAAAGATGAGATCAAGCAGTCCCATTGAGTCTTACATTATAGCAGCATTGCAGTGTCATTTTATGAAGTGCCATGTGAAAAATACCATGACTTTAGGTAAGAGTAACCAAAGTTTTTCCTAGATAGAGTACTAAATACAAGTAGATTTTTATATTTACTACACAGTAATCCTAATTATCTGTTTTTTTATTCTGCAAGAAAAGAAAGGTTGATTCTATAACCTTTTTAATTTACAGTTAGCTGACTGAAGTGCATGCAAATTGAAATAAAATGGCAGCCCTGGGACATTCTAAAACACGACACATGAGGTTGCCAGGGTAACCCACCAGGAGGCTGTCTTGGCATCTTCTGGAATAAAATGGGAAGAAAACATCATAGTGAACAGATGGGGGATGGGGATCTGCTGGCGGGATTATACAATAAAAGTGTTGCAAAAAACTACAGCTCCATCAAATTGCGTCCAAACAAAAAGGAACAAAGTATCTCTCACACTTCAAATGCTTAAATCAGGCAGTATTTATGATCCAAAAGAGTGGAATATTTTAAAAATTATTCAAAATGTTATTTAAATGATGTAAATTTTAAAGTCACTATTAAATAATATTTATCAATTTTTATACTTACAAAAATTCAACAGACATATATAACTTATATTCAAGGTACAGAAGTGGTTTTAAATGTGTAATATTTTACTATTTTGGAGGGCAGTAGGGAGGCAGGTAACATATCTCAGAAAATAATTTCAAGATGTAAGATCCCAACAGAACAATGGCAGAAAAGAAAAGATGACACTAACGAATCATTCCAGCTAATTGTTAATTTTATGTTTATCCCTGACATTCTTTTAGAGTTACAAAGTATTCCTTTGATTAGGGGTTGTTGCTTTATATTTTGCATTGCTACTGTTTCCATTAAACATACACAAAAAGCTTAATTCCCTCTCTCTGAAGAGCTGATTTTCTCCAACAAAGTTATTCTATAAATAGTCAGTGAATCTCCTTGGCCTGTCCTTAGGCTTTTTTTCTCTCTCCTCTGTCCCTGAAGATTGAATAAAAACTCTCTGAGCTGATGAAGGACACACCTGGAGATAGGCTGCTTTAGTGATGTGTGCATGGGAAATTCCACAGCACACACGGTTGTCATAGCTAAATTGTGTTTAAGAATTATACATACAAACAATGTTTCACTGAGAAAAAGGAATTTAAAAACAATATTATATCATTTCAGATGTTTATAAACTTGATAACTGCATTTTTCTTTTCATGAAAAATATAGAATGTACGTCTTTGGCAACATTGCCCATCATAAGATAACTGGAATCTCTGATTCTATATTTTGGATGACAGTAATCCAATTGATTTGTCTTTAAAAATCAAATGGATTATTTTATGTTGTATATTAATTCAAAACAACCAATATTATTTTGCTGTTCTGGTGCAGTGGAGATCGATCTTAGGGCACAATCTTCCTTTGAAGAAACTATTTTCCTTTTAATGATTAGCAGATACAGTCCTCCATCTGGTCATATCACTATTTTCTTTGAAATTTTTCAGTGTTTCTTATCACCTACAGACTAGTAAGGTCTCCTTACTGTAAATCATAGGGCTCCTCTCAATTAAATTCCTAGATTTCTGCATATACGCAAACTAGGCTCCAGCCACCAGAATTTCCCATTATCTCTGAACATACAGGACTACGTTGCATTTATTTTTGTCTCTCTGGGGCATCCTTCTCCTTTTCTGAAAGCCTGCTTTAGCCCAGCTCACATGTCACATCTTCTGTGAAATAGTATGCCCTCTTCTTCTCTCCTAAGGAAGGTGACTAATTTTTTCTCTGCTCCTATAGCAGTTTGCATTGATCTAATATAACATTGATCACTGAGCACACTGTGACATGTTTTAGAACTCTATCTTCCATGTATGATATAATTCTTGAAGATGGATTTATGTCTTTTTAATTTTTTATTTTTTATTATGCTTTAAGTTCTGGGATACATGTGTAGAACATGCAGGTTTGTTACATAGGGTATACACTTGCCATGGTTTGCTGCACCCATCAACCCATCATCTACATTAGGTATTTCTCCTAATGCTATCCCTCCCCTAGCCCCCTATCCCCCCACCCACCCTGACAGGCCCCAGTGTGTGATGTTCCCCTGCCTGTGTCCATGTGTTCTTGTTGTTCAATTCCCATTTATGAGTGAGAACATGCAGTGTTTGGTTTTCTGTTCGAGTGTTAGTTTGCTGAGAATGATGGTTTCCAGCTTCATCCATGTCCCTGCAAAGGACATAAACTCATCCGTTTTTATGGCTGCATAGTATTCCATGGTGCATATGTGCCACATTTTCTCTATCCAGTATATCACTGATGGACTTTTGGGTTGGTTCCAAGTCTTTGCTATTGTGAATAGTGCTGCAATAAACATACGTGTGGATGTATCTTTAGAGTAGAATGATTTATAATCCTTTGGGTATATACCCAGTAACAGGATTGCTGGGTCAAACGGTATTTCTGATTCTAGATCCTTGAGGAATCGCCACACTATCTTCCATAATGGCTGAACTAATTTACATTCCCACCAACAGTGTAAAAGCCTTCCTATTTCTAGACAACCTCTCCAGCATCTGTTGTTTCCTGACTTTTTAATGATCACCGTTCTAACTGGTGTGAGATGGTATCTCACTGTGGTTTTGATTTGCATTTCTCTAATGACCAGTGATGATGAGCTTTTTTTCATGTTTGTTGGCCACATAAATGTCTTCTTTTGAGAAGTGTCTGTTCATATCCTTCACCCACTTTTAGAAGGGGTTGTTTGTTTTTTTTCTTGTAAATTTGTTTAAGTTCCTTGTAGATTCTGGATGTTAACCCTTTTTCAGATGGATAGATTGCAAAACTTTTCTCCCATTCTGTGGGTTGCCTGTTCACTCTGATGATAGTTTCTTTTGCTGTGCAGAAACTCTTTAGTTTAATTAGACCCCATTTGTCAATTTTGGCTTTGTTGCCATTGTTTTTGTTGTTTTAGTCATGAAATCTTTGCCCGTGCCTACGTCCTGAATGGTATTGCCTAGGGAAGATATATGTATTGTTCATTTTAAATCACTGGTACCTAGGAGAATCCCCGGTACACACGAGGCAATCAACAAATGTTTGCCAAATATTGAATGAACTGTTTCAGGCATACAGTGCGGAAGATCCTAGGAGTGATGACTAGTCTGAGGGGCAGGTGATACAGGGAGTTAAGTTAGCTTGAGAGTCCTGGATCCATAACTAGATTATTTCTAAAGTGTGTATTATTTCAGAGTCAACTAGTGATTCAGGATCAGGTGTATGGTTAAGCAAATGCATCTGCTTTTTACATAAACACTCCAGTTGATTCTCACACCAAGGCTTGGGTATTAAGACATAGACTATCGAAGAGCACTTCACATGAATCTGTTGGAACTCAGAAAATAATATTCCAAAATAAGAGCCTCAGAAACAGCCTGAAAAGTAAGTTTTTTTCCTGACCTTTACCTGCCCTCCTGTCTCTCAGTCCCATTCTCCCCAAGGGCTAGCCATAAAAATTAAAATACCTCTTCCCCAGGGTGAGTCATTATAGAAACTAGAATCCCTTTTCACCAAAGCCAGCCATAAATACTAAAAATATTACTCTAACTCCCTACCCCTCTTTCTGTGTAAAAACTGGCCATAAAGAAATTAACTGACCAACTTTATTTGAATATAGGTCATAAAACCCCCATTCCAGAGAGGGTCCTGATCCTTACTCAGAAGGAAAAAATACAGACACCAGAGAGGAAAAGAAGAATTTATACAGACAGGCCTTGCTGTGTTTCCCCATTCCATCTGTTAACATCAGATCATATTCTTTTTGTTGAATCATATTTCTACGTGGCTGTCCATACATTGTTAAACCTAAATGTAAAAATAGACAATTTTCCTCCTATCATTGGGCCCTCATTCTAAAGTCTCCTGTGTCATGTAAATCTATGATCAAATAAATTTGTATGCCTCTTCTCCTATTAATCTCCCTCTTGTCAACATTTTTAGCAAACCTTCAGAGAACAAAGAAAAGGTTTTCCCTTGGCCCCAACACACCAAGAAAAAAAAGGCATTCTAACATAAAAAATTATAAACAATTTCCTAAAACTTGAAATATTTTCCATTAAATGCCTGTTCCACTTTTGTTGAGGGACATTTCCTGAGTTTAGCTAAAGATGCGCTTTTTGTCACATGACCACCAAAGATTAGGCTCGCAGACAATTTGAAAGGTAAGTAAGGCTGGGTTTTATTGAGTGAAAAAGGAAGAAAAGGGGAATCAGGGACTCGTAACAAAGTGAGAGTTCCTGCTGGAGTGCTTCTCACCTGGCAGATTGAATGCCGGGTTCCACCCAAGAAGAGGAAGAGCCCGGCTCCTTTCCCCTGCGAAGTGCACAAACTTCTGTGGCTCCACTCCAGCCTGCATTCTTCCCAGTGCTCAGGTCGGGTGGAGTTTCTCTGGGAACCCCTTCCCACCTTGCTGTCTCACTTTGTTTTAAGCAAATGCAGTATGTAAGTCATGCTTATTATCAAGCATAAAATGTAATCTGCCTCCAATTTTTTTAAGTCTTGTCTCTATCAATTCAGGGAGCAGTTTTCAAGGGCAAAAACTGATAGTCTCAGTTAGATAACACACTGCCTCCGGTCAAGGTCAGAAGAGTACCCATTAATATGATCTTTGTAGCCTCCAAGCAAGTCAGAACAAGGAACCCTGGAGTTCCTGCAGTGAGAATCTTAGTATTCTTTGTATTTGAGAGAATCAGAGTGAAGAGTCTATGGAATGAGTATCAAGTATAGAAAACCACTGCAGTGCTCACATCATGGACTGATGTCTCTGCTGCTTGGTAAATAAACACTGGGCACCAAAAAGCTGGCACAATTACTGGCTAAATTTCAAATTTTGAAATAATTTAATTGGTTAAGCTAAGCTTGTTTGAAAAGTTAGCACACTGGTATTTATATATTTCAGCTGATCTTTTTCTAATACTGCTTTTTGCTAGTGAGTTCCAAGGATCCCCAAGGTGAGGTTCCATGGAAAGGTGGGATGGAGCGGTATGAAGGAGATGCTAAATGTGCTTGTCTGCCATCTCCACTACCTAAAATTCTGTGGGAATTAGAACTATAACTGATCTTGAAGCCACAAACACAGTATATGGTGTTAAGCCCTGCATAGTCATAGCCTACACCAACTTCTCTGCAGGTATGAGCTAATACATTCAAACCTGTGATTCTAACTCCCTCTTAGATTTCAATACCAGTTCTCAAATAGAAAAGTAACATGTCTCTGATATACAGTTCCTTTGATTGGTTCTAATGTCCTGACTTGCCTTAACTCTTTCCATCACCCTTAAAGTGCTGGACAGTGCTACCTGTATACCCCCATCCCAATCCCAATCACTGGCCAGAATTCTTGTCTGATGGGCAGATCACCTAGACAAAGATGCCACTACCTCTCACATTGTGCCAGCTAGACTTCTTATATTACTAAACCCAAGTGAAGCATAGGGCTCTATCATTTAGCCACCATTACCTGCTCCATGACTTTTTGCTCTAAGTCCTTCAGATAATATGCAGGTAATCATTCACTGCAAGACTCAGCTCTGCAGCTAGATTTATTTTCTTGCCTCCATCAAGCTGCATCTTTATTTCCTCCTTTTTAAAAATCACCCTGAGATTTCAGCATGCTTTACTATTAAGCTTTTATGTGCTACAACGTGATTATGTCCTGATTATGCCATGAACATACTGGGAAAGTAATGCATTATCTGTTGCTGAGAGTCTGAAAGTCTAACTTTTGCTAAAAAAAAAAAAAAAAAGTCACATCATTTAAGAACAAAATCATTGAAGACATCAGAGTTGCCCTGGTTGATCTTCTGGCACATTTACTTATAAAGGCAGTATTTACTTGTATATTAAAAACATTCTTTCTTCTGTCTTTTAGAAATTCATAGATTATTTTCAAAAAAAAATAAAAAATAGAAAGAAGAAGAATAGAGAAGAGAATCTTTTCTATTCCCTTCTGTACTCTCTTCATGAGGGAGGAAGCATCATTCTTAAGAGAAAACATATCTGGGAACTGATAGAATTCCAGGGGAATTCCATTGATTATAAAGGGGAATTATCAACATTTTGGCTGGGTATTGTTGTTTTATATTTTTTAAATTTTACTTATTTGTATCTTTCTCATATGACTTGTTAGTAGAAATGGTTAAAGCTTTAATATTGTTGGATTGAATAGGAGACAAATTAGACAGAAGAAAATGACAGAAATGGAAAGGAAGAAAAACAAGAAACAATGTCAAAACTAAAAATAAATTTCTTCCTAATAACATTCTTCAAAATGCTGTGACATCTAATAAACAATATAGCCTAGGGGTCAGTGGACCCCAGATTCTCCAAAAATGTGATATGTCTCTACTTTACGGATTTCACGAAACAGTGCGTGAAAAGCAGCCCTGAAAAAAGCAGACAGAGGAACTTTATTTGCTTTCCATCTTTACCCTACTTTCATGGTCCTCTGCAGACTAGTAATGCAAAATGCTATAACCTCCCCATCTGCCCTGCTCACAGAGCTATAATACTAAAGAATAAGTGTATATATAAATCAATGCTATGAAACATCCATTTCTATTTATTAATTTCACTAAAACTTGACAATTATGCCAGTAATTTGCTGAAGATAGGAAAAGCTCTTTAGTAACTTACCTGAGTGGAGACTTAGAACTAAATCCAATGCTGCAAATTAAACATAATTTTGATATCTTAACCAAGTTACTTCTCCATTGTACTTATTACATATATATCTAAGTGCTCCTTCAGTGATGAAAATATAAACAAAGGAAAATGAAATATCTTCAGTTTTTGTTAGAAAGTAATATGAAAATTGTTTCCAAATGTGTTACCAAGGAAAAATACAGAGTTGCATAGTTTAGTAATAGCAGTAGCAGCAAGCCAGTAACTACAGTGATAGATAGATATTATGTCCTAAACAGAATATGGTCACATAAAACCTCAAAACCAAGCATCAATCTTATATGTTGAACCTTATGAATAAGGATAGTTGTTAACTGACATTTATTAAGCACTATGTGCCATTCACTGGGCTAAACATTCTAATTGTATTATTTCATTAACTTCTCACAAAATCTTACAAGGTTGATTCTAGAAGGCAAGAGTTAATAGCTACATATGTGGCTTTCCCTCTAGCTTTTGGGATGCCCAAGAATTTGGCCTTTGATCAAGTTTCCTAGCAATATATTCCACAAAATGTATAGAAAAATGGGATGTAAGAGAGAAGATAAGTGAAAATCTCACCAAGAACTCTGTATTGGACCAAGCACCTACTTTATTGTCTCAAGCAAGTAATGAATATATTGATAAAGAGCAACTTCTCTGAAGACTGGTGTCACTTATGAGCACCTAAGGTAACCGTGTGCCTAACTAAATAAAAAAGCTAAAGGGATAGCTGTGCTAATTGCCCTCATAAGCCAAGGTTGCCCAGCACCATCTCTCATGATCATATAGTTCCAAATGTGAAATGACTGGCATATAAAAGCAGTACATTGCCACAAAGGATACATAGCCTCTGCTATGTTGTTGCTATGCATGCTCTGTGATTCCCTTCCTGTCCCTCCTTAAACCTAAAAATGTTGATGCTGGTTAAAAGATACTGAGTCTCATGACCTCAATGGTCAAGTCAAACCTTAGACCATCACTGTTAGTACAACAGAGCAGATTTGCAAGGACTATTTGCTATCTCTATTTTGCAGATAAGAAAATGTAGGCTTAGAGAATAAGCTCTAAGTATCTGAACCAGTTGTGAAATTGTCTGACATCAAAGAATGTGCTTTTAAGTAATACCACATATTTTATCTATTTTGCTTCCTGCCAACTTCCCAAGTGCAGTTATGGGATGCCTGACTTTTGTTTGCTGATGACATCATCTTTAACTCCATTTTGATAGTTGACATATAACTGAATTAAATGTACTCTCAGAGGATGAAAAATATTACTATACTACAGAATATCTATCTAATATGCAAAGCATCTGCCCCCCAGGTCTCTCTGATTTCTTTGCTTCCATTACTCAAAATATCCCTGAAGTCCCTGAATCTCTCCTCCAGAGCTTAGGAGAAGATAATAACTCTTTTCTCAACTTATTTACATATGCATCTGTAAGTCTTTTGCTGATCTCTTCTAAAATGCTCCAAACCTCAGGTTCTTATTTTTCAATTTCTTATTTAATGTCAGTATATTTTATTTGCCTGAATATTCTTTATATGACTGTTCTCATCAATGTTAGCAAAGACTACAACTACCTTAAGGGTAGGGACTATGTCTGCCAATATCTTCTACGTGCCCAGAAATCATAGTTGCTTAACAGTAATACATATTATAATAAAACAATCATTAATTCACATATGTGGTATACAGAGCTTTTGATATAAATAAATGGAGATCTACTAAATTCACTTAGATTAACATTTTTATAGAACACCTAAATAAAAAGTTGAAATTTATGAACCTGAATTTATGTTGGAGGTTGCATGAAGAGAAATTTCATCTGTGTTAGAATTCTGTACTCGCCTTAGGTATAGGAAACTTTATTCCCTTTTGCTATTACTTTTAAAGAAGAGATAAATTTTACCACAAAACCTGCACAAACTTAATCATGAAAAGAGAAGAAGTTACTTTATCTTCTACCTTAACTTTAAAATAAAAATAACACAATGACCTGGCTCTGCTTTTTATAAAGTCACATGGAAAATATCCACCTTTCACTTTTGTGTGCCCAATTTACAACTTGCCTTTGTATTTTACTGTGTTAATCTTTCAGAGTTCTTCTACCATACAAATTCCAGAAGCACAATTATGAGTAGATTTTACATCTAAATAAATCATATTTGGTTTCTGTACCCACGCACCTAGTCAATAATGACAGGATACTTTCTAGAGATACCTGCAAATATAAGAAACTTTTGAAGGATGCATATTATGGAAGGTAAAGATTTTTTTCTAATAAAAATTATTTTTTTCCAAAAAAAATAAGGCAATATAGACTCACTGTTATCTATTATACCCACTTCCTTGTTCAATGATTTTACTAACTTACATAAAAATTCAATTGTCTTTCCCTAATTTATTATACCATTGTTCCTTTTTTTTTTTTTTGGCAGAGTCTCACTCTGTTGCCTAGGCTGCCAGGCTGGAGTGCAGTAGTGCTATCTTAGCTTACTGCCACCTACGCAGCCTCCCGGGTTCAAGGGATTCTCGTGCCTTAGCCTTCCAAGAGTCTGGGATTTCAGGCGTGCGCCACCATACCTGGATAATTTTTTGGTTTTGTTTTTTGGGGGGTGGGGAGGAAAAGACAGGGTTTTGCTATGTTGACCAGGCTAGTCTCAAACTCCTGACCTCAAGTGACTACCTCAGCCTCCCAAAGCACTGTGATTACAGGCCTGAGGCACTGCACCTGGCCCTATTGTTCTTTTTATGACATCTAACCGAGGGTATATATTTTTAAAAATCTCTATCAAATAATTGAAGGCATAATTATATTTTAAAGAGGAGTTTCAATACATTGTAATATGATCTTCCTGCAAAGCATACAAAGTTATTATAGTTCCCCTTTCACAGAGGAAAACAGTCTAACTCTCAAAAGTTAAATTAGTGAATACCAGAGCATATATTTGAACCAGTCTATCTGGTTTTATTTGTAGTTTATGATATTTTATTATTTTTATTTTTATTTATTTATTTTTGAGACAGAATCTTGCTCTGTCGCCTAGGCTGGAGTGCAATGGATTCAAATCTTGGCTCCCTGCAACCTCTGCCTCCTGGGTTCAAGCAATTCTCCTGCCTCAGCCTCCCAAGTAGCTGGGATTACAGCTGCCCACCATCACGACCAGCTAATTTTTTGTATTTTTAGTAGAGACAGGGTTTTGCCATGTTGGCCGGGCTGGTCTCAAACTCCTGACCTCAGGTGATCCACCTGCCTTGGCCTCCCAAAGTGCTGGGATTACAGGCATGAGCCACTGCACCTAGTCTACAATGCTTAATTTTAACATTGTAATTATAAAAGTAATATATATACACTGTTAAAAAATCAATGCCAACAAAACTATACCACTGCTATAGTTTGGAAATGGTTTATTTTCCCCACCAAATCTCATGTAGAAATTTGATCATCTGTGTGGCAGTGTTGGGAGGTGGGGCCTAATGGTTGGATCATGGGAATAGATCATTTCTGAATAGATGAATACCCTCCCTGGGTGGAGTGAGGTGTGAGTGCATCCTTGCTCTGTTAGTTCCCACTAGATCTTGTTAAAAAGAGCCTGACACTTCCCTCCTCTCTCCCTTGCTTTCTTTCTCACTGTGTGATCTCTGTAGATGCCAGCTCCCCTTCTTCTGCCATGAGTGGAAGCAGCCTGAGGCCCTCACCAGATACCCAGTCTCAAAACTTCCAGCCAGCAGAGTTGTGGCCCAGTAAGCCCTTTTTCTTTATAAATTAAACAGCCTTAGGTATTTCTTATAGAGACACAAAATGGACTAAGACACCCACAGAGCTAACACCTGTTTATATTTCAGTATATTCGTTTCTAGTTATATATATTTACATATATATCAATATATTGGACATAATATGTAACTATGATACTTAGTGTTGACATATTTTTCTATTTATATATATCCAAGAGCAAATGTGTTATTGTCACGTGTACTTTAAAAAGATTTTTGCAAATGCAGTTTTACATTCTGCTTTTAAATTTACAAGTTAGCAAGCATTTTTGTGCATCATTAAATACTCTTCATTCACATTTTAAAGGATTGCATAATACTCCCTTGTAATAATTTACAATGTTGTAACTTACAATGTTAACTTTTACAACCACTGTTGTTAAGTATTTAGATTGTTCAAAAAATGAAATTGGCCAAGTAAATTGTTTTTGAGATTGGCAATGTTTATGGCTTCCCTTTCACTACCACCATCCACCTTTACTCATTCCTCAGTTCTGAGTAATATGAATTCCCTGCTCTACCATGCAACTGAAACTGTTCTTGCCAAAGCAGTTTATAGCCTTTCTGTGACTAAATCTGATGATTATCTGTTATGGTTCTTAACTGACTGATTTCCAGGGACTGACACTGTAGATGACTTCCTTCTTTTCTTGTCTTGGCCTATATAATGCCACATTCATTTATTTTCACTCAGTGATTTCTCCTCCTTTCAAATTTTGGCTTAAAAATCCAACTCCCCAAAGAGGCCCTCCCAAAACACCCACTCTAAGCAAGTTTCCCACTCCTATACACCCTGAATACTGTTGACTAAGAGACTTAGCACAGGTTATTATTTAAAAAAAAAAAAGTTTGTCTCTTTATTCAATAGATGGAAAATAATAAACTGCAAGAAATATATGTATTTTATGTACCAATGTATACCCATGGTATATCACTATGTCTGACCCTGTGTATTGTGGTTAATACCCTGTGTATTGTGGTTAACAGTGAATAGAAATTGTCTTCCCCTAGTTCCTCAGGCAGGATGAGGACTTTCTTTGAAATCTTATCACTGAAGGGCATACAATTGCTCTCTGGTTTAAAATAATGCTATAAACTTTGTATAATTCATGAAAAGGTATTTTAAGATGGTAGCATCAAAAGTGTGCTTTATAGGAAAAGAAGTTATCTCTTCTTACACTCATGAAGTCTTTTTTGATGAAACCCATTACAACTCTTTGTCACTAACTGTGTATGATTATGAGCCATTTAGTTAACCTGCCTCAAGATGGAGTTTGATCAGCAATTGTGGAATTCTCAGCAAGATTAATAGTTTTGAGACTCTTCATTAAAAAATAAAAACGCTGCTAAGGAAATGTCAAAAATTCAGATGTATTCTTTGGTTTCACTTTTAAAAGTAGACGAATGTATGGTTCTTGAAAATTTAATTATATATCTCACATAGGACAATTGATATTACAGTACTTTCACTCTTGAAGATAAACTACCTTCCTTTAGTTTTGTTCCTTTAGTTAAGAGTTTAGAGTTTCCTGGAGCAAACATTTACTGGAGATTCCATTGTCAGCATTTTTAAACTGTCATCTTAATTATATGTAAAATTTTATATACTTTGTTTCAAGCCATTGTGTAACAAGGTATTCAATGAATACTTCTATAAATCCCTGCATTTTTAGTATGCTTCTGAAAGTTCAAGTTTCGATCTTGTCTCCTGATAAGAAAACATGCTTGATTTCATACTTAATCTTAGAGAATTGATTGAAGTTAAGTTCTTGGTTTAAAACACATTTTAAACTACATATTTGTTTTTCAATGATGAATGAGTCCACATTATTTTTTAAAATGCCAACTGTGCAACTCATTCATCCAGTGCCTCCCCAGGTGTCTATTTTCTCTAGTCCACATTGCAAGCAGTATAGATTGCATGCTGTATTGGTCCATTCTCATGCTGCTATAAAGGATTGCCTGAGACAGGGTAATTTATAAAGGAAAATGGTTTAATTGACTCACAATTCTGCATGGACAAGGAGGCCTCAGGAAACTTACAATCATGGTGGAAGGGGAAGCAAACACATCCTTCTTCACATGATGGCAGGAAGAAGAATCGGTGACCATCAAAGGAAGAAACTCCCTATAAAACCATCAGATCTTGTGGGAATTCACTCACTGTCACCAGAAGAGAATGGGGAAAACTGCCCCCATGATTCAATTATCTCCACCTGGTCCCTCCCATGGCAGATGGAGATTATGGGAACTACAATTCAAGATGAGATTTGGGTGGGGACACAGCCAAACCATGTCACACACCAAACACAAAACAATCTCTTTATCAAGCTTATCATCTCAAAACATTGCACAAGCTAGAAGTGGTCCCAGAAGATGTTTACTTAACCAATTTTTTTTCATATAGTGTTATCATGTCCCTTTCAAAGGTAGTGAAATACTCTCCAAATCACAAAATCTTTGAGATTATTGTATTAAACTAGATATTAATAGCCTTAATCTTAAACATAATTTTGACATACACGGATTTGTTTGAGAAGACACATGCATACACATGTTAGATGGAGTTCTATTCACAATAGCAAAGACATGGAATCAACCTAAATGCCCATCAATGATAGATTGGATAAAGAAAATGTGGCACATATACACCATGGAACACTATACAGCCATAAAAAAGAACAAGATCATGTCCTTTGCAGAGACATGGATGGAGCTGGACACTATTATCCTTAGCAAACTAACACAGGAACAGAGAACCAAATACTACATATTCTCACTTATAAGTGAGAGCTAAATGATGAGAACACATGGACATATACAGGGGAGCAACACTCACTGGGGCCTATTGGAGGGTGGAGGGTTGGAGGAGGGAGAAGTTTAGAAAAAATAACTAAAGGGTACTAGGTATAGTACTTGGGTGATGAAATAATCTGTACAACAAACCCCATGACACAAATTTAGCTATATAACAAACCTACACATGTACTCCTAAACTTAATATAAAAGTTTTTTTAAAAAAGCACATAGATTTCAGTTTCATTAGGTTTCTTTATATATTTTTTGAATAAATAATCATTTACATTGTTTATATTTAGTAATAGTATGACTTCTGAAAAAAAAACGTTGTAATTCAGTATGTGCAACAGTGAATCTAGATTACATCTCAGTGAGAAAAGTCATTGTGCCCCAGCAAGCAACCAACACATACTTAGCACTAGAAATGATGTCCTTAGACCATGAGTTTTTTTGACTCATTACTGAAGAAATACAAGTTACAGTACTTCTTGCTTAAGTTTTGTTAAATTATATAGAGTCAAACCAAAAACATGTGATGTAAAATAAGCAGTTTTAAAGGGATTTCTTTATAATACTAAAAGCTGCTTCCAGTGGTGATTATGTGGGCCATTCATTCATTCAGTAAATATGTGTTGAGCACCTCCAATGAGACAAATTTTCTGGGTACTCGGAATAACGAGATGAACCAGACACATCGCGATTCTGCTCTTATGGAACTTGTATTCTACTGCAGAGGAGTTGGGGGCTGGGTAGCCAGCAGTAACCAATAAACCTAGAAGAAACTATCACCAACAGCAGGTTTTAAAAAGACAATAAAAAGCAGATTATGTAATACCCAATGTTGAGTGGTAAAACCCTAGTTGGCTAGTCAGAAAAGGCCTTTCTGAGAAGGTGACAGAACAACTACTTCAAAGCCCTACACTAAGAAGTAATTTGGAGTGTGTCTGGGGCACACAGCCAAAGGGGAAAGACAGAGACAATGATTAACAGGACCCAACTCATGTACAGTCTATAAACTTTAGAAGCAGTTTTGCTTTTATTACAAGTTGGGAAATTATTGGATTGCTATGAGCAGGAGAAAGGGGTTGGTTAGAGACCATGGATCCAACTGTGTTTTTAAAAGATCACTATAGGAAACATAATATATTATTCAATTTTAACAAGAATGCTTACTAGATTTTTAACTTTTGATGAAGAACTTAATGAATGTATTTTTGGACGACACACTCTTAAATGTCCCCTATGAGTCGCACACCTGTATAATTCCCTACTTTTCGTGTAAGCAGATCATGTGACTTGCTTCTAACCAACAGAAAGATCATGAGGAAATAGTTTACAAGATTAAAAAAGAGCTGAGTTCAATTCCTGGGTATCTTTGTTAACTTTCTGTCTCGTTGATCTGTCTAATGTTGACAGTGGGGTGTTAAAGTCTCCCATTATTATTGTGTGGGAGTCTAAGTCTCTTTGTAGGTCACTCAGGACTTGCTTTATGAATCTGGGTGCTCCTGTATTGGGTGCATCTATATTTAGGATAGTTAGCTCTTCTTGTTGAATTGATCCCTTTACCATTATGTAATGGCCTTCTTTGTCTCTTTTGATTTTTGTTGGTTTAAAGTCTGTCAAATGTCCAACAATGATAGACTGGATTAAGAAAATGTGGCACATATACACCATGGAATACTATGCAGCCATAAAAAATGATGAGTTCATGTCCTTTGTAGGGACATGGATGAAATTGGAAATCATCATTCTCAGTAAACTATCGCAAGAACAGAAAACCAAATACCGCATATCCTCACTCATAGGTGGGAATTGAACAATGAGAACACATGGACACAGGAAGGGTAACATCACACTGTGGGGACTGTTGTGGGGTGGGGGGAGGGGGGAGGGATAGCTTTAGGAGATGTACCTAATGCTAAATGACGAGTTAATGGGTGCAGCACACCAGCATGGCACATGTATACATATGTAACTAACCTGCACATTGTGTACAAGTACCCTAAAACTTAAAGTATAATAATAATAAAATAAAAATTAAAAAAAGATTTAAAAAGATTGTTAAGTTTATTGCAATAAGCTAATTGAAAACATCATTTCTTTGTTATGCCTGCAGTTTCACTTTGCATGTCTTCTTTCCTCAAACATGCTCTCTACTCCATCCTCCACATAGCAACCAGAGGGGCTTTTCTAAAATTTTTCAATTACTTTTTCTCCTTTAGTGCCCCTTTTGGAGTGAAACAATAAATTTCTGACCCCTTGCCTCAGCATAGAAGTCCTCACATAATGTGTCCCTGTTTAATGTTCTAGCTTCATCCTTCACAATTGTCTTATATGCCTGCTATACTTAACTAATTTTAATATTTAGCAAGTAAAACATTTTTATGTGCCTCCAGACCTTTGCCCAAGCTGATCTCTTTCTCTGGAATATTCTGGCTCCACCTGCAATTCTTAAGTAAAGCTGAAAGTTAAAAAGCACAGTAATTCACTAAGAGCCCTATATTTGCATAGGCATCAATTTCATTCAGGCACCTCCATCTAAGTTTGAGAACATTTGCTTTGCCACAAATTTCAATCAGTTTCTATCCACTAAAACTCATGTACAGATTCTGAACTACTTGCACACAATAGAAAAAAAATAGTAAACCAAACCTCTCCTCTCCATTATTTAATATTTGTCTCTCCCCCTTCACTAAAATAAGAGCAGCCACATTACAGGTAGGTAAGGGGAAATAAAGACATCAACAACTAAGTTTAAGTCATTTTTAACAAAGCCAAATTTAGACTTGGCCAGGGCTTAGTTGGATCATAGCAGGCATTATAATTCATTATAAATTAATGCTGTTCTGCATTTTAATGTTTTTATCCTGTCATCTAAATACAGCTATAATTATATAACAGTACTTATTATTATTTTTCTAGTAAATACCAAAAAAGTCATTTTCATACAGGATAATTTAGCATCATAGCTAATTTCTATAGCAGATATTTTTCTTCACTTTTGTGTTAGATTTTATACTATATTCAAGTACATTTTTCATCAAAATGAAATAAAGATAATTTTAATATCTATAACTTAGCCCCTTAGGCTACTTAATATACATGGAATACCCAACTGTTGATACCAGGTATTTTTTTAGAGTAGTTTGGTATTTCATATTTGACTTCAACTGTGCTTAATCAGTACATTGCAAAAAATATGAACATTATAATTGTTATAGTAAAAGGGACTCTAAAAATGAATATTAAAGTAAATATAATATTTCTTAGTCATTTAAAAATCACTTTCTTCTATTATATGCCTTTCCTAGCATGCCAAACCCATTGTCTATTTTTATTTAACATTGTTATCTTTTTAAAGCAAATTTTCTGTTTTTATAAATCAAAGGGGTTAATATTGCACATAAAATGCTCTTTTTCCTCAGAGTGAGGGGGAAATAAATGGCACTGGAAGGAGTATTGGGTCTCTACATCATCTACCTACACTCTCAGTATAAATGAAAGACTTTCATCATCTCACTTTAATTCTTCTCACTCTCAGTGTTCTATACCATATTTGAGATGACCAGGTCCTTTACAGTTGGTGACATCATTCTACTTTTGGTGACATCATCCTACTTTTACTGTCCTCTCTATCAAGCTCAGACCCCATTACACATTCTTCCAAATCTTCTCATTAATATTTTTCTCTGCCATCTTCTTTGGCCTTTCCTCCTACCCATCTGCCAAAATCCCATCAAGTATTCTCCATCTCTGGGCTTGCTTTTAGGTTGCTGAAGTCAGCTAGAAAACAAATAATCAGCCCTAATGGGGCAGATTGTAGCTTTCCAATTTCACTGATTCCAATAATGCCTAAGAAATGCATTAGGCATTTGGACACATAGCAAGTGCTACATATACTTGGTGAACCGAATTTAAAGTTTAAAAACTATCCTTCAGAGTCTTTATCAGGCACTCTATTCTTCAACAAAAATCTTCAAATACAGGAATAATATACTGTTACGCCACTCACAGCTTGTTTCAGTCAAGGAACTAATTAAGAGTAAGAGTATTTTGGCAGTTAGGACAAAACTTCACCAGAGAAAAAGCCATTTCCTACTCCGGCTTTAGGAAGTATACTTAGCTAACATAAACCTGAGTCCAAAGTGAAAGAGGCAGGCAAGTTTATAGGAAAAGAAAGAAAATTAAACTCCTACCTAGTCTATTTTGCTCTACGGAAATTATCAGATTGCCATGTCTTAGAAAATGAAATGTAAGTTTACCATAAAAAGCTAGTGTGTTTACTGGAGCTGTAGAAATCCATCTACCAAGAGGCAAGATGATGATGAACACAGATAAACTTTATGACTCACTCTCTATTTGAAATAAGTGTCTGCAAAAAACTGCTCCTAAGCAACCCTCAATTGATTTTACTGGTGTAAACTGTATGTGTTTTTTCCTTATGAGCCATGTCTGCCTAAAACCAAATTTACCCTATTTCTGTTGTTGCTGTTGTTGATTTTTAATGTAACCCAAGGTTTCTCAAGTTATTGTTCTAGCACTACCCATATGTAATATGTTTAAGGTAGGGACCTGCCAATGTCTTTCTCATTGGCCATTTATTGTTTCATTCACCTAGACCTTTATCTGTGTAACAGTGATAAGATTTAGCTCATCTGTCAGCTGCCTGTACAATAATTCTTTTTTATTCCTCTATAAGAAAATTGGAGTTTAAAAAATTTATTCCTTTACAATCATAATGTATTGCTAAAGTCTTTTAACAGCTGTATCTAAATCTATACTTTACATACATGTATTTATTATTTAAAATAATTCTTTCTTTGAAATTTACAGTTAAAGAATCTTAACTATTTTAATACATATTTCAAAATTCATTTAATGTACAGACCGTCAAGCAGAAGATAAAAAGATGTATTTTTATTAGCAAAGAGCAAATGAGTGGTTTAAAAATTAGTCTCCTACCTGTCATGCCTAGTGAATATTTATGGGAAAAATATCAAGAACCTGGCTTGATTATTGACTTTTCTTTCTGATCACTTCAACACAATTTATGTAGAAATTCAGTTTTGCCTAAATAATTGTCAAGATCAGGGTATAAAAGCTTAATTTAATATTTCCTGCACAAACATAATGTGGTTACATTTCCATTCTCCCCATTTTCTCATCTTTTAATTCAAGATGCTTTTTATATTCTCTCCCCTGCCCCCAGACTCCCACATTCAATCAGTTTCTACAACCTCCACCCACTCACAAAAATATCTCTACCATCAGACATCTTCTGTCCATGTCAGCTGCTATAAACATGTTTTGGGTATTCAGTACCTCTTAAGTGGCAAACTTAACTTCATAACCTTTCATGAATTGTCTTCACTAATCTAGTTGCTTTTAGCCTTCAGAGAGTTTCGGATTCCTTTGAAAATCTGATGACAGCTTGAGATCCTCTTGCCAGAAAAATCCCATACACACAAAATTTACCACGCAATTTCTGGTGCTTAGCAGAGTTAGAAAAGGGAAACCACAAGTATTAGTTCAAAAATTTTGTCTTCTCTCCCTCATTTCCAATCTACCCTTACCCCGCTGTCACATCAGCCATACTAATGTATTGGCAAATCATATTCATGTCCTTGATAAACCTTTTTAATTCCACTGTCTGTCGAACTAAATCTAAATCTGTATTCTGGACTCAAAATTCTGTGAGCTACAGCCTTTGTTCCAATGCGACACATCATTATTTTCTCTGTAGATCCTATATTCTAACCCAAATTCATAATCGCCAAATTTACTCCCTTGCCGTCCTTTCTTTGCTGATTTCCTCTGCATAAATTCTCTCTATACTAATTAAAATATGCTGATGCCTAGGTCCCAAACCAACAGATTCTGAGTAAATTGTTCTGGGGTACATCAGGGGCACCAGTTTTTAAAGCTCCCCAGGTGTCTCTAATGTGTAGCAAAGTTTAAAAATCACTGAGACAGATTATATATCAAATACCCCAATCTCTCAGTTCTTTCTCCGTCTTGATCTTTGCCTTCAGCTCAATGTCAGAAGGTAACATAGGAAAATATTCTTAAAACCAAATGAAAGGCAATGCTTTCTTAAATAGGATACAAAAAGCACCAGCCATAAAGGAAAAGGTTGTTCAATTTGATTTCATTAAAATAAAGAGCTGATCATCACAAGACATCAAACTGGAAGAAGATATTTATATTTATCTGACAAAGTGTTCATATCCATAATATACTTAGAACTCCTGCAAATTAATGTACGACAAAAGAGCAGAAAATATTTTTTGTTGTTGTTGTTTTTTTTGAGACTGAGCCTTGCTCTATCGCCCAAAATGGAATGCAGTGGCGCAATCTTGGCTCACCGCAACCTCCGCCTCCTGGGTTCGAGAGAAAGCATTTTTAAGTGTACAAAAGACTTGAACAGGCATTTTACTAATGAGCTATCCAGTGGGCAATAGTAAAATAACGGGTTGGTCAAATGCATGAGTCATAAGGAACATGCAAATATAAACCACAACAAAATACCACTACATATCTAGCACATCAAAGAAATAGTTTGGCCATGAAAAGTGGTGGCATGCAAATTCAGAATGGGAATTCTCTCAGACTGCTCATCCACATGTAAAAATACATTGGAAAACTATTTGGCAGTACCTATTAAAGCTGAACACAGCTGAATATATTCATCTTTGTGACCTGCTAGAAATTCTACTCTTAGGTATCATCTCCAAAATGTGTTTTATGCATTTATGTGTGTGTATGTACATACAATGAAATTTCAATGTATATTTTCATAAACCAGATTTTGTATGTACACACACACGACAAGTAATGCATATGAGTATTGCACATTCTCCTATAGCCAGAAGGTAGTAGTAGCCTACGACAACTGACTTACTCATGCATGAGATTTTTGAGGGCACCATATTTGCCAGATGAAATTTCTAACATCCAAGAAGTAATTAAGTTTTCTTAAAACAGCATCTGGATCCTTAATATAATTTTACTGTTCTTTAAAAATATGAAAGTATTATCATGATTAAAGGGAAAATGTTTTCTTCTCTCAATGTTACAGTTGACTCACTATATTTCAGATAGAGGCAATGCTAGATCAATTTAGGTCAACAAGTTTATCATTTCCGTTAAAATAGAGTTTAAATATTGGTTGGATAGCAAATGCTATGGTTACTCCCAGCTAAAACCACCTGTTATATGCAGTGTTACCAATATAGAATAATTTTATTGTCTGTTAAAAAATTTACTGTGACATATTTAAAGACTAAACTTTCAACCACAAAAAAGCAATTCTCTTTTGTAGATAATCTATATAGGACATATTAGTTCAGAGAAGATCCAATAATCTAGTTACCAGTGCTTATATATTTATGATGCTGTTATTTACGTACTTTCATTAAATGATGGTTAGCTTTTTATGTCCTAAAAACAAACAGCATTGTGAATTCTACCTCCTCCTTCTCTTATTTGTTCTAATAATGTGCTTTTAACTGCCTGGATAAACCTGGTCAATGTTTCATCATATAAGTGATTCATTAAGGTCACAAAATTCCAAAAACCTTAGGATTACATCCAGCATTCAGATTTATAGCATCTGAAACCATACTGTTTAGTGCAAGCTATAATTTTTATAACTAAAAGTATAAATTTGACAAATTAATAAGAATCATTAAAATATTTATTTAAAAGACATATTTCTGCTGCCTTTATTAGAAAGCTTTTAAAATAGCTAGAAATTACATCCAAATGATGTTAACATTATACTTACTGGCAGAAAAGTAGTATTAATTTTCAGAACTATGTTTAGACAACAAAAAAAGAAAAAAAGAAAAATCTTAAAATAAACCTATGTTGGTATAAAGAACAGAAAGCGTACCTCTCTGCCACTTCTCCAAAATATGTTTTAGAGACTACTTGCTGTGGAAGATATTCTGGGGTGTAGCAGGACGGGCAAAGGGAAGAGTTCCATGATCAAATAAGTTTAAGAAATGCCTCATAATTTATAAAGTACATTAGCAATATAAAACCATAGGAACACAAACACATTTTTCCATTTCAAATAAGAATTTGGCTCTAACGTGAGCTAAAGAGTCACAATTTGTATATTCACAAGTATAGGATTTATTAGAGGTTTTTGAAATCTTATACACTGCCTGGGCAAATCACACGATACAGAGGAACAGTAAAAACATAGTTTAGGTCATATTCTCCGGAATAAAAAAAATAGAATCTTGCCTGGCTGACTAGTTATCTGAAAACAATTTGTTTTTTATTCGTGGAACATATGTAAATACCTTTCTTCAAGCAAGTGTGTGTGTGTGTGTGTGTGTGTGTGTGTGTGTGTAGCATAGAAAGTAGTATTTTTTTAAGTATTTACTCCTCACCCCAACCCCTGCCCTCAAAGTTTAGAGATTTAAAAGGAAGTGGAATCTGTAACAATTCTAATACAATTGTCAATAGAAAACCTTGCTTTTTGTTTATAATTGTGTACAAATTGTTTTTCTTGATATTCTCTAAACAAAAACTCATTCATTAGTTTACCTAAACACCTTTTGGCCCTTTCAACAGAAATTATAACAAACTGTCTCTCAGACCACAGTGCAATCAAACTAGAACTCAGGATTAAGAAACTCACTCAAAACCGCTCAACTACATGGAAACTGAACAACCTGCTCCTGAATGACTACTGGGTACATAACGAAATGAAGCAAGAAATAAAGATGCTCTTTGAAACCAATGAGAACAAGGACACAACATACCAGAATCTCTGGGACACATTCAAAGCAGTGTGTAGAGGGAAATTTATAGCACTAAATGCCCACAAGAGAAAGCAAGAAAGATCTAAAACTGACACCCTAACATCACAATTAAAAGAACTAGAGAAGCAAGAGCAAACCCATTCAAAAGCTAGCAGAAGGCAAGAAACAACTAAGATCAGAGCAGAACTGAAGGAAATAGAGACATAAAAAACCCTTCAAAAAATCAATGAATCCAGGAGCTGGTTTTTCGAAAAGATCAACAAAATGGATAGACCACTAGAAAGACTAATAAAGAATAAAAGAGAGAAGAATCAAATAGACGCAATAAAAAATGACAAAGGGGATATCACCACCAATCCCACAGAAATACAAACTACCATCAGAGAACACTATAAACACCTATACGCAAATAAACTAGAACATCTAGAAGAAATGGATAAACTCCTCAACACATACACCCTCCCAAGACTAAACCAGGAAGAAGTTGAATCTCTGACTAGACCAATAACAGGCTCTGAAATTGAGGCAATAATTAATAGCTTACCAACCAAAAAAAGTCCAGGCCCAGATGGATTCACAGCTGAATTCTACCAGAAGTACAAGGAGGAGCTGGTACCATTCCTTCTGAAACTATTCCAATCAATAGAAAAAGAGGGAATCCTCCCTAACTCATTTTATGAGGCCAGCATCATCCTCATACCAAAGCCTGGCAGAGACACAGCAAAAAAAGAGAATTTTAGACCAATATCCTTGATGAACATTGATGCAAAAATCCTCAATAAAATACCGAATCCAGCAACACATCAAAAAGCTTATCCACCATGATCAAGTGGGCTTCATCCCTGGGATGCAAGGCTGGTTCAACATACGAAAATCAATAAACGTAATCCAGCATATAAACAGAACCAAAGACAAAAACCACATGATTATCTCAATAGATGCAGAAAAGGCCTCTGACAAAATTCAACAACCCTTCATGCTAAAAACTCTCAATAAATTAGGTATTGATGGGATGTATCTCAAAATAATAAGAGCTATCTATGACAAACCCACAGCCAATATCATACTGAATGGACAAAAACTGGAAGCATTCCCTTTGAAAACAAGCACAAGACAGGGATGCCCTCTCTCACCACTCCTATTCAACATAGTGTTGGAAGTTCCGGCCAGGGCAATCAGGCTGGAGAAGGAAATAAAAGGCATTCAATTAGGAAAAGAGGAAGTCAATTGTCCCTGTTTTCAGATGACATGATTGTATATCTAGAAAACCCCATCGTCTCAGCCCAAAATCTCCTTAAGTTGATAAGCAACTTTAGCAAAGTGTCAGGATACAAAATCAATGTGCAAAAATCACAAGCATTCCTATACACCAATAACAGACAAACAGAGAGCCAAATCATGAGTGAACTCCCATTCACAATTGCTTCAAAGAGAATAAAATACCTAGGAATCCAACTTACAAGGGATGTGAAGGACCTCTTCAAGGAGAACTACGAACCACTGCTCAATGAAATAAAAGAGGATACAAACAAATGGAAGAACGTTCCATGCTCATGGGTAGGAAGAATCAATATCTTGAAAATGGCCATACTGCCCAAGGTAATTTATAGATTCAATGCCATCCCCGTCAGGCTACCAATGACTTTCTTCACAGAATTGGAAAAAACTACTTTCAATTTCATATGGAAGCAAAAAAGAGCCCGCATCGCCAAGTCAATCCTAAGCCAAAAGAATAAAGCTGGAGGCATCACGCTACCTGACTTCAAACTATACTACAAGGCTACAGTAACCAAAACAGCATGGTACTGGTACCAAAACAGAGATATAGACCAATGGAACAGAACAGAGCCCTCAGAAATAATGCCGCGTATCTACAATTATCTGATCTTTGACAAACCTGAGAAAAACAAGCAATGGGGAAAGGATTCCCTATTTAATAAATGGTGCTGGGAAAACGGGCTAGCCATATGTAGAAAGCTGAAACTGGATCCCTTCCTCACACCTTATACAAAATTTATTCAAGATGGATTAAAGACTTACATGTTAGACCTAAAACCATAAAAACCCTAGAATAAAACCTAGGCAATACCATTCAGGACACAGGCTTGGGCAAGGACTTCATGTCTAAAACACCAAAAGCAATGGCAACAAAACTAAAATTGACAAACGGGATCTAATTAAACTAAAGAGCTTCTGCACAGCGAAAGAAACTACCATCAGAGCAACCTACAGAATGGGAGAAAATTTCTGCAACCTACTCATCTGACAAAGGGCTAGTATCCAGAATCTACAATGAACTCAAACAAATTTACAAGAAAAAAACAAACAATCCCATCAAAAAGTGGGCGAAGGATATGAACAGACACTTCTCAAAAGAAGACATTTATGCAGCCAACAGACACATGAAAAAATGCTCATCATCACTGGCCATCAGAGAAATGCAAATCAAAACCACAATGAGATACCATCTCACACCAGTTAGAATGGCGATCATTAAAAAGTCAGGAAACAGGTGCTGGAGAGGATGCGGAGAAACAGGAACACTTTTACACTGTTGGTGGGACTGTAAACTAGTTCAACCATTGTGGAAGTCGGTGTGGCGATTCCTCAGGGATCTAGAACTAGAAATACCATTTGACCCAGCCATCCCATTACTGGGTATATACCCAGAGGATTATAAATCATGCTGCTATAAACACACACGCACATGTATGTTTATTGCGGCATCATTCACAATAGCAAAGACTTGGAACCAACCCAAATGTCCAACCATGATAGACTGGATTAAGAAAATTTGGCACATATACACCATGGAATACTATGCAGCCATAAAAAAGGATGAGTTCATGTCCTTTGCAGGGACATGGATGAAGCTGGAAACCGTCATTCTCAGCAAACTATCACAAGGACAAAAAACCAAACACCACATGTTCTCACTCATAGGTGGGAATTGAACAATGAGAACACATGGACACAGGAAGGGGAACATCACACACCGGGGACTGTTGTGGGGTGGGGGGAGGGGGGAGAGATAGCATTAGGAGATATACCTAATGCTAAACAACGAGTTAATGTGTGCAGCACACCAACATGGCGCATGTATACATATGTAACAAACCTGCACATTCTGCACATGTACCCTAAAACTTAAAGTATAATAATAATAAAAATAAAAAATAAAAAAAATAAAGTAGAATGACTGAAGAAAAAAATAAAAACAACTTTTGGCCCTTTCTAGGCATTTCATTATTCTTCAACTTTCATGATATTAATTAAAGTAACACCACACCAAACAAGCCCAAAATGCATTCTGTCATAAACTCAGTTTTGAAGCAGGATCAATATGCACTGTTTACCAACTTTTATGAATCCAGTAAGATAAAACACATACACATGATAACTTAAGGGTCTGTGCTGTGGTTCACCTATAGGGGCCTTCTTGCAAAGGCTCTAAACTGCATCCCTATCTGCCACTCCCATCTCAAGTAGCATTAGATCTACTGGGTCATATGGCCCAAGTGGCAGAGCAGCTTGCACAGGAACCTGGACTTGTTGCAGAGCCTTCTCCTGTTCTGAGCCCCACTCAGAACTCTGGCAACTTTCCAGGTCACTTGGTAAATGGGCAAGAGTAACACACCCAAATGAGCAATGTGTTCCCTCCAAAATCTAAATAGGTCTACTAAGTGTTATGCCTGTTTCTTGGTTGTAGGAGGGGCCAGATACAAAAACTTATCCCTCACCTTAGAAGGAATATTTAAACAGGCCCCATACCAGTGGACCCCTAGAAATTGTATTAAAGTAGAAGTCCTCTCAATTTTAGGCAGATTTATTTCCCACCCTCTGACAAGCAAATGTATAACCAGTAAGTCTAGATGGTTGCTACTTCTGCTCACTAGGTCCAATTAGCGTAACGTCATCAATGTAATAGACCAGTGTGGCATATTGTGGAAGGGAAAGATGATCAAGATTCTTGTGAAGTAAATTATGACATGGTGTTGTAGAATTGATACACCCCTGAAGTAGGGCAGTGCAGGTGTATTGCTGGCCTCACTAAATAAATGCAAACTGCTTCTGGTGGGCCTTACAGACAGGTAGGGAGATAAAGCATTTTGCCAGATTAATAGCTGCATACCAGGTACCAGGAAATGCGTTAATTTGCTCAAACAATGAAACCACCTCTGGTGCAGCAGCTACAGAGTCACCACTTGATTAAGTTTTTGATAATCCACTTTGATTCTCCAGGATCCACCTGTCTTCTGTACAGGGCAAACCAGAGAATTGAATGGGCTGTGATGGGAATCACCACCCCTGCATCTTTCAAGTCCTTTATGGTAGCACCAATCTCTGCAATCCCACCAGGCATGTGGTATTGCTTTGATTTACATTTTCCTAGGTAGAGGCAGCTCTGATGGCTTTCATTTGTCCTTCACTACCACAATAGCCCTCACTTCATAGGTTAGGGAAGCAATGTAGAGATTCTCCCAGCTACAAACTATCTTTATTACAATTATGCATTCTGGACTGGAGAAATAAACACAGGATGAATTGAGGGACCCAGCTGACCCACTGTGAGCCAGACCTGAGCTAAAATTCCAATGATCACCTAACTTCCATAAAAAGCTTCTACTCTAACTGGTGGGCCACAGCGAGTCCCTGAAATTAACGTCAGTTCCCAGCTAATTTTCAGTAGTCCCCCAAAAAGCTGATTTTTTCCTTTCCCCCAGTGCACAGTTAGTTACCCTGGTAAAAGGCATAGGTCCGTTTGGGGACGGCTGGCAGAAATATTAACACTATAAGGTTCCAAAAGTATACTTGAGTCCTTACTTGGGAGGACCCAGCCTCTCCTTCATTTAAGGAATTTTGGGTCTGTAAACCGACTGAAGTCTGGGAATTGATTAAAGGGCTGTGATTCTCTGTTTTAATAATTTGAGTTAGACTTTTGTTCATTTTACCTGTATAAGTTTTCTGCTTATACAGATCAAGTCAGAATGTAATCCATTTCACTTCTGGGAACACCTTAATTAAGTAGCCAATGGCATAGGTCTACATGAGCCAGACTATTGTGATTGCTGCTTTACCTCAGCCCTCTGTTATGGTAACTATGGCAACCTTGCCTTTGATGGTCAAATGCTGCCACTTGGCCTTGTCGCCTCAGGATTTTATTGCATTTAAGTTTTTCAATTGAGTGGCTGTGGTTCCTATTGAAATACAGAGAAGAGCAATTATACAGCTCTTCGAGGACATTGGCAGTCCCCTCAGAAATTTATTTCTAAAAGTAGTGGTGAAAGGTGTGTTCTCTGGACCCTCCCAATGTGGGTGAATAGGTTTAAAATGATAATCCACTCTAGCATTTCAACCTCCCCAAGCCTTTAAATATCTTCCTCTATGTTAAACCAAGGGAGATCAGGCATCTCTGACTCACTCATGGTGGGCCATCTTTTGATCGATGTTTCACCCCACCAACCAAACTATTGGTGTCTTTTCTAACTCTCTGAGCTGCAACACTAAATGCAGACTCTCTGCTTAGTGGGCTCACATCAATAAATTCAGTCTGGTCCAACTATAAGTTCTTTCTACATTATCCCACATCCTTAATATTTATCCCCATACATGTTCCTCAGACTTCTGCTTGTAGAAAGTAAAAATCTCAAATAGTTCTTTTGGAGTATAATGTACCTCCTTATGGATCACTCTTCATACCTCACCTTTAGGTGCCTTCTGGAACTTGAGTCCAATTATAGGTCTAGAAGCAAAGAGGGGAGAGAGGTGGTGGGTCCGAAGGAAAATCAGCATTGTCTTGCCCGACAACTGCCTCAGGGGAGGCCATTACAGTTTTCTTAGACAATTCAGGGTTAATCCCCTCAGTCGGAGGTAGAAACTTCTGTGGGTGAGGTGGCCACTGTCACCGGGGTTAGGGAGGACACTTCTTTTGGCAATAAAGACTTGTCAGAATTTAGGAGTTCAGTGTTTCAGCTTCATCGGTCTCCCCACACATTCCCATCCCAACTAACAGGATCCCAGCCTTTCCCAATCAAAGCCCTTATTTTAACAGTAGACACCCTGTGAGACTGAGAGTTCAACTTTCATGGCAATTCAGCCAATTGTATAATAAGGGCTTGTGTTTGATCTTCAGCAATTTCAGCCCTGTGGCCACAAGAGAGAAGGGAATACAGAGAAGCTCTTAAGCTACTTATGTGGAGCTGGAGCTGGGAATTTGAATCCCTAAGTTCATCATTTTCTTTCATCACATTTGTCCAGCAACAGTAGGAGCAACCAACCAACATCATTATACTTCTTAGTTTTCCACAAATGCTCAAAAATGTCATATACAAAGTCACCAAGTTCCTTGCCTCTTATAAGCGGTTGATTAGGAGTATCTAATGTAGATGTTTTGCATATTTCTGTAAACAGTTCAAGCCAAAGACAATCAGCTCTCTGTACTAGTGGAAGTAGAGTCCTTCACATTTTTAAATCTAATCAGATAAGAAAGGCAATTTCAGAAACCCCAAAACTGATTAAGAAAATTCATTCTGAAAATTCTGTTCTTCTAAAACCAGTCCTGTTACCAAGATCTGTATTTGTCAGGGTTCTCCAGAGAGACACAGCCAATTAAATGATTGGCAGGTAGGTAGGTAGATAGATGATAGATAGATGGATAGATAGATAGATAGATAGATAGATAGATAGATAGATAGATAGACAGATAGATAGATAAAATAGATAGATACATAGATGAGAGGAGACTTATGAGGAGAATTGGCTCACATAATTATGGAGGCTGAGAAGTCCCATAATAGAAGTCACAGGGAAGCCAGCAGTGTGGCTCTGTCTAAATTTAAAGTCTTCAGAACCTGGGGGATTGCTGGTGCTGGTACCAGTCCCAGAGTCCAGTGGCCAGAGAACCTGGTATTCTTATGTCCAAAGGCAAGAGAGGAAGGGTGTCCCAGCTCCAGGTATGAGAGAGTAAATTCACCATTCCTCTATCTTTTTGTTCTATCCAGACCCCTGATTGGATGATGCCTCCCCACAGTGAGGGTGGATCCTTCTTAATCTATCCAGTCACACACCTATCTCCTCTAGAAGCACCTCACAGATGCATCCAGAAATAATGCTTTACTAGCTACCTCCATATCCCTTAATTCAGTCAAGTTGACACCTAAAATTCATCATCACACCTCCCCTAAGGAAACATTGCAAAGTCACAAGTTCCCTCCAGTTCCTTTGACCAGTTAACAAACTTACATCTCTAAGTGATGGGCATCCCTTTTCATCAGGCCAGATGTGATGTGAACTAAAAGAGAATCAATCTCCTTCCCCTCTATACTACCCGTATAGCCACATACAAACACAAAAAGTCACATACATAGACATATATGTGTGTGCACACACAAATAATGGTGTGTGTATATAATAATGGGAGAGGGACAAGATAATGGTATTTAAAAACCCTCACTGTGGGCTACATTGTACTCCCCCAAAATTTATATGTTGAAGTCCTAACCTGCAGCACCTCAGAATATGATTATATTTGGAGATAGGACCTTAAAACAGGTAAATTAAAGTAAAATAAGATCACACGGGTGGGCCCTAATCCAATATGACTGGTGTGATAAAAAGGGGAGAGGAGGACACAGACACAGAGGGAAGACCATGTGGAGATATGGGGAGAAGATGCTGATCTACACGGAGAGGCCTCAAAGGAAACCTACCCTGCCGTCATCTCTTCTCAGACTTACAGCCTCCAGAATTGTAAGAAAATAAATTTCTATTGTTTAAGCCACCCAGTCTGTGGTGTTTCTTATGGCAGCTGGCTAATAGACCTACTATTCACTGAATTTTAATACGGGCATGATTTCAAGGGGAGTTATGTTCTTCATTATTCTCTTGACTTCTTCTTTTCTTCTTTCCCAACACAGGCATATGGTGTTACAAATTTTCCCCTAAATACATTTTAGTAGCATCACAAAAAATGATACATTATGTTTTCATTTTCACTCAATTAAAAATACTTTCTAATTTCTCTTTTGATTTTTTCTTTGACCTATGTGTTGTTTAGAATTTTTTATTTAATTTCTGAAAATTTGAGTATTTTTTCAGAAAGCATTCTGTTACTGATTTCTAACTTAATTTTAATTTACATTAGAATATACATTATATGTATATATACATTAGTAATATACATTACTATATGCATACATATATACATAATACATAATATACATACATAATATACATAATACATAGTATATATATATAATAATGTACATTATTATATGTATATATACATTAGTAATGTACATTATATATGGTCAGTAATATACATTAAATGACCTGAATTCTTTTAAATTTATTGGGAGTTGTTTTATGGTCTAGTAGAGTCTATCCTGGTAAGTATTCAGTGTGTACTTAAAAAGAATGTTTTGAGGTGGTATATTGTATAAATATCAGTTAGATCAAGTTGATTGGTCATGTTGTTCAAATCTTACAGATTTTTCTTTCTCCTAGTCTATCCATTACTGAGAAAGAGTTATTGACACCTCTGACTACAAATGTAAGTTAGTCTATTTCTTCTCGTGGTTCTTCTTTGCTTCATGTGTTTTCAAGCTCTGTTACTAGGCATCTAAGTCTGAATAGATTGACCACCTTATCATTATGAATAAAGCTGTCTATCTCCGGTAATATTCTTTGCTCTAAAATCTACTTTGTCTGATAATAGGATAGTCACTCAGAATTTTTGGATGGTGTAGCTTTTTCCATCCTTTTACTTTGAATCTACATGTGTCTGTACCTATGTATTTGGGGTTTGTTTCTTATACACAGATTATAGTTAGTACTTACTTTTATATCCAACCTGATAATCTCTGTATTTTAAATGAGGGTTCTATATAATTTACATTTAATCTGATGACTGATATGAGTAGCTTCAAATCTACAATATTGCCATTTGTGTACTATTTGTCCCATATTTTCCTTGTTCCCCTTTCCCTCTCACTGCCTTCTTTTAATATAATGAACATTTCTATCATTTCATTTTATTTCTTTTGTTGGCTTTTTATCTGTAATTCCTTTCTTTACTATTTTAATGATTGCTTTAGGATTTACACAATACATGTTTAATTTACCACAATCTTCTTTGAAGTGGTAATGTACCACTACATAATTAGTATAAGAACCTTGTAACAGTATATTTTCATTTTTTCACCTCTCCATATGTGTGGCATTGTTATCCATCTTAATTTTGTATATATTTTGTATTATTGTATATATTGTATATATTGTATATATTTCTGTTTAAACAGTTAATTATCTTTTAGAGAGTTTTACATAATTTTAAATTATTATTTACCTGTCTAGTTATCATTTTCTATGCGCTCCATTCCTTTCTGTAGTTCTATATTTCCATGTGGTTTCATTTTCTTTCTGTATTACAGAGTAAATCTGTAGGCTACAGTTTCTTTTGGCTTTTATACTTCTGAAAAACTCTTTACCCTTTGTTTTAAAAGTAATTTTTGATGGGTATATAACACTATGCTGATTTTTTTTCTTTCTGTTCTTTAAAAATGTTTCTACACTGTATTATTTATAAAAGTAAAGTTATTATTTTTATACCTCTGTATGCAATATGTCTCTTTGTTATTTTTCTTTTTAGTATGTTCTCTTTATCACTAGTATTGGGTAATTTGATTTTGACAAACTTTGATGTAGTTTTCTTCATCTTGCTTGATATTTGCTAAGTTTCTTGTACCTGTGGATTTAGAGGTGCCAGCAAACTTAGAAAATTTATGCCTGTTATTTGGTCAAACATTTTTCTCTCTTCTTCTGTCCTATAGACTCTCCAAGTACATACTTATTAGGATGCTTGAAACTGTCCCACAAGACATTGATGGTCTGTTCACCTTTTTTTCTCTCCTTTTTTCTTCTGGGTTTCATTTTGGATAATTTTTATTGCTGTTTCTCACACTTCAGTAATCTTTTCTTTTGCAATGTGCTATCTGCAATTAACCCCACCCAGAGTATCATCTCACATATGATAGTTTTCATCTCTAGAAGTCATATCTGGGTCTTTTTTTATGTCTTCCATGTTGCTACTTAATATTTGATCACATGGAATATATTTATAACGACAGTTTTAAATACCTGCAGATCTGGGTTGGTTTTGATTATTTGATTTACCTTGTCAGTATGAGTCCATTTTTCTGGTTTTTGTTATTTTTTTATAGCTGGTAAGATCAGATTGATTATCAGATGTGAATTTTAACTTGTTCTATCCAAAAAAAATATTTTTAACCCTGTAAATGTTCTTAAGATTTTATTTCTGGAATCCAGTTAAATTACTTGAAAGCAATGCTCTCCTTTCTGATCTTGCTTGTAAAATTTGTTACATGGAAACAATGTAGCATTCAGTCTATGGTTAAATACTCTCCACTACTGAGGAAAGACATTTCTCTGTACTTTGCCCAATGCCTCATGACCATTGCGATTTTACAGTGTAGTTAACTACACTATGCCTGGCCCTGTGTAAGCACTGCACATTGTTACCTCTAATCTTTTTGGAAAGTTATTCCCCCAGCCTCACTAGTTTCCTTACACATATATGCTGGTTGGTAATCTGCTGAATTAATAACCCCACAATGAAAAATCCTCTAAAGATCTCTTCAGGTTTCTCTCTGTGTAGCTGATTACTCTCTAGTAATGTATTCTGTCAACTCTGGTTGCCTTAGTCTTACCGGACTCTCAATTCTGTATCTAAACTCATTATGTCTGCTAAACTTCACATATGTTCTCCTTCCCTGTGCTGTGGTCTGGAAATTCTCTCAAGCGATCGTTATCTTTATTCCCTAATGAAGTTAAACCATTTACTTCTTTTGATTATCTAGGATGAGCAGGAAATGGAAGCAAGGCAATCACGATGCAACCACCTTCTAGCATGTTGTGTTGTAAATATTAATCCAGATTATACTAATGAACATTCTTACCCAAGATTAGACAAGGAAGGTTCCCGTTCTCCTTTCTTGAAAAACTGTATGCAGGTAAGAAAAGTGCAATCATATGCCATGGCTCTGAATTTGAGAAGAGAGCAATGTATGAGGAGTGAAGTGATACCAGAAGGTAAATTGACAGAAAGTAGTGGTACACATCACAGCTTCACACTCAGTCATCTCAGATACAAGCAGACCCTTAGCAGCTTAGTTATACTAGCTAATGAATCCCTTCTTAAGAGAGTTTGAGTCAGATGGGTAACACTTGCAGGCAAAAATTGTCCTTAAATATTGACAATAAAATATGGAAATATATTTTCCAGAATACCTGACTGGAATTTTAAGAATATGTTTTCTTTTCATTTTAGTGATGGGTAATAGGAAAACAGAGTATATGACTACAGATATTATTTACTTATGAGACTCTAAGTTGGATTGTTAATTAATAATAAAAGCACCTGTAGAAAACAATTTTAATATAAAATTTTATCATTATAACCTTCAATTTTGGCAATGTTTCAATGAGGAAAGTGTTTCAGATTCTTTTCCACTATTCTGTATATTCAGGTACTAAAAAGCAAAAGATTTACCTGAACTCAGTATTCAACCAAAGTTGTTTGACTCAATGAGGGTGTAATCTAATCAGGCAGTAAAATTTTCAGCAGTAATAAAAGTCTCCATGGTCAGTCCACAAATAAAAGAACTTTTTCTTGACTAAAACACAGAAAGACGCTGCAACAGAAAATGAAATGTGGAATACGATAGCATAACTGAGTCCCAAAATCAAACATGAAATGTAAAAAAGTCTGATTAATTTTGGATTTAATACTATTAAATAGATTAAAACATCCTCATAAAGTAGAAACATTTTTCTTCCAGTTTTCACTTTCTTCTTTAAGATGACTGTTAATTAATACAATAGGTAGTATCTATCTATTCTATACTTTTATCATTTTTTTCTTATGATATAGTAATATTTCTGTGAGTAAATGGAAATGAAACCATTTCGTAGATATTAATTGCTTGTAAGACACTGTGGAATGTGCTACAGACAGCATTGTATAGACCAATGATTTCAACATTCTCAAATGTTTCTTTTAAAGTGCTTATACTACCAATAATATATGACTTAAATATTTTCTATCCTCTTATTGGCAGAATAACAAATTTTAATAGACTAGAAGGGAGGAGATATGCAGAATTTAGGAGGAAAAGAAGAACCATACAATATAGCCCACAATTTATACATCCAAATATTTCCCATATATGAAACTCTTTAGATTTTATTGTAACCGTTCCCTCTGGAGTCTTGACCTGCAGTTTAAGAAATACTGGCATTGATATATGAAATACACAGATAATGCAAAAAACTCATTTTACCAGATAGTTTCACCTTCTGCCCCCATCAATCATATTACAAAATCTGTCAGCAGGGAGCAAATTGCATGGCTTAAATTTCACCTCTACTCTTTTCACATGGTCACTCAAAAAGAAGTGTTAATGGACAATATGAATGCCAAAAGTGAAGAAGAACAAATATATGAAGATACCAGTCTAATTAATTAGCCCTTAAATAGTAACATTAAACTATACTGCCATGCTTATGTTGAAAGAAAAAGTGAACAAGCCCTCTAGATTTTGTTTTGTTCTGTTTTGGAGAAGACTTAATATTATTTTCTAATCTCAGTGGCTTAGAATATCTCCTCATTTTCACTTTTAGCATGTTTCTCTTTTATCTTTTGTTTGCTTTCCCATTCTGAGCTCTTCAGCCAATCTTTTTTCCAACTTTCTCCCTTTTTTATCTCACTATCCGGACAAAACTCAATATGAATAAGGGATGCAAATAAACTTGGAAGAAAGTATTTTAGAGATATGAAACTACTAATACATAGTGAATTCTAAATTTCTGTATTCATCATTTGATTAATGAATATTTAGTGTATGCCTATTACCTACCAGATAATGTCATACATTCAGATGATGCTCATTGTTAACAAAATAGTTTGTTTCCTCATAGAGTTTGCACATCAGAATTAACAAAGAAGGAAAATTCAGTACCAGCATTTACCAGTTATTGAGAAACTGTTACATGCAAAATGCTGGGAGTAGATTTTCATGGTGCTAAGGAAATATGTTACATGGAGACTCAACTTATTTCAGTGCATAAAGAAAGGTTTACTCATATAGCAATATTTAGAGTGAGATTTGAAGAATGGTCACCATTTAAACAAAAGAAAGAGAATGGGTAGAACATTTTAGGAAGAGGGAACAGTATGCACAAAGGCTGTGAGGCAGGGAAAGCAGAGTATGTTGAAGAAATTGAGAGAAAGCTGGAGTGGCTGGAATGAAGTGAGCAAATAGTAAAGTTGCACCACCAGAATACAATAAGGGTCTTAAGCCATTTTTTCTCAACCATCCTTTCCGGCACTGTAATTTTCAATTTGGGCTAATCATGGTATGTTCTCTACACAATAGATGGAAACTTGTATCTTTCTCAGACACACAAACCTAAAAGCTGCTAACTGCCTGCCTGAAACTGCTTTTAATACCCTTTCTGTGAAACGAAGCCCAATTTTATTACCTCAAAATGTTTTTCCATACTGTAACAATGGGTTTTAGTTCTGCATAAAAGATATTATTCATTCAGCTGGGCGCGGTGGCTCACGCCTGTAATCCCAGCACTTTGGGAGGCCGAGGCAGGCGGATCACAAGGTCAGGAGATCGAGACCATCCTGTCTAACACGGTGAAACCCCGTCTCTACTAAAAATACAAAAAAATTAGCCGGGCGTGGTGGCGGGCGCCTGTAGTCCCAGCTACTCTGGAGGCTGAGGCAGGAGAATGGCGTGAACCCGGGAGGCGGAGCTTGCAGTGAGCCGAGATCACGCCACTGCACTCCAGCCTGGGCGAGAGAGTGAGACTCTGTCTCAAATAAATAAATAAATAAATAATTATTCATTCAAGTTTAACATAGTGTCTATTTTGAACAATACAGTCCGCTAAGTGTTAAAATGAAACACACAAAAATTAACTTATATCTCACAACACTTGAAGTCTTGGTAGCATGACAGCAGGGTGTTGCCTATAATTTTGGAAAGAGTAAACAAGTATAATGTTACTGGAGGCCAGACACAGTGGCTCATGTCCGTAATCCCAGCACTTTGAGAGGCCAAGGAAAAAGTATTGCTTAAGCCATAAGTTCAAAAGCTGCCTAAGCAACAAAGCAAGATCTCATCTCTAAAACAAACAAACAAACAAACAAACAACAGCAACAACAACAACAAAAATTAGCCAGGCAGGCATAGTGGTGCATAACTAGTCCCAGCTACTCGGAAGGCTGAGGTGGGAGGATCGCTTGAGTCTAGGAGTTCAAACCTGCAATGAGCTGTGATCATGACACTGCCCTCCAGCCTGGGTGACAGAATAAGGCCTCATCTCAAAAATATATATATATATAATTAGCATCAACTTTTAAATTAATTTAGTACATAATATGTTACTGTTAAACATTTATAAATGGGTTGCAAGAATCTTACTAATTTGCATAGTTGTCTTTTCCAGTAATAAAGGGACAAATCAGATAGTCTAACAGAAATTTTTTTAGCATATTAGTACTGAAGCTGAAAGTTTATATTTCCTAATTTTATACAGAGCCAGATCTCATTATTTTTATACACTCAAATACTTACAAGTTGATCAACTAATCTACCAGTTACAATTGGAATGTTTCATCACCACCATCACCTTCACAACCTGCTATGCCTTCAGTGATCATTAGAGTTAAGATGAATATTAACATTAGTAGTGTGAGGAAGAGATATATTAACATTTCTCTCAGATGAGAATACCAGCCTGTCTTGCCTAACATATGAAAGTTGTTTTCCAGTGATTACTGAATTCCATTAAGATTTTAGAACTGAATTAAATCTACATAAAAATTATAAAAACCATCATGTTTTTAAGAGTAAACAAAAACGGGATAAAATCTTAGTTTACATTTATGGATCATATATCCATATTGCTTCTATAAGGTATTTCTTAGTCTGGTGTTTATTCTTAATTTGAATTATGCCTATTTTTTTAATGTTAACTTGGGCTCCTGGCCCAAGGTGAAAAATTTGGCACAAATTTTTTCTCTTCTTACCAATTAGTTCAGAAAATCTTTCAACTTTTATAAAAGCAAGGAATGCTAGAACAAATAAAACTAGAATCTTGAGGAAAATCAAAAAGTTATACAAGAAAGTCACAGTCCAAGTATAGAGCAAAGTATTCAGATCAAAGTAAGTAAGCAGGCTGAAGTAAGAATAATGGAAGGGATATCAAGAAATAACCAGAATGAATGACATGCTGAACATAATAAAGATAAGGTAGGAAGGGAAATATTTCTTCCTCCAAAAGAGAAATAAGAAACAATAAGAAATTGCAGAGAAAATAAAGTCACAAACAAAAATATGGGGAAATGTAGCAATATAAAGCCTGATATAATTTTAACAAATCCATAAATAGTGTGTATCTCTTCTTTCTATATTCCATTAGCCAGAATTAATTGTGTTAAGCTGCAGTGCTGACTGAGAAACTTAGATTACCTGGAAAGAAGAAAAAAAGAGAGAAAGAGAGAAAGAAAGGAAAGAAGGAAGGAAGGAAGGAAGGAAGGAAGGAAGGAAGGAAGGAAGGAAGGAAGGAAGGGAGGGAGGGAGGGAGGAAGGGAAGGGGAGGGGGAAGGGGGGAATAGGGGAGAGAGGGAGGGAGGGAAGGAAAGAAAAAGAGAGAGAAAGGGAGAGAAAAAAGAGAGAAAGAGAAAAGAAGAAGGGCTTGATAAGCATCTAGATCATACCTTAAACAGTTTATTATGAAAGAGTAAAAACTTAAACTTTTTTTATTCATTTACAGATATGATCTTTTGACTTCCCGCTTTGCAAGATAACAATATTGCCATTTCATTACCACTCATCATTCATTCTCCTAACCACTTTCAGCCACCTGTACATTATATCAACATTTTATTTTTTCATAAAAAATAATTGTATTATATTTTATTGCAAGACTGACAATTTTTACATTCTATTCCATGGTCATAGTAAAATTTGTTGCCTTTTGAATACTGGTTAATTATAGAAGTTTAAAATCCATAACAGCATTTTCCACATTATAACTATATAAATATTACTCACTGCAGAGGCACATAGTGTTCTATTATTTCAGTTCTATTTGCACTTCAAGGAGAGAAGATTTAATGAATTTTCTTATCTACTTTGAATCAATCTGAAAAATAAAATGGATATATACACAAATAAACAAGCAGATCCTAAGAGACCTGTGGGACTACAACAAAAGATCTAATATTCTTACTATCAGAGTTCCAGGAAAGGAGAAAAATGATGGGTCTGAGAAAGTACCAGAAGAAATCATGGCTAAATACTTATATGGCAAGGGACAGTAACTGTTATATTCAAAAAGATGAGTGAACCCCAAACAGGATGAACCCAAAGAAATCCATGCCTAGATATATCATCATAAATGTTTGAAAACTAAAGAGAAAGAAAAAATCTTGAAAACAGCTAGAGAAAAAGAATACCTTACCATAGAGGGTAGAAAGAAGTGGCACAATGTTTTTCAAGTGTAAAAAACTGACGAAACAAATCTATCAACCTAGAGTCCTATATAGAGTGAAACTATCATTCAACAATGAAGGCGAATTCAAGAAGCACTCAAATTAAGTAAAACTAAGAGAATTTATTGCCAAAGAATACAGTAAACAAAATTATGGGTCAATAAAATAGAGTAGTCTTCCCTTATACTCAGGGGATATGTTTCAAGACTCCTAGTGGATGCCTGAAACCTCGGATAGTACTCAACCCAATATATACTGTACTATATTTTTTCAATCTGATAACCCAGATAGCTACTGAGTGACTAATGGGTGGAGAGCAAACATAGTGTGGATACACTGGACAGAGAGACATTTCATGTCTTGAGCAGATGGCACAGAATGCTGCAAGATTTCATCACGCTACTCACAACGGCACAAATTTAAAACTATGCATTGTTTATTTATGGAATTTTTCATTTAATAATTTCAAACTGAAGTTGACCGCTAGTAACTGAAACTGCAGAATGTAAAACCTGGAATGGGCAGACTACTCTAGCTAGACTTTCCTTCACCTCTTGAGTTTTTCAATCATGTTAATGTTTCAGGTAAAAATTCTAACACTGCCTGATGTGATTTTCAATGTATATAAAGAAAATATTTAAGACAATTTTAAGTGTGCAGAACAAAGGAACATAAAGGGAGATAAGTTTTCTGCACTTAAACTGTTTAAAATGATGACACCAGTAAACTGATTATATATGTACCATAGTATACACATAGATGTATAGGTATAAGTATATAGATGTAACACACACATACCTATATAGACATATGCATGCGTATATATGTAGTGTAACATATATAGTGTACCTATATTACATAGTGTATATGGTATAATATATGTAGTATATATGTAACACATATATACTATATATGTAATATGTAATATATACACACACTAGTGTATATATCTAATATACATATTACACTATGTAATTCTACTACATCAGAATGAGTAAAATCATTCTACTACATCAGAATGAGTAATATAAGCACTTGTATATACACTATACATATTACACTGTGTGTGTGTGTATATATATAGTGTGTGTGTTTATATATATATATAATAAATATATAGAGTATAATACGTGGAGCAACCACTGAAAAGCCATACAGAAAGAAACACTCAAAAACAACACAGATAAATCCAAATAGAACTGTAAAAAGAAAATAAGCATATTAAAATTTGTAGGAGATGGCTAAAGCCATGCTGAGAGGGAAGTTTACAGCATGAAATGTGTGTGTATATGTATGTGTATAGTTAGGGAAACTAAACCTGATTCAGTTCTAAAGACTGGAGTATGTGCCTTGTCTTAGCACACTTATGAAAAAGAATAAAAAATAAAATAAAAAATGAAGACTGAAGTGTATATGATATTAACCGATGCCCTAGTTCCTGTTGCTTTGTGAGTGTTTAAAATATCCTAGGTCATGCCATAGCCCCACAGTAATGGAGATAACAGTGCTAGTTGAGATTTCATGCCTGAAAAAATTCTATCTACCAAAAACAAATTGACTATATTTCTCTCTTTATAGTACTCTTTTTGCCATTATCTACTAAAAATACAAAAAATTAGCCGGGCGTGGTAGCGGGCGCCTGTAGTCCCAGCTACTCGGGAGGCTGAGGCAGGAGAATGGCGTGAACCCGGGAGGCGGAGCTTGCAGTGAGCCGAGATCGCGCCACTGCACTCCAGCCTGGGCGACAGAGCGAGACTCCGTCTCAAAAAAAAAAAAAAAAAGCAAGGGTGGCCTGCAAAGTTATATGTTGACAGCTCCCTGGGGAAGGGGGAGGTAAGTTAATATAATTTGGATCAAGGACAAAAGGAAACAAATGAAGAAGAATAGCATAACCATGGAGGCATAAAGAACACCAATCAATGAACGGAAGTGGAAATTTGGGATCAAGGCGCCAGGCAATTGGGCCACAAATGGAGGCAATAGAAAGGATGTGGCTAAGTGCACAGATTGAGTCAAACCACATTCACTGGTTTTCTCATTTAGTAGCTGCGTGATCTTGAACATCACTTTTCTCATCATTAAAGAAACACAGTAATCTGCCTAATTAGTTTATTATAGGGATAAAATGAGATGACCTCTTTAATGCTCCTGGCACAGTATTTGTGTGGTACATCCTAAGGATGATAATAGCCAGCAGTTAGTAAAGAGTGGTAGCTGTGGTAAGGCAGACAAGCCTGACGCATTAAGTAGCAAAGCTCATCTTAGAATTATTCTCTGTATTCTTTTTCCTTTTTAAATTGAGCTGAAAAGCTGGATATCCTCTCTTTATGTCAATTGGAACAAAATATTCATGATTTCTATGCCTTTATTGATTATATTTTCATCCATACTCAAGGCTTTAAAAATATCCATACCTCGATAGCTCTAAAATTTTTATCTTCAGCCCTGATATTTCTTCTTGAATGTATATTCAGCTGCCTACTCAGTTTATCCATTTGCATGTCTACAGACTTTTAAGTTTTCCCTATGATCCTCACATCCTGGTCCTCATGGCCTTGTGGAATCTGCCACCCATCACCCCCAACCACCCAATTCTCAAGTGTTGTCAGGACTTGTGACTTGAATATATGGGAAGATAACGGAAAGTCACTCCTGTAATTATATTACATTATGTAAGACTCCATCTTGCTAGCTGATATTTTGGGGAGTCTTGCTGTCCTTTCTGGCCTTAAAGAAGCAAGCTTCCAGAAATCACAAGGCTGCAAAGAAAGGAAGACTACTGATGAATGGCTTGACTGAGCTTGGAAACAGATCCCTTCCCCATTAAGCCTCCAGATAAGAACCCAGCTGGCTGATACCTTGTTTGTAGGCTTGCAAAGAATCCAGCTAAGTCCTGCCCAGATTCCAGCCCCACAGAAACTGTGAGATATTAATTTTGTGTGGTGTTAAGCCACCAAGTTTGTGGAAATTTGTTATGCAGCATAGAAAACAAATACCAGAATTTAATAGGCATCTTCTCACAAACGTGTGGTGTCCAAAATAGAGCATTGATTCCCCCAGCACTCAAATATGTGTCTCATCTGATGTTCCCTGAGTTAGGTGACCCCACCATTCACCCAGCTGATTAGGTAAAATATTTTAGAACACTTGGAGCTTGGTGGTCCAAATAATCCGGCCCATGTCCAACTCTCTTACCTCATATCCTACCTCTTCTCTTTTTCATTTTTCTCCAGTCACAATGATCATCTTGCTGTTTCTTGAACATACAAAGCAAATTATTTATTATAGTCACGTAATTTGCTGTCCCTTTGCTGTCCTTCCTGTCTGAAATTACCTTTCCTTAAATATTCTCATGACTTGTTTTATTTTTTATTCAAATCACATTATCTCCTCATGGAAGTCTTTTATGAATGATCTACTAAAGTAGAAAATTTTATGACTTCCATTTCACTTATGTTGGCTTAGTTTTTTAAAAATAATGCTTATTAAAACTGTCATTCATATCATTTGTTTTTCCACTTACATTGTCATCTCACCAGAATATAAGCTATATGATGTTAGGTAACTTACTGGTTTTGTTATGTCTGTATTCTAAAACAAAACAAGAGGAGTTGATCAATTTGGCCTAAAATTGCATGCACTTGCAACCATTTGGAATTTTTCTAGAAAAGACATTCTATTACAATGCTTTAGAAGTTCAAGTTATCTCAGGGAAAAGCAGGAGAGTACATTTCAAACGTTTATTGAATATGTAATGCTAACTAATCATAAGACTATATTCTATCTTCATCCTTTTATATTGTTTTGAGAAATGACTTAAATGAATTATCCTCAAAAAGTAATAAGTATGCCAAACTGCAGCTCTTAATTGCTCTGCCAATTATACCTTAGCAATCCTTTTTAACTATTGTGTATATAATGCAAAGAAATGAAAAACAATGTGTCAAAAAAGTAAAATAACTTATTCCCAAGTATGTTAACAGTGAGCATTAAAGTCAGATCTGTAACCTTATTCGACGTTAAAGTCAGAGGAGATCTGCCTGGGGTGACTCAATCCATCATACTGCCATTGTTTGACAGTCACAGGCAAGAGGAAATACCTAGGAACTACAAATGAATTTACTCACTAATGATTCATAGCAATTTGCAGAATATTGTATTTGGCACATTTTCTTCACATAGTTCCTTATATTACAATAAAAGGAAGCTGCTTTCTATGTCATTTATATTTTATACAATTTTGCTAATAGACTGGAGTAATGTGCTAATAAGTTGAATCAAATAATTATTTCTTCTCTTGTCTGAGTCAGTTCTTTGCTGCTAGAGGAATGGACAGCCCAAATGATTGATAACAGAATCCACAAACTTTCACCTCCACGTCACCAGTTTGAACCCAAGCTAGTTGAGCAATGAGAGACATTTGTTTCCATTGGCAACTCGTCAGAGTCTTGCATGAAATGAATGGCTAGTCTCTATTTGCTTACTGGACCTGAAATGACAGTTACTTGCAATGATAAATATATTGTGCTGTGAGTAAAGACCTAGATTATCATTATCCTAACATTCTTTTCCAAGGTTCTAAAGTTAATATACGAGATTGGTTGGTATTCAACTTCTGACTAGAATTTTACTCTCTGAGGCAAATTTATATTGTTCCCAATGTTCTCAACATCAAATGTTATTCTCATTTTTAATAAGTAAAAGAAATGTAGTTTAGTAATAAACCAAATATGCATATGATAACTGAAGTTTTGCCTTTTTTTTATTTCACAAAAGTTGGGGTGTCACATTTAGAAAATTTAAATAGATGTTATATATATATTTTTAATTTCCCCAATTTATTTACTCTTATCATTTTTTAACTTTTGTTTTAAGTTCAAGTGTATGTGGGAAGATTTGTTATATTGGTAAACCCTTTGTCATGGATGTTTGTTGTATGGATTATTTCATCACCCAGGTACTAAGCAAAGTACCCGATAGTTATTTTTTCTGTTCTTCTCCCTCCGCCCACTATCCACTCTCAAGTAGGTCCCGGTGTTTGTCGTTCACTTCTTTGTGCTTATGAGTTCTCATCATTTAGCTCCCACTTATAAGTGAGAACATGCAGTATTTTTTTTTCTGGTCCTGCATTAGTTTGCTAAGGATAATGGCTTCTAGCTTCATCTATATTCCTGCAAAAGACATGACCTTGCTCTTTTTATGGCTGCGTAGTATTCTGTGGTGTATATGTACCACATTTTATGTAGTTAATCTGTCATCGATGGCCATTTAGGTTGATTCCATGTCTTTGCTATCGTGAATAGTGCTGCAATGAACATTCCTGTGCATGCGTCTTTGTAGCAGAATGATTTATAACATTTATATATATTTTGTTTCAATAATTTTTAGGATACAGGTGGTTTTTGATTACATGGATACATTCTTTGGTGGTGATTTTTGAGACATTGCCACACCCATCACCCAAGCAGTGTACACTGTACCCAGTATGTAGCCTTTTATCCCTCACCCCTCCCATCCTTCCCTCAAGCCCCCAAAGTTCATTGTACCATTTTTAATGCCTTTGCATCCTCATGGTTTAGCTCCCACTTATGAGTGAGAACATACAGTATTTGGTTTTCCATTCCTGAGTTGCTTCACTTAGAATAATGACCTCCAGTTGCATCCAAGTTACTGCAATGGCCATTATTTCATTCTGCATTATGGCTAAGTAGTAGTCCATGGTGCATCTTTACCACATTTTCTTTCTCCACTCATTCATCCATGGGCATTTAGGTAGGTTCCATATTTTTGTAATTGTTAATTGTGCCACTGTAAACATGTGTGTGCATGTGCCTTTTTCATATAATGACTTCTTTTCCTTTGGGGAGGTACCCAGTAGTGGAATTGCTGGATCAAATGGTAGTTTTACTTTCAGTTCTTGAAGGAATCTCCATGCTATTTTCCATAGTGGTTGTACTAGCTTACATTTCCACCAGCAGTGGCAAAACATTCCATTTTCACCAAATCCACACCAACTTATATTCTTCTTTGAGGTTTTATTCATCACCATTCTTACAGGAGTAAGTTAGTATCTCATTGTGGTTTTAACTTGCATTTCCCCAATGATTAGTGATGTTAAACTTTTTTTTTTTTGTATGTTTATTGGCTGTTTGCATATCTTTTTTTTCATCTCCGTACTGAAGTTTTATTTTTAAGCTTTTTTGAACTTGTAAATTCAGTTTATTTATTTTCCATAAGTTATTGGGATACAGGTTACATGAGAAAGGTCTTTATTGGTGATTTGTGAGATTTTGGTGTACCCATCAACCAAGCACTATACACTGCACAATATTTGTAATCTTTTTTTTCCATTGATGGGAAATTTATTTTTATTTATTTATTTTTTATTATGCTTTAAGTTCTGGGATACATGTGCAGAACGTGCAGGTTTGTTACATAGATAATACACATGCCATGGTAGTTTGCTGTACCCATCAACCCGTCATCTACATTAGGTATTTCTCCTAATGCTATCCCTCCCCTAGCCCCCCATCTCCCAAAGGACCCCGGTGTGTGATGTTCCCTTCCCTGTGTCCATGTGTTCTCAATATTCATCTCCAACTTATGAGTGAAAACATGCAATGTTTGGTTTTCTTGTTCCTGTGTTAGTTTGCTGAGAATGATGGTTTCCAGCTTCATCCATGTTCCTGCAAAGGAAAGGAACTCATCCTTTTATGTGGCTGCATAGTATTCCATGGTGTATATGTGCCACATTTTCTTTATCCAGTCTATCATTAATGGACATTTGGGTTGGTTCCAAGTCTTTGCTATTGTGAAAAGTGCTGCAATAAACATACATGTGCATGTGTCTTTACAGTAGAATGATTTAAAATCCTTTGGGTATATACACAGTAATGGGATTGCTGAATCCAGTGGTATTTCTGGTTCTAGATCCTTGAGGAATTGCCACACTGTCTTCCACGATGTTTGAACTAATTTACACACCCACCAACAGTGTAAAAGCATTCCTATTACTCCACATCCACTCCAGTACCTGTTGTTTACTGACTTTTTAGTGATCACCATTCTAACTGGCGTGAGATGGTATCACATTGTGGTTTTGATTTGCATTTCTCTAATGACCAGGGATGATGAGCATTTTTTCATATGTTTGTTGGCTGCATAAATGTCTTCTTTTGAGAAGTGTCTGTTCATATCCTTCACCCACTTTTTGATGGGATTGTTTGTTTTTTTCTTGTAAATTTGTTTGAGTTCCTTGTAGATTCTGGATATTAGCCCTTGATCAGATGGAGAGATTGCAAAACTTTTCTCCCATTCTGTAGATTGTTTGTTCACTCTGATGATAGTTTCTTTTGCTGTGCAGAAGCTTTTCACTTTACTTAAATCCCATTTGCCAATTTTGGTTTTTGTTGCCATCGCTTTTGGTGTTTCAGTCATGAAGTCCTTGCCCATGCCTATGTCCTGAATGGTATTGCCTAGGTTTTCTTTTAGGGTTTGTATGGTTTTAGGTCTTACATTTAAGTCTTAATCCATTTTGAGTTAATTTTTGCATAAGGTGTAAGGAAGGGTTCCAATTTCAGTTTTCTGCATATGGCTAGCCAGTTTTCCCAATACCATTATTAAAATAGGGGAAACTTTCCCAAATGCTTGTTGTTGTTAGGTTTGTCAAAGATCAGATGGTTGTAGATGTGTGGTGTTACTTCTGAGGACTCTGTTCTGTTCCATTGGTTTATATTTCTGTTTTGATACCAGTATCATGCTGTTTTGGTTACTGTAGGCTTGCAGTCTAGTTTGAAGTCAGGTAGTGTGATGCCCCCAGCTTTGTTCTTTTTGCTTAGGATCGCCTTGGCTATACGGGCTCTTTTTTGGTTCCATATGAAATTTGAAGTAGTTTTTTCTAATTCTGTGAAGAAAGTCAATGGTAGCTTGATAGAGATATCATTGAATCTGTAAATTTCTTGGGGAACTATGGCCATTTTCAATACATTGATTCTTCCTATCCATGAGCATGGTATGTTTTTCCATTTGTTTGTGTCCTCTCTTATTCCCTTGAGCAGTGGTTTGTAGTTCTTCTTGAAGAGGTCCAACACATCCCTTATAAGTTGTATTCCTAGTTATTTTATTATCTTTGTAGCAATTATGAATGGGAGTTCACTCACGATTTGGCTTTCTGTTTGTCTGTTATTGGTGTATAGGAATGCTTGTGATTTTTCACACTGATTTTGTATCCTGAGACTTTGCTGAAGTTGCTTATCAGCTTAAGGAGTTTTTAGGCTGAGACAATGGGATTTTCAAAATATACAATCATGTCATCTGCAGACAGAGATAACTTTACTTCTTCTCTTCACATTTGAATATGCTTTACTTCTTTCTCTTGCCTAATTGTCCTGGCCAGAACATCCAATATGATGTTGAATAAGAGTGGTGAGAGAGGGCATCCTTGTCTTGTGCTGGTTTTCAAAAGGAATGCTTCCAGCTTTTGCCCATTCATTGTGATATTGGCTGTGGGTTTGTCATGAATAGCTCTTATTATTTTGAGATATGTTCCATCGATACCTAGTTTATTGAGTGTTTTTAGCATGAAGGGGTGTTTATTTTACCGAAGGCCTTTTCTGCATCTATTGAGATAATCACGTGGTTTTTGTCATTGGTTCTATTTATATGATGGATTATGTTTATTGATTTGTGTATGTTGAACCAGCCTTGCATCTCAGGGATGCAGCTGACTTGATCATGGTGGATAAGCTTTTTGATGTGCTGCTGGATTTGGTTTGCCAGTATATTATTGAGGCTTTTTGTATTGATGTTCATCAGGATATTGGCCTGATATTTTCTTTTTTTGTTGTGTCTCTGCCAGGTTTTGGTATCAGGATGATGTTGCCCTCATAAAATGAGTCTGGGAGGAGTCCTTCTTTTTCTATTGTTTGGAATAGTTTCAGAAGGAATGGTACCAACTCCTTTTTGTACCTCTGGTGGAATTTGGCTGTGAATCATGTGGTCCTGGGTTTTTTTTTGGTTTCTTAATTACTGCCTCAATTTCAGAATTTGTTATTGGTCTATTCAGGGATTTGACTTCTTCCTGGTTTAGTCTTGGGAGGGAGCATATGTCCAGGAATTTATCCATTTCTTCTAGATTTTCTAGTTTATTTGCATAGAGGTATTTATAGTATTTTCTGATGGTAGTTTGTATTTCTGTGGGATCAGTGGTGATATCCCCTTAATCATTTTGTATTGTGTCTGTTTGATTCTTCTCTCTTATTCTTTATTAGTCTGCCTAGCAGTCTATCTATTTTGTTAATCTTTTCAAGAAAAGATTCATTGATTTTTTTGAAGGGTTTTTCATGTCTCTATCTCCTTCAGGTTTGCTCAGATCTTAGTTATTTATTTTCTTCTGCCAGTTTTTGAATTTGTTTGCTCTTCCTTCTCTAGTTCTTCTAATTGTGATTTTAGGGTGTCGATTTTAGATCTTTCCCACTTTCTGCTGTGGGTGTTTAGTGCTATAAATTTCCCTCTAAACACTGCTTTAGCTGTGTCCCTGAGATTCTGATACATTGTGTCTTTGTTCTCATTGGTTTCAAAGAACTTATTTATTTCTGCCTTAAGTTTGTTATTTACCCAGAAGTCATTCAGGAGCAGGTTGTTCAGTTTCCATGTAGTTGTGCGGTTTTGAGTGATTTTCTTAAACCTGAGTTCTAATTTGATTGCACTGTAGTCTGAGAGACTGTTTGTTATGATTTGCATTCTTTTAAATTTGCTGACAAGTGCTTTACTTCCAATTATGTAGTCAATTTTAGAATAAGTGTGATGTGGTGCTGAGAAGAATATATATTCTGTCGATTTGGGGTGGAGAGTTCTCTAGATATCTATTAGGTCCACTTGTTCCAGAGCTGAGTTCAAGTTCTGAATATCCTTCTTAATTTTCTGTCTCGTTGATCTGTCTAATATTGACAGAGGGGTAATGTCTCCCACTATTATTGTGTGGAAGCCTAAGTCTCTTTGTAGGTCTCTAAGAACTTGCTTTATGAATCTGGGTGCTCTTGTATTGGGTGCATATATATTTAGGATAGTTAGCTCTTCTTGTTGCGTTGATCCCTTTACCATTATGTAATACCCCTCTTTGTCTTTTTTTAATCTTTGTTGGTTTAAAGTCTGTTTTATCAGAGACTAGGATTGCAACCTTTTCTGTTTATTCTTTCCATTTGCTTGGTGAATATTCCTCCACCCTTTATTTTTAGCCTATATGTGTCTTTGCACCTGGCATGGGTCTCCTGAATACAGCACACAGATGGGTCTTGACCCTTTATCCAATGTGCCAGTCTGTGTCTCTTAACTGGGGCTTTTAGCCCATTTACATTTAAGGTTAATATTGTTATGTGAATTTGATCCTGTCATTATGATGCTAGCTGGTTATTTTGCCCATTAGTTGATGCAGTTTCTTCATAGTGTCAATGGTTTTTGCAATTTGTTACCTTTTTGTAGTGAATGGTACCAGTTTTTTTCTTTCCATATTTAGTGCTTCCTTCAGAAACTCTTGTAAGGCAGGCCTGGTGGTGACAAAAACTATCAGCATTTGCTTCTCTGTAAAGGATTTTATTTCTCCTTCGCTTATGAAGCTTAGTATGGCTGGATATGAAATTCTGGGTTGAAAATTATTTTCTTTAAGAATGTTGAATATTGGTCCCCACTCTCTTCTGGCTGGTAGGGTTTCTGCAGGGAGATCTGCTGTTAGTCTGATGGGCTTCCCTTTTTGGGTAACTTGACCTTTCTCTCTCGCTGCCTTTAACATTTTTCCTTCATTTCAACCTTGGTGAATCTGATGATTATGTGTTTTGGGGTTTCTCTTCTCAAGGAGTATCTTTGTGGTGTTCTCTGTATTTCCTGAATTTGAATGTTGGCCTGCCTTGCTAGGTTGGGGAAGCTCTCCTGGATAATATCCTGAAGAGTGTTTTCCAACTTGGTTCCATTCCCCCCCGTCACTTTCAGGTACACCAATCAAACGTAGGTTTGGTCTTTACACATAGTCCAATATTTCCTGGAGGCTCTTTTTGTTCCTTTTTATTCTTTTTTCTCTAATCTTGTCTTCATGCTTTATTTCATTATGTTGATCTTCAATCTCTGATATCCTGTCGTCCACTTGATCAATTCAGCTATTGACACTTGTGTATGCTTCACGAAGTTCTTGTGCTGTGTTTTTCAGCTCCATCAGTTCATTTATGTTCTTCTCTAAACTGATTATTCTAGTTAACCATTCCTCTAACTTTTTTCAAGGTTCTTTGCTTCCTTGCATTGGGTTAGAACATGCTCTTTTAGCTTGGAGGAGTTTGTTATTACCCACCTTCTGTAACCTACTTCTGTTAATTTGTCAAACTCATTCTCTGTCTAGTTTTTTCCCTTGCTGGTGAGGAGTTGTGATCCTTTGGAGGAGAAAAGGCATTCCGGTTTTTGGAATTTTCAGCCTTTTTGCACTGGTTTTTCCTCATCTTCGTGGATTTATCTACCTTTGGTCTTTGATGTTGGTGACCTTCGGATGGGGTTTCTGTGTGGACGTCCTTTTTGTTGGTGTTAATACCATTCCTGTTTGTTAGTTTTCCTTCTAACAGTCATGTCCCTCTGCTGCAGGTCTGCTGGAGTTTGCTCAGGTCCACCCCAGACCCTGTTTGGCTAGGTACTACCAGTGGAGGCTGCAGAACAGCAAAGTTTGCTGCCTGTTCCTTCTTCTGGAACCTTCATCCCAGAGGGGCACCCACCAGGTTCCAGCTGGAGCTGTCCTGTATGAGGTGTCTGTCAACCCCTGCTGGGAAGAGTCTCCCAGTCAGGAGGCACAGGGGTCAAGGACCCACTTAAGGAGGTAGTCTGTCCCTTAGCAGAGCTCAAGCACTGTGCTGGGAGATCCACTGCTATCTTCAGAGGTGGCAGGCAGTTTAAGTTCTGCTGAAGTTGCACTCACAGCCACCCCTTCCTCCAGGTGTTCTGTCTCAGGCAGATGGGAGTTTTATCTATAAGCTCCTGACTGGGGCTGCTGCCTTTCTTTCAGAGATGCCATGCCCAGAGAGGAGGAATCTAGAGAGGCAGTCTGGCTGCAGTGGCTTTGTGGCACTGCGGTGAGCTCCGCCCGGTTCAAACTTCCTGGAAGCTTTGTTTACACTGTGAGGGGAAAACCACCTACTCAAGCCTCAGTAATGGTGGATGCCCTTCCCCCTGCCAAGCTTAAGTGTCCCAGGTCAACTTCAGACTGCTGTGCTGGCAGTGAGAATTTCAAGCCAGTGGATCTTAGCTTGCTGGCCTCTATGGGGGTGGGATCTGCTGAGCTAGACCACTTGGCTCTCTTGCGTCAGCCCCTTTTCCAGGGAAGTGAAGCGTTCTGTCTCGCTGGCATTCCAGGCACCACTGGGTTATGAAAAAAATCTCCTGCAGCTAGCTTGGTGTCTGCCCAAATGGCCACCCAGTTTTGTGCTTGAAACCCAGGGCTCTGGTGGCATAAGCACCCAAAGGAATCTCCTGGTCTGTGGGTTGTGAAGACCATAGGAAAGCATGGTATCTGGGCTGGAGTGCACTGTTCCTCACAGCATAGTCCCTCATAGCATCCCTTGGCTAGGGGAGGGAGTTCCCTGACCCCCTGCACTTCCCAGGTGAGGCGACACGCCACCCTGCTTTGGCTAACCCTCTGTGGGCTGTACCCACTGTCTAACCAGTCCCAGTGAGATGAGCTGGGTACCTTAGTTGGAAATGCAGAAGTCACCCACCTTCTGCTTTGATCTCGCTGGGAGCTGTAGACTGGAGCTGTTCCTATTCAGCCATCTTGCCAGCCACCAACGTTATGATATTTTTAAGTTAATTTAATAATAAATTTAAAAGTAAACTCATAGGAGGTTGTTTTCTGAAGGTGTTTCAAGACTAGGGAAATTATATCTTTTGTTCCACTGACATGGGATCCAGTGGGTGAGTTAGTCAGAAGTAAGGTACACTTACTGGGGCCCTCATGGCTTTTAAAAGCAATTAAAAGGTATGTAATAGAAGAAAAACATATTTTCACAGATAACTTAAAAATATATGCTCTTTGTAGTTGCCTCCTTTGTTTTCAGTATGCAGAGTCCCTGTACTCACTATCATGGTTAAGGTTATCATTAGAGGTGTTCAAAAATATTCTATTTATTCTTCCTGACACAAATTAGTATAATACCTTTCTGCCCCCTATTAAAGTTAGGCATCTACATGTAACTTGCTTCCAATAAGATGTGAGTGGAAATGACATGTGTTTGTTGTCCTGCTGTTGCCACAATCATGGAAGCAAGAATCAGGCTTTTACAGACCCTTCCTACCATTTTGCATTGGACCTGTATTGTGAGCAAGAATTGTTTTCTTTATATTAAGCACTTGATCTTAGGGGCTATTAATTATCAGGAAATAATCTAGCCTATCTTGACTAATACAAAGCTTTTTCACAGACATGACATGAATAGCAAAATTTGTTTCTGAGGATTCAATAATAGAGAAGTCTGAGAAGGACTAAAATAGAAAACATCAGAAAAGATAGAGGTAAAACCAACTGTAAGAGAATTGCAGGAAGATCTATGTGCAAGGAACTACATAAATTATTAGACAGAAGTGGAAATGGAGAGATCTTTGCCATCAGGCAACTGAGAAGAGAGACATGGGAACAGATTTTTCTCGAAGACTTTTAGAGAATGATAAATGCTGTGTGGTATACAATAAATGACCTATTATGCCCCCTTTAAAGATTCCTCCCCTACGGGTCTTTGGTCATTTTTGTTTGTTTGTTTGTTTTTGCTGGCTTTTTCTCTCTAGAGTATATTTACTTTAGGGACCGGGAAAAAATGTTTCAAGGTTACCACAGGGGAAAAACAGAATTGCCAATGGGAGAAAATCATCACAATTTCTTCCCCAGAAGGTAAACCAAAAGTATATTTACATGGCTAGAAAATCCCTAGCCTTTTGTTTTGAATAATATTTATGTATTCATAAACACTGCAAACACTAAATAATGATTCAACCAACAGTTTTATGTGTGTGGGAACTATAGTAAGAGGGAAAGTGTGTTTGTCCCAAGGTGGGGGATCCAAAGAGAAGAAATAAAATCTTATCCTTGTCTTCCAAGAAATACAATAGATACTATCTGCAAATAAAAATTTTAAAATATTCGTGTATATATATGTGTGTGTATGTGTGTGTGCTGTTTAGAAATATGGACTAAAGTACTAGGAAAAGCAGTTAAGTGAATTAAAAGCTGTTGTTTCTGGGTAACGGAACTTGGGAATGAGACTCAATCGTTCAAAAAAGTATATTTAATATTTCACAAAAACCAAAGGTGTAAGTAAAATTAAGGAAACAAAAATATGTCACACTTTCTCATTTTTATCATCTAAATTTCTGTTTTGATGTCTTTATTTTTTAGTGTTGAATATTATTGTGGTTATCAAAGAAAATATGTGTTTATTTTATAAAACTTAAAAAATACGGAAAATAATCATTTTAATTGGCCACACTTCTCTAGCCAATGTCCAGGGTTGTTGTGTCTCACCCAAAAAATGATACTATCAAATGAAGTAAAGAATCACTCAATCAGATATCAATGTTTTACTAGAGTAATGAGACTATATTCCATCTCAGTATCCACAGGTAATAACAAAATGCCAGCTCAATAAATAATAATGGATTTAACATTTCCAGTTGATAGTTGAATGTAAGAAGAGAATCAGTGCAGCTTGTCAGAGCACAGAGCAATGCATAATATTCAGAAAATACTTGAAGTGATCAAGAAAATCATTACTTGTGATGACTTACACATTTATATTGTTATGAGAAACACAAGAATGCTCAACTAATCTATTTCCTTGAAGAGTTTTCAATCAATGAGTCCAGTAAAAAATAAATCAAGGAAGAAATTAGACAATAATAAAACTTTCTCTTTTTTCTTATTTTATTCTCTCCCTCCTTTCTTCCCTCCTTCCCTTCCTTCATTTCTTTTTTCTTTTTCTATAAAAAAGCAAGCAAGGAAAGGTAATTCTTTGTAAGTAAAAATGTTTCTTCTCTGGAAACAATTGTTTCAGGCTCAGGATTCAGCATGAATCAATCTTAACTGAGGAGCAAGGGGAGGAAAACAGGATTTACCAGCCACTTTTTTGATGGTTGTGACCCCCAGGGCTTACCATTCCTGTTGATGTTGTTTTTTGACTTGTAGTTTTCTAATGTTTCTCACTAAATTGATTATTGCCTTTGGAAGTAATTTCATGGCTTTTGGAGTACTATAGCTTTATCTTTCTAACCTTCACAGTACTGTGAAAGATTGGTCTCATTTCTTGTTAATTCTGATTCTTCTTCGAGGTTATTATCTCACTCTCCAAGGGAATCATCATGTACAGTGTTTATTAGTCTTACACATCATGACACCTCCAGAGAATTTATACAGACTAATTCATCTTTCCTGACAATTGCTGAAATAAATGGTGGCCTCAACAGTGGTTTTATTTCTGGGAACTTATTTTTATTGTGTGCCACTTGTCATAGCAGTGAGCAGTCATAAAGACCAAATAGACAACGATTTTCTATTTCCAATATTATATCTAATGATCAGTTTTAAATCATTTTAGCTGCAAAACTTTTTAAAGAATAGTTTAACCCTACTTTTTTATCTGAAGTATTCATTTTTTCTTATATGTGGCAGCAAAGGAGAATGGAAGAAATCATTCACTAGTATTAGAGTCTGGAGTCTTATCCCAGCTGTGCATATGACCTTACATAATTCACTTAAGTTCTCCAAGCCTCAGTTTTATCATATATAAAATGTAGAAGCCAACTTCCAAAGTTAGCTCAAGTTTTAGCAGATTCTGTTTTCAATAAGAAACAATGTCTTCCAACTGTCAAATATTCAAACACCAATAAGTTTATCCAAGAATATATTTCACCTTTCATTCATTAAAATGTATCCAGAAGATAATGCTCAAATGTCTCTCAATTTTTAAAAGATACATCTTATGAAGTGTTCTTTTACACATATTCAATTAACACTAGACTAATAGATGCCAAAATCACAAAAGTTTGGAACAAGGTCTTATGGCAAGTTAGTAGACTAGTGGGTACTTCTGATATAGCCTCTAAAACGCAGCTCTCAGAGCCCCATATATTTACTATCTGGCCCTTATCAGAAAAAAAAATTCAGTCCCTAAAATTAAATAAACAGAGGAGAAATGATAAATATTCCTTATAGAATAATTCCAAATATTAAATATAGAAGTGGGAAAAATACAAAATCACCACTAGAACCCACCAGTAAATTGCTGCAGACAAGATTCATGATGAATGTTAAAATTAGTGGACAAAACTTTAAGGATACTTGCATACTCCAAGGTGTCCACCCTTCAAATATGTATTATTTATTATTATGATTTTAGCATATGTGCACAAAATTTCTAAAATGCCTCCTTCCAGAAGGTAAGCTCAATTCTCCTTCTCTTGAATGTGAGTTGGATTTAATAGCTTAGTTGCAAAGAATACAATGTGTAAACGGAAAAATTGACTTAGTGGAGAAACCTGGCAGATACAACCTCAGACAAATGATTAAGGTTAAGCTCACCAATGATAGTGCATGTTGGTCTCAGGTACCTCTAATTGATTGTCATGAGAAGGGCAATTCATCTCTGTGGTATTTTTCCCCAAGAAGACTCATAGCCCAATCATGAGAAAACATCAGATATGCCCAAATTGAAAGACATTCTACAAAACACTTGGCCCATAGTTTTTATAACTCTCAAAGTCATGCAAAGCAAGAAAATACTCAGAAAATCCCATAAGCTAGAGAAAACTAAGGAGCTATGATGCCTAAACTCATTGTAGTATTATTGATTGGATACTAAAGCAGAAAAAGGACACCGGTAAAAAAAAAAAAAAAAAAAAAAAAAATGTATATCTCACAAATGGCTGTTTTGCAGAATATATACAGAATACTTACAATTCTACAAGAAGAAGTCAAACAATCTCATTAAAAATGATTAAAACTTTGGGGCCGGGCACAGTGGCTCATGCCTGTAATCCCAGCACTTTGGGAGGCTGAGGTGGGTGGATCACTTGAGGTCAGGAGTTCCAGACTAGCCTAACCAACATGATGAAACCTTGTCTCTACTAAAAATACAAAAATTAGCTGAGCCTGGTGGCACATGCCTGTAATCCCAGCTACTTGGGAGACTGAAACAGGAGAATCGCTTGAACCCAGGAGGCGGAGGTTGCAGTGAGCCGAGATTGCGCCATTGCACTCCAGCCTGGGTGGTAAGAGCAAAACTCTGTCTGAAAAAAAAAAAAAAAAAGAGATTAAAACATTGGAACCCACGTTTCACCAAAGGAAAAAACTATGAACAGCAAATAAGCATGAGAAAGTTGCGCAACATCATTAGTCAATAGAGAAATGGAAATTATAAATGTTATATAACCTTGTACAACAACCAAAATGGCTAATATTAAAAAGACTGACAGTACCAAATATTGACATGTGTAGCAACTGGAATTCTTGAATAGAGCCACTGGAAATGTAAAATGATATGACCACTCTGGAAAAAGTGTGGCAGTTTCATATGTAAACACATACTTACCATATGACCCACTAATCCCATTACTAGTTACGCAAAAGAAATAAAAACTTACTTCAAATGCTAATCGCAGACTAATTAGTTATAGCCAAAAATCGAAAACAACTCAAATGTCCATCAACTGGTAAATGGATAAACAAATTTTTGCATATTTATACAACATAATACGTTGCAATAAAAAAGACAACCATAGATTACGCAAAAGCATAGATGAATTCCAAAAGCATTGTGCTAGATGAAAGAAGTCAAGAAGACCACACACTGTATGTTCAATTTCTATTAAATGTCTAGAAAACGCAAGTCTATAGTGAGAGAAAGATCAGTAGGTGCTAGTAGCTAGGGTTAGTAAAGAGATTGATTGCTACCGAGCTGATTGGTATAAAGTACTATGTCATGAATATTGTCATGTTTATAAAAGTGTACTCTCATTAGTTAAGTTTATTGTATGTAATTCTACCTCAAAAAGGCCGATAAAAATATTCTTTAAAAGTTGAAGGTGGATCTCAGATAGGTTCCAAACACTTGACAGAACGAGAGGGATATCCTTGGAATATCTGCCTAAATTACTGGGGCCATTCCAACATGTTTCCCGCAAGGCATCCACAGTGTACTTCAGACATTCATGGGCATATCACTGCTTGCGAAAATGGAAGAACTTATTTAGTGGCTGAAGAGCACAGACATCAGTTTATGGCTTGATAATATCACAGGATTATGGAGGGGCTAAGTTAATATGAGAGCCTGAGTTTAATATCACATGCAAAAGCACTGAGACAAGTTTCAGGGTGCCTTTCGGGTAGCATAAAATTGGCAAGGGGTGGTGCATGTATCAGACACCACAGCATCATTGAGAGGAGGAGGATGGAACAATACTCCACATACATGTTCTGATGAAAATTAAGTAATTTGTCAAATGAGTAAACAGGAAGCATTGAATAAAATCCTGCTTTTCCCTGTCCCCTCTGCCTCTTGTTCCAGGGATCTCTGCAAAGGGCTAATGATAATCCTAATATGTAACCATGGATTCTTTTAATATTATATTTAACACACAACACTGGATGAAACAATCACAAGGATGGCTCTAAAAATATTTAAATCTTAACCAAATATCTGTTGTACAGAAATGATAATGTATATAATTAATGTGTATTAATATATAAAAATAATTATAGATGAGTGTTCCTTTTAAAATATAGCATGTTATGAGTTTTTCATCTTTATAGAGGTATAATTGAAAAAATAATGTCAGATGTATTTAAAACATGCAACATGATGATTTGATATATTATACATTACGAAATTATTACCACAATCAAATTAATTAGTATATCCATCACCTTTTTTATTTTTTGGTGAGAATGCTTGAGATCTACTCTCTCAGAAATTTCAAGTATATAATACATTGTTACTAACTATAGTCACTATGCAGTATATAGGATCCTCAGAATTTACTCATCTTATAACTGAAAGTTCATACTTTTTGACCAACCTCTCCCCATTTGTTCCACTCCCCAGATGCTTGCTGCAAACACCGCTATACACTGTTATGAGTATTAAAAAAGGGGAAAAAATACACACACCAAATTGAATTCCACATTACAAAGAAGAGAGAGTTGTAAATATTAAAACTTTGTTTCTAATTTTGCTGCTTTTTCTTTGAAAAATATATACTATAAGGAAATGAAAGAATCTATGAATGAAATGTTATAAAATAAGCAGTTCTTATATGATAATAATTATTGATAAAGTGATAATGTGCCCCAATGCTTAAAATCCTGTGAAGTTAAAAATAATCTAGAAATATACATTTATGTCTCATTATGATTGCATTTTACTGGTAAAATAATTTTTTTCAACTGTAGAATGAGAAGTGAGGTTCCTTACCTCTTTGGGTTCTGTGTTGAAACAAAAGTAGCAATTAACACTACCATAACATTCAGAGTTGCATTAATTTCTTATTAAATTTGAATTATACAAGAACAAAGGATACTTTATGCTCTGGAAAAAGATAATTGTGAATTGTAAATTGATACCGTAACACATAGATGAAGCCTCTATTTAGTAGGGCAAATTACATCTCTTTTAGGAAGTTTACTCCCAAGGTATATACTCAAAAATCTGTAATGACCACCTGACTACTCTCACTGCAGCATGCCTACTTTGTTTGCTGAATTAAATGTTTGTTAATGAGTAACACTGAAATTCAGCCAGAACTTGGCCCCAGACTAACTTGCTATTCATAATCTGTGCTTCAGTCAAACACTGCTAATTGCTGCTCATCCCACATTGTGACCTCCTTGAGAACAGATCATTGCGTATAGAATCACTTTACTACCAATGTCTAGCATAATGCCAGGCTCATTTTTAATACTCAGTAGTTAGGTTGCTAAGTACACTTGGGCGCTGTGTTTTTTGTCTGCTCTTACATTGTACCATTATGCCTAAGTATACTTCTTTCACTGTCCAAAATCCTACCCAGTTTTCAAGACCAAGATTTCATGCTGCACCATAGGAATTGCAGATTTTAAAAGTTCAAATAGATCCAGTGCTTGTCCATTCTTCTTCCAGAAATCACAGCCCCTGCTTTCAAAAAAAAATGCTGGAAGAAAACCTAGACGTAAACTCTACTGACACCAAAATTACAGAACAGATGAAAAGACTATTCTGAAAACATGAAAAGCCAAAAGTAGCACAAGTGGGAGATGCAGGAAACAGTTCAGAAAGGATTCGCCCGCTGTATACCCCTGACACTGGTGGTAGAATACATCTCCCCAAGTCAATGTCTTATTTTGAAGCGTAACCCCAAAAATTATTTGTCTTCAGCAAAAGATAAAGTGTAAGTGGACAGGCTGTGAGAGTCTTCCTATACGTCATTTGATAGAAAGTTTAAAGAAATTGGAAAGGCAAACACGAATGGAAAAACATGGTCAAGTCATTTTTGAAAGGGGAAGTTTATTGGTGAGATAGTAAAAAAAATGAGGGACTATCTTGGATGCAGTCCAGTTGTGCCATATTGCAGTACCTAAAATACTACTCTCACAAGAAGAGTATGCTAGTGTAACAGAGAACAAACTGATTAATAAAAAATGGTCAATCCAAAAGAAAGAAAAGGCGGAAGAGGAGTTATAGAATAGGCAGGACAAACAAAAAGCACATAGTAAGATAGCAGATTTAAAACCAAAGATATTAGTAATCACATTCAGTATAAATGGACTAAGTGCTCAAATTAACTGATAAAGATTGTTAGACAAGATTTAAAATTTGCAAGATACATCTAAAGTAAAAATATAGAAAAGAAATTGCTGACAAAGGTGTAGCTCACTAACAACAAGTGAAACCTAAAGAAATTGGAAAAAGGGAAATAATAAACATAAAAACCTGAATTACAGAAATGGAAAGCAAATGTACACAAGAATGTATAAAGTCCAAAATAATTGTTTAAAAAAAACTAATGAAATGGGTAAACTTCTCTCTGATAAGACTGAGCAAGTTAAAAATAGAGAAGGTACCAATATTAAAAATAAAAAAGAGGGAAAGAATTGACCACTAGATTGTACAGTAATTAAAAGATCATGAAACTCTTTTACAAACAATATTATGATAAGACAAGTGAAATGAAATGAACAAATTTCTAGGAAAAAAATAGAAGACTGGACAAAGTAAGAATACAAAATTTCAATTAAAGTATCAAAGAACTACAAATAAAGAATATCAAAAACAAATTTTCAAAAGGGGAACCTATTTAAAAAGCATACTTAATGTAAAATGTTAAGATGCTTATCTCTAAGACTGGCAATAAACCATGAAAAAAGTGAAAAAAAAGATGAAAGCACTAATTCAGAAAAGGTAACACAGATATAGAATATCAAAGAAAATAAAATTATATGAAACTACCTTGCTAAATACCATTTAAATAAATGTGAGAATGTGAATAAAATGATTATCTAGAAAAATATAGACTACCAAAGTGAACCCCAGAAAAGATAGAACACCTAATTAGAACAATTGCCAAAGAAGTAATAAAGATGTTGGAGAATAATTTCCTCCCTCTGCCCCTCCAAATAAAGCACTATATTCACATTCAGATTGTTTGTAAGAGGAATTCCAAAAAGTCTTTCAGAAACAGGTAAATCTAATGCAATTCTCTCAAACTATGTCACGGCTTTATCAGCTAAGTTTATGTAATATTTTAAATTCTTTATTGTAATTTCAACAATATTTATAGCATCTTCACGAGGAGTAGATTTCATGTCAAGAAACCACTTTCTTTGCTCATCTTTAAGAAGCAGCTCCGCATCCACTCAAGTTTTATCACGAGATCACAGCAATTCAGTCACATCTTCAGGCTCCATTTCTAACTCCAGATCTCCTGCAGTTTCCCCTACATTGGGAATTACTTCCTTCACTCAAGTCTTGAGCCTCTCAAAGTCAATCATAAGGGCCAGAATCAACTTCTATGAAATCCCTGTTAATGTAAATGTTATGACTTCTTCCCATAAATTACAAATGTTCTTAATGGCATCTAGAATAGTAAATCCTTTTCAGAAGGTTTTCAATTTACTTTGCCCAGATCTTTTAGGGAAATCTCTATCTATGACAGCCATAGCCTTACAAAATGTATTTCTTAAATAGTAAGACTTGAAAGTCTAAATTATTCCTTGATCTATAGGCTGCAGTATGGATGTTGTGTCAGCAGGCAAGAACACAGCATTAATCCCCTTACCCATCTCCAGCAGAGTTATTGGTTAAGTAGGTGCATTGTCAGTGAACAGTAATATTTTGACAGAAATCTTTTTTTTTTCCTGAGTAAAAGGTCTCAACAATAGGCTTAGAATACTCAGTAAACCATGCTGTAAACAGACGTGCTGTCATCCAGGCTTTGTTGTTCCATTTATAGAGCACAGGCAAAGTAGACTTAATAAATTCTTAAGGGTCCTAGGATTTCTGGAATGGTAAAAGAGTCTTGGCTTCAACTTAGTCACCAGCTGCATCAGTCTCTAACAAGAGAGTCAGCCTGTCCTTTGAAACTTTGAAGCACGGTATTATCTTCTCTCTAGGCATGAAAGTCCTAGATGGCATCTTCTTTCAATAGAAGAATGTTTAGTCTACATTGAAAATCTGTTTTTACTGTAGTCACCTTCATGAATGAGCTTAGCTAGATCTGGATAACGTGCTACAGCTTCTACGTCAACATCTTCTGCTTCACCTTGCACTTTTATGGAAATGGCTTTTTTATTATTATACTTTAAGTTTTAGGGTACATGTGCACAATGTGCAGGTTAGTTACATATGTACACATGTGCCATGCTGGTGTGCTGCACACATTAACTCGTCATTTAACATTAGGTATATCTCCTAAAGCTATCCCTCCCCCTTCCCCCCACCCCAGAGTGTGATGTTCCCATTCCTGTGTCCCCAGAGTGTGAGTCCCCAGAGTGTGATGTTCCCCTTCCTGTGTCCATGTGTTCTCATTGTTCAATTCCCACCTATGAGTGAGAATATGCGGTGTTTTTTTTTTGTTTTTCCAATAGTTTACTGAGAATGATGATTTCCAATTTCATCCATGTCCCTACAAAGGACATGAACTCATCATTTTTTATGGCTGCATAGTATTCCATGGTGTATATGTGCCACATTTTCTTAATCCAGTCTATCATTGTTGGACATTTGGGTTTGTTCCAGGTCTTAGCTATTGTGAATAGTGCTGCAATAAACATACGTGTGCATGTGTCTTTATAGCAGCCTGATTTGTAGGCCTTTGGGTATATACCCAGTAATGGGATGGCTGGGTCAAATGGTATTTCTAGTTCTAGATCCCTGAGGAATCACCACACTGACTTCTACAAGGGTTGAACTAATTTACAGTCCCACCAACAGTGTAAAAGTGTTCCTATTTCTCCACATCCTCTCCAGCACCTGCTGTTTCCTGACTTTTTAATGATCGCCATTCTAACTGGTGTGAGATGGTATCTCATTGTGGTTTTGATTTGCATTTCTCTGATGGCCAGTGATGGTGAGCATTTTTTCATGTGTTTTTTGGCTGCATAAATGTCTTCTTTTGAGAAGTGTCTGTTCATATCCTTCGCCCACTTTTTGATGGGGTTGTTTGTTTTTTTCTTGTAAATTTGTTTGAGTTCATTGTAGATTCTGGATATTAGCGCTTTGTCAGGTGAGTAGGTTGCGAAAATTTTCTCCCATTTTGTAGGTTGCCTGTTCACTCTGATGGTAGTTTCTTTTGCTGTGCAGAAGCTCTTTAGTTTAATTAGATCCCATTTGTCAATTTTGGCTTTTGTTGCCATTGCTCTTGGTGTTTTAGACATGAAGTCCTTGAGCTGGTTTTTTGAAAGGATCAACAAAATTGATAGACCGCTAGCAAGACTAATAAAGAAAAAAAGAGAGAAGAATCAAATAGACGCAATAAAAAATGATAAAGGGTATATCACCACTGATCCCACAGAAATACAAACTACCATCAGAGAATACTACAAACACCTCTATGCAAATAAACTAGAAAATCTAGAAGAAATGGATAAATTCCTTGACACATACACCCTCCCAAGACAAAACCAAGAAGAAGTTGAATCTCTGAATAGACCAATAACAGGAGCTGAAATTGTGGCAATAATCAATAGCTTACCAACCAAAAAGAGTCCAGGACCAGATGGATTCACAGCCGAATTCTACAAGAGGTACAAGGAGGAACCGGTACCATTCCTTCTGAAACTATTCCAATCAATAGAAAAAGAGGGAATCCTCCCTAACTCATTTTATGAGGCCAGCATCATCCTGATACCAAAGCCGGGCAGAGACACAACCAAAAAAGAGAATTTTAGACCAATATCCTTGATGAACATTGATGCAAAAATCCTCAATAAAATACTGGCAAACCAAATCCAGCAGCACATCAAAAAGCTTATCCACCATGATCAAGTGGGCTTCATCCCTGGGATGCAAGGCTGGTTCAATATATGCAAATCAATAAATGTAATCCAGCATATAAACAGAACCAAAGACAAAAACCACATGATTATCTCAATAGATGCAGAAAAGGCCTTTGACAAAATTCAACAACCCTTCATGCTAAAAACTCTCAATAAATTAGGTACTGATGGGACGTATCTCAAAATAATAAGAGCTATCTATGACAAACCCACAGCCAATATCATACTGAATGGGCAAAAACTGGAAGCATTCCCTTTGAAAACAAGCACAAGACAGGGATGCCCTCTCTCACCACTCCTATTCAACACAGTGTTGGAAGTTATGGCCAGGGCAATTAGGCAGGAGAAGGAAATAAAGGGTATTCAATTAGGAAAAGAGGAAGTCAAATTGTCCCTGTTTGCAGATGACATGATTGTATATCTAGAAAACCCCATTGTCTCAGCCCAAAGTCTCCTTAAGCTGATAAGCAACTTCAGCAAAGTCTCAGGATACAAAATCCATGTACAAAAATCACAAGCATTCTTATACACCAATAACAGACAAACAGAGAGCCAAATCATGAGTGAACTCTCATTCACAATTGCTTCAAAGAGAATAAAATACCTAGGAATCCAACTTACAAGGGATGTGAAGGACCTCTTCAAGGAGAACTACAAACCACTGCTCAAGGAAATAAATGAGGATACAAAAAAATGGAAGAACGTTCCATGCTCATGGGTAGGAAGAATCAATATCATGAAAATGGCCATACTGCCCAAGGTAATTTATAGATTCAATGCCATCCCCATCAAGCTACCAATGACTTTCTTCACAGAATTGGAAAAAAACTACTTTCAAGTTCATATGGAAGCAAAAAAGAGCCCGCGTCGCCAAGTCAATCCTAAGCCAAAAGAACAAAGCTGGCGGCATCGCGCTACCTGACTTCAAACTATACTACAAGGCTACAGTAACAAAACAGCATGGTACTGGTAGCAAAACAGAGATATAGATCAATGGAACAGAAAAGAGCCCTCAGAAATAACGTCGCATATCTACAACTATCTGATCTTTGACAAACCTGAGAAAAACAAGCAATGGGGAAAGGATTCCCTATTTAATAAATGGTGCTGGGAAAACTGGCTAGCCATATGTAGAAAGCTGAAACTGGATCCCTTCCTTACACCTTATACAAAAATTAATTCAAGATGGATTAAAGACTTAAACGTTAGACCTAAAACCATAAAAACCCTAGAAGAAAACCTAGGCATTACCATTCAGGACATAGGCATGAGATGGCTTCTTTTATTCAACCTCATGAGCCAACCTCTGCTAGCTTAAAACTTTTCATCTGAGCTTTCTCACCTCTCTCAGCCTTTATAGAATTGAAGAGAGTTAGGGTCTTGCTCTGGATTAGGCTTTGGTTTAAGGAAATGTTGTGGCTGTTTGGATCTTCTACCCAGACCACTTAAACATTCCTCAGGTCAGTAATAAGGCTGTTTCACTCTCTTATTCATGTGTTCACTGGAGTAACACTTTTAATTTCATTCAAGAACATTTCCTTTGCATTCACAACCTCACTAACTGGTGCAAGACACCCAGTTTTCAGCCAATTTTGGCTTTTGAAATGCCTTCTCACTAAGCTTTATCATTTCTAGCTTTTGACTGAAAGTGAGAGACTTATGTCTCTTCCTTTCACTTAAACACTTACAGGCCACTATTTGATTATTAATTGGGCTAATTTCAATATTGTTTTGTGTCAGGGAACAGGCAGGACTGAAGAGAGAGAGAGAGCGGGATGGGGTAACAGGCTGTCATTGGAGCAGTCAACACGCACACAACATTTATCAATTAAGTTTGCCACCTTATGTGGGTGCAGTTCATGGGACTACAAGACAATCACAATAGTGACATTAAAGATCACTGATCATAGATCACCACAATAGATATAATAATAAAGCAAAAGTTTAAAATATTGCAAGAATTACCAGGATGTGACACCAAGGGACAAAGTAAGTAGATGTGCTTAGAAAATTGGTGCTGATAGATTTGTTTGACGCAAGGTTGCATCAAAACCTTTAATTTGAAAATTACTGCATAAATCTGTGAAATGCAATAAAGCAAAGTGCAATAAAAGAAGGTATGCCTGTATTTATCTCAGTATCTCTGCATTGTTAGTAATAGCAAAAAACTTGGGACAAACTAAATGTTTACCAAAGGTATCTGATTAACAACTCTTTATTTGGGAAAAGAAAGTGGTGACCAGAGTGACAATAGAAAAGAAGAAAACATTTTTTCAATGATAATTCCTCTGTGTATTTTTCATTTATAACCATATACAGGAATTTACTAAGACAGTGTAAAAGTACATTAGTAAGTGCTGTAATCTTTCTAACACTTAACCCCCAAGCAAATGTGAGTTGGGCTTCATTGAACACTGCCTCTTTGTTTGGTCTTTTTATGATATATCATCATCATCATTATTATTTTGATTTTCAACTCATCTCTGAGATTGCACTGATTACCTGGCTTATTTTGTGCCCCCAAATGTTCTTAAGGTCAATATCAAGCATAGGAAGTGCTCAGCACATATTTGTCTAAATAAGTGTCCCCCAGCCACAGTACTACAAATATTTAAGCCAGATATTTTTTATTGTAAGGATCTGTCCTGTGCACTGCAGGATGTTTAGAAGCATTTCTGACCTCTTCCACTAGATGCAAGTAGCACATTTTAAGTCATGACGAACAAAAATATCTTCAGATATTGACAAAAGTCCCCTGGATGGGAAGAATCATCCCCAAGTGAGAACCATTGGTTTAAAGCCACGACATATCTAATCTTGCAGAATTTTATAATAGATTTTGAAGCAAGATTTAGTATACATTTTTCTACTAGAATATAATAATTTGTTATATGCTATTTTGCTGTAAGTGAATAAAGAGTTGAAATATATGTCTAGTATAGACTATAAACTAATCTTTAATACTTTTGTCATTCATTTATTATTTTTGTTTTTGTTATTTTATATACAGAGTTGAACTTGTATAGAATGGTGAAGATTTCAGAATTCCTCATTTAGTGACATTGTATCATTTGCAAAATGATGAATGATAGCCTGTATGTGGGATACATCATTTTCTCTCTTTTCTTCTAGATAACATTAATGATAGTAAAAATCGATTATCAGAATGTCAACAGTATGATTTAAAGTAAATATTCTTTGTTGCAGATAACCTCATCAAATAGGGATTAGACTATATAAAGATTAATTATAGTAGCCAAACAGTTAGTTCTGGATGATTTCTTTTAATTGATAACCAATGGTTTACAAACTAAAAGTTATCATCTGTGAAATTGGATAAAGAGCCTTACAGCGAAATTGATAGGCAGAGTAACACTAAGGATATGTAAGATAGACCATTGTCATCTCACAAATAACATTAATAGGGAGAAAATAATACATAATACGTGAGTGAAGAAATTAACACCTTTCCCTATCTATAAGCTTGTCATTTTGTCTTTGAAAGTCTTTGCAGTATTAAAAAGATTTCTCATTTCTCTTATTCAAGCCCTTTTTTCCCTTTGTGTTAATTCCAGTAAGGGGGAAAGGAAAGGAAAGAAATAACAAAGGAAGGAAAGAGAGTGGAAAAGACGAAGGGACAAAATAAAAGGCAAAGGAAGGAGGGAGGAGCCAAATGAAAAATGGAAGAAAATTTTTATATGATAGAATAAAATTGCCACAGATCTCTAGTCTAGATGATAAAATTAACCTAGTGGACTAATTTTATATCTTCTTTTCCTTTAATCCCACTAAAACATAACTTACCCAGCATCTCTGAAGCCCATTTTGAAAAATACTTCAGAAACTTACTTACCTAGCGCTACAATGTTCATTCCGTTTTCATATTGTTATTTAAATAATGTGTTATAAAGATTCACTATAGACATTCAGCCTAACTCTGAATAGTATTATTTTAAAAACTAAAAATTCCTGCTTTTTAAATTTTAAAATGCTTTGTGTTGCTTTCTCTTATCTGTCTTATTATTGAATATGTCACCAAATACCAAATGGTTTTATACACTAATAGTTCTAGCACCTTAAAAAAGAGATGAAGTTATTATCCAGGATAAAGTATAAATAAAAAATTTGCTGAATCCTAATCTGACCTGATGTGAATTAATACAGACTTCCATTTGTTTGCACCATCACTGTGTAAGGGTCCATCTAGTTAAAAACAGAACATAAGCAAAGAATAAATCAATAGGTATCTAGTTATTTATTATTTTGTATTAACATAGAACATAATTACAGTTTATTCTTATACATTATTTGTTTATATAAAAGCCTACCAATTTTACAGCTTGACTGTTTATAAGCAATAAGAAGGCTTTATAGGATCATCCTATCAAGGTGGGCTACTTGTATAATAACTGGAGTTTACAGAGAATCCACAATTCAGTCATTTGAATGACTGGATATTCATCAAGCTTTAGAGAGAAAATAATTAATCAAGAAGAAATATGTTTCCTATGTTTTCAGGTCAAAATATTACATCTTCTTTGTAAGATAAATGTTATTTCACAGTAAATAAAGTCTACAACATGATTAACCTCATATGAATTAATTGGAGAATCTTGAAGAAGCTAAATATAATGTTTACATTGATGAAGCTAAATCTAAGGTTTGTCTAGTAATTCCAATTTATCATTTTTCCAAAAAAAATTGACATATAGAATTATGCACTGGATGTTCAAATTCAAATACTTTATCATAAACATTTATCCATTTTCCACTATAATTTCTTTTATATTAATTTGAGCCAAATGTAAGATACTGCAGAAATTGTAGCTTTATATGGTTCAGCCTACATGTATCATCAAAAACACTAAGGGGCTTAAATACGAAATAAATAAAAAGAAAATGTAAAGAAGAATGCTGGCTTTTTTAAAGATAGACAAGCCTCTTTACTTGTGTTGTAAGCAAATTATTTGAAAAAAAATTAGGAAAATCACAGAAAGTATTAACATCCAAATGGCTCTTTCACTTTGAAAAACTTACATATAGCATTATGAGGTTGAAATAACCAATGTACGTGTGACATGTAAAATTACACTTTAACTTAATATTATAATCAGTGAGCTAATGGATGAGAGATTAATAAATTAAGACATTTCACTCTACACTGAATAGTTAAGTATGATTCATGCATAATTCTGGTTATAATTTATAGAGATTAACAATGAATTTGTAAAAGAAGAGATCCTTTATTTTTCTTTGAAATTTGACAATGGCAGGGCCTTGTTACCATCTCATGACTTAACAACCATATTGTGATACTAATGAATAACTTGTGACAACTGACACCTGATACTGCTGTAGCCAAAAACCTAGGGAGCAATCTGGCATAAATTTGTTAAGAATGTTAATGTCTATAATTAATTTTAATTCTGAACTAACTGTAAAATTGATACATTTTGGAGGTCATAAAGGTCAATTATCTATGGTGATTTAGGATATTGATACTGAACTGAGAGAAAAAAATGATGAAAACACCACTAATCTCATATTCAGTTTGTTAACTTATAAAATTTACAAAATGTTTAAACCAAATGAAATGTAATCAGATGATTTGAGAAATATTGTCTAGGGAAAGACACTAACAGTACAGAACTTTAAATATTCAAAATCTTCAGTGTAAGGTTGCTATAGTTTGGATCTCCCCCCAAACCTCATGTTGAAATCTGATCACCAACATTGGAGGTGGAGTCTAATTGGGAGAATCTGGCTCATGAGGCAGATTCCTCCCTCATGAATGGCATGGTGCTGTCCTTGTGATAATCAGTGAGTTCTTGTTCTATTAGTTCCAGCAAAAGCTGGTTGTTAAAAGAGCCTAGTCCCTCCTCCTCGGTTTCTTGCTTCCTCTCTTGCCACGTGATCTCCACACATGACAGCTCCACTTTGCCTTCCACCATGAGTAGAAGAAGCCTGAGACTCTCACCAGGAACAGATGCTGGTGCCATGCTTCTTGTCCAGCCTGCAAAACTATCAGCCAAATAAACCCTTTTTTCTTTACAATTTACCCAGTCTTGGATATTCCTTTATAGCAATGCTAAATGAACTAAACCAAAAATCGATATCTAGGAGTTGGGGGGTTGTTAAAGATATCTGAATATTTGAAGGGAGCTTTGAAACTGGGTAATGGACATAGGTTGGATGAGTTTGGAGGGCTCAGAAGAAGACAGGAAGATGAGGAAAAGTTGGAAGTTCTTAGAGACTGGTTAAATGGTTGTGACCAAAATGCTAATAGAAATATGGACAGTGTAGCCCAGGCTGATGAGGCCATAGCAAAGAACTTGGCTGCATTGTTTCCATGCTCCAGGTCTTTTGGGAAGGCCAAATTTAAGAGCAATGACATAGGGTATCTAGCGGAAGAAATCTCTAAGCTGCAAAGCACTCAAGAATTGGCATGCCTACTTTTAAGAGCTTACAATCAGATATGGAAGCAAACAAATGACTTAAAGTTGGAATTTATAACTAAAAGGGAAGCAGAGCATAAAATTTTGCAGGTTGGTCATTTGATGGAGAAGAAAAGAGCATTCTTAGGATAGGAATCCCAGGCTGTTGCAGAACAACCACTTACTAGAGAGATTAGTACAGATAAAAGGGAATCAAATGTTAATAGAACAATGGGAAAAAGACCCCAAAGGCATTTCAAAATCTTTGAGTCCATCCCTCCCATCACTGGCTCAGAGACCTAAAATAACAGGATGGTTTCAGGGGACAGGCCTGGGTCACGGCTACACTGCACCACCTTGGGATGCTACTCCTTAGGTTTTGACCACCCTAACTCTCACCATGGTTCAAAGAGCCCTAGGTACTACCTGGGCTGCTGCTCTGGAAGTTGCAAGCCATAAACCTTGGTGGCATTCATGTGGTGCTAAGTCTGTAGGTACTCAGAATGCAAGTGCCATGGAGGCTTGGCAAATTCCACCTAGATCTCAGAGGATATATTGGAAAGCCTGGGTGCCCGGGCAGAAGTCTGTCATGAGGTAGAGCCACTGAGAGAGCCTGTACTTGGGCAGTGCCTAGTACAGCTGTAAAAACAAAGGCACTACTCTCAGACTACAGAATTATAGAGCCATTGGTAGCATGCACCTTGTATTACTCCATTTTCACACTGCTGATAAAGACAGACCAGAGACTGGGCAATTTACAAAAGAGAGCTTATTTAGTTCCGTGTGGCTGGGGAGGCCTCACAATCCTGGCAGAAGGTGAAAGGCATGTCTCACATGGCAGCAGACAAGAGAAGCGATCTTGTGCAGGGAAACTACCCTTTATAAAACCATCAGATCTCATGAGACTTATTTACTATCACCAGCACAGGAAAGAGCTGCCCCTATGATTCAATTACCTCACCAGGTCCCTCCCACAGCACGTGGAAATTTAAGATGAGATTTGGGTGGGGACACAGCCAAACCATATCATTCTTCCATAGCCCCTTACAAATCTCATGTCCTCACATTTCAAAACCAATCATGCCTTCCCAACAGTCCCCCAAATTCTTAGCTCATTTCAGCATTAACTCAAAAGTCCACAGTCCAAAGTCTCATCCAAGACAAGGCAAGTGCCTTCCACCTATGAGCCTGTAAAATCAAAAGCAAGTTAGTTACTTCCTAGATACACTGGGGATACAGGCATTGGGTAAATACAGCTATTTCAAATGGGAGAAATTGGCCAAAAGAAAGGGGCTATAGGCCCCATGCAAGTCCAAAATCCAGCAGGGCAGTCAAATCTTAAATCTCCAAAATGATCTCCTTTGATTCTGTGTCTCACATCCAGGTCATGCTGATGCAAAAAGTGGGCTCCCGTGGCCGTGGCTTTGCAGGGTATAGCCACATCACTTGCCTGCTTTCATGAGCTGTCATTGAGCTTCTGGCTTTTCCAGGTGCACAGTGCAAGCTGTTGGTGGATCTACGATTCTGAGGTCTGGAGGACAGTGGCCCTCTTCTCACAGCTCCACTAGGCAGTGCCCCAGTAGGGACTCTTTGTTGGGGCTCTGATCCCACATTTCCCTTCTGCACAGCCACAGCAGAGGTTCTCCATGGGGGCCCTGCCCCTGCAGCAAACTTCTGCCTGGGCATCCAAGTGTTTCCATACATCCTCTGAAACCTAGGCAGAGGTTCCCAAATCTAAATTCTTGACTTCTGTGCACCCACAGGCTGAACACCATGTGGAAGCTGCCAAGGCTTGGGGCTTGCACCCTCTGAAACAACGGCCCAAGCTGTACCTTGGTTCCTTTTGGTCATGGCTGGAGTGGCTGGGACATGCTACTAAGCCCCTAGGCTGCACACAGCACAAGGATCCTGGGTCTGGCCCAAAAAACCATTTTTTTTCCTCCTAAATCTCTGGGCCTGTGATGAGAGGGACTGCTGCAAAGATCTCTGACATGCCCTGAAGACATTTTCCCCATTGTTTTAGTGATTAACATTCGGCTCCTTGTTACTTATGCAAATTTCTTCAGCAGGCTTGAATTTTTCCTCAGAAAATGGGATTTTATTTTCTATCACATTGTCAGGCTGCAAATTTTCCAAACTTTTATATTCTGTTTCCCTTTTAAAACTGAATGTCTTTAACAGCACCCAAGTCACCTCTTGAATGCTTTGCAGCTTAGAAATTTCTTCTACCAGATACCCTAAATCATCTCTCTCAAGTTCAAAGTTCCATAAATCTCTAGGACAGGGGAAAAATGCCACCAGTCTCTTTGCTAAAACATAACAAGAGTCACCTTTGCTCCAGTTCCCAACAAGTTCCTCTGCTCCATCTGAGACCACCTCAGCCTGGATTTCATTGTCCATATCATTATCAGCATTTTGGTCAAAGCCATTCAACAAGTCTCTCTGGAGTTCCAAACTTTCCCACATTTTCCTGTCTTCTTCTGAGCCCTCCAAACTGTTCCAACCCCTTCTTGTTACCCATTTCCAAAGTCACTTCCACATTTTCAGGTATCTTTTCAGCAGTGCCTCACTCTATTGGTACCAATTTACTGTATAAGTCCATTTTCATACTGCTGATAAAGACATACAAAGACTGGGCAATTTACAAAAGAAAGAGGTTTAATGGATTTACAGATCCATGTGGCTGGGGAGGCCCCACAATCATGGTGGAATTTGAAAGGCATGTCTCACATAGTGGCAGACAAGAAAAGAGGGTTCGTGCAGGGAAACTCTCCTTTATAAAACCATCAGATCTTGTGAGACTTACTCACTATCATGAGAAGAGTATGGGAAAGACATCTGTCCCCATGATTCAATTACCTCTCACTGGGTCCCTCCCACAACACATAGGAATTCAAGGTGAGATTTGCTTGGGGACATTGCCAAACCATATCACTCCTTCAGCCTGAAAAAGCCATTGATGTTTCTTCCCACTCATGAAAGCAGCCACATGGAGTACACCCGGCAAAGCTATTGGGGCACTGCTGCCTGAGGTCTTGAAACCCAGTCCTTGAACTAGTCCACAGAATGCAGGACATGAAGTTAAGGATTATTTTGGAGCTTTAAAATTTAATGTCATCCTTCCTGGGTTTTAGACTTGTGTGAGGCCTGTTACCCTTTTCTCTGGGCTGATTTATGCTTTTTGGAATAGGAATCTTTTACCCAATGCCTGTACAACCTTGGTATCTTGGAAGTAAATAACTTTTTTTTTTATTTTACGTGAACATAGCTGGAAGAGACTTGTCTCAGATGAAACTTTGGACTTTGGACTTTTGCTAGAACAAGTTAAGACTTTGGGGGATTGAAAAGGAATTATTATATCTTGCAATGTGAGGAGGACATTATTTCTAGGAGCCCAAGAACAGAGTGCTATAGTTTGGATGTTTGTTCTCTCAAATCTCATGGTGAAATTTGATGTCCACTGTTGGAGATGGGGCTTAATGGGAGGCTTTGAAGCCACAGAGGTGGATCCCTCATGAATAGATTAGTGCCCTCCCTGAGGCAAGTCGCAGGGATGGAAGTGAACTGCGGTGAGAACTGGTCATTAAAAATAACCTGGCACCTTGCTCCCTTCTCTCTTGCTTTCTCTCTCACCATATGAAGAGAGAATTTCTGCACATCTGGCTCCCCTTAGTCTTCTGCCATGAGTGGAAGCAGCCTGAAGCTTTCATCAGATGCCCAATCTTTCAGCCAGTGGAATTATGAGCAAAATAAACCTTTTTTTTCTTTATATACCCAGCCTCAGGTATTCTTTATAGCAACACAAATGGACTAAGACAAAGGTTAAAGACATTTTTAAAATTTAAACACCATTGACAACTTTTTTTTTTAATTTAAAACTAAATTTGAAGCATTTCTCTAGAGGGCAGAATTAGCCGGTAATTATGGTTGAGAGAATGATTCAGTGCCTTCTTGTTTAGTCCAGTACTATCACATTTTAGTTGCTGCTGTTGACACCTTGAGACAATCAAAAACAGAAAGTGGAAAAATACTTTATTAAAATTCCATCTTAAATTTCTTTCTCTGAAAGACATCCTGAGGTCATCAATGACTCTTGTATTTGAATATTTCCATCCAGCATCTAGAACATTAAATATACCAGGACTTCTAGCTATCTAAAATAATAATCCTTGTATTTCAGGCAGTATGGCTTAGAAGATAAGGAAGTGCATTCGATTTCAAAGTTACAATAATGTACAAGATAAATAGGATATTACTAGAGTTATAGCCTACAATGTAATTCATTATTTAGAACCACATAACATTTATTGTGAAATTTCCAAATTCTGTAATGATCAATTTATAAGGTATTGTCAGTATTATTGCATTATAGTAGTTTTCAAGGCTTAACTTTTATATTCCTAGAGTGCTCACTGTGTTGAATTCATTATAAAGACAATGTTCCAACATATATAAAGAAAAAGTAGAAGAGACAAGTCAACATACTGCCCTCATATTTTGGAACATTTTCTTGCAGTCTTAGCCTATTCCGTGCATTTACAGTTCTGTATCCTCCCTTAATACTAATTTAATTAGCTACTTCCATATTTTTTAATTTAAATTTTATTTTATTTTGTAATTTTAAAAACAAAGTTGAAAAATAGTCTTAGGAATACTTCAAACTGTTGGTTATTATATATTTCTGGTTATAAGTCTTTTTTTCATAAACAAAAAGTCTGAAAGAAGATTACACAAACATGGTAAAAAAAAAAAAAAAAACAGAAAAAACTGCTTTACTCACCATTACACACAGATAAAATTTATAAACTATGTCTCTGGATTCTTATTTATCTTTTCAGAAAGAAGCAATCTATAAACTATCCTTTCTTCTAGGAATGCTTTGACATTGACATTCCTGACCAGGTTTCTATGATGCATTGCTTCAGTATACTGATCCAGTATTAGATCCAATACTGATCTGATTTGTGTGGTCATTAGTAAGTCATACTGAATTACTATTTATAAGACAAATTTTCATTAACATGATAAAAATTAAGTTTCAACTGAGAATTAAAAAATGAATAAAAGAGAAAAATAAAGGATTAGATAATAAATACTACTTAATTCAACATGAATATTCATATTCAGTAAATTATGCTAAAATATTCATGTTAAATAAAATATGCTAAAATATTTATATTTAAAAATATGCTAAAATAAGGTCATTTCAAAGACATTAAAACAAACTGGCCTCCTAGAGTCATTCCAGACTGATGAGGAGAAGCTCATAGATCACTCATCATCCTTTGCTCAATGATAGCTTTGATTGATAGCATAAGATATCATCTTTGTATTTTATCTTGTTTAAATCTAAAGTCACACATCATAATATATTTCTATGTTAGCCACTTAGTGTAAGTAAAATAGTATATTTATGTTAGAGACTAAAAATTTATCATAACATCCCCCTAATCGGCATGCAATCCTTAAAGTGCGGCATCAACCTTATAAAGGGGAAAACGGATTACCTGCATACACATACGCGTACAAATATTCATACATCCACAAATTTGGATTCAGACTCATCTGAATTTTCAGCCTTGTGCTTTCCAGTCATACTGTTTCTTCTTTATATGAGAAGGCATAAGCATGAATATAACCATTCTTTTTGTGTTTGTTTTTGTTTTTAAACTCTTCTGTATCTAAGAGGTAAAAATAGATTCTTTTAAAAATCCCCTAATTAATAATAGTAATAACCAAGGTATGTACCCATGTGTAAGCAAATTATTGTAAGAAACTTCAGAATATTCTGTACCAATGTGTAAACATGTCATTGTAAGAAACTTCAAAATATTCTGAAGTAAACTTACAGTAACAACACCCATAAACTAATGTGTTCTGTGACAACTTAGAAAGCAATTCTTTTTCTGTGTGACATTTCATATAAACATGGTACCTTAATCCAAGTTTTATGATTTACTTACAATTATAATTTATTGACCAACATATTTTTTAAATAGACCATTTAATAACCGTATTACAATATGAATAATATCTAGAACATAAAAATATTCTGACTTTGGAGCTGGAGATCAGCCTGGTCAATATGGTGAAACTCCATCTCTACCAAAAATACAAAAATTAGCCAGTCATGGTGGTGGGCACCTGTAGTCCCAGCTACTTGGGAGGCTGAGGCAGGAGAATCACTTGAACCCAGGAGGCGGAGGTAGCAGTGAGCCAAGGTCGTACCACTGCACTCCTGCCTGAGCGACAGAGTGAGACTACACCTCAAAAAAAAAAAAAAATCATTCTGACTTTGAAATCTAATATTTTATGCCTTTGAATAATGCAGGAAAGTATTTAGAGTATAGATGATGAATTAACTAGTTGATAAGAGCAGTATACTAATGAGATTTTGGTTCCTTTACACTTCATTTAGTTTTGCATATCTTTTGCATATCTCAAAAATATACCCTTAAATCTTCAGACTGTGTGTCTTGGATTTCTATGTGTAATGTGCATGTGTATGTAGGTGTGTGAGAGACAGGAGTGAGCACACTGAATTAAGGTAAATGATCCTTATATCAAGAGCTATAAGTACATGTGTTTCTTACACTGGATTGATAGTACTGTTTATTTGAAAATGACATTTAACCATATTGCTTGTTAATTAAGTCACAACATTCTCTAAATCTAAAGTCTATTATGGTCTCCATTATATCATGTACAATTCTATAATTGATAAAATAATTTTAGTAGGTCTTTTCAGCAAATTTACCAGTGCTGATTCCAGGAATTAAACCTACTTATTCGATTGCTGTCCTGTGGCCTCAAAAAAAAAAAAAAAAAGTCACTAAACTGCAACGCATCTTACTAACTTGATATAATAAAAGCATCATATGTGTATCATAGAGCAGATATAGTAAAACAAAACATTCTTTTCCATTTTGGAAATTATTAAGAAACCAAATTTGATAGGTAGAGTGAATCCATGCGGAAAGCTCAGATAAAACAGTAAAACAATATAGATAGTGCTGCTCTGTAGAATTTTGATCCTGTTAAAATTTCTCTGCAGAATGTTACATAACTATCATCAATGACTGCTACACTGTTCACATTACAATAGCTACATTGTGTGACAAATGGAGAGTATATCTGTTTCAAGCATGCAATGTCCTATTAAAAGACTGATGCTTGGCCGTTATTCAGGCATCTCATTTCTCTCCTCAAAGTTAAAACACATATGTCATGATATTACTATTAATATTTCATGATTATACCACTACTTTTTCCTAATAAAATTATTTAGCATTTACTATGTCTAATTTTTACTTACCCAAAATTTATTTACACAAAATTTTATTTTGATGTTAATGTGATTAATCAAATACTATTTTGCTATGCCATCATTACTACTGATTACAGCATTTGCAAATATCTAAGGTAAGTCATTACAAGGAGGCCATTTTCAGGCATTTCTACTGTACCACAACGGTGGTGGGTTTTTGCTACCATAAATTTGTAATTTGTTAATGTAAACTAAAATATTTTAAGAGAACCCTTAAGTTCAATCTATATAAGCATGCTGATTTATAGTCAGTGAGCTATAGCAAAACAAGAAGCTAAGAGGCTTTAGAGAGAAGAGACTGGTGAGGTGGAAGTACATGGATGAGAAGAGCAGTAGAAAACCAAGATTTAACCAAGTTAAATCACAATCACGTGAATTTTTAATCTTAAAATCAATGTTCTTGAAACAGCAAACTGTAGAAAACGTTCTCTTTTCCACTAGGAAGTGCAAGAAATGGAGGAGGAAAAATGTTTACGAGTTACTGGGCACTCCTAATGAGAAGAAGATAATAGTGCTCCTTTTTTCTGCCTCTAGAGTAGAGGTGTTACCCATCACTATTGTCAAACCCTGTGGTCCAGTTTAATGAGTGCTCTCCTGAGTGGCTTTGATTAGCAAGATATTCTTTAAGTAAGTCTTCCTTCCTTTCTAGAGTATGATTCATGAGCTTTACAGAGAAGTTCATATGCTTATGAGAATTCCATGCAATAAATATGTGTGTGTGTGTGTGTGTGGAAAGGAACAAAGAATTGATGTTGGTGAGGAGGCAGTAGCCAAGTGAGCAAACACAAATAGAGATAATTAGTAACAATGAAAGATGAAATAATGACTACAGGATGAGTGGAGTTCATTAATTTTCCCTATTTCAGGCTTTAGCACCATTTAGCTGGAGAAAATATACATGGTTCAAATGACAGTAAAATATTTTAGTCTGTTTAAGATGCATTTATTCAACAACTATTTATTGTTTACCTATGGTATTTCAGGCATTGTGATCTCGGATAAACTTACTTTTCAAACTTTCTGATAAACATGAATTTTAGGACTTCCAAACATCCTGATAAACATGAATTTTAGCTCTTTTGCTTTTTTTTTGGAAACAGGGTCTTATACTGTTGCCTAGTGAGTGCAATGGTGTGATCACAGCTTACTGCATCCTGGAACTCCCCTGCTCATGCCCTTCTCCCACCAGCCTCCTCTGCTTTTTGTACTTAGTATCTTGTGAGTTCAATTTTTGAAAAATGTATAAAAGGTGGATGGAACGTTGTAATAAAAAAACACCCATGTAACTTAAAAATACACGAAGAAACTTTGAATTCAAATGTTTTACTTTGGAAATCAGACAGAGAAGCATTCCTACAGGGCTACATTTTCTCTTTGAAAGAACACCTGCTCAGCCCATTTGCCACACCTGAGAGATGCCTAGGCTATTTACATATCACGTTAACAATTTCAAAGATCTACAACCACCATAGGGATCAAAATTCTTTCCTGAGGCATTTTCTCAAAACAAGATCTATATTTACTAATTATTATGTAAGAAAATATTAATTGGGGAAGTAGTTGAAAGTATTGTAATTTCTCATCTAGTTTCTATGTGAGGTTCCAATATGAAAAACACATGAGTGGAAATTTGGAATAATTTTTACCAAGAAGAAAAAAATTGTCTTTACTGCAAAAATAATATAATATGAAAACAAAGATTATAACAATTATTACACATCATTTCATCTGTTGGCACCTAGGCCTTAATGCTTAAGAAGAAACACTTCAATAATTTTTGGTTGTTTATTTTTACTATTTTAAACAACTTTCTTTCAGATACTGTGATTAACAATGTTTTGGTTCAATAATCTTAATACTATGTTCAGAATTATTAGTTTAATATCAGCATAAGTTAGTTTATAATCAATACTCCAGGGGCAATTTTGTGGTCTTATGCAAAAAGTAAGATGATGAATGCATTTATGCTCTTTTCAACTTGGATTCTTTTTCCCAAAATTAGTAAAACTCTGTACTCTTCTTATTGCCTTAATTTGAGTAGATCAAATGGCAGTTACCCAGAGAATACCAGAGAATCCATAAAAGAAAAAGAGATAGGTACAATACACTCTCTCAAAAAAAAAATAGCTACACCTGGAGCTATAAAACTGGAACTAAATATTTTATAAGGAATATAAGAAAGACATCAACCTTTTTAGAAATATATCCAATAAAGACAATGCTTAAAACAAACTGAAGAATTACAAAAAACCACGTAGACTAAGAATTACGAAAATTTTTAAAACCAATATAGGACACAAACATTGAGAGACACAACAGAATAGCTAATGCATTTGGAAATCACAAGAAATAAACCCAGAATTGGTCAAAAAGAAGGCAACATCCCTACATATACTAGAACAAGTTTTACTGCAATTTCTTAGTAAAAAGGGAATCTGCAAACCCACTGTTACACATAATTATGTTCAGTTGATTGCAAAGTAAAATTTATAGTTTTCATTCCATAATGACTAAACATAAACATAATTCTTTATAGATTCCTAATAAAATAATCTTCCCAGGCATATTTGCAATGATGACCCCTGTGTTATTATTCTAGCCAAATTCTGGTGCCAGGAGTAGGAAGACAAAATAAGCAGATACTTCTCACAGGCTATTGTTTTTAACAAGGCTTATTTTTGTTTGGGTGCTCTACTTATTACATATGCATGCCTGATCTCTTGTGAAACTAAAGCCTTATAGGAATGTCAAGGTTAGAAGGGAGGCTCTGTAATTTTCCATTAGTCATCAGTTAGTAGATTCAAGCAGCAGAGAGTGTCTTTTGATAGGTTTACCTAGCTGGTGCCAAAGTCTGTTCAAATGTCCCCTAATGTTACTTACTTTTGTATTTGTGACTCAAAATACTACTGCCAAGGATTCTATGAGCTTTTCAAAACATTTCAATAAAAATAGGTTTGCAAATGCAATAGGAATGATTATATTAAGGAAAAAGTTCAAATAAATCTATAAACGAGTGGGGAAAAATGTACTTCCACGTAGATCATTAATTCTTAATAATGAGGATAATAAAAGTAAGACACTGATGATATACTATATACTTAACATTAGCTATGGGAAAATGATTAGCCAGTAAAAATACACAAAACACCAATCTGCACGATGAGCACATTCCGAGCAAAAGGTAGAGCAGAAATGAACCAAAATGGCAGGAAGAACAAGCCAGGAAAGTCGGAAGAAGAACAAGGATTACAGAATCCTGGCAAAGTGTTTACAGTTGGATTCTCTTGCAGAAGACATCAGTACCCACTTAAATGGCCATTTCGGCAAAACTCTGGCCCATATGCCTAGGGTCAGGCAGTGAAGGGGTAAAACCTACAACAGATGTGACCAGCTAAACAAAAGGGTACACTTGTGTGGAATTAATCCACCAAGTCTGCAGGACACAATTCTCATTTTTTTTTTCTAGTGTCTAACAGCATTCTCAAATTCCTTCTTTCAAGTATGTCATAGCTGCTATTATCATCTGATATCAGCTCTTTAAAGCTACTGCAACTTTGTCTGTTGGTTCCTAGGAATCAGTCTGTGTCTACTATCTGTTTCAAAATTTTGGATATCACACATGCCCATTTTCTGTCTTCTGAGTCTCTTTGTCCAATTATTCTTAAAATAAATCAGAAAATGACTAATAGTAAACATGAAAGAGAATTTAAGACAGATAACAACATTTTCATGATATTTACTACATGTATTCTATTTAAAAGTGATATCAAAATTATTTATGATCAGATCAAGCCAGGTATACAGGAGAAAATACAGCTACCCAAATATAGAGTCAAAGAGTCAAGTTCCATTAATTATTCACCCCTTTATTTTATTTTTCATAAAAGTGATTTATTTCAAATTATAGTAATATTAACATGTATTTCAAAGCCAACATATCATTTCTCTATTTTATGAAACGATATTGTGAAGATACTGCAATGAATGAGAAAGACACAAAGACACAAAAAGGGGCTTTAAAATTTACCCAGGTACTCAAGGTCAGAAGAGGCAATAGGCACAAATTCCAGGAAAACTGTTTGGGCAACAGAGATCAGAAAAGAAAGTAAAAAACCTAGGCAACATAGGCCAACCAAAGGCAAATCTTGTACACGATTAAAATTTAGAACCCAAGTCTGAATATTAATGGGAATTATAGGATACCAACATCAAATAGGGCCCTGAACTAATGAATTGGATTTGTAACTTTATTGTTTGAGGAAAAGAAAGTAAAGAGTTTTGAGCCTCATAAATGAAAAGCCAAGACAAATCAGAACCTCCATGCTGAAAGACAATGTAAGATAAAGAGAAAAAAATAGATTCTAATACTTTATCTAAGAACAAATTTTTAATAGTTTATTGAAGTGTAACTTACATATAATAAACTATGTATTTTAATTGATCAATTCAATGAGTTTGAGCAATTGCCCACAACCCTATAACTGTCACCCAAAACAAAATGAAGAATACTTATACAATCCCAGAAATTTCCCTTATGCTCATTTTCCTGTCAATTTCTACCTCTACCTGAGGAAACCACTTTCTGCTTTCTATAACCAAGTATTTATTTTGCCTTTTCTGGGAATTTGTATAAATAGAATCACATTATATGAATTCTTTGGCATCTAGATTTGTTTGCACAAAAAAAGTTCTTGAGATTTGTCCATGTTGCTTATACCAGTAGCTCCTTTTTATTGATGAATAGCATTCCATTATATAAATTACGAATGTGCAAATGTATGTCACCTTGCTTATCCCGTTGATGGATATTTGGTGTCTTTTTTTTCTCCAAGTTATGGCTAAGTATAAGGCTGCTATGAGTACTCATGTACAAATCTTTTTGTGGACATGTTTGATGTCCTTGTAGATCTCTGGGTCTAGAATGCATGTGTTTATAAGAACCTGCCAGTTCTCAGCCAGGTGCGGTGGCTCATGCCTATAATCCCAGCACTTTGGGAGGCTGAGACGGGTGGATCACCTGAGATCAGGAGTTCGAGACCAGCCTGGCCAACATGGTGAAACCCCGTCTCTACTAAAAAATACAAAAAAATTAGCCGGGCATGGTACTACTCAGGAGCCTGAGGCAGGAGAATTGCTTGAACCCAGGAGGCGGAGATTGCAGTGAACCAAGATCACGCCACTGCATTCCAGCCTGGGTGATAAGAGCAAAACTCCATCTCAAAAAAAGAAAAAAAAAAAGAAAGAAAGAAAGAAATTACCAGTTCTCTAAAGAATTGATTTTTACATCCCACTAGCAATACCTGAGTATTTTAAATTATTCCACACGTTTATCAATGAAATTTCCATGTACCCCATGCCCAGTTTCCCTATAACAGCTTACATTAGCAAGGTACATTTGTTACAATTAATGAACCAATAACGATACATTGGCCATACTTTATTCTGGTTCCCTTAGTCTGTACTTAATATACTCTTCCTGTTTCGGGATTCCATCCAAGAAGTATTATTACATTTAATTGTCATGTCTTCTTAGCCATGAAACTGTGACAGTTTCTCAGACTTCCACTCTTCCACTCTTTTTGACGACCCTCACAGTTTTGAAGAGTTCTGGTTATTTTGTAAAATAATTTGGTATTTTGTAAAATGTCCCTCACTTGGGATTTGTCTAATGTTTTCCTCATGACTAGATTGGGTGTGATGGTTAATTTTATATGTCAACTTGGGTGAGTCATGGTGCCCAAACGTATAATCAAACATTATTCTGGATGTTTCTGTGTGGTGTTGCTTGGATGAAGCTTATATTTAAATCAGTGGACTTTGAGTAAAGCAGATTGCCCTCCAATAATGTGGGTGGGCTTCATGCAATCAGTAGAAGGTCTGAATAGAACAGAAGTCTGCACCCCACAGCAACAGGGAATTCTGCTAACACATGGTTTTTGGACTTCAACTGTAACATTGGCTCTGAGTTTCCATCCTGACTGCCTTTGTACTGGAACTGCTACTCTTTCCTGAATCTCCAGCCTACCAGCCTCCCCCTTCAGATTTTGGACTCACCAAGCCTCCATAATCATGTGAGCCAATTTCTTAATATAAACCTCTCTCTCTATCTCTCATACACAGACACAGACACAGACACACACACACACACACACACACAGACACACACATTCTATTGGTCTATTTCTCTGGAGAATCCTAACCAATCTTAGGGAGGAAGACTCAGAAATCTTGGGGAGAATCCTAACCAGTCTTGGGGAGGAAGACTCAGGAAAAAAAAAGTGTCATTCTCATCACACTATATCTACGGTACATAATATAAACATGACTTATCCCTGTTGTCAACCTTGATTATCTGGCTGAGGTAGTATGGGTCAATTTCTAAACTGTGTTTACCATTTCCCCCCTTTCTATACTGTGTTCTTTGGAAGGAAATCACCATATGCAGCCCGCACTTAGGAAGTAGGGAGTTATGTTCTGCCTCCTTGAAGGTGTTATATTTACATAAATTATTTGGGGCCAGGTGCCGTGGCTCATGCCTGTAATTCCAGCAATTTGGGAGGCTAAGGTGGGAGGATCACTTGAGACCAGAAGTTTGAGACTGGCCTGTGCAACACAGTGAGACCTCACCTCCACACATACAAAAATAATTTTTTTAAAAATTAGCCAGGTGTGGTGACACACACCTGTGGTCCTAGCTACTCCAGAGGCTGAGGTGAGAGGATTACATGAGCCCAGGAGGTCAAGGTTGCAGTGAGCCGTGATCTTGCCACTGAACTACAGCCTGGGTGACAGAATGAGATCTTGACTCAAAAAAAAGTATATAAATATATATATATATATACATATATATATATATAAAAATATGTATATATATATATATTTGGAATTCTCCTACATAGGAGATTTGTCTATTTCCCCCCACTCATTTCCTCAGTCATTTATTCATATCAGTAAGAACTCATGGATGTGTATTTTATAATTTGGTTTATCATCCAATGCCACTTTATTTATATCAATATTATTGCTCAAAGTATACCAGTTTTGGCCATTGGGAGTTCTTTCCATTGCCTCCTGTGTCCCTTTGACAGACCCTCATTACTCTCAGTTTCTGTGAGTTGTGTGTATGCACTGAATTTGCTAATATTTTATTAACATATTTGCACCTCCATTTTCTTTTCTGATAATATATTTATCAGGTTATGATTTCAGGGTTATGCTGCTTCATAGAGCAAGTTAGGAAATGTTCCCTCCTCTATTTTTAAAAGGAGTTATTCATTTATTTAAGATTGGTTTTATTATACTTCTTCACTTAATGTTTGATATAATTCACTGGTAAAGCCATCTGAGATTGAGTTTTCTTTGTGAGAAAGTTACAATCACGAGTTCAATCTCCTTAATAAAAACAGGGTTGTGCAGATTTTTCTATTCCTTTGTCAATTGGGCAAGCTATATTTTTCAAGATATTCATTCATTTTTATCTAAGCTAATGAATTTACTAACACAAAACAGAGCTTCTCCACCTCAACATTATTGGCATTTGGGGCCAGGTAGGTCTTTGTTATGATAGGATAGTGTGTACTACAGGATGTTTAGCAGCTTCCTTGGCCTGTGTCCACAAGTTGTGTAGTAACTTTCCTCCCGGGTTGTGACAACCAAACTATTTCCAGATATTGCCAAATATCCCCCCTGGGAAAAATTACCCCCATTTGAGAGCTACTGTCATAAAGTTATTCATAATATCCCCTTGTTATGTCTTTAATGTTTGTAAGATTTGTAATGATGTCTCCTCTTCTTAAAATGATATTAGTAATTTGTGTTTTCTCCACTATTTCTTTGTTACGGGTTTGTTAATTTTTTCAAAGAACTGACTTTTGACTTTAATTTCTCTATCTTTTATTTCACTAATTTCTACTTTTATATTTACTATTTCATTTCTTCAAGTTGGATTTTATTTTGTCTTCTGTTTCTTAATGTAGACACTTAACTAGTTCACTGTAAACCTTCATTTTTTATTCTAGGCATTTAATGTTATAAATTTCCATTTTACTGGTAATTTGGGTGCTTCTAACAAATTTTGATAGACTTCTTATCATAGAGTTCAAAATATTTTTCATTTTACTTGTGATTTCTGTGACTCGTGGATTACTCAGAAGCAAAATACTTAATGTCTATATATTTTGGTATTTTCTAGATAATTTTCTGCCACTGATTTTTATTTTTGGCCATGGATCATATACTCTATGATTCTGATCTTTTGAAATTTATTGAGACTTCTTTTTTGTGTGCTGTCATCTGATTAGTTTATCTTGTTGGGTGTTCTTCGTGCAGTTGAAAAAAAATTGTGCTTTTTAGTTGATGGATATCATATTCTATTAACTCAATTATGTCAAGTTAGTGGAGAGTGTTAATGAAATCTAAATTTACCTGATTTTTATTATTCTATTAATTACTTATTATAGACTTGACTATTTCCCCCATTTAATTCTCTTAAGTATTTCTTTGTGTCTTATAATTGTTACATATTCTTAAATAATGAAGACTTTTATCATTATGAATGTGCTTCATATCTCTGGTAATACTATGTGTCTTGATGTCTTACTTTTCTGATATTAATATGGTCATATCTTTCCTATGCTTATTGTTTTCATGGTATATTTTCCCCATCCTTTTATTTTATGCATTTTTTTAAAAGTTTGCCTTCAGTCAGCCTGGGCAAAATAAAGAAGTCCTGTTTCTACAAAAAGTAAAATAATTAACTTGGCATAGTGACATGTGCCTGTAGTCCCAGGTACCTGAGAGGCTGAGGTGGGAGGATCACCTGAGCCCAGGGAGATCTAAGGTGCAGTAAGCCATGATTGTGCCACTGTGCTCCAGCCTGGACGACAGAGTAAAATCCCATCTCAGGAAAAAAAAAAAAGTTTGCCTTCAATAACAAATTACTACTTAAAAATGTAAGAAGGCTGCAACACTATAATTCTATTTACACTCTCTCCTATACAATATGGCTTCATTGCCATGTATTTTACTTCTAGATATGTTCTAAACCCAAAATATACAGTTATTAGTTCACTTTAGTCAATAATTTTTTAAATATATACGTCTCTATAGATAAATATGTAGAGATATGATATATGGGATACACATAGAATGAAGACAATACAAAATGTTTCTGTATGTTTATTTATGTATCAGGACTTCCATCTGGTGTCATTTCACATTAGCGTAAAGAGTTTCTAGACATTCTGCTGGAGGTGTTCTGGAATAAATTTGCTCAGCTTCTGTCTGTATGAAAATAGCTTTCTTTTGCTTTCAATTTTTTTTGCTAGACATTGAATTTAAATTGATATATTTTATGTTCTTAGACACTTCAAATATGCTATTCCATTTTCTATGGCCTCCATCACTTTTGATATAGAAATTAGTAGTGATATTATTATTGTTTCCCAGTATGTAATGTATATCTTTCTTAAGACTAATTTTAAGGGTTTTTTTATTTGCTGTTTCCCTAGGTTTAGTGTTCTTTAAATTTGTTTTTTGTTTTGTTTTGTTTTTAGGATTCACTGAATTTCTTGAATATATGGATTTACATATTCAGTCAGTTTTGGAGATTTCTAAGTTTTTATCTTTTCAATATTTCTTCTATCCCCTTTCTGCTCCTTGGATTCCAAGTACATATGTGCTAAATGATTTGATATTATCCTAAAGATATCAGATGCTCCCTTCCATTTGTCCTTGATTTTGCTCTTTATATTCAGTTTATATAATTTCTACTGACCGTCTCAAGTTTACAGGTTTTTTTCCCTCTGTTATGTCCAATTTGGTGATAATGCTAAAAAGTGAACTTTTTACTTCTAATATTTATTTCTAATATTTCAACTTGCTTTTTATAAATAGTTCCCATCTTTTTGCTAAAATTCCCTGTCTGTTCATGCATGTTTTCCATTTTTTATACAGATGCTTTAACATATCTATCAAAGTGATTTTAAAGTCTCTGCCAGATAATACCAAATCTGGGCCATTTCTGTATTTTCCCCTATTAATCATTTTCTCTCTTGACCATGGCTCACATTTTCTTGCTCCTTCATGTCTCATAATCTTTATTATATGCTAGATATTGTATAAAAGAAAACAGTAAATAACATGTACCTCAAAAAACATCTTGCCATTTTTTCTATCAAGATTATTGTTTGGAAGGCTGAATCAAATCTTTCAACAGTGAGTCAAAAACCCACATTCTGGGTTTTGTTGAAGTTTTGATTCAGTTTATTTACTATTGCTTTCAAATATGCTTGAGTTCTTGGCACTGGCAAAATCTCAAGATTAATGTGCACCTACTAGCTCATTCCACCAAACTATTCAATACTTTCTTAGCTCAAACACCTAGCTTCCAATATCTCCACAGGTTGTTCTGTTTACTCTCCAGTCTTGCCGGTCATTTCTGTGCCTCAGGAGAATCCTGGGCAGCCTGCCACCCTGCCTCCAGCCTTCACAGAGCTGCTGCAGTACACTGGTTAAAGGCCTAGAATCTGCAAAGAAATTTCTTCAGCATTCATGCCCTACCCCATGCCTTTAACATATGACATTTGAGCACTTAATGAAGACCTTTAGGAGAGAATTGGAGAGTGAGTGCACACTCGTTCTATCACTGGAACGACATGAGATTGTAATCTATCATCCTGGTCCACACACAGGGGTGTCATTCGGCAGGTCTCCCTTCGGCCCTGTTTATGGTGCATTCCTCCTTCTCCCACTGTTTTGTAGGTGATTAAAGCAACTCTAATTCTATTCTCTCTTAGGAAGCTCTCCTTATCTTTTGGATTTAAGTGTACTTAAATTTGCGTCCTCATTTCTTTGATAAGTTTTTTAAAAATGTTTAAAAAAAAAAAAACCTTCTCTAGCTTGTGTTTGTTGTGAAGAAACAGTCTTTTATAACATAAATCCTAATTGGACTCTGTGTTTTCCTTATTTTATATTCGGAACACCTCCTCAAGGATTTCTGGACCCAATTCTCCTCTTTTCAGCAGCAGTGATGATCACTTAGCAAAAGAGTGAAAATACCCTCTTTTCCCCCCCTAACCAGTTAACTTTACTCACCGTCATCACTTATCTTTGTGTAGTAAAAGTTGAGGACAGAATTCACTCTTCCAAATTTAATACAGATATTCATGCCACAGTGGTTAATAGCTGTAGCTTTGCAGTCAAAATATCCGAGTTCTAGTTGCTAGCTGTGTGGTCATGTGCAAGTCATAATACCTAGGATCCTCTATTTCCACTGTTTGAAATAAGATATGGGATAATAACAGAACCTAATCCATAGCATTTCTATAAAAATTAGATGATATAAACTACTTTACACAATGCCTGGCACAACAAATTCATTCATTGGCCAAGTGTTATTGAACTCCTAAAATTATTCTTACTAGAAATTATGATTATGACAAAAACCCTACAAAAGATGACTTGAATATTTGGGAAAGAAAGTTTTAACACATGGGAAAGATTAGCTCCATGCAGGTGTGAAGCAAGATGAATGAGACAGAGGAAATATAGAAGATCCTGCCTAAGAAGGAGTACAGAGACATAACCAAGAGTTTCAGATAGGTAAGTTATTTGCAGAAATTAATAAAGACCTCTGCTTTTAAAATAATTGGAATGACAAAGATGTGTCAATAGAGTCAGGAGTTTACTGCCTGTGAATGTAAGTCAGGTGGCACAGCGGGAAATGGTAGTTTTGCTAATGGTAGTTTTGCTATGTATCTGGGGCACTATCTCTGAAAATCAGCCAGACAAACTTCAATCTTTTCAATCCCTGGTTTCCAATGTAACCTATCCAGGTTTCTAACATAATCTGACCAGCATATCAGTGGAAGGGGGTGAGCTGAGAGAGACTTATATATTAACATTTGACAAATTATATGTTTCAAAATAATTATGTTCCTTTTCTGCTTATAATTTTTAACAGCTAATTTCTAGAAAAGTAATTTTTGCAAAATTTTTAGTTATGGCTGACTGCTATTAGGATTTGGGTGATTTACCATTAAAAGAGATAAAAGAGAATTGAAATGAGAGATAAGGCTGTTTTCAAGATTTAGTACAACCTAGAGAAATCCCTTAGCTTCAGCATCATACTAAATATAACCAGAAATCATTAAGAAAGAATGTTCTTCTATTCAAACTTATCCCAGACTGTTAAAATTACTGGCCTTTATATCTGATAGCACCTAGACCACTACTGAACTCGGAACTCAAGAAATCACTGTTAATCAAATAATTGGAAGCTTTTCAGAAAATTTTCCTTTCAAAATGTGCTTCAATGAAAAATAAGGCATAGGAACAAATGTACCAAACATTCAATATCTGTCTTTAAAGTACTTCCTTGTTATATGGATGATAAATTTGTAATCATAATATCTAATATTTACTGATTGCTCTGCAGGTATCAGCTCCCATCCATAACCCTTTGAGACAGACATTATTACTATCTTCATTTTGCAGATAATAAAAATTAGGTATAAAGAAGGCTAAGTATTTTGCCCACTCTTACAGAGATTTTGTATATCTCTGTCAGGCTGGGCTCATTTTCAGGCCATATGGCTCCCAAGGCTGTGTTCCCAACCCTGCTACTGAACTGCTTCTTACAGCAACATTCTCCCAGGAAGACTTATTCCTATGTGAATTCCAGGAATTTGGATAAGGAACTGTGCTATATGGCCAGCACGTTTTAAGTTAAATGATGAGGTTGAGAAAATACTAAATACTCCCTTAAGAATTAAAGAAAAAAGTAACTTTTTCACTTAAGAATAATATATATTACATTATAGAACCATTTGCCTATTTAACAATAATAAAGAAAAAACATCCATGCTCTCAAACTACAGGCAACTGTTTATATTTTGTATATTTCTTTCCATTTCAAGGCAGATATGTAATATATTTATATCTATATGTTATCTATATGTGAATATAGTTTACATCCTATTACAATACCTCATATCCTATACTTTGCATCCTGATTTTAATTTTATATCACTCCGCGTATAACAGCCTTATAAGATGGTTTTTACTGGCTTTATAAAAACTCAATAGATGGCTATTCCATAATTTTAAAAACTCAGTAATTCCAAGGGGAACATCATATCTCCACAGGTGGACTGTCAATAATTTTGAGAAAAATTTTCCCCCATGATTCTGATTTGTTTTAACCAACCTATTAATTTTGAAATTTCAAACAGTGTTAATGGAAGACACCCTGACCCTTCCCTTTGGAAAATATGGGCTAAATAAAAGCGGTTGAAAAATAATGATTTTATCAATGTCCCTTGTTGGACATTCAGTTTATTTAAATGGATACACCTCATACCCAAATCTTTTTAGAGTTCTCATTAGGTTTAGGATACTTCTGAAAGGGTGGAATTGCTGGACCAAACGATGTGAACATTTTAATAGTCTTGATACATACTGACTGTCTGCCAGAAAACTTAGGAGTTTTAAATCTCCGACAACATTGTATGAGAAAGCTCATTATCTCACATATGGATCTACAGTAATCCTCTTAAATTGTATATCGTTCTGACTTGTATTTCCTACTTTTACATAGCTTCATTTCCCAATTCCTGTTAGAATTCCCTGATTCTAACAGGATCACACTGATCCTGTTAGAAGAGAGAAATATATGACTCTCACTTCCTTGCTCCTGTGACTGTAAGAATGCCTACCATTCATTAAACGTTAAACTCTCCGCAGGAATGAGACTAGAGTGCCCTTAATATTATTACCGGCATCTCATTGATCCCTCAAAACGACTCCTTGTCGTTGTTCTTATCTTCTAAGTGAAATGACCTAGACGTTGGGGGAGGGCAGCCCCAACCCACAGCGAAGAGCTTAAGTACTGGGATCCGAGACGGGATTTCACACACCTGTAACTAGCACCAGAGTTAAGGGGTGGGGAGGGGCAGCGTGGGCAAAGCGAAACGAAACCGAGCAAAAACAAAAACTACGGCCTTGCCGCTTGCTGTCTCCTTCTAGTTGGCCAGTTTCTAAATTAAAATAGAGGTAGCTTTGCTGCTGTCAGCGGCGTGTGTACGGACCAGTTTATTCCATTCCTAAGGACCAGACTGTCAGCGACAACTCGCATTGCGTGAGCGAGGAGGCTGCTCAGCTGAAAGCTGAGGCAGATGGTGCACATTTATACCCTTTGCAAAAGGAAATGGTCTGATATGGGAAATAGGAGGAGCGACTGTTCCTAGGTAATTCGTGGCTACAGTGGACACTTTGAAGTCTGGGGGACGCGAAGGTAATGAAACCTGAAGAGCGCACAATCTCACACGATCGACGCCTCTGGGCTCAAACAGGAGGAAGAAGGACGCATGCGTCACGCGCACGCCAGGGGTGTCCCTCCGGGAGCGCTCTGCGCAGGCGCGGACGCAGGTTACAGCAGCGCTTGGCCTCTGCTGATGCCGTCGTTATCCTACCCCTCCCCCGTCCCAGCTCTACGGCGGCCGCGCGCTCCAGGCCGGTCGCTCCACCCCCCGGCTCCCGGGACTGTGGACTCCACGACCCTGTCCTCGGCCCTGTCCGCGCCGAAGCAGCCCGGGACTGCGCAGCGCCCCGCGTGCCGGTGAGCGACCCCGGACGTGCAGTCCCCAGGTCCCCTTCCGGAGCGAGGCTGAGCGGCTGCGCCGCGGCTTGAGCCGGGCCTGACAAGGAGGGGAGGCCGCTGGGGTGCTGGGCCAGCCGCAGGTACGGCGGCGGTCAGGGCTGGTGATCGAGTTGCTGTGTCGCCTCTAATGAGGCCCAGCCAGGGAACACTCGGCTTCGGCCCAAGCCCTACCTCTGGGTTGCCTCTAGGCCCTCACACCTTGAGCGCCAGGTGGCCCTCTTCCTTTTGCTGTTGATGAATGTTCTTGCCGTGGTGCCGGGATCTTATTTTGCAGCTTTACAGAGTAGGCTTTGTGCTAGGTGTTGTTTATGGAGCTTTTCAAAGGCGCTTGTTTCCTTAGTTCTCAAGCCCTTTTAGAACTAAAACCAGTGTCTACACAGAAGATCAGGAGCCATTTAAATTGGAGTGCTGTGATATATTTTTTCTCTCCAAACTGAGTCTGATATCCATGTTGACTTTCAGTAAACTAAGGAACCGCTATAATAAATAACACTGAGCCCACAGAGGTTGCAGAAGAGGGTCTAGCACCCCTTTTTTAAACCATTGAGTCTCCCAAGAATAAAAGTGGTTACACTTGTCAGTTCTCTAAGGAAAATCTAGTAGAGAAGGCAAGGGATTCCCAGTTTCTCACAGAGTCTGGCACTTGTCCAAACACCTACCCTAAAGCAGAATCGATCATGGCAGCTATTAGATTAGGACAGAAAACAGGCTCAAACGGAGAGCCACTTGAGTCTGCCTTTCTGTGTCTTTTTTCTCAACGCGCTCCAGTTAAGATGCAGCTTACAGCCTGGCTGTGTTGACTGAGATCCCAGAAAGAGTGCCCTTAAGGCCTTGCTGATAAGGCCCAATGATCCCAATTCATCTAGTGTTCCGCATAGACCCCAAGGTTACAGTGTGTGGGGACAGTGATGTTAAGTCTTCCCTATCCTACCTGTGGCTGACAGGTGTTGATTAAGACAATGATTTTTTAGAAGTCATAAATCATTTGTATTTTTGATGTGGGCAGTGATTTTTATAAATACATAGTTTTTTTTTTTTGAAAGAGTGAAAATCTCATTTTACATTTGTTTGCATACCATTTGTATAGTTTTTTAAATTCTGTTTATTTGAGTGACAGCAACAAGTGGATGGCATGCGAATTTTATTTATTTTTTTATCTTTGTATTTATTTTGTGTATATTCATGGAGTACAAGTGCCATTTGCTACATTGATACACAACATCCTGGTGAAGTCAGAGCCCTTAGTGCATCCAGCACTGGAGCAACACACATTGTACCCACCAAGCAGGCTCCTATCAGGCATGCCAGTTCTAGAAAGTAAAATTTTCTTCATACTCTAGGATGAACTGACTTACTTGGAATGTCTGTTTTGTTTAATCAAATAAGTGAGAATTTTTGAAAGAAATACTATCTGTCTGAATGTATGTAATCTATTTTTAGGAACCGCTAAAAGACATATCAAATTTAGAAGGAGTATAATTATGTTATTTTTCAGTTTTACTTTTTCACTTTATTTTTTCTCAGGATATAAGCAGGAAAATACCAGCAGGGTGTATTATATGACTGTTAAGTTCTTTTCAGCTTTAAAAGGGTATGACCTTAAGTATAAAGTTACTTCATTATCTACCTGCAGAAGTTATTTTTGTGTAGGCACTAGTACTAATTATTTATTTCTACTTAGATTTTTACATTTGTATTGTTATTTTGATACTCTTATCCTAAAATTTTTGAAGTTAGTGTTCTAAATTTTGCTGCTTTGTATTGGTAACTTATATTTAATATTTTGGAACATTGGCTTCATAATTTTAACTGTCAACTGTTGAATGAAAAAAAAACTGTGATTTTGGAATTTTGGGGCTTTTTATTGTTGTTGCGAGTGTTTAAATGTTTAAAGCAAGAAATTTAAGGATGGAAAAGAGTGGTGATTGTATTTATCACAAAGGTGCGTGAATTTTCAGAGGCTGAAACGTACTACTTTGAAGTTACTTGGTGATATACATCAAATACCTAGTTATCGTCTACCCAAAGCAATTTTTGCCTTTAGTGCTAACTAGTTAAAAGGTAGAATGTATTTTTATTTTATTTTAAGAAAAATGAAACCTGCATGTTTCTTTTCAGAGAACCTGCAGGTGTAGACTTTTGTCAAATGTTAATGTTTGAAAGCCCATTCTCATCATAAGCATGATAGGACATCATTTCACATTATTTGTTTAAAAAAACACTTCTGGACTCTAGTAAATGGCTCCTTTGTTTCAGACATTATTTTGATTGGATATAATCCTAATCCAAAAGGTATAATCCAAAAGGTAGTTTGAACATTCTCTTAATGTTTGTTCTGTAAACCAAAAATAAAATTCTGAGCCCCCCAACTAAGTGGAACCCGCTTCTCTGTCAAGGGCATTCCAAAGTAAACCTAAAAAGGTAGTTCAGGCCATGATGAAAAGGTGGGTGGAGGGGATTGAACATGCCCCGTTGTACCTTCCTCTCTTTGGAATTCAGGCACAACTGACCAGCATCAATTAAAACAGAGATTTGAAGACTAACAAGAGTCTCTTTGTAGCAATAAGATATCAAATCCCAACCTGACTCTAATATAGAATCACTCGACAGATAGCAGGCCCTGAGAGAAATTGAAATATCTTACCCCAAAATATATTTCTTTGAAATGGCCTTGCAAAGCTGTCTCTCGTGGGGAAGATCCACATTCTGTACAGAATCCCCTTTCCTTTCCAGATCTTTTCCTAATTCAGCAGCGATTTAACCAAGAGCCTGGAATATTTTAAGGAGTAATAAGAGACATTTACAAACTATTCTCTCTGAAGCCTGCTACCTGGAGGCATCATCTAGATAATCAGAACCTTGGCTTCCACATCCTCCTCCCTTGTCTTAACTACAAACATTTCTTTCTGCTGACTTCAACTCCTCAGGTAGAGTTTAACCGTTTCAACCAATTGCCATTAGGAAATCTTTAAATCCACCTATGCACCTATGACCTGGACACCCCCCAGCCTTCCACCCCTGCTTCAAAATGTCCTGCTTTTCTGGGCTGAATTAATGTATACCTTACATCTATTGATTTATGCCTCTGCCTGTAATTTCTGTCTCCAAAATGTATAATCAAGCTGTAACCCAACTACCTTGAGGACATTTTCTCAGGACCTGTTGAGACTGTGCCTCAGGCCTTGTTCACTCATTTTTGGCTCCGAATAAATCCCTTCAAATATTTTACAGAGTTTGACTGTTCCTTGACTGTTCTAAATTAATTAGTGTAAATATCTCAGAGTGTTCTTGAATGTACTTTTTTCCCTGAAGTTTACTGTAAGATTTTTATTTTTCTTTAGACATGGGAAAGTCTCTTTCTCATTTGCCTTTGCATTCAAGCAAAGAAGATGCTTATGATGGAGTCACATCTGAAAACATGAGGAATGGACTGGTTAATAGTGAAGTCCATAATGAAGATGGAAGAAATGGAGATGTCTCTCAGTTTCCATATGTGGAATTTACAGGAAGAGATAGTGTCACCTGCCCTACTTGTCAGGGAACAGGAAGAATTCCTAGGGGTATGTGTTATTGTATTGTTTTCCCTTTAAATGATTTTAGGTATTTGCTCAAGTATTATAAAAACTGTGGGTCTCAGGAACCACCTGTTTTAGAGGACTCTTAGAATTAAAGTTGAAACATCATATCAGTTACCTTCAGTCAAAAAGATGCAAAAGAAACAAATAAAGTATTAATTAAGGTTCCTAAAGCAGTAAAGAAAACCACCTCACTACCTCCAGTATTTTTTCATTCCCACCTGCTATTATAGCAGATATTCACTGTCTTGTAAATGAAAACTTTTAGTCCTATTTGGCATCTGTAGAGATGACATCATAGTTACTTGCTACTTTGCTATATCAGATGTTAGAAGCAATTTAAGTAATTTGTTGACCTATTTTTTTTTTTTTTTTAAGAGATGAGATCTCGCAATTGTTGGCCAGGCTGGTCTTGAACTCCTGTCCTCAAGCAATCCTCCCACCTCGGCTTCCCAGAGTGCTAGGATTATAGCAGTAAGCCACCATGCCCAGCCAGAGTTAATGTGTAAGGAAGCTTATTCTTTCATGTTATTTTTAAAATTTTATTTTTTTAATAATAAGGATGGAGTTTCCCCATGTTTCCCAGGATGATGTCGAATTCTTGGGCTCAAGCGATCATCCAGCCTTGGCCTCCCAAAGTGTTAGAATTACAGCTGTGAGCCACCACGCCTGGCCAACCTAATATTTTTAATTCATTATCTAAAGAAGAAGAATAAGCTGGCTGTGCCCTAATGAGTTAAAGAAACTCTGTGAAGAGGGATGGTACGTGAAAATGAGCCAAATTGAAAAAAAAAAATTGTTTGTGATATATCATAGGGGACGTCAGAAGGAAATAATCCCCTGTGTGCTGCTTGTAAGCTACTTTAGGAACAGTGGCAATAAGTAGAAATAATAAAGATACTTTATGCTGTTCTCATTATCTTCTTGGTGAAAGTTGATGTGTGACCCTGGAGATACCCAGAGGGAAGAAGGTCAAAGTATAAAGTATACTTTGTGTACCTTTTTAAGATGCTTAAAATGTATCTTAAAATGCTGTGGGTTTGAATTGAAGTTTACATTTGCGTTGGCCTTTGAGTATGATGGTTTTATTTTCACAAGGATAGTAGCTATTTAAGAATAAAATAATTATTGTAGTTGAAGGGATTAATGCACCAGGCTCAGGGGGTAGGGGAGTACTGTTTTAGCAGTCTGGTTACATTTTTGAGGTATGACCAGTAAACTTTTTTGGCCGCCTGGATACAGATTATGGAAAGTAGGAAATCAAGGATGACTCCAGAGTTTTTTTGGGGGGGTTTGTTTGAGCAACTGAAAGAATGTAGTAGCAATTTATTAAAATTGAAAAAAAAAAGATTATTTGAGTGTATATGTCACAGGAGAGTTCAGGAGCTCAAGTTTAGACATGGATATTTGGAGATGCCTATTTGACGTGGAAGTGGATATGTTCATTAGGCAGTTAGTTATCATAAGGGTCAGGAATTCAATTGCAGCGCCCAGCCTCAAGTTACCAATGTATAGATGACACTTAAAGCTCAGCTGGATGACAGCAGCAAGCTAGTCAGTGCAGATGGCAAAAATGAGACCCTAGCGAATCCTGAGACACTGTAGCATATCAAGGTCAGTGAAAGAATTAACAAAGGACCCTGAGAAAGAAAAGTTAGAATGAGAGGAGGAAATCATTGTGTGTGGTATCATGGAAGATAAGTGAAGAAAGTGTACCAAGGAGGAAAGAGTGACCAACTGTCATATGCTACTGATAGATTGGGTAGTGTGAAGACTGAGAACTGGCCATTGGATTTGGTTATATGGAGGCCACAGAAGAGTTTAAAAGAGCGGTTTTGGTAAAGACGTGTAGCATGTATAGAGTGGGCTCAAGAGTGCATAGGAGATGTTACATAGAGAGAAAATAGATTTTCTGAGGGGTTTGGCTCCATAGCAGAGAGAAGAGAGGTAGTCATTAGAAGGGGCTGTGAGGTCAGGAGAGGGATTTTTTTTTTTCTTTGTAAGATAGAGTGAATAATAGACAGTTGTATACTGATGAGAATTATCTGTAGAGAAAACATTGGTAATTCGGGAGATAAGAGAATTATTGGAGCAATGTTCTTGAATAGACAGAAGGGCAGATCTACTGCACAAGAACAAAGAGCTGCTCTTTTTTTCTATAAAAGGTAAGTTATAAGCACAGGTGGTTTATTCTTGGTAATAAAAGAGAAGGTAAAGTATGGACACAGAAGCAGGTAGGTGGATAGATCTGATAATAGAAGCTTGTAGAAATTATCTTCCATTTATCACATAATGAACTAAGAATGAGGATAGCGAAGAAGATATTAAAGATTTGAAGAGAGTTGAAGTTATAAAATTGTGGTCTTGGAGAGTCAGCTTGAGAGTATGAACTTGGGAAATGTAGTATGATTGTTGACATCATTAAGTGCTACTTGACATGAGTGATCAAAAATGAAACCAGTGAGTGTAGTTGTGTGTTTTTCTGTGTCCATGTTTAGCTCTGTTGATATATGCATAGGAGCCAGAGGGTTGGTTTTAACCAGGGTTGTAGTTTTAGCCAGATGAATACCACTAAACAAGGTGAGATATGTAAACACACAAAGATACAGATATCCATGTTATATGTATTTGTATAATTATATATGGGTGTGATGGGGGAGCACAGATGAGAGGAAGAGTATAGATGTGTCGGGGGAAATAACAGAAGCATTTTAGAAAGCTTTTAAAGAGAACTTGACTATCTGATACCTTAATAGTTAATATGATAAGCCAACTTCTAATAAGATTATAAAATTGGCATTTAAAGGTCCATTTATCCTTTAAACTTATGGATATAGCTCAACCCAAGAAAGAAATCACGGATTTTGAAGTGACTTTAACATGGATTGGGGTGAGACCTGAAAGGGCCCTGGAAGGCTCATTATGTAGGGGGCTCTTAAAGCTTGAGACTTCTACTTCAGAGGCCGGTTTTGGTTTTCAAGGGGGACAATGTCAGAAGCTCTGCAGTGATAGAGATGATAGAGGTTTCAGGAAAGGGCGATACCAATATGTTTCTTCTTTTATCATCCAGACAACCAAATCAGAGTCTTAATGGACACCAGTGAAGCTGAAGGAAGGCCTGGTAAATTTAGCTCTTCTGAAAGCTAGGACTTAGATTTTTTTTAGTGGAAGAAAAAGTAAGCCCTCATTTGTTATACTTTTTTTTTTTTTTTTTTAGCTAGACATTTACGTGTGAAAAAACACGCTGTCTTCTCTAGAACTTCTGCTGGATACTTTCTGAAGACTTAGCAATTTACTAAAGGAAAGAGATGAGTGCCAGATGATATTCTGGTCTTTCCAAACCAGATTGTGATGGGGAGCCATTATATTTTTAACTAATCATAGTAATTTCTGAACTTACTTCTTTCACATTTAGGGCAAGAAAACCAACTGGTGGCATTGATTCCATATAGTGATCAGAGATTAAGGCCAAGAAGAACGTAAGTGATTCTAAGAATATGGCAGTGTTTTATGTTTTATTTTTGTTTTTTGTATTTTTTCAAATTATGTATAATAACTAGTTAAAACTATTAAAAGAAAAAATGCTGTCACGTAGTTAAATTATGTCATCATATGCTTTGTATCCTTAAACAGACAAGAAAGGATTTTCTGGTTGGGGTAAGGTCTTGAAAGCAGTATGGTATCTTTATCTTCTCAAATCTATGGAAATAGATCTAGAATAGCAGTACAAACACACACACACATAAAATTTTCATTAAAAATTGGATAATAAGGTGTACTCCACAACCCCAGGATAAAAATTGGTATTTAAACATGGTGACAGCAGGGACCCCAACGGCCTTAGCAGCTGTGTGGAGGTTGTGAAGGAAAGCAAAAAGAGTTACTAAGGATCATATGAGCCCTGATACACAAAGCAAATACTTTGTCCCAAAAGAAGAGGACACCCAGCAAATATTTCCAAGAATAATCTGTAAAAATGACAAGATTTGCATGCTCTAGCTTGGAGAAAGTGCAAAAAGACCACAAGAGACCTGCTAAGTATCTTCGAGATCAGAAGGAACTGGACCATCCTAAATCCTCAGAGACGTTAGGAAATGTGGAAGCAAAAATTATTGCAAAAGGATACAAATACATATCCTCAAGAAAAAAGTTGAGTAGAATCCAATGTTTACAGGACAGGAGTTAGGAAGGAAGGAGAGAACAGATTGACATATTAGGGAGATCATCTCAAAACTGTGGAGATAAATATACATGGAGGCCATATTTTCAAATACTTTGTATATCAACAGAGGATGGAGCCCTTGAACAGTGAAGCTAGCAAAGCAACGCTGGCATATTCCATCACCGCAAATGAAACCTTTTCTTGAAAGTACAAAAGCTCTTTTCATTTAAACATGAGCACCTGGAAAGGATTGCAACAAAGCATTATACAAATATACTTTTTAAGAAGTTGAAGAAAGTAAGCTAAGCAAAATACTGACACTTTAATAAAGGCATGTGAAAAGAGCAGATGAACACTTTAACTTAATACTATAAAAGCTATAACAGGACAGCATAAGGCAGAAATTGAGAAGCTCAGAAATGAGATAACTAAACAATGGGAGTATGTGCAAAGAGAATTTACAGACCTCTGGAAAGAATTAGAAGAAAAACATTTCCACAAAACTGGAAGAACACAAGTACAAATACATTGGAAATACAGTCAGGGAAATAGAACATAAACGGGAGGAATGAAAACATCAACAACAAATTGTGTAAAGGATTTGAGAGAAAATGTCTAAAAGTCACATAAAGAAAACTAAACATGTATGTAATTGGAGCATCTGAAGAAGAAAACCAAAGGAATAGAACTGGACAAATGCAAAACATTAAATCAAGAACACAGGGACCTGCATATTGAAAAGACACCACAATCCTGAAAAAAATCAACCCAGGTTAGTGAAATTCTTGAACTTTAAGAAAACAACAAAACTCCTAAATACCTAGGCAAAAGGATCAATTAATTTATAAATGTTAGAAAATCAGATTGACATGCTGCTTCTTGACTACAGTGCCTCAAACGGATAAGCAATGGTGTGACATATTTAAATCAGGAAAATAAAACAAACCAAGGATTTTATAAACAGTCTGACCTTTTATTACAAAATGTATAGACAGATATGAATATGAAGGAAATTAGGATTAATCCCTTTATAACCTAAAAGTGGGAGAACTTTTTAAACTATGATTTTGAATGCAGAAAAGATAAATTTGACAGATGAACTTTTACAGGATGAAGACAAAACCTTAACTGAAGTCAAAATACAAATAGCAAACTAAGTAGTAAAGTTTACAAATCATATCACAGACAGAGGGCCAATATCCTTACTCTATAAAGAGCTTCAGAATTTGAGAAGAAAAAGGCCAACCTCCAAAGCAAAATAGAAGCTATGAACAGCTAGTTCACAAAAAAGAAATGCAAATGACCTTTAAACATTTGAAAAGATGTCCAATCTTGCTCATAATAGAAATGCAAATTAAAGCTACACTTAGATGCCATTTCTATCACAGTGGCAAAAATCCAAAATGTTGACAACATACTTTGTTGGCAGTAGTGACTGAAAACAAGTATATTCATTCCTTGCTAGTGAATGAAAATTTGGCATTATTTGCCAAATTACATCTGCATTTACTTTTTGGCTCAGAAATCCTACTTTGAAAAATTTATTCTCAGGATAGTTGTCAAATATAGTAAATGGTATTTGCGCAAATTATTTATTGTGCCAATGTTTGCAGAAGCAAACAACTGGAAACAATGTAAATACCAATAATAGAGGACTGATGGAATAAGATACTATGTGTACACAATGGTAAAATGGAAGGAGAACTATATTTTACCACAGTGTGATATTGACAATATGTTTTTCTTTGAAAACACCACACACTCAAACCCACACATATACACACAAAGAGACAAACAATGGGATGATAAACCAAATCTAATACAATTGGTTCACCTCTGAGTTTGGGAAGGAATTTGGAAGAGGGAGTGGATAAGCAAGTAAAGTGTGTGTGTGTGTGTGTGTGTGTCTGTATCTGTGTACATTTTTTTTACATAACTTAAAAGATGAAATCAAAAGTAACTGCCAAAAATTGAGACAAAAGGAAACATTATTCTAACTGTATATGAAGTTGGTGACACTAACAAAACTGAAATAATTATTTTAAGTGACTTGAAAACATTGTGCTGTGACTATAAATGTCGGGAGTTGTGTTCCAAATGGCAAAGAGAATCACAACAAATTTTAAACTGTACTTAATAGTTGCATTATTAGGAGTACCTTTGATGTAGTTTGGAAATTTTATACTTAAATAAGTTATTATGTAAATGCCTTAGGGAGCAAGAGTTTTAGCAATAAGACCAAAGAGATACAAAATCAAAGAAATTGAATTTTCCACTTTTGACCCAAATAGAATAATGCCTGAAATACCCCACCTGAAATCACTGTAAAACTGGACAAATATAGTAAACAATATTTTCAGACATTGGACATCAGCCAGCACAGGGCAGTGATTCCTGAGAAAGCAAAAACAAAGGAGATAAGCCCTATGATTGCACCAGCAAGCCCTGTGATTGTACCAGCTTACTGTCTGAGAAAGGTTCCAGCCTGCAGCACAAGGAAGGAACCAACCCAGGCAGAGCTCAGTGGTCTTCCTCAATGGAGATGGAACTGGGTGTCCAGAAAGCCAAAATGACTAGAGTTAGCAGGGCAGAGTACCAGAAGGTAGAGAGCTGGAGAGGGTGCTCTTAAGCCTGCAGCTGTGTCCTGATCAACATATATGTGTGAGGAACATACCTGAGGCTGAGGAAAGACCACCCAATAGGAGCAGAGAGAATAGTCCTCAGAGCTCACACAAGGCCAAGAACAGTTGTTGTTTCTCAATTTGTAATAAAATTATAATATTTTGGGAACAACTTTGGGTCTTTATTTCTTTACAAATTGAGTGATTTGTAAGATTATTAGAAAATTATATTTATCAATTGCTTTTGTCTGTATACTTTAGCTATGTCATTTAATCCTCAAACATGGATTTTAAAGAGGAAGAAAAGTAAATTGCATTAAATACTGCAGGTAGGAAATGGCAAAAATGGAATTCTAACTTGATTGCAGATATACCACACAACTTTCATAACTTCATTAGCACCTTATAACTCCCAGGATTTGGTTGCTATCACTAGAGCCATAAGAAAAATCATTACTAGTTAATTTTGTAATGGAGACATATATTTTGTCAGTAAACTAGCCAACTTTTCAATTTGGAATGAAATACTAGATGGAATGTTGTTTTATTGTCCCACCAGGTTCAGTAATGTTCGTTATGGCTACAAACGTGGTATACAGAGTAATTTAGAACATGATTCATTTATTCACAACTAGGACTGACTTATAAGCCCTAAGGACTAGATTATGATGGATTCACCCGCCCATAAGTAATTAAAAATAAAACGCTGAAGTGTAGAAAATCCAACAAAGTTCAGATTTTATTATGATGATGTTAAACACTTCTTATGCCTTTTTATGTATTTTGGTGTGTTATAGATACTATAAACGTGTTTAAATTTCCTATTAGGTAATCCAGTGGGGATCACTACCCCTACTCAGGTTGAGAGAGTCCAAAATGAGTGAGTGGGAACTGTTTTGATTGCTCAAGACAACAGCATGGACTTAGTAGCAGTGACTTAGCAAATTTGTGTTTGCTTGTATTATTTTGTTTTTTAATAAACCAGTTTGCTCTGTTCTTAACTTGGGCAACTTAAAACACTAAGAAATATTTATAAAATATCTGCAGGAGGCACTTTAATTGCTCTTGTAATACATACAAAGATTAAATCCATCAGAGCATTTAGAAAGGAAATGGTGGCGGAGAGTGGAAGAAACAATAAAATGGAAAATTTTTGTATAAGTAGATTGTAAGGAAAATAAGTAATTGTCATGCAAGACTCAAAAACAAAAAAAGGATGTTGTGGGCATCCAATAGAGGACTTGTATGTTAGAGAGAACAGGAAATAGTTATTTGAACTCTGGTTTTGAGGTTAACCTTGAAAAGAGGAAGTTTTTACCTACAAATTTTTCCTTGTCTTATACCTGCATGAAATATCTTTTCTTGATTAGAAAAAGAAATGTAACAACACCTTCAAAGCAGAGTTGATCAATGTAAAAAAAATCTTAAAAACTGAGTATGTAAGTACTTTGAGATGAGAATACTCAAAAAAAGACTAATTATAGTAAGAATCATTGATGAGCCATGTGGTTGTGTCATTTTTTTTTAATTTTAAAAATATGGAGGATGTGCAGGTTTGTTACATAGGTAAATGTGTGCCATGGTGGTTTATTGTACCCATCAACCCATCCCCTAGGTATTAAGCTCAGCATGATTAGCTATTTTTCCTAATGCTCTCCCTTCCCCATCATTATTATTTCTAAGATGGTTCTGATGAGCAGTCACTTTAGGGGATCATGTAATGGCAAAACTTAACATGTGAAAATTCTGCTTCAGTGAATTCAGAGGGAGTTTTGAAATGTGCGTTTGTATGAAGCTCCTCAGCTTGAATCTAATGTGAAAACTGCTCTGGCAGTCAAAAAAGTAAATGTTCTATTGTTTTTAAGCCCAAAATTTCAGTGTCCAAAAATGTGATTCCTTTTTTTTTTTTTTTTGGTACAGAGTCTCGCTCTCTCGTCCAGGCAGGAGTGCGGTGGTGCGATCTCAGTTCACTCCAACCTCTGCCTCCCGGGTTCAAACTATTCTCCTGCCTCAGCCTCCTGAGTAGCTGGGATTACAGGCGCACACCACCACACCTGGCTAATTTTTGTGTTTTTAGTAGAGATGGTTTTTCACTGTGTTGGTCAGGCTGGTCTCGAACTCCTGACCTCTTGATACGCCCGCCTCAGCCTCTCAAAGTGCTGGGATTACAGGCGTGAGCCACCGCATCCCGCCGATTTCATCTTTTAAAGAGAACATCTTAACACTTAATAGACTCAGACTCAACCATACCCAATACTTTCAGATGTGAAAATTTGGTAACATTTAGCATCTTATATATGTTGCTGCTGATATATGGGGGAAATTGAACATACCTTCTCTAATGTTGTGTTATATAATTTCTGATGCACATGTACTTAAATACCCTCTTTTCCTTTTCAGAAAGCTGTATGTGATGGCTTCTGTGTTTGTCTGTCTACTCCTTTCTGGATTGGCTGTGTTTTTCCTTTTCCCTCGCTCTATCGACGTGAAATACATTGGTGTAAAATCAGCCTATGTCAGTTATGATGTTCAGAAGCGTACAATTTATTTAAATATCACAGTGAGTATAAATTTATATGAAAAATGTTTAACTTCATTCTTTTATCCTATTAAGCAGCACCTTTGTCCCCATTGAGAAGAGATGTTTGTTAAATGTGACACTGGTCAGTGTGCTTTCTGTATGTCTTTTCTGTATTGACGTTCTCTACCATTTCTGGTTCTGCTAAAAATAGCAATAATAAATACTGGCAATTCTGTATATACAGAATGATTTAGCATTTGAAAATGTCTTTAGGAGGGTAAAATAAACTAAAAAAAGAAAAAAGGTATTACAATTTACTTTTCAGCATATGACTCTGAATAACTTCTAGCAAAGTGTTGACATAGTTGATTTGATAGATTTTATAAATGTAACATTTTGATTTCATTGTATTTGGGAAATACAGTTTTTGCCACGTTTAATAGACCATTCCTTTATCAGCTTTAAAGATGAAATACAGGTGACTGGTTTCTCTTTTGTAAATTAGCATATGTGAAAATGCCGTGTTTTTTTTTTTTTAATTATTAAGTTCTAGGGTACATGTGCACAGCATGCAGGTTTGTTACATATGTATACAGGTGCCATGTTGGTGTGCTGCACCCATTAACTCATCATTTACTTTAGGTATTTCTCCTAATGCTATCCCTCCCCCATCCCTCCACCTCACGACAGGCCTCGGTGTGTGATGTTCCCCTCCCTGTATCCAAGTATTCTCATTGTTCAATTCCCACCTATGAGTGAGAACACGTGGTGTTTGGTTTTCTGTCCTTGTGATAGTTTGCTTAGAATGATGGTTTCCAGCTTCATCCACGTCCCTACAAAGGACATGAACTCATCCTTTTTTATGGCTGTATAGTATTCCATGGTGTATATGTGCCACGTTTTCTTAATCCAGTCTATAATTGATGGACATTTCGGTTGTTTCCAAGTCTTTACTATTGTGAATAGTGCTGCAATAAACATAACGTGTTAATGTGTCTTTATAGCAGCATGATTTATAATCCTTTGGGTATATACCCAGTAATGGGATTGCTGGGTCAAATGGTATTTCTAGTTCTAGATCCTTGAAGAATCACCACACTGTCTTCCACAATGGTTGAACTAGTTTACAGTCCCTCCAACAGTGTAAAAGTGTTCCTATTTCTCCACATCCTCTCTACCATCTGTTGTTTCCTGAACTTTTTAATAATCGCCATTCTAATTGGTGTGAGATGATATCTCATTGTGGTTTTGATTTGCATTTTTCTGATGGCCAGTGATGATGAGCATTTTTTCATGTGTCTGTTGGCTGCATAAATGTCTTCTTTTGAGAAGTGTCCGTTCATATCCTTCGCCCACTTTTTGATGGGGTTGTTTGATTTTTTTAAGTTCTTTGTAGATCCTGGATATTAGCCATTTGTCAGATGGGTAGATAGCAAAAATTTTCTCCCATTCTTTAGGTTGCCTGTTCCCTCTGATGATAGTTTCTTTTGCTATGCAGAAGCTTTTTACTTTAATTAGATCACATTTGTCAATTTTGGCTTTTGTTGCCATTGCTTTTGGTGTTTTAGTCATGAAGTCCTTGCCCATGCCTACATCCTGAATGGTATTGCCTAGGTTTTCTTCTAGGGTTTTTATGGTTTTAGGTTTTTTAAATATTAGGTCTAACATTTAAGTCTTTACTCCATCTTGAGTTAATTTTTGTACAAGGTGTAAGGAAGGGATCCAGTTTCAGCTTTCTACTTATGACAAGCCAGTTTTCCCAGGACCATTTATTAAATAGGGAATCCTTTCCCCATTCTTGTTTTTGTCAGGTTTGTCAAAGATCAGATGGTTGTAGATGTGTGGTATTATTTCTGAGGGCTGTGTTCTGTTCCATTGGTCTGTATCTCTGTTTTGGTACCAGTACCATGCTGTTTTGGTTACTGTAGCCTTGTAGTATAGTTTGAAGTGATGCCTCCAGCTTTGTTCTTTTTGCAAACAATGTGTGTTTCTTAGGACATTGTTTTTGAAAGGACCGTGTAGCCTTGCCACTCATGAAAACAAAACAAACAAAAACCTTAGAGAGGTTTTCTACCTGTTTTACATGTTAACGTTTGTTTGAAAAGAGCACGGTTTGCTAACTATTGAATTAGGAAAAGGGATAATATTTATTGGCCAGCCATGAGATATATGTGAGTGACAGTGATCTGCCAGGAAGAGTGATAGTTGTTTTTTCTTGCAGAGGTTAATGGTGTGGTTAAGGTTGAGGTAGAGATGTCTGTGGTGGTGGTTGGAAAGAGGGAGGTTTGTCAGGACAGTGAGTGAAATGGAATGGTATGTTAAAGTGGAATCACTACTTAATTACAGAGAAAAAATGGATCCCGTGGATCCATTTATTCTTATTGCTTTCTGTCAAAAGTTGCCGGTTTAAGGGCTTTTTCTTTAAAAACAACAATATAGGAAAATATACGTATATGTGAATAAAACGTTTGTAACACAATGCTAATTGTAAATTGTTTTATGCAACTGGGGAATTGTTGGGTATTTTCTCACTTAGCCCTTTGGAACAAGGAACATATTTTCTTTTTTATACACTGTTTAAAACATTGGCCAGACTTTTTTTGGCCTACCTCCAAAGACTTTTTTCATGTCAAATAACATAAATATGTACTAATAAATAATAAAAAACCCTGTGATGTTTTCTTTTAAGTACCAGCAAGTATATTTAAATGTGAATATCATACTCTATTTTAAGTAATTATGCAGAAATTCTCACATTTTGGAATACTGCCACTTAAACTGAGACAGACTGAACATTAAATGAAAAATAAGATTATTTGGATGAACATTAACTAGATGACAATGAGATAAGAGGCTGAATTTTCTGTACATTATCTATAAGTATGTTGAAAATGGAACTGCTTTGCTTTCTTAAAATGATTAGTATATATTAGTAGTACTACTTTTTAGTAACATTTGTCTTTCTACTTATGAAAATATTTGTCATTATAAGACATTTGAGAACTATAATGTATAAAGATTTTTACTTCTGCTACCTAGGTCGAACTATTACCATATACATATATTTACGAACAATGCATATACATTTACAAATGTAATCATTCTCATGTGTAAAGGATACACACATTCATTCACATATATACAAATGCACATTTCAACTGAGGTCACAGTACATTTTCCCATGTTAAATGGTCTTGTGTAGTCTTTTACATGATCATATTATAATTAATTCAACCATTTTCTTAATGAATGTTTAATTTTACTATTACAAATATTAGGAAAACATCTTTGTGCTTAAACTTTGTTTCCATTTCAGGTTATTTCTTTAGGATAAATTCCTGAAAGTACATTTGCCAATTAAAGATCATAGGTAGTTTAGGGTCTTTGTTAACAATTATGGTGATCTCTTTTCATCTTTTAAATTAAATGGATTCTCACTACTCTGAGCAACAAATGTCTAACCTTTATTACTAAATTTTTATTTATTCTGTCTTATTTTTTCTTTGTCTTAATTCTCATAAGGATTTGTATTCTCAACCTGTATTACATCATTGATCCCTTAAATATTCTAATGAAACTGTGGACAGTACAGAAAAAGACATGTACCAGCATAATTTTGCATATACAAAGACTTCCAAGATTCTTCTAAATTTCAATCCTTGGTCTTATCAGAAGATCCATTGACCTCAAATTAACTATCTCTTTCCTATCATGTCTAGAAATGAAATTGACATGAACATTAAGAGCCAAATAGATAAAATGTTTATATATTTAAAGATTATTTTTACTGTGTTTGAGAACATTTTTGAAATTTCTTTACATTTGTGACTATACCAATGTAAATGACTCCATAAATGTAATCATATAATTGCTGACTCTAGCATATTCTTTCATCCTTTTTTTTACTAAAACTATTTTCTCTCCTTCAACTCATCCCATATTGCATCTTTTCATATCTTTCTACATATTCCTATTAACATTTATGTATACTCACATATTCAGCTTTATAAAAATCAGTATTTTTAAAAAATATTATTTAGTACTTATTTATGTGCATCTTGGTTTTCACATTTGTTAATACCTTGTAAAAATCTTTCCTAATTATCTGACTTAATTGATTCTTTTTGATGGCTTCATAATATTCCATATAAGGACTTAATATAATTTATTCTTTCTTTTTATGAATAGAATTCATTTTATTGTCAGGATTTTTTTTCCCATTCCAAATAACACTGTCATTAGCATCCTAATGTTTTTATTTCTGTGGAATCGGTGCTCAGAAGTAGGATTGCCCGATCAAAGTCTATACATAATTCTAATTTTAATGTATATAACTAAATTACTGATGAAATGGCTGTAACACTTCACATATTTGCTAGCAGTATGAAAATATACCCTTTTCCCATATCTGTGCCAGGAATAGAATTTGGTGCTTTCTATAAATTGTACTAGTTTGAGGAATTTAAAGCAATATTCCATTTTTACTTAAATAAACGTTTTCCTAACTATAAATGAATTTGAGCATTGTAAAATATTTTTGGCCATTTAGCTTTGTACCTTTTTGATTTGTTTATGTATGTCCTTTGTTCTTTTTTCATTTCCTGTTAGAGTTTTGTCTTTTTCTTTTCAATTTGTAAGGGCTCTTTGCATGTTATAGATTATAACCGATGCTTACAAATATTTCTTTTATTTATCATTTAGTGTCTATGGATTTTGTTTATGTTACCTTTTGGTATGACTGTTACAGATCTTTTATATATCTGTTATTTTTTATTTAACATTTTTAAATTTTTTAATGACTGTTTTCTACAGTAATTTGAGACAACAGTTGTAAATTAGAAATGTAGAAGGTGATCCCAGCTATTAGTTGTTACTTAAGCATGTGAATGATGCAACCACATTTCTCCCCAACCAACCAGACTTGAATCTAGCCCATTTCTTCTTCATAGTGAGCTGTTGTAAATCTCTACTAGTGTACAAGTTGAAATAGCAATTTCTTTTAAACAAAAAAGATTATTTTAGGTACTGTTGAACATTTTAAATGGTCATCTTTGTATTTAATAGAATAGGAAACAGCTTACTAATGTCCATATTCTGAAGCTATACATTTTGTTTTTTTTAAATACTGAATTATGTTTTTATTCTTGGCATATTACATACATAGTACTCGTGCATAAAACCAAATAATTGGTTTAATTTTCTTTGACATTTTGGTATTACTTTCTTTTTCTTAATAAATGAAGCATAGCTACAGCTGAAGTTACTTTAATTTTAAATACATATTTGTATATTTTTAGCTAACTTGTAAATTTTCTGTGTCCTTTTTTTGTAGAACACACTAAATATAACAAACAATAACTATTACTCTGTCGAAGTTGAAAACATCACTGCCCAAGTTCAATTTTCAAAAACAGTTATTGGAAAGGCACGCTTAAACAACATAACCATTATTGGTCCACTTGATATGAAACAAGTAAGAATCAATCATGAAATACTTTGTAAGAGTTAAATGAATGTCAGCTTTGTATATCATATAACTTGAAGGAGGTGGGGGATTTCCTCAAAAACTTGATTTAGAAATGTGTCTCTGCTGGGTACAGTGGCTCATGCCTGTGATCCCCGCACCTTGGGAGGCTGAGCTCAGTGGACTGCTTGAGCCCAGGAATTCGAGACCAGCCTGGGCAACATGGTGAAACCTCATCTCTACAAAAAAATACAAAAATGTGCTGAGTGTGGTAGTGTGCACCTCTCTTCCCACCTACTGGGGAGGCTGAGGTGGGAGGATCACTGGAGCCCAGTAGGTCGAGGCTCGCGAGCCGTGATCACACCGCCGTACTCCAAACTGGGTGACACAGTGAGATCCTGTCTCAAAAAAGAAAAAAAAGAAAAAGAAATGTGTCTTATACACATACAAGATGAAATCTTTGAGAATCAAGCTTGTAAAAGGAGAAAAATTTCTAATTATTTGAAGTTATGAAGTATATCTGAAATGTTTGATGTTTTGATCTTGTTCTCTATCGAATTTCTCCTTTTGCCTTTCAGATTGATTACACAGTACCTACCGTTATAGCAGAGGAAATGAGTTATATGTAGTAAGTTCTGATTTATAATAACTTTTTATTGTCAAATAATGAAGTGTATAAAATAAAGTATAAAGAGTATACATATTTTTTAATTTCCGTTATCAGTCAAAAAGAGTACATTATGTAGTATTCTGGCTTCTGGTCCTCTCTGTTCCTCTTTTTCAACATATATAATATTCATGTATATATACACATAAAATTTGTTTTTTTATTTATTTTTCAGAATTAGGGTTATACCATGTCACTTTATTTTTCATTACTATGTTACTGTGTTAAACTTGTTACTATGTTAAAATAATTATAAATTTTCATCATCTTTTGAATAAGCGTAGATACAGACTTTTAGGGTAAATAACAACCTAGTTATCAAAATTTCAGAAGATGAGCAAAATATATAAGTAATTTATAGCCTGCATTTAAACAACCCTGCAACTGCAGTGGCATGAATACATACATGTTTTTCGAGTAAGAAGTCATGAATATATCAGTCATTGTTTGAAGTATAGAAAATTCTCAACCAACAAATGCTTATTATATTTCTTAGCATCTCTGTTAGCTTTAAGATAGGAGGGAGAATTTTTAATTTATAATGTAGTAACTTGCATTTGTTCACATTTTAATTTCTTTAACAGTGATTTCTGTACTCTGATATCCATCAAAGTGCATAACATAGTACTCATGATGCAGTAAGTACAAATCTTTTTTGAAAGAGATTTTGCTTGTTAACATTTTGGATTTATAACATTGGCTTATAATATACACAACATCTTTATAAATGCCACCTCAGTTGGGTTTTAAGCCTTACAAGAGTGCTATGAGTAAATATCACCCACTTTAAAAATTACGAAATGGTTGTTCAGAGAAGTAGTGAAAGACTACGTGACTGCTAAGTAGTGAATCTGGATGTCACAAGAGTTCAGGAAAATGGAAAGGATACAGGGAACTGAGCCCCACATCCAATTCCTTACTCCCTTGACAAATAGTCATTAACAGTAATAAGAATATTATTGGTTTGTAAATTGGGTGTTATCTAAGCCAATAAAACATTGTTGATTATAGGTTTGGTGTTTTGACCATTAGCTGACATTTGATTAACCTTTTTTTCTATGATAAGAGAACCATGGTCACTTTTAAGCATATAATGAACTTTTATATTTTTAACAGAAGATAATTGTTTTAAAATATTACACTTATTATGTGTAATTATGTCTACAGGGCTCACTCAGCTATCCATTTTTGTTGTCTGTTGGGGAAATACTCCTTAAGAGGATTGTGTGCACAATATTAAGTTATCATTAATCAAATATTCTCTTCTGGGAGATAATTTTTATGTGTTAAAGTAGTCTCACTATGGAAAAACTTCTAATATAACTATTAAATGTCTCTCCTCACTTACATTATTTTTAGAGTTACTGTGACAACAACATACTTTGGCCACTCTGAACAGATATCCCAGGAGAGGTATCAGTATGTCGACTGTGGAAGAAACACAACTTATCAGTTGGGGCAGTCTGAATATTTAAATGTACTTCAGCCACAACAGTAAAAACTGGAAGAGATGGATTTAAAGAAGAAATATCTATTGATATTTCCTATACTCTCAATGAAGAGGTATTTCCTAATAGGAGACCTTAAATTGAACAAACCTAAAGTTTACACTTCTAAGAGTACAGTTAAAAGTATGTGGACCTGCAGTTCTTGTAACTCTCCACTCTGTGTTAATGATATATTTGTACTAGGATCTTTTACTTGAATCTAAATTTACTGGTTGATTTCCTTCTCCAGCCTATCCCCTACAGGGAAAAGCTGATACTTCCCCTATAGTACAATAAATAATTATTTAAAAGTCATAGCTCCAGTCACTACTGAAAACATAATTTTGGTGATAAACATAATTTGAGAAACTTAATTTCTGAATGTTTTTATAGAAAATTACTGAAAGTCTATTACTCATGGAAGACTTTTAAAGAATAACCTTTTTTCCTGTTTTATAAATTCCCATTGTTATATGGTAGTATTTCAGCTACACAATATTTTAGCTTTTAGCTAGACATTTATAGCTTTTCATTTGTTGAAATGGTAATCATCTGCATGTTTTTGTCACTTATTTCAGGTTAGTGATTGCCTAACACTTATAAGCCAAAATAATCTTTGCAAAATTCCATACCTAAAATTTTGAAAGCCCCTAATGTTTTCACACATCTTTCTGTATTAGTTATAGTTTTGTGAAATCTTTGTGTGATCTTCAAACATTATCATTTAATGTACAATACTGTAAATAAACTGTGCATGGCTTTTATACAGCTTTAGTAAATGTCAAATAAAGTGGTACAGACTCATTACAACAAGTTTCTCATAAAAATACAATAAATAGGAAAATGAAATTCAGAAACCCATAGACTGGGAATAGGTTCCAGTTACAGCTTGGATCTGGCATAAAATAAATTTGAAATAAAATATTTTGATGCTCCATTTTTTTATGTTGCTTTTCATACTAAAGAATGGTGTAGACATGTTTTGCAACTGTTAGGTACCCAGTTATCAATTTTATCAATGTTTTAGAGGAGGAAATTATTTTTTTGGTAGAAATTGTTCAAGAAATCCTTAATTGAATGTCATTAAATGATGGTGGCCAAAATAAAACCTATTTAGAAATTTAATCACTTTGCACATCACTTGGAATATGATGCCTCTAGTAGTTACTTTTTTATAGTTTTCTACTTTTGGTTTTATTTAAAATTGTTTTCAAATATAGATTATTGACTTATTCAACTTTGCTGTTTTATATTTTCAGTATCATTTTTCATTTTTTTTTTTTTTTGTCTTTTCACTTACCAAGTTCTAGGGACATTTAAAATATGTACTAAGTGTAGGAGTGGTTATGATACCAAAAAATGTAGCTGGGTTGAGATTAATTTCGTTCTGTTTTCTCATGACAGAAATCAGGTTTCCCTTTCCCCACCCCTAAGTGCCTAACTTAGGTCTGAAACAGCCTGTTTATTAGTCTGACTCTCTCAACCATAAAACATAAGCTTTATTTAATTCTGCCTTTAAACACACTCAGGTTTCCCCTTAATTTTCATATTATTTTCTGCAAGTTTTCTTGAGTATCTTCAATTCGTTGAATGTGGTTTTTGGTTTTTTTTTGTTTTAACACTAGTCTTCCCTTAATTCATTGCTAACTCAAGCCATCCTTACTATTAAACCCAAATCAGTCCTTTAAGTTCATTATGGCCTTTCTAGTATTTAAAAAAAAAAAAATCATTTTCATTTTTCTTCTGCTACGTTTCCTGACTACTACTGCATACTTCTCTGATACAGGTTCTGTTTGTATTTTTTATATCATTCTCATTTTCTCATTTGACATGATCTATGTCTATATATGATATAGGTCCCCTTTTGTCTCAAAATTTTTAATTATGTGACTTCAAAAATCACCTGTATCTGTAGTAGGGCTTCCAAATCTGCTTCTCCATATGTGACCAGTCACCTGTCTGCTTTCACATTTAGCTAGTGAACTACACATTTACTAAAATGTGTAAATTTTACACATTTAGTGACTGTGTAAAATAAAAAAAAAGTTATTTTATCATATCCTTTCTATTATGTTCCCATCCTGTCCTCATGTCCCATTTACTTTATTATCACCATTCATTTCTTCAAAATTATCTTTTAGATACGCTCATACAAAAATCAATCCTTGTTTTCTTGCTTGTGTCTTTTAACCTTGGAAAATTACATCGTGTAAATTAAACAGATTTTTCTGATGATCTGTGCTTCTTATATACTATTAGAGTGCATGATAGTATCTCCTGAAAAGGATGGAAAGTAGAAGCATTTGCTTTTAGTCACTTAATTTTGAATCTTTTTTCTTCATCTTTTGAATTAATTTTTTTTATTATATCTACTTTTAGTGGAGTTTGAGTCAGAAAAAAACAAGAATTTGAAACAAGTAAAAAGATAGAAGAGAAATAAAGATGGTATGTGACTACTTTCAGAGAGAGTTAAGTAACTGTCAGAATAAGCCTGGAACAAAACAGGCTGTAAATTAATAAAACTACAAACACACATTCAGGTGAAGCAGAAGTATAGCCATAAAACATCTAGAAAGAGTGAATGAGGCTTTTAGCTTTTCTTAGGTCAATGTCCAGTGTGCTTTTTTCCATGGGAATAGGATAGGTATTAATACGCTTTTCTAAACTGCTCTCAGACCTTATCCAGAGGACATGGTAAAGATATGTTACAGAAATTTTTCTGATACTTCCTGGAATAACTTTAAGTTACACCCTAGTAGACTGGTCATTCTAATAAAATCCAGTACTATAACAAACCTCTGTATGTTGATAGCACATTGGCCCTTTTTAGAGTTCTTTCCTATGTTTTTCTTACGTGATTTCCCACAGTTCCATGAGTCCAACAAAGGAGAGTGATAGGCTCCTTATCTTTTAGAAGAGGAAGGAAAGGCATGAAGAAGTTGAGGGACTGGCTGAAGATCACGTACTTACTAAGTAGTACAACTGGAGCAAGATCAAGTATCTCTGTCTCCCATATCTGTGTTCTATCATTTAAAATATATATTGGAAATCCCTGCTGACTCAGATTGGTATGATTAAAAATGAGAGGAAAGTTCAAATAGTTAGTAGTGACAAACTAATACTGCTGGACTAAGATTTTGGTAGCATTGTTTTCTAAAATATTTTAAATGGAGAATGAACACTTATAAAATGCTTTGGAACATAATCTTTAGCTTAATTTTCTGTTAAAATTTAGTACCCCTTCATCATTCCAATAAAGATAAGACTGATCCATTGTCTAAGGAAATTATTTATAAATAATAGAGATTAATTTATTTGAGATTTGAAATAAGAATAGTATGAAAATATTAGATACCACATAAATTGTTTGAAATTACTGAATAACCATCTTAAGTATGGAACATTTAAATGGCTATATTTTATTTGTGTACAGTTTTTCTGTGCCTTGTTAGGCCAGTGAAGCAATTATTTTCTCTAAGAAAATGACAATAAAATATAACACACTTCAGATTGTCTGATTTACAGTTTGGAAAGGACACCGCAATGTTCAAATAGGTAGGAGACCATCAAAAACACAATTAAAGTAACATATTAGGAGACTTGAAACTTCAGCCTAATAAATCCTTCATGGTTCTTAGCCTTATTATTGTGATATAATTCTAGATATTTTCTTGGAGGGCATGTGCCCAACTCTCCCGCACCCCATTTTGTTTGTCTTTTAAAGTTCTTAGAATAAACAGTTCTTTATATAATAATTATATTTTATTTAAGAAAATAGTTTGTTAGGTACTTTTTAAAAGATGTAAATTTTTAAATTTACAAATACATATGGGTCTTTGATAAGCAATAGGAATTGAATTACAAGTTACTAGGGTTATAAGCAAAAGGTTGCTTACCATAATGTCATTAGGTCACGATTTTTAGCTCACATCTGGAAGCAGCAACTACTTGGCTCAAGTACATATAAGAGTAATTAGTTTTATTCTCTCTTTTTTATAAAATCGGGTTTCAGATGAGATGTTTATCTTAGACTATTTTAGGGAAAAATTTTACATGTTTGAGATGGTGGAGTAAAAAGACTGTTAAACATTTCTTTTAAAAAATTATTTTTACATTACAACAATATATTTATGATGTGTTCAGATCAAAAATTTAACTTCTGTGTCCCAGATCTACTTTCAAAGTGAGATTTTCACTTGTCAGCTTAAATTTCTGACTAGAACTAACATTTGTGTATTTTTGTGCTTAGTCGGAATACAAATTTCACAGTGGATTTTTGAAGTTTGTCCTTAAATTGGATAAAATCAAGTGATTAAAGTTACTAAAGAGATAAAAATGGTAATTTCCATTTTTAAAAGTAATTTGGTTGTGTTTATAGTTATTTGTACAAGTATTTATCACAGACTCTAAATTGAAAAATGTAGTATGATCTATATTTGACCCTAAAAATGTTGGATTAATTTAACAAATATGGCAGATTTTTCATAACTAAGTCTTAAGTCTTCTAAAAGGAAGCTGTTACCCTTCTGTTTTTAATTACATTAATTGAAATGTGTTTTAAGAGATACAATTTCAGCATATTTTATATATTAAAAAACAAAAAAGGATTAGTATTGAGCCAGTGGCCAAAAGGTAATATTACTACCATGTAGACTGTTATAGTTCAAATTGTCCCACTTCACCCAGAATTTTAGAAACTAGAAGTCTGGGAGGTACTATATCAGCTGTAGTTGGGTAATTCCAAGTGCTGATAGTACTATTCATCTTTTTTATTATTGTGTCAGATGAAACAAATGCCAAGTTGCAAAATATGCAGATTTTTATTATATAATGGTTTTAGGCATAAATTATTAACAAGCCATGCCTTATGTGTTTCATCTTATATTTTTCTTTAGAACTAAACTATAACAGATTTTGGAAAATGATTTGACGTGCTTGCTCACTTGATTGACTTGGTCAGATATTTGAATGATGGTATTACCTAGATTCTAATCCTTGATTCTAGTTATATAATAAATAATATAGAATATGAAAATATGTTTGGGCATTTACTGTTTATATTATGTAGTAGCCTCCATCATGACACACTTACTACATTTATGAATTGAGCAGTTCTGTAATTGTAATTATTATTGCTGTTCATGTAACAAAACATGCTTATAATAGCAAACAAATAGAAATGCCCCCAAAATGCTATTTTTTTAATTCAGTTATAACTGTTACTCTTGTAGTTGTGTATGACGCAATAAAATTTGTAAAAAAATTTCAGCATGAAAAATAAAATTTGTATCACTTATGTATTTTGGCTATGCTTTTGAAATTTCCTTAACATAAACAAATCAGTGTAGATATTCAAAATCTTTTACCTTTAATCCTTTTCATCCTTATAGTCCTTACCTGAACTCTACTTTAGCATTATCTTTGATTTCTTTTTTTCATTCACTTAACTTCCAATCAGTACTCAAGCTTTATCCATTCTACCTCTGTAATGTCTCTGGAATTTATCTCATACGTGAAATTTCCCTTGATATTATAGACATACCTTGGATATATTGCAGGTTTGGTTCCACACCATATCGATAAAGTGATATAATCAAGCAAGTTACACACCTTTTTTTGGTTTCCCAGTGCATATGAAAGTTATGTTTACATCATACTGTAGTCTATTAAGTGTGCAATAGCATTATGTCGAAAAACACAATATATATGCCTTAATAAAAAATAGGCTGTGTGCAGTGGCTCACACCTGTAATCCCAGCACTTTCGGAGGCCAAGGTGGGAGGATCACCTGAGCCCAGAAGTTCAAGACCAAATTGGTCAACATGGCGAGACCCCATATAAAATATATACATACACACACACACACACACACACACACACACACACACACACTATTGCTAAAAAATGTTAACGATCATCTGAATGTTCAGAAGTTTATACTCCTTTTGCCGGCACAGGATCTTGTCTGGATGTTGTTTGCTGATAGATCCATGTAGTGGTTACTAAAGTTGGGGTGGCTATGGCAATTTCTTAAGACAACAATGAAGTTTATCACATCTATTGCCTTGTCCTTTCATGAAAGATGTCTCTAGCATGTGATGCTGTTTTGATAGCATTTTACCAATGGTAGGTCTTTTTTCAAAATTGGAGCCAGTCCTCTCAAACCCTGCCTCTGCTTTATCGACCATGTTTAAATAATTTTCTAAATTCTTTATTGTCATTTCAGCAGTGGTCTCAGCATCTTCACCAGGAGTAGATTCCAACTCAAGAAACCACTTTCTTAGCTCATTCATAAGAAACAATTCCTCATCTGTTCAAGTTTTGGCATCAAGTTGTAGCAATTCAGTCACATCTACAGACTCCATTGCTAAATTTTAGTTCTCTTGCTATTTCCACATCTGCTGTGACTTCCTTCACTGAAGTCATGAACCCCTCAAAATTATCCATGAGAGTTGAAATCAATTTCTTTCAAACTCCTGTTAATGTTCATATTTAGACCTCTTCCCCTGAATCACAAATGTTGTTAATGGCATCTAGAATGGCAAATCCTTTCTGGAAGGTTTCAATTTACTTTGCCCAGATCCATCAGAGGAATCACTACCTATGACAGCTATGGTCTTACAAAATGTATTTCTTATATAGTAAGATTCAAAAGTCAAATTTACTCCCTGATCCATGGCTGCAGAATGCACGTTGTGTTAAGAGGCATGAAAACAACATTAATCTATTTGTACATCATCAGAGCTGTTGGGTGACCAGGTACATTGTCAATGAGTAGTAATACTTTGAAAGGAATTTTTTTTTCCAAGCAGGTCTCAACAATGGGCTTAAAATATTCAGTGAACCGTGTTGTAAACAGATGTCATATTATCCAGACTGTTCCATTTATTGAACACAGGCAGAGTAGGTAAAAGTTTTAAGGGTCCTAGGATTTTCAGGATGGCAAATGAGCATTGGCTTCAACTTAAAGTCACCAGCTACATTCACCACTAAAGAGAGTCAGCCTGTCCTTTAAAGCTTTAAAGGCAAGCATTGACTTCTCTTTAGCTATGAAAGTTTTAGATGGCACCTTTTTGTAAAAGAAGGTTGTTTTATCTACATTGAAAATATATTGTTCATTGTAACCACTTTCATCAATGATCTTAGCTAGATATTCTGGGTAACTTACTGCAGGTTCTCCATCAGCACTTACTGCTTCACCTTGCACTTTTATATTATGGAAACAACTTATCTCCTTAAACATCATTAACCAACCTCTTGGTAGCTTCCAACTTTTCTTCAATAGCTTCCTCATCTCTCTCAGCCTTCATAGAATTGAAGCGTGTTAGGGCTTTGTTCAGGATTAGGCTTTCACTTAAGGCAATGTTGTGGCTGGTTTGATCTATTGAAACCACTAAAACATTCCCATATCGGCAATAAGGCTGTTTGATTTTCTTATCATTCATGTTTTCTGGAACACTTTTCAATTACTTACAGTAAGGAAATAGCACTTTTAATTTCCTTCAAGAACTTTTCCTTTGCCTTCACAACTTGTGCAAGAGACCTAGCTTTCAGCCTATCTTGACTTTCCAAGATTGTCCTTGGTGAGAAATGCTTGATTACTAGGTGTAATTATTTCTAGCTTTTGATTGAAAGTGAGAGATATGTGACTCTTCCTTTTACTTGAACAGTTAGAGGCTATTGTAGGATTATTAATTGGCCTAATTTCAATGTTATTTTGTCTCAAGGAGAGAGGGATGTGGGAACAGCTGGTTAGGAGAGCAGTCCGAACACACACTTTTTTTTATTACTTTCACTGCCTTACATGGGTATGGTTCATGCTGCCTCCAAATACTTACAAAAACATCAAAGATCACTGATTACAGATCATTAAAATAGGTTTAATAATAATGGAAACATTTGAAATATTGCAAAAATTACCAAAATGCGACAGAGACATGAAATGAGAACATGCTGTTGAAAAAAATGGCACTCATAGACTTGTTGGACACAGGATTGAAAGAAACCAATTCATCAAAACCACAATATCTGCAAAACGCAATAAGGTGATGCACAATAAAAGGAAGTATATCTGCACTTCCTTCTTTTTTACTGAAAAAGCCCAAGTTCTTACTCTGGTGTTGAGAACCTTTCATTAGCTGGCTACAATCTCAGTTCACAATCATTTCTTATTGCCCTTCAACAATGTCCTGACCAAATCGAGTTCTTTCTCATTGGGAACAGTTCATTCCTTTATCCCTTCGCTCATTCTGTTCCTTTTTTCTTAGAAAAATTATTTGCCCATGTTTTTTATCCCCCAATTCTATCTTTTTCAATGCCCACTTCGTGTCCAACCCCTCTCTACTTTCCCTCTAAACTTACTCAAACACTTGGTGAACTTTTTCTGAATGTTTTTTCTGAATGTTTACTTTTAAAGGAGTTGCCCAGTCACAAAGTTTGAGCCAAGTTTTTTTGTTTTAAACTTGTTTTAAACTTTTGTTTTCATCAACTTTTTTCAAACAATTTTTGTCAGCTTAGAGGTTGTGTTTTAATTACTATTTTTAAAATCTTGTATGAGGTAGTATGATTTGAAATTAGATGGAATGTGCCCAAAATTATCTCTGTAGAATAATATGGAAAAACGAAAATGAAAAGATGTATTACCTGAATGTGCTCCTCCTAGCCAGTTTCTCAAGGGAGAAGAATCATTAATAAGTTTGTGAGGCTTTTTTTTTTTTTCTGGTAGATTTCTGTTTCCTTGATCAGTGGTTTTTCAGAATTTTTTAAAGCTTGTGAAATACTTATTTGTAAATAGCATCTTATGAGGAACCTTGATATGTGACAAAACAGATGCTTTGATTTGAGAGCAGAAGACCTGCAGCCCCTGACTGCTCACCTTTCCAGGGACCCCTGAACATTGGCCTAGAGGGTAGTGTACAGTCACTTCTTCAGTGATAACTTACTGAGTGTGATTCAACAAAACTGCTTTGGTTTATGGGTGAAACATAATTTATAACTAGGCAAATGTCAGCTTAAATTTATATTTTCTAAATAGCACTGAAAATGACAATAGACAAATGTAATTTCTGATTTTTAAGAAATGATTTTCCATTTTAACATACATTTTAAATGTTTTGTCTTCAAAGGGAATCCTTAAAAATGATATATTGGAAACCACTGATTTCTTATTTTCATTTCATGAATTTCAGATTCATGAATGGAATATATTGATAATAGCATTTTTTAAGTTGCCCCAAAAAGATGAAATACAAATAATTTTAATCCCAAATCTATTTCAGACACCTAACTTTTTTTTTATTTTTTATACTTTAAGTTCTAGGATACATGTGCAGAACGTGCAGGTTTGTTACATAGGTATACACGTGCCATGTTGGTTTGCTGCACCCATCAACCCGTCATCTACATTAGATATTTCTACTAATGCTATCCCTCCCCTAGCCCCCTACCCCACAAAAGGCCCCAGTGTGTGATGTTCCCCTCCCTGTGTCCATCTGTTCTCATTGTTCAACTCCCACTTATGAGTGGCAACATGTGCTGTTTGGTTTTCTGTTCCTGTGTGTGTTTGCTGAGAATGATGGTTTCCAGCTTCATCCATATCCCTGAAAAGGACATGAACTCATCCTTTTTTATGGCTGCATAGTATTCCATGGTGTATATATGCCACATTTTCTTTATCCAGTCTATCATTGATGGACATTTGGGTTGGTTCCAAGTCTTTACTATTGTGAACAGTGCTGCAATAAACATATGTGTGTATGTGTCTTTACAGTAAAATGATTTATAATCTTTTGGGTATACACCCAGTAATGGGATTGCTGGGTCAAATGGTATTTCTGGTTCTAGATCCTTGAGGAATCACCACACTGTCTTCCACAATGGTTGCAATTTACACTCCCACCAACAGTGTGTAAAAGCTTCCTATTTCTCTACATTCTCTCCAGCATCTGTTGTTTCCTGACTTAATGATTGCCATTCTAACTGGCGTGAGATGGTTTCTCACTGTGGTTTTGATTTGCATTTCTGTAATGACCCGTGATGATGAGCTTTTTTTCATGTTTGTTGGCTGCATAAATGTCTTCTTTTGAGAAGTGTAAGGTACTTAATTCTTAAATTAAAAAAAAATACCCGGCCGGGCACGGTGGCTCACGCCTGTAATCCCAGCACTTTGGGAGGCCGAGGCGGGTGGATCATGAGGTCAAGAGATCGAGACCATCCTGGCTAACAAGGTGAAACCCCGTCTCTACTAAAAATACAAAAAATTAGCCGGGCGCGGTGGCGGGCGCCTGTAGTCCCAGCTACTCGGGAGGCTGAGGCAGGAGAATGGCGTGAACCCGGGAAGCGGGGCTTGCAGCGAGCCGAGATTGCGCCACTGCAGTCCGCAGTCCGGCCTGGGCGACAGAGCGAGACTCCGTCTCAAAAAAAAAAAAAAAAAAAAAAAAAAAATACCCTTCTTTAACAAAATCAAGTTTCAAGTTTTCTGCCTTGTTGATAACTTGTTAACATTTTTTTATTTTAGAATAAATCTAAACAGAGACCACACTGATATCTGTAACAACCTATGTAAAGTTAAGATTAAGGTTAAATCACATTTTTCACAGAGAGTGTTTTACTGAAATATAAACTTTTATGCATCTGATATTATCTAATTGTGTCCTTACTGGGTAACTTGTGTATTTTTCAAGTTAAAGGATTTCCTAAAAATGCTTATTTGAATATTTATGTCATTTGTCACACATACTTTCAAAACATAACCTTCTTCAACGAGTATCTTCTTTTCCTTCCTAAAATACTGTTAATAGCTGGCTATTTTGTAAGCCTGTATCTGGTTTAAAAAAAAGAAGTGAATATTTTCAATACTTATGAACCATAGAATTCTGTATTCTTTTCATAACTTTTAACTTTTCCATAGGACCTATCACTATGTAAAATATTATACATATCTACTGATTTATTTATTGCCTATGTACCTATACTAGAACATAGTAAACATGAGAACAGGGAATCTTGGTTATTAATTCCTGCAGGACTCAACTACTTATCACTCAAACATTTGTTCTTGAAAAGAACTTCGTATAACATCATTAGATTTTTACAGAATCTTTAAAAAAGCTTTAATATTTTCAAGGTTTTTTATTTATATAAATATTGTTACTTTACCACTAGTGATTTCAATAGTGGCATTGTCACATGATTCAAGAAGAGGAGGCCATTACATTACTGTTGTATTAAAAAGTCAGTTCAGGCTTAATATATATGACTACTATAAGTCAACCTCACATTTTAATGTATGAAGAAGATTGTATGAACGATCACATTAATTCATTTAAATAGTATGTATTTTGATACTAATTTTTAAGAAGAAATGTATCATTCTCATGGAAATAAAAGATAATTTGAAAAGCATGTTGTGCTATTTATATCAGGGAAAATTTGTTCAGCTCACACAAAGCCATACATTGACATATTTTTTAAAAATGCTGTAGTACTCTATAGTCTTTGAACTTACTTAATACCTGTTAAGAGATATAACAAACTGAAAAGTTATTTCAGGAGCTAATGTGTTCAATGGAATAAAGTTGATGTACTAAGTAATAGATAAAATGTTAAGAGTTTTCTCCGTGTCAGGCACTATAACAAGCATTCTTTAGGCATTTTTTTTTATAATATATACAGCCTTACGAGGTATGTACTATTGTACTATTGTTGCTATTTTCCTTTTTACAGTTTAAAAACTGAGGGTTAGTTCAACTTGGGGTTTAAACTTTGACTTGCTCTTTCAATCTAAAAACTAACTCATTAACAATGTTGGGAAAATGGTACATTGTTTTATTTTTGATCCACACTACTTAGGTTTTAACTTAGGCTGGATTTTATCATCATAAGACTTATTAAAGGCAAAATATTATGTAAGTAGTACCACAATCTCCCTTTATGAAATTATTATCATCTTTTTCCAAGTATATTTAAAGATCTAATTATGACACTTAGAATTGCAAGAACTCAAAATGGTGTGGTGATGGGTACCCAAAGTTTCAATCCAGTCAACTATAAGCAACAACTATACACACGGCATTGTGTTTGATTGTAGGGGATACAATGATGAAAGTATACAGTCTCAAACTCAAAATAAGACAGTTTACTGGCCAAAAATACACTGTTTCATCCCCTTTATCTCGCCTACACATTACCCTCTTCTATTTTTCATTATCTGTTACAGTACTACAATGGAGAACAGAGCTGCAGTACAACTATAGCATTTTGAGGGGCTGGGAGAACGGGATACAGGGTAAGGAAGATCATGAAGAGTCTAAGCAGAACTTTCCAGTCATTGTACTACAATGGGTTGCAGGCGTGCCAGCCCTCTGGTGGCCACATAAGTCCTGGAGTGGCTGGTCATCTCAGACTGGGAGCTTCCTCATTGGTTTGTCCTAATGGGCTGAGCAAATGTTTTCTGTGAATGGCATGAGGACAAATGTTGGGAAGCCCTGTACTCTAAGGAGGTGATAAAATAATCTCTCTTTGTTAATCCTATTAACTCTGACAGAAAGTACTTTGTGACATATTTCCTAAGCTTTGATTGGAATAGACTATACTATTATTTACTTAATTTTTCAAGTCAAATCCGGGTTTTAACTTAGATCTGCTTTTATCCTTTTATGACTTATTGAAGGTATATAATTTTTAAAACATAAATATTTATCTTAATTCAAACAATAGTAAGATAAAACTGACTTGCCTGAATGGTCATCTTATATACCAGTTATGAGTATACAGGCATACTGATTTCGGGAAAGCCAAAATGACTTTAGATAGGGTGCGTTTTTAAAGCAGCATGATTTTAGGTGCTGGAAGCATTGTTCAAATCCTTTTTTCACTTCTCAATTCTAGCAGTACAGTATTCAAGGACACCTGCTCTCAGTGGTAAGCATTTTTATTTACTTTATCTAGAGCTGTAGATAAAATACTGGCAGCAACCTGCCACTTTCAATTTTTTTACAAACTACCTATTTAAATGTTTAGACAGTTCATTCTAAGAGTATTCCAGTTGAGTTGAAGAGACATTTACCCAGTCCAGTTGGCTGTATCCAGAATTAACTGGGACTCAGACTAGTGTAAATATAACAGATATATCTTTCTTTATTTTGAAAGTCTAAGTTATTTTGTGGCTGAAAAGTTGAAACATTAAGGCAGCCCAGTAAACATTTCTGTTTATTCTTTTTATGAGCAGTATTTTCTATTTCATGTCATAGGTAATGTAATCATCTGATTATTTGGCCCACTTGATTTTTAGCTTACTCATAAGTTTATGATCTTATGATTAAGTTTTTTAAAAGAAAAGACTAACACAAACTCACCCTTTGTAATTCAATCCGTTTGTTTTAGAGATCAATTTTTAAACTTTTATTTTTGAGACAGGGTCTTGCTCTGTCACCTAGATTGGAGTACAGTGACACAATCACAGCTTACTGCAGCCTCAAACTCCCAGACTCAAGCAGTCCTCCCACTTCAGTTTCCCAAGTAGCTGGGACTACATGTATGTGCCACCATTCCTAGCTAATTTTTTTTTTTTTTTTTTTTTTTTTTTGTAGAGATGGGGTTTCACTATGTTACCGCAGCTCAAGCTGCAGGGCTCCAGTGGTCCTCCTGCCTCAGCCTCCTAAAGTGCTCAGATTATAGGCATTAGCCACTGTGCCCAACCAGATATCACTTTTAATCAAAGTGTACAAGTAGGAATTTATACTTGAACTCAAAATTAATGCAAATAAAATGCAATTTTTTTGAGATTAGAAAATATTTAAAAGATTTATATCAATCACTAATGACAAATGTGTGGAAGTGGTCTCAATTGTGTACTCTTTTGGTAGAAGGCTGACTATATCCTCACTGGAAAATAATTTTTCATTATCTCTCAATTTCAAATATACATGCCTCAACCAAACAACTTTTTTTAGGAATTTTTTATCTGAAATATTTGCATGAATAAATAGGCATTTCAAATTTTAACATATTAGATTGAACATATTCTACAGTATATATTCTTTACTCAAACTATTTTTTTTAAAAAAAGGAATACCTCTACCCTAAAACAACAAGAGGTATTTCCAATTGACTAGCAACTGAAAAAAGAAAAAGACAGGATTATATTAAAGAGAGAAGGTAATACATCGGACAACAGTATTCTAAAAGATGGAAACGAGGCTACATGCCTGTAAGGGTGGGGCTGGGAGGAGGAGAGAGCCCATGGGAAATGCCACAGTGGGATCATCTCTGGGCAAAACGACAGGAGTTATAGCAAACAAAATAACTCCAAAATATAGAAAGCAAAAAGTGATATTACAAACAGAAAATGATAAGTAAACCGTGTTAATAGGAGATTTACTTGTTCCTCTGAAACAAAAAGGTCAGAATATTGAAGATTTAAGTACAAAATTTAATGGTCTTTGATCCATTAGTTATGTATGGAGATGTTTAACCCAAACCAGAGTGCACGTTCTTTTCAAATACACATACAATTTTGTCAGACCATTGCTGTATACTGTTATATTACTATATCTTGCTAACATATGTTAATATAAATATATATACTAATATAAACTATATTACTATATACTATTGCATAAGTAACTTCCACTCGCTTGAATGTAATACAACTAGGAATAATAATAACATTGCATAAAGCTAGAAATTTAAAAGGTTTGTAACTCAAGACAAAGAGGACATTAAAATAGTTCATTTAGAACTAATTCAGGTCATTACATTTCAAAAACTTCAGATATAGCCAAGTGACAGACAGGAAAAAATATAGCCTAAATGCATTCGTTAGAAAATGAGAGAGATTGAAAATATCTAATCTATATTTCAACTCACAAAACTAGAAAAATTTTAAAAAGCAACAAAACTGTCCCACAAAAAAGAAAATTGTCCCCAGCAAAACCTGACAATAGAGAAAAGCCTATGATAATAAAGCAAAGATTACTAAAATTCGATTCCAAAAATCAGGACTTCTTTTTCTAGCATTGTGGTGGCGTAGATGTCTAGAAAGACCTTCTCAGCATGGAAACCCTAAAAACACTAGAAAAAATTCAATATATGCATACAGCTAGGCTGGTGAGAGAGAAACCTTTGAAGACCGTATATCACTTAGATTCAAATGACCAAGGTTACATATCAAAGAAAGTATGTCATGTATCACAGCCAAAAGACCACAAACAGAAAAAATAAATTATTCATACTTTCACAAAAATGGTGAAGGTGGGGGAATGAATAGGTGAGAATAAAATTAAATAAACCCCAGGTAGTTCCAAAGCCTCATTCAATTTCAGCATGCAGTTTAAAGCCTAGGCTCTTTAGGGATTAGGGAGTCCTTTCCATGAGGTCTAGAATTAGCTTCTCATTTTCTGGTGACCTATATGCTAATGAACAATTATTTTCTCTCAACACAAGCAAATAAAGATGGCTGCAATAATGCGCCATGTAACAGGGGAGAGATGGGAATTACACAAAATTACTACTGCATGGCACATATCAAGTATTACTGGGCCAGAACTACATGGAATCCTTACCCTAGAAGTGAATTGTGTTCTTTGTTTAGTCAAGTTGACAGTTCTAGTTCTACTCTCTGAGAAAGTCTCACTTTATTGTTCTCCACAGTCCCATCTGAGAGGATTTCTGGGTAGGGAATGGGTGGCCACAGATATGGATTATAAGGATAAAGAATGGGAAGGAAGAAAGGGTACCTCCTTTGTTTACACATATAGTATTTCAAGAGGAACAACTGAAAAACTGTTCAAACAGTTCATAAAGTATCTGAATTGAATATTAGCACACAAAAGTAACTTTCCGATATTACATTAATAACCAATTATAATAAAATACCAAAAAGTTCACTATAGTAGCAGTAGTAAAGTATTTCAAAATAAATCAAATAAGAAATGCATATAAATGGCCGGGTGTGGTGGCTCACGCCTGTAATCCCAGCACTTTGGGAGGCCGAGGCGAGTGTATCATGAGGTCAGGAGATCGAGACCATCCTGGCTAACACAGTGAAACCCCATCTCTACTAAAAAATACAAAAAATTAGCCAGGCGTGGTGGTGGGTGCCTGTAATCCCAGCTACTGGGGAGGCTGAGGCAGGAGAATGGCATGAACCTGGGAGGCAGAGCTTGCAGTGAGCTGACATCACGCCACTGCACTCCGACCTGGGTGACAGAGCGAGACTCCATCTCGAGAAAACAAAAAAAAAAGAAATGCATATAAATGTATATAACTTATAGAGAAATCAATAATAGTCAACTGTGAAATATAAAGATGTGAATACATAGAGAAAAAGACTGGTATAGACTGAATATATCCCTCCAAAATTCCTATGTTGAAACCCTAACCCTAAAGTGATATATTAGGATGTGGGGCCTTGGCGGGTAATTAGATCATAAGGTCAGAGCTCTACGAAATGAGATTAGTGCCCTTATAAAAGAGACTGCAGAGAGCTCCCTCATCCCTTCTGACGTGAGGACTCAACAAGAAGATGATGGGCTATGAACCAGGAAGCATGTCTTCACTAGACACTAGATCTGCCAGTTCTTTGATGTGGGACTTCTCAGCCTCCAGAATTGTGAGAAATAAATGTTTGTTGTGTTATAAACCATTCAGTTTATGGTATTTTATTATCACAGCCCAAGCTAAGACATATACCTTGATTATGAATGAGAAGATTCAATACAGTAAAGTCTCTTTCCAAAACAGGCTTAAACATTCAGTGGTATCCCAATAAAAATTCTAACAAAAAATTTTTATGGAAATTTTATGACAAGCTGATTCTGAAACTTCAAAGAATAAGGTACAAGACTAGCCAAGAAATTTTGAAAAATAAGCCAAAATTATAGTTTTGCAATACAAGGTACTAGATCATATTTTAAAGCTATAGAAATCAAAACAGCCTACTATTGACCAAGAAGTAGAAAAATAGTTTTTAGGGACTGAATACAGATTTATAAACCATCTCATTACTTTAAAACTGGCCTTTAAAACTGGCATAAATCCCTCCGTAAGAATTTTGGAGGCATATATTCAGTCTATACCTTTAAAAAGACCTACTATTTAATAAATGGTATCAGAATTCACTATTCATTTGGCAGAAAAAGTTAAATTTATGCCGCCTCACATTTTTTAATGAAAACAAATCCAGAGAGATTAATTATCTAAATTAGGGGTCAGACACTTTGACTCATGGGCTGGCTGCCCATTTTTGTAAATAAAGTTTTATTAGAACACAACCACCCCCATTTGTTTATGTATTGTCTATTTCACCTTTCATGCAACGGCAGCAGAGCTGAATTGTAACACAATGAAGACCATATGTACTGCAAATCCTGAAGTATTTACTCTTTGGCACTTTAAGAAAAAAACTTGTCCAACACTTGATGTACGCATTAAAGAATTACCATACGGCATTTTTAAAGGGGTAGAGAAAATAACAAGGAATTTTTTATGACTTGTGAATATACTAGTTGTTATTAGTTATGGTAGGCTAACTACTGTATCAAGTAATTCTGGCATCAGTGGTTTATCACAGTAAAAGTTTACTTCTCACTTGTGTCCTCGTCCTAAGCTGATTGCTCTTTTGCATCATAGTCTCTTAGGGGTGCAAGATTTTACCATTTCTTAAGACCATGAAGTCCTGGCCTACCTCCTCTGCTTGAGAGCATGAAGGATCTTGTGGGAGGATTTTTAGGTTCCATTTCCAGACTAGCACACACCATTTCTGCCCACATTCCACTAGAAAAAACTCAGTCAAACACCTCCAGCAAACTACCTAAAAAGCTAGGAAGGTAATCACATAATGGAGCCAAGAACTCTGCTCCATATACAGCTAATCTTAGGACCAACTGCTAGAATTGTAGTGGCTAGCCACCGACAAGCTCAACAATGTGCACAGCTGAAGAAACAACAAGACCACAGGTCCATGCCAGAATGAAGTGTCAGATGGGCACAATGTGATCCAAGTACTAGTTAGGACATGAAAAACGATTAGGAGTAAATCAGTGGCAGAGAGAAGGAACAGATAAAGTATCTGAAATAATAAAAGCCCGAATTTTTCCTAAGCAGAAGATTCTCAAATTGAAAGGACCCAGAGTATCAGAAAATATTAAAAACAAACAAACAATAAAAACCACTTTTTCCAAGTCTTTCCTAGGAGGAGGTTTATAAGGGAAGATTATGGGCAATAGATGTCCATTAGTGTGGATAAAGCCTCAACCACATTTTTATCCAGTTTTTCCATTCTTCTTTTTCCAGTTTTCCTTCCCATTACTGAACATGAACAGCAGTTTTTGTTTGAAACCCAGGAAGGAGGAATGAGATCAAGAAAAGTATTATAGAACCAGTAAGATTGACTGACTATGTGTGTCTGTATGTATGTATTTCAAGGACTTGGCTTACATGATTGTATAAGCAGGTCCATAAAAGAGACAATGAGGAAAGGACAACCATAAATGACTTGAACTCAACAGGCACAGATTGAACTGCTGTTTATGGCTGGAGTTTCTGCTCCTGAGAAAATCTTGGCCCAGCTTTTAAGACCTTTTAACAGATTCAGTCAGGCCCATCAAGATTATCCAGTATTATGTTTCTTCCTTAAAATCAACTGATTTGGGGCTTTAGTTACATTTTTCATATACCTTCATGTAATACCTAAATTAGTGTTTAATTAAATAACTGGGGACTGTAGCCTAGTCCAGTTGATCCAGCAATGAAACCATCACAATCTATAAATTGTCAATTTGGTACCCATTTATACCTCCTTAAGCCATATTTAATCTCTAAATATATATCATATTAAAATTAAACTTCCACATAACATGATAGACAACTTCTCCTATTCTATAACTTAATTCCTGAGATATAAATTTAATTATTAACACATCTTCTGTTATATGATAAGAAAACAACATAGAAAAGAAAAAAATACGTGATACACACATCCACACACAGTCTATCCTCATTATTTGTGGAGGGCAAATTTGCGAATTAGTCTTTTTGCTAATATTTATTTGCTACCCTCAGATCAAGACTTGCATTGCTTCTTGAGTCATTTTGAATATAAGCAGAGTGAAACACAATTTGCAGCCAAATTGGCTGCAAAAGGTGCACCCAATAGATGAGCAGGCTTCCAACTAAAGTGGAAAAAGGCAATGCTCTTCCTTCTCATTTCAGCCTTCATCCATAAACAAGTGTCATTTTTTACACAGTCTATTTAGTACATGTTTGTTCTTTTTGGGGGGTGATTTTGCTGTTTAAGATGACCCTAAGTGGGCCAATATTCAACATTCTTAAAGAAAAGAATTTTCAACCCAGAATTTCATATCTAGCCAAACTAAGCTTCATAAGCAAAGGAGAAATAAAATCCTTTACAGACAAGCAAATGCTGAGAGATTTTGTCACTGCCAGGCCTGCCCTACAAGGGTTCCTGAAGGAAGCACTAAATATGGAAAGGAAAACCCAGTACCAACCGCTGCAAAAACATACCAAATAGTAAAGACTATCAGTACTACGAAGAAACTGCATCAACTAATGGGCAAAATAACCAGCTAACATCATAATGACAGCATCAAATTCACACATAACAATATTAACCTTAAATGTAAATGGGCTAAATGCCCCAATAAAAAGTCAAAGACTGGCAAATTGGATAAAGAGTAAAGACTCATTGATGTGCTGTATTCAGGAGACCCATCTCACATGCAAAGACACACATAGGCTCAAAATAAAGTGATGGAGGAATATTTACCAAGCAAATGGAAAGCAAAAAAAAAAAAAAAAAAAAAACACACGGCTTGCAATTGTAGTCTCTGATAAAACAGGCTTTAAACCAACAAAGATCAAAAAAGACAGAAGGGCATTACATAATGGTAAAGGGATCAATGGAACAAGAAGAGCTAAATATCCTAAATATATATGCAACCAATACAGGAGAACTCAGATTCATAGAGTAAATTCTTAGAGACCTACAAAGAGACTTAGACTCCAATACAATAATCGTGGGAGACTTTAACACCCCACTGTCAATATTAGACAGATCAACAAGACAGAAAATTAACAAGGATATTCAGGACTTGAACTCAGCTCTCGACCAAGCAGAACTAATAGACATCCACAGAAATCTCCACCCCAAATCAACAGAAGATACATTCTTCTCAGCACCACATTGCACTTATTCTAAACTTAATTGGAAGTAAAACACTCCTTAGCAAATGCAAAAGAACGGAACTCATAACAAATTGTCTCTCAGACCACAGTGCAATCAAATTAGAACTCAGGATTAAGAAACTCACTCAAAACCACACAACTACATGGAAACTGAACAACCTGCTCCTGAATGACTTCTGGGTAAATAACAAACTTAAGGCAGAAATAAATAAGTTCTTCGAAACCAATGAGAACAAAGACATAATGTACCAGAATCTCCGGGACACAGCTAAAGCAGTGTTTAGAGGGAAATTTATAGCACTAAATGCCCACAGGAGAAAGCAATAAAGATCTAAAATCGACACCATAACATCACAATTGAAAGAACCAGAGAAGCAAGAGCAAACAAATTCAAAAACTGGCAGAAGACAAGAAATAACTAAGATCAGAGCAGAACTGAAAGAGATAGAGACATGAAAAACCCTTCAAAAAATCAATGAATGCAGGAGCTGTTTTTTTGAAAAGATTAACAAAATAGATAGATCACTAGCCAGAATAATGAAGAAGAAAACAGAGAAAAATCAAATAGCCACAATAAAAAGTGATAAAGGGGATATCACCACTGATTCCATGGAAACACAAACTACCATCAGAAAATATTATAAACACCTCTACTCAAATAAACTAGAAAATCTAGAAGAAATGGATAAATTCCTGGACACATACACCCTCCCAAGACTAAACCAGGAAGAAGCTGAGTCCCTGAATAGACCAATAACAAGTTCTGACATTGAGGCACTAATTTATAGCCTACCAACTAAAAAAAGCCCAGGACTAGACAAATTCACAGCTGAATTCTACTAGAGATTCAAAGAGGAGTTGGTACCATTCCTTCTGAAAGTATTCCAAACAATAGAAAAATAGGGACTCCTCCCTAACTCATTTTATGAGGTCAGCATCATCCTGATTCCAAAACCTAGCAGAGACACAACAAAAAAAGAAAATTTCGGGCCAATATCCCTGATGAACATCGATGTGAAAATCCTCAATGAAATTCCTGCAAACCAAATCCAGCAGCACATCAAAAAGCTTATCCACCACAATCAAGTCAGCCTCATCCCTGGGATACAAGGCTGGTTCAACATATGCAAATCAGTAAACATAACCCATCACATAAACAGAACCAATGACAAAAACCACATGATTATCTCAATAGATGCAGAAAAGGCCTTTGATAAAATAAACACCCCTTCATGCTAAAAATTCTCAATAAACTAGGTAGTGATGGAACGTATCTCAAAATAACAAGACCTATTCATGCCAAACCCACAGCCAATATCATACTGAATGGCCAAATGCTGGAAGCATTCCCTTTGAAAACTGGCACAAGACAAGGATGCGGTCTCTCACCCTTCCTATTCAAAATAATGTTGGAAATTCTGGCCAGGGCAATCAGGCAAGAGAAAGAAATAAAGGGTACTCAAGTAGGAAGAGAGGGAGACAAATTGTCTCTGTTTGCAGATGACATGATTGTATATTTAGAAAACCCCATCATCTCAGCCCAAAATCTCCTTAAGCTGATAAGCAACTTCAGCAAAGTCTCAGGATACAAAATAAACGTGCAAAAATCACAAGTGTTCCTATACACCAATAACCAAAAAAGAGCCCGCATGGCCAAGTCAATCCTAAGCAAAAAGAACAAAGCTGGGGGCATCATGCTACCTGACTTCAAACTGTACTACAAAGCTACAATAACCAAAACAGCATGGTACTGGTACCTAAACAGATATATAGACCAATGGAACAGAACAGAGGCCTCAGAAATAATGCCACACATCTACAACCATCTGATCTTTGACAAACCTGACAAAAGCAAGCAATGGAGAAAGGATTATCTATTTAATATATGGTGTTGGGAAAAGTGGCTAGCCATATGCAGAAAACTGAAACTGGACCCCTTCCTTACACCTTATACAAAAATTAACTCAAGATGGATTAAAGACTTAAACGTTAGACCTAAAACCATAAAAACCATAGAAGAAAACCTAGGCAATACCATTCAGGACACAGGCATGGGCAAAGACTTCATGACTAAAACACTCAAAGCAATGGCAACAAAAGCCAAAACTGACAAATGGGATCCAATTAAATTAAAGAGCTTCTGCACAGCAAAATAAACTATCATCAGAGTGAACAGGCAACCTGCAGAATGGGAGAAAACTTTTGCAATCTATCTATCTGACAAAGGGCTAATATCCAGAATCTATAACGAACTTAAACAAATTTGCAAGAAAAAAAAAACATCAAAAAGGGGACAAAGGATATGAACAGACACTTCTCAAAAGAAGACATTTATGCGGCCAACAAACATATGAAAAAAATCCCATCATCACTGGTCATTAGAGAAATGCAAGTCAAAACCACAAGAGATACCATCTCACACCAGTTAGAATGGCGATCATTAAAAAAATCAGGAAACAACAGATGCTGGAGAGGATGCGGAGAAACAGGAATGCTTTTACACTGTTGGTGGGAGTGTAAATTAGTTCAACCATCGTGGAAGACAGTGTGGTGATTCCTCAAGGATCTAGAACCAGAGAAATACCATTTGACCCAGCAATCCCATTACTGGGTGTATACCCAAAGGATTATAAATCATTTTACTATAAAAATACATGCACACGTATGTTTACTGAAGCACTATTCACAATAGGAAAGACTTGGAACAAACCCTAATGCCCATCAATGATAGACTGGATAAAGAAAATGTGGCACATATACACCATGGAATACTATGCAGCCATAAAAAAGAATGAGTTCATGTCCTTTGCAGGGACATGGATGAGGCTGGAAACCATCATTCTCAGCAAACTAACACAGGAACAGAAAACCAAACAGCACATGTTCTCACTCATAAGTGGGAGCTGAAAAATGAGAACACATGGACACAGGGAGGGGAACACCACACACTGGGGCCTGTTGGGGGTGGGGGGCTAGGGGAGGGATAGCATTAGTAGAAATACCTAATGTAGATGACAGGTTGATGAGTGCAGCAAACCACCATGACACATATACACCTATGTAACAAACCTGCACGTTCTGCACATGTATCCTAGAACTTAAAGTATAATTTAAAAAATGCCCCCTAGGCATGATGCTCAAGTGCTCTCTAGTGTTCCTAAGTACGAGACTGTGCTATGCCTTAAGAGAAAATACACATGCTTGAAAGGCTTCATTTTAGTATGAGTTATATGGGGAAAAGTAGTCCTGGTAATGTTCACTTCTCTAGTTTCAGCCTTATCAGAAGTCAGCTGTGCCTATACTTACCACCCCCATCCTTGCTTTTTGCTTTGTACTTTGTTTCTATTGCTTGCACATGTTATTTCACCTGTATCATAAGTGAAATCACAGCAAGTAGCAATAATAACTGAGAAAAAAATACTAGCAACGTATGTGACAAAGAGTTGTATTCTTTAAAACTGAAAAATCAGTAAGTGAAAAGCCCTTTCATTTTTAAAAACAATCTTTTCAGGTATAAAATCTCATCTGAGTTTAAATCAAAATTTCAATCTTTGAATTCAAAACTTAACCCTAGTGTCAGCTTAGGCCTTGGTGATGTTCACTTCTATATTTATCATGTAAGCAGTCTATGTTTGTTTTGCATAGAGATATTTAATAAGTCATTTAAAGGTTAGGTTCCACAAACAGTTTTCTTTTACTCAATGCAATATAACAATACAACATTCCTATTATGATATCTATTTTTAATATGAAGACAGTTTAATGTTTTATTCTCCATAGTAGCAAATGATTTTTATGGAATAAGAGTCTTACATATATTGGCTAGATGATTGACGATTATGGAAATCAAGTTGATATTGCTTTGTTAATCTTTACATGAAGTATGCTCATTTAAACAAATATATCATTTGTGAATTATATACAAACAATGTAATGTAGGTGAATTGTACTGACACTTTAAAGGTAAATATAGTGTTTGGATTTATGTGATCTCAAAGAACAAAGCAGCTATATGACTAACAAATCAGCTGCCCTTCGTGTGATGGCTTCTTTATGTGTTAGTCATCTATTTGGGACTCTCTTATGATTCTAATAGCACATTTTCTCATGAAGATAATGTCATGACTTCCTTGGATGGAAACTTCTAGTTGTCTCACAACATCTATTCTCCTTTTCTTTCTTAGAACCCTGTGTTTTAGGTGGGCCTATTGCCAATCAAAGATTACCTTTAGTAGCTCATCTTGTGGCTAGATATGGCATATGATTAAATCTAGGTCAATAATATGCAGGCGGAAGCATAATATGAGACTCATGAGTAGTGATGAAAGAAAAAGGGCCTGCTCTTATGTCAATCATCTTCTCTGTTGCCTCGAACCCAGACTTAATGATGGGATCTCTAACAGGTTTTTCAGACTATGAAGTAATTATAAACTTGGAAACAACACTGAAAGTGATGAAGCACATGATAGAATTCCCAGTCTTTGTGACACAGTGAAGCCTCTCTACTGGTTTTAGATTTCTTAGCTTCAGACATTTTTTAAGAAAGAGAAACTTCTATCACATTTAAGCAAATATTATGTTTGACATTTCTGTTATATGCAGCTGAATCTGACAGAATCCTAAATTTTCTTTCAAAGAAGATTAATAATTTTTAAAATACACATGTGCTCAATATATATCTGATACTGGCAGCATGTTAAAGAGGAGGAAGTGATCAGCTTATTCTAATGTAGTTGATGGTATCAAGTATAATGAATACTGAGAACCAACCACTGGATCTAGTAATGTGAAGATCATTGCTTGCTTTGAAAAGAACAGTTTTTAATAACTATTGACGAAAAAAGGAGACATGAAAGGAGCCAAAACACATTTGAAGTAGGTTTAACAGAGAATGGGAAGAAAGGATTTGCAGAAGAGGATCTACACAAGTCATTTAAATAATTTTGTTGCAAAAGTGATAAATAAAAGGAGAAAGCAACAGAGGAAATGGGATTAGAAGGTATTTTAAAAGAAAAAATAAAAGCATTGTTGCATGACCGTAGGTATGATCAAGGAAGAGAAGGAAATATTGCTAACGCAGAGCCTAGACCAACTGGGAGGGATGTGATATAGAGCCCAGAGGAGCAATCACTTCAAATGGGAACATGGATGGCTCATTTATAGGCCCAAGTGGGAAGGCAAAAGTTGTGAGTGGGAATGGTGGTAAGTGAGTACAAGTCGTGGTGGAAGACTATGCCACTTATGTATTGCTACAGTTTTTAAGAAATATAGGAAGCAAGGCCATTGGCTAAGAGTGATGATAGAGGAGATTTGGAGGTGTGAGAAGAGAGTCTTTTAAGGGGATGCTTCCCAAACTTAAATACACTATGCAGAAGAATCTCCTAGTATCTTGATAAAACTCAGGTTCGTATTCAGTAGGTCTAGGATGGGGTCTGAGATCTGTATTTCTCAGAATATCTAGGTAATATCAATAGTGTTGGCCCATGGGCTACACATGGAGTAGCAAAGTTCTATGAGAAATGAGAAAGTTGAGTGAATCAGGAAAGTACTGAGTGCGTAACAGCATTAAACATCTACTGGAGTTCATTGCTGTTAACTGAAAGTGAAACTAATCAGAATATTTGTGTGTTTTGTTCCAACTACTCTGGGCTTAAATGAGGCCAAATGTGGCTGGAAGTGAAAGTGAAAATGATGAAGGAAGAGAGATATGAGTCAAGGGTGTGTGCACTGGAGAGGTTATAATTGGTAAATTTAAGCTGGGTTAGGAGGGAGAAGTGTTACAGAGTGAATATATCCTGCCGCAACTCATTTGTTGAAGCTCTAACCCCCAGTGCAATGGAATTTAGAGGTAAGGCCTAAGGGAGATAATTAGAGCTAGATGGGGTCATGTAAGTGGGTCCCTCATGATGAGATTAGTGGCCTTATAAATAGAGTATGAGAGAGACCTCTCCTCTCTTTACCCAAAAAAAAAAAAAAAACAAAAAAAAAAAAAAAAAATATCAGTGCACCCAGAAAAGATCTTTGCACTGAGGAAAGATCACATGAGGACACAGCAAGAAGGCAGCTGCCTGCAATCCAAGAGACAGCTGTCACCAAAACCTGAATTGGCTGGCACTCTTGATCTTGGACTTCCCAGCCACTGGGACCATGAGAAAATACATTTCTGTTATTTAAGCCACCACACTTCGTTATGGCAGCTTGAGCAGACTAGTAACGAAGGAGACGGAACAACAAGAAGGTAAGGGTCAGTAAAAACAGATTCGTGAAAAAGGTGATGTTGAAATTTTTGTGATGAGGAGACTAGATAATGAGATTATAGTTGGGGAGGATACCAGGTACTGACAATGTCAAGGTCTAGGATGTGACCATGAGACTGAGTGGTTGAATTAGGGTGGAAGACAAGCTTTGGGGAAGAGGGGAGTTCAAGAAACAGAGGCGCCCACATTTAAAAGGACTATTCATGTTCTCATCAAAACCTGAAATAAAGAAGAGAATGACAGTGAGTCAGGGGCTAACAGTTATAGTGACTGATGTAACTGATGATACTTTCAAAGATGCAAGTTTCAAAGAGAAGAGGTAATAATGTGCTAGAAATGACAACAGTAGATACCTTTTGCTGAATGCCTTCTAATACAAGTTAAGCACTCTGTAGACATTGTGTCTGTTCATTCACAAATAACATCACCATTCACACCATTCATCACCATTCATAAATAAAGAATCTGAAGTTCAGAGAGGTTAATTAACTTTCCTAAGGTCACACAACTAGTAAGTGGATGTACTATGGTTTCAGAACCAATCAGTTTGAATCTAAAGGCCCCATGATGGATAAGCTGCTTATTTTAAAGTTTTTTTTCCTTAATAGTTTTTACATATCCAGAAGCAAAAGCAAGAAAACATTTTTCAACAGTTTCATCTCCTCAAAAATAAACAGAAACTAGAGCTAGAGCTAAAAGCCTATTTCTTTCTTCTTGTTATTCAAACCACACTCACTTCATACTACCTCATACACTTCAGTCTGTGATATGATACATAGTAGGTCTTCCAGACTTTAAAGTTTAATGTTCCACCTTTGTGATTTTTGTCATTTCTACTTACTTCCTAAACCCAAATTCTACCTGATTTAGCTTTCTCCTAGGGAATGATATCTATCATACCACAGTTTAGTGGGGAAATAATATTATTTTAAAATGCAGTGAAATATATAACTAGTAAAGTATACTTGTGTACAGAGAAAAATCAAGTTCTATCTCACTGGTAGCAAGCATATCAAATTTGGGGAAATTCAGGGATGGAGGCTATGGCATCGGGCTAGAAGTCAAAAGGCTAGAGTTCCGGACTAGCTCTTCCACTTATGGAGCTGTGCACTTGCAAAATATGCAGACTTTCAAAGCCTCTGGTCTCTGGAATGGATTTAGCACAATCTTGGCACATTGTATATTTTTCAATAAATATTAGCAAATATATCAATAATTTTCATGTCACCCACTGGTTACTTATAATCCCTCAAATATTTTGCCTCTTCTTTGTATCTCTGGAAGGAGATGAAATAGCCTTTCAACTACAGGTTTTCTAAAAGCTGGGTGTGCACTGTTTCTGCTATGCTACAAGAAGGTGAAACCATATAACTCAAAAGAAAGAGACAATCCTAAGAAAAATGAGTTAATTTCATAAACCTGAGTTGTAATTCTCAGATGCAGAATATTAAAAAGCCAACACTTTCTGTAAGAGCTTTCAGGACTCCAGGGGAAGCTTGATCTGTCTAATAAACTATAATGATAATAACCAAGCATACCTCACAGGGGTACTAAGCTTTAATGACTCAATACTCGTGGAACCTTTTGAGCACCTCCAATGTTATGTAAGCATAAATGAATAAGTAGGGACATTATATACCATTGTTATTTCTGCATTAAATTTATCTTGATAATTTCTTACAATATCTTATAAGGCAGGCACTGTATGAGACTAATACATGAACAAAGATATGAAAGAAATATAATATATAGTAGTGCTTTCCAATGAAATAATTATACTCTTATATTAGTGAAAGAGAATGGGGTCATTAATTGTACCTCTAAAAAGTCATTCCTCGATTGTAAAGAAGGCAAATGAGAATCTGGAATAGACACTTAAGATATAAATGTCTATAAAGAGTTTGAAAAAACACTTGCTATTTTTTTTTCCTATGGAAGAGACATCTAAGTTTTTAGATGCATTTTTTACACTGAAGAAATTTTAATGATTCTTTCACTGTTTAAGTTATAACTTCATAAAAATTTCATACATTTTTATATATCTTTCATCTTGCCTTTCTATCCTCTCCTCCATAGCATCTCTGTGCTATGATAGTACTTTAATGTCCTAGTTTAACAATAAATCCTCGCAACCCTATATATGTTTGTCATATTTTCCAAAACACACAACTGTAATTGTTATACTGTCCTGAATTTCAACTGAGGTAGCTAAGCATAGGATACAATGACACAAGCAATCTCTTCAACAAACTTTGGTGTAATACCTGGATCTCCATCAATGAAAGAGTCATTTTTGTCAGAAAATATCAACCTTTAAAATGGAAAATCCCCTGAAAGAATTCTACTGAGGAGACTGCTCTTCTCACCCTTGCCTTTTTTCTTCTACCTAGCTGACATCATTTTCCTCAAGACAAAGGGAGTTTGTAAGGGTGAGAGGAGAGAAAAAATAATCAGTCATCTCTTCATGAGGAGAGTAATTCTGGGTGTGACAATTCTGTACCAAGGTTTGAGCAGATTTCACTTCCTGAGACAGGACAGGGGATGTTGGGAGGTGGGAAGACATCAATACTAAATCCACATGCTTCCCATTCTTCCTAGGAGCAGACAAGATTGGCAATAAGCAGCAGAGTCACATGCCTCCAGTACCAAGATCATATTTTCCATTTACTGAATATTATTCTCAGTATTCTGGGTCAAGGTCCAGAACTTTCATGCACAGTTAATTGTATTTTACGTGTCAAACACCCTAAATTTTGTCCCTCCGGTAGCATTGTTATCAATAGAACTCAGACCTGGACCAGAAGGGGCTGTGCCTCAGCAGCTGCTAAAGCTGCCTTTCACCACATACTCCCCACAGGGCCAAGGACATGTGGCCACTCAGAGCCTGTGCTCCACCTTGTAGACCATGACATGGGTACCTGGGACTCTGGATGGCTGTTCCAAAAGCCCCAAGCCCACTTCCCAGCTCTGTGGGGCTCTTTCCTGAAGTATCTCTTTCTGCTGAGTTGCCGGCAGGGTGTGTCCAGGGTGAACCACAATGGTGTCAAGAAACAGCCGTGTGTTCTCATTGTTCAATTCCCACCTATGAGTGAGAACATGCAGTGTTTGGTTTTTTGTCCTTGTGAGTTTGCTGAGAATGATGGTTTCCAGCTTCATCCATGTCCCCACAAAGGACATGAACTCATCATTTTTTATGGCTGCATAGTATTCCATGGTGTATATGTGCCACATTTTCTTAATCCAGTCTATCATTGTTGGACATTTGGCTTGGTTCCAAGTGTTTGCTATTGTGAATAGTGCTGCAATAAACATACATGTGCTTGTGTCTTTATAGCAGCATGATTTATAATCCTTTGGGTGGGGGGGGGGAGGGGGGAGGGATAGCATTAGGAGATATACGTAATGTTAAATGATGAGTTAATGGGTGCAGCACACCAACATGGCATATGTATACATATGTAACTAACCTGAACGTTGTGCACATGTACCCTAAAGCTTAAAGTATAATTAAAAAAAAAAAGAAACAACCGTTAACAGAGATGTCCATTGTTCTTTGTTGTGAGGGTGTCCTGAGGGCACTGGAAGCCCCTCAAATGCAGGATGCTGCTGGGATGGTCAGAAGCAGCAGAAGAAAAGTGGATGGTGGAGTGGAGACAGCTAGAGGCAGGGGACCAGCTTCCACCATCACATTCAGTTGCAGACCAAAGGGTCTGAAAATTCTAAATGAGAATCTTGCCTTCCAGCCTAGCCTCGGCCTCCTTCTAAGATGTTTAAAGAAAAGCCTGGGACATAGGGCCTGAGGTCACTAAGTGGACAGAGGATTCCAGGCATGGACTGGGTGAGGTAAAGACAAACCTCAAAGCCACCAAGAAATTTCTCCCCTTCCCTGACTGAGCTACCTTGCCCCCACACTGTTTATGGCAGAAACAAAATTCAGAAATTATGCTATTCATGTTACTGTTCCTTTACACATATTTTAAAAGCTTTTTTCTTATAAAGCTGTATTCATTTGTATAAATGTACAAACTTTTTACAGTTTATCTTTCTTATTCCTTTTTTATATTTAGACAGGCTGGATCTGATTATGTAAGAAGCACTCATGGCTTTCCTGGGTATAAGATTTGGTATAAGGGTGAGAGAAAATTACTGATTATAATGAGTATATTTTTATTTTCATGCTACCATGCAAAAGGGGAATGAGAGATGGAGGAATATTATGCAGACTATGAAGTTTTCTTGAAATCGTACTTTAAGAAACATATATTAAAGTGCTTCTTTTTCCATTGTGAGCAAAGCACTGATCTATATATAAAATGGAAAAATGATTAAATTTGTAATCAGAAGTATGAATAGATAAGTGGCTATTATGTAGAAACCTATATTAAAGTATATTAAAAAATTATTGTAGAACTTTATCTTAGGCAATAGAATGGAAGAATTTTAGAAATAACCATTCATTTTATATGTGTAAGAAAGTTGAGACCCAGAGCCTCAGCCGAGGCCCCATAATTAATTAGCATGGCACTAGATTTCTAATTTAAGGAGTTTTTGCTGTAGTCTGTCACAAATAATGGATCCATCATTAAGACAAAATACCCAAAAAGCTACTTAATAATACCTATGGCTCTCCAACTATTTCTGTTGAACTAATGTAAACATTCCCCAGTCCCACGTCTCTACATTCCTGGTTTGTTATATAAGAATTGCTAATTATTGCTTGCTATTTGATTATTGCTTAATGGCTTACCTGGAATTGACTGACTAAGCCAATATTCTGCAAACCTAGGGAAAACTATGTATAAATGGTTAACTGAATAGTTATGGTCCTTAGCTCTTAATTTAAGGACTCCTTGGCTAAACAATGAAAGGATCACTGAATAACACATTTCATTTGAGGGAAATATTCATCAGAAGTCTTCATTCAACCCTAAAATTATGGGTGTTTTAGATCTGTGATCAGGATCACCAATCAAAACACCACTTCTCAGTGTTTGACTAGAACATTAGAGTATAAATGGTCTTGTATATACACGGCAGAAGTCTGATTTAGTTTTTAAAAATGTGAACAATGAAAAAATGGTTATAAAAATTACATTAACAATTTTAAAGAAATGCAAATTATATTTTGATACGTTTCTATTTTGTCTGTGCGACACAACTAAAAGTGGATTATGTTAGAGAAAATCAAACCTACATTGATTTTATTTGCATGAGAAAGGTATCTTTTCAAAAATTCAAATGTAACTTACATAAAGTGTTTAAATCTTAAATATATATCTCGATTATTTTTTATATGTTGACTTACTCATGTAACCACTTCCCAAATCAAGGTACAAGACATTCCAGACCCCTTCCTTGAAGATTCCCTTGTGCTCTTATCCAGACAATACTCTCCACCCCACCACACAATTCTGACTTTGGTCACCACATGTATTGGTCCATTCTTACGCTGCTATGAAGAAATACCCGAGACTGGGTAATTTATAAAGAAAAGAGGTTTAATTGACTCACAATTCCGCATGGCTAGGGGTGCCTCAGGAAACTTACAATTATGTTGGAAGGCGCCTTTCACAGGGTGGCAGGAGAGACAGTGAGTGCAAGCTGGGGAAATGCCAGATGCTTACAAAACCATCAGATCTTGTGAGACTCACTATCATGAAAACAGCATGGGGGAAACCAACACCATGATCCAGTTACCTCCACCTGGCCCCACCCTTATGGAGATTACAATTCAAGTGAGATTTTGGTGGGGACATGGAGCCAAACCATATCACCATATTAGTCTTGTTTCTTTTGGAACCTCCTGTAAATAGAGTCTTACATCAGGTACTATGTTGTGTCTCACTTATTTCACTCAACATTAACTCTGTAAGATTCATGCATGTTGTTGTGTGTATCAATAATCAGTTCTTTCTCACTGCTGTGCAGGAATTGGTAGGTTGACGTGTATAAGTAGGTTTAGCATTAGTAATGAATATCAAATATTTTTCTAAATTAATAAGGTAAAAGTTCTAGTTATTTCACATCCTCACTCATTCTTAATACTTTTGCTCATTTTCATTTTAGCCATTACCCACTGATGGGTAAGGAGTGACTTTAACTGGCATTTATCTGATAACTAATATTCTGAGGATCTTTTTATATATTCATTGGCTATTTTTCTATTCTCTTTTGGAAAGTGTTTAAATCTTTTACCCCCTTTTAAATGAATTTTTAAATTTAATATAAGTACTTCATTATATGTTCTCTATAAACCCATTATTGGGTATATATGTACTGCAAATATTTTCTCTCAGTTTGTGCTCACCTTTCATTGTCTGAATAATTTAATGAACAAAAAGTCTTATGTAAATAAAAGTCAATAGTTTAATGGTTATTATACAGATATGTTTTATCGTTTTCTTGGAGAATGTTGACTATTTTAGCTTTCAAATATAAGTCTTTGCCCCATCTTCAAAGTAGTTTTATGTGGTATAAAGGCCCATGTCCTTAAAAAAAATGCGTAATACAAATGACCCAACACCATTACTGAGAAGATGGTTATGTCTCCCTTGACTTGCAATTGAGTGCCCATGTTATTATATTGGTCTATTTTTGGACTAAATAAATCAGGTGCAGATGTTATTATATTGGTCTATTTTTGGACTACCTACACGTTTTTGTTTTTTTTTTTTTTTTGAGACGGAGTCTCACTCTGTCACCCAGGCTGGAGTACAGTGGCACCATCTTGGCTCACTGCAACCTCCACCTCCCGAGTTCAAGCAATTCTCCTGCCTCAGCCTCCCAAGTAGCTGAGATTACAGGTGCCCACCACCATTCCTGGCTAATTTTTGTATTTTTAGTAGAGACGGGGTTTCACCATGTTGGCCAGGCTAGTCTCGAACTCCTAACTCAGCCTCCCTAAGTGCTGGGATTACAGGCATGAGCCACCGCACCGGGCTTGAACTATGTATCCTTTTCACTGGTTTATTTGACTCTCCTTGCACCAATATTACAGTCTTAATTACTGTCTCTTTATAATAGGTCTTTGTATCTGTTAGTGTTGAGTTTTACAGCTGTGTTCTTCTTCAACATTACTGGACTCTTCTTATTCCCCTGCATACATTTTACTCTTCACACACATTTTAGAATAATCTTGATTTCCACTAAAAAAAATGCAGAATTTTTAAATGATATTGAATCTATAGACCAATTTAGGGAAGATTCACCTGTTAAAATATTTTCTTCCTATCCAGGATATCATCTGTATCTCTGCTTATTAGGTCTTTAACCTCTGTCAGTAATGTTTTCTATGTAATTCTAAACTCTGATCTTTGATTTTTTTTTTTTTTTTTTTTAACCTAGTGAAACTGCACTCTCTGGTAGGCTTCATTGCCTTGAGACTGCACTATCTGAATGGGCTCTATTTTCCTCAGTTGTTATACAGAAAATACCTGAGCAAGAAAGTTAGTGAATGTGGATACTTACCACATCTTCCCTTATCTCAAGAATTATAACTCTGTATGGTGGCCTCTTAGTGCCTGCAAATTATTGCTTTTTAAATTTAAAATATTTTTCCAGCTTGTATTGTATCCCAACATGAGCGAGTTTAAATCTGTTTCCAGCTACTTCAAAACAACCAGAACCAACCCTAAAATTTTAAAAGTAATTTTTACAAGAAAAATTGTATTTTAATATGTATTTTAACCAGTAGAATATTTTATCTACTTTTGCAATTTTTTGTTTTATTCTATAACTTTGTTCCCAAAAGACTGTAAGATATAATGGAATTGAAAATAAGAACAGTTTTTTTTTTTTTAATTCCTTCTTTCTTTTTTTTAATTCTTTTTTTTTTTTTTTTTTGAAAATGGGGTCTCTCTGTTTTGGCCAGGCCGGAGTGTGGTGGTACCATCTTGGCTCACTGCAACCTCCACCTCTTAGGCTCAAGCGATCCTCCCACCTCAGCCTCCTGAGTAGCTGGCACTATAGGCAAATGCCACCATACCTGGCTAATTTTTGCATGTTTTGGTAGAGATGGGGTTTCACCATGTTGCCCAGGTTGGTCTTGAACTCCTGAGCTCACATAATTTATCCATTTCAGCCTCTCAAAGTGCTGGGATTACAGGCATGAGCCACCATGCCCACCTAGAATCCAGTTTTTTAATGACAGTGCAGAATATCTGTTTTCTCTGATGTATAAGGTATTTATAGTAAGCGGCATTTTAAAAACTAGGTTTCCTTATGAAAGATTAATTCTACATGCTGAATACTTGATCCCAAACCAATGAAGTTCTTAATAAGATTGTTCGAGCTAGTCAGGGACCTAGCAGGATAAAAGAAAAAATGATACATTTAAATTAGGTAATTAGAGGAGTGTTTAACACAAGGGCTATTTACAAGTAGGTAGACATGGTGTAGAAAAACTACAAGAGTTAGTGCTATACTTGGACAAATAAATTACAGCACTAATACCACCCTTAGTAAAGAAGTGGCACAAAAATAGAGAGGGCTATTTTAAGAGGAATTCCTGACAAGAACTGAGATATTTAGTCAGGAGATTCATTCTTCCACGAAAAGGATGCCAGAAACGAAAAAACACATTCAGACCTCATTTTTCTCCCTTCGTTTATTCTCCTGCTGGAGCTTACCTTTTGGTCCAAATGAACAGGATGCCAAAGGAAAGGGAGCTTGTTGATGGAATTCATACAAGTTCAGTCTTCCAGAACACAGTGTAGGATGGAAATAAATAATGTTTCTGGTTGGGCAAACAGAAACTGTCTAGCACATCAGCGATAGGGTTTGTTTCTCCCCTAATAACCATTTCAAGTTGGACTTATTTTCTCAGAAAATAAATTCATAACACACATGCATAAATGCATGCATGTGTACATCTATCTATCTGTTACACCTCAGTTAAGTAAATTCCTAAAATCAAGTTTAATTTGAGACTATATTAACTACCTATGGAAGTAAACAGTTTTGTAAATTTGAAAATGGAAATTGCTGTTTACCTTATCTTGCACTTTCTAGCAGGTTCAAAGGCAAAGTTGTGAAGTAAGTCCTTTTCCTCCTCACTTTTGAACTCTTTCCACATTTTCTGTTTTATTAGACTATGAGAAGTTTAAGGCCTTAATGAAATGTAACTCCTCTCTATGGTACTCTACCCAACCTCTTAATATCTCAGGGAAAGACTTTCTATCCTACAATGATATCAATTAAACTAGAGTGACTTTCACAATACAAGTAACTGATACAGGATATATTGTATTTAAGAAGATGATTTCATAGGACAATAAATCCTCAAAGCCATAGTGATAATAATTTTATTGCAAAATGAATCACATAGTATCTTTTTGTTTACTCGAAGGGGAAGGTCCTAGTTTATGGTCCTTTTATACCTCTCTAACACTTTCTTATTCCCCTCTTCCCCCTTTAAATAGAGAGAGAGCATTCTGTAAACTCAGAATTATCATGATTGTAGTCCTGATAAACTGACATCTATTAATTAATAAAGGAGAGGCTGGGTGTGGTGGCTCACACCTGTAATCCCAGCACTTTGGGAGGCTGAGGTGGGCGGATCACCTGAGGTCGGCAGTTCAAGACCAGCCTGACCAACCTGGAGAAACCCTGTCTCTACTTAAAAAATACAAAATTAGCCAGGCATGGTGGTGCATGCCTGTAATCCCAGCTACTCAGGGCGGCTGAAGCAGAATTGCTTGAACTCAGGAGGCAGAGATTGCGTTGAGCCGAGATGGCACCATTGCACTCCAGCCTGGGCAACAAGAGCAAAACTCCATCTCAATCAATCAATAAATCAATCAATCAGTAAAGGAGAGAGTAAGATCTCATCTCAAAAAAAAAAAGTAGTTTTGAAATCCTTGCATTAATTTATTTACATTTACTCTCTATTAAGAGCAAATACTACCTGTTTAACACATATTGAAGTGATTTATTATATAACTTTATGTAATTTTTGTACATAAATTTCTAAAAGTAGAAAATATCAAGTCCATAATAGCATAAGCAGGACATATATAGGACAAACCTTATCCAGGTGGTAATTCTTAAGGTTTAAGGAAAATGGGCAATGTCTTTGTTTTTGTTCTCTGTTGTATTTTCTATTCTTTTAACAATGTGTGACACGGAGTAGATCATCAATAAACATATGTTGTGTGATTGAATTTTTAATTGGAATTTAAGACAGACTAGTAAAAAGAAATGTCTTTGGAAAGACACCTTCAAGCTATATCATGTAGGTCAATTCTAGTTTTGCCTACCCAAGAGGCTGAATCTACTGTTATGGAATGTGTTACTTGTCTTTCAAATTTCATCTTTGCTATGGTTTGAACGTTCCTGTTCCCTTTTGGGAAGTAATTAAGTCATGTGGGGTCAGCTCTGATGAATGGATTAGTACCCTTAGAAACGGGCTTGAGGAAACTAGCTAGGCCCTTTTTATCCCTTTGCTTTTTCCACCATGTGTGTGATGGCAGCGGTGGGCTGTATGGAGCTGCCATCATGCTGGCTTCAGCAGGGAGGTATGGGCAGTGGTGGCAGGAGTTGCTGCAGGAGCAGCGGTGGCAGCAGTGGGACCCCTATGTCCCACTTCCCCAAGGCAGCCAACTGTACCACCCCCATCCTTGCACAGCCAGGCAGGACCCGCTCACAGGCCCAGGGCCTCTGCCACAGCCTCAATCTTACTCCCCACTGCGTCCTGGGAGCCTGCGAGCACCTGGGCAAAGGTGCAACAGGGACTCGCAGGGCTGGCCTCAGGAACATAGGGTTCATTTGTGAGGGGTTGGCTGGGGCCACTGCACCACCTGCACCTCACCTGCCACCACTGCAAGGAAAATGCAGACAGGAGGCATGGATGGGGCTGCATGCTCCATGGAGCCAGTGGGAGCCGGGGACAAGCAGGAGCCCTGCCCCTTCCAAGCTGGCAGGGCAGAAGTTCCCCAGGTACAATTGCAACTGTCTAAGCCGGGGCTGCAACCTGGGCACCCCTGTGCTTTTGGAAGCCAGAAGCAGACAGGAGGCCTGCCCTCCCAGGCACAGTTGTGGCAGCCCAAGCCATAGCTGCACACCTAGGCACCTCTGCACTCTTGGTGGCCTGGGAAGACTCCCCATCCCACCACAGGCTCAGAAGTGCCTGCTCCCACTGTCCAGCTTCTCCCTGCTGTCAGCGCCCACTCTGATCAGACAGCAGAGTTGAGGCCAATTCTGGGTGATGTTGCAACCTAGCCAGGTATGTGCACACTTGGGGCAGTGATAACACGCCAGGCCCCTGCCGCCAGGCCCCTTCTGGACTTTGGGCACCAACAAGCCAGGGAGGGAGGCCAAGTGGTAGCTGAGGGCAGCTTGACCCTGGCCTGCAGGTGCCTCTCAGCATGAACAACCTGGGTGCCATGAACAGGAGCAGGAGGCAGACAGGCTCCTGTGTAGAAAGGGGTGGGTACCAATGAAGCGCCACCTTCAAACTGGGGAAGGCCTGAAGCGTGGGGGCCAGGCTGCTGGTCCCACAGACCTGAGTGGGAACTTGTGGCACATTTTGGGGACCTGCTCATGGCCGTCCATGGACCAATCAGCATGCACTTCATTCTCGCTGAGGCCCATAAAAGCCCCAGACCTCAGCCAGACTAGAAGACATGAGGAGATGACCAACTGCAGAGAGGAGCTACGCACTCTGCTGAGAGCAAAAGAGATGAGGGGATGACCAGCTGCATAGAGCAGCTACCCTCTCCCCTGAGAGCAGAAAAGATGACAGAACAACCAGCTGCAAAGAGCTGATACCCTCTCTGTTGAGGAAGAAGAGATGACAGGACGACCAGCGGTAGGGAGGAGCTACCCTCTCTGCTAGGAGCTGAACACTCATTGGGACACCCTGGCTACGGAGAGGAGCTACCCACTGCAGGTCTCCTCTGAGCTATTCTATTGCTCAGTAAAGCTCCTCCTCATCTTGCTCAACTTCTACTTGTCTGTGTACCTCATTCTTCTTGGATGCAAGACAAGAACTAGGCACCTGCCAAATGGCGGGGCTAAAAGAGCTGTAACATAAACTGGACTGAAACACACGCCTTACTCACAATGTTGCAGGTGACAAGAAGGAGAGAAGAGCTGCAGCCCTTAAGGGCCCAGACCTAGGAGCTCCCTAAGCCAAGGCTCTGACACCCTCTTTAGGGCTCTAAGGTTCTTGGCATCTCCAAGCATCTGGGTGCCACTGCATTCCCCAGTGTCAGCCAAGGAAGCTTCTTATGGTACACCTGGTCCAGCTGTGCTTCATAGGGAGCCAGCACCCATGCCAGTTCCTGGAACTGCCTGCCCCACCGCAGCCAGCATGTCTGGCTGTGCAGTGGCTGGACCCCACACTTGCTCACACACCCCTTGCTGCTCTGTGCCTGGCTTGCCCTTGGCACGTACGGTATCCAGGCCAGTAGTGTGAGCCAAGTGCAGCCTGCTGGGCCAAGTGGGTGGAATGAGCCCAGTAGGCCAGAGCAAAACTCAGAAAAAGGTGCTACTGGCCACAGAGGTTTCTGGCTGGTGAAGTGACACCCCAACGGTATTATAACATGAGGACACAGAATTCAAGGTGCCATCTTGAAGCAGAGGGAGCCGCTTTCACTCAACAATGAACCTACTGGCACCTTGATGTTCAGCTTCCCAGACTCCAGAACTGTGAGAAGTAAATTTCTATTCCTTGTAAGTTACTCAGTCTCAAGTATTTTGTTATAGCAGCACAAACGACTATGACAGTCTCATTATACAGGTTGAGCATCCCTAATCCAAAAACAGAAAATCTAAAATACTCCAAAATCCAAAACTTTTTGAGCATTGACGTGATACCACATGTGAAATATTCCACACCTTATCTCATGTGACAGGCCACAGTCAAAATGAAAGCACACAACACCCAGTTTGTTCAGTGTACCCAAGGTAGAAAAGATCCTCCCAGCCCACTTCTGCTGTGACGTATCTTTTCCATTCATGCCCAGATTCCCCCATGCAAGCGCATCCGAAAAGGGTAAGAAAATGGGACATGGGCAAGTCAGATGCACCAACAAGAGGTTCCCCATAATGCGCCACATGGGGCCAAGACCTATGTTCATTACTCACTGTGTGTGTTTTTTGTTGTTGTTTCTTCTCTGTTCTGTGGTATAAAGATGTTGTTGAAAATGTCAAAAATAAAAAGCTTGCAGATATTCCTATGTAACCGTGTTAAGAAGAAGAAGAAGAATGTATGTTTATCTACAGCACACAAAATTAAGCTATTGGAGAAACTGGACAGTGATTTAAATATAGATGTATTTTAAAAGTGTGGTGTTGGAATGACCACCACATATTACTTGAAGCAACAGAAAGATAAACAATTAAAATTCTGTGCTGCAAGTGATGAACAGAAGTTAATGAAAAATAGAAAATCACTGCCCAAATTTAAAACTGAAGATCTCAATGATGTATTGAAAGAGTGTATCCATCAGTGTTGCAGTGAACACATGCAACTTAATGGTATGCTGATCATAAGACAAGCAAAGATCTATCATGATAAACTGAAAATTTAAGGAAACTGAATATTCAGCAGGCTGGGTGCAGACATTTATGAAAAGACACAGCATTACATTTTTTAAGACTTGTGATGTTAAAGCATCTTCTGATCACAAAGTAGTAGAGAAATTCACTGATGAGTTTGCCGAAACATGATGAAAATCTGATGCCAGAACAAGTCTATAATGCTAATGAAACATTGCTGTTTTGGTGTTATTGCCCTAGAAATGGATATTGAAAGTGTTTTTAACATTGATAATGAGGCTCTAGTTCTTCACTCATTGACTGATTGTGAAGAGTCAAAATGGTTCCAAATCAAGGTAAGCATGATAGTATTGATGACCAAGATGATGTCGATACTGCAGGAAAAGTGGCTATAGATGACATGGTGAAAATGTATGATGGGCTTGTTGAAGGAGTAGAGCATCATGCATTCATAACAGAACAATAAATCATGTCTGTTTATAAAATCAAAAAAAAAAAAGACTACTCAGACAAAAACCATTGTTAATATGGCAGATGACTCTAGAGGAAATATTTTAAAACGTCATTCAGAAGAATGCCTCCTCATTCTACTTAAAAAAAAGTTGTACAGTAACCTTTCAATCAAAATACAGCATTATAGGTGGAGACCAAAATCCTACCATTGTTAGTTGTTGCTGTTGTTTAAGAGCTCATACGGGTATTTTTGGTATTTCTATTCCTCATAAATTACTCTGTCTCCATGTGCTGTTTATTTATTCTGAACACATTATTTTTCACTATACTAATGAGTGAATACATGTAAGAAAATGTGAATATTCTGCTGAGAATATAAATTCAGAGTCAGGAATGATGGTGATGCCAAACAGTCATAAATGGTTCACATGGGTGGCTGAGATAGTGACATTTTTGTTTTCTAATGGTTCAACATATACAAATTGTGTTTCATCCACAATATTATTTAGATTATTGTATGAAATGACCTTTAGGTTATGTGTAAATGGTCTATATGAAACATAAATATCATGTTTAGACTTGGGTCCCAACCCCAAGATATCTCATTGTGCATATGCAAATATTCCAAAATTTGAAACACTTTTGGTCCTGAGCATCTTGGACAAGGAATATTCAACCTGTATAACTAAAATTGTATTAAAATACAATAGTCCTCCCTTATCCACGTTTTCACTTTCCACAATTCAGTTACCCATGGTACAGTGCAGTAAGACATTTTGAGAGAGAGAAAGAGAAAGAGAAAAATGGCACACTCACATAGTTTTTATCACGGTATAGTGTTATAATTGTTCTATTTTATTACTGTTAATCTCCTACCGTGCCTAATTTACAAATTAAATTTAATCATAGGTACGTACATATAGGAAAAAAAACAGTATATATAAAGTTTGCTACCATGCACGGTTTCAGGCATCCACTGGAGGGCTTGGAATGTATTCCCTGCAAACAAGGGGGGACTATTGCATAGCAATTTTTTAAAAAATTTATTAATTCATAATATGTGTATATTTTATAGGGCACATATGATATTGTTACATGCATAGAAACTGTAATGATCAAATCAGGGCATGTAGGGTATCCATCGCCCTAAATATTTATCATTTCTATGTGTTGGGAACACTTCAAGTCCTCTTTTCTAGCTATTTTAAAACATGCAATACATTGATGTTAGTAGCTTCAGTCACCTTACTTTGCTAGGGAACATTGTGATTTATTCAATCTATATAACGGTATGTTTGTATCTATTAACCAACCTGTCTTTGTCTCTATCCCACCCCTACCCTGGTACACCTTTCCCTGCCTCTGGTAACTATTATTCTACTCTACCTCAACGAGATAAATATTTAAGCCCCCACATAAGAGTGAAAACATGCAATATTTGTCTTTCTGTGCCTGGCTTATCTCACTTAACAAAATGACCTCCTGCTCCATCCACATTGCTGCAAATGGCAAGATTTCATTTTTTTAATAGTTGAATAGTAATCCATTGTGTATATATAGCACATGTTATTTATTCATTCATCTGTTAAGTAATAAACTTAGGGAGATTCCATATTTTGGCTATTGTGAACAGTGCTGCAATGAACATGAGGGTGCCAGTATCCCTCTTATACACTGATTTCATTTTTTATTGGAATAAATACCCAGGAGTAGGGTTGCTGTATTGTATTGTAGTTCTATTTTTAGGTTTTTTTTGAGATATCTCCATACTATTTTCTACACATAATGGATGTTCTAATTCATATTTCCACCAACAGTATACAAGAGTTCCCTTTTCTCTGCACCCTTGCCAGCATCTGTTCTTTTTTAAATCTCTTTAATAATAGCCATTTTACCTGGGGTAAGTTAATATTTCATTGTGGTTTTGATTTGCATTTCTCTGGTGACTGGTGAAGTTGAATATTTTTTTCATATACCTATGGACAATTTGTATATCTTCTTTTGAGAAATGTCTATGTCCTTTGCCCACTTTTTAATGGAATTATTGCTACTTGTCAGATAAATAATTTGCAAATATTCTCTCCCACTCAACAGATTGTCTCTTTACTGTTTATTATTTCCTTTGCTGTGCAGAAGCATTTTAGTTTAATTTACTCCTATTTGTTTTTGCTTCCTGTACTTTTAGAGTCTTAGCCATAAAACCTTTGCCTAGACCAATGTCATGTAGTGTGTCCCCTGTGTTTTCTTCTAGTAGTTTTATAGTTTCAAGTCTTTTGTTCAGGTCTCTAGTCCATTTTGAGTTGATTTTTGTGTATGGTCCAAGATAAGGGTTTATTTTCATTCTTCTGCCTATAGATATCCACTTTTCCCAGCACCATTTATTAAAGAGAGTATTATTTCTCAAAAATATGCTCTTGCATTTGCCTATAAATGTGGATTTATTTCTGGATTCTCTATTCTATTCCATTGGTCTATGTTCCTGTTTTTATACTAATATCGTGCTATTTGGGCTACTAGATCCTTGTAACATATTTTAAATTCAGGTAGTATGATGCCTCCATCCAGCTTTGTTTTTTTGTTGTAGTTTTTTTGTTTTGCTCAGGATTGCTTTGGCTATTTGAGCTCTTCAATTTCATACAAGTTTTAATTTTTTTCTATTTCTATGAAAAATGACATTCCTATTTTGATAGAGATTGCATTGAATATGTAGATTGCTTTGGGTTGTATGGTGACTTTAACAACGTGAATTCTTTCAATCCATGAGCATTGGAATTTTTTCATTTATTTGTGTCCTCATCAATTTCTTTCATCAGCGTTTTATAGTTTTCCTTTAGATCTTTCATCTCCTTGGTTAGATTTATTCCTAGGTATTTTTTGTAGTTTTTATAAATGAGACTGCCCTCTTGATTTCTTTTTCAGCTATCTCATTATTACTGTATAGAAGTGCTATTCATTTTATATGTTGATTTTTGAATCCTTCAAATTACTGAATTTTAAAAATCAGATCCAAGAGTTTTTTGATGGAATCGTTTTTTCTAAATATATGATTATGCCATCTCCAAAGTGGGACAATTTGACTTTCTCTTTTCCACTTTAGATGCCTTTCACTTTTTTCTCTTGCCTTATTGCTCTAGCTAGGACTTCCAGTACTATGTAGGAGTGGTGAAAGTGAGCGTCCTTGTTTTGTTTTCATTCCTAGAGGAAAGGCTTTCAGCTTTTCCCACTTCGGTATAGTATTGGCTGTGGGTTTGTCTTATATGGGCTGTATTATATTGACATGTATTACTCCTATGCTCAGTTGGTTGAGTATTTTTAACATGAGGAAATGCTGAATTTTATCACATGCTTTTTCTGCATCTATTGAGATAATCATATGGTTTTTGTCCTTCATTCTGTTGATGTGATGTATCATGTTTATTGATATACATATGTTGAACCATCCTGGCATCTATAGAATAAATCCCACTTGATCATGGTGTATTAACTTTTTGATGGGATACTAGATTTGGTTTGCTAGTATTTTGTTGAAGATTTTTTGTATCTATATTCATCAGGGATACTTGCCTGTAGTTTTCTTTTTGTTGTTGTGTCCTTGTTTGGTTTAGTATCAGGGTAATGGTCTCATAGAATGAGTCAGGATGAATTCTTTTCTGCTTAGGTTTTGAAATAGTTTGAGGTGAACTATTAGTTTTTTTCACATAAGTTTAGTAGAATTTGGTAGCGAATACAGTCCTTGGCTCTTCTTTCTTGGAAGACTTATTACTGTTTTAATCTCATTACTCCTTTGGTCGGTTTCAGTTTTCTATTTCATTCTGATTGAATCTCGAAAATTTCAAATTGAATTTGAATTTTTTTTACTTTTGAGTGTAGACATTTATTACCATAAAATTTCCTCTTATACTACTTTTGCTGTATTCTATAGGTTTTGTAAGGTTGTGCTTCCATTTTCATTTGTTTCAAAAAGTTTTTATTTCCTTCTAAATTTTCTAAACCATTTTTCCAATGGTTGTTCAGCAGCATTTTATTTATTTATTTTTAGAGACAGGATCTCATTCAGTCACCTATGCTGGAGTGTAGTAATGTAATTGTGGCTCACTGCAGCCTCAAACTCCTGGGCTCAAGCAATCCTCCTGCTTCAGCCTACTGAGTAGCTGAGACTATAGGTGTGTGCCACTATCCCCAACAAATATTTTAATTTTTTTGTAGAGATAGGATCTCACTGTGTTTCTTACACTGGTCTCCAACTCCTGGACTCAGCTGATCCCTCCACTTCGGCCTCCCAAAGCACTGGGATTATAAGCATGACCCAACACACCCAGCCATAAGAATGTTATATAATTACCATGTATTTGTACAGTTTCCAAAGTTCTCCTGTTATTGATTCTAGTTTTATTCTACTGTGGTCTGAGAAGATACTTGGTATAATTTTAATTTTTTAAAATTTGTTGAGACTTGTTTTCTGTCCTAGAATATGATCTATCCTGAAGAATGTGCCATGTGCTGATGAGAAGGATGTGTATTCTGAAGCTATTAGATAAAATGTTCTATAGATGTCTGCTAGGTCTACTTTGTCTAATGTGTTGTTTAAATCCAATGGGTTTTTTCTTAAATTTTTTTATCTACGTGATCTAATGCTAAAAGTGGGATATCAAAGTCCCCAACTATTATTGTATTGGAGCTTATTTCTCCCTTTACTTCTAATAATGTTTGCTCTATGTATCTGTGTGTTCTCGTGTTGAATGCGTATATATTTAGAATTGTTATATTCTCTTGCTAAATTGATTTTTTATCATTATATTATGACCTCCTTTGTCTCTTTCTACTGTTTTTCACTTAAATGCTGTTTAATCTGATATGTTAATTACTCATACTTGCTTTTGGTTTCTATTTGCATAAACTATCCTTTTCCATCCCTTTCAGTCTCTATGTGTCTTCACAAATGAAGTGAGTTTCTTACAGGCAGCAAATAGTTGGATCACATTTTTTAGCCATTTAGCCATTTTTTATCTTTTTAGTGAAAAAATTAATCCATTTATATTCAAGATTATTGTTGGAATATGAGGACTTATTCCAGCCATTTTGTTAATTGTTTTCTGGTTCTTTTATATATCCTTTGTTCCTTTCATTCTTTTCTATTATCACTGTGACTTGGTGTTTTTCTGTAGTGGTAACATTTGAGACTTTTTTCTGCCTCATTTGCATGTTTGGCCTACTTGTGAATTTTATACTTTCATGTATCTTCATGATGGTACACATTGTAGGTAGATTTTGCTTCCAAGTGTAGAACCCCCTTTAACATTTTTTGTAGAGCTGGTCTAGTGAAAATTTTCCTCAGTTTCTACTTGTCTGGGAAAAACTATTTTTCCTTCATTTAGGAAGGATAACTTTTCTGGGTATAGTATTTTTGGCTGAAAGTTTTTTTTTGTTTCTTTTAAGCACTTTGAATATCATCCCATTCTCTCCTGTCCTATAAGTTTTCTGCTGAGAAATCCAGTGTTATTTGGATGGGGTTTTCTTTATATGTGACTGGATGCTTTAACCTTGCTGTTTTTAAAATTCTCTTTGACTTTTGACATTTTTATTATAATATGCCATGGATAAAACCTTTTTGGTTTGTATCTATTTGGATATCACTGAGCTTCCTGTAGGTAGATGCCTAAATCTCTTGCCAGACTTGGGAAGTTTTCAGGTATTATTTTATTAAACATGTTTTCTATGATTTGGGGGTTTCTCTTTACCTTTTGAAACTGTCTTCCAGTGCTGAAATTATTTCTTCTGCTTGATCAGGCAGGTTTCTGTCTCTGAGAAGCATGCAATTTGAATCCCTTTGTTCTGGGGTCAGCCTCCCAGTGTTCTGTACTGCCTATTCTCTGGGGTGCAGGACATTGTGTGTGCTAAAGTGCTGAAGACTGTTCCCTGTTCCTTTGCTGGGTCCAACTGGTGTTGCATTGCTGCAGCCACTCAGGTGAACATGATAGAATGCCAGTGGGACTCCAGGCATGGGAAGATGCAGGGACTATTGGGCCCCAGGGCAGAACGCAGTGTGGTAGCAGCTGGGCTCTCAAAATGGCACCATGTTGTAGTTGTTCAGGATTTTGAGGTGGTGTGGAACACAGAGTGAGCTCTCTCTCTGGATAAATGTCATTGTGCAGTCTTTCATCATCTCCCTATGCTAGTCTCAGGGCTTATAATGGTAAAAGAGCTTTCCTATGACTAGGGTTGCAGGAGTACATGGTGGGAATCTGGACTGCTGAAGATCTCTCACTTACTCTGTTTCCCTGAAGTGGGAAGCCTTTCAGCTCTCAGCTAATCCTGGCACAGCTGGCTTCCTTGCTTCCCTTTTCTTCTGTGTCTCAGATGTTTCCTGCCACTTCTCTGTTGAATCCTAGTGATCTTCTTGATTTTTGTTGTTTGTGAAAAATAGTGAGTGCCAGATGTCCTAGTCTGCCATCTTTAGGCCCCTTCCTATAGCAATTTTGAGGTTTGAGCTACTACTGAGGATGTTTTCATCCATTTTTTAATACTTTTTAAAGTTTTTGCAAGTAATGTCTTAACTGTTTTGCCATTTATTCATAGTTAAAAAATATGAATTACTTTATATTTTCAATACCCCTAAATTATTTTAATGAAGTTGATTTTCCCAAGGTAAATTACTGCATATTTTTCTTACATCTAAGCTTTTATTACTGAACCACAAAAATTAACAGGCTGTTGACTACAAAACTTATTTCTTATACTCATAATATGGTATAAAAATTTACCACACAATATGCTTATTTTATTTTTAATTAGGCATCAAAACATTTAAACTAGAGAGAAATTCCTCTACAAATCCTTAAAGATAAATAGGTTTTCAGGGCTTTATACAAATTTAGTAAATTAGTTTAAAAACTATTTAAAGGAAAAAAAATAGTCTATATTTTTTTAAAAGCCCTGTTAATATGGATGCTGTCAATGGAAATGTGGTTAAATGTCAAAAGTGATTTGAAGAAATAGGAAAAAAAGGTATTAGATCTGTAAAGGAGGAATTTCAGTAATCTATCTTGGATTTACAAGAGAAGAGGTATATATCCAAAGAAATTAAGTGTAGCAGGTATAGAGTTATAAATTCTAAAGTAATTTTCTGACTTGTATAACTCTTCTAGGTTGTTGGAGTAGAAAACAGAAATATAATTGTAACAAATCAGTCAGGGTCCTGGTAAGAAACACATATGTACTCAAGTTTGGTCATGAAGGGGAATTTATAGAATGACTCTTTACAACGGTGAAAGCATGGTTTAGAAAAAGCATCAAGGCATCATGCACCAGTCCTGTGGAAATAACAATGGAGTACCAATACTAGTCATAGGTTTAGAGAGGCCAGGGGAGGTAGCTAATGTGAGATCCAGAAGAAGCCATATATAGGAGGTTTCCTGATAGCGGACCAGACAACAAGATATGATGAAGCATAGAAAAATCTGAATGAATGGATATCTTGACATTATTCTCTTCCCTGACTGCAATCTACGGGCTTGGTCCAATGGGATGAAGCCAAAGCCTGCGGGCAAAGAAATCACAGATTTCCCCTGAGTTCAGCCTCTTGGGGCACAGAACTGGGTAGAGAAAGATAGAGCAGGTAACTGTAGAGACATGCAGAACATGTAAAGCATGTCACTGGAAACAAAACAAAAATGAATATCTCAAAAGAAGTACCCTCTCACAGGAATAATTTATTAAAAGTGTTCAAATAAAATATAAAATATTAATAGCTAAAGTGAGGTTTTAACGGGTTTAATTTACTTCATCACACATCTCTGATGTGTCTCACAAGTTTTTAAATACTATGGAAAAATTTAATCAGAAATATGAAAATTGCTTTAGAAAAAATTAACCTTCTTAATGACTATGTAATAAGCCATCAGACTTTAAAATGTTGCTGCATGGTAACTGGCTTGGCATGATTGTCAAAGTTCTGTGGGATTCAATATGAGTGCTGTGAAGTGAAATGAAAGGATATGGTGAAACAGAGTTTCTCAATTGATTTTAATAGCCTTTGAAATTAGAAATAGATGTTCTCTGACAAATAGCTTAACCTCAATTTTCAGTTGAAGTTTTCTTGCACTGTAGCTTTTCAAACAAGTTCTGATACTAAAGAAAAGTGAACTTTATATATGTAGCTTTATCTCTTGTTAATTATACGTTATCCCTAACCCATTTCCTAATTTTAAAAAAATCATATTCCAGAATAGTGGATATTGAAAAATAATTACAATTAAGATTCTTTAAATTTTGATTGCATTTAGAACTTGTGTTTCTGCAGTACTTTAAAATCCTGCACATCAATCCAGCATCACAGCACTGAATTCTTTCCTTATCAATGTGATAATTGATGTGTGGTTTATTATTAAAACAGTTTAAATGTGTACCTATGTAGCATAAAGTGGTGATTTATAGATTATCAAATTAATTATTTACATTAACTTTATATGTAATTATATATTATATAGTTATATAAAGATTATTATAATTAATTACTCTTGCTAGTTACAATTTTGGGTAAATTATCACTTTGTGCTAAGTAAAAATAAATACTGTCTACCTATGTAAATATATTTTTTGTAGCAAATACTTTTAGTTGCCTACTCAATATTTATTCTTTTTTGCTGCTTACTAACAAAACCTCAATTTTGTTTGTAGTAACAGTGTGTCCAACTATATAACTTAATTACTCTGGAGTAGATTTTAGTTTACAAATTCTTTCTCGTAAAACAAAAGTTGATGATTCCTTGGAACACTTTTGCTTTCCTAAAGAGGCACTGCTTTGTCCTCATTCTTCCTTCCTGAAACAGATGTAAGCCTGGATATAAGCAACTATCATAGGATCATGAGTCAGCCAGATTGAGAAAGGCAATTGAATGCTTAGATGATAGAGTAGAAAGAGTAGGAGCCCAGGCCACTGATTATATCACAGAACCACAGTATCACACCCAGACTCTCAACCTCTGAAATTGTTATGTCAGAAAAATTATTCCTATTTGTTAAGCTACAATTGTTAGGTTTTCTGCTATCATCAGCTGAATGCAATTTTAACATTACCATATAGATGCATATAATCTATAGATTATATGTGTTATATATAATGCAACTTTAACATTACCATATAGATGCATGTAATCTACCATCTATAGGTTATTGCATTATATATAATGCATATATTTTATATATTTATACATATTAAACTAGAGAGAAATTCCTCTATAAATCCTTAAAGAAAAATGAATTTTCAAGGCTTTATACAAATTTACAAATATATTCATATACAAATGTATATAAATATATTTTATAATATATATTTATATAAATACAAATATTTTATATAATACACATGTTTATATTTATAATAAATATATGATGTATATATAATCTCCATGTTTTGCATGCTTTCCAGACTTCACTGTGCATACAAAATACCTGAAGGTCTTGTTAAAAAATGTAGATCATGACTTAGTATGTCTTTGGCAGGACCTGGAATTCTGCATTTCTAACAAGCTGCATCAGGGGGTGTTAATTTATTGGCATTGTTATCTTACCATGTACACAAGAAAAATGGGCTCCAACTTCAAGGAAAAAATTAGATGTCAGGACAAGTATGAATTAAAAATTTTTAATTTTAATTTTAGATTAAACTTTTAAATTTTAATATAAAAAGAGGTTTTCCTCCCCTCCTGCTTTGTCAGAACATTTACCTTAGAAAACTTAGCAAATATAGGTACTTATTTTATATTTTCAAAATGTATATGAATCTTTTTAGAAACTGAATCAGGCTTTTGTGGACCTCATAACCTAGGAATAATCTTTCTCGAGGACCTGGCGCCACCTCTTTAAAATGTAACCATCAACGGAAACAGTCTTCCAAACTCCCAGTTTCGGGGGCACTGGGAGCCTAACTTAAGTGGGCCCCTTGCTCCAAGCTGTAAAACTACCTCCTGTAGTAAAGATATGAGAAGTTTTTTTCCCTCTAGAAAAAAAGCTAATTAGCTAATATAGACAGTCACACCAATTACCAGGTAAAGTTGGGAACTAAATGTGACAAATGGTGCTGTCAAGTCCTCTTGAGTCCTAGTTATTGCTTATCTTAAAAACATGTATAAAATTGGTTGTATCTGGTTGACTATATAAAGGGGTGAGCTTCCTTTCTGTCTTTGCAATCTATTTGTAGATTGCCTATGATGAGCATCACATTCTGTTTTAATACTTATTCAATAATAAAACTGTTTTATGTCTTTACTACCTCTGTAATAGAGATTTTGGGTTGGCAGAAGATTTTGTTTTTAATACATGTCTTCAACACTAGTAAAGAAATACAGTTGCTGGATGTCAGGGGTTTGGAGTAAAAATAGTTCATTCCAAGGGTATTTAGGTGGGACACTAATAGGATCTGGTATAGTACAATAATGCTCCATGTGAAATCCACTTCTGTTGCTGACTCTTTAGGGTGATGACTGGTCACAATAAAAATGAATTACAGCAAGATGTTCAATAGAACTAGACAATATTCATAATCTTCCTCTTCTATCACCCATCCTAGATTTCTTTCACATAGGTCATGCTTCAGCTGATTTTTGTGGCTTGCGTGGTGGAGCAAACTGTCAATTCTGAGGCCCTGAATGCCCTTGCTCTCTACAGGCAATGGTTGATGCAATTGTCCATTCACTATTATCACTAGGGCTGATGGAGCAACAAAAGATATCCAACAGAATGGTTTAGATTTCTGATATATTCTTTCCTGCCCCCATTATGCAGAAGTAACCTTATTTCTATCTATTATATGATAATCAAGCCCAATTACCCCTCCCAGTATAGTAACTCTTTGCATGCTGGTCTTCTGGTATCAAGAATCTAAAACGTCCAGGTGACAACCACAGCTAAAGAAAAACAAACCAACTTCTTCCTGTGTCCTCTGATAGAAGCTCTCCATCCCAAACACCTCCTCAAACTAGTAACTCTAATGCAGCAGAGGCTAAAATTTTGGGAGAATAACACACATTCCCTCAACTGAGCCAGTGGGAGTGATGATGAGAGAACCTACTGCTCCTCCCGTGCCTTGGACTCAGTCTCATACATTTTAACTTTTGAGAAAATAACACTATATAATGGCTTTTGGTTTAAAGTATATATTGCAACTTGAAGGACTGCATCCCAAACCCCAGCAATTCAGGGTATCATCCCCGGGCTAAAACCAGGCACTTACGAGGCCATTTCAAAACGTTTTCCGCCTGTCAGCTCTTGGGCTATCAGATATATAGTATGACCAATAGAGTTGATGGTCATACACTTTGTTGTCCCTCCTCTGCCATAAAATGGTCCTCAGTATCAGTTGCAGTTCAGCCCAATACCCAACAGTTTTTGAAAATTCTCAGTATTCCTCTTCCCTCAGTGTGTAATTGTCTGGGTACATATCACTCATCTGTGGGAGACCAGAATATTTCACCCCAAAAAATGAAAAATTGTTGGGCTGAAGACAATGGAGAAGAAGCAGATGCAGGAAAGCTCTCTGCTCTCCCTCTATTTGCCTAAAAGCAAGACATGGATTTAGAGACACAGAAGGTATCCTGCACCCTCTTCTACCAGGGAGAACAGAGGTTAACCACTGAAGACAATTTTAGACCCTTACCTCCTGGAGATGATACCAGAAGAATACATGCTGACAAGCTTTATTAACTAGCCTTTATCTGCTATTTAGTTACCTTCCCACAAGTTGTTAGAGAATCAAGGTCCTTTTCCTTTGTCTTGTCATTTCTCTAATAATTAACTATTCTTTGTCAAAGATGCTATATAAGCTGGAATTCAAAGCCACCTCTTTGAGAACTACTCCTTACCTAGGTGTCTTCCATTGTCTTTCATGGTGCCTTCCAGGAAATCTACATGCTAATAAATTTTTTTTCTCTTGCTAATCTGTCTTTTGTCATAGGGATTCATTTTAACTAAGAATCTATGGGGGCTAAAGAAAAAAAATTATGTTTCTTCCCCTACAAATATCTCTGGGGACCAGAAAGAAAACACTTATCAGACCTGTTGTGGTATTACGGGGATTTTCCTCAACAGCACCAAGGATCTCTTCCAATTGGGAATGAAAAATGAATTGGGTCTAGAAATTGAGTAATGGAATCAGTGATTTCTCCACTGTACCAGCTGACGTCAGTCTTCTGTTCACCTTGATATTTTGGGGTTATATAAGTCAAGAAGTATTCTTATTGGCTGCTTCTCCATCTTGTTCACAGGTCACTATAGTATATTAGCCTTACTTCTAATTGTCAGCATGTGCATTCCCTTGTCAGAGGAAGTTTTCTAGCTGTTCGCTACCCACATAGACTGAAATACCAGGAAAATAATATTTTCCTTTCAGTTCCCTCAAATATCCCTCTAACATGACTGATGGGAGTTTGTAGATAAATGCTATTGCTCCCTCAGAGTTTAGGTAAGTTTGAGGTGCGAGTCCAACACTGTGAGACAACACTGCAGTTGACAACAGTAAACTTCTTAGTTGACTTTCTTTCCTTCTTTGGCTCATTTATCCACTACCCTGTAAGTGCTAACCTAAGACCATCTTTTGGTATACTAGTTGCACTCAAATCCTTGTTTCAGGGTGTACTTAGGGTGGGGAGAAATAAAATTAAGACAGGTGATGCCAAAAGTGAATCCTTGGATGAGATAATGGAATTGAATTACTCACCAGCTAACTGCCAACAGAGTCTCATTGCTAGTGGTAAATAGAATCATTCCCTGGTATGTTGTAGTTCAGTTTCTACTGAATGTGTATTGCTTTTGCATCATCTTCAATTTGAGAACCTGAACCACCGTAAGTTGCGGACCATCTATATAATGAATTAAGTTCATCAGAATTTTAGAAATAAAAAACTAATGTTGTTTGTGTTGTGCCTCTTGTTTCGTTGTTAACAAAGAATGTTGGTTGTTACCTCAATTTAGTGAATATTTAGGTATCTGAACACCAACTAGTTCTTGTGCTAGGTTTAACAACATTTGTTACCCACCCCTAGCATTGGTGCACTATTTTTTAACATAATTTTATGTTACTTTATACTATTTCTGTGAGTTGTATAGAAAAATATCATAAACATGTTATAGTAGAATAGTCATAAGATTCCATAATCACTGGTGTGCTAGTATTTATTTTATACCATAAATTTGATGGGTCAAATATATTATCCTTTATATGTGACTAGAAACACTATTGGATCCTACTGTAAAGTCCCCAAATTGAGGCGAGTTTTAAATAATTTTGAATCTAAGCACATTCATAGAAACTGAGCTTCTATCACATTAATTATGTATCATGTGTAAAAGAAGTTACTCTGAATTTGTTATCTTTATTACTTTACATTTATTGCCTATTAGTGTATATATAACACATTTAGCATGCATACATTTTAAAGTACATATAATACAGATTACACTTACTTTTTTTAGTCATTTCCTTCATTTTAAGAATCCCTCTTGTTTTCTCAATATAGCCATGTTTTAAATTATTAAAGCAGTTCATGAATGTCAATTTATGACTTGAGAAGTTTATTTAAAGTTCAAAAGACCATTTTGAGGGATCATAAACAGATAAACAGTAACCCAGAAATGCCTTTTTCCTTTTTTTTTTTTTTTTTGAGAGAGAGCGAGATAGGGTCTCACTGTGTTGCCCAGGCTGTAGTGCAGTGGCCCTATCTCGGCTCACAGCTCACTGCAAACTCCACCTCCCAAGTAGCTGGGAGCCTCCCGAGTAGCTGGGATTACAGGCACATGCCACTATGCCCAGCTAATTCTTGTATTTTTTTGTGGAGATGGGGTTTCGCCATGTTGGCTAGGGTGGTCTCAAACTCCTGAACTCAAGCAATCAGCCCACCTCGGTCTCTCAAAGTGCTGGGATTACATTACAGGCATGAGCCACCGTGCCTAGTCAACTTTTTCAAATTTAGTTCATTAACTTTTAAAAAAAAAAATTGTGACAGTCTCACTCTGTCACTAGGCTGGAGTGCAGCAGTGCAATCTTGGCTGACTGCAACCTCTGCCTGCCAGGTTCAAGGGATTCTCCTGCCTCAGCCTCCCGAGTAGCTGGGATTATAAGCGTATACCACCACACCCGGCTAATTTCTTATATTTTTGGTAAAGACAGGGTTTCACTGTTTTGGCCAGGCTGGTCTTGAGCTCCAGTCCTCAAGTGATCTGCTCACCTTGGCCTCACAAAGTGCTGGGATTACAGGCATGAGCCACCGCACCCGCCCAACATTTCTTAATCTGTGAAATTAGCCTTATACTCCAAATTTCTGACATATTTAGTATAAAACTGAATATGTTTCTTGACTATTTACTTTTTATCTATTTGATAAGTTCTTACACAATGTCTTTCAAGGAACATTCAGAAGACAGAAGACTAAATGACATTGACACAACTGGCTTTTTCTTATGACAATATGAATATGAGTCAGAAATATATGTGATAGACAAATTATCCTTTTTGATATTATTCTCTTTTGAATGCTTTAATATATACAGTAAATCAATTGACTTGTTTCAACTTATTAAGTGAAAATTTTGATTAAAGTTGTATTTAATGATGCTGAAAGACTGCATGTTTTTTTCCCTCTTGCTTTCTATGTATAATTATCAATGTGTATTCATCATTTCTGACTCTGTGTGTATAGAGCAGATTCACCTGACAGCAATAATTTAAGCATACTCTATGGTCTAAGAAGAGTGTTGGTTCAGAGTTCTGAGCCAAGGAACCCAGGAGCAGCCAATCTAGAGGCTTACTCTATGAAGGACACCTGAACCGCTGGTCCATTTTGTGGACTGCAGGATATGCAAGGAATTAAGAGGCCCTTTGTTTTGAGCTAGATGTGGATGTTGCTAGGTAGAGGGTGCTAAGTGAAAATTGCCATGTAAACTGCATGCTGCAAACAGTAGCGGTCTTCCTGTCTAGCCCACCACTCCTTGACTGCCCCATACGTAAGTCCTCCATAAACCCTATGTCTTTGTTCTTTGGGTCTGGGTCTCCTCTGTCCTCTTGGACATAGTGCCATCCCCATTGGAGTCAGTAGGGGTTAGTCACAACCGTGTGATGTTTAATTCATACTCATATATGGTTTTCTGTATTTATCAATTAAATATATTTATAAAGAAACTAAATATTAAAAACATTCTTTTAATCACCAGTGGAAATAAAAAGTGAAAAAGAGCTATTAAAACACATTTCAAAGCTAACTATTAAGGTTACAATTTTTAATATAAAGATACTGCTTTTAAATGTAAAATTCAATGAATTTATGCAAAAAATTTTCAAAGCTTAAAAGAAAAATTTAACAAAAGTTATGTTCATATTAGAAAGGACAGCATAAATTTAACAAAAATAACTGTCATAAGTTTCTGAGAACTTTTCTAGGATTTTGAAACCTAACTCATCAGATAGGGCTTCAAAATACAGAGCTTTGTATATGAAGTAGAAATTTATCCTGTAGATGAAGGGAACATCTGGGCAGACTCAGATGAAAACAGAATGCCACAATCAGCTTATAATACAAGCCAATTCAAATGGAAAGAGGCTATTCTCAAAAAAGAAAACCCATTTTGAGAATAAAGGAACATACTCAAAACCTACAATTTATTCTTAATGATGCCTCATTTTTCATTTGCTTTATAGCAGCCTTCTACCCCGGGGCAAAGACTGACAGACTATTCCTTAGTACCTTAATTTTAGCTGTCCCCTTAACTATGACTCTGGGGCTGAAATACATAAACAGGGCAATAAATCAGAAGGAACAAAGAACCTTTAAGACTATAAGGCAGTGGGAGGAAGGAAAGTATGTTGAACAATTCCCTTTACATGTGTCCTTAATAATTGATAACAGGTGTCTAGTTTACTGAGTCCAGTTACACATTTTTTAGACAGATCTATTGTTTATGTTGTTCCCTGTCTAAGCAATACAGAGAGTGCTGTTTCACATTCCCTTCGTGTTATAATCTAGTCAATTCACTTAAAATTAGAATAAATTGCATTTGGTTTTAGAAATATTCATATTTGCCATTTCCTCTGCACATTGAAAATATATAATTTTGTTGGTTTAAAGTGTTGAGGCTCAAAAACTGAAACCACCTTTGCAAAAATTATACAGAAAATTATGACAGTGAAATAGGTCTGACTTAACTGACTTCATCTTGCTTCTAACCTCTAACTGTCCTTGTTCATTCCTGGGTGTAGGCCGAACTAACTTTGGGAGGGACTTAGTTTATAGTTTAACTTTGAAATGACAATAACAGCTTTTTCTCAAAACAAATCCCCTTCCTGCCTGGGGATTAAACTGCCTTTGCAGGACTAACAAATTAGCTACAAGATTAGAAGTTATGGTTTAGGACTCATGCAGCTAGAGGCTGCAAGATTTTGAACCTTTCCAAATTGCTCGTGGGGGTAACATCACTATTGTTAAACCTAAGATTAGTGCTTGAGATCTTTTGCAGACACTGCATTAGATGGATAAGCTGGCATCACTCAGATTGCTAACTGTCTCAACTTGTCTTGCGACCCCCACCCAGGAATCAACTTATCAGAAGAGGACAGCATTGACTCCCTATGATTTCATCAATGACCTGACCAATCAGCACTCCCTACTTTCCATCCCCCTACACACCAAATTATCCTTTAAAACCCTGATCCCTGAGTTTTTGGAAGACTGATTTGTGTTGGGTGATGTACCAGAGCCCCAGCAATGGAAAGTGACTGGCTCGCAGATAGTAAAAAGAATTTACCCACAATGGTATAGTTTTGGAAAGGAAAGTTTTATTGAAAGAAAGAAAAGAAAGAAAGAAAGAACACTGCAGAAGAGTGCAGCAGGGCATCTCAGCAAGAGAGGAGTAAGTGTGTCACAGTGGATTTTTACTTAGCAGTATTTTACGGACCTTAAAGTGGGATCTTAAGGGTAATTTAGACCATATCAGCAGCCATGTAGATCATGATAAATGATTACACTTGTAGACATTTTGGTGTCTCGATGATAGCAATAGGAGACAGTTAAATTCCTAGGCAGACGAACAGGTCCCTGTTGAACCCTGATCTTCAAGCCAAAGACAGCCTGATGCCTGAAAACTGAGCTTCCAGTTCCAGGTAGAGTACATGACCAGAGTAAGAACCTCCTCGATGTCTTTTAGCCAATCGAATGGTGCTTTTTCCAGGCCTGCCCACGAACCAATCAGCATGCACTCCCCAATTCTGAGCCCATAAAAGCCCTAGACTCAGCCTCACAGGTGACTACCTGCTTTTGGGCCCCCTCTCACACACAGAGGTACCCACTTCTGTTCCCCTCTCATGTCAAGAACTTTCCTGTCACTCAGTAAAATTCTTCTCAGCCTTGCTCACTCTCTGCTGTCTGCATACCTCATTCCTCTTCATCATGGGGAAAGAACCTAGAACCTACCAAGTTGTGGGTGTGAAAAGAGCTATAACATGCACTCCCACTCACCAACCTATGGGAGTGAAAAAAACTGCTGGGTGCCATACGCCCCCATTCACTGAACTTCAGGCAGTGGGACTGAATGAGCTGTGACACACCCCCATTCACTGAGCCGCAGGCAGCAGGACCGAAGGAGCTGTGATATGGCCCCATTCCCTGAGCTGCAGGCCACAGGAACAAGAGTAAGCTGTAACACTTCTTGGGGACTCAGACCTCGGGACTCCCTGGGCGAGAGCTGTAACACCCCTTGGGGCTCTATGGTTGTTGGCATATCCAAATTTGGGGCACCACCATGTTCCTCTCATCCAGATGCCGGTGCCCAAGGTGGAAGCTGGTCACAGCCTGCCCAGTCCAGCCACAGGCTGAATGTGGATCTCATGGCGGGCACAAGATCTGAGCCATTGCATGAGCCAAGCTCAGCCTCCAGGGCTGAGTGGGTGGAGTGAGCCCAGTGGGCCTCAGTGAGGCTTCAGGAAGAGGTCACAGCAGCTGCAGAGATTTCCGGCTGGCAGAGCAGCACTGAAAAACATCCTGTAACATTTCCAGGGGCTCATCTGGGATTGGCAGAAGGGTGAATAAGAGTGGACCTCTTTCACTTTCATTCCAAGGCTTCTTGTATGGAGATTTTTTTTTTTCCAAAAACAGATGAGGCATTGGGCCTCTGTTAGCCAGTTAAGAGTGAATGGCATGTCTTCAGAGGACAGGCTTGCTGGGGAGGGGTTTGTCAATCACCCATCGCCCTTGGGTGTTGGGAATGTTGGCTTTGCTTCAATCCAGTTTTCTTCATGGAGGTCTAGCCATTGCATGGAATTGGAAGGAAGTTCTGGGGCAATTATCTGGCTGAGGCTATACTTTGATGTTACCCAAAAGGCCACTGGACTGACTCCAGTCACCAACATCCCATTAGGGTGTTGGTGTTAGGACCTCCAGTCTTTTCTATGGCATTATCCTTCTTTCTTTCATGGCTTTAGTGGCTTTTATCTTTTCTTTATATATTAATACAATGTTAAGGGTGTTGTTGCAAAGCACAGAGATAATATAAGTGGGTAGAATGTGCATTTGGCTTAGTCATCAGGAGCGTAATTCAGAACAATGTGTTTTCTGTCTATTCTTAGAAGCAAGGAGGATGTAATGATTGAGAGTTTTCTTTCCCCTGTTGAGGAAACCCATTAGCATAGGGCAAGAGGCTACTTTCCCCCAGGCACCTTCCCTCCCCTGCATTTAAGGTTTTTATTTTTTCCCACCATGTCAGTAGTCAATATAGTCCTGTGAATACAGGGAGCTTTTCTATGTGAGGGATTAATTTTTTCCTTTTGGGAGACATCTTATTAGGCCCCAATTCCTGGGACTCGCTTTCTGTCCCTTGTTTGAGGAGCATCTGGTTTTACAGCTTCACTTTAACATCACTCCAGTATATTTTCCAAGCTTTGGAGTCCTGAGGGACCCAGAGGCAGTCAACAGCAGAAGACTAGAGTGCAGCGCAAGCGAGCACGACTACTGCTGCTGACTACTCCTTACCATTTCATGGGTGAAGAACTTGCTCACATTCATAGCACAGATGGGGTCTAGCAAACCCAAAGGTTACCGACAGCAGAAGGCTAGGGCACAGCATAGGTAAGTGCGACTACCCCTACTAACTATGCATTCCCACTTCATTGGTAGAGGTCACACTTGTATTCATGCATGGCACCTATAGAAGCTGCCACAACTCAGGGAAGGAAAGGGTGGCACCTATAGAGGTTGCCAAGACTTGGGGAAGGAAAGGACACTTTTTTTTTTTCCTCACATGCCCTGGGTTTTCACTGAAAGAGAGAAAGGAGCTAAGGGATGCCTTTTACCCTCTCTTTCAAATGGGTAACAAACCATTTTCAGCCTGTACTCCTTTTGAGTGCATCCTGAATCACTGGGAGTCCTTTGACCCTCAGATTAAAAAAATGCCTTATGTTCCTTTGCACTAGGGCCTAGCTGGGTTATAAGTTGCAAAGGGCAATTCCAAACCCCGGAGGTGCCTCCAGCTGGGGAGTCAGCTAAAGCCTTTAACCCAATATTTTTCCTCACCTCTTAGTTGTAGTTCAGGAGACCTCATGTTTACTCAAGACTTTTAAATCATACCTGAAAGCCCAACTCCTCTGCTGAGTATGGATATATTAGCTCATATGGGAACCACCATCCTTATGGCTCTGGGACAGACTCTTTGTCTCCTCCTAGTGGAGACCAACGTTAACCCAGAAGTTTGGGCAACTCAAGGGAAAATTGGCAGAGCCACAACTGCCATGCCAGTCTGGATCCATCTTAAGGACCCTACCTTCTTCCCTAATCAGAGATAATATCCCTAAAACCAGAAATTAGAAATGGGCTAGAAGCCACCATTGATAACTTGAGGATGCAGGGCTTCTTCAAACCCTGAAACAACCCTTTTAATACCCCAGTACTGGAGGTACGTTAACCCAACAGAGAGTGGAGACTGGTCCAGGACCTCTGCCTCGTTAATGAGGCTGTGGTTTGAATTCACCTGGTGGTTCCCAAACCCCTATACCCTGCTTACTCAAATACCTAAGGGAATTAATGGTTCACAGTCTATGACATAAAGGATGTCTTTTTATGCATACTGTTACACCCCAACTCCCAATATTAGTTTGCATTCAAGGATCCATTCAACCAGACCACTCAGCTAACCTATGCAGTGTTACCTCAGGGATTGTGAGACAGCCCCCACTTGTTTGAGCAGGAGTTGTCAAAGTATCTCTGAGTTCTTTTATTCTCAGGTTAAAGTTTTACAATATGTAGATCACATTTTCCTTTGTGCCCCAGCTGAGGAAATCTCTGAGGAGGATAATAAGGCTTTTCTTAATTTTCTGGCTAACAGAGGATATAAGGTCTCAAAATCTTAAGGCTCAGCTCTCTCAGACTTCAGTGAAGTACCTAGGTCTAGTCTTGTTAGAGGGGACCAGGGCAGTAGGGGAATAAAGAATTAAGCCCATCTCCTCCTTTACCCTCCTCAAAACCCTCAAGCAACTGAAGGGATTCTTGGGCATTACAGGATTCTGCAGATTATAGATACCTGGGTATGGAGAAGTAGCTCATTCCTTATATCACCTATTAGGGAGACCCAGGCAGCTAAGACTCACTCCCTAATTTGGGAACAAGAGACTAAAAGGGCCTTTGACCAATTCAAAGAAGCCTTGCTTGAGGCACCTGTCCTTAGTCTTCCCATAGGAGAGACTTAATCTTTATGTATCACAAAGGAAGGAAATGGCCCTGAGAGTTCTAACCTGGGCCTGAGGTTCAGCCCAGCAGCACATAGGCTACTTAAACAAGGAGCTTGGTTTGGTAGCTAAAGGATGGCCAGCCTACCTCTGGGCAGTTGCAGCAGTAGACTTGCTGGTACCAAAGGCTACTAAGTTAACCATGGGAAATAACATAACGATTTATACCCACGTAATGTGGCAGGACTGCTGTCTCCTAAGGAGAGTCTCTGGCAAATGGACAACTGCCTCCTCAAATATCAAGCTCTGCTATTAGAGGGATCTGAAGTCCAGTTAAGAACCTGTCCATCCCTAAACCCAGCCACCTTCCTCCCAAAGGAAGCTGGGGAGCTTGAATATGACTGCAAACAGACAGTAGCACAAACCTATGTGGCCAAGGAGTACCTCAAAGAAACCCCCTTAGAGAACTCAGACTGGACTCTCTTTACGAACAGAAGTTCTTTTGTAGAACAAGGGATCCATAAAGGAGGGTATGCAATAGCCTGAATGACACTGCTGAGAGCGTGCCTGTCCTCAGGCACAAGTGCTCAACTAGCTGAGCTAATTGCCCTCCTGAGGGCACTTGAATTAAGCAAAGGGAAAGCAGTTAACATTTATGCTGAATCTAAGCATGCTTTCCTAGTCCTCCATGCCCATGCCACTATCTGGAAAGAGATGGATTTCCTCACAGCAAATGGGTCTTCCATTAAATACCATCAGGAAATTAACAGACTATTATTCTCAGTTTTCCTCCCATGGGAAGTGGCAGTAACACATTTTAAAGGCCACCAAAAAGGGATGAATGAAATAGCTGAAGGAAATAAGTTGGCAGACCAAGCAGCTAAATTGGCAGTGAGAGGGCCCCAGATATCTGATCCACTTGAGGTCCCTCTGATCTGGGAGGGCTCCACAAGAGAAACAAAACCTCAATATTCTCCTGTGGAAATAGAATAGGCCACCTCTCAGGGATACGCCTTTCAGTCCTCAGGATAGCTACAATCAGAAGATGGCAAACTTCACCTTCTTCAGCTTCCAGCCAATGGAAAGTTCTTAAAATCTTTCACAAGCCTTCTACCTAGGTAAGGATAAAACATATCATTGGCCTAGAGGTTGTTCTCAGGTAAAAATCTGCTAAAAATAGTGAAATAGGTCATTAATGCTTGTGAGACTTGCCTTAAAAATAATCTCAATTGACAGCTTCTCCCCCCTGGAACCCAAGAATGGGAGGCTACCCAGGGGAAGACTGGAAGATGAATTTCACCCATATGCCAAAGATAAGGGACATCCAGTACTTCCTGGTATGGGTAGATACCATCATTAACTGGATAGAAGCATTTTTATGTTGAGCAGAGAAAGCCTATGAGGTGATGAAAGTACTAATTAATGAGATAATTCCCCACTTTGGACTCCCAATGTACCTCCAGAGTGATAATAGTCCCTTGTTCAAGGTAGCTGTAAGCCAGGAGTCTCAAAGGCACTAGGCATACAATACCATCTTCACTGTGCCTGGAGACAACAATCCTCAGGAAAGGTATAGAACACTAATGATACTATCAAAAGGCACTTCAGAAAACTGTCTCTCAAGACACTCATCTCCCTGGATTACTTTTCTTTCCAGAAATGTTCCTTTGAAGCTGGGTTTAATCCCCTTCAAAAAGATATATAGATGGCCTTTTCTCATTAATGATTTCTTGCTAGACCAAGAAACCTCTGGTTTGATTAAATATGTAACTTCTTTGGCCCATTTCCAACAGGAACTAAAACTGTCGGAAGCCCAACCTCATGAACTAGGGCTACTTCTGTTCAACCCATGGGACTTAGTTCTGATCAAGGCACTTCCTTCCTTTTCTCTCTCTCTACGCCCATGTTGGGAGGGATCTTACACTGTACTTCTTTCTACTCCTTCAGCAGTGAAAGTCACTGGAATAGATTCTTGGATTCATTATACTTGAGTAAAGACCTTGGAAAGTGACTTTCCTCTGTTGACCCAGAGGAGCACCCGAAGCACCAGTGTGAAGAAATTGGAGACCTCAAGCTAAAGATCACAAAACATAAGTGTCACTAACATTTTATGGATATCCTCTTTATAGTCTCACCTATGCTTGCTGTTCTTGCCTTCATTCTATTCCTCACCATAAGGCATCTTTGCCAAAAATCCCTTAATCCTGAAAGCCCATGGCATTATCTACTCCCCTAAACAGCTATCTCTTTTCTGAAGTTTAGCTTCCCTACCCCCATTAAAGACTTACTTTCACCAGGGTGAAACAGCTCTGATCAAAACATTGTTTTCAGAATGATTAGTATAATACTCATATTTGATCCATGCATACTTAACCTCCTTTTAAAATTTGTTTCTTCTTACCTAGAGACCATCAAACTCCAAATGGTCATGGAAATAGAGCCTCAGATGATGGCTCTTTTTACCGGGAACCCATAGGTAGACCTCTGAGAGACATCTAACTGCTGTTTTCCCAAAACAATGCCCCTGTCAGCATGAAGCAGTTAGACCTGTCACCATCCCTGTAATAATGTCAGTTAGACGTACCTCTTCAGAGGGGGGATTGATAGTGACAGTAAACAGTCAAATTCCTAGCCAGAAAGGGTCGTGTCCCCAGTGAAACCTGACCTTAGAGCCAAGGACAGTCTAAAGCCTGAAAACTGAGCTTCCTGTTCCAGGTAGAGTTCACAACCAGAGTGAGGACTTCCTTGATGCCCTTTAGCCAATTGAATGCTGCTTCTTCCAGGCCCACCCATGGATCAATCAGCATGCACTTTCTCATAAAAGCCTTGGACTCAGCCTCACAGGTGGCAACCCACTTTTTGTTCCCTTCTCACACAGAGGGCTACCCACTTCTGGGCCCCTCTCATGTCGAGAGCTTTTCTGTCACTCAATAAAATTATCTGCCTTGCTCACTCTCCAGTGTCCACGTACTTCATTCCTCTTCATCACGGGACAAGAACCTAGAATCCACTGAACAGTGGGTGCGAAAAGAGCTGTAACATACACTCCTGCTTGCTGAGCTACGGGAGTGAAAAAACCGCTGAGTGCCACATGCCCTCATTCTCCAACCTGCAGTGGCAAATCCAAATGAGCTGTGACATGTCCCCCTTTACTGAGCTGTGAGCAGTGGGACTGAATGTGCTGTGACATGCCCGTTTGCCAAGCTGCAGGAATGAGAGACAGCTGTAACACTTCTTGGGGCCTTGGACCTTGGAGCTTGGGAGTCCCTGGGCAAGATCTGTAGCATTCCTCAGGGCTGTGCAGTTGCTGGCATCTTTGAGATTTCAGTTGCTACTGCATTCCCCTCATCCAGATGCTGGTGCCCAAGGTGGAAGCTGGTGGTGGTATGACCGTTCCAGCTGCAGGCTGAGTGTGGATCCCATGGCAGGTGTGGGATCTGGGGCGGGGAACAAACCAAGTGCAGCCTGCTAGGCTGAGTGGGCAGAGTGAGCCTGGTGGGTCCAAGCAAGGCCCAAGGCAGAGGTCATGGTGGCCACAGAGATTTCCAGCTGGCAAAAGCAGCACTGAAAGAATCCTGTAACACTAATGTCAGCAAGGGTTGCATTATGAGTCTCAACATACATGCATTCCAGAGATGAATAGAAATTCTGGTTACTTATAAATTCTTGAGAAAGAAGCCTGGTACCAGCTGCTGGCTTTAGATAATAGGGAAGTCTAATTACTTCTAAATTTTTCAGATAAGGAGTTTGACTTTGGATGGTCTGCTTGATGGGCACTAGGCGATTTTTGTCCTCCTAAATTTGAGTAATAAAACTAATTTGGCCTTCAGTACAGCTAGCTCTGAGTGAATTAAACTCATTCTCTATTGCAATTTTCTGGTCTTGATAAATCAGCTGTGTCTAGGCAGTGGGCAAGGAGAACCCGTTGGATAGTTACAAAACCAATACCCCAAAATATGATGTTTTGGCATGTTGAACTGAAGAAACCTCAAGGCCTCTCTGACCTCCCCCATTATTTAATCAATCTGCCCCATGTTAGTGATATTCAGTGAAACTTCAGGGGGCCAAAGGCCATGGCCCCCACAAAAGCAAAGCTTCATTTAAACACTATCTTTTCAAAAGAAATACATTGGTGCTGTAGCCAATAATACCCTGAATTTAAAGTTTCTCCTTAAATTTAAAACTTCTAAGACAAGCTTAATTTACCAACTCCAAAACATAGGTACTAAAACTTTTTAGTCTCTTGGATTGTTAGAGTCCAGATCTTAACTGGATTTTTTTTTCTTTCCCGATTTAAATGTTCTACAATTTAATAGCTGAACTATGTTTTATATGTGATGAAATATTGATGATAATTTAAGACACCTTCAACCTAAGAACTAGAAACATGACTATTAAACAATTGTCACATCAGCATTTATGATTTTATTTCTGGTCATTTTATTTATTTAAAAGCACAGTGAGGTCAGAAGGAAAGCTCAAGAATGGGGAGCAGGGTACAGTGGATTTTGGAGTGTGAAGGAAATAAAAAATTTTACCCCAAAATATATTAATTTGGCATATTTTTAAGTGGCCCTGCAAAGCTGTCTTCTGTGGGGGAAATTTGCATTTGTAGATGTGCAGAGAATCTACATTAATGCAGCCAGCCCGTCTCTTATTCAGATTAACTGAGAAAGATTAACTGAGTCTGAAACATTCAAAAGTCTGAAAAAGACTCTTACCATCTATTCTCTCCAAGGGCTGCTGCCTGTGAAGCAAAGCTTCATCTATATAACAACGCCACCTTTACTAGCTAAGCTTCCTGTTTCCTCCCTCCCAGAATCTGTCTTGCCACTAAGACCTGATTTACCAGCATAACCTGTTTTGGGTCATGTTCTGAGCCCACATTCCTTCTGCAACCTCAAGATGATGCATAAGCATCTGTACCACACTGGGGGTAAAATCTTCATTCTGAAGTCTCCTATGCATACATATTACATAAATTTATATGCCCTTTTTTTTTATTATTAATCTGCCCTTTGCAAGTTGGTTTTTTTCAGCAAACCTCCAGAGGGCCAAGGGTGAAGCCATCTTTACAAAAATTATAACGGAGGAAATTATGACAATGAAAGAGATCAGACCTAACCAACTCCATCTTGCTTCTAACCTTTAAGCTGTCCTTGTTCGTTCCTGGGCATAGGCTGAACTAACCTTTAACTCTGAAACAAAAATGATACTAGCCCTTTCTTTAAAAAAAAAAAAAAAAAAAAAAAAAAAAAAAAAAACCTTCTTGTCTGAGGACCAGTCTGCCTTTGTAGGACTAATAAATTAGCTACAAGATTAGAAATTAAGGTTTAGGGGTCACGCAGCCTCCAGCTACAACAGTCTGAACATCCCCAAATTGCCCCTGGGAACAACATCACTATTGTAAATCCTAAGATCAGTGCTTGAGATATTTTGCAGACCCTGCACTTGATGGATCACCTGACACCACCCAGAAGGGTAATGTAGTTCATCCAGTTCTATGATCCCACCCTGGGACAGAAGACAGCAAGGAAAACTCACTTCGACCCCTATAATTCTATCTCCAGCCTGAGCAGTTGGCATGCCCCACTTCCTGAGCCCCTACCCGCCAAATTATCCTTAAAAACTCTGATTCCCTAGTGCTTGGGGAGACCAATTTGAATAGTAATAAAACTCTGGTCTCCCACACAGCCAGCTCTGCGTGAACTACTCTTTCTCCATTACAATTCCCCTGTCTTGATAAATCAGCTCTGTCTAGGCACTGGGCAAAGTGAACCTGTTGGGTGGTTATAAGGGTTCCCCTTGGTCCCTACAGTTGGAAAAATTGACCTAGTTATTTGCCATTTCTCATCAAAATGATTGTTAAGTAAAATTTATAGAAAGCTATTATTTGAACTGGGCTTCTGCACTACGCCCAACAGGCCAAACCAAAATGAAGTTACTTATGCCAAAATGAAGTTATTTATGCCGAAGTTCAAAGCCACCAAGCCAAAACTAAGTTGTTTATCAGATCTTTCAAGAAATCAGGAGAGAGATTATAGCTGCAGGGGACAGGGGAAAACCTTCCCTTCACCCTCTGAAGTTTCACTGAAAAGTCAACTTACAAAAAACAAATTGAAGAAAAAGCATACAGATTTGTTAGCAATCATACAAGGGAGAACTACAATGTAATTACCCTACCCTGGAATGGTGTTCAGATGTTTTTATAACATCTTGAGGTTACAGAAAGAATAAGGGCTTGGATTGCTCGCAAAACAGGTTAAGGTGGTGATACAGTTTGGCTCTATGTCCCCACCCAAATCTCATCTTGTAGCTTCCATAATTCCCATGTGTTGTGGGAAGGACTTGGTGGGAGATAATTGAATTATGAGGGTGGGTCTTTCCCATGCTATTCTCATGATAGTGGATAAATCTCACAAGATCTGATGGTTTTAAAAATGGGAGCTTTCCTGCACAAGCTCTCTTTCTCTTTGCCTGCTGCTATCCATGTAAGACGTGACTTGCTCCTCTTTGCTGTCTGCCATTATTGTGAGGCCTCCCCAGTCACGTGGAACTGTAAGATGATTAAAAATCTTTTTCTTCCCAGTCTCGGGTATGTCTTTAACAGCAGCATGCAAATGGACTAATACAGGTGGTAAAGCAGGATATGAGAGGGGGAGAAGAGGAGGCCTGTCTAACAAAGATAGTCTTGCTATGTAAATGAAACCTACCCTCTCTGAGGATAGCAGCCCTCAGAGAGAATAGATAGTAAATGCTTTTAAAAACCTTTAAAGGTGTTGAACTCTCAGTTAATTTTTCCTTGATCCAGACAAGGAGAGGCCTCAGAGAAAACCTGGGCTCACTAATGTAGATATTCTACAGATGCAAATCTCTCCTACAAAAGATAACCCTTCAGGGTTATGTCAGTTTGCTCTCTCTCTGAACAGCCATCTCAAAATATGTCAAAGAAATCTATTTTGGGGTAAAATATTTTTATTTCCATCATAGCAGAATCTCCAAACAGGCCAGTTTTAGCCAGCATGATAAGGAAGTAACCTTTACAAGGAAAGCAATTTCAAAACACCAATTGTCTTTTTGTTCTCTGTTTCTGCTATCTTTAGCACTTTTCTGTCTATAAAGCCAAATAACTTTGCTCAGTTCATCAGGACATTCATTTTATTTTATCGAATAATGTGTTGTCTGATTCTAAAATTGCAAATAAAAGCCAATTAGGATATTTAAACTAAGTTTATTGTAATTTTGTCTTTTGACAGTATCTGGTTACCAGAAGAAGGGGACCCAAAATGCTGCTGAAAATTTATGAGACTTATTGAGGAACACAGGAGAGCCTCCATTGACCCCTTCATGGATCCCCTTTCTTCCTTATGGACCGCTACATGCTGCAACTTCATTTTGGATCAGACTCTGTTCTTCTTGCATTGAGTGTTCCCCCAACCCAGATCTTTTTGGCCTTTGAATCCAGGCTTAGATTGTGCTGTAAAAGAGAGTACCAACCTTGGGGTGTGTGGTTGACAAGTCACCGATAAGAGTGAAAGTCACAACAGAAACAGGATTGGGTTCTGTAGGGAGGCCTCAGGTGTTTGACTAAGTCAGGCAGAAACTAGCAGTAAATGGCAATTACCGCCGGAAGTATGAACTTTGGCTTTTGAAAGTTTTCAGAAATGTGTTTTTTTCTTGCATGCTTAGGTAGAGAAAAATTATTAGCTATGTTGGTCAAGGCAATCTCAGAGCCAAAGACACAAACTTGACTGGTGGGCATGCTAGTGGCAGCAAATTTGTGCAGGTCTGGAGCAACCTCAATTCTTGCTTCATCAGAAGAAAGAATTCAACTGAAGGGGCATAAGGCAGAAAAAGAGACTGAGGCAACTTTCAGAGCAGGAGTGCAAGTTTATTAAAAAGCTTTAGAGCAGGAAAGAAAGGAAAGTACATTTGGAAGAGATTCAAGTGGGCAGTGTGAAGGCAAGTTCCCCATTTAAACTTGATCCTAAGACTTTTATGTGCTGGCCCACTTCTGACCTCTTGCATCCCTTTCCCTACATTCTTTCTGAAGGGTGAGCTGCCCACATGTGCAGTGCCCTCCTTATGCTTGGGAGGTGAGCATGCACAGTGTGTTTAGGAAGTTATATGCATGCCCACCTGGGTTTTCCCTTTTCTGGTGGAATGCCCCCAGAAAGCCATACTCTGCTATTTTGTCTCTTAATGCGCATGCCTGAGCTCACTTGGCCAATTCCTGAGATTTTATTGGAAGCTGATTACCAATGTCAAGTGTTTTTATCTGTTTGGGAAATTGCTTCTCCCTGCTGCCTGCAATTAATTATCACTTTAGTTTGAAAACTGTCAACCATCAGGAAGTTGCTTCTCCCTGGCACTGGCTGCCAATTATCATTTTTAGAGAGCTACTGTGATAGCTGCTGAATGGTCACCTGATGATTGCCTGACGTTCCTGGTGGGGATAGGGGTGGGGGTGGGTGGAACCGTCTCCTGCCACGCTCATACCTGACTAATTACCAGTAACAGGCATGGAATAGGCACCTAAGAGGTATTGGAGCAGTCACCACCAAAATAAGACTCCCATGGTCACAAAAATGGGTTAGTTGATGTAGGTCACCCATCAGCTTCAAGAAAACTTTGCGCAATGAGGTACTCTGTGAAAGTATTAGAATACACAATGCTCTGGTCTTTTCATCATAGGATTTTATCTCTGCTCTGATTGACCCAAGGGCCAGAATAAAAACAAGATCCTTAATTTCTAAAGAACTGACCACTCCACTTTCCAGCTATGCCTGCTTTTTATACGTATAAATATTAGGCACTGGTAGCCTCAAATTTTTAAAGGCAAAATCTTTTTTAAGATAATGGAGAATTACAATGGCCATTATATAGAACCTCCCAGATGAAGAATACTGTACTTTAAAAAGTGCACTTAAAAATGAGGGGTACCAAATTAGGCTTACCCAGGGATTCCTATTGATGTGTGGAAGCCTCTAGAAAGATTTCAGTACAATTTTTATTGCATCTTTTAAAAGACTTGTTTACAAAAGGCAATTAAAAAGCTTAAGAGACTAATTGATTTAAAAAATTGAATCTGTCAACCTTTAGCATAGTTACTATTCCTCCCTAAAGGAATAAAGAAAGCTAAATAAAAAGTAATTTTGGCCCTCATGTAAAGAAGGTTTTCTTCCTTTTCAGAGTTATCCATGTGGAGTCCAGGCATAGAAAATGCTTGTTTGCCCTATTCATTAATGGAGCCCACCCTAAATAAACTGAGTAATCTAGAATCTAAGTTCTGGATTACTGAATCTAGAATTTAGAATTCTGTTTTAAAAGCAGAAGATTCTGTTTCCTAAAACAGAAACTGTTAGAGTAGGTAGCTAGGCAGACATGTGCAGGGCAAGAGAGGCCTTCCCCTGACAGGAATGTCAGGGGGCCATCAGGTGATCAGACAGCTTGTTCAACTGTCTTTCTAAAATAATAATTGGTCGCACCTGGTGCCAGGAAAGGGCAGTCTCACAATAGAAAACACCTGAACCTGGTGAGCAGCAGCTTCCTGGTAAGATCTTAGGAGTTGGGTAAGTGGGCTCAAGTATCCACACTAAGAGGCAAAATGGTAGAGTTTAACTGCTACATGACCTTCCTCTAGGAACCCTCAGCTGGTAAAGGAAAACCACCTCAAATGAGCATACGCACAACTTCAGGAAACACTGTGCATGCTGCCCCTCCCAAGTGCTAGCAGGCAACTGTGCACATGGACAACCCAGCCCAAGGTAGAATCAAGGGAGAAGAAACAAACCCTGGAACCATGCCAATGTATAAAACCCCCAAGTCAAGGGTTGGACAAGGCACTTGGATCACTTAAATTGACCGCTTGGCCCTTTTCCAAGGGCACTTCATATCCTTTTGTTTCTGCTCTAAAACTTTTTAGTAAACTTTCATTCCTGCTCCAAAACTTGTCTTGGTTTCTCCCTCTACCTTAGGCCCCTCAGTTGAATTCTTTCCTCCAAGGAGGCAAGAATCCAGTTGCTACACATGCATATGTATTTGCTGCAACTAACATACTTTGGTGTTGTGACTCAGATACGTTACCTAGTTGTAAGATCTCTCTCTGCCTTGCCTCCTTTGCCTGGAGTTATTCAATCCCCATATGAGGTTTCCTTCTCCCCCTTTGCTCTCCTGCTTACTAACCAACCCTCAGGATGATTTCTGTCAGTCACAGTGGCTCTACTTCCCCTGGCTGATCTCTCAGCTCACCCTGACAGTGACTCACAGGAGTAGAAAGAACCTTGGAGTCTGCACTGAGTACACCTGAGACACTCATGGCCCTGCTGGACAGGAGGCTCATGAGAATGGTAGGTCTAAAGCCTAACACTGTGCAACGTCTGGGGTTTCCTCTGATTTATCAACTAAAATAAACTCTTTCCAAAAAACCTGCACTGCGTATTCTCCTGTTTTCTCTGTGTATATTTTGAAATGGGCTTGAAAACCCACAAGGCTATTCACCTTAGGGACAAGTCTGCCTATTCTCTGCTTTCACTTTACGTGCCTTATGACTTCCTTCTCTGCCTGAAACATACACTGTTATTCATGGTGTAGCTCGTGCTGTGTTTGTGCAGCAGCAAAGAAACAGGCTCTCTTAAGGATGTCTTTTGGCTCACTGCCAGGAAAGACATTAATTGGAACCCTGGCTCTGCCAGCTCCTTATGATTCACCATATATCTTTTGTCCCTGTTATTCTTCAGGGCCAAGTTTTTTTGGCTTTTGGTGAAATTTGTCTGCCTTCATAGGATCTCCGTCTGTGGCCATTTAAGGACCCCACCTACTTGCTTTTTTTGAGCCAGCACCCCTTTGGGAGGAGGGAAAATTATTCCTTTGCCATTTGCGAGCCCTTATCCCAAGCCCCAAGTCATTCAGAATTTCCTCCTTTATGTCAAGAGGGCAAATCAACATTGCCCTCTCGAATCCAAGGGATGCTGTTTTTGTGAGTGTATGGAAGCTTTCTATGAGTATTCTTCTTGCTTTCTCCCACTTCCTCCTGCAGCAGAGGAATTGTCCTGTCTGTTTAAGCATTTGTCTTCTGCATGTTACTCCAACAGGACATGGAACCTCAAATACAAATTTTCCTCCATTTCTCTAATTACCTCCACATCTTTCTCAACACTCGACTTGTAAGGGAAAAAGGCTTCTTAAATGAGCACGTACATAACTTCAGTAAACACACTGCACATGTGTCCCCTCCCAAGTGCTGGCAGGCCACTGCACATGCAAACAGCCCACTCCAAGAAAGAATCAGGAGAGAAGAAAAACAAATAACAGAAACATGACAATGTATAAAACCCCAAGTCAAAGATTGGACAAGGCACCTGGACAGCTCAAGTTGCCCACTTGGCCCTCTTCCAAGTATACTTTACTTCCTTTTGTTCCTGCTCTAAAACTTTTTAATAAATTTTCACTCCTGCTCTAAAATTTGCCATTCTTGCTCTGCCTTATGCACCTGGGTAGAATTCTTTTCTCTAAGAAGGCAAGAATCAAGTTGCTGCAGACCCGTATGGATGCACCACTGCTAACAAAACCAAGTTAAACAGAACACCTATGGAACTAAATTAGGCTCAAAAATGTAACTTTTTAACATTTAGCTATTTTGAAACTCTTTTGAAAAAAAGATATATCTATGAAGGAAAATGAGCAGAAATTCTTACAATGGGGGAGAGCATTGGTCTAAGCAAACCTCACCTTTGACCATTTTATTTTAACTGTGCTTCCTACCTATACTTTTCTTTGTCTAGGCAAATAATGGCATTTAGGCCGGAAATTTAACTTATGTGCCTTTGAGATGTAAATTTTCTAACTTGTTCTATATAAGATCTTTATCTTTAGAAATGCAAACTTAGGAAACTTTTTACATAGTTATTAAAAATGGAATGAATATAATCGACAGTAATGGGGTTAAAACAGAGGTCAAATCTACCAAAGATTGTATGGAACAGAGGGACCCCCAGCTTGTCCCCTGAAATCACACTTCCCAAGCCAGTCTACTCTCTTTATACTAGTTTGGAGAAATTTACAAAGCCAAAGGGCACAGATTACAGTGAGCAACCTAGATAAGAATTGCTTAGGGCAATAATCAAGTAGTTCATTCAAGAAAGGGAAACATCTTCCTTAACTCCTCATCTGCAATGGGTATAACAGTCATTATACCTGTTGCAAAAAAATTACACCTGAGAAAATTATGACAGTGAGAGAAATATGACATGCTTGACTCTAACTTGTCTTTAGTCTCATATGTTGGCTGTCTTCACTCATTCCTTGGGATGGGCCAAACTTTGGAGGTAATTCAGTTTATAGTTGAAATAATAGCCCTTTTGAAAATCAAAACTCTCCTTGTAAAACTAATGAAAGGCCACCAAGTTAGGATGAGAGGGGTTTGAATTCTAAATAACTTCCAGCCATTATTCTAGAGGTCATAAGATTTCCAACTTACCCAATTACTCTTGAAGACAACATCACTATTATAGAACCTAAGATTGGCCTTTTGAGATGTCTCTTCAGGTTTTTGCACTTCTGACAACAAGATGGCCCCACCTGGACCTGCCAACCAGTCCTGTGCCCCACAACCAGGAACTGACTCAGCATAAAAGGACAGTTTTTGACTCCCTATGATTTCATCCCCAAGCCAACCAATCAGCACTCCCAACTCACTGGCCCCCAACCCACCAAATTATTCTTAAAAACTCTGATCTCTCAGAGAGACTGATTTGAGTAATAAAACTCCAGTCTCCCATACAGCTGGCTCTGCATGAATTGAGCTCTTTATTGCAATTTCCCTGTCTCAATTAATCGGCTCTGTCTAGGCAGCAGGCAAGGAGAACCCATTGGGTGATACAGTCAAGGATGAGAGAGATTCTTAGAGTAAATAATTTTTGAAAAGACTGAAAGAATGGTTTGTGACAAGGTCTTTATGAGTGTGCCAAAGTCTCCTCTCCCATGATGAAGTTAATCTTCCCTGGTTACTGGAATTCCCTGGGGAGAGAATTAATGACAATAGAGTTTTTTTTTTGGAGGATTTCTCTTTTGGCAGATGAGAGAAATTCAGAAAGCCCCACCCTGCATTTTACTATTTTTCAAGTGCCTTTAGTTCGAATTACAAGCATATCTCAGAGACATTGTGTACTCAGTTCTACGCTATAGAAATAAAGCAAGTATCACAAGAACATGAGTTACACAATTTTTTGGTTATGCAGTGTATATAAGTTATATTTATACTGTACTATAGTCTATTAATTATGCAATATCATTATTTCTAGAAATACAATGTACATTCCTTAATTTAAAAATACTTTATTGCTAAAAAATGTTAGCTATCATCTGAGCCTTCAGCAAGTCAATCTTTGCTGTTAGAGGGTCCTGCCTTGACGATGATGGATGCTCACTGATCAAGGTGGTAGTAGCTAAAGGTAAGAACAGAGACCCCACTTAGGGGTTTGCCAGCCCCCCACCAACCCCAAGAAAATAACCACATGAAAATAAAGGAAAATTCTTGCTTTCCAAGGAAATTCCAGCTAGCCTTGAGAATTAAAGAACCCAATAAGGAAGAAGATATTAATAGCTTAAACAAGCTATTTAGTTTATAATTTGTTTATAGCTTTTGGGAAGAACTATTATTTAAACTACAAAGTAAGTAGCTTAAACAAGTCACCCAAGCAAGTCAACGTCTCAGAGTGTTTTGGTTCTCTAGAGAAACTAAAAGATACATTCGTTCTTGAGTTATTTTTCAGAAATCAGGATGTTCAGCAGATGGAAAATGATGACCGCTGTCACCTAGATCTCAGATAAAAGAGAACTGAGGACTGGACTCTGGCTGCCAGTCTTTGTTCTGAGTTTCTCCTTGAGGGACCTGGAAAGAGTCACACCTTCAAGCCATTATTCTTACTAACCTGGTTGCTCTGACCCAGTAAATTATGGCTTGTTCTCCTGGCCTGACTCTGGCATGGCACCCTATAATGATTAACAGTTTCCCCTATCTTAACTAACCTATGTTAAGCCCAAACCTTCACATTTCTTTCCGTCAACCACAAGTTTTTGAACAAAGCCTTGCTTCCTTAATTGCAAATCAAAGAATCTCTGAATCTTCCTATAATCTGTAAGCCCCTGCTTCAAGAAATCCTACTTTTTGGGACCAAACCAATGTATAACCTTCATGTATTATGATTTTGCCTATTACTTCTGCTCTCCTGAAATGTGCACCTGCCTAATAAACTCTTACTTGTAAGCCATCAGAAACTTCTTCTTAAGCATTAACTGCCTGTCCTTCTTGCTTGGCACCCTGCAATAAATGCCCATCTTTCTCTAGCTGCAAACGTTGGTATCATTTGGCTTTCTGGTGCCAGGCAAGCAAATACAAGTTCAGTTCAATAAGAAAGATTGGTATGGCTGTGGAAATAAGGCAACAGTGAAGTTTGCCGGTTCGATTGACCATTTCATGCACTTATTTCTCTGTAGCATATGCTCCTGTTTGACAGCATTTTACCTATAGCAGAACTTCTTCCCAAATTGGAGTCAAGCCTCTCAAACTCTGCCTCTGCTTTGTTAACGAAGGTGTTGTAATATTCTATATCTTGTTATTTCAATAATGTTTACATCATCTTTACCAGGAGTAGATTCCCTCTCAAGAAGCCACTTTCTTTGCTCATCCTTAAAGAGCAACTCCTTTTTTTTTCTTTTTTTTGAGATGGAGTCTCACTCTGTCGCCCAAGCTACAGTGCAGTGGCACAATCCCAGCTCACTGCAACCTCCACCTCCCAGGTTCAAGTGATTCTCCTGCTTCAGCCTCCCAAGTAGCTGGGATTACAGGCACACGCCACCATGCCCAGCTAATTCTTGTATTTTTAGTAGAGACGAGGTTTCACCGTGTTGGTCAGGCTGGTCTCAAACTCCCGACCTCGTGATCCACCTGCCTCGGCCTCCCAAAGTGCTGGGATTACAGGTGTAATCCCAACTCCTGTACCAGGCCAACTCCTTTGGTTTTTTATAAGTTTTATCATGAAATTGCTGCAAGTCAGTCACATCTTCGGGTTCCACTTCTAATTCTAATTATCTTGAGTGGATTTAGAACAACTTTTAAGAGCCCTAGGATTTTAAGGAAGGATAAGGAGGATTGGCTTCAACTTAAAGTCACCAGCTGCATTAGCTCCTAAGAAGAGAGTAAGCCTATCCTCTGAAGCTGTGAAGCCAAGCACTGACTTCTCCTCTTTAGCTGTGAAAGTCCTAGATGGCATCTATTTTTAATAGAAGACTGTTTAATCAACATTGAAAATCTCTTGTTTAGTATAGCCACCTTCATGAATGAAATTAACTAGATCTTCTAGATAACTAGATACAGCTTCTATATCAGGGCTTGCTACTTAACCTTGTACTTTTATGCTATGGAAACAGCTTCTTTTCTTCAACATCATAAACCAACCTCTGCTACCTTGAAACATCTCATTTTCAGCTTCTTCACCTCTCTCAGCCTTCATAGAATGAAAGAGAGTTAGGGTATTGCTCTGCAGGGAATGTTAAAGCAGGTTTTATCTTCTATCTAGACTACTAAAACTTTCTTCACATCAGCAAATAAGGCTATGTAATTTTCCCGTATGTGTTTACTGGAGTGGCACTTTTAATTTTCTTTAAAAACGTCCCGTGCATTCACAACTTAACTGTTTGGCACAAAAGGTCTAGCTTTTGGTCTATCCCAGCTTTCAACATGGCTTTCTCACTAAGCTTAATCATTTCTAGCTTTTGATTTAAGGTAAGATACGTACAACTCTTTCTTTCATTGAACATTAGAGGCCATTTTAGGGTTATTAATTGGCCTAATTTCAATATTACTGTGTCTCAGGGAAGAGGGAGGCCTGAGAAAAGGAGGAGATGAGGGAACTGCCTGTTGTGGCAGGAGTCAGAACTGACAAAATTTATGGATTAAATTTGCCATCTTATATTAGTGCAATTTGTGGAACTCCAAAACAACTACAATAGTAACATCAAAGATCACTGATTGCAGATCAACATAACAGATATAATAATTGTTTGAAATATTCCAAGAATTACCAAAATGTGACACAGAAACATGAACTAAGCATATGCTGTTGGAAAAATTGTTGCTGATAGATTTGTTTGATTCAGGGTTACCACAAACCTTCAATTTGTAAAAAACACAGTATTTGTAAAGTTCTGTAAAGTATGATAAAATGAGGTATGCTCAAAAATCAATCTACCAAAATGACATATTTTGCATAGCATTTTCCAAACTTCAATGGCTAGTTTTGTTGAAGAAGCAATTCAAGCATAATTGTTAACAACAAGTAAATTAGGTTAATATAAATGGGATAAAAGTTTATAAATAAAGTTGTCATAGTGGCAAACATCTTTTTCAATAACTTGAAATCTTAAAGTTATGCTAATATATGTAATAGATATTCATGAAATACTCAAGTCATTTCTAAATTAAACTGAAATATTAATTGCTGAATCTAAGTTTAAAGTATACATCTTTTGGCATCTTGCTTTTATGTGATACAGAGAAGCTAAACATGTCTCAGTTTGAAAACATGAAAAAATTATGAGGAAAGATACGGATTTTTATGGCTTTTAAAATTTTAAATATTGCTGGTTCTTTTAACATTTTGTTTTTCAGATTTAAGGAAACTTTTAAAAAAGCTATCTATAGCTTATAGCAATTTGGTAAGGTATACCCTTGTGATCAAAAATTGAAACGTTTACTTTTTCCTATCTAATCCCTCCAAAATCCAGAAACTATTCATGAGTATTCTTATTTTATGGCAATATATGTTCATAAATTCAAAAAAATATGCTTTTATAATAAAATACAATTGGTAATATTGACTATATTTCCAAGCCTTGGACTGGGATGCCATATTTCAGAATGTACATAGAACGAATCTATAGGTACTGCAGGAAAAGTCTCAAGTATGCATTGGCTTGGCTTTCTAGCCTCAAGAGGTCTTTAAAAGTCCAGCCTGATATTGCTTATCAAAAGTTTAGCAAAGCAAACTTGGAAAAAATAAAAGGGCTATGTTTTCAATTGCTATTCTTGGTGCACTTAAATAGGCCAATTTTCATGAGACTAGACTTATTTTGCAAACAAAATTAGTCTTACTCGGATTATCTTTGGTGTAAGTGGGGGCGTCGCTGTTAAGAGAAAAATTATATTGATGAAGAAAGACTATAGTGAACCTGTTATTAGATTGCAGCCGTGCTTATTGTTTGAGTTTTTTTTATCTACCTGTAGACTAGAGTGGATCCTGAATTCTGTTTTCCTCCAATATCTAGCTACATCCAATATCTGACTATATTTCCTCCAATATCTGGTTACAACCCTACAAGAACTGCTCTGTTCCTGAAGCCCTATAAATTGAGTTTGGACAACTTGATGTAAATTTCAAGGACAGATCTCATGTTTGATGTGTGAGCTACACAGATAATTTAACAATAACCAGAGACATTCAACCTGTAAACCAGGATGAGAAGTTGATGACTTCATGTTGTGGACAGCTTTTCCCAAGACATGTTGAGACCAAAACCCAAAATTATGGTGACTGAGAGCAGCATTGATGACCTAAGTTTCATCACACTCTCAGTGAGAGTGTGACAAAAAGGGAGGAAGTTTTAAGTGAAATCTATGGAAGGTAGATTGGGTGCAGTGGCTCACACCTATAATCCCAGCAGAGAATCGCTTGAGCCCAGGAGTTCAAGACCAGCCTAGGCAACATAGGGAGGCCTCGTCTTTACAAAAAATAATTAGCCAGGCATTGTGTCTTTTATCTGTGGTCCCACCTTATCAGGAGACTGAGGCAAAAGGATTGCTTAAGCCCAGGAGTTTGAGGCTGCAATGAGCCATGATCACACCACTGCATTTTAGTCTGGGCAACAGAAGGAGATCCTGTCTCTAAAAAAGTAAATACATAAAATAAAATTATAGAAGGCCATTTGGTTTGGACTGAGCTTCTACACTAGTCCCTTACGCTGAAGTTCCACTAAGCCAAAACTAAGTTGTTTATCTGACCTTTCAAGAAGTCAGGAGAGTGAGAGATAATAGCCAAATCCACAAACAAGCCAGTTTTAGCTGTGATATAAGAAAGTCCCTCTGTTTAACCTTTATAAGGAAAATAAATTTGAAATGACCAATGACTTTTTATTCTGTTTCTGCTTTCCTCAGCCCCTTTCTGTCTATAAAGCCAACCTCTCTGCTCTTTCAACCATACTTACATACATATTAATATTATAGTAATTGCATGTAAATAAACAATTAAACTGTATGGAAAAGTAGTGTATTCATCTGTTTTCACATGTACTGCTATACCTGAGACTGGGTAATTTATTTAAAAAAGAGGTTTAATTGGCTCACAGTCCTGCAGGCTGTACAGGAAGCATAGCACCTTCTGGGAAGGCCTCAGGAAACTTTCAGTCACAGTGAAAGGCAAGGGAGAGCCACCACTTCACATGGCCGGAGCAGGAGGAAGACAGAAAGCAGGGAGGTGCTATACACGTTCAAACAACCAGATCTCTATTATAAGAACAGCACTAGGGAGATGGAGCTAAACCATTAGAAGCGGCCCCCATTGTCCAATCGCCTCCCACCAGGCCCCACTTCCAGCACTGGGGATTATATTTCAATATGAGATTTGGGTGGGGACATAGATTCAAACCATATTAAGTAGCAATGCTTTTTTGTGATTATTATCCAACTCTATGTAAGGGAAATTAATATATTCACTCAAAAATTCACTTTTTTTTCCTGTCTGTATTTTTTCCTTTTCTGAAAGCTTTTGATCACATTATGTCAATCTATACACTTTTTTCCTTTTTGTAATCAGATTCCACATCTTCAATCAACAATACCCATTCTGTTACCAGATGTGCTATGTCTAAAGAGAATTGCTCTGCCTCTCTTACTTAGAGTAGAAAAGAATTCATTTATTAATCTTTAACACTTCCGAAGCAATTTCACATAGAATACTCAGTGATGATGAGCATGGCAATATTCAGAAGAACCAAAATTTATTTATTTATTTATTTATGAATTGGTCTTGATTCTTCAGAATTCTATTTCATCTTGGTTGAGGTAAAATACCCTTTGTATCTTTCATATATCAAAGAATAAATCCCAGCTTCACAAAGAAGTAAAATGCTAACTATTAAAATGCAAGTGTTCTGCTAAGACAGGGAGAGAGAAGGGACTAAACACCCTGATGCCTTTCTCCCCCTGACCTTAGATTTGCTGCTGCTGACTCCTTTTGTACTGTCCCCATTAGGGAGTCTAGAAGAGGCACTCTATAAAGATCAATATGCAGGGCACAGCATCAGGGAGAAAGTGGGCATGTGCATTCAAATGGCTAACCACCAGTGCAGATGGGTTAAACAGCAGATTAGACACAACTTAAAAAGATAGTGTCTGAAGAAATTGTCCAGTAGCACAGAGAGAGAAGGATTTAGACAATAGGAAAGATTAGTGAATTGACATGAAGATTGGAATGAACGAATGTTTTATATTTCTAAGGAGCATTCTAGAGGACAGAATACAAATAATGGGGGTGGTGGGCAATATTAAAGGAGATTATAATAAAAGTAACAATTATTCAATAATAATGGTGAACACATACATAGTATTTACAATGTGCCATGGCACTGGACATAACTAATTTAATCTTTATAACAAACCTATGAATAGGTATGGTATGAATTCACAGATACAGGAAACACAATAATTATAGAGCATATAAATAATTGATATGCAGATGCCTTGAAGTCAAACTATAGAAAATCAAACAAAAAAAGAATGGAAAATAGCTACAACAAAAGGTGGTAACAATGATTACACTGACAACAGAAATTTTCAACTGTAGACAATGGAATAATCACTTGGATATATAGGAATAAAGAACCATTGACCTAGAATTAGGTATCCAGCAAAACTATTTTCAAATATGAAAGAATAATAGTAAGATTTTAAGATAAAACAAAGTTATGATCATCAATAAACTTTAACTAAAGGAGTTTCAAAATGGGTATACTTAAGGAGGAAGAAAAGTAATTCCGCAAAGTCAAGGGTCAGGAAAGAATGGTGAGAAAATTGGACAACAACCAGCCATCCCATTACTGGGTATATACCCAAAGGACTATAAATCATGCTGCTATAAAGACACATGCATACGTATGTTTATTGCAGCATTCATTATTCACAATAGCAAAGACTTGGAACCAACCCAAATGTCCAACAATGATAGACTGGATTAAGAAAATGTGGCACATATACACCATGGAATACTATGCAGCCATAAAAAATGATGAGTTCATGTCCTTTGTAGGGACATGGATGAAATTGGAAATCATCATTCTCAGTAAACTATCGCAAGAACAAAAAACCAAACACCGCATATTCTCACTCATAGGTGGGAATTGAACAATGAGATCACATGGACACAGGAAGGGGAATATCACACTCTGGGGACTGTTGTGGGGTGGGGGGAGGGGGGAGGGGGAAGGGATAGCATTGGGAGATATAACTAATGCTAGATGACAAGTTAGTGGGTGCAGCACACCAGCATGGCACATGCATACGTATGTAACTAACCTGCACAATGTGCACGTGTACCCTAAAAGTATAATAAAAAAAAATTAAAAAAAAAAATAGATGGTACAATTGACCCTTAAGCAAAAATAAAAAAAAAAAAAGAAAATTGGACAACACTTAACTAAATTTAAGCAAATATTGTCTGTATAAAGTAATAGCAATAGTTTCTAATTTAGGATATAAATTATAACAATAGGATGCAACTTACAAGAGAGTTGAGAGGAGTTAAACTGGTGAATCATATATTTGAAATGAAGATCAACAGTGATTTACATTTAGTTTCTTAGTTATGAGAATTTCAAGGGTAATAACCAAAAGCCAGTTAAAGAAAAAAGATGAACCAAGAATCAAACAAACGTAACATCTCTATCAATCCAAAATAAAGCAAGAAAGGAGAAAAAAATAGCAAAAGAAAAGCAACACAAAACAAAATGTTGCAAATAAGTCAAAATGTATTTTTAACCACAATAATTTAATTATTTTCAGTTGAAATATAGAATGCTCAGAATACAATAACCCAAAGTAAGGTGTGTTGGTGTGCTAAGCACATTGAACAGAAAGGCTTCAGAAGGACCTCAGAAGGAAGGTCTCTCTGACCTTCTCCCATCCTCCTATCTCCAGCCCATCTTCATTCACCTGAGCAATTCATAGAAATCAGACTTCCTTTTCTTCAAAGTGAATCATTGAAACTAGAACTCTTCTCCCCACACACAAACCATAAAACCCAGAAGGGTCATTCACACTTCTCATTTCTCCCTTGAAGATCCTCATTTCAGAGGAGTGCTGTCCAATACTCAGAAGAAATGCTACACAGAGAGCTTAAGAATCTGAACAGACAGGACTTGTTGAGTTTCCCCCTTCAGTTACCATTAGATTATACCCTTTTATATTAGATGAAACCCTTTTATCCAGTTACATTTCTACATGCCTGTTCATTTTTCATGGAACCTAAATATAAAAATAGACAGTTGTCCTTGGGTCTTTGGGTCTTCATTTCTGAAGTCTCCTGTGTCATGTAAAACTTTGATTAAATAAAGTTATTATGCTTTTCTCTTGTTAACCTGTCTGGTTATAGGAATATTGGCTGTGACTTTTATGATTGGTAAGGATAGGTATTATATCTTTCCACCCTAGTATTTACAAAGGAATTTCAGGTTGAAATTGAATTTATGTGGTACACATAAAACCTAAGATAGACAGGCTGAAAGTACAGTAGAAAAAGATTAGAAAAATATTTTATTTAAAAAACAGGGTAGCTATAGCAATATCAATCAAAATAACCTTTAAGCAAAAGTATTATTAGGAATAAAGAGGTCAGAACATTTATTGATTTAGAAACAGCTATACAATGTTAAATGCATGCCAACCATTGTTGTAGGCACACAAGCAGGCTTATAAGTATTAACTTATTTAGTTCTCATTTCAATTTTATTAGGTAGGTATTATTTCTATTTACCTTTCCATCTTTTCAAACAAGGCAATGGATGAAGGAAGCTTAAGCAATTTGCTCAGTCACACAGTCAATGAGGAGAGAAATCTGGACTCAATCCAGAAAGCAATCTGGCTCCAGGGTCCTTGAACTTAACCACTATGCAATGCTGTCTAAGAGGCTTAGCTAGCATACTATAAACTTGTATGCACCCAATTTAATGGCCTCAAGCATAGAAAGAAAAATTTGATAAAACTACAGGGAAAAGTAGACAAATATAAAATAATAAAGACATAGTTCAACATATTTTAAATTACTACAAGCTTAGGCAAGCAAAAAATTTGCAGGATAAAGAATTAAAGAAGTCCTAACCAGAGGAATCCAACAAGAGAAAGAAAGAGCATGCAAATTAGAAAGAAGTCAAATTATTTTTTGCAGATAATATGATCTTATATTTTAAACCCAAAGACTCCATTAAAAAAAATACTATTAGAACTGTTAAACAAATTCAGTAATGTTGCAGGATACAAAAATTAACATAAAAATCTGTAGTACCTCTATATGCCAACAGTGAACAATCTGAAATAGAAATTAAGAAAGTAGTCATATTTATAATGTTATAAATAAAATACCTAGAAATAAACTTAACCAAAGAAGTGAAAGCGCTCTATATTGAAAACTATAAAACACCGATGAACAAAATCAAAGAGAACACCAAAAAAGGGGAAAGATATTCCATGGATTAGAAGAATCAATACTGTTAAAATGTCCCTACTACCACAAACAAGTTATAGATTCAATGCAATCCCCATCAAAATACCAATGGCATTCTTAAAAAATAGAAAAAATAATTCTAAAATTTATATGGGACCACAATAGACCCAGAATAGTCAAAGCTATTGGCAAACAGGTGTATGAAAATGTGATCAGCATCATCGAGCATCAGAGAAATGCAAATCAAAACTACAATGAGATATCATCTCACCCCAGTTAAAACGCCTTTTATCCAAAAGACAGTCGATAATGAATGCTGATGACAAGGTGAAGAAAAAGGAACCTTTGTATACTGTTGGTAGGAATGTAAATTAATACAACCACTATTGAGAACAGTTTAAGCAGAATAACCATTCCTATGTTTATTATTGTAACACTGTTCACGATAGCCAAGATTAAGAAGCAACCTAAGTCTCCATTAACAGATGAATGAAGAAAATATGGCACATGTACACAATGGAGTACTATTCAGTCTTAACAAATGAGACCCTATCATTTGCAACAACGTGGATGGAACTGGAGGTCATTATGTTAAGTGAAATAAGCCAGGCACAGAAAGATAAACGTTGCATGTTCTCACTTATTTGTAGGAGCTAAAATTCAAAACAATTAAACTTATTGAGACAGAGAGTAGAATGATGGTTACCAGAAACTGGGGAAGGTAATGGGGGTGGGGGGTAGGCAGGGATGTTTATGAGTACAAAACTATAGTTAGATAGTATGAATAAGATCTAGTATTTGATAGCACAACAGAGTACAGTCAACAATTTATCATGCATTTAAAAATAACTAAAAGAATATAATTGGATTGTTTATAACACAAAGAAAGGATAAAAACTTGAGGTGATGGATACCCTATTTACCCTGATATGATTATTACACATTATGAAACCTGTATAAGTCTCTCATGTACCCTATAAACATATACATCTACTATGTACCCACAAAAATTAAAAGAATTAGTGACACAATTTAAAGTTCCAATATAACAGAAATTAATACATTGTGCATCCTTTAAGAGAACTATAAAAGGCAAGGATAATGTATTGGTTATGTACTGCTGATGAACAAATTACTGCAGAAGGTAGTAGCTTAGAACAACACACATTTATTATCTCACAATTCCTCTGGGTCAAGAACTCAGGATTGGTTTAACTGAGTGCCTCTGGCTCAAGATCTCTCATGAGCTTGCAGTGAGGGTGTCGGCTGTGGTCTTTTCTAAGATAAGACCTGGGTATGATCCACTAGAAAGTTACTCATGTGGTTGTTGACCCGATTTTATTCTCTCAGGGCTGTTTAGACTGAGGGCCTCATTTCTCCTGCCTGTTGGCTAGAAGGCTCCCTCAGTCCCTTGCCTTGTGGGCCTTTTATAGGACAACTTCAAACTTACATCATGGCAACTGGTTTTCCGTAGAGCAAGCAAGAGAAAGAGGGAGTGAAAGTGAGAAGGAGAGAGAGAGAGGAAGAAAGAGAGAGAGACGAAAGCTACAATTATTTTATAACCTAATATCAGCAGTGGCATTCACTACTTTTGTTTCATTGTATTTGTTAGAAGTGAATCACTTCTAACAAGTCTAGTTCACTCTGTAGGGAAGTAGATTACATAAGGGTGTCAATACTGGAAAGTGGGGGTCATTTAGGACCATCTTAGAGGTTGCCTAGCACAGGTGATTAACATAAAATACAGCAGGATTATAATAAAAGCAAAGAAGTCATCAGTACAATTGTATTGGCTTTGGCATATTTCTGAATTAGATGATTGAATTGTGGGTGTCCATTTTGTTATGCTTTATAAGTTTACAGATATAGTACTCTTTTCTTTTGTATATATAAAAATCACATAATTTTTTCAAAAAATAAGGTAGTCACCATCTTCTAAAATAAAACAAATCTCTAGCTATATGAGACTGACCTCTCGATAACTCCAGTTTTTACTGAAAATTAACCATTGCATTTCATCTGATTTGTGAGTTGTTGGGAAAGTTGCATCATTCCCTGTGCACCTCAAATTACCTATATGAACTGAACAGTGCATTTTAATTCTATCTTTAAAATAAAATGTTCATTAATTCAATTTGAACTCTCAAACTCAGTCCTTTAAAAGTTTCAGAATTTGTACATAAAAGACACTCTACAAACTTACAAGTAGGAAACATTATTTTATGGTATATTTGCTCCCACAAATTTAGGCAAATGTGAGCTTTTTGCTTGAATTATTCAAGTCTAAACTCTGCCATAAATGTAACCTGTAAATATTTAAACTAATGCAAACAAAAGAACTTGGTTTTATCATTTTGATATGTAGTATCTCTCTGCCCCACCACCCCCTTGTCTGGTGTTATCAGAAATACAGTTTGATAACATGAATCAAGCTAATAACATTAGCTTATGACTGATTACCTGTACAGTTTGGCCTGATACAAAAATTCTGCGTAATTAATTTTAATCTTACAATAACACTGGTGGGACTGTAGACCATTTCCCTTAATTTAAATACATAATTTGCAACTTGAATACATCTGCAATAATGAAATGTCAGAATCTTTTACTCTGAAAAGAGCATAACTATAAATACAACTAAAATTTTATACACATAACTTTTTTTATTAATTTTATTGCCCCTCTTGAATTAAGAAAAATAATGCAATGATTCTTTAATTTTCAACTCATATTATTCTTAAAGTCCCTAAATTGGTATTTCCAAAAAGCTGCATTAAGGCTAATTGAAGATTCTGCAAAAGATACATTATGAAACTAAGATAACTATAAAAATGTTAAGTAGTACAAATACATATAAAGTAATATATAAAATCTACTTAAATCACCCCTTACCTCCCAATCCCACTCCCCTGAGGTAACAAATCTTAATTATTTGGTATCAGTCTTTTTATACATTTTCTATAATACTAAAAACTTATGTGTATTCACATATATGTGTGGGGGCCAAAGGCTCTTGGAAGATTCTCTGAAAAATCAACTCACAAAAGGCAGATTTATAGAAGAAAAAGCATACAAATTTATTTAACATGTATACATGGGAGCTTTCAGAAGACTCAAGGATACAGAAGAAATTGTCAATGTTTATGTTTAGGTTATGGATAGCCATGTAGAAACATGATCGGACAAAAAGGGCAAGATATAATGATAATGGGCTGAGTGGGGAAACTCTGGCTGTCTAGATTCTTCTGAGCATGCATTCCCTCCTTGGTGTGAGGAAGAGCCCTCTCTAGAATGGGGGTCTCATGATCTACAGTCAAACAAGGTATGTCAGACAATTTCTTTATGGCCAGTTTTTACACAGAAAGGCAAGGGAAAAATAGAGTAATATTATTAGGTTTTATGACTAGCTTTGGAGAAAAGGGGCTCTGATTTCTGTGACCTGCCTTGGGGAAGAGAGATTCTAGTTTTTATGGCTAGCCTCCAGGGAGAACACGACTGAGAGACAGGGGAACAGGAAAAGGTCAGAAAAAAACTTTTGCTCTGAGGCTGCTGCGGAGGCCTTCATTTTAAAATACTGTTTTCTGAGCCCCATCATATGAAAACATATGCATTTTTAAATTGGAGTATACTATATTTATTGTCTGGAAATATTTCTCTCATCTTTTCATCTAACATAGTCATCTTCATACAATATAAGATATAGCTCTACATTAATGATTGTTTTATTGGCTATATAGAAATCTCATGGCTTGAAATATAATGATATAACTATTTTTCTATTAATGATCACTTAACATTTTATTATTTTATAATTGTTAATTTATCACATATAATTTATTTTTAAATTTTAATATTAAAAACCATGCTACAATAAATGTTTTTGGAGATAGAATTTTACTCTAAGCATTGTCTCTCTTAAATGGCTATTTCTAAATTTCCACTGATCGGTCTCCTTTTATAGCACTGCTCTTAAAGGGGAAATAACTCAAGTTTGGTCCTCAAAGGTTACACATCTTGATTTTAATTTGTATTTGTTAATCTAATTCAATTATTGTTCAATATTAGCTGAAGTATTCAGGCCAACTTCAACTCAAATGAGCAACTTAAAAATAAGAAAAAAGCTAAGAAGGTGGATGTTATGTGTTCTCACCATAAATACAACTATATGAAGTAATGCATTCACTAGTTAGCTAGATTTAACCATTTCACAACATATATATACTACAAATCGTGTTATACATGGCAAATACATATACTTTTATGTCAATTAAAAATAAATTTGAGAAAAAAGAAATAAAGTTGATTGTATAGTTTATCTATTTCAGAACAAAAACTGTAATATGGGAGTTTAAGCATGTTTACTTTCTCTGACAGTTTGGTAGGTATAATAAAAAATTTACCTTGTTTTTTTAAAAAATAAGTAGCAGTCATTTTAATTAATTGCAATGTGGCTTTTAAAAAGAGCTTGAGGCCTAATTAGTTAAAATCTTACATGTGTATTTTCAGCATGAGTGTTCTATTAGAAGCTAAAAACTGGTTACTCATTTATTTTTAACCATGCTCATCATTTTAGTATTCCCTGATGGTGGGGAAATCTAACATTCTTTTTCTAGCAAGTTGTCTCACTGCTGCTTACTAACAGGTACTGGCAGAGCCTGTAATCTGCCTACCCACAAAGGTTAGAAATGAATTTTGGCATTTTGGTGGACACTCAATATTTACCCACTTGGAAGACAACAATAGTGCTCAAAACAATGAGATATATAAATTTCCTTGTTCGGTTTAACGGTGGCTGGAAGATAAGTCACTCAAGCAGTGCTGACAGGTATTACTCTGTCTGAGATCTCTGTTCTCTCATTTGAGAAGAAAAAACAACAAATTCCTTGTCACCCTCTTCCTTTCTAGTGCAAATCTAAGACTGGAAGTTTTTTTGAACATATTATGCATCAGGACTTGATCATTAACTGGAAACTACCTTCTGTCCTCTCTAGTTCATTGCTCCTCTTGGTTCAGCCCTATGGATCTAGAAAAATCTCACCCTTGCTCCACACACAGAGCCAGGCAGACAGCCCAGAGACAACCCTCAAAGTGAGCAATTTAGGTTTTGTTCTGGTAGCACAAAATTCCATTTCCTCTAGTTATTTTTTCTTTTATAGAAATGAAAATAAAATAAAAGTATATTTTTCAAAATATTTGCCTGTGATTTATGTAAGTACCCACATGTTAAACCAAACTCTGTTGCTGCCTTGCAATATTTTCCTGGATTGAACCAGCCAGTATCCTTCAAGTCTTCTATGTAGGCCAATCACTATTAGAAATGAGTGGTCAGAATATATTTGTCTGTAATGTTTAATTTACTTCATCTGTAATGCTGCAGCCGGGGTATTTTATGGCATTACACTGGAAATGGCTTGACTCTTTGATATGGGGAGATAGATCTCAGGTCAAAACCCAAGGAATAATTGATTATTTTCACAAGAAGAGGGTTGAAAACTAATATCCTCCCCTCCTACAGTCCTCAGAAAATATCAGCCAGCAGTGAGAATGCATCATCAGAGAATGCTGATGTAATAGGCAGACAGATCAGGGAGATGAAGTATCACACAGTCACCATCTCCATTAACTAATGTAGGAGGAAGCATCAAAGTTGTCCACAAAAAATAATTGACAGGTCTTGGTGCCTAAAGACACATACACAAGCCGTAAGAATTTCCTTTCATTTAGTAATCAGAGCCCTCAACAAAGAAAGGAACCTCTTAGCTTGGGCAGCATTAAAACAAAACACTGAAGGAAGTACAGATGATTATCTTGAGATCTTAGACGAAACCAAACTAGACCCTAACAATATCGCTTGACCATATTATCGAGGATTATAACCAATTCCTTGGTGAGGAAGATTAAAGTTTGATAATAGAATCTACTTTATATACATTGTATCTATACCTATTTGTCTAATCTATCATCACCTGTATATCATCTATGAAATTAGAAAATAAATTGGGATAATTCTCACTATAATGTGTATGTCCAGTAAGTTTCATTATTGTTCTTAAGCTCATAGTGTCTCTAATCAAAGACTCTCTAGATACAGTCATGTCCAGATATATAGTTGGGAGAAATCCACTTACTTCAGACAAACTTATGGTTTTTGTCTGAAGAAGCATATTTAAGAAAACATTATCCCTTACAAAGACTTTATTTTCTGTCAGGGTGTGCTACATATTGACTTACTATTTCTCAGTGACAGGGGAAAAGGCATAATCTTGAAATATTTGAAAGTACTGGCTATCTTCACAGTTTTTTTCCAAGTTCAATGTATACAGGAAGTAAAAAATGTTTTCTGCCCAACCTAATATTACTCAGAGAAATTTTAATCTCAGACGGATTCAGTTAAGTCACCAAATCTTCGAAGGAAAGTAGTATCTTTTACAAGCACAATGAGAATTTTTAACTGCTCTCAGACAAGTGGCTATAATTATTGGAGATTATCAGGTATAACTAAGACTCTAGGCTCACAGGAAAAACTGATGTCATATTAATTATGAAGAATTTTATTTTTGAAAAATGTCATGTTTGCCTTAAATATTTAATATTTTCTCTTATCAAAATGTGTTACCTGGGAACTGAGGATCTAGCACCATCTGCAGGCAAAATAAGCTAATTTCATCTGGCAGTAGAAACAATTTTACAGAAGTTTAAAACAGGTTAAAATTCTTTCAACAATGATGTATAAGTCTGTCCTTACAATAAAAAAATAAATTGGAATGCCACCTGCTTTGTCCTCCGTTTCTTTTATTTTCTCAAAGCATCTGCAGTGGCCGTTGATAAGAGTACTGTAGTCTCTGAACTGGTATGCTTAAGACTACAATACTCTTGCCAGGAAGGGCCCCATTTTGATCAGCGGGGGAGGTACATCGGCTATGGCCCACAGTATTTTTAAAGGCCCACAAAAATGTTTCATGTCTTTTAAAATCAGTATTAAAAAACTTTTAGGTCAAATAAACTATTTTAATATATGATATTAACGTATTCATCTTTATATCAACCCAGTTATAAAATATACTTTTTGATATTTTTAAATGGAGAGAGGGGTCTGTGAAGACAAAAGTGCCGAGGGCCCACTAAGTTCAAAAGGGTCTTTTTTGGAGGCTGATGGCTAGAGTCCAAAGAACTACACAGGTGAATACGGAGGGGAATCAACTTAACCCTGGTTAACTACTTAGAACACAGCTTGGCACGCATTCAGCTCTCAATTTGAGTCATTATATGCCAGCTACCTTTAGCCTTCTTAGTCTGGTTCTCACTACTTGTATGCCAGAGCTTATTTAAAGTTCATGTTTGCATATTTTGTTTTTAATCTCACATCTTAATTAGTGCTTTTTAAAGTTAATCAGTGAACAAAATTACCAACATATAGTAATCATTGGAAAACTCTAAAATCCAAACAGAGAAGTCTTCCTGTCATTTCTTCAGCTGGTATGACTGATTCATCTTTAGCAACAACAAAAAATAACAAAATGCATGTGTTGGGGATTTAGATAACAACCATTGTGAAAAATTATTTGCAATTATATTAGCCCATTTTCACACCACTCTGAAGAACTACGTGAGACTGGCTAATTTATAAAGAAAGAGGTTTAACTGACTCACAGTTCCATATGGCTGAGAGGACTCGGGAAACTTAAAATCATGACGAAAGGCGGAGGAGAAGCAAGCACGTTCTTCACACAGCAGCAGGAGAGGACGGGGTGGGGGAAGTGCCACACTTTTAAACCATTCGATCTCGTGAGAACTCACTCACTATGACGAGAACATCATGGGGAAACCACCTTCATGATCCAACCACCTTCTACCAAGTCCCTCCCTCGACAAGTGGGGATTACAATTTGAGATGAAATTTGGATAGGGACACACACAGAGCCACAGCATATCAATAATAATCTCATTTTAAATTTAAAATTACACAGTACTCTTATGATGTAAATATTTTTTATCCCCATTTTACAAATGAGGGAATTCACGTATAGAAGGAGGTAAAGTTCTCTGTGCGAGTACACACAACTGTGGTGAGTTAGAGCCAGGATCTGGGATCGAATTAAAATCCAGGTGCACCTGACTCTGAAGCCTCACAGCAATGTGTCCTGCAGCTGTCCTGCCTCCAGTTCTATTTCTACATGGTGCTCTTCGCAGACACCTCTCCACATACAAATGTATATCCACAGCTAGAACAAAACAAACTGGTAATTCTCAAATTCTTCTTGAAGTGAGTTTTTTTCAAAATATTTTTGTCCAACAAATAAATTAAATACCTCATTTTAACAGGCATATTTTTATTAACCCATAATGTGGATTGAAAAGCGGAAAGAAATATCTTTAATAAATTATCAAGTGATCTTGAGCCATTAAACATTCTTGGCTTTTTCTAAAAATAGATGATAGCATGTAGTTAATAGGCCTTGGTGTCAGATATGCATTCAAATACAATCACGGCAAAGTGTAAGCAGCAGGGTATTTAGGAAACAATTGGAGTTCTCTAGGCTTTGGTGTTGTCATCTGTAAAATAGAGAGAAATCTTTTCTCTCAAAAACTTGATTGTCTGAAAGATTGTTAATTAAAATCCCTAGCATCACGCTCAATACATTTTGGTTTTCTTTCTTCTAATTATCCCCACTTAATTTATTTAATTGATAATCACATAATTGATCTACTTCCACTCAGGAAAGCACTTCTGATTTTTATGGTGTGCTATTGAATAATTATGAAAATAAAGTGGATGCTGAGTGAAGAGGTTATCATACCTAGCAGTCTTTTGACAGAAATATTTGTCCATAGTAGTTTTAGTTTACCTGCCTTCAATAAATAAAGCAAAAATTGAAAATCTTTGACAACCAAGCTCTGAGAACTTTCTGAATTTAGAACTGTTGCCTTCCCAACTCAGAACATGAATGATATGGTTTGGCTGTGTCCCTATCCAAATCTCATCTTGAATTGTAGCTCCCATAACTCCCTTGTGTTATGGGAGGGATCCAGTGGGAGATAATTGAATCATGGGGATGATTTCCCCCATACTGTTCTCATGGTAGTGAATACGTCTCAAGAGATCTGGTAGTTTTATAAGGGGAAACCCCTTTCACTTGGGTCTCATTCTCTTGTCTCCCGCCATGTGAGACACCTTTGGTCATGACTGTGACACCTCCTCAGCCACGTGGAACTGTGAGTCCATTAAACCTCTTTCTTTTGTAAATTGCCCAGTCTTAGGTACGTCTTTATCAGCAGTGTGAAAATGAACTAATATAATGAGCTTCACCATAACTTAGCAAACAGCCAATTCCATCTGCCATGATTCTGCTGGCCCTGATCTGGGCTGATTGCCTAGGGATGGTCACTGGTTCACGCCCATCCAGTGGTACCAATTTCTGTGAGATTTTTCTCAGCCAAGACTTTTGAACTAAATGTCATGTCTTCTAGTCAATGGGTGGCAGTAATTGGAACAGAAAGATCATCACATTGATCTGCTGGCTACATTGAATCCTGAGGAAAATCAATAAAGAACAGCAATGGGCAAAGAGAATTAAAGATTTACAGAGAGGCCAAGAAGAGACAATCCATGCAGGTCCAGAAAGAGAAAAGAATGAGTCTCTTGATTGCTTCCTGGCTCCCATTAAACCCAGCCTCACTTCTTGTCTTGAATGCTGTATCTTTTTAATTAACCACCATGTCTATTGAGTTGAATCAAAGGAAGAAAAAAAAAAACCTTAACTCGATGGCTCCCACCTGGAAAAGGGGAGGCAGTTTCCACTAAAGTGGGGCTGTTAGAAAAAAGATAGAAAATTAGGAAAACTGAGGGTAGTTTCCCACTCTTCATTGCCAGGGATAGGTAGCAATCCAACATATCTGTCTGCTGCAAACTTGTCCTGGCCATTACAAGCCATGACTGTTTAAAGGAAATAGAGTGTCAAGGATGCTGCCCATATTTTCAACATCATCAAAGAGTTTAAGTGTTACATGATGAGGTCCTTGTGAGGCAAACTGAAAACTGGAGGAAATAAACTTGACAAGAATTGTAAACAGGTCAGTTTGTGCAGCCTGTTTTCTGAAATTAAGGGCTGAGTTCTGTGAAAAATAGAAGTCATCTGAGAATAAGTCTTATTTCTTATTCAACATTACATATTAGTGATTTTAGCACACTTGCTTTACTGCTGTTTATAAATATCTCATCTACTTCATCAGAGAAGGAAAATGTATTAAGACTTAAGCAATTTTTTTAAGAGATGGGGTCTACGTTGCCCAGGCTAGAATGCAGTAGCGATTCATCAGTATTCACAGGTAGAATACTCACTCAATACAGACTTTCAACTCCTGGGCTCAAGTGATCCTCTTGCCTCAGCCTCCCAAGTAGCTGAGATTACAGGTACAGAAAACTGCAACCACCTGACTTATGCAATCTTTAGGAATTTTGTCAGACTTTTTTTTCTACAAACAAGAATTGAGTTGATATTTCCAGTATCTTTTGCAAATAGTGATTGAGGAAACATCAGCTGCAGATAAACATTGATTAACAAGCTCCACTTAGATTCCCTACTTTGCTTTCTGTGAACAAATAGCCATTCTTCTCTTTTAAAAATAGCAGAATCTTATAATGTTTATTATTTATTTCTTATTTACAGTTAATAACATTTTAGATACGCAGTACAGTATATCTTCTTTTAGGTTTTCTGTATTGTATTTCTCCCCCTATTTGACATGTTGTTTAATATTTAGGCCACTGCACCTCATTTTAGAAGTAACTGGCATGCATATTATAAGTCATAAACAAATTATTAAGTGGCATAAAGGCAAAATTTTATATTAATTTGATTAATATAAATATGCTTGGTTTAAACTGTAGCACGTAAGTCCATCAAAAATTACATAATTGTGATGGATTTTTTATAAAATTGAAAAAATACATACAATATGTCTATATTGTCATTATGGGTTCCAAATATCCCCAAATAGTTTTAACCTGAAATTTTAAATACTATCGTGTATTTCATTTCAATGTTAGCATGAATAAACACAAAACAGTCAAATATATTAACTAAGCAAAGTCTATAGTCTGAATTCTTTATAAGAATTCAGTGTGAATAGACACTACACTCTAGCCTGGGCAACATAGCAAGACCTTATTCCTAATAAATAAATAAAATTATAAGATAAATATTGAAAGTTACACATTTTCAAGTACTTTTGCTTAATTTTTAAACACTCATTATTTTCAAAGTATTTTCCAAATAGACTGTGAATAAAGTATGTTTAAATTAATTGATGTGAAATATCACCAAGACATAAGCCAAAAATTAAATCTCTTGCCATCAATTTATCAAATTACTTGCTTTTCTAAACTCACATTATATTCTAAACATTACTTTCATTTCCATGAGTCATTAGCTTTCATAAGGACGATTTTACATAAAATTTGTAAACCACAGCATTTCTTCATTATTAACATATACAGGTCCATTAAGTCAATTATAAATGGATAGTGTATTGATTAATATTTTAATTTTATTGAGATTCTTGATGTAGATCTAAAAAATGTTTATGAAAAATTTAATGTACACTCATGCATCACTTAATGAAGGGTATATGTTCTGAGAAATGCATCATTAGGCAATTGTGTCTTTGTACTAACCTCGTAGAATGTATTTACACAAACTTAGGTGGTATAGCCTACTACACCTGCGCTGTATGGTACAGCCTACTGCTCCTAGGCTACAAATCTTTACAACATGTTACTGTATTCGAATACTGTAGATAATTGTAGCACAATGGTAAGTATTTGTAGATCTAAACATGGAAAAGGTACAGAAAAATATGGTAATATAGTCTCAGGGGACTACCATCATATATACAGTTTGTGATTAGCTGAAACGTCATTCATTATGTCGTGCATGACTGCATTAGTTTAGGTATCTCAGAAAAAGTCTTTAAGCAATTATTACTTTTCAACCATAAAAAGTTTATATTGAAAATCAATTTAATAAGACTATTGATAAAATTGCTATGTGGTTGTGATATTTTGAAATATATATTTGGTTTTCATCCCATTCCTGATATATACTCCTAAAATCATTATAATGTCCAAAGTGATAAGAGTCTTTTTGTATGCTAATGAGTTGACCAATGGCTGGGGACTCCTGGATAGCCAGGTCATAGGAGGCCGGTCATAGGAAAGACCAAGATAGCTTTAAGCATTTCAGCCCAGCCCCTCCAACCTCCAGGGAAGGCGAGAGGCTGAAGGTTAAGTCAATCACCAATGGATAATGATTCACTCAATCATGCCTACGTAATGAAGTCACCATAAAAGCCCAAGGACAATGTTCAGATGAGCTTTCAGATAGCTGAATACACAGAGGTTCCTGGAGAGGGCATAGAACCTCTGCACCCCTTCCCACATGCTTTGCCCTACACATCTCTTCACCTGTGTCCTTTGTTACATCCTTTATAATAAAGCAGTAAACGTGTTTCACTGTGTTCTGTGAGCCGTTCTAGCAAATTAATCAAGCCTGAGAGGAGGAGATAGTGGGAACTCTAATTTATAGCTGGCCAGTCAGAAGCACAGGTAAAACAACCTCGGGCATGTGATTGGCATCTGAAGGGGTAAGTCTGAGGAATTGGGGGACAGTGACCTCAACCTGTGGCATCTGATGCTACTACAGGTAGATAGTGTCAGAACTGCATTGAATTAAGAGGACATCCAGCTGATGTTTGCTGCAGAATTGATTAGTTATTGGGGAGAACTCCCCCACAAACTTCTTGGTGACCAGATGTCACAGAAACCTTCTGTGTTGATTGTTGTGTTGTGAGAATATACTGGGAAGAAACTGAATTTGTTTTCTTCTCATACAATTGTATATTAAGCAAAGTTGTCAAACTGATATAAAAATGTATCTATTTTCATAGTATTTTAATTCCAATTACTAAGTTTAAAAAGTATTCATTTGTATCTACAATGCTATTTTCACAAAAGCTGAAGAATATTTGTACAATACTCTTATTTTCACAAAAGCTGAAGAATTTAAGTATACACTAAGTGTTAACATTTATTTTGCATTTATATTTCTGAATTTCTGGTAACATAAAACATAGTGAAGCATCTTATTGTTGATGAAAAGAGTCAAACTGTGTAAAATATTTGAAGATATTTATTCGGAGCAAAATGAGTCATCATGGCCTGTGACATGGCCCCAGGAGATGCTGAGAACACGTGCCCAAGGATGTCGGGCTACAGCTGGGTTTTATATGTTTTAGGGAGACATAATAGGTGGATTCAAGAATTTTCTGATTGGCAATTGGTTTATCTAAAGACCCAGAATCAACAGAAGGGAGTGTCTGGGTTAAAATAAGGGGTTGTGGAGACCAGGGGGTTCTTACTATGCAGATGAGGCTTCCAGGTAGGAGGCTTCAGAGAGAAGAGATTGCAAATGTTTCCTATCAGGCTTAAAAAGGTGCCAAACTCTTAGTTTATTCTCTCCTGGATCAGGAAAAAGACCTGGAAAAGGGTGGGATTCTCTACAGAATGTAGATTTTCCCCAAAAGAGACAGCTTTGCGGGGACATTTCAAAATATGTCAAAAAATATATTTTAGGGTAAAATAATTTCTTTCAGGGCCTGTTATCTGTCATGTTGCTATCTTATTGCTACAAAAAGTCTGCTTTGTTATTCTTAAGGTCTCTGTTTTGATGTTAATGCTGATGGGTTGTGCCTGAATTACAAAGGGATGAGGGTATAATGAGGCATGTCCGATCATCCATTCCCATGATGTCCTGAACCAATGTTTCAGGTTTACTTTGGAATTCAATTACTCGAGAAGAGTTCTTTCCATTGTTTGGGAGGCTTTAAATTTTATTTTTGGTTTATATTATGTTCTCCTAAGTAATCTATTAAAACTACCTTTTAGTAAATATAAAATGATAAATTAAAAACTCTTTAATTCTGACATTGGATGTTAATACTTAAAGAGTCCTTAGCATATGTAGCAATACTTTTATTCTGATTGCGTCTTACTTTATCTTACAGGTTAGATATGGCTTAGGAATGCTCAATCTTTCTACTTAAAAGAAAAAAAATGAGCCTTTGTAAATGTATATGATTTAAGATGGTCATGTTCAAATTAAAATAACTTGTTTTCTGAAAGTCAAATGAAATGTCTGAGGTAAAATATGAGATAGCAGGAAAAAGGAAACTTTATAACCCCAGGTAACTTGCAATTATTTGGGTCTCTGAGGCAAATCTTTTAATTATATGTGTATTCCTTGTTGTTGTTACCCACTTCCCCAACTATTCATGTATTGTAATTTAACTTTGTTTTTATTAAGCATCCAGATACACTTTTCTTGTGATATCTGTAGAAGGATTTGGTTTTGTGATCATCTCTCTCGATTCATATACCAAAATGGATCATGGTACAGAAAAAATGGAAAGATGGAAGAGCAATCAGATGCAGACCTTTTAGCATGTCTGGTGTTTGTTTTCTCACTTTTGGGCCCAGGACACCACTGCCACTTTTTGTAAGGCTGGGAATTACATTTTTCAGAATCCACTTACCTGTGTGGTTCTGGGTCAGAGTTTGCCAATGAGAAAAATTTGCTGGAGAGTCAGAAGAAGGAAATGAAGAGGAAGCCATCAGTCTTTTCAGAGGTGTTTGCAGCTTGATGCTTGGAAAGATGAAATTCACAGTGGCTTTCTAGCAAAATTTTGAGAATAATCCACTTTGCCTGAGACAGTTGGTGGTAGTTTTTAAAGATTCTCAAGTATTATAGCAGCTCCGGGAAAGCCTCTGAAAAGAACCTGCTTGGAGCTTTGGGCTAACGTCTTCATTATTACCTACTCTGATCAGCGGTGGCTTTCCTAACCTGTAGCTCCCAACCCTCATTCCCCATTCTTCAAATACTTACTTCTGTGAGCCCCTCGTTCTGCATTAAGCATCATTTATTAGGATGATATCAAGTGGCTTCCATTAGGCTGACTGACTCCTAATGATGCAGACATAGTCACAGTTAGGGCTGAGAAAATATTCAGTTTATTAAATATTGTGAATGGGTGGAATATCAGATACATCATCTCAATATGTAAATATCCTATCCCATCTCAACATCAAATTTAGATTACCTGGATTTCTTCTTTGCTTTTCTCTATGATTACAACAGAGATCATTATGTATTTTATTAGTTTCTTCAGTCTTTAAGATATTTTTTGAATGATGTTCAAATAAACTCCAAGTTATCTCCAACTTTTTCTGAACAAAATATTTCCATTCTTAAGATACAGGCTTGTAATTCATATACTTGATGCTACTCAATGGCGTCTTATCTGTAGTAGGAAGAAGGAAATTGTGTTTCAATGAATAGTATAAAATCATTTAACCCTTACTCATTATTTGTTGCCTCCTTCCCTCTGACATGATACGTAAAGCTCTTTTGGTTCTGTTTGCCACTAGACTCAATACTGTTTTCATAAAATTGAAATCAAATCAAGATCATACTTAAGGTCCAAGCTGTCATAACCAAATGGAGCTTGCATACTAGGTGATTCCATCGTGGCAAAATGTTACACTTTAGAAACATCCATGCCCAATAAAACTAATTAATGTTTTGATATCCCTCAGGAAAAAACCACTGATACTCATAACACATTGCAGTGTTTCTCTGAAGTGTCTTTCCCCATCCTTTTCTTTCTCCACCTCTTTCTATTCCTCTATTGGATGTAATTAGTTACAAACTCTTACATAGTGCTTGTTATGTCCCAGGCACCACTCTAGGTACTTCACATATATTAACATATTTAATCCTTACAATAAGCCTAACATTAGGTGCTACTATTAATGCCATATTGCAGATGAGAAAACTGAGACTGAGGGGGTTAAACTTGCCTGAAATCACAGAGCAAATAAGTGGCAGGGTCAGAGTGAGTGCACTCAGCCACAAGCAGGAGGTTATGATGCTTCTCAAAGCCTTTTATCAACCCACCCTCTTTAGCACCTTTTTCTTCCTTTACTTATTTTCCCTTTCTCTGTGTTTCTTGTCTCTAGCCAGTAATTCTTTTTCATTGAAATTCTAGCAATGCAATCAGTAAGCTCCATTTCTTTTTTTTACCCACTATCTCAGGTTGCCTGAGGAAGAGCCAGGAGGTAGTTAGCCAGTCTGAACCCTCCTTTGGGGAAGGTAGGGAAGAGGGGAGCAAGGGATGGAGTTGGAGAAGGTTCTATGGATACCCATGGATGGTGATTGCTTTTTTCCCCACTAAAGAGAAATTTATGTTTTAACCTATGTGTGGGAGACAAAGAAATATCGAAAGCAAGTAAAGAAAAAAAAGACACCAGTGATCAACAGAATAAAGCCAGAATGAGATTGAAGTTAGAAGCTTGGGAGAGCAGGTTACAGTAGAACAGGACATATTGTCCTCATGCTTAGCCTTTTATGCCCTTTTCCTTCCCCATGGCCTTCTGGCATTTTTTCCCCTTAGTGTGATTTTAAATGCATTCTTAGAAGCAGCATTAATGGGGATAAAGATGATTTGCTATTGATCATATGAGGAAGGATTCAGATGGCAAATAAATACATAAAATAGAATATAGAGCAGCCACCTAGTTTAGTACTGTCAAAGTGGAGTTAAAAAGCTTTAGAGGTCATAGGGTTTTCTGTGCCATAAAAATCTCACATCAAATCAAATCAAATAATATATACTTAGGCTGCCTTCAAACCCAAGGAAGCTCAAGCTTTTATTTTTATTTTTCTCAAACAATATTTAATCAAATAAGTACTCAATAACTTTTGCTTTCCAGTTTTCAAACCATAGCCCTATTATGATCTGGTTATTTTCACAATGGGGGCCAATCCTACAGGATGACACCAGTGCTCGGAGAAAACTATACATATATCCATTTTGTCTCCAAGCCAAATTGATCCATATCAAGCTTCAAGAAGAAAATTTCTAATCAGTTGTCAAATTCTGGTACTCCAGCATACTTTTATATTCATGACCCTGGGGCATTTTGAAGTGCTAAATAGCATATAATGACTTTTTAAATTACAACTCCTACATATTAACTTTAAGACATTTTTGAGAGGTTTGCTGCATTTGTCTGTATGTTTGTATGAGAGAGAGAGAGATTATTAGAACTACCCTTGTGTGTATAGGAATTAGGACTGAAATAACATCTCGGCTGTTGATATTTGGAAATTTAAGATTAGAGACAAAACACAATGCAGTTTAATCCTATATGAAGAAATAAGATCACAGAAACTTTTTAAATATATGTTTTATAGCACTGGCCCTACAAATAAGTGTCTTGAATCTATATTGTGGAACATTTGCTGTCTCAACTACAGTGTCATGAAATACTGCGTTACATTGGACAGTTGTATCTATACATTGAAATTCCTTAAATACACATCAAAATTTTATATAATAACTCTACCAAAACACAAAAATGATACAATTTTTAATTTTAGAGGCAAATAAATGCTTTTTTTATTTTGGAAATAATAAAAAAACATTAATTAGTAACAATTACTAAGTAGAAGAGATATGCAAATGTCAATGTCTAATATTTATTTTCTCTTTAAACTCTGAAATACCTGTATTTTCTTCTCACATTTGACTCCAGAGTATTCAGTGCGGCAGGAACACACATTGGGAAATATGCATCTGCCTCCATAAAGACATTTTGGGTTGCAAATTGCTGCAATACACAAATTTTTACAATGACCATCCTTTGACATGAAATGCTTGTGGCATATTCTATCCTAGTGGTCTGGGGCTATCTGGTGATTGGACACCAATGCAGTCATAAGAATCTATTAATGAACCATCAATGAATGGATCTAATCTATGTACTCTTGTCTTTCAGAGCACACGCACACATCAAAAACAAAGCACCCAAAATTCAAACAACACTTTTGGAATTCTATAAAGATATTATTAAAAGAAACAAAAATTTCATTGGCTACATTTTGAAGTATTTGAAATATATCTCTTTTTTTTTCTAGAGGAGCTGAAGTCATTAACAGAAGATAGCATCTATAATTTACTTTTTAACATTAAGCAAAAATTTAAAAGAGACAACCCAGTACTGGCTAGTGTATGGAAAATTTGACAATTTTTATACTATCATTGGAAGTTTAATGTGAAATAACTACTGAAAATTTCTGAAAGATACTCATGCTGTCTATATCATACATTTCTTACTTGAAATCTTTCCCAAGGCAATTAAAAATACCTACATCTATCTCAATATCTCAATATCTCAATCTATTTATCATCTACCTGTAGAAAGAAAATACTTATAATACTTAATAATAACTTGTAAATAACTAAAATGTTAAACATAAGAGGGGAAGTAAAGGGAATTTTTGTAGTATTTATATTATGGAACTTAATATATTGCTTTAAATTTTGTTTTTAAACAACATAAATTCTTTCAAACAATATTGAGTGAAAATGAGCGTACCACAAAATTATATATAATAGTTATTTTTATAGGACAAATACTGCTTCAATATCACATACTTGAAGCTTACACATTCAAGAATAATTTGTCCTTTAAGATAAATGCAACATTGACAGGGTTGTTTTCATCAGGCTGCTGTATACAATTGGGCAGGTTGTGAAATCCACGAGGGCTCCACAGCTGAGAAAGCACCATTCACATGATACATATCATAGATTTGAATTTTTATTACAACAATTTTCCAACAGATGGTAGTAACATATTTTGTTTAAGAAATATCATTATATTAAGACAATTTCTCAATAGTTTGAAATAAAGAATTTGAAGTAGGATGACTTTTAAATTCACATAAAAATGCTGCAGGATGCAGAAACAGGGTGCACAGCTTCAGGCTGTGCTCAGACAACCTCAATCTGCAACCACTGAAGCATATTTCCCCATTAATATGCTTTTAACATCTTCTCATCCTTCTCTCTTATGGTCCGCATAGAGCTTACTCCAGAACAAGCACCCAAGTTGAGGTTGCTAACTTTTTTTTTCTAGCATTTTATCACATCTAAATTCCAATTGGAATTATCAATATTTGAGCATACATATCTTATGTAAATACCAGCACTTAATAGTACTTTCATATATTTTTCTAGGATAAGAAATGTATACATTACAATAGCAATTACTAATAAATTAGGGTCTAAGAGTCACAAAAACTACATGCAAAATTTCTGATGCATGGAAACAAGGGTATGGTTCATAAGACATTGAAATGGAGGGTACATTATTTCTAGTAAAAAGGCATGATCATAATAAATCTGTGTAATTTCAGTTTACAATACACTTGGCCACCAATTTTTAAATTATGTAATTATTAATCATTTGGAAATATTTTGAGGGATTTGCAGTTTTTCCCATTAAGTTAATCATTGTTAATATTTTAACATCTTTTTTCAAGTTTCCACAAAAAATTTCAAAATTGCATGAAATTTGATCTTCCTCTACATCTTAAGATTTCATCTATGTAGAAATTTATAACTAATACTGGATGGAGATATACTAAAACTCTAAAAAAGCAACCGAAATTAATTCTAGATGGTGAAATTTAGAGTGACTATTTTTTTTTTCTTTTTTTACTTTTTTTTTGAGACGGAGTCTCGCTCTGTCGCCCAGGCCGGAGTGCAGTGGCGCGATCTCTGCTCACTGCAAGCTCTGCCTCCAGGGTTCACGCCATTCTCCTGCCTCAGACTCCTGAGTAGCTGGGACTACAGGCGCCTGCCACCACGCCTGGCTAATTTTTTGTATTTTTAGTAGAGACGGGGTTTCACCGTGTTAGCCAGGATGGTCTCGATCTCCTGACCTGGTGATCCGCTGGCCTTGGCCTCCCAAAGTGCTGGGATTACAGGCGTGAGCCACTGCACCCGGCCTAGAGTGATTAATTTTTAATACATTTTCATATTTTCTAAGGTATCCATGATACATATGTATTTATCTTATAATATGAAATAATATTTAAACTTCTATATATCAATACCTTCTTTGGCCCACCTGGGGAAACTTTATTGGTAATCCACAGACCATAATTTGAAATTATCTCTTCACACAAACTATTAATATATTATACTACACTTTTTTCTTTTAAATGGATATAAAATTTAGGAAGTTTTTGTTTTATATCTAAAATCATTTTTTAAAAAGGATCAGCATGCTGGAGTTTTTTCCCCCTTATGGACTTGTCCTAAAGCTATACTTTAATTATTATAACAGATTCCAATTCAGAACATATAGTAGGAAAAACATCCTGTGGGCTTACGTATTTGACACCGCACTCCTTCCCAGGAGGAAGGACAATGGCATATGCTGGGCGCAATGCATTCACCACCGTTTTTACATTTCTGCAAGCAGATAGCTGCCAATCGAAATATAAACAAGTTAAAATTTTAAATTACTAGTCAAATCCTATCCATAACCCACAAAACTTTTCATTAGAGAGAAAAAAAGAAATAGTTACAAGTAAGTGATTAAAGAAATTTTTCCCTAATATTTTATCAAGAACATTTTTGAATGTCACTACATATTCTTGGAAAATGTGACCTTAACAGTTGCAAAATGTTCCATTGTTTGAATGCGTCGTGATTTAACTTTTCTCCAGTTGTTGGACATCTATGTTGCTTCTCATTTTTTCATTTTGATCAAAACATTCTAGTAGCAGCTAATTTAAAACAATTTATAGAAAGGAAAAAAATGAAACATTTGAATAAAGACAGCCACCCTCAGGAGCTAACCAGCCTGAGTGGCACTGTTATCTTCTCTTGGAAAGGTCAGAACTGGATGGTTTGAGGTGGGGCCAAGAAGTCAGTAATTTTTAAAACCTTTCCCCAACCCCAACTTCAGGACTTAAGGACTTGTTATTTTTTCTGGCAAGTGCAGTAGAAAAACTGAAAAATACAAGATATCCTCTTCTGCTAACCTGAAAGAATGAGTTCAGAAGAGTAAAAACTCTTTGTGTTTCAAAGAGGTATCTCCTAAAGCAAGAATAAATATGCAAAAATTTTAAAAAGACCAAGCAAACAAAAGTGAAAAAAATGCTCTGTTTTAAACTCTGCTTTACATTCCCATGAAGGACGAAAGCTTCAGTGTTTTAAGAGTATTCCTCTTACGTGTGTTGCATCGTTTCCCACTCCAACCAGAAGGACAAGAGCAAGTGCTTGGTCCCACACATTTTCCTCCATTCATGCACGTAGGATCACAGATGCCTTAAGGTAAAAGCATGAAAAGTCAGCCCTTAAATTCAACAGTTTTGTCTTGGCTTTAGCTGTAGTTGACAAATACATTTAGTGATGTCTTACTTTTTTGGAATCTCCTACCAGTGTATCCTTCACGACAGACGCACACATTATTTCTCATGCAGTGGCCACCATTCTTACAGGGAGGGTGACAGAAAGCTAAAAGAACACATGGCAGCAATCTGTGAATATTACACATCCCATTACTACATATGATACATTGCATCATGTGCTTGTCATCAATGAGGACATAAGGCAGAGAAATGTGCTATTAAAATAAAAGATCACTCATTAAACCTGTCCTTTCTAAATCATGAAATGCAATGCTTATACCTATAAGCTACTAGTGGGTTAGCACAATTTGAAATATATTGGTTAAGTGTTCATAACAAATTGAGTCTTTCATATTACAATGAATATATTATAAACCTTATGTTTCACTATACAATAAAGCATGGAATGATCTAGACAAAACCCAGAAAATAAGTCAAAACGTAGCTCAAAATAAGAATGTGCCTGTTCTTGTGGAAATTAGACAAATCTCAACAATTTTCCACATATTTAAAAAGCACTTTTAAATTAGCTTTCGAGTACTTACTGAGGTTATGAAGGCACAGCTTTATATGTGACTTATTCCAGAGAATGCTTGGTAAAAATATTTTTAACAATAAATCCTTGGTTTTGTTAAGAATATTTGTTAGATAATTTTGAATATATCTTACTGGTAGTTCCTATTTGTATAATTCTGTTTTATGAAATTCAGAGTAACGTTAATATGTATTAATTTTATGAGATGGTTATGATTACTTCATGTTTCTTCCATATATGGAAATTAAATGCAGGCATTTCTTTTAAGTAATACACAGGCAAGCCTGTCCAGAAAATTTAAAATTTAATTTCTTCCTAAATAATAATTAAATAAATGTTAGTTTGTATTTTAAAAATAAATTTCAAATTAACTGGTATTAATAACAGGACTAGTGTGGACTGACGCCCTGTTTGAATTACTAGCTGCTTTCTTTATTTCCAAACACTGTAAGAAAAATTCTACTGTTTTCAAATGGATTTTAAATGGAAATAATATAGAACTTTATAGTAATAATATAACTGAAAGCTTTTAGCAAACAGATAATTTCCAGTATTTTAGGCTGAAGTTTTTTTTGGTTCATGCTTGAGTCTACTGTTATTTCTCTGACATTTTATTGATACTTTTTATTGGTAGAGAAATGTTCTTACATTTTCTGCTCCCTATCCTTCATACAATTTAAGATTATTATTATTTATTAGAAAATATATATTCTTTCTACTACAAAAACTCCATATAAAATGCCTGTGGTTAGGAATTTGAAACGTAAAAAAGCTCCACAAATTGTTTATGATGCGTAATCTTGCTATAATTAATCATCCACAAAAACTTGAAGTGTAGAAATAAATTATTTATACAAAAAAGCATACATACTTAAAATAATATATACAAAGGGCATACAATTTAAGGGTGGCCATGTCTACCCATAGTCTCACATTAGGAAAACGAGGTTTATGAGAAAATCCACCCTCCACATATATTTATGAGATCTATAGGCCTCATTCTGTCACCAAATCCTGAAGTGGGCTAAGTAATTGGATTCACTCTCCATGTGAAATCCAAGAGGTGAAGCAAATTGGAAGGTGTATTTAAATATCTCTCCAGCCATACATCCTAAGCCTTGCTTACTAGTTTAGTAGTTTAACTTTTTTGTGATGTTTCTAGCTCAATTTCTATCTTCCTCTTTTAAAATTCTATAGTGCACATAGTATATGTTTTTCATATGATTTTACATTCCACCTAATTTTATTCAATCACTTTCAATGTGTGTGCCATCTTCCCTTCCCACCATTTAGGCTCACAACAAGATGAGATCTAATAAGAATTACATGTCATAGCAACTGTCTAGATCATACTTGAAAGCCAGAAAGTCTGAGGCATGGAGCCTTCAAGTAAATACCAGCAAGAAAGCTGTGGAGGCAAGCTCATTGTAAAACCTACTCTCTCCCCACAATGATAATCTGTTTTCTGGCCCTTAAAGCATGGAATACGTTCAATAGATAATTTTTAATTCAGTTTAATAATTGAGAGATTTCTTCCTTTATCCACTTATACAACTGGCATATACATTTTAGAGAACTTTTCTTACTTCATCTTACAACTACTTCAAGTAGCATGAAAGATGTAACGTTTTCATTTCCTTCCTTACATTCTCCATTCAAAACTACATATATAACTCTTTAGCATGGATTTAACCATAGTCTTCTAGTTTTCAAGATTTCCCTTAACTTAGTCTTTACTTCTTTCTGTTTCTCAAACTGCTTCTTCAAAGGAATACGAATTACAGGAACTCATTCGCTATGCCCGTATATCCTGTGTTAGCGGGATGACTTCTTTTCTGCTTTATTTCCATCCTAAGAATCCTAGCCAACATCCAAAATAAAAGAAATAGAATTGCAAATCAAAGTGCATCGTGGCAAGGAAAACCTAAATTTTAGGAATTAAATTATGGAAATACTCTGACATGTTCTATAGTAAAAATCTACTCTACATTTTTAATAAACTCGAAAATATGAAGATGTAGAAAATACACATTACATATTATTGGTTGACATTAATTCATACCCTCAAGACATCCCCATTATTCCGAAAATAACCTGCAATATTAACTATATGAGGGAAAGTGTTAAAATACTAAGCCCATGAAAGAGAAAAACAATGCATTTTTATGTCTCTGTATCTTCTTGCGTAGCGCTGTGCACAGGTGATTCTTCATAAATGTTTAATGAAACTAAGGTGAAAAGAGATTATGGGATAATAGTGGACAGTAGATTGACCATAAATCAAACATTTTTGCTGTGTAGGCAACAAAAATGACACAATTTCATTATAACAGACTACAAGAGAACTTTGCTTATCTGTTTCATACCTTGGGCCTACAAAGCTGCACAGAGAGATGCCAAGGTATGAGCTTCAATATATCGAGTAAATATAACCGTTTTACATAATAACTTTGATATATTTTTGTAAGCTAGTAATTTGGTGGGCATACTTGAAACATCGCAAGAATTCTGGGGAAAAAATCGCATCTTTCCCTTTGAAACTTGTCTCATGTTTACTCAGAGCTCTGTTGATATCTAACTTTCCATTTGCCCTTTTTACATACAAAGAAAGAATAATTACCATTCTGACAGTGTTCCCCAAAGAATCCATTTGGACAGAGGCAAGTATTTGGCTTATTACACGAACCACCATTGAGGCAGACAGGGTCGCACAAAGCTAATAAACAGCAGGAGGAAAAGAGAACATAAAAGTTTTATTATTTAAAAAATGAAAGCTGCACAGAAGTGCAAAATGGTGCATAATGAAATATTTTATTTTTACTGCAAGTAAAGCCCATAATGTATAATTAATTAGACTTTGCCAAACATAAGAGGAATGAAATTACTGGATAATCGCTTTGAAAGTATGTTCATTAAGTTTACAAATAACACTAAGCTTAGAAAAGCTAGAAAGGGAGCTGGAATTTAAAGTGGCGGTGTTTGTCCAAGATGACGGTGCTCCTGCTCTATCAAGAATGTAGAGGCTATGATTAGAATTCAGAATGCCTTCACTAAGCTAGAAGAAACGATTGCAAGTTAAGAGAAGACAATTCAATTCAACAGTGTTAACAGGATGGTTTGTAATCTGTTCAAATACATGTAGCCATGCACACCTCTTTATCGCCTTCCCAATTAAAATGAGAACACTGCACTCAAGTCCTAGCACACTCAAAAACATTCTTTGTTTTTGCTTCTTTATTTTTGTTTTGCTTTGAAAGACATCCCCAATTTTATTTTTCACCCTAGATCCTACCCATTCACCAACATCTACTACAAATACTATTTTCTTCCTCACTCCACTTGCCAAAATTAATTTCTTCCTTCTCTGCTTCTAAGGAACTGTGTTTCAATAACATTACTTATCATAACTCAACTTGTATCATAGTCTTTTTTATAATTTTATAATTTTATAATTCTGTCACTAACAATATGCGACTTGAAATGAGGGCAAAAATCAAGTGGATCCTTGTTTCCATTTGCATCATGCTTCACAAATAATTGGCCAGCTATAAACATTGAATTACACTTTCATTGAGAAAAAGTCATTAGATTATAATGAATTAGATCAAACATAGATAACTGCAAACATTGCTGCCAAAGAAACAAGCTTACGCCGGGCGCAGTGGCTCACGCTTGTAATCCCAGTACTTTGAGAGGCTGAGGCAGGCGGATCACGAGGTCAGGAGTTTGAGACCAGTCTGACCAACATGGTGAAACCCCGTCTCTACTAAAAATACAAAAATTAGCTAGGCATGGTGGCATGCTCCTGTAATCCCAGCTACTCGGGAGGCTGAGGCAGGAGAATCACTTGAACCTGGGAGGCAGAAGTTACAGTGAGCCAAGATCGCCCCACTGCACTCCAGCCTGGGCGACAGAGTGAGACTCTGTCTAAATGAAAAAAAAAAGCCTAATACTGTGATAAATAAATGGAATAACATGAAGGGTATCCACTTAATTCAGAATTGCTTAGATATTTAATGAAATAGGATGTTTGTATTGCGATGAAAAACTTAAAAGAAACCTAGAAGATTCAACACGTTTCTCTTCACCACAAGGTAGGTGAATGAGGGAAATATAAAAGCAAAAAAAGTATTGGTTGGTTAAGATAACAGTAAAGCTGTAAGACACCATACGGTTCAACATAAAAACAAAGGGAATGAAGATGAAAGAGTTTTAAAAATCTGTCTGAAATAACAACTTCATACCTATCTACCTGTCTTGTCAGGTCAGTTTTATGTTTCTTAGGTGCACGTCTTCAGGACATTGGCATATTTTAACTTTTAATTGACATGTTCATTGAAAATATTTCCAATTTTACCTGTACTACAGGTGGGTCCATACCAGCCAGGTTTGCACTGGCAAATATCTGGTGTAAGACACTGGCCTCCATTTTCACAGTGCCTGTTACAAACCACTGAGATCATAGAATAAAGAGAAAAGAAAGATTAGGCTTGGAGTAGTCATATTGTTGGTTATTATCTAGCTAGCTCATAACTGCTAATCACATCTGCTAATTAATAAGATTGCAGAGAAAGATAAAATACAATTTATATTCGGGTTTCAAATGCTTTCTGATTCTCATATTCAGTTATTTTATTTTATTTTTGGTTAATAGAGAGGGAAAAAATAGAAAACCATTGAGCCAAGTGATAAACAAGACTTGGCTATTTGGGAAAATTATTAGTTATTGATGAAAGCAATCATAGACATAAATTTAAAAAGAAATTTATATGCAATTTAACAGATTTGAATTCCTGTTTTCTCAAAGAAAGACCATGAATAGCATCATATCTTAGTACTGGCCACTGTGGTTGATATCAGTGCTATGCAAGATGGTAACTGTTGTCATCAATCATCAATGTGTGTTCTTTTTATTTTTTTCCTGGGATAAATCTATTTTATTTATTTATTTATTTATTTTCCATTTTCTATTATTATGATTATTATTATTATTATTATACTTCAAGTTTTAGGGTACATGTGCACAATGTGCAGGTTAGTTACATATGTATACATGTGCCATGCTGGTGTGCTGCACCCATCAACTCGTCATTTAGCATTAGGTATATCTCCTAATGCCATCCCTCCCCCATCCCCCCACCCCACAACAGTCCCCAGAGTGTGATGTTCCCCTTCCTGTGTCCATGTGATCCCATTGTTCAATTCCCACCTATGAGTGAGAACATGCGGTGTTTGGTTTTTTGTCCTTGCGATAGTTTACAAGAACTATCACAATGTGTGTTCTTTACGTAGAGTTTGGGTTCATTTCACGTAGCATTAAGGCCATCAACTATTCAAAGAAGCAGTTTCATTATATCAGACATCAGGAGAGCTTTGCTTACTTGTTTCACACCTTGGTCCTACAAAACCATAAGGACAAGTGCAGAGATTCCCAGCCAAGCATGTGCCACCATGTTGACAAGGTGGGTTACAATGTTCTGCAGAAACAGATTATGTTATTATGTCAGTTCTTAATTTTTAAAAAGTCAGTTTATATTTATAAAGCACTGTCACAATAAAATCTTGTTGTAAGAGTAATTTATAATACATTAAGCTCTCTTTTACTACAAAACTTAGTTCTGTGGGACTGACTATATTAATTCACACTGGAAACACTTACAAATCAACAGCATGCTTTGATTAATAAAACGTTTTGTTAACTGGAAGAAAATATAGGACCTTGGCCTTCTTCTGAAAAGTGAGATTTGAACTTACTTATTCCTGCCTTACAAATAGAGCTTTTCTATAGTTCCATAGTTATTTTCATATGCTATTTTTATTGAATGTTTCTATTAGTTCACCCTAAATTTACTTTAATTTGTTAATTTGTAGCTTGCTTTGCCATAAAAACATTTAACATGGCTCTCAGCTTATCCATAATTATATGCACCATCTACCAAACTACCTTTTCACATATTATTTTAAAATAAACAACTTATTTCTTTAAAGTATCATCCACTTTAGGAATGCTATTTCATAAATTTTCCGCTTAAGATTTAAACCAAAGCAATGCAATTATATGGCTACAGATGTATTTTTACAAATTCACTTTTTAGGTTTCTTCTTACTACTTTACATTTTCTAGTTATTTGGCATTTAACACTTTATTTGAACCATATTTGGTAGATCATTCAATAGCTGTCTTTGCTTGAAGCTAAAACATTTGTAGATATATAGTACCTTATAACTAAACCTCAAATCATTTCAGAGGGTAATTTTACCAATAACAAATAAGCTATTGCCCCTTGAATCTCTGATTTCAGAAATTTAATTCTTTAGAATCTTTGAATAAATTATATTTAATAAGTATTTTAAAATGTAGAGTCCTATACCAGCTTTGATAAGAATATTTTAATATATACACAGTAAAACTGAATTGTCTTGTAAAATGGTTTTTAAAGAAAATTATGCTATATTTTAGGCCTTATATTTGATTTTTAATTTGAATTATCACCTTCATCACAGGTTGCTCCACCATGTCCTGGAAGACACTGACAAATGTTAGGCTTAATACATTTTCCATGGTTTTTGCAATCAGGGTCACAAAGAGCTGTATAAAATAAAGCCCAAGTTTTAGACATATCAATTACCAAATACAATTTATCATGCAAACTAATGAATGATGTTACCTACCAGTTTGGCAGTTAGAACCAATGTAACCAGGTTTACATTTGCAGATGTTTGGGGCAACACACTCCCTACTTTTTCCACATGGATATTTACAAATGGCTAAAAAAAAATCAAAGAAAAAAAGGTTGATTGCTAAAACAGAACATACATATTGCTCAGAGACTTAGTTATGATAGAAGCAAAAGTCTCTGAAGTTTGAATAGTTAACTAATAGTCCCTCTAGATAATACTGAGAACGTAAGAATACTCCAACAACTCTCTTGCTTAAGTTTAGTCTCAAACAAGCCAAAACACAAACAAAGCAAAACAGTAACACAACAGTAACACAAGACAGCTTCTATGTTGCCAAAGCCAAAAAGTTGATTTTCATCAGAGAAAACAATGTTAATAATTGTGAGAAGATAGAAACAATGCCTTTAAAATTAAAGTGATATATAACTTGCTGTAATCTCGAAAGAGTTGGAAAGATTACAGAGAAACCTAGTTCATGCAAATAAGCAAATATGCCAGAATTAGTATTTGAAGTGCCAAATGCCCACCGTGAGCTGAAAAGAATACAGACCACAATGTTAATCAGATCTATATTGACATCTTTTATCTGTTTAGCTGATTAATGCTGGGAAATTCAGTGGGCACTCCAAAACTCTGTTTTCTCATCTGTATAATGGGAAAAATAATACCCAATTTGTGGGGTTCATGTGGATAATATGACACAGTTGATACAAAATGTTTCCACAGACCCTGGAACACAGAAAGTACTCAAATATATTTGTAATATATATTATATAGTTGTAATACTCTATAATATTAACATGATTTTAATAAATAACTCAGCAGACCCACTTTTGTTCTTTCAAAATGTGATGAGAATACAGTATAAATGATCAATAAATAAAATAAACGGAAATAAGTGAACTAAGCAGAATAAATAGAAATTAGTATATGGAAAAGCATATCTTTTTAATAACTTAAACTTGAATTAGATAATTTTCTTTGTATCTTCTGAAGAGTTTCATACTACCTCTGCAATTGATACCATCTCCATAATACCCAAAGGGGCAGCGTCCACATTGGAAGTGACCATCTGAGCTTGGCACACAGGAAACACCAAGAAAACAAGGCTAGCCAGCACAAGGTGATATTTTGGTTGATCCAAACTTTTCTGGCAAAATAGCAATTGCTTTTGTAATAGATGACACAAACTCATCTTCATACTGTGTGTAACCTTGGGAAGACCTGCTAATTTGAGAATATACCCTCCTGTCTCTGTTTGGATGGTGTTCTGGATATCATCATTTGCTTTGCCATGGGTGTTGTTTGGGTTCCTGCTTAAAGAGCTACTGTTCTTCACAGAAACTTCCAACTCACCCAGACTGAGATTTGTACTGAGACTACGATCCACATGTTCAATATCTGATATCTGATGGGAAATAGGCTTTACTGAATTATCCATTTGGGCTGTAATTAATTTCAGTGATGAGCGGGAGATGTTGTTAGTTGTGCTCAGTAACTTTTTGATAGTAGCGGGAGTAGGAGTAAATCTTGTACTAATTAGTGAATATTCTGTTGATGGTGGCTGAAAATTTATAGCTACACAACCAAAAAATAAAAAACGTTAGTCAATAGCATTTATAAATAGTCTTCTCTACCTGAAATATTTTACATTAAGTAATTCATTCCTTCATTTAGTATCTACACATGTCTAACATTGTAGTAGGAGCTGTGTACTAACAAGAAATCATGACACTGTTTCTGCCTTCAAGGAGCTTATAATCTTTTGGGGTACACAAGATAACCCAGAATGTTAAATAGTATAAAAGTCAAAGTACAATAATTTATTTCATTAAGATTTTGAAATGGCTAACAAACACCTGTTGATCACCTCATACACATGAGCCTCAAAACAAAGGAAAGCACAGCCCCTATGCCTGAGCAATTTAGAATATTGTCAAGGATAGAGACATGTGAGCCATTCACTATGAAACAATCATTGAGAACTACTACAAGAGTGATAAATATAAAATGAAACCTACAGAAACACAGAAGAGTAAGTAATTTTCCCTATAAAGAAGACAGGAACTAAATGTATAAGCAAAAATTGGGAAATTATATAAATGCTATTTTATATGAGAGGCAAAGAACCACAGGTCTAATAATTTTACAAATGTGATAAAATCAGATTTTATGTCCCCATCTTTCTTGACTGCTCAGCTAGAAATTAAAACATTTTTACACATCTTTTTGGCGGGGGCGGGGGGGATCATTATTTATTTCACCTGCCAAAATACTTCATTTCCTTATTGCACTTTTTTACTTCTTTGGTATGGAAAAATCTAACGGGTTTTAGAGTATGAACACATTTTAAGCAGTGATTAGATACGTTTTTCTTGTTATGCTTTCTATTGCAAATTTAGGATTTGATTTTGCACTGTCTTCATGCAAAGCTCTTCTCAAAGGTCTTAAAATATAAAAAACACTTAATGCTTCTCAAAGCATTAAGATTTTATGTAAATCAAACCAAAACCAGAAAAAGACAGAAGAAAATGAACCAAAAACAACAAAAATAATCCTTAACATAGTTGGCAACAAGTGCAATGAAAGATTTTTGAAAAATGTGAGGACTTCGTGAAACATAAAAAGCATATGGGTTCAGACTAATAGAAACAAGAGTGCACCAAATATAGCCCCAAACATAAATAAGGGCAGTGAGGTAAGCACAGTTGTGTCAAAAAATACAGCAAAAGTGCCCTGGACTAGCAGTCCCCAGAAGAACTGCTTTAGATGATCTGGGCCAAGTCAGTGTCCCATTCCCTCAGCCTCTGTACACAGAAGGGACTCCTTCCAGAACCAAATTGTTTTAAGTGAACCTTCTCCTTAGGAGAGTTTTTATTGTCAGAATTGGAGAAAGAAGCAGAGAAGAACTGAAACTCCAGATTACAAAAATTACCATTAAAGAAAGTAAGAAAAGAGCATATGTTAGCAAATGTATGTTAGTAAAGCACATTTTTTCTTTTGAAATGTAATGATTCAATGTTCCTATGAAGGTATATATCAGAGATATCATAAAAATTACAAAATACAAGAATCATGAGAAGATATTGGCCTTACAGATACTAAAATGTAGTATAAAGCCACACTAATCAAAAACAATGTATTATTGGCATAAAAAAGACTATTAGAAAATAATAACATAACAGAAAGCTCAGAAATATATCTCAACATATAAGGGACTTTAAATAAAATATATGATATTTAATCGTGAAAATGGCCATACTGCCCAAGGTAATTTATAGATTCAATGCCATCCCCATCAAGCTACCAACGACTTTCTTCACAGAATTGGAAAAAACTACTTTAAAGTTCATATGGAACCAAAAAAGAGCCCACATCGCCAAGTCAATCCTAAGCCAAAAGAACAAAGCTGGAGGCATCACACTACCTGACTTCAAACTATACTACAAGGCTACAGTAACCAAAACAGCATGGCACTGGTACCAAAACAGAGATATAGATCAATAGAACAGAACAGAACCCTCAGAAATAACGCCGCGTATCTACAACTATCTGATCTTTGACAAACCTGACAAAAACAAGCAATGGGGAAAGGATTCCCTACTTAATAAATGGTGCTGGGAAAACTGGCTAGCCATATGTGGAAAGCTGAAACTGGATCCCTTCCTTACACCTTATACAAAAATCAATTCAAGATGGATTGAAGACTTAAACGTTAGACCTAAAACCATAAAAACCCTAGAAGAAAACCTAGGCAATACCATTCAGGACACAGGCATGGGCAAGGACTTCATGTCTAAAACACCAAAAGCAATGGCAACACAAAGCCAAAATTGACAAATGGGATCTAATTAAACTAAAGAGCTTCTGCACAGCAAAAGAAACTACCATCAGAGTGAACAGGCAACCTACAAAATGGGAGAAAATTTTTGCAACCTATTCATCTGACAAAGGGCTAATATCCAGAATCTACAATGAACTCAAACAAATTTACAAGAAAAAAACAAACAACCCCATCAAAAAGTGGTTGAAGGACATGAACAGACACTTCTCAAAAGAAGACATTTATGCAGCCAAAAAATACATGAAAAAATGCTCATCATCACTGGCCATCAGAGAAATGCAAATCAAAACCACAGTGAGATACCATCTCACACCAGTTAGAATGGCAATCATTAAAAAGTCAGGAAACAACAGGTACTGGAGAGGATGTGGAGAAATAGGAACACTTTTATATTGTTGGTGGGACTGTAAACTAGTTCAACCATTGTGGAAGTCAGTGTGGCGATTCCTCAGGGATCTAGAACTAGAAATACCATTTGACCCAGCCATCCCATTACTGGGTATATACCCAAAGGACTATAAATCAGGCTGCTATAAAGACACATGCACATGTATGTTTATTGTGGCATTATTCACAATAGCAAAGACTTGGAACCAACCCAAATGTCCAACAACGATAGACTGGATTAAGAAAATGTGGCACATATACACCATGGAATACTATGCAGCCATAAAAAATGATGAGTTCATGTCCTTTGTAGGGACATGGATGAAACTGGAAATCATCATTCTCAGTAAACTATCGCAAGAACAAAAAACCAAACACCACATATTCTCACTCATAGGTGGGAACTGAACAATGAGAACACATGGACACAAGAAGGGGAACATTACACTCTGGGGCCTGTTGTGCGGTGCGGGGAGAGGGGAGGGATAGCATTGGGAGATATACTTAATGCTAGATGACGAGTTAGTGGGTGCAGCGCACCAGCATGGCACATGTATACATATGTAACTAACCTACACATTGTGCACATGTACCCTAAAACTTAAAGTATAATAATCATAATAATAAATAAATAAATAAATAAATAAAATATATGATATTTAAATTCAATGTGACTTATCTTATAAATGATACTACATAATTGCCATTCATCTGGAAGAAAAAAAGTATTGGACCTCTTCTTCATATAATAAAATAACAAATTTCAAATGAATTAAAAACTAAATGTAAAATATAAAATAATAAATGTTCTAAAAGAGACTATGAGTTCATATTTATAATTTAAACTTTGAGAGATCCTTAAAGAGAAGCTATAAATAAAAGATTTAAAAATATATTTATTTGATTACATAAAATCTTAATGCTTTCATATAAAAAGACAACACAGATAAAGGCAAACCACAGAGATAAACACAATAATTTAAGTACCTATTATGTATAGGATCAGAATATATGAAGTGGCCAGAATATATAAAGTACTCCTACAAATCAATAAAAAAGGCAAGCAAAAGGATATCAATTAGCACAAAAACAAATCTAAATGATTATTTGAAAAAAGAAACCCAAATAAATAGATAACCTTTGGCAACTTCTATCTAGGAAAAATCAAAAACCATAACAGTGGAAAGATACAACTAAACAACTTTGGAGATGAGAAAAGTAAAATAGCTATACATAAGAAGACAATTTTAAATTATACAAGAATACTACATGTAATTGTATACAAGAATTTGAAATCTAAATGTGACAAATGATTTTCTGGCAAAATAAAAATGATGAAATTGACTCAAGAGGAGGCACAAACATTGATGGAAATAGAAAAACAATCTAAAATTACTCCCCAAAATAATGCTAGGACAGACAATCTAATGAAAAATTTTACCAAATAATTAAGGAAAGGGTATTTTCAAAACTGCTGCAATGCACAAAAAGAGATGAAAAGTATTATAAATGTTTTATTAAAGTGGCATAATCATATAGTCAATATATTTGTGACATATAAAAATTTAAATGAAATACTAGCAAATCAAAGGTAGCAGTGCATTTATGGAAAAATATATCAGGATTAGACTTGTACCTATTAATATAATTATATAATTGCATAAACACATAATATGGAAAATATAAAATAATGTTGAAATATAATATGCATTAATTACTGATTTTAAATATTGTGAGAAAATTAGTCTAAGGAAACTTTGTTAACTACAATTATAGCAAGTAATAAATGATGCTGAAAAAGCGTTTGATAAATAACATTTAAAACCCACTCCCAATTTAAAACTAGGAATTCTGAAAAAGCAACTAATAAAAGGAAAATTCATCAATTGGATAAATGGTATCTAGCAGAAACTGCAGTGATATCATAGTGAAACATGAGAAGAATTCCCATACCATTAACAAAGCTCTCCCTTCACTACAGGCTTTGTACTAGAGGTACACTACACTACAATGAGAGCGTAAGTTTGAGACCCTGGTCTCTTCAGTTAGATTGCTCAGGCTCAACTCTCTCTCCTGTAATTTAAAACTCCATAATCTGAACACATTACTTAAGCCTTCTATGTTTCTGTTTAATGATCTGTAAAATAGAAGTAATAACAGTTACTGTAAATAGCTATTATGAGGATTGAATGAGGTAAGATACAAAAAATGTCTGCCTAGTGCCGGCACATTATAAGTATAAATTAAATCTCACTATTAAGACAAGAAAGTAAATAAGAATAGCAGACAAAACCCCCTATTTGCAAAAAACAATTATTGTCTGCCTGTAAAATCAAGAAAGAGAATCCACTATAAACCGTAGTGTACATCAGAGTATTCAGTAAGGTGACAACACCGGAACAATAAGAAAGTCAAGACACATTTCCTATGTTCCAGGAATCAAAAATGTCTTGAGAGATATCCCATTCACAATAACAGTTGATGTTACAGAATGCAGAGGCATAAAGAAAGCCAATGTGAAATGTACAAGAACTTTATGAAGACAATCACAGAATGATTAAACCAAATGAGGGCTATTAAGAAAGCACTATGACACAGGAAAGGCCTTGTGAAATAGTGAACTTCTTATCACATTTAGGGTTTGAGCAGATACTGGATGACCAGTTTCCAGGGATTTATAAAATATAAGTTTGAAATAGTCCCTTCCAACCATAAGCTTCTCCGAAATCACTTTAAATGATGCTTTGTTCATTAGAGGACATAAACGCATTTTTTCTAAAATATAAGCCAGATGATTGAATAGATTAGCAAGAGAAAGGATAAATTTTAAACCGCATCATATAACCTTTAGGTGATCTTTCTAAAAATAAAAATACCTGAGGAATAAATATGTTGGTCTTCTAGAAAACAAGTAAGAGGAATTACTTGTCATTAGATTTTAACTATGACCATTACTTACTGAAGGCATTTCCACTTGTTGGCTTAACATGCCTCTTTCTCCCTTGGGCATTTTTATCATCCTCTTCTTTATTTACACTTTTATCAGATCTTGTGAGAACCACAGTTTGTGTAGTAAATTGATTTACAAACTGTGTTTCAACTGTAAATGAGAACAAGGAAAACAGATTAGACTTAAACTATTAGACAACCAAAGCACCACAAATAAGAATATACAATACAAACGCCACTTGGATTAAACTCTGCAAATTAGACTGAATAACTCACTTAAATGTCATCTCTTCTGCACACTTTTCTGGTATGGACTGAATTGTGTTCCCCTAAAATTCATATGTTAAATCCCTACTCCTACATGTGAACATGTTTGGAGACAGGGTCTTTAAGGGGGTAAATAAGATAAAATGAGATCATAAGAGTGGCACCCTAATCCAATAGGACTGGTGTGCTCACGAAAACAGGAAGAGATACCACACATGCAGGGAAGACCTGGTGAGAACATAGCCAGTCTGCAAACCAGAGATATCTCACCACAAACCAACCCTACTCGCACCTTAATCTTGAACTTTCAGCATTCAGAACTGTGAGAAAATAAATTTCTGTTGTTTATGCCCCTCAATCTGTTATAGCAGCCCAAGCTAACGTACCTTCCTTCAGTTGAATTCACCCACCCGATCAATTTTGCCCATTTGGGTTCTCCCACAGAACTTTGCCCTTCATGCTATTGATTCTTATGTGCCCCACTAGTTAGCAATAACCTCAAGAATAACTGTGCTTTATTCATGTTGCTATCCATTGACTCTGGTACCTATCATAAAACTAAGAAAACACCACCAACAACCAAAAGTCCTTTTGTATTAATAAGCCCCTTCCTACAATACACAAATGACTCTGACAATGTTAAGAAACATATTTAGTCACTCATGTGTAAGGGGATTTGGTTCAACTTGTTTTTCTCTTAAATGCCACTGAATGAAGTTTTTATTGAAGAAATGGGTCTGTTTGGGAAAGAAAACGGCTAGATCACTTATTACAATGGAAGGTGTGAATATTAGGGATGGGATATTCAGGAGTAAATGTGAGAAGCAGAAGTAGAGAATTCCCCTTACCATCCTATACTGTGTTGCTCATATCTGTGGGGCTGGGCAGGCTCAGCCCAATTTGAAGCACAAGATGCTGCTGCTTCCTTAGTACATAATTGTCATCAAAAAGGGTCCCATTCACTTAATTAAACCAAAGGTATGGATCTTCAACACTGTCTTCTATAACTTAGTTTTTTCTCTTTTAATCTTTTAAAATGTTGATGCCCACCAATTTTTTTTGTCCATTTTCCTCTAAATCTAAGGGTTTTCCTGGACAATTCTATGACATAGCTGATTATTCTAAGATTTATATTTTCAACTTAATCCTCCTTTCTGAGCTTACATGGATATTCCATAGTAACCCTAGTTTCTGTGCATCCAAACTGAATTCATTATAATTCCCCTCCAAAAAAACTTGTTCTTCCATTACGTTGCTTGTGTGTCTTAGTCAGCTTGAGCTGCCATAACAGAATACCACAGACTGCGGGGCTTAAACAACAGAAATTATCTTGCCATTCTGGAGGCTCAATGATCCAAGACCAAAGTGATCAAACTAGCTGACTGAGTTTTTGGTGAGGGCTCTCTTCCTGGCTTGAAGACGGCCACTTTCTTGCTCTGTCTATACATCACAAGCTCTCTGGTGTCTCTTCATATAAGGATACTAATTCTGTGGGATCAGGGCTCCACCCTTATAACCTCATTTAACCTTAATTACTTCCTTTCTCCAAATATAGCCACACTGGGAGTTAGGGCTTCAACATATAAATTTTGGGGGGACGCAGTTCTATCCACAGCAATGCAAATGCAAATTCTACACACCCATTCACTAAAATCAAACACTTAAAACTTAATGAATCTCTTTCTCTCATCATGCTAAAACCAATCACTGGCCAAGTACAATCAACTTGCTTCTTTATTATCCCTTTCATCATTACCTCATCTTCATCTTAGGTTAATATATCTTCATCTTTTTTCCTATATATTTGAAGTATTTTCTTAACTCTTCTTCCCACCTTCAGATTTACACAGTTCCCTACCCACAAGTGGTCCATCCTACACACTGCTCCTTAAACTATCTCACATGTAAACTGTATTGTCTTTCTCTCCCACTTCAAAATTTTAAGAGAGTCTCCATGGTTTTTATGTGGTCTTGCTACTGCTTACCTCTCTAGCTCCAACTCTTGTAGCAGCTCCCCTTTCTTCCTATATTCCAGGCACACTGAACTATTCACAGTGGCTGGCTGCCCAAGGAGTGCTGTGATGTTGCCTGCTTCTGTCCCTTTGCTCCTGCTGTTGGTTTTGCCTGGAATGCCTTTCTCTCTCTTGATCTATCAGATTCAGTTCTCATGTGTCTAGTATAGTCTAGTCGCTTCCTTTTTTAAAACTTTTTCATTATTTCTCCAGGTAGATAAGATTCCCTGTGTAGTATTCCTACTAGCCCTTTTGTGATTTCTATCAAAAGACACAGAACACTTTATTATACTCTGTAATTACTAGTCATATTCCCTGCTGTTACACTCTACCTATTAAGTCAGAAAACATGTCTTATATATTTTTGCATCCTTTGTATCTAGTTCAATGCATGACACTTAATGCATTTACACTAAATAAATACATGAGTCAAAAACAGAAACTATGCTATTAAAAAATAATTAACTGCAGCAAAAAAAATCTCATAGCAGAAAATAGAAACTTTTACCATGGCATATTTTTCCATCCCCATAAAATCCTTCTGGACATGAACCACAATGATAGGAACCAAAGGTATTCAGGCATGCTACTCCCTCAAAGCAAGGCTTGGAGTCACACTCATCAACATCTTCCTGGCAATTTTTGCCTGTATAAAATATAGATCAAGAGCTCAGATTATTTAATTTGAAAAACATCGTATGTCCAATTGTCTTATTATATAACTTCTACTTTTTATGTCTGTCCTTCTAACCCCAAAAGAGCTGCTATGCATTATGAGGACAGAAGTATGCTGTTTTTAAAACTTACTGTATAATCAAATATAAAGTCACTAATTACATTCAATTTAATATTAAACCAGACCTTTCAAGTACATACGATTTTGTTTTTGTAAATAAGATGAGTTAAGAACTCCATTAATAGTTAAGGCAAAAAGCTTCATATTACAGCAGTAATTTGAACTTTGTTTAAAAAGTCAGTAATTTTTAAAAGTTATTTAGGATGGTTGTCTGTTTAGCTTAAGGACAAATTGTTTAGTCTAGTTATAAAAATTCATGAAAGTTGTTTGTGTTAGGAAAGTCAGTCCGTCCTTAATCAAAGTTTTTGAGTTGATGTGGTGCTCTTTGAAATGCTTAACAACTCATCTGAACGAGTAAATTCAGTCATACGTGGATGGTAGCCTTTATTATACTAAAATTTATGAGGCAATCAACATTTGAATTCTTTCAAATAGAGTCTACAGTGAAGTAGAAAAGAGATCTACATTCATAGTTCCCAATGATAAAATTTTTGTTTTAAAATGCTGAAGAGGTCAGACCTGTAATCCCAGTACTTCGGGAGGCTGAGATGGGCGGATCACGAGGTCAGGAGATTGAGACCATGCTGGCCAACATGGTGAAACCCCATCTCTACTAAAAATACAAAAAAATTAGCCGGGCTGGTGGCGGGCGCCTGTAGTCCCAGCCACTCGGGAGGCTGAGGCAAGAGAATGGCGTGAACCCAGGAGGCGGAGCTTGCAGTGAGCTGAGACGGCGCCACTGCACTCCAGCCTGGGCGACAGAGTGAAACTCCGTCTCAAAAAAAAAAAAAAGTGCTGAAGAAAATTAGAAGACACATAAATATTCTGCTCAGTTCTACTGTATTGTTAAAATGGGTATCTTCAAGAAAAATATCAGCTCATTAACTATATATTTACTTATTTAATATTTACATCTATTAAATGTACAGAAAATATTCATATGAGTTTTTAAAAAGCTGCGGGAAATTAAAGGTTGGCAGTCATATATTTATTTCCGTAATCACACATTTTAGGGCAATTAATGAGTTAGTAAATATGCTAACATTTCATTTGATTTCAACTTCTTACCATGATATTTCTAAGTCAACGAATTATCAGTAAAACCTCTCTTAAGTGATAACTTTTGTATTTTCTCTGGCATAATTCCTTTATTTTTCCATATTATATCTTAATAGTAATACATTTTAATACACTTCTCCCTACCAAATACAGGTAGGAATGTTTAGGAACCTGCAAAACAGGTTCCTACATTGCTATAACAGTTATAAAAATTGGCAAAAATGTAATAGTGCATGGAACTTGCAATTTACAAAAACAAGGGATATGGATAGTAATTATATTTGTAATAACTTTTATTAAAATTGTAAAGATGTGTACTAAAATCTTTAGGACCACACATTTGCTTAAGTAATCTGTAGATATGTGTTTCAAGGAGCTTTTCTTTCTAATTTGTTATGAGGAGCAAAATCTTACCTTTGAGCTCAGGTGGACAATCACAGGAATAACTGTGAAAACCACTAATATAGCTGCCAAGACCACAAGGGTTGGATTGGCACCCACTAATGTCCACTTCACAAAGGCTGCCATGGAAGCCAGGCAAGCAGACACACAGGTACACTCCACTCCCTGGAGAAAAGTTCCTATCAGATACACATGATCCACCATTCAAGCAATCACAAGACTTCACAGTCACCTACAAAACAAAAAAAAAGGAAATGTCTTATTTTTCAATAAAATTATCTTCAGTTTATGCCCCAGAAATCATGACAGTCATGTATGTTTATGTACAAGTATGACCAAATCACTTATATTTGATATATATACACACACACACAAATGTAATATAAAATTGTATTAAAAATAGTTTAATAAGGCAATTACGCCCACTCCCAGGTGCATAACCACAATATAATACTAAGGATAACTTTTCTAAAAAAAAAGTTACAAGATGATCAATTTCTGTCATGCAAGTAGAACAACTTAAAAAATCATTAAAGTGGAAAGCAGTTAATCACCTGGGTTATTCACAAATCTAGAGAGCAAATGATCTCCCGAATTACTGGGTTAATATGGCATAGAACGCAGCTGCTCTTACAATATTACTTCAGTGTAAAAGCGTGTTCCAAGTTTCAAATGAGCAAAGGACATATAAAGGGTTTCTAAGTATTAAGTGCTCATGACTGACATAATCAAAAGAAAAGTCAATAAAGAAAGGAATTATAGTTGCCAATTATTTATCTCAAGTTGTATTTATAATCTTGATTTCTAATTCAACATCTCAGGTCCTTTCACTTGATGGAAGAGGGTATAATTATCAATCTTAGATTAATCACACATCTTTCATGAAGGTGGAGCTGAAGGAGTTCTTTATTCTTGTCATAGTGAAGTGCCAAATAAAACAGTATAGAAATTATTAATTTAGATCTGTGCTTCTAGGCTTGAGACTCTCTCTAAGGTTTTAAATTCTTACAAAGAATAGTCAAAGTTTCGGCAGTTTAATTTTCCATACAATGTTTAATAACTTTGTTGCTCTTTACAACTAGCAATATGGCTTGTATTTTAAATTCAAATAAAGTTGTTAAAATTGCAAAAGAATCCAGTGGCACTTATGTAATTATAAAGATTACCTCAATCGTGACTCTAGTTTCAGCATCGCAGTCATCATTAAGGCGTACAGTAATTTGTTGGGTAGTTAGTAAATCTGTTTTCCACATAAAAAGCCCTGCAGAGGAAACACTTGCCCCTTCAGGACCAGAGTCCAACGTAAAATGGATGTCAGAACCTTCTGGATCGAAGGCCACGAACTGATACTCAAAGTTTTCACCATAAAATGTCTGTAATTTGTCTTGCAATGCTTGAATCACTGGGGGCTGGTTGTCTGTAATAGAGAAAACACTTAACTTTATACCCGTGTAGAAAAAGGAATGAAGTGTACTTCTGAGAGCTCCCACAGAGATATGCATTTTGATAAAGACTGAACTCTGCTAAAAGGTCTATTAGCTGCTTTCATTTTTTTTTTTAACATTCTGAGTAAGTTCAATTCCATTCTTAGACACATGAAAGTAACTGACAGGTGCAAGACCTCAGGCATTATTATGAAAGTATGAAATCACTTTGGATACAGCACAGAATATATAAATACCCATGCACTGGCCACACTGGATGCTGCACCTCTTCTGTCTTACTTCTTGGTGTTGACTGCCTCACTACTCTCTCTCTCTCTGGCTGTGGATCCTTTGCACTCTGTTTCTTTAAGCCTCACTTTCTCCCTCTACTCCCTTTCTCTATTCCTCCCTCACTGCCCATGACTGCTCCGTTTCTTTGGCTCCTTTGAACGTTTCTCGCTGTACTTGCCTCCCCAGCTATAATACGTGGAAGCCATTAGTCATACTCATCTTCTGATCCTCAGAGGTTCTTCCAGTGGCTGAGTGCACACACTAAAAAAGAGGCTATTTCAGGATGGGCATGGTGGCTCACACCTGTAATCCCAGTACTTTGGGAAGCCAAGGCAGGAGGATCACTTGAGGTCAGGAGTTCCAGACCAGCCTGGCCAACATGGTGAAACCCTGTCTCTACTAAAAATAAAAATTAGCAGGCATGGTGGTGGGTACCTGTAATTCCAGCTACTTGGGAGGCTGAAGCAGGAGAATTGCTTGAACCCGGGAGGTGGAGCTTGCAGTGAGCTGAGATCGTGCCACTGCGCTCCAGCCTGGGAGACAGAATGAGATTCTGTCTCAAAAAATAAAAGGTGGGGGGGGCTATTTTAGAGGACAGGCAGAGTTCCCTTTACACTCATGAAACAACTGAAAATCTCTTTTTATATTGTCTTATATTAAAAAATGTCTACCTTTCCAGCCCACTGGCTTAACAGTTGGAACAAATAGCCCCATTACATTGTACTGAGCACAAAAATTCTGCTTGCATCCACAAAGCACTAATGCCCCGAGATTGTAGCTCTGACTCCTGTTCTGCCCCTGCATATCCTTACACAAGCAGCCTAACTTATTGATCTTAATTTCCTCATCCTCAATATGAGAGATTTAAAAGACATGACATTTTTATGACCCTTTATGACTTTGAACACTATGAGACTATAATGAATCAATCAGTCAAACTATAGCCATTGACAAAACAGAGGCACCAATTCAGAAGTTGTATTGTATTTTCATCTCTTGCACTACATTTTTCCTCAAATTTCCATTGTCTTCCCACAGCATTCCATGAGTCTTAAACCTAAGCAGTGAATCATCTGGCAAATGTAATGAAACACAGTAATGAAATATGCACATACAATTATAATGATATTACACAGCATTGTATAAATATAAAGCTGTATGACTTCCTTAAATAAAATTACATGGGGCCAGGGAATAATTGTGTCCTATTGTCTCTAATAATGTCTCATCTCCCTGTGAGGGAAGAGAATTTGGACACCTATATGGAACCAACATAGCTCTATTTATGAAAGTGAGGAAGTTATATGGTACATGACTATAATTTGGGGTATTGTTTGAAACAAAGTATCTCAAAATTATCTGTACCCAATATTATACTCATGACATCACACAACAGTAGTACTGGAAGGCACTTTATAGATTACTGAGTCCAGATACCTTGTTTAACAAGTGCTGAATCCATGGCCTTTGAGCTTAAATGGTTAATAACTTCAGAAAACTGAACAGAGGTAAGGCTAAGCATAGGAAATTGTGTGTAGCTGAGTTAATAATTCTCATTTCTTCCATTAATAAATCACAAATCCTTTCCTAATCAAATATTAAAATAAATATCCTATACCCTCAACGTAAATTTTGCAGTTAGGAGAGATGCTAAATTAAACACAGAGGTCATTCATCTTAAACACATTTACGTAACTTCTGGCTGAAAACCACTTTTAAAATGTCTTGTATAGGAAATATTTGGATTAATAAAGAGTAACTTACTTTCTAAAAATGACCAAGTAAATCTTGAAATTTTGGGTCTACAAATCAAACAAGGGCTGGTTGGATTTTTGTCTCCTTCAACATAGCAGAGTCCATCAATAATGCAAACATTTTCCTAATGGAAAATTTTTAAAAAAGAAAACATCAAAGTACAGCGTGTAGAAAAAAAAAAGTACATAGAAGGATGGCAGTGTATGTATTGATGATTCCAACGAAAGCACATACATCTATTTTGATACTTCATAATCGTAAGTGCATATGAGGAAACAAATTACCTGAATACGTAAATGTCTACAAAACTGATCAATTTGGAGGTAATAAAAGTACACATAAGTTTTATCTTTACAAAGTTATAGCTTATAATTTATAAATAACATGGGAGAAAATCTCTCTTTTGGTATTTTTCACTGCTAAACTCATCCTAGGAGTGCTTTATTCATAAAGAAATAAAACCAACTTCTTTTTTTTCCTCCACAATTTATAAAATCACATTAGGTTATAGCTATTTTCCATTTCCCTAGCAGCCCACTGTGTTCTGTGAACACAGCCAACTAGACCAGATCTTTGGCATAATTATATCCACACTTGATAATGGATATCATTACACCAAACATTTGAAAGAGATGCTGATAAGCACAGAAAGAACATTAAATGTAGAAAGTATTCTTAGGGAGAGAATTGAATGTTATTCAGGAAATATAAACTTAGCTCATTTTACAAAATCTCCTTTAATATCACTTGGAAAATTGCACAAAAGTTAGAGCAAAATAGCTCCAGGAGGAGAAAACAATCTTGAATAATAATATTTTTAAAGTACTTATGAATATATGGAAATGGAATATTTGGGAAAAATAAAAATCAAACAATCTCTCAAAACCAGAGATTTGATCTGATGACTAATCTCAAGAAAATAAATTTTAAACTTAGAAAAAATAATACTTTAAAATTTTCATGTACATAAATATTATTTGTATGCACCTCAGCTTTGAGGAGTCAAGTGTCTCTTAAGTCAGCAGTTCACATGTGAGACAGCCCTTCTGATAAATACGGAAGGCTGGATATAGACTAAGAAGAAGTTGTGACTTCACCTCAGCTCAGGCTGCACTGCTGTTCTGTAATCCATCAAGTGGCAGGTATTTACATGCTCCAATAAAATTAGTTGCCAGGAAATACTCCCCATAAAAATACTAACTTTATACATTTTACAAATTTTAACCAAATGTATGTCACTTGATGCAAAGAAGAGTAGGTAACGTAAGATCTCTTATTGGAAAGTCATTATTACTACTGAAAAAACAATGTAGGTAGGAGTGAAGTAGTAAATAATTTAGTCTGGACTTCCTCTTACAATTTTTTAGAAGTAATCTGCCATTTCAAAATGTTAAAGGTAGGAACCTCTTCGTTGCAGGCAGAGTAACAATTTCAGTTAACTTATATAAACTTGAGGAAGGCTTTTCTCTATTAGTTTTTCTGGTATAAAAGTGAAAAAACTACAATTAATGTGCCCACAGCATAGGAAATGAAAATACCTATGATGTAAATGTGAAAATACATGAAAAAAATACATACCTTTATAGTACATGAGTCATTTTTATAGAGACCACAAACTTGGCAAGCACCATCATATATGACCGTTATTTTGGGATTACTGAATTTATAACCATCATTAGATACCTGTAACATAATAGTTCTATAATAAGATGATTTGTTCTAAATGTTCTAAATTCATTATGAAATGTTAAGTATTTACTTTGTTTATAAATATGAAGATGTCTTTTTATTTTTTACCTTCAACTGCCACTTCCCAGTTGGTTTCCCACCCACCAGATCCATGGTATCAAACTGCTGAACATCAGTGGGCAGCTGACAATCAACAGCTCTGCTATTGTGGAAAACAGTCTGTGTATAGATGGGTTCTCCAGGCATCCATTCACTGCTATTATACTGAAGACATAGTGAGAAAAAAATTAACCTCTGTTAAATTATGGAAATATTTTGTTAGTAAATTACATATAATGAAAACATAAATTTTAAAATATATGCCTAGTATAATGTAATATATAACAGGGAAACAAAAGTCACATTGGGAGTGAGTTTTATTCAGAATAACGAAAAACATATATATGTTAATATGATGCAAATTGCTCCCAATGAATCATGCATTTCTTGGCGGTTCAAATCAAAGAAGTTACCAATATTGGTCATATACAATGGATCACTATGTAACGACTTTTGTAGCAAAACACACTTGACTATATAGATGACACACAGTGGATTGATTTTCTGCCCAGAAATTCCTTCATTTCTCCTGCAAAAGCTTCCATCACCTCATCTACTTGAAACTGTCCTTTCTGCCCCCTACACAATTCCCACAGGGTCTCTCATATTCCTATATGACCAATCTCCCTGACTATGCTTGACTGGTGCAGGGGCGGACCTAAGCTAGGCCAATATTTCAATACTCATGATATTTTAACTTTGTACCAATGGAGATGTCATGTCAGTTGGCCTCTGATGGCTTGAGTTGCAAGACACAAAACTATGGAGTGGTTGGTGGCCATTTTTTCACTATGGAGAGAAAGCCAGTATATAGTGAAACAGGAAAATGAAGCCCACAAACAAAAGCCAAATTGAGACAAACATACACACACACACACACACACACACATAAAAATGCACACATACTGAGTCTTCATGGTGTTCAAGTCCCAAGTTCAAGATTTTTCTTGAGAATTCAGCTACTTTCTTATTCTTGATTCTCTAAGAAATATACTATCCTCATAATAAATATTTTTGCTCAAGTTAGTTTATTAGTAATTTGAAACTAAATAAACTCTACTTAGTTCACTCTACTTAATAACTCAGTGACACATTATGCTTAAGCTACACTTTTAGTATTGTTTTTCAGTATGAAAATGCACTGGTCCCAAAAGAAGAGAAGCCAGCATAATGTTCCAGGTACGGATAACTACGTAGGAAACCAAAAGCTATATTTTGCTGTCAAAATTTAGATTTAGATTTTTCTTTGAAACTTATTACTGTCAAATGTTTTCAACCACTCAGAATTTGTCATAGAGCATGCTGATGCTTCAATATTGTGGGTCAGCAGGAAAGGGAAAGGAAAACATGATCACCCTAATCTGCAGCTAACAGAAATTACGTTTTTGAAGATTTGATGATTGAAAGAGTGAGCTGCAAATCTCCATATTTAAGGGAGTATGGAGAGTCTAGCCTAGCAGATCTACCAGTGGTTTCCCTCTTGTAGAAGAAGAATGATGATTTCTCAGAGTAGTCATGATATCTACACTTAGGTGAATGTACAGTCTCGGTTTCTTGTGCAGAAAGAAAGCTCCAGCTAATGACTGGCAATATAGAGATTATTCCCAACTTTCTATTTCAAGGGGCCTACCCAAAATGAGGAATATACAGTGTTCTATTTCCTTTTCATTCATCAATATTTTGTGAGTATATATTATGTGCTGAAAATATCTCAGTGAAAAAAGATCACAAAGAAAATGACAGACAATATATAATTGTATTATTGCATTAAAAGAGACTCAAATAAGATATAATACAAAAGGAGTTATTAAGTCTAACTAACTAGCACAGTCAAAGAAGCCTTCAAAAAAGCAAACACTTCTCTTCCTGAAAATAAAAAGGGAGACTGCTATTTGGACACTGGGAGCAGAAGTGGAAAGAGTGCAATTCACATGAATGGAGGGAATAGTGTATGAAAAAGACAGGGATGCATGGAACAGCATAAACAGGAAGTTCAAGCCTACAAATATAGACAAGAGCTAAATCATAATGTGCCATCCATTTCTTGGTTAACATCCTGTATTTAATCCTATAAATCAGCAACCTTAAAATTGGATTTTGTAGAGTCTTGACTGCTTTGGGGGAGGAAGTGAAAGAAATGCTTAAGTGGTTGAATCTCTAGCTAAAGACTTGCTTAAAACTACTAATACAAAAGTAGAAAAAAGCATGTAAAATATGTTACACTTTATATTAAAAAAAGAGTTTCTATCCATTTTTTGTACCAAAGAAATATAGTAAGGATTAACCAGAAAATGATGACAGTAGAAACATACTTTAATGAAAAGAAGGAGTGATGGAAAGCAGATGACAGGGATGACAAGAAAGTAACAATTCTATGTGCATACCTTTGTATAGCTTCAACTCTTAGAACTATAATATTTCATATACCCTCCAAATAATTAAATAATTATAATCAACCAGAGTGTGGAAGAAACTCAAAATGGAAGACAAATATTTTTAAAACCTAGTTGTATTATAAATAAAACAGATAACCACTCTAAACAGAGTGGAAAATAGTTAATCTAACTCACTTTGGAAAGCAGTATCTGCCTTTATATTGTGACCTTGTTTCATGAATTTGTTTTTTTACAGAGGAAAGGCTTAGAATTTCTGAAACTGACTTACATATACATTTAGATTGAGAAACCAGGTAAATATATTGTGGATCATGAGAGCCAGTTTTCACTTGTAAAGAAAAGAGTTACAAATAAGGAAAGGAGAAGGCTAGAATGAACCTTATGGCACTGCACTGAAATCAGAAGTATCAGTATCAACTCACAGAGATGACAGATAGATAAACCGATAGATAGGTAGTTACGTGTGTGTATAAGTGTACATACATAGATTTTCTAACTGTATCCATTAAAAGGGCCAAGAAGGATTAACTACCCTGTAACAAGAAGCACACCTTGCACCCAAGTCTTGGATTTTAAATGACCCTCTTTGATAAATGGAACTACAGTCTTTAGAGAAACAGTTGATTCTAGAGTTGGGGTAGGAAAAATATGAGTCTGGAATATCATATGATGCCAGAATGTGATAAATTGTTCAAAAAATTATGGGAGCAAGTTAAAAGGACGTGTGAACGAATTTGTAATAGTTCCCAATGGTCAAAGCTAGAATAATTTAAACAGCCAAATAAAGAATGATAGCATTGAGTTATAATTCATGAAATAAGTTTCCATTAGTCTACACTGGCATGAGTAAATAAATGAATAAATAAATTGGAAACAAGGAACAGCTCTTCCTTTCAGTAGAATTCCAGATAATATGTGTAGAAGAAATGATGGAAATAGAAAATCACCACTGGTAAATACCATAGTCATAATTGCTACAAGCAAAAATTATAGTTGGATGCTAAAATTAGGAAGAAAATGTTTGAGGAGCTATCATATATTTGCATAATCTAAAAGTGTCTCCCTACAACGTATTTATTAGTTAAAAAGGGAAAAACAGGGAGCTTAAAGTGAAGATACATGGCAAAAACCCCTTAAGTAAGTGATCAAAATTTACATTGCCCGTGATTAGATACATTGCATCATGAAAGGATGCACTAAAAATTGTACAACATGGCATGACCTCAATCTAACCATAAAAAAGGAACATTCCACAAAATAACTGGCCAGTGCTCTTCGAAAGAACCAAGTGTGCAAAAGATGAAGAAAGATGGAGCACCGTCACAATATTCAAAAGAGCCAAGTGTGCAAAAGATAAAGAAAGATGGAGCACTGTCACAATACGAAAGAGACTGAAGAAACATGACAAAATGCAGTATAAAATCTTAAATTAGATCCTGAATCAGGAAAAGGACCATTATTAGTTGGACAACTGGTAAATTTACAGAACAAGGTCTGTAAATTTGTTAATAGTATTGTATCGAGGTGAATTTTCTGATTTGAATAATTATTTTATGAATATGGTTTATAAATAAGATATTAACTTTATGAGAAACTGGGTGAAGAATTACTGGAAACTGCATTATTTTTACAATTTTTCTGTGAGTATCAAGTTATTCCAAAATAAAAGTTTTTAAAAATTACTTCGTAAAATGGGAAGTCATTAAGGATTTTGCATGACCTGATTTCCAAAATGCTAGATTTTAAAGAGGAACCCAATCTTCGAAGGGAACTGAAATTTGAACTAAGAAGGTGAGCAGGAATCGATTCACGTTGACTGAACATGTAATAGGGGAGCTAGGAGAAGACATTAGCTTAGTGGCAGGGCGAGCACATTCCACACAAAGTGAATGCAAGGCTTTGAGCAGGGCCCATGTTCGTAGGGTTGGGGATCCTAAAATAGTGGCACATTAAACAGACTTGACTGGAGGTATGAATTAAAGGCTAGAAGAGCCTTTAAAACCCAGCACTGGGCAAGACTGGCGCTAGGAGAGACAGACTTAACTTCAGCACAATGTAAAATAAAGACGGATATGCACTCTAATTTTAGTTTGGGCAAGTGAACATCTTTCTTTCTATAGTTTTTGATTTGGTTTGGCTCTGTGTCTCCGCCCAAATCTCATCTCGAATTGTAATCCCCAGGGATCGAGGGAGGGACATAGTGGGAGTTGACTGGATCATGAGGGCAGTTTCTCCCATGCTGCTCTCATGATAGTAAGGAAATTCTCATGAGATCTCGATGGTTTAAAAGTGGCAGCGTCCCTCTTAACTCCCTCTCACCTGCCACCTTGTGAAGAAGGTGCCTCCGTCTGCCTTCTGCCATGATTTTATGTTTCCTGGGGTCTTCCCAGCCATGTGGAACTGTGAGCCAATTAAACCTGTTTTCTTTATAAATTACCTAGTCTCAGGTAGTATCTTTATAGCACTGTGAAAATGGACTAATACAGTTCTGTATAGTGTGTTAGAGGATTCCAGATTTTACTCTGTATTTATCAGAAGTTTGCAGGAAGTGGCAGGTAGTATGAGAGTAAATCACAACAAACAATGCATCTGAAGGTAAGTACAAGATGTGCTTTCCAAGAGAATATAAATCTACAAAATTCGCTCCTGGCACATCACTTAGTTTTCATGTGATGTCATATGATTTATTCTGCCATGACTATTACAATGTCTATTCTCTTAAGTGATATTAAAATTACTTACATGTACCTTTCTATTTTGTCTTATTACTTCATTGGGATTAAAATATTTCATGACTTACTTAGAAAGCCTCCACCCATAAAATCCTGAAGTTAGCATACTTGTGTTTAACTACTTGATAAAGACACATACAAACCTATTTCCTCCTGTAAATTCTCAATCTCAGAATCACATTTGGCTTCATTAATTTAGAGAAAAAGTAAGAAGAATATTATAATGTGGTTTGCTGTCTTAAGTTTTCAGCTTACCTACATATACTTTTGAAATTCATAGAGTCATCCTTAAAATAAAATTTCCATGTGAATAAAGACAAGGAAGACCATTTAAATAATCATCAAAAATAAGGTATAAGTTGATATACTAACGTTCAAACTGATCATGTCTGTTTCTGTGGCCTTTAGAAAGATAAATACTATTTTTTAAAGGTGAGTCTTTTCTGTCTAAAATCCATAGTAAGGAAAATATAAAGAATAAATGCAATTAGTCCTCATTTTTTGATTTGTAAAAGGGAAATGTTCATATCCAGTTGATGCAAGATGTCTTGGCTAAAAACAATGTCTCTTCTTTATGTTTTTACATTTCAAGAAATACAGAGGCTTACATAAATCAAGCTTGATATTCTTTTAGCTTTTTAATATAAGTGAAAACAGTGAGCCGATACTTCAATAAAAAGTTTATAAGATATTTTAATAAAGTTAACAAAGAAGCGTCAACATTATGTAACTTAATCATTTTCCTGTTCAGCTCTCTAGATATAATATCGTTTGGATTTATGTTGCTAATTGATAGACCGAATTAATCCAAGATAATATTAATCTGAGTATCTCATACACTCTATTGTTTCTGAACTCTATAATTAACATACCTGTAGCTTAGTAACTTCACATTTAATTGAAGGTAATTCTTTGAAGCCTTTGCCAAAAACTCTCACCATCATACAATTATATTTTTGAACATCACAGAATCCAGCATTCCCAAGCTCTGTAATTTCAGGAGCTTTGTCTTTGGAAAAAAAATATAACAAATACTACATATTTTACTTAATTTCAGAAAAAAAAACTAATTATTTCCAAGCCCCAAATTAAAAGCATATGGAAAATAATATTTTAAAGTATACCTAAAATGCTGCTTACAACACTAATTAAGCCATTAAATGTTAAGAGTAATCTGGTATTAGAAGAGGTATCTACCATCAAACCAATAATAATATTACAAACACTACCAGTCCTAAAATCACAGGTTTCACTAATGTTTAATAATATTTTATATCAATTAAGGACAAATATTAAGAAATTACCACTACAATAAAGTACATTTTGGTTTTGCCATTTTGGCTTGTGCCATATAGCTGGGTTATAGAAAAAAATATTTCTGTAATAAAATATAGTAGTTAGTAATGCAATGTATTAAAATTTCAAAATGTCATCTGTATCAGTAACATCTGGTTGTCAAAATGGGTATATGCAGTGTGTAAAAATTATTAAACCCCTTGCCTAACTACTGGGAAAACCTAAGTGAATACAACTCTACTAGCAGTAGGGTAGAAAATCACGTGTATTCAGAACCTTAAAAATCTTGATGAAAATTTTTTTTAAAGCCTGGGTTACTTCAGTCCATACTTTCACAAATTCAACAAATGTTTAGTAATTTTTATTTATCTGTTGCTATTCTAGGTACTGGGGATGTAGTAATGAACAAAACAAAAGTTTCTGCCTTCATGTAATTTGCATTCTAGATGGGAGGATTAAAAAAAAAATAAAAAGATAAATATAAATTATATTACATAATTGTTTTCAGGAATATAGAAAAAATTATATTAACTATATTAAGAGAGATTAAGACCATGGAATTGTGTAAGAAAAACAAGTCTATTTTGAATGACCACAGAGGATTTTCTGATAGTATGACATTTGAACAGAGAAGTAAAGAAAGTAAGTCATAAAGATCTGTGGTGGGAGAATCCTCCGGTGAGAGGGAGCAGTGAGTGCAAAGACCCTGAGGTGGAAGCAGGCCTGGCTCCTTTGAGGAACAGCAAAGCTGCCAGTGTGGCTGAAAAGCAGTGAGCTGGGAGAAGAATGCTAGATGAATTCAGTGAGAGAGGAACCTCAGACTACCTAGGGTCTTCTACGCCATGGTAGGGATTGTGGACTTTACTCTGAAGGAGATGGAGAGCCATTCGAGCTATATAAACACAGGAGCAATATGATCTCACTCACATTTCAGTGGGGTCACCTGCTGCACAGAAATTTAGTTTTGGGAGAATCTACGATAATCTGAGGGGGAAATAATGGTGGCTTGGACTATGGTTGTAGCAGGGAAAGAAATGAAATGCTTTGAAGCTGGAGCTGGATTTGCTGCTAATGAATTAAACTTGAGGCATGAAGGAAAAGGACAGGCAAAAATGACTACAAGTTTTTAATGTGAGGAATTTACTAAGAAGGAAAAGGCTGTAGGTGGAAAAGAGCAAGATGGTAAGAATGGGAGGGAAATCAGGAGTTACTGGTTTACTTATTAAAGGAAACAAAACTTTTTACAGTTTCTTTGTCTAACATATTAAGAGAAAATATACTGTATAGATAGATGCATTAGAGAAAAAGAGTTTTAAGCAAATCAGTATAATTAGCCAAACTATATAAACACAGTGCTTTAAAAATACTAAATTTGAGTTCTGGGAAAATAATGATTCCCTATAGGTAGAGGGCCCAGTTGTGTGTAAAGGCCCTGAGGTTAAATGATCTTGGCATTTTCAAAGGACAGCTCAGAGGAGCTGGAGTGGAACAACAGGGTGACAGTAGCAGGGAATGAGTTTAGAGAGCCACTGAGTGCCAGATCACACTGTGCCTTCTAGGCTGTTATAAGTTACTTTGGCTTTTACTCCAAATAAGATGAGATGCTGTTGGAAAGTTAGTAATGTGTTCATTAATATGATTTGGAGGTTTTCTCTATAAAATCTGAATAAACACTGTTAGGATACTGAGGGTGAAATAAAGATCAAACACATTTTTATAATGAAATATCACATGCAATATCAAACTTTGAGAGTACTTACTTACCATAGGAATCACTGCAGTCATAGGAACTAAAGCTTGGGGAACACGCACACCCCCATTCCATGCACTGCCCATTGCCGCTGCATAAATTGGGGCATTTTAATACTGAGAGAATGTCTTCAATTGATGTGCCATACTCTTCTGTGTTATATTTCCCCTCCTCCACAATCCTCTTTTCACATTCATTTTCTAAAAGGGCCACACCTGCTTCTGCCCAACTAAGATCATCTTTTAACAGAACATCCTTCACACACATCTCTATAACACTGTCTAATCTCTTGCCAAGAAAAGCAAGACACAGCCTTCCTATGCTGGAGTTGGCTAGAGTCTCCTGACAGAGGGTCAAGGTGCTATACTCGGTGAGGCCAGAGGGAGTGGGCCAAGAGGGGAAAAACTCTTGCTGTACATCCTCAGCATGGTCCTCTGGGAAAAAATAAGTAAGTTCTTCCAGATCCGTTTGGCTGAGACTCGGGAAAGCAAACAAAGGAGGAAACTCATGAAAGTTCTGCCGTTTCCATCTGTTTTGTCGATTGTACCTCATTTCTTGGCTGTGGCTTCCCCGGCCTTGTGTATATTTCTTATTGGCCAAATATTGTAGTGAATCTTCTTTCTCATTTCCAGGATGTTTTTGTACATTTAAGCCGAGTTTAGTCAGGTTTATGTGTTTTTTTTCTTGCAGAAATAAATTTAGATTATATTCTTCTGGAGATGTATGCTTGTTTATCTCTCTGACAAGAGTGTCTGAATTAATATATTCGGAGGTGACATCTAGTTCTGGTATCAAAGAAGATAAGCTGACATGATTGAGGTCTTTGCAACCCAAGGCAATTTCTGATCGAGAAACACTGTCCAGATCTTCGGAAGACGGATACGCTGCAGTGTCCAATGAACAGCTACAATAGGATGGCTTTCCAGGTGATGTCATAGAAACTGGCAGTGTGTCAGACATGCTTTTTCCTGGTAAAATCCTTCCAGATGGAAAACAGGAAAGAATAGTAATTTTGTACATAAACATTTGTTTCCTAATATGTGTTGCAAAAAAGCAGAGTGTTGAGCCACCACCCGTTTTAAGTCTAATATTAATATAATCGCAAGTGGAAAAATAGTGTCTTACCTCCATTCATTAATAAAAGCAACATAATTGTTAAAATTTTGATCAATTTGCATCCCATTTTTGTCATGGAAATCATTTTCCGGATTTTCATCAAAGGTTCCACAAAGTCCCAGAGTGTTTCTGTAATCTACACTAGGGGCTCTGATCGTTAGACTCATGCCCCATTCACCAAGATCAGCACGGATAAATGCCCCAGAAGAAAACCAGATCTGAAAAACAGAAATAAATACAGAAATAAAAGATGTTGAAGCAATATTCAACCTGGATTAAGAAAAATCTATTATTTAAAAAATAAGAAATAGTTATTCCCTCAATATAAAAAAAGAATAAAATACTGATTTTCTTGACTACAACTTTCCTCTTAACATTCTATGTCAAAATATGGGTTTTTGCATTTTGCTGACCTGAAATTTGATTACCATACTGATCTTTTTATTGAAATATATTGCTTGCAACTTCTTTAAATAATTTAAACAAAAATAAGATAATTTATACAATTAATACATTACAAATATTGAGGAGGATGTTTGCCAAGTAATGTTTCTGATAATAATTATTTAATACAGAATTAGATTGCCAAATAATTAATTTACACAGATGAATATAATTTCAGAGGAGTACATGTTCCCGCAGCTAATTAGCATTCTCTAGTTGCCAGTAGACAAACAGAATCAGAAGCTAAATTATAACTAGAAGGTAGCTTGGGGAGTTGGCAATCTGAGCAAGGAGAGTTTGCTGAATGACCCTAGTAGCCTGTGCAATCTAACTGTGAACCATCTCTCCCATCACAGGAATATCACCTCTTCCAGACCAGCCACTTTGATGTACTGTGTATGTGGAGAAGCTATCTCTTCTAAAAATCACTGAAGATACACAACTGTGTTTGCTCTTCTGGTTGTTTTTCCCCTTTTAATTTTCTTAAAATTTAAAAATAACTCTTTTTTTCTCTTTTTACAAAAATGGTCTGTGTTAGTTACATTAAATTATTTTAAAAACAAATTTTACTTTCCAAACCAACTTAAGGTAGCTAATATTAAGATCTTTGTGCAAATTCCTCAAAAGCCTCTTTTATATTTTGGGCATATCTTCGCCTGTCAATAAACACACTCACCTACTCCAGCATTTTCATGACTACAAAGTATTCTACTATATGACATCATTATATTTAGAGTTTTAGTTAAACCTGTTTATTGATCACCACTTAACTATGACTTTTTCATCTTACAAGGAAAGATACAATAAACATCACTGGGGGTATGCACATCCTTAACTATTTTTTTTTACAATAAATTTCCAGAAGTAAAATTTCTTGGCAAAATGCACACATAGGTGCAGGTTATATATGATATATATGTTCCCTGGAAAGACTGTTACTAAATGTACTATCTCTACGCTTCCTGATATTGTATGAAAGATGTTCAACCTTTATTTATCTATTTGACTGCTAACGAGGTTAAAGTTTTCATATTTTTGTTGGTTTTTGTACTTTTGAACATATCAGATTTCTTTTGTGAAAAGGTTTTTTTATATTATTTGCTCATTTTAATCGGAGTGCTGATTATACATTAGTGATGCATGAGTATTTTCTATCTGACCTGTTTTATACGTAGCAAATATTTTCCTAATTTTTGATTTGCATTTTGGTTTTCAGTGATGGAATTCAAATATATAACATATTTTCAAAAATGATTTTTCACTTCAGTAAATATTATACAAACAGAAACTTAAATTTTTAATACTTTTATTTAAATTTAAATTTGATTTACTTGGAATTACTTGTTTGAAAGATGAATGGAAGGTGGCTATGACCTGAAAATACAAATAGTTTACTCACAGATATGAAGTATAATCTTTAAAAAAATATTAGCCTGCCAGGAGTAAAGGAAAAAGAATTAAAAATATTAGTGAATATATAATCTTAGGTTTGTTTCCTGACTTCATATTCTATTACACTTATCTACCACTGTATTCATTTCAAAAACTGGTTGATTATTCCTAAATATTTGTTCTTAATTATGTCTGTCATCTCTGTCTAATATACTATTTATTACACGTTGTTAAAAGTAATTTTAATGAATAATCCACCAAGTTGTCATGCTGAAATGTTAAATAAGGCAGTTTAGATTTTACATGGTTTTAATGATGTTGTGTCTATTTGTGTGTGGTGAGAAAAATGTATTCCCTCTAAGATGATGGTTAATATAAATGCTATTTTCTTAAACAAACTAATGTTGAAAAATGATAGCTCCTAATTTAATAGAGATGTTTATCTGAAAGGAGAAAAAGGAAAAATACTTTCAATGTTAAAGAATCATACATACTGTGACTTTTCTTCCTAAGTAAGATTCACTTATCTTGATATTCCTGGTTACATCTTGGCTTTTTATGAACAAATATGGTTGTGATTCACGTAGCTGACCATTGCACATATCAAAAGTAACTATATCACCTCCTTCCTGGGCAACAAACCCACAATTACATGACACTGGATAGTGAAGGCTTCTGCAGTCCCACTGACGTACATGGACTTCAAAATCACGTGACATACTCTTATAAAGCACAAATGTTCCAGTCTTGAAATTATCATATACCCTATCATTAACAAAAGGCAATTGCATTAAAAAATCGTGTAAAATATCACAATAGTATGTTATTGATTTGCAACAGCTTTATGTATCACGATCATTTTGTTGTATGCACTGAAGGAAACAAAGTAGTCATAAACACCTCAATCTCTCCCACTACTCCTTTCTTCCCTTTCACCACTCCAGTCAAGCTGCTCTCCTTGAGCAGGGCAGGCTGGCTCAATGGTCTTCTCCCCGTATGTGTATGCACGTGACCATCTCCCTCATCTTTGAGTACTTGTTAAATGTCACCCTCACCAAATGGCTTTTCGTAACCACTCTATTTTAATATAAATTCCAACCCCTCTTTTCAGCCTTCCCTTTCCACCCAATTTAGTTTTCTTCACAGCAAGTATCTTCCTCAGATACACTTTATATTTTACTTATTAAATGTGTTTATATCTCTCTTCCCCTTTGCAAAAGCCAGCTCCATGAGGGTAGAGAGTGTTTGTTTTGTTCACTGCCATACCCCCAGTACTTAGAACTTGGCTTTTCACCTAGTTGTTGCGTAATTAATCTTGTTGAATTGTCAGATTACATTCATCACTACTACACTTTCTCGAAATTTTTCCACTAAAATGTCTAAGCTTTTAGTTATAACCGTAAAGGATTCTTGCCCGTTAGATCAGTTCCTTCAGGTTCTTAACACCTGTTGACACCATTGGAGTATAACTCTCTTATAGAACAGTCTCTATATATTGAATAATTTTACTGACAATTATCATATTACAATTTTTTAAGCAAACCACAACCATTTGCATCATGAAAAAAATGTTGATGCAACACTAAGACATTCTTATCATTTTCCTTACAGACATCTCAGAACCATGAATCTCCCAGAACGATATAACTGAGTTTAAATCTTTCTATACAGGTATTGATAACAAAATAGTTTAGATTACTTTTTGGTCTTTTGCCTATTTTACTTTAAATTCCAGAGGCAAATATCCAGGTATCCATAATAGTTATAATAGTTTTTTTCCTGAGTATTCTTGTCAAGACTTAGGAGTAATTAGTTTTAAAAATAATTCTAATATGTTTAATCATTTTGCCTAAACTTAAAGATTGTTTTATTATCATATGGAAATGCTATAAACATCTTTAGAGTAAATAATTTAATCATTATTAAAAATTTAAAGAGTCTAGCAAAAAAGATTCTCTGCATTTGTAATAATATTTATTTTTACAAGTTCAGCCTTGCAGATAATCCATGTTTTTTACTAAGAATTAGATTTTAAGGCAAAAAATTCTACACAAATAAACTAGTATCTTGAAACAAGCCAGTAATGCCTTTCTGTCTAATTTCAGTGACTAGGACTAAAAAATTATAAAACAATACACTGTTTAAAATAAAACAACAAAATCAAAGCAAACAAAACTACTAAAAGAAGAAACTTTCAGAAAATTACCTGCCATCAAATGTAATTATATGTGGGTCAGTAAATGTATAGCAGTAAGCAGTTGGGACATCCTTTACTTTGATCTTAAAAGCAAAGATATTTTTGGTAAATATTACCATTAATTATATTTAGTGATATATAAAAAATTGCTTAGCAATCTCAACAAACTTTCAATTAATTATTGTTTTTATCATAGTTATTGAAAATTGAATCATTTAAAAACTAATTTACCAAAAAATTTTTTACATAAAAAGTTTATAAGACATAATGATAAAATACACATTTCTTCTTAAAGCTTCACTTGCAGTATTAGTGTTGTAATTTGTCAACCTGGATGCTGTCTGGAATGTAGTTGTTCCACAGGAAATCCTCATTAACTATTGGTTGCACTACAATGTTTGAGACTCTATCTCCATCTCGAGAAAAATCTGTGACAGCAGTGTAGTACACAAAAGTGTGGCTACAGGTTCCATTAGCACAGGAAGATGTCTGGAGAAGGTCCACATGACAGGAAGACAGTGCCAAATTTAAGCCTAGGTGCTCTCTACCTATTTAATGAAAAAATAGGTTTAAAAATTTCCAAGAGAATATACTAACCAAAGCATGTAATAAATTAATTAACATGAAACACTGAATTGTAAGATTATTCTCAAATTATTTTCTCTTTCTTAAAACATATGGTTGCAAATTTTGTCTAAATTAAGCCAAAGCTATTGAATCTACCTGATTTTTACAAAGAATTAATCAACTATAATATATACATATGTACACATAAATACATATTACAATTTTCAATTAGGTTATAAACCTGTATGCAACTGAAGGAAATTCAAAAAGAATAGATAAAATTTATTCTTTTACATATTACATATATTATAATTTTACATATTATATATACTAACATGATTTTTTCTGTCTAAGATTTGTAACGTGGGCCCAGATACTTCTGTAATATTTCTTAGCATATGTGTTCATGTTCCATCCATTGTTGAATAGTAGCAATGGCTTTTAATTATTGATAAAGGGCTTATCATCTCAAAAAATAGACAAATCACAACAAATGAAGATGATCTCACAACAGTAACAAGCTATCTTCTTTCACCTCCCAAATGTCCCAATATATTCACAACCTTGAGATGCTCCCTCGCTTCGATAACAAAGAAAAAATAATTTGGAAAGGAAATGGTAACAAAAAAAGAGAAAAGAACTCCAGGAATTTGTATAACTAAACAAAAAGAACAGATTTGCCCCCAAAATTGGTCAGAGAGGAAGTATGCTATCATATCCAATTAATGATTCCAAAGTCCTCCTAAGAATCTAAAAGGAAAAAAGTTGTTAAAAAATGTTCTATCTTCTTTTCTTCCATACAGATTTTTTAGGTATGAAGTTATATTAATCAGATATAGGCATACTGAACTATTTTTTTAGAAATATATACTTTTCCCATGCACATAAAAAATAACAGAAACATTCAAACTCTTAACCAACTCTCTAAGGTGAATACAGAATATTTCTAGCTTAGATATAGCCCATAACATCCATTCCTCAAGCCAATACATGAGGGGTTGTTCTCTTTAAGCCTGTGAATAGCAGCATAGTCTGTTTAGAAATACACTCAGACACCAACTGGTTCCCTATGAAAGTAAAGATTTAATGCTACTGTACTTAAAGAGGACAAGATGAGGGGTATCCAGAATGAAATCCAGAATTTTTTCTTCAACAAACAAAAGCCATTTTTAATTCTCAGAGAATAAGAACATGCATGCAAACTTCTAAAATGTAGAAATATATTTAGGCTATTATTATATTATTTTAGCAATGCTTGCCTTGTTGAAAGAATTGAAAGCATGAAAATATATTTTAAAGTATACCTGTAACTGAAGAAAATCTTTGACTAACATGATTTTGGAAAACATCAATAACATCATCCTCTTTCTGTTCTCTCCATAAACTATAGTAATATTTGCATAATACACTTTTCAGAGCTAACTTGAAGTAGAATTGTGTCAAATAGTCCGAGAGAGGGTATAATGTAATATGTCTAGGCTGTAATTAAAAATACAATGTTGCTCGTGGTGCTCCTGAAATCTGAGCGAGTAGGTAGGTATTACTGAGCCTGCTTACTGTTAACAATCCTAAGATGACCTCTCTTAATTCCTCTATCTCTTTAGCCATCTCTTTTCTTGAGTGCATCATTCCAAATGATTCTCTTTCTCTCTCTCTCTCTCCTGGCTTTTTTATCTTCTTGTTTCTCTGATTTAATTATTTATAATATGGACATGAAGGTCTATAGATACCTTGTGTTTGGTATATTTACTAAAGACAATGTAATGTTCTACGGTGAAAATGTATGTGGTATGCCAATGAAATTGTAATCTCTCTTAAAGGTTATATTTTATGTATCTGTAACTTGCTTTGATCTCTACATCAGGGGCTCAGTGGGAAAAAGAACATAATCAAGCCAATCACTGCTATGCATGGTTTGTCCTCGCATATTCTATCTTGTTATGTGGGAGGATTTCTTCACTCTATCCATTGACACATATGTGGCCATGTATCACAACATCCATATAATCAGTAATTGAAATAGAAGAATTTTAAGACACAAGATCCCAAACATAAACGTACGTTAGGGAGAGAAACTTGAAGGATGCATTATGAGATCTATATTTCATAAGCTTGAACTTTTAACGTAACTTATCAAATGTCTCTCATTGGGGATGATTTGAAAAATCTTAAAGAGCAGTTTTTCCCTCGTTTTCTGTAAACTAAGCAAACAGAGGAATAAACAGGAGAATGAGAAAAAAATAGGAGAAAAAAAGAGGAGCGAGAGGAAAAAGATGATGACGAAGAGGAGATTATTCACTATTTTTTTTCTTTTTTTAAAATGTATGCTTTCAGCCAAGAAGAAGAAATGTGAATTGCTTTGGCAATCGTCAGTTTGGCCGAGTATTAGTAATATGATTGGGCTAAAATTTGATGTCAACATGCAACATGATTTATTATATGAGTACACTCCAGTGACTTTTCCTACAGGAAAAAAAAGCATTATTGTTTGCAATCTAATAATAAGATAAAATAAAGTTAGTATATTACCTTGACCAATAGTTTTCAGTTTTAATGAGATTTTGCATTCTTGATCAAGCTCACTAAATTCAGAACAAATAATAGGAACTGTGCTTTCTATCCTCAGGTAGTATTCTTTCCCATCCTCTGATATAGTGCTCAATTCAGGCTGTAGCTGGTATAAGAAAATACGTAGAAAAATTATGTTAAAATATAATTTATTTCTAAGGCACAGTTTTGAAAGGGCATTTTCTCAACAGCACATATTTTACTAAATAATAACTTAAGCCCTAGAATGTTTTAACTAAGCAAGACCATTAAAATCAAACTTATACAAATACAAGCAGCACACACAGGAGTACATGGAGCTGCTGTACTGCTCTGAGTTTGACTCACTTTGGTTCCCCAACACATTTGGCAAATCATATCCAAGCCTGCCTCAATGATTCTGGTTCTGTGGTGAGCACTGGAAAGCGAAGAAGAAAGAAATATTTCTATTTTCTTCCACTTTATTGCTAATGTTTACTGACACACCAACAGAAGACTCTGGTTTTTCTTAGGGATTAATACCACCATCTCAATTAGAAATTTAAGTACTTTTAATACATAAATCAAATTATTGTTGTCACCTGAAATATCTCCACACTTAGCTTATTTCTCAGCATCTGATTTCCAGAGTTGAACTTCCTGAGAACTGGTGCAACCCAGGACTGGCCCTATCTTCATTCACAGGCCAAACCTTTTTTGAGGCAGGAATGTTTCCATGCAGTCTCGAGTCTTGGCTAGCTCTCAAAACAGATGATTCTTAATACTGAATATTCTCCCTGTTAGCCTAATCAGAAAGGGTACAAGGGTGGGGGTGCTGACTATTGACCCCTGACACTGTCTGCTGAGTGCTAACCAATGTAAACCAAAATGTTCCTGTGTTCTCAAAGCTTGACCTCTGCTTCCCCTCACGCTGTAGTTATGCAATTCTGACAAAGTGGTCCACTCTTCTCACTTCTTTTCCTGGTTCCTACTGTGTGTACATGGACTTTATTCATAAACAGGGTTTATCCTGGTCCTGAGTCCTATTCTCACAATCTTACCATTTATCTCATCTTGTCCTTGAACGAGAAATGAATCCAGGTCAAACTCGAGTCCTGTGGGTGAGACCTTCCAGGTTCACCGTGCTTGCCTGCCTGGACCGTTTGATATTGCCCCCACTTCTTCCACTGCTTATTAATTCCCTGTCATCTCTGCTCATCTGCTAGAATAGCTCTTCAGTTCTTGGATCCTATTGCCACCAGCAACAACCAAATCTCCTCCTCTGTTTAGCTAGCTCAATCTTTGCAGTCCATAAAACTCATAGCTCTGGGTCAATTCTACTCTAGTCAGAGACTCTACTACTTGGCCTGGTATCTGTCTTCCAAAATGCATGATAACTAAATATTACTAGGCTAACTTTCGTTACACGATGGAATGAATTAGAGGAATAGACCTTCTGCTTTACTCTAATTTGAGCTATTTCTTTAAAAAATGAAGGTACATCTCAACTTTAGTTAACAAGACCCCTCAAACTTTGTTGCGCATTAGAATTACTGGGGCTTTTCTTCAAATATGGGGACTCATGGGTCTCAACATTCCGATTCAGTCTGTGATGAGGTACAGAAACCAGCATGGACAGATCACAGTTTGGGAAACATAGTTCCAGAGGAATAATCTTTCTGATGCATCCCCACTGCTGCGTACCTTAAAGCCTGCAAAAAATTCTTGGCTTTCGATGGCTACACTTTGTACATGAGGATTCTCCAAGAAAAAGACAGAAGCGCTGCAGAATATCTATGGATATAATTAAAAAATAATCACTTAGAAATTCAATTTTGGAGAAAACGTGTAAATTATCACTTTTAAAATCCTAAATTTAATTCTTCATAGATAGTATATAAAGATAATAAAAGAATTAAATAATTTAAAAGCTTACTTGATATTTCAGAAAAATTCCATCATTATAAAATATGACGTATTCAAACCTCAACATAAAGTATAGTAGGCTTTGTATTTAGGATGTTTTTAAAAAGTACTTAAGGCCGGGTGCGGTGGCTCACGCCTGTAATCCCAGCACTTTGGGAGGCCGAGGCGGGCGGATCACGAGGTCAAGAAATCAAGACCATCTGGCCAACATTGTGAAACCCCGTCTCTACTGAAAATACAAAAATTAGCTGCGTGTGGGTGTGGTGGCGGGCGCCTGTAGTCCCAGCTACTCAGGAGGCTGAGGCAGGAGAATCGCTTGAACCTGAGAGGCGGAGGTTGCAGTGAGCAACCTCCGAGATCGCGCCACTGCACTCCAGCCTGGCGACAGAGTGAGACTCCGCCTCAAAAAAAAAAGAAAAGTAATTAAAAAGTGACATCGTCATTTAAAAAATTAAAACATTTTTTCTAGAATAAACGTATATAATTTTAAAACCTGAGAGGGACATATATGTGTAAGAACTTAAAGTATAATAAATATATATATAAAAAAGGATTAATAATAATCAGCAAATTACTAAAATGATATATTCATATATAGTCACTAAGATCACTGACTCCTCCAGTTATCACGAGAATTAGCACAATTGCAAGGAAAAAAAAACAAAAAGAAAAATATTAGGGCTTTATACTCTGGGGACAAAATCTATTTTTTGGATATGATGTTTAAAAATCGTGTTTGAAAATCAATACATTCATGAAAATAAAATGCAACTGTTTTTTAACATACCCTGTCTCCAAGTCTGAGATTTATGCCATCAAGTTCTAAAAGAGAGAATGCCTGAACTGTGGTCTCTTGTGTCAGCTCCTCTTTGACTTCTTGAGAAGAAAGCCTAGACCAAGCTATGTGAAATCCCACTGAGTTTTTTGTAGCGGGAACATCAAAAGAACACCTACAGAAAAGCCTGGACTCAATCAACTCCACCAGAACCTCTGGCCTTCCTGCAGGTGGAGGTGGCAATGAGGCAGCCAGCTGACCTGGGGAGAAAATGCATAATTTGTAACTGGGAATCTTAGACAATGGAGACTGGCTTATGGAAAAAGCACTCAAAGACTATAACTCTGTGGTTTATCTTAAGAAAAAGCAAGCTAAATTTAGAAAAATGATTATTTCTAGCAATCAACAAAGTAATACTTTCATATTCTGGCCCATAATCACACAAATATTGATAGCCAAGCAACGTTATCAGCTCAAGCTTATATTAATGCAGGTTGAATATCTGCCTTTGAAAAGTCTAGCTCTTGAAAAGAAATTTGCATTCTTTGAAGCACTTATCTTTTCTAAAAGATGGAACAAACAAAATTAAGGTTTAGTACATTATAATTCCTTGTTATAATGAGAAATAGCCACAAGAATGTAAAATCAAATTACTTTCTCTCTTACTGTTACAGTTTTCTCTTATAACTCAACTTATCATTACTCTGGGCTGAAAGAGTTATTCATTGCAGAGGTGATTATACTATCTTAGTGAAATATCTTATTCCTTTCATTTTTCTGAGGTTAAAGAAATTTGAAGTTTCCTCTAAGAACTCACAGGAAAATTTTATATCATTTTGAACTCTGGGCATTTGCAAAATCAAATCTGGGGATCTGAAAGTTTTCTGGATAAGTTTTTTGTTTAGTTTTGTTCTGTTTTAGAAAGAGGAAAAATATCTGAGTGGTAAATTTTTAAAAGAAGATTTTAAAATGTTCTAAAATAATTTGTCTATTTTATAAATATGCTAATTTTAGGAAAATCACAAAATAATCTTTCAGCCTTGCCATGTAGATTTTGGAAAATTCTGGAAAGACCTTGAAACCTTTTCTGTGGAGAAAATGTACTTTTAGATATTTTACAGTGTTATTTTGTTATAGTCCCAATGACAAATGAATTATTTTCAAATTTACCTAGTTAACAAATATTTTGCTAAGCATTTTAAACATTAGACCAAATCAGTATATTCGAACTTGAAGGAAATAATAAACTACTTTTGAATATATATTTGATTTTAAATATTATATATCTGAGTAAAAATTTATCCTTAAATAAACTAGGAAAAGGACATTTAGTTTAAAACAGGGAAAAGCTATCTATGGAAATGATTATTAAGAATAAGAGAAGACAAATGACTGAAAAAAATAATTCATGATGATTAAAATGTTTGAATCAATACTTTAAATTGAGAACTATCTGGGCAGATTGATCATTGCTTGCAACAGTATAGATGAAACAAAATTTGTTATATTTAAAGAAAAAGGTTTAGAAACAACAGATAAATTATGTCTACTTAGAAAATCAAAATTAGTATTCCTTTGTCAATTGTAATATTAGTATGTATTAAATATATTAATACATTTTCCATTTTACCATGAAGCTTTATTGACTTTTGACTCAATACTTTCATTTGGTGTTGCTTCCCCAAATTGTGTGCAATTTGCATAGCAGAGTTTTTTTTAATTAATTGCATAAATGTTCTAAAGAGCATAATAAGTAGGTGAAATTTATTATTTATTCAAGAGGAAAAAGTGATTTTGCTACAATACATATACAGTATAGAGAATTTATATCTATTATGCAGAGTAGTCAAATAATTACATTTTATGTTTACTGCTGCTATTATGAATATTGTTTTATTACTTTGTGAACTTAAATCACAGGGCTTAATTAAACTGACCTCCACATACAGTAATAGCTTGTGTAAAATATACAAAAAAAAGGGCTAGAAAAAAACCATTTGGAATAGGGCATGAAATAGAGCATGAAAATTCAATTCAGAGTGATAAATTTTGAGGATTATTATAAAACTCTTTTTAAAATACCAAGCATAATCATTTCTAGGCCTGATATTTGAACATTATATGATCTATCCTGATTTATTTTATGTATTTATGGCTTGTTCCACCATATAAAACACCTCTGTTAATTAAATTAATTATATGTCAACAGTCTCTCATGCATTTCAGTTATCCTATTTGGCTAACAAAATATGATAAGGCTAATAATCCCATAAAAGGCTAATATTTCAATAAATAATTTCAATTTCTGCCCATCATGTAGGCAGATGACATACATTTTATCACTTAGATAATCTACTTAGAGTAATTTATTTTAAGGCATATTATAGTAGGAGGATTTCTTAATATTTGAAAAAACTTTAAAATATTTAAAAAATAGAAAATAAAAAGTATACATTGAAAGGAAGAGAAAAATTTTAATCACTATCAACATCATTGATGTTTGTCTTTCAAGATTTATTTGACATAAATACAATCGTTCCCTTAAAAAAAAAAAGGCATTGTTGTATTGTATAATGTACTTCTATACTTTAATGGTGTTTGCAAAATATTTTGTCAGTGTTTATGTATCAGAAATATTGACTCAATCAGCCAATCAGCAGTTACTGGATGTTTGCAGGTTTCTTAAAACATTATTAGACAAATTCTGTTATAAATATTGTGTTCGCACACTTCCCTAAATAGTTCTCTAAGACATATTTTTGAAAGTAGAATTGTTAGGTACAAACACACATGGAGTTTTAAGAATGTTGATATGAACTGCCAAATTTTCTTATGAAAGATTCTACTAATACACACACGTTTGCCTAACTCTCTGTACCTCACCCAACTCGAGGACTATTTCTTAAAGGCACGATAAAGTTATTTTTATTTTTGATAGCTACCAGACTTTGGTTATATCAAATATCAATATAATTCAACATCCAAAGCTGCAGAATATAATTATCTGTTGAAATAGTCTAGTTTATAAAAACACTATTAAAAAAGCAAAATATGATACTTACGAACACAATCACCTCCTGTTTCAGTTTCATCAGAACCACATGGGTGTAATCGTGCATCAGAAATAGCTGCCAAGGGTTAAGGTTTGTATAATTATTCAGCTGGGCATGAAGATATACATCTACATATATCCAAGATGACAATTTATTGAAGGATGATTTAATACAGACTAAGACTTTCTTAATTCTTCTCTTATTTCATAACATTTTTTTCCTTTTAAGGGTGAGATCAAATGAAAAGATAAGGCATCATATTTCAAAACAATCAAAGCTTTAATATCTTATTTTCTAAGTACAAATCTGCATTTTTAAATAGTGAGACACTGACAACATCAAATGCTGACAAGGATGTGGAGCAACAGGTGCTGGTGAGAATTCAAAATGGTACAGCTATTTTGGAGAACAGTTTAGTGGTTTCTTACAGAACTAAACATACTCTTAGCATATGACATAGAAATCATGCTCCTCTATGTTTACCCAAAGGAGCTGAAAACTTATTTCCATAGAAAAACCTGCACATGGAAGTTTATAGCAACTTTATTCATAATTGCCCAAACTTGCAAGCAACCATGATGTTCTTCAGTAGGTAAATGGATATGCTGTTGTACATATAGACAGCATGGAATATTATTCAGCCTTAAAAAGAATTGAGCTATCAAGCCACAAAAAGACATGTAGGAAACTTAAATGAGTATTAAGTGAAAGAAGCCAATCTGAAAAGGCTACCTACTAAGTGATTCCAACTATATGAAATCTAGGAAAAAACAACACTATGGAGACAGTAAAAAGAGCTGTGGTTGTCTGGGGTTGAGAGGAGGGAGGGGTGAACAGGCAGAGCATAGGCAATTTTTAGGGTAGTGAAACTAGTCTGTATGTTCCTATCATAGTGGATACACGTTATGAGAAATTTGTCCAAACCCATAGAATTTACAACACCTAGAGCGGACCGTAATGTAAACTATAGACTAGGTGATAATGGTGTGTCAATGTAGGTCATCAATTATAACAAATGTAGCACTCTGGTGGGGGACGTCGACAATGGGGTTGGGGGACTATGCATGTGGGAGATTTACAGAGTATATGTGAAATCTATAATAATAGTGAAACACACTATAATCTCCAGAAATGTATACAACAGTTGGTTTTATGCCAGTTCCTTGGTAATCAATTCCCCATACTCATTTACAGGATTATACCACCAATGAGCCAAGGACAGAGATGGTAATACTTAACAACCCAATGTTCTAAATACAGTTAACTGGCACAAGAGCAACTATCTAAACAAAGGTAGGCTCATCAGATTGCTTCTTGAAAGAATTTAGTATTTAAACTAAAAGACACGAAGTTGGAAGCTTTAGGGGATATAGTATACATTTTTAACTTCTCATAGGCTACATAGGCTAACTTTAATTGATATGATGCTACTTCACATGTAGTATAAGGACCTAACTAGCTTGCTAAGTAGAAATACAAAAAATATAACACATATTCATATTTCCATAGAGTCTTCTAAATAAATAATATTTCAAATATATAAACTTTTTTAGAATTGCTTTGATTACAATTATGATCTTGAATTAATATTTTTTCTTGACTTCTAGAAGGCTCTAGGGATATATAGATTGTGTAAATATATACACATATATATGAATTCTGTGAGAATCAAAACGTCTTCATGAGACTATGATATTAAAGTGAAATTTTGCCCTCTACTATTTGCTGTTTTGGTGATTTTAAAATTAAATATTATGACTCCTAGCTAGATAGGGGCTATTGGTTGTAGACAGCAATACGTCCAAGTAAAAAATGACATTTCACAGACTGCCTTCGAAGATAGAGATGATCCTGGGAATTCTTCTAAAGTAGTTATGATAAGAAGGCTTTTTCCAAATAAGCTCCTTAAAAGGGAGTAAATTTCAGTTAGCAGAAGCTCTCTTTCACCTTTTGAACTTTCTCTTTTATCCTGTCTAAATGCAGATAAAGAGGCTAAAACTGGAGCTTCATCCTGTCACCATGAAGGAAAAGATTAGTGACTTTCAGAGACCTCAGCCTGACATTGTAAAGTGGCCAAATTGCCATCAGCAGAGAACACCTGCTCCAGATATTTGTTCAGTAAGAAAAAGAAACTCTTAAGTAGATTAAGTGACTGTCATTTTTGTTTGCTATCTATGCAGTCTAATTTAAGTTCTAAACGGTATTCCAAGGCAAGCTTCTATCGGCAAGCCAGAGAGAATAATTCATGCATATGTTTGATTAACAGACATTAAGAGTAAAAAAATAACAATTGTCTCCCAGAATTCCTTCTCCCTAATTACTTAGAGGACTTGAATATGGAGATTATGAGGTACTTTTGAGTGTTCTGGGTTAGGAAATCAAGTGGATGATAGTGACATTAACAAAACAGAAAATATTTTAAATTTGGAAGGGATGTCATAAAATGCAAATTTTAAATATTATGTTTTTAAATTCAGTGTAAAAAATATTTGTGGTGAAGTGATTATTTGTATTTTATGTTATTCCCTGGTGTGAAAGTTTTGTTTTCTTTTTTATTAGTTGTCAATGTTTCTTAAACTAATATAGATAAATGATGGGTTTTTCCATGAAACACAGAATTTTCCACAAATATTTGGTAATATTATAGGAAGATGTATAAAAATTAAATACTTTTTATGACAAGAGTGCCAAAAAATATTTTTAAAATATTTCAAAAACTCTTGTCTTGGCCACCCAATGAGATTGATGCATCTCTCTGGATTTTCTCCTTCCTAATGAATGCCACTAGCTATACTAAACTGAGCAGATGCTGCCCTTTCTTAGTAAACAGACTGCCAGTTTTAGCTGGACAGCAGCTGTGTACAGAATGTGAAGGTTTACCAGCTCACTCCCTCAGGATAATTCTCCATAGACTTCTCATTGCACACAGAACAAAACGCAGAGCTCCCTAAATGATCAGGCCTTGCGCTTTCAAACCCCCATCTTGTTATGTTCTCCCTCACTCATTGAGATCTAATATTTCTGTCTGGCTTTCACTCTTGTGAGTACAACATACTCTTATTGCCTTAGGGCCTGCTGCTTGCTGCAGCTGCTGTTTGAGATGTTCTTCCCCTTGCTTTCTGTCTGACCAAGGACAGTTTAACCTCCAGCTCTCAGCATCAGTGCCCTTTTGTTAGACGTTTCGCTGGTGACGCTTCATTATATATTTCATCCTCTCTCACCTTCAGTATTCTCTTCTACAGTATTTTTTAATATTTTCATTCATCAATTGCAATTTATAATTGCATGAATACTCTGTGCCATGTGGGCAGGGACCACATTTGTTTTGGTCACCCCTCTGTACTAAGGAGATGCTGTGTTGATTAGAAAATAAGCATAACTCCAGCAGTACATATGTGTGAAATGATTAGTGCGTTATTATTATACTTGTGGAATACTGCCAATAAATACCTATTTGAATTAATAAATTTTATAAGTTTATTATTTTGATCTTATTATAATAATAAACAATAATTTAGCCTTATTTCTTTTTTAAAGATAGAACTACTGCCTTGCAGTTAATGATAAAGTAAATCTAAACAATTCAATTTTCCATAAATGTAGTATGTATTTCAAAACACTGAAATAAAATTATATGTTGAGAACATTGTCTTAGTTTCTATAATCATGTAAAGTAGACAATAATGCATTATTTGCTTTGAGATTATGGCCAATAATGATATATTACATCAACTTTAGATGTCATTTGGAAATAAAACAGTAGTTAAAAACAGAATGTGAAATTGGAGTGTGTGTCATTGTTTTTATGAAAAAAGATTGCATTACAGACTCAGCAAAAAATTAACCATAGGAGAAAACTTATTGTAATTATTATTTTTGCTGACATTAAGAGAGATTTCTGAGAATGCTAGAAATTTAAAGGAATCAATTTTTCTAATAATACTGGTTTAAATTCCAAAGCTATGACGAGCAAAATAATTTTTGAGATTGGGTATTTTATATATATGTGTATATATACATATTTATGTATATTTATGTGTATACACACACACACACATATATATATAAATATATTGGTTTATTAAAACCTAAAACTATGTTTCCTTTTAACTACTATAATAACCAACTAAGTGATTTTACTTGTTTGCTATAATTGTGTGATTTGGGGTCGGCTAGCTTGGGGAGTCTAACAACCTCAGTAATAAAATGTTCATGAGTGTTACCCATATAATCATCATTGTTGCTCAATCAAGTGTTCATCTGCTTTGATAACACTGTCTAAAAGAGTGTCTCCCGGAACTTTCAGTGTCCTATATATGGTTGAACCCAGGTAACTAAATTGGGGTTTGAGATTCACAAAAAGGTCGCAAAAATAATAGAGAATTTGCACTTATCAATCTTCCACAAATGTTAACATATTACAAAGCCATGATATATTTGTCAAAACTAGGAGATTTACCTTAGGAGTGCACTCTCAAATAAATAAACTGAAGACTGTACTCAGATTTTACGAATCTGAATTTTTCAATTTTCCCAATCAGGATATCCCATTGCATTATTCATTATTTTCTAATCTGTGACTGTTTTTTATTCTTTCCTGGTTTTTCATAATTTTGACATTTTTGAACAGTACTATTCAGGTATTTTGTTAGTGTGTTCTTTAATTTGAGTTTATATAAACTTTCTCATTATTAGACTAGGATTATGCTTTTGGGGGAAGAGTACTACAAAAGAGAAGTGCTCTTATTATTACATGTTATCAGGAGACATGTGATGTCAACATGCGTTATCACTAGTAAAGTTAACTGCAATCACTTGATTAATATAATGTCTGCCAGGTTTCTCCACTGTAAAATTAGTAGATTTTTTTTTTCCTTATCATACCCAATTATTTGGAAACAACTCAAATGCAGCCAACAACCAAAATGAGGGAAGTTATTCAAAATCTTTTAGGTGAAGTAGTAGCAACAATAATTTGTAATTCTTTAAAGACGCTTCGTTTCCTTGCCTCTATTTAATTATCTACTCATACATTTATAAAGTAAGAACTTAGGGATATTTACTTTAATCTTTGAATCATATTCAGTTTATTTTTAGATATTGTCTGAAGCATTCCACTAGAATGTAAGTTTCATGAAGGCAGAGATCTCATTTATCTTGCTCATCACCGTAACTCTGAGGCCTTAAATAATTTCTGGCACAGGATAAACATTCAATAAATATTGGTGAATGAAAGATGAAATAATATAAAATGTATATTTTTATGATAACTTTTACTCACCCTTCTTCATCCTTTAATTAAAACAGGAATGGACTTGAGGAAACCAAAGAATTTTTAACACACTCAATCATTATGTCCAGTGGAAAAATGTGAGATGTCTGTTTTGATGCTTTCACGTGTGGGGGGACTTTACAATCTTGGCAAAGAACCCTAAAGAAATTTGACCAATGTAAACAGAAATTTAGCTTCAATCTAGCAATAATGGTAGACTGAGTATCTTACTGAGATTTGCACTAACTCAATACAACCTATCCAGAGAATGGTACGAATGGCAGAGTTCCATGAATAACAGTCATGTGAATTACTGGTGTTTTCTTACCTTCCGCACAGTAGCCCATACATCCCTGAGTTGGTTGTAGTAAGTATACAGAAAAGTTCCCACAGTTTCTTACAGACACTGGGATTTGAAAGAGACAGCAGTCTTTTGTAGTGCTGAACAAAAACTGCCATGTTGCACAAGCTGTCAATTGCTTGATCTCCCCAGGAGATGGCAGTGTTTCTGAATCTCTCAGAGACAGCCAGATGGGGGCCTGAGTTCCACAATGGTTCATCTTTTGCAGGAGAGAAAACAAAAGTTGAAAATTCAGTTTATTTTCATCCATTGTAGATATATCAACTTTGCATTTTATTCTAATCAAGCCTTAAAATATCATTAATCATTAAAAAAATTATGGCTTGTACCTGTTCTATACAAGGAAAAGTAGTTTTAAGGAATACTAAATTTAAGGGTACACATCTCATAATTAATATACTCATTCAATTACACATTCAATGTAAATATTAATACATTTATTCCATTCATTACATTTGTATTGTAAACAAGGGAAATTAGATCTCAGATACCTTACTAAAATAGCTGATACATTCTAAAATAAGACAAGTCAATCTGAAGTTATGTTAACACATAACACAAAGATAAACTGATCTTGGAAAACTCTTGCAAAATTGCTTGAAATAGTATGCACAAGAAGTTAATGCATAGTTCAGGAGGCAATAAAATCGGGGAGAAGGAAGGTATTGTTCAAAATCTGGTGATGGAAAAATTGTTTAGTAAGTTAGAAATAATACAGTTTGGTGGGGTGCGGTGGCGCATGCCTGCAATCCCAGCACTTTGGGAGGCTGAGGTGGGCGGATTGCCTGAGGTCAGGAGATCGAGACTATCCTGGCTAACATGGTGAAACCCTGTCTCTACCAAAAACACAAAAGAATTAGCCGGGTGTGGTGGCGTGCGCCTGTAATCCCAGCTACTCAGGAGGCTGAGGCAGAGGAATTGCTTGAACCAGGGAGGTGGAGGCTGCAGTGAGCTGAGATCGCACCACTGCACTCCAGCCTGGGCGACAGAGCGAGACTCCATCTCAAAAAAAAAAAAAAGAAAGAAAGAAAGTTTAAACCTCACTTGAAGTCATTTATCAAAATCCTTTTCAGATAAAAAATAGAATTAAATAGAAAAATAACCCAGGAAAAATAAGAAGAAACTATGTATGACTTGGGAAGAACCAGGGCCCTTACTAAATGCATGATCTTGGACAAGGCACTCAACATCCTTCTCTTTTATATTAGGTGGAAGTGGTACCCACCTCAAAGTGCCATAGTGAGGTATAGATAAAGTAATGTATATAATGCAACTTCTACATAGTAATGGCTAAAAAATCGTTAGCCAGGTTATAATTCTTGTTATTATTTCTATGCTTCAAAGCAAAGGAAAAACATAAAGGAAATATTGATATATGTGATTGAATTATAATTTTTAAAATATAAAAGTTAAATAATAAAATTATATGTAAATAGTACTATATTGTGTTATATTTATGTATAATTATACTATATTTGTTATTTTATTTTAACCATGTAATATTATCCATTTAAAAACTCTAAGACTACAAATGGGCAAAATGTACAAATAGGTAATTCACAAAAGAAACACAAATGCCTAATAAATACATGAGAATATTCAGTATTGCAAAAGGTATGTTTATGTACTGCTATTGGAATTAAAAATTATCACTATGTTTTAAATGAACAACTATATGTATCAAAAGCCTCAAAAAGACTTTAACCATTACTAATTTAACTTATAAAAATCAATCTTACTAAAGACACTAAAATTAAAACAATAATTACATGTACATTCGTCAATTGCAGAATTACTTATTATAGCAAAATCCTGAATGTCCACACATATGGTGATGGTTTAAATAAATATGATACATGTATGACATAATATTATTTTCAAAAATTATGAAAATGAATTTATAATAATAGGAAAATGATAATGCTATAACTGTAACTGAAAAAGAATAGCATGTTTTTCAATTGAACATATAACATGAACATTACGAAATATAAATAAGATAAAACAATAGCAAAATGTTAATAACAGTAGTTATGACTGTGTGGATAGATTATGAAGAAATGTTGTTCCATTCCTGTTCTTTATTTCCTAAGCTTTATGTAATGCATAAGCATTATTTAAAACATTACAAATAGTAATTTATGTAAGTCCACGTGTATTAACCTGTAGAGAAAAAAAATCTATTGATTTTCTGGTTGAATACTTTAAAGCCTTAGTACAAAAAAGGAATGAGAGGGTGGGGATAGGGAACACTTCCTCCTGGAGCACAGCCTGCTCAGGTTAGCTGATCTCCAGGAAAACAGCCAAGGAAACTGTTTCACCTACACATTCGTGTGAGGTTCTAGAAACAATTATAGCTAAATCAGCCTTAAGAGAAAAACACAAATATTTTTAAATGTGGTGAAGTTCCTCCAATTTTCTCAAGCTTTTCTTTTAAATTCTGAATTTTTTTTAGTTCTTTACAAATGAAGTGTCACAAAAGCGACTAATGAGCAAATAAACAAAAAAGAGATAATGAGACTTAGCCACAATGCCACACATTAAAATTAAACACTGTTAAAATTTCAATGTCTTTCCAGAGATCTTTTTACATTAGTGCTTAAAAAGGAAAATGATTCCTGTGTCTGCAGTATTTATAAAATGTGAATAACAATAAGGAAAACAAGCCTTTTGCTAAGACATAATCTTATATGATGTGATCTCTCTCCAGGGGCCAATGGTAGTTGCATGACCTCTAGGTTAAAAGAAAATCGACTTTAAGAATGAACTCACACCCAAAAAGTGTATAATTATATAGGGTAAAATTGTGAGTGATGATGAACACGTTAGTAATTTGGGAAGCATGACACAGACATATGTCTTCAATAATACAATGCCTCTATTAGCTACCTATCACAACTGAACACCTATTTATGCAGAACTCACTTGGGAAACCAGTCAGCTGAGAAAGATTGTGATAAGGGAGAAGATCAGGTACATGACTTTGGTCATGTGACTCATGCTTAGTGTCTGTGTCCACATCTTTATAATGAAGTAACACTAGCTACCTAAAAGCATCACTGAGAGAACTAGTGAGTTTACATATGCAATAATGTCCGCAAGTGCAGGGAATTTATAAGCTGCAAAATAAACGTCAGATTAAAACCCTTCTTACCATTTTGATCATATAACTTAGGATGCTGAGTTAATGGGCTTAGTGTTTTGACAGATTTAGACTTAGTCTCATTCCTTAGATCATGTGGATAAAAATGTGGTATCAATAATAAGAGTTGAACTGACAGGATAACTGGTCGAAGTATGATAAGTAGAAATAATGTCTATTTCATGACAGTATCATTAGATGAATGGGGACTATGAACGAATTAGGGGAACTTGCATTTGAAAATCATGCCAAGGATAAGTAGAATTGTCAATAGAAATTCAGAGTGGCTTGGATAAGTAATGCAAGATAGCTGAGGGACAACCCAAGAAATCACACTTTATGTTTTTTCTTCTGCTTATTTTTTGAAGCATTTTGGAAGAAAATGTATTTGTCAAATGAAATAAGAATGAAAGAAGCCACTTGGGCTAGTTCACTATACAAGACAATGCTATGATCACAATCATATCGTGTTGTAAAAAGAGTGAACGTTACGTAAAGTTAAGTTGCAAAAAAAAAAAAAACACATCCGATGTGAGTTCATGTACAAAACCTTTTTAATTTTGTCCATTTAAACCTGATGTGTTTGAAAGACATACACTTACATATTCACAAGTATAAAGAAAAAAAGGTATGCTGGCTGCACAAATTTGGGGATTGAGGAGAGAGATTCAGTGAGATAAGGCCATATGCCTCCAGAGTATTGAATGTCCTGCAGGTACACTGTCTTTCAATTGTGATCAGAAAATACCTGGAGATTTCACTGCCAGGCTGAGTTCTTATTAGTCTTAGAATAGGAGGTGCTGAGCCCGTAAGTTTTACTCCATCAGTTAAGAAATGAAGTGACAGGTAACAACTGACAAAAACAAGCACTTTAGACACACAGTATTTTACTATTTGCAGGTAATACAGCTAAGCACCTGAGCCCTGGAGAACGACTGCCTGTATTCAAAACTCAGCTTTTTGACCTGCTACCTGTGACTGTAAGAGCACTATGCCTAAGAATATATGTTTTCTGCACTGTTTGATGGAAATGATGATAGATTGTATGCTACAGTTGTAAACTTTTATACAAGATATTGTCGGTGAAAGTGTTTCTGGACTGCATGGAGCATAACACTAACAATTACTATTATTATTAGACTAGGTAATGTGGGAATAGTCTTTCAGATTAACTCAATACAAAATTAAAACAACATTTTAGCATGAGAAATAAGCTGGTGGTAAAAAGATACAATTCTCATATGAAAAACACATAAGGAAAATAACATGCAGTACTTAGGGAGTTGACATACCTCAACACATTTGGTTGGCATCTCGGCAGGTCTGTCAAGGATGAGAAATCTATACCATCCAGGGGAGAGGGAATGGTCACATATTAGGTCTTGAACAGCTGACTGCTGGAGGTGCCATGAGTCAAAACGGACACTTCTATAAGGACTCCGAAGAAACTGGTGTCCCCCAGGAGAGCACTCCTGAGCTAGTATGGAAAGACAGGTGTTTTTATGTAATGTGTTTTGTTTGTTGACATAGTTCGGTCCTCAATTAAAATTGATTCCCAAAACAAAAAATAAAGCAAATAAACTCACTATTGCACATAAAGACCCTCTGAAATGTCAGGGTCTCTTAGTAAGTCATAAATGACTTAACTAACTTGCATGTTTCATAAATGCGATAAACAAATCAACAAAACTCTTTAGAATGTACTTTTGAAACACTTAAGCTTTAAGAACTTTATTTTCATTTAATTCGAACAACCAATAGAGCTGGCTGCTCTTGAGTTAGGATGTCAAGTCACAGGACCTACAAGGATTTCTCTTGGGCCTGGTCCTCTGGATTTGAATATCACCATTATTTCTCTACAACCAGTTTCTCCCAAAGTAGCCACATGCCTAAAAAATTCTATTTCTGCCAAATCATGGAATGCAACAAACTGAACTAATCTTTTAATGCTAACTCAACAGGTGTAAAGTGCTTTCAAACTAAAGTTTACTGCATTCTTGGATGCAGAAAAACATTAAAAATTTTAAAGTTATTTTCCAAAGTTTTGGAAGTATGCCTACTAAGCACAGGAAAACGAATGGGATGGAGGGGAGCAGGTTTGAAGGGGAAACAAGAAAAGCCCATGGCGAAAGGGAGAATTATTTAGTCTTTTTTAGGAAACCTTTTATCTGAGTAGTCTTTGGCCTGGAAGATACTTTTTCCATGAAATCCACAGAGGCCGAACAAAAAGCTCCACTTTCCAGCACTAAAAGTGGACAGAAGAGCAGGCAGTGAAACAGTTATCCTAAAATGCAACTCTTGTTTGAGGCTCCTGTGCTCCCAAATTACCCAAATAATAAGCACCACAAGGAACTGTCTGTATTTGAATACCAGAGTATCTTGTTGGCACAGTTGATAGAAAATCTTCAAATACTTATATTATATTTATTGATGGAAAACACTGTAATAAAGATGGCATCTATGAAATAGAAAGGTGAAAGAAACAATTCAGTCACTAAAAATACCTCATCGTGGAAAAACCTTATCTAACTAAAAAATTATCAAATACTTATTATATAATTTTAAATTACAGAAGTGTTTATAAATCAAAATCAATTTCTCAACTTTAATAAGGAGAACAAAAAATCAGAGATACTAATTTACAAGTGGATCTCACAAGTGTAGCCTACGAAAAATAAGTCATTATAATTAGAATTATATTTCTGCTTTTTATTTTGTTTGTAGTTATGGCAATTAAACTATACAAAGATATTATTTTCCAAATGATCTCTCTACAGAATTTTTTTTAGTACAAGATATTGGAAGTCAACACAAAAGGCTCCTCTTTCTTTTGTCTCTAAATCTTCCATAGTTGTTAACTTCCCAAAAGGCTCCGATGTCAACACAAAGTAAGTATTTTATAAAATATGTGTAGATAGGAGTCAAGGGATGTGCTATCATTTCATCTAATTTTAGAATATCTCTAATATCCTTCAAAACAAGGACATTGCACCTGGTTAGAATCTTTTAAAAAAGAGACTTTGAAAGATATTCCTAATAAGGTGTGCATAAATTATTAAAATGTTTTCTCTGATCTCTTTTCTACAACAGAATTTCGTCTTGGGAAAAAAATCAATAACTCCATCTTTATTTTGTGTAGTATTCCTCCTTACTCAGCACCTTTGTAGTTCTTACATTTCTTCTGGTTTAGCTGCTTTGATAATTGTTTCCTAATACAAAGCCGAAAATGTAAGATGTGTAAAAGAAATCACTACTTGACATCAACGACATTACAGAATTGTGTAATATTTAACTCAAAATTTTATTTATTTACTTTTACTCAATATTTATCTTATAAGATAATTTTAAATTCATATATTTTATATCTATTATTTCATAACTTTTTTCTAAAAATCTACTTACCTCATTTACAGTGTTCAAGGACTATATAGAAAGTTTAGAAATCTTATTAGCAATAATCAAGCCACATTTTCAAAATTTTATTCCAACCTTAGCTCTAGAATGCATGATACAGTTAAGTGAGGATTATATTGATGGCTTGGGCTCTCATTTGAGGATCTGAGGACTACGTTCAACAAATACTAAAAGAATAGCTCTACAAGCCCATCTCATTCATCAGTCAAGTTCATAGCATGATATACAGAGCTTTCTGGCAAACTGACAATATAACTTTTCCCCTCAAAAAAAGTAGATATAAAATATACATTAAAATGTATACTTCCATTTATCCTTCTTCCTGATATTATTTAAGAAAGTTGGGTAATATATAATAGAATTTACAGTACTTGAATTTCATATACTTTGGAAGAATGTGTCAAGTTAGAAATAATAGATCCACAGTGATAGCATATGCAAATAATTTCCTTTTTTTATTTCTATATATGAGGTAACCTGTAATAGATTATTTTCCAGTTTAATGTAATGACCAACCTGCATTAGATTATTTTCCAGTTTAATGTAATGACCAAGACTAGAATTCTCCAAAATTCAGAACTGGTTAATAAACAATATATTAAGAAGCCAAATAAATCATTTTATTTTTAAGAGATAAACATGCATAACCCTTGGTGACAGGTACTTCATAATAACTGAGTTTGCAATTATAAAATCTTCTGTATATTATCCTACAGGAATTCCTACAGGAATTTCAAGTATTTTTTTAGTCTTTAAAATCTTATAACTTCTTCAAAGATTTGAGAAAGAGAAAAACCACTTTTGATCCCCAAATGTAATGAGAAATAAAAACTAATTTAGTTTCTGACATTCAAAATAGAATTTTGTTGGAAAACCATTCCATACTCATGGATTAGAAGAATCCATTGTCTGCCAGATGTGGTGACTCACGCCTATAATTCCAGCACTTTGGCAGGCCAAGAGGCCAAGGCAGGTGGATCACCTGAGGCCAGGAGTTGGAGACCAGCCTGACCAACAAGGAGAAACCCCATCTCTACTTAAAAAAAAAAAAAAAATACAAAAATACAAAATCAGCCAGGTGTTGTGGTGCATGCCTGTAATCCCAACTACTCGGGAGGCTGAGGCAGGAGAATCACTTGAACCCAGGAGATGGAAGTTGCAGTTGGCCAAGGTCATGCCATTACACTCCAGCCTGGGCAACAAGAGTGAAACTCTGTCTCAAAAATAAAATCAAACAAACAAAAAAGAATCAATGTCATAAAAATGGCCATATGCCCTAAGCAATCTAAAGAATCAAGACTATTTCTATGAAACTACCAATGTTGTTTTTTACAAAATTAGAAAAAAAAAACTATTCTAAAATTCATATAGAGCCAAAAAAGTGTCCCAATAGCAAAAGCAATCTTAGGCAAAAAGAATAAAGCCTGAGGCATTACATTACCCAACTTCATACTATATTATAAGGCTACAGTAACTAAACATCATAGTAGTCATTCAAAAACAGACACACAGACCAATGGAACAGAATAGAGAACCCAAAAATAAAGCCACACACCTACAGCCATCTGATCTTTGTCAAAGTCAACAAAAATTAGCAATGGGAAAAGGACTCCCTATTCAATAAATGGTCCTTGGATAACTGGCTAGCCATAGGCAGAAGAATGAAACTGTACCCCTACTTTTCACCATATGCAAAAATTAACTTAAGATGGATTAAAGATTTAAATGTAAGACCTCAAACTTTAAAAATCCTAGGAAAAAACCCTAGGAAGTACCTTTCTGGACATGGGCCTTGGCAAAGAACTTATGACTAAGTTCTCAAAAGCAGTTGCAAAAAACCTAAAAATTAACAAGTTCAACCTCATTAAAGAGTTTCTCCACAGCAAAATAAACTATCAATAGAGTAAACAGACAACCTACAGAATGGGAGAAAATATTCACAAACTACGCATCTGAAAAAGGTCTAATATCCAGAATCTATAAGGAACTTAAATATTTCAACGAGAAAAAACAACCCCATTGAAAAGTGGGCAAAAGACATGAACAGATGCCTCTCAAAAGATGACATACAAATGGCCAACAAACATGAGAAAATGCTCAACATCACTAATCATCAAAGAAACGCAAATCAAAACCACAATGAGGTATCATCTTACACCAGTCCGAATCACTATTATTAAAAAGTCAAAAAACAACAGATGTCACTGACGCTGTGGGGAAAAGGGAACATTTATACACTGTTGGTGGGAATGTAAATTAAATCAGTCACTATGAAAAGCAGTTTGGAGATTTCTCAAAGAACTGAAAAAAGAACTATCATTCAACCTAGCAATCCCATTATGGGTATATACCCAGGGAAAATGAATTATTCTACCAAAAACACACATGTACTGGTACGTTCATCCCAGCAGTATTCACAGTAGCAAAGACATGGAATCAGCCATGGTGCCCATCAACAGTAGATTGGATAAAGAAAATGTAGTATACCTGAAACTGGTCCAATTGTCCCACAGAACTGATCTTTATGGTTTCTTTTGAATAAATATAGAAATTGACCCTCCCAGTCTTAAAACTTCAGAAAGTTTACAACTGTCTTATCTGAGTTCCTTTCTCAGGAAACCATCAGGCCTCCCAGATGGTATCAAGGAACTGAAACTTACCAGATTACCACATCTGGAAAATGAGATTCCAAACCCCTACCCATCATGATTGCTTAACTGATCATCAGCTTCCTGTTGACCAACTCATCTTCCTTATTCCTCCCTAATTCCTGTATTCCTACATGTAGCTATATTTCTTCCCTGCTATATAAACCCAATTTTAATCAGTCAGAGAGATGGATTTGAGACTGATCTTCCATCTCCTCAGCTGGAGCACCCTATAAAGCCCTCTTGCCTAGCAATACTCATTGTTTCAGTGATTGGCTTTTTGTGCAGGATGTAGACTAAACCCCTGGCATTTCAGTAATACATATACACCATGCAGCACTATGAAGCCATAAAAAAGACTAAAACGTGTCCTTGGCAGCAACATGGATGCAAACGGAGGCCATTATCCTAAACAAATTAATGCAGAAACAGAAAACCAAATACTGCATGTTCTCGCTTATAAGGGCAAGCTAAACATTGGGTACCCACAGACATAAAGATGGGAACAATAGACACTAGGGACTACTGAAGGGGGAAGGAAGGAAGAGGGTAAGGGTTGAAAAACTACCTATTGGGTACTATACTCACTATCTGGGTGACAATATCATCCATACCTCAAACCTCAGCATCATGCGATGTACCTTTGTAACAAACCTGCACATGTACTCCTTGAGAATCTAAAATAAAAGTTGAGATTTTTTTTAAAAAAAATAGAATTTCAGGTTCTTCAGCAACACAAATGGTTGAAAAGCAAGGGAAAATAGAGTGACTAGTTTGCTAAATCACTTTACATTGGCTTTCTTTACGTATCAAAAGACAAACTGAGGTCCTCTTCTGCACACAATTAGATTGAAAGTAAAAGGGCAGAAAATAATATATTCTACAAGCAGCAACCAAAAGAAAGGTGGTGTGGCTGTACTACTATCAAACAAAGAAGAACTTGAAACATAAACGTCTTACCAGAGACAAGAGGGACACTTTATAATGATAAAAGGGTCAATCCGTGAGGAAGATAAAGCAATTGTAAACATAACTGAACCTAATAACAGAGCACTGAAATATGTGAAGCAAAATGCAGCAGAAACGCAGGGAAAAAATACACATTTTAACAATAATATTTGGAATCTTTAATATCCCACTTTCAATATCAATTTTAAAAACAGGCAGCATAATATAAATTAGAACAACAATATAAACCAACTTGACCTAGCAGACATCTATAAACACTATTCCTAAAAATATCAGAATATAAATTTTCCCCAAGTGCACATGGAATATTCGCCAAAATAGACAATCCGCTAGACAATAAAACAAGCCTTGATAAATTTAAACAGAAAGCTGGGCATGGTGGTATGTTCCTATAAACCCAGCTACTAGGGAGGTTGACGTGGGAGAATTGCTTAAGCCCAGGAGTTCAAATCCAGCCTAGGCAACATAGTAAGATCCTATTTCTAAAAATAAAATAACATAAAATAAAAATTGAAATTCAAAAAGATGAAATTCATATAAAGTATGTTCTGTGATTACAATGGAATGAAATTAGAACTCAATAACAATGAAATTTAAAAAACTTTACAAATATGTGGAAATTAAACAACCGAAATAATCACTGAGTCAAAGAATAAATGAAAAAGAAAATTAGAAAATACTTGAAGAAATGTTAAAATGAAGACACAATATAGCAAAATGTATGGAAGGCTGCTAAAGTAATTCTTAGAGGGACATGTATAGACAGGAATATGCCTATAGTATAGGAGAAAAAGATGAACATCAAGTTAACCTTGCACCTTAAGACACTGTAAAAATAAGAGCATTCTAAACCTAAAGGAAGCAGAAGGAAGGAAATTTTAAAGATTGGATATAAAATTGATGGAACTGAGTATAGAAAAACAATAGAGAAAAATCAGTGAAACCAAAAGCTGGTTCTTTGAAAGAATCAACAAAACTGACGGACCTCTAACTAGATTTATGGAGAAAAGAAGAGAGAAGATTCAAATGACAAGAAGCAGGAATGAAATAGGGGACACTACTGAAAACCTTATTAAGGAATACTATGACTGCTATATGCCAATAATTATAGATAACTTAGATGAGATTGACAAATTTCTAAAAAGACAGGAGCTGCAAAACCAACTCAAGAAGAAAAATACAATCCAAATAGATTTATAACAAGTAAAAATATCAAATCAGTCAAAAAACTACCCACAAAGAAAAGACCTGGCCCAGATGGCATCAATGCTAAATTCTACCAAACATTTCAAAAAGAATTACCACCAATTTGTCTCAAACACTTTCAAAAAATAGAAGAAGATGGAACACTTTCCACCTCATTGTACGAGCCCGGTATTATAGCCCATTATCCTGGCTACCCCGACAGGAAAGCCAGAAATATATATAACAAGAAAAGCTGACTATAAACCAATACATCTCTGGAATATGAGTGAAAAAATTTTCAGCAAACAGAATCCAGGAACATAAAGCATACATATAGAAAAATTATGACCAAGTGAGATTTATTCCAGGAAAACAAGGTTGGTTTAATAACTAAAATCGAATTACTATAATAAACCACATAGATAGCATAAAAGCTGAAATCCACATGTTCATCTCAACAGACACAGGGAAAGCATTTTTAAAAATCCAACACCTTTTCATGATAAAAACACTCAACAAACTAGGAATAGAAGGAAGTTTCCTCAACTTGATAAAGGATATATACGAAAATCCCATAGCTTACATTTTATGTGATGAAGAAAGACTAGATGCTTTCCTATAAAATCAGGAATAAGACAAGTATGTCTACTCTCACCTTTTCAATGCCACATTGTACTTTAGAATAGCTAATTCTACCCAGGGGGATTAACCAAAATAAATAAATAAAAGATATCCAGATTGGAAAGGAATAAGTAATACCATCTCCATATAGAAAATTCTAAGGAATCAACTAAAAAAACTAAAGTATAGTAGCCCCTCAGTATCCACAGGGGATTATTTCCACGACCCACAGAATGGGAGAAAATAATTGCAAATCACATATCCAATAAGAAAATTATATCTGGAATATGCAAATAACTTATACAACTCAATAAGAAAAAGGCCAAGTACTCATTTTTTAAAATGGCAAGATCTGAGTATTTCTCTGAAGAGAATAAGCAAATTTCTCATAAGGGCATTAAAATGCTTGACATCATTAGCCATTAGGAAAATGACAATCAAACTACAATGAAATACCACTTCACAACCACGAGGATAGGTAGAATCCAAATCTCAGTTAATAAAAAGTGTTGATGGAAACATGAAGAAGTTAGAAGCTTTACACACTGTTGCAGAAATACAAAACAGCACAGCCACTTTGGAAAACATCCTGGCTGTTCCTTAAGTAGTTAATCACAGAGTTACCCTATGACCCGGTATTTCCACTCCTAGGCATATATCTCGGAGAAATGAAAACATACATCCAAACAAAACTTGTACCTCGGTGCTTTATAGCAACATTATTTATAATAGTCAAAAGGTGGAAACAACTCAAATGTTCATCAACAAATGAATGTACATACAAAATATAGTATATCCACACAATGGAACATTATTCTATCTTAAAAAGGAATGAAATACTGGTACATGCTACAAGATGAATGAACCTTGATAATACTGTGCTAGATGAAGTAAGCCAGTCACAAAAGACAACCTATTATATGATTCAGTTTACATAAAATATCCAGAATAGGCAAATGCAATGAGACAGAAAGTAGATTAGTAATTCCTTATCGCTGGGGAGAAAGGGAGGGTGATAGCCGGCATGCGGCATGATAGCCCAGGGTATAGTATTTCTTTCTGATTGATAAATATGTTCTAAAATTGACTGTGGTCATCGCTGCATATACCTGTAAATATACTCTGAATATACACATATCTGTGAAAATGAAAAACCATAGAGTCGCACACTTTGAGTGATTTGTATGGTATATGAACATCTTAATAAAGCTATTTGAAAAAAAGAAGTCTCAATAAATGCATTTTCCATTTACCTCGTCTTCTAGTTTTACTCCATTAAACATAAAGAACTTGACAATGTTACCAATGTTATGAACTTAAAACCTGGTAATGGGTAATATTTGTCTTCAGCAGAGAGATTACAAAGCTATTATATAGAGGCAAAAAAGGGTTATGCGGTCTATAGTAAACATGAAATCATCTTCCTTTATAAACATTGGTCATTTTTTTCCTGGAAATATTTATCTAACTGTAATGAACAGATATATGTTATTACATGTATTTTTTAAAGTTATTCATAAAGATTTAGTAACGCTGTAAGCAAACCAAAGAAGGACCAGAAAAAATATCATTGCAGAAAATAATAAATTTGATTTTAGTATTTTATTTTTAAGTTTTGTATAGGATAGTGTTTGTATTCCCCTTATACAAAGCAAACTTACATCAGTAAAATGAGTTAAGATCAAAAAATGATAAGACAAAACTATACCCTGGACTGCTATAAATGTTGTACATAATGTTTTTTCAAGCTGCAGATGGTTGAACACAGATCAGACTTTTTCTGAAAAACGTAAGGAAACTTGCAATATAAGAACAAGTCACCTTTCATTAATATTCCTATCTGTATGAACACAAAAAACAAGCAAAAAGGGCTAATGAAAGTAGTTTTGGTTTAACTTCACTGTATTTTAAACTAAATGTTCTTTGTCATGGATTAAAGAAGTAGGAGGGGAGTATTCGCTCCACAGAGATCTCTTTTACAGTGCCAAAACTGATTCTAACATATATATACAAAAACCATAATACAGTATAATACGGATATACAAAACTTAACTTGGTGATTTATTGTAGGGATAAAATGTTCACCAATGAATTATTTCTGAGGGTCCGGTTGGAGGTGGAATTCGTGCAGTATGGAATTCAACTCTGTTCTGAGAATTCAGGTCCACTTGCGGCTAGCATACCTTGCAGATCCGGCGAAAGTTTCTTACAGTAAATTACAATGACCTCAAAGAGCAGGATAACAGCAGGAAACAACCAAAAACAGAACCAAGGGTCGTAGAGTAAGAGGAGGCAACAACCGCATGTGCGCAAAAGAAAAGTGTAGAGTTTTCAAGCTGGAAATTGACCTTTTCAAAGACAGCAGAGGGACAGAGAGGAGGCGGGTGAGGAACAAACATCGCTTGCTGCCTTAAAACGCACAGGGACGCTCCCCAAGTCGTCCAAAAAGTCTAGCCTAGTCCCTCTACCGCCCACGCGGCGCCACTGCGCGCCCACCCCCGCGCGCCCTACCTCGCTTACCTTCCCCCCAGGCCAGGAACATCAGCGCGATCACCAGCACGCAGGCTCCGCCAGGCATCGCTGCTTCCGCAGGTGGGGCGAAAGGCGTCGCAGAGCCCGGGCCGCGGGTGCCAGGAGGATGGGGCCACAGCAGCCCCTCGGGCCTCCTTTCTTGGATTTTCTCAGTCTGTTGCTGCTTGGAACAGGGAAGCTCCGCGTCCTCGTTCTGGGGTGCACCCAGTCCTTTCGTGGGATAGAGCCTTCGCGTAATCCGTCTGCGACTCCTCCCTTCCCATTTTGGCTGCTGGCTGACCTGAAAGCCACGCCCAACCTGTCCCCATAGCCCAGCGTGTACCGGCAGTGGCTCCGCCGCCTTGGATGTCACCGTGCAGTCGCACAGCCAGGAGTCAAGCTACAGGGATGTAGCTCTCCGCCCGCTGCGTCTTGCTGTTCTAACAGAGGCTGTATGAAAACTTGGTAATCCTAGAAACTGCTCAGATGGACCTCGCATAAAAGAAGCCTCACAAGGTTCCGTTGGAAGGGGAAGTTTCCCATGATTGTATCTGCAGACGGATTCCTAACTGCGTAATGGGCGCTACTGGTTTGCACCCCAAGGCGAAGGCGCTGAAAATGCTCCTGTCACCTTAGATCTCAGTGATGAACGACAGGAGGAGGAGTAGACACTAACGTTGCAACAGTAGATGCCTTTTCTTCTGCCTCTGTGACAGGTTTTCAGAAGTGGAAAGGACCGCATTTAGACACTAGCCAAACCATGAGGTTTGTCACCTGTATTTGCCAGTGATTCCCAGAGCTCTTACAGTTGTCCCAGGACGCTTTAGCACATGGCCACACGACTCCCAAGGTTGACCTGGGAGTTATTAGAAGATCAGAGGGCTCTAATGTCTTCCCCCAACCTCGTTTTTGTTTTGTTTTGTTTTGTTCGAGACAAGGTCTCACTCTGTCACCCAGGCTGGAGTGCAGTGGCACAGTCACAGCTCGCTGGAGCCTTGAACTCCTGGCGTCAAGCGATCTTCCCCCTCAGTCTCCCAAAATGCTGGGATTACAGGCGTGAGCCACCGTGCCAGGTCTAAGGTCTTCAGAAGTGTGGTTGCCTCTGCAGAGGAACAGGGTCCTTTTTTCAACTGATTCTACATCTTTTTATGTCTGAAAATGAAACCTCACTGTCCTAGTTTTTCCCTGGCTGTCTCATTCCTTGAGTCTCCCATCCATCACCTTGCACTTGGTTCTCACAGAGCCTTTACCTGAAGAGGATAGTTTGGGGGTCCAAGTGGGCACCAAGGTTCCACCCACAAATTTGGAGGTTCAAGGTTGGCCTAGGCATGGTGGTGGAAACAGGAGGTGTCCAAATGCATAAACAAGTATTTTTTTAATTTCATATAATTCTTTATTTTTAATTTGAAAGGTAAATTACCATTTAAAATTTTAAAGCTTATCATCTCCATAGTAAAAATATTAACCCATATTGGAAATAATTTCTTTTTGGTACACAATACTTGTGTGTAGCCATCTTTCAAATGCAGCAAGGGCACCCAATTTTCTGGATTAAAAATAAAATATTACTTTTTGGTGGACGGTAGACAGGTGATTTTTATCTTAAGGCTTAAGTATGGAAGGGCAATATAATGTAGGCACAATGAAAACCCAGAGATTTCTTAGTGTACAGTTAAGTCTTTTGTTTCCGCTTAAAAAATTCTAATAAAACAGACAAGAAATTAAATGTCAGTTTTCTCAATCTATTTGTGAAATCACCAGGAACAAAGTAATTTGATGTGAATCAAATCATAGCAGGACTTTTGTGAATTTATTTTCTAGCAGTATCTATACAAATGTAGTAAACTTTTATACTTTCTTGGAGGACAACATTACTTATCTGACTTCCATCAAAATACAATTTCAGGTATCGTGGGCCTTATTTTTTTCTTCAGTTTTTGATTGTTTATGAGTTTATGAGTTTACAATAAACTTGTGCCAAAACCCAACTTCCCTCCATGTGACTAAAGATGGAAAAAACTAAAAGCAACTTAAGAATTTTTTTTCAAGTCTCAGTAACCTGGCTTGGATCTGCAAGAATGTATCAATTAAATGCTGGTTATATCACGCCTGTAATCCCAGTGCTTTGGGAGGTCGAGGCAGGCGGATCACCTGAGGTCAGGAGTTCAAGACCAGCCTGGCCAACATGGTGAAACCCCATCTCTACTAAAAATACAAAACATTAGATGGGCGTGGTGGCGTTCGCCTGTAGTCCCATCTACTCGGGAGGCTGAGGCAGGAGAATCGTTTGAGCCCAGGAGGCAGAGGTTGCAGTGAGCCAAGATAGCTCCTCTGTACTCCAGCCTGGGCGACAGAGCAAGATTCCATCTCAAAAAAAAAAAAAAAAAAAAAAAAAATTAGTTATAGAACTGTATGGAAAACAAAAAGTAATGAAAATGTTTTAATCTATGTCTCGTGAAGTTAATCAAAAATTGGTATAAGATTCTTTTTTATATTTTTGAACATTAAAAACAATGGATGCATGGTACCCCGCAATATAGAGACTGACAGCACTTGTAAAATGCAGTAAATATCACTGAGACAAATAATAAGAATGTCAGAGGGAAGAAGAAATGAAGCCAAGTGCTAATAAGTACAATATAGCTTAAATTAAAAGATTAACAGGAGAAAATTTTCAAATGATAATTTTCTAGGAAAAGGAGATAACTCAGTTTTTGTCAGGTTAATTTACAAAGTGATGGGCTTGAGTGAAAAAAAATACCAAATTCAAGGGGCAGAAAAACCCAGTGATTAAGTCCACAAATCCTAGGTTAAAAACACCTGGGCTGTAATTCTAGATCTGCTACCTATTTATCAGAAGTGTAACCTTGAACAGCACACTCAACTCCTCTTAACCTCATTTTTCTGTACAATAGAAATGACAATAATAGTACCCCATAGACTTAAAGAATCAAAAGTGTATGTGCATGCCTGTGTGTGGCTGGGAGCGTGGAAGAGCATCTGGAGAAAGAGCACTCAGAATAGCATTTGGTCCAAAGTAGCTATTATGGTCGAATGTAACAGTTTACTGTTATTAGAACTAGGGTAATATTCTACATAATTATACTTTCTCTTATGTCTTATTATATAAAGGTGCATCATTTCTTGGCACTACTCTATTACAGTGTCTGCACAGTTTGGAGTAACCTTCCTGGAAAATACATATTTATGTAACATATGAATTCCTCATCCCATGTTTTACTAAATGAGTGAGCCCTTTTCCAGAAATGTAAAATTGATAGGATTGCTTCTGGGGTTTACTTGAGCTGAACACAAGTACACTCAGAAGCAGAGGCTAAAACATACAGCAGGTCCTTGGTCATTTTGTTTAACGTTATTTTGTTATAACACTGATGGAAAAAATCGATTTCCAGCAGAGGCCAATGTCTATGTGGAATTGGCACGTTCTTTCCATGTCTATGTGGGTCTTCTCTGGGTACTCCCGTTTCCCTCCACTTCTCAACTCTCTGTGTGTTGGGTGAATTGGCATGTCTACATAGGCCCTGCTTGAGTGATTGTGGTTGGGTATGTGAGCGCGCCCTGCGGTAGGATGGCTTCCTGAAGAGAGCTGGTTTACACCTCATGCCCTGAGCTCCTGGTGTAGGATCTGGCCACCTGTGATCCTGAACTGGAGTAAGGAGGTAAATAATTATCTTGTTTTCATTAATCTTTACTCAATGTATGTATAGTTTATTTTACTGTTTAATATTAGAAGTATTTTGGTCTTTTTTTAGAAGTTGGTGATGTTTTTGTGACCAGAAATATGGTATAGTAATTTAACTCATGTTGATATCAATTTGTCTGTAGTAAAACTGGTTTCATTACATGTTGTTTCACTTTACATCGCAGTTTTCAATAACCTATGGACACCGTTGAGGACTCATTGAATGTGGCTATAAGTGTGGTCAAGTAATGAAAACTGATCAGCTGAGGGAGGAAAAAGACAAAAGTGGATGACCAAAATGAAGGTGAGGTGAGAAACAACATGTGAGAATAGAGAAACAGAGAAAAGCACTCATACACGTCCACACGTGCACACACACACAAAAAGACAGAGAGGAAGAGAGACAGACAGACAGTGACAGAAAGAGAGATATGCTAATTCCTGATGGCTTTCCACTCAACAGCTCCAGAATCTTTCGAGGACTGCCTATGTTTCCTGTTTTGGATTAGGAAAATGTGGCACATATACACCATGGAATACTACACAGCCATAAAAAATGATGAGTTCATGTCCTTTGTAGGGACATGGATGAAACTGGAAACCATCATTCTCAGCGAACTATCGCAAGGATAAAAAACCAAACACCGCATGTTCTCACTCATAGGTGGGAACCGAACAATGAGAACACGTGGACACAGGAAGGGGAACATCACACTCCGGGGACTGTTGTGGGGTGGGGGTAGGGGGGAGGGATAGCCTTAGGAGATATACCTAATGCTAATGATGAGTTAATGGGTGCAGCACACCAACATGGCACATGTATACATATGTAACAAACCTGCACATTGTGCACATGTACCCTAAAACTTAAAGTATAATAATAATAAAATGTAAAAAATTAATTAATTAATTAAAAAATAAACAACAAATTTAAAAAAAAAAAAGAGATACCCCCAATACACTGCCTATAAATTAAGGTTAAGTGACTTTGAATTTGTTTTGCTGTTGTTGTTTATAAACAAAAGAATATTGTCTAAAACCTGTTTGAAAATATAAACTGTATAAATTATTAAATATTTGGTTGTGCTTATGCATTTGCCAGAAGAAACAGAAAAATGCACTTGAGATTTGTATTGAAACCTTACAGTGGTTTGTTTAGGAGGAAATGGACTCATCATTTGACCACATAGAAGCTATCCAATCAAAAAGTTTCAGGGAAAAGTATGGTGTGTTCATTGCAGAATGAAAGAAAATCAGCAGTTAAGCTGATTTTGTTATGACAAGCTCAATATGTTTCACAAGAAGATTATTCAGTGCTAGAAAGTCTAGAATACCATTGGCTTTTCCTTCCAACTAGCCAGATGACCACCTATAAATGATTAATAACTTCATTGTAGACAGTTATAGAGATTGTAACTGAAAATAGCTACAGAAAAGACAAAGATTCAGTGGTACTGAAGCCCAATAAGTAATATTTGCCAAATATACCCCATCTCTAATTCTCATTCATAGGCTGAACTTCCTGTCTTATAGTTTCTTTCCTTTTTCTGCATTTAAAAGTTCCTTCTTTTTAAAAGTGTTGAAAATGAATGAGAAAAAGCTGGATAGGAATGAAGAGAGAACCAATTTTGTTTCATTAAACATAGTAATAAAGAAAAACAGTTGATAGTTGAAAAGAGAATGCCCTAAAATCTGCATTACAAAAATGTTTTACCTGTGATATATCTGCTTCATACTGATCAAGAATTAGGGGGGAAAAATGTAATTTTTAAAGGAAAGGAATTAAAGCAATCACTTATTTAGTTATTCCTAGAAAGCCCCTTTAAACCTGGTTCCTCTTTTAGTCTTCCCTGTTTTGGAAAATGGCACTATTGAGTATCCCTCGTCACCAACTAGGAAAAAGGCATGAGGCTCCTCCCTTCTCTCTCATTCATGACTCCTCCTTTGTATTCAATCCATGAATAAGGAGTCCAAAGAAATCTCACACTCACCTGTTGTTCTGTGTCTTCTCTGCCACTCTGCTGGTCAAGCCTCCCCATGACTTACGTGGATCACTGCAGAAAATACCACATTTTTTCTCTGAGCTTCACTCAGGCCCCATTCAATCTACATCTCTGCCATATAATACCGGGATGAGCTTTCAAACTGTAAATCACACCATGTCCCTGCCCTAAAACCTTTCACTGGCCTCCCATAGATAATGGGTAAAAATACCAGAGGACTGTTACCTGCAACAGCTAGCCCCTGCCTACCTGTTCAAACTCAAATACATTGCTTTTCTCCCACTCCCACTCTCCCTCCTCAGCTCTCATATGTGCTATACTTCAACTCACTAGCCTTGTGAACGTTCCTAAAAGTTCCTAAAAGAAGGCAACCATTGCCCCTGGAAGGACTGATTGTTTATCCTACAGGTCTCAGCTGAATTTCGCCTCCTGAACACCCTGTTTAAATTGGCTCCTTACCCCAGGTCATTCTCTAGCGTTACACTATTTGTTTCCATTTTAGAACTTAAACTAAATATTTAATCTGTATCCTTGCTTATTGTCTGTTTTTTTGTTTTTGTTTTTGTTTTCTTACTAGAATATAAGGTCTATACAGATAGTGGTCATGGTTCTTTTACTCACCTCGCAGTATCCGTGACATGAACGAATCTAAGATTAGTATTTTTAAGGATAGAGTTCTAACAATGTCCATATTAAAAGAAGAAATGAAACTCTGACTCTAATTTTACTGTACTTTAAATTAAATATCAATTCAACAGAAACACGCCAATTGACTTGGTTAGAAAATTAGTATTCAGGATACATTTACTATCTTAGATGGTGGTTCTTAGTCCTTCAAACACTATGTTAGATTCTGATTGCCATTTTAACTAATTACCACAAATTTTGTAGCTTCAAACAACACAATTTTTTACTTGTTTATTTTATCATATTACCTTATATATCTGGAAGTCAGAAGTATGAAATGGGTTTCTTTTTTCTTTACTTTGTTGATTATTTGTCGTTTATTTTGTTTTATTATTTCCTACTTTTATTTTTTCTCAGCATTGAGGTATAATTGATGAATAAAAATTGTTTATGCTGTTTGTTTGACTACCATCTCCCCATTTGTACATGATATTTCTATAAACATGTACATTGTGAAATGATTACAGAATCAAGTTAATTAACATATGTATCACCTCACATAGTGAACCTTTGTGTGTGGTGGGAACACTTAAGATCTACTTTCTTAGCAAATTTTAAGTATACAGTATAGTATGTTAGTATATTAACTATAGTCACCATGCTCCCCAGAATTTATTCATCCTGTGTAACTGAAACTTTGTACCCTTTGACTAATAGCACCCATTTCCTCCACCCCAACAACCCCTAGCAACCATTATTCTACACTCTGCTTCTGAGTTTAACTGATGTTTTCAGATTCCACATATAAGTGAGATCATGCAATATATTTTTTTCTCTGCCTGGCTTATTTCACTTAGCATAATGTCTTCTGGGTTCATTCATGTTGTCACAAATAATAGGATTTCCTTCTTTGTTAAGGCTGAAAAATATTTCACTGTATATATATGTATATACACATCATATTTTTAAAATTTATTCTTCTGTTGATGGACACAGGTTAATTCCGTATCTTCACTATTTTGAATAATGCTGCAATTAACAGGGGAGTAAATATCTCTTTAAGATACTGATTTCATTTCTTTTGGTTATATAACCAGTAGTGAGATTGCTGGATCATGTGGTAGGTCTATTTTTAATTTTTTGAGGAACCTCCATGCTGTTTTTTATAATGGCTGTACCAATTTAAATTCCAACCAATAGTATACAAGGGCTTTCTTTTCTCTGCATTCTTGCCAACACGTTTTATGTTTTGTCTTTTTGATGATAGCCTTTCTAACTGATGTGAGGTGAAATCTCTTTGTGAATTGGATTTGCCTTTCCCTGATGATTATTTGATGTTGGGCATTTTTTCATACATATATTGGCCATTTGGATGTCATCTTTTGAGAAATGTCTATCCAGATCCTTTGCCCATTTTTTAATTGGGTTATTTCTTCTATTGCTATTGAGTTCCTTATGTTTAATATATTTTAGATACTAACCCCTTATCAGATGAGTGGTTTGCAAATATTTTCTCTCATTTTTTCAGGTTGATTCTTTGCCGATTGTTTCCTTTGCTGTACAGAAGCTTTTTAGTTCAATGTAATCTTATTTGTCTATTTTTGCTTTTTATGCCTTGCAAAAATGAACAAATTACTTTTTGAAGTCATAGGCAAAAAATTATTGCTCAGACCAAGTGAAATAAGCCAGACACAAAAAGAAAAATTCTGAATGATCTCACTTATATGTCATATCTTAAAAAAATAAAGAGAGGATAAAACAGTAGTTATTAGGGGCAGAGGAGAGGGGAGCATAAGGAGATGTGCAGATCAAAGAATACAAAGTTGCAGGTATGTAGGATGAACTGTAGGGGTCTAATGTACAACATAAGTTCTGTTGTTAATAATACTGATGTCTTCAGGATTTTTGTTGAAAGAGCAAATTTTAAGTGCCCTTGCCACAAAAAAAAAAAGGTAAACTTGGGCCAGGCACGGTGGCTCTTGCCTGTAATCCCAGCACTTTGGGAGGCCGAGCTGGGCAGATCACGAGGTCAGGAGATCAAGACCATCCTAGCTAACATGGTGAAACCCTGTCTCTACTAAAAATACAAAAACTAGCTGGACATGGTGGCAGGCACCTGTAATCCCAGCTACTCGGGAGGCTGAGGCAGGAGAACCTGGGAGGCAGAGGTTGCAGTGAGTGGAGATGGTACCACCGCACTCCAGCCTGAGAGACAAAGTGAGACTCCATCTCAAAAAAAAAAAAAAAGTAAACTTCTGAGATGATGAATGTGTTAAATTGCTTAATTATAGTAACCATTTCACTATGTATATGCATATCTAAGCATAGTGTTGTACACCTTAAATATATACAATAAGAAAGAAACTTTTCCTCTATATTTTGTTCTAGTAGTTTAAGGTCTTAAATCTTTAATTCATTTTGAGTTGATTTTGTGTATAGTGTGAGATAAGGGTCCAATTTTATTCTTCTTCATGTGGATATTCAGTTTTCCCAAGATCGTTTATTAAGGTACTATACCTTCCCATTGTGTGTTCTTGAGACCTTTGTCAAAGATGAAGTGACTGTAAATGGTGGATTTATTTCTGGGCTGTCTATTCTGTTCCAATGGTCTATATGTCTGTTTCTATGCTAATACCATACTGTTTTGAATACTATAGCTTTATAATGTATTTTGAAGGTAAGCAGTGTGATGCTTCCAGCTTTGTTCCTCTTGCTCAAGATTCCTTTGGCTATTGGGAGTTTTTTGTGGTTCCACATAAATTTTAGAATTGCTTTTTTTCTATTTCTGTGAAAGATACCATTGGAATTTTGATAAGGATTGCATTGAATCTGTAGATTGCTTTGGGTATTATGAATATTTTTTAAATATTAATTTTTCTAATTCATGAACATGGTATATCTTCACATTTATTTCTATCTTCTTTAATTTCTTTCATCAATATTTTATAGTTCTAAGCATATAAGTATTTCACATCCTTGACTAAATTTATTTCTAAGTATTTTATTTTTTGATGCTATTGTAAATGGGATTTTTAAAAAATTTTTTCATACTTTATTGGTGTATAGAAACACAACTGATTTTTGTTTGTTAATTTTATATCTTGCAATTTTATGGAATTCATTTATTAGTTCTAACAGTTTTTTAGTAGAGGCTTTAGGTTTTTTATATAAAATGTGTCATCTGCAAACAGATAATTTTACTTATTTTTTATTTGGATGCACTTTATTTCTTTTTCTTAATTGTTTTGGCTATCAATACATATTGAATATAAATGATTGAAGTCAATTTCACTGGGCTAAAATCAAGGTGTTAACATGCCTGCATTTCTTCGGAAGGCTCCCGGGAACAAATTCCTTTCTTTGCCTGTTCCAGCTTCTAGAGGCCTCCTGCTTTCCTTGGTTCATAACTCCTTCCTTCATCTTTAAAACCAGCTACATAGTATCGTCTCTCCTCCCTGACCTCTGTTTTATTCCTTAAATCACTCTTGGACTCTGATCCTCCTTTTTCTCTCTTATAAGGAAACTTGGGTTTATACTGTGCTTATCTGGATAATCCAGGATAATCTTCCCGTCTCAAATTCTTAACTTAGTCACATCAGCAAAGTTCCTTTACCATGTAAAATAACGTATTCACAAACTCCTGGGATTTACACCTTGACATATTGGGGACTAGGAGGTTGTTATTTGGTCTACCACAGCTGGGATTTCAAAACCTCAGCTATCTACCACAAACACATTAATGTACTAGTATTTAGCTAGCTCAAAAAGTAGAAACATAAATTTTATTTATCAGGAAAAAAATTAATAGAAACCTTTAATGCATTGTTTTCACACCAGCAAAATAAGAGAATTGTACTATATAATTGCAATAGGCTCTTTTTACTATAAAATTGGAGTATTTGAATGTGGAAAAATAAACCCAATGATACCAAATGTTTTGCAGAAGACTAAGAAATTACTTTTCAGATGTTTTGTTTTTGACATTTTTATTTAATAAAAGCAATTTTTAAATGGCTCTCTTAATAAAGAAATTAACTTATTTCAACTTAATATTTTCCACATTGTGATTTTAAAATGAGATTGGAATACTAAAGTTCCTTTGAATGTAGATGGAAAAGATGTATATTTCCCTTTCAACAGCCATCTCTATGTATACTAGAAAGTAACACTGTTTGCATCTGAAGTATACATTAGAAAATACCTTTGAAATCAAAGTTTCTGGCTAGTGTCATGGCTTTATTTGAATGTTATTTACTCTTCTACAAGCCTTAAATAAAACATTGTAGCAGGTGGTAAAGCTATGTGACATTTCTGTTTTGTTTATATGATTTATGTATTCATCACTTTCTAAATCACAAAGCATTATGAATCTCATAATTATAACTTGTAATATAATGGATAGTTTGCAACTAGAAATGGATAGTTATAGTTACAAAACAATCTCATAAATATAAGCATATTTAATTTTGTCCTGCTGACCCAAAAACCCACCCTAATTCAATTTGAAATGAGCCAGATATTTTAGAATATACAACCTCATTTTTTTAAAGTTCTGTTGAGATGTAGTTTACATAAAATAAAATTTACCCGTTTTTGGTGTATTACTCGATGAATTTTAGTATACTTACAGAGCTGACCACACATGACCACAATTTAATTTTAGAACATTTTTGGCTGGGCCTGGTGGCTCATACCTGTAATCATAGCGCTTTGGGAGACAGAGGTGGGCAGATCACTTGAGCCCAAGAGTTCGAGATCAGCCTGGGCAACAAGACAAAACTCTGCTTCTACAAAAAATACAAAAATTAGCCGGGCATGGTGCCATGTGCCTGTAGTCCCAGCTACTTGGGAGGCTGAGGTTGGAGGATCATCTGAAACTGGGAGGTCGAGGTTGCAGCGAGCCCAAATTGTGCCACTGCACTCCAGCCCAGGCAACAAAGCAAAAGCCTGTCTCAAATGAAAAAAAAAAAAAGGAACATTTTCAGCACTAAAAATAAACCTCATGCCAACTTGTAATTATTCCCCATTCCACCCTCCAATCCTACGCAACAAATAATCTTTCTCTATATATTGGCCTCTTTTTTGGACATTCCATATAGATGGAATCATACATGTTCTTTTGTGTCTGGCTTCTTTCACTTTTTGAGATTGTCTGTGTTATAGATTTATCAGTGCTTTATTTCTTTTTATTGGTAAGTAATATTTTGCTGTATGGTTAGATCACATTTTGTTCATTCATTAGTTAATGAAAATATTGAGTTCTTTCTACTTTTTGGTCATTATGAATAATGCTGATATAAACATTTAAATGTAAGTCTTTGTGTGAACCTATATGTTTATTATTTTGGGTAGATTTCTAGAAGTGAAGTGACTGTGTCATCTGAAAAATCTTTCCTTAATTGTTTAAGAAACTTCCAGCCAGTTGTGGTGGCTCACATCTGTAATCCCAGCACTTTGGGAGGCCTAGGCAGGCAGATCACTTGAGGTCAGGAGTTCGAGACCAGTCTGGCCAACATGGTGAAACCCTGTCTCTCCTAAAAGTATAAAAATTAGCCGGGCATGGTGGCACATGCCTGTAGTTCCAGCTACTTGGGAGGCTGAGGCAGGAGAATCGCTTGAACCCAAGAGATGGAGGTTGCAGTGAGCCCAGATGACGCCACTGCACTCCAGCCTGGGTGACAGAGCAAGACTCCATCTCAAAACAAAAACAAAAACAAAAACAAAAAAAACTTCCATAGTGTACTCCAAACAAACTTGTTTTAATATGGAAAAAAATTTTGCATATCATACATTTGTTCTCAGCTTCTAAGTATTCTTTTCCAAAATAAAAATTCCTCAGAAATGGTTTTATTAAAACATTAGGTATTGTTTTTTTCCCACTATTTAATTTTGAAACTGTATTAGCTAAAATGTTATATTAAGTATTTTTTAAAAAACTGATTACCTCAAAAATATCAATGCACTCCATTTGATGTTTTTTGTTTTCTTTGTTTTTTTTTAATTGTTTGATTGATACATAATAGATGGACGTATTTGGAGTACATATGATATTTTGACATGTCACATAACGCATAGTAATCAAATCAGGGAAACTGGGGTATCCATTACCTTAAATATTTGTCTGTCTTTATGCTGGAATATACTACTATTATTCTCTACTAGCTATTTTGAGTAGGCTATTGTTAACTATAATCACTCTATTAATTTATCAAACACTAGGTACATTCTTCTATCTGCCTGCATGGTTTGTTTGTTTGTTTGTTTGTTTGTTTTGAGACAGAATCTCCCTCTGTCACCCAGGCTGGAGTGAAGTGGCACAATCTCAGCTCACTGCAGCCTCTGCCTCCCAAGTTCAAGCAATTATCCTGCGTCAGTCTCCGGAGTAGCTGGGATTACACTATCTGCCTGCATTTTTGTATCCATTAATCAACCCCTCTTTATTCACTCCCCCGCTCTACCATTCTCAGCCTCTGGTAACCACCAAAATATCCTCTACCTTCATGAGATCCACTTTCTTAGCTCTCCCGTATTAGTGAGAACATACGATAGTTGTCTTTATGTTATTTCATTTAACATAATGACCTCCAGTTCCATCCATGTTGCTGCAAGTGACAAGATTTTATTCTTTTCCTGGCTGAATAGTACTCCATAATGTATATATACCATATTTTCTTTATCTATTCATCCAGTAATGGGTACTTTAGGTTGATTCCAAATATTGGCTATTGTGAATTTTTGGCTACAATAAACCTGAGAATAAAAATATATCTTCAAAATATAAATTTCCTTTCTTTGGCATGTATATCCAGTAGTGGGCTTGCTGAATCATATGGAAGTTCTGTTTTTAGCTTTTTGAGGAGTTTGTATCCTGTTTTCCATAGTGGTTGTACTAATTTACATTGCCACCAACAGTATATGAGTTCTCCTTTTCTCTCCATTCTTGCCAGTATTTATTATTCTTTGTCTCTTTGATAATAGCCATTCTTACTGGGGTGAGATGATATCTAATTTTTTTAAATTTACATTTCTCTGATGATTAGTGTTGTTGAGCATTTTTTCATATTCCTGTGGGCCATCTGTATGTCTTCTTTTGAGAAATGTCTACTTAGGGTTTTTTTTGTGCCCATTTTTTAATCAGACTTTGGTATTTTTTTGCTGTTTAGTTCCTTATATTTTCTGGTTATTAATCTTTAGTCAGATAGATAGTTTGCAAATATTTTCTCTCATTCTGTAGGTTTTCTCTTCACTTTATTGTTTCCTTTGCTATGCCGAAGATTTTTAGCTTGATGCGATCAAGCATTTTTTCTATTTTTCTATTTTTCCTATATTGCCTGGGCTTTTGAGGTCTTATTTGTATTTTTCTCTTTCCTCAGCTTGCCTGGGCTTTTGAGGTCTTATTTGTATTTTTCTCTTTCCTCAGCTTGCCTGGACTTTTGAGGTCTTCCTTAAAAAATATTTACCCAGAGCATTGTCCTTGAGTATTTTATCAATGTTTTCTGCTAGCAGTTTTATAGTTTCAAGTCTTAGATTTAAGTATTTAATCCATTTGATTTCATTTTTGTATATGGTAGGAGATAAAGGTCTGGTTTCATTCTTCTGCATATGGCTATCCAGTTTTGCTAACACCATTTATTGAAGAGGTTGTCCTCTCCCCAATGTATGCTCTTGGCACCTTTGTCAAAAATGAGTGGAATGTAATGTAAATGTATGGATATTTTTCTGGGTTCTCTATTCTGTTTCATTGGTCTATGTATCTGTTTTAATGCCAGTATCATGCTGTTTTGGTTACTATAGCTTTGTAGTATCTTTTGAAGTCAGGTAATGTGACGCCTCCCACTTTGTTCTTTATGTTCAGGATTGCTTTGGCTATCTGGTGTCTTTTGTGGTTCCATTTGATATTACATGAAATAAAGTTAAGTGAAATATCTTAAAGATTTCTGTTAGCGTAAAATTTGAATGACATATCTTGAAGTTAATCTCTAATATATTCTAAAACTCTTATAAATATTGCACCTGAATATCTTGCCAAAATTGCTGATATTTCTATTTTTCTACATGAATGATTTGCCTATTAGCAACCCTTTCAGACTTCTCATACTGCTTATAACACTAAATGGAAAACCAAAGGCTTTAGCGTGTTTAATTAAATTCCTGGATTTCCTAATATTTAGTGCATATATGTGAATTCTCATTAGATGAAAAAAAATTACTGGACTGGCAAACCTGAATTCAAGATTGGGATCTAGTACTTTAAAAACTAGATAACTTCAGGCAAGTTATTTAACAACTCATAAAATTTATTTCTTGATTAGTAAAGTAAGGCTCATAATCAATTAATACCAAAATAGAGAAGTGTTCAAGATTATCTAATTGATGGCCATACTCACCTCTGTAACATAATATTTTGAATCTAATATTGTGAATCTGTTGACCCCACATGATGCACAGGAAGGCATTTGGCATTGAGATTCTACCCAATGAAAGGCTTTAAGACAGATGCTGATTCTCTGAACCCAATATATCCTCACATTTGGAGAATGTGAAATCTCAACATGAAAAGTCACCTTCCAGGACCCCATTGCTAGGAGGGCTACTGCACTATACTGAAGAGACTGAACAATGTGAGGAAGTTCAGTGCAGTGGTTACAATCACAAGTCCTGAAATCAGACTTTTGTTTTGACAGCTGGCTCTGTCACTTTTCACCCAGTTAACTCTGGGCAAGATACTTGATTTACATTTGACTTCTTTATTTATGTCTAAAATAGTTAATAACAGTGCTTGTCTAATAAATGTATGTTGTGGATTAAACCCAACAACACACATGAAGTTGTAGCATGTACAGCATGAGGAACTTGTCCAATAAATGGCTGAAGCTTCTGTTATTGTTATTATCTATCATGTACCTATCAATGAAAACCCATTAACTCAGTATATATTTTCATTGTAGCCCCAAGAAAATGAAATTATAAGAAATGTTCAGGAAACTTAGAGATGGCATATGGCCTTTACGAATTCTCTCCCTTTCTCACTCTCTCTTCTCTCTCTCACTCTCACTGTCATTCTCTGGTTTTTTGTTTTTTGTTTTCTCTCTCTCTGTCTCTGTTTCCCTCTCTCCTGTTTTCTCCTACTCACCTCTTATAATTTAGCCAATACATCACCTTTAGCAAACTATCCTGAACACAAAGCCTGGGTAAAAGCCCCCCTCCTATCATATGCTCTTATGACTCCCTACCTTTTTACATTGATGCCCAAGTGTAAATGTGACATTAAGCATGATATGAAAGCTATTAATATCTGAAAAATGAAAATATACTGGTACCTATCATTGGTGTGGTGTAAACATTAAATAAAATTATAAATATATGCAACATATATTTATGTATAATACTTAGCATAATGTCTGTCAAATACTGAATGGTTAACAGAGATACTTTCTGTATATTTCTGTATTATTTACAAGCACAGTGACTGAAATATCCTGTTCAGTTGTTTGTGACAGAGCAAATATACCAACTAGAAATATGAGATCTAAATGGTCGTAATCACCATGCTAGTCATCACTTAGCCCTAGCAAGTCTAAATACTTAGTTCCAAACTGAGCCAGAACCATTGATCTATGGGTACTGCCCAACTTTTTCTCTATGTTTGGCAAACTTTTTCTCCAAAGGACCAGATAGTAAATATTTTAAGCTCTGTAGACACTATAGTCTCTGTTGGGACTATTTTACTCTGTCATTGTACAGGAAACACAGTCATAGCCAATATATAAATGACTGGGTATGGCTGTTACAATAAAACTATTCTCAAAAACAGACAGCAGTCAATTTTACCTGTGAGCCATAGTTTGCAGATCCTGCATGGATCCCTGAAAGATTACTTGTATTGTTATCTACTTGCCTTCCATAGCAAATTTTCTTCCTTAATTTCCAAATACATGATTTTTTTAAATTGAAACTCATTTCAAACCTACCTTAATATTGCATTTTCTAATCTGCCTAATAAAAATACAAAAAAAATCTGTATCTGAATCCAAGTTACCTATTTTAGAGCTGGAAAAGTCATCTAGATTAATTTTAAGATTAGGAATAATCTATGTAAAGAAAAGTGTATGTATCAAAGGCTTTGCCAGCTCTGCAGAAACAAGTTTGAGAAATGGCTGGAGGGTAGGATGGATATCTAGATGTCCACAGAGGCAAGTTAGGGGACAAATGTGTGTCAATGGTTTGGTGCAAGGCAGCTGGGAGAGGTGGGGATTATGGCATGAAGAATGCATTGGCCATATAAAGGGAACAGCTGCTACCACCCGCTGATTGTTGTACTGACAGAATTTGGGTCTATTTTGCCAGATAATCTTTTTTTAATAAAAGCCAAAACATTTTTTTCTTTTTGAATTTTAATGTTTTACATTTGTGAAAAACTCCAATTGTGAAATTTGGCAATTAGTTCAAAACAAAGAAAAAAGAAATGTTCAGACCTAAGAAGCAACTCTAGGGAGCAGCTGCCAATTAGCAACCTCTGCTCAAGATCAAAGTCCTCATTTTATTGGTAAGAGATGAAAGAACAGAAATTGTCATTTATTTCTGCTGTTGTTATTGTTGTTTTCTATTTCAATAGGTTTTTGAGGAACAGGTGGTCTTTGGTTACATGAATAAGTTATTTAGTGGTGATTTCTGAGATTTTGGTGCACCCATCACCTGAGGAGTGTACACTGTACCCAATGTGTAGTCTTTTTTTCTCTCATTCCCCTCCCACCCTTTCCCTCACGTCCCCCAAATCCATTGTATCATTCTTATACCATTGTGTCCTCACAGCTTAGCTCCCACTTATGAGTGAGAACATACAGTGTTTGGTTTTCCATTCCTGAGTTACTTCACTTAGAATAATGGTCTCCAAAGAAATTGTCATTTCTTTTTTTTTTTTTTTTTTTTTTTGAGACGGAGTCTCGCTCTGTCGCCCAGGCTGGAGTGCAGTGGCGCGATCTCGGCTCACTGCAAGCTCCGCCTCCCGGGTTCACGCCATTCTCCTGCCTCAGCCTCCCGAGTAGCTGGGACTACAGGCGCCCGCTACCACACCCGGCTAATTTTTTGTATTTTTAGTAGAGACGGGGTTTCACCTTGTTAGCCAGGATGGTCTCGATCTCCTGACCTCGTGATCCGCCCGCCTCGGCCTCCCAAAGTGCTGGGATTACAGGCGTGAGCCACCGCGCCCGGCCAGAAATTGTCATTTCTTGAGTAAGGCTGCCATTTGATCTCTGACCCCATTGTCGAAATGCACTTTCACTAGCACATCGTCTTCGATTTTGGAAGAAAACTGGGCTAATTACGTAGCAATTATGGGTGCTGACTTTGTGTTGGGCAGACCTCGTCTGGAAATGTCAGCTCTGGACCCTGTTATGTCTCAGCTTCCTCACTTGTAACATAAGAGAAATGAATGCAAACCTCATAGGGCAGTGGTCAGGATTAAATGGAATAATGAATGAAAAGCACTTAGCCCAGTTCCTGGCATACGGTAATCACCTGATAAATAGAGCTATTATTAAATTTTAGTTTGGAATTAAAATGTTGATATGAGGTAGGGAGAAAAATGCAGGTCTAATTAGCTTCAATGGGTAAGTGTGACCATGCACATGTATGTATTGTGTCTTTCTGAGTCTATAGAATAAATATCTCCAAAAATTTTCACATAAATCAGAACTGTTTCTAAAATTTTTTAGCTTGCAATTAAGAAAAAATAACAATATGAGTTTCTGTAGAAGTGTCCAAGGATGAGATTGTAGCTCTCCATGTGAAATCAAATCATATAGGAGTGCCTATCTGCCAGGTGAGCATGAAACATTTTGTATCTCAGTTTCACCTTTAATATTCTGACACAACCTGGATGAGGAAGAAACTATAACTCAAAATAAGCACAGAGACAAACATAATTTACTATAAAATGAAACCAAACAAAATTGTCATGTTGAGGAAACATGCAGGTTCTTGTAAATTGTCATGTTGAGCAACAGCTTTAATGATAGACTTCGAATAAAATGAAGCCTTTGTAAAGACCTCTTTCTTCTCCTTTAACTACCAAAGAAGATTCCTAGTCTTGCACTAGGGAACTGAGTTTCCTGTTCATTATATTTTCAGAACCACAAATTGTTTCTATTGAATAATAGTTTCAACTCCAGGCTGTCATGGAAAAGCCTATGTCACTAACACACTATAATAAAAGGATTTTGTAGATGATAGAGGATATTATCTGAATTAAATGAAGAAAGGTTTCAAAAGAATATAAATTATTATGTTCAGATTTCATTTCTTAAAATCAAATGTATAGCACACTATATAGAGGCAGGATATGAACAAGAAGATTCCTGGGAGTACTAGCAGGAAAAAAATCTTTTTAATAGTTCTCTTTAAACCCCAATTCCAAACAGTGATCAGTTCTTATAAATCAGTATGACCTATTGCTAATGATAATCTCTAAAAGCAATAGAGTAGGTGCCAAATTGGACACACAGTTAAATTTTTACCTCCCTTAATTGCATTAAAATTTCAAATAAATTGAAATATTAATATTTTTATATTTTGTTTACTTATACAGGCCATGATTTGTTCAGTACTGTAACTGAGACAGAGATGATAATGCATGAGTCACTTAAAAATAGTGAGAAAGCTGTGTTAGTCAAAGTTCTTGCAGGAAACAAACACTGTGATATTATAAGTAGAAAGGGATTTAATAGAAGGATTGAATGATCATGAAGTTATTGCAAGGGCTGAGAAACATAATGTAATCTGGGTCCCAGGCATTTCAGAGCAGAAAGATCTGACCTGATACGAGAGCTACTACCTCTGCCCTTGTCAGGAATGTGATGAAATTCTCAATGCCCCTGCAGACAGACACTCACACAGCTCTCAGTGGCTATAACATTGGTGAATGGAAAATGGAACAGAATCTGGCCACCACCCTTACTAAAATACCTCTAGACATACATGAAACTGAAGACGGGGCACTGGAATGGAGCACTGCTACAGAAAACCTACTTTTCCATAGTCTTTTCTGTATGGACACATAAGAAGATGAACATGGCTTCACATGTGCCTCTCAAATTCCACATGAGTAAGTCAAATGGTGGGAATCCAATTTGCACCTGGAATACTACCTAGAGCAGGTAGTAGACGCAAAGCATTTCATTGTTTTAGCAGCTGTGGTACACGAGAGGAGAATAGCAGGAAGTTGGAATGAAAGCTGAATGCCATCTGACAATATCCAAGACAAAGTTAAGGAGCCAGCTAATCCCCTGAACAAAATATTAGCCATACCCAATAATCCTTCTGTGGCCCCCCCCTTATTTCATTTGTCTCTTTGTTCCTTCTGCTAATTAATCCTTTTTTCCCCAGCAATGTTCTTTGTGTCCTCAGTAACCCCATACTATAACTGAGCTCATTTACCCTCAAACTCTTCGTTGAATCCTTACTCTACGCTCTTGTCTTGTCTCTGTATGGCCACACTGCTTACGAGGAAAGCACTCAGCGTTGCAGTTTTAAGGAAAGCATTTGTTAGACCAAATTTGAAAAGTTACAGTGTCAGCATTCTCCTGAATTTTCAATGTCTCTCTTATTAAATTTTCCCTTTAAAATATCCTGATTCCCAACTCTGATGATCATGAGAACTAAACACACTTTTTACCCCCTCTCATTACTGACTTTCTGCCTACTTACATTTGTTGAGGACTTCAGCATCTGGACCACAGGTTTCTGTCCTTGAACCTGAAATATCTCTGAGTTATTTACATAGATTGTGAAAGACATTTTTATATTGCTGAATTCATCGTCTTTTCATTCTCCAACTTTAGTGACTCACCACTACTCTATTTCAACACATTCCAATATCAAATTTCTTCTTGATGAGTTGACATTTTAATCAATTCATAATATCTTTCTTTGTAGCTTGTAACGTATTTTTGTTTTATAACCATTTTGTCTGATAGTGATACGGCTCCGTTGTCTGGGGAAACACCCAGGGTCCTTGGTTTCACACCAAGAAAATTAGCAATATGGACACACGTGGAGTGCATTAAGGAGCAGAAAGTTTAATAGGCAAGAGAGAAGAGAACAGCTCCCCTGTACAGAGGGATGAGGGTTCCGAATAGAATAACCCTGCCTGCCAGCAGAAAGCTGGCGGTCATACTGGGAGGCGCGAGAAGGTGGTGTCTGATTTGCATAGGGCCCAGGGGATTGATTTGACCAAGTGTGTGATTCATGTAGCCAGCAAAAAGCTGGCCCACCCACCCTAACCTTTTAATATGTAAATGTGGCTACCTGGCTGGTCGCCGTGATACCCATACACGTGGCCTCTGCTTGGCTGGCCACCATGATGTCCGCACCCTTGATAACAAAGAAAAAGTAGCCGAACCACCATATTGGGTGAACCTGGCTCTTAGCCACCTGCATTTACATATGCAAGCCTGTGGCTTGCATATCAATGCTTGCAAGTCTGTTTTTCCAGGTTGCTTTCTGTTAGGAAAGAAATGTTTTTGGGGCTGATATTTTTATTAAGAGAAAAAGCCTTACCGAGGACTTTTTACCCTTTCTAGCTGCCTAAAATAATTTCTTAATATTCCTGTAATAATAGTATAACCATTCCAGATCTCTTTTGGTTAATAATTGCATGAAACATCTTTTTAACATCCTTTCACTTTCAACCTATTTGTTTCTTTGAATGTAAAAATGAGTCACGTGTAGATAGCATATAGTTACCTCCATTTTAAAATTCACTCCATCAATCTCTGCTTTTAATAAGAGAGTTTAATCTTTTTACATTTAAAGTAATTACTGATCAGGAGAAACTTTCTTCTGATATTTTGCTATTTGTTTTCTATTTATTTAATATACTAAATTCCCCCATTACCACCTACTTGTTGTATGTAACTGGTTTTTTTTTAGCATACTGTTGTGACTTTCTTGTTAATTTTCTATATATTTTGAAATTATTTTCTTAGTGACTACCCTGGAAATTACAATTAAATTCCTAAACTTATAAAAATCTATACTTAATTAAGACCAAGTTTCAATAGTACACAAAATTCTGCCTCTATACAGTCCATTTCTCCTCTTTTATGTAGTTGTTACAATTACACCTATATAGATTTCTGCCAATTTGCAAATGTATAATTATTATTTTAAGTGTTTTAAAACATACAAAAAGAAACATACAAACCAAAATTACAAAACATTATCTTTGGTATTTATCTATATAGTTACCTTTACTAGTGTTTTTTATTTCTTCATGTTGCTTTTTTACTGTCTAGTATTCTTTCATTTCCACCCAAAGGACTCCCTTTAGCGTTTTTTATAGGGTAAGTCTACTACTGACATACTCCAACTTTTGTTTATTTGGCAATGACTGAATTTTCCATCATTTTTGAAAGGTATTTTCCCAGATGTAGGATTAATGGTTAAATTTTTTTTTCTTTCAGCACTTTGAATAAGTATTCCATTGCCACTGCCTATGGCCTCCATAATTTCTGCTGACAAATTGGCTATTAACCTTGTTGAGGATCCCTTGTACATGATGAATTGCTTCTGCCTTGCTGCTTTCAAGATTCCTTATCTGTGACTTTGGGCAATTTAACTACAATATGTTATAGTGTAGATCTCTGTGTTCATCCTTCTTGGAGTTCATTGAGCCTCTTGGATGTATATATTTGTATCTTTCATCAAATTTGGAAAGTTTGGCCAATATTTTTTCTAACCTTATTTTTGCCTCTTTCTTTCTCTCCTCTCTTTCTGATACTCCCATCATTTGTATGTTGGTGCATTCAATGATATCCCAAAAGTATCTTAGGCTCAACAGTTTTTCTTCATTTTTTAATCTGTTTCTAATACTATATAATTTTAATTTACCTATCTTCATGTCTACTGATTATTTGTTATTCCTACTGAAATCTGTAATTCAAACTCTGTAGTGAATTTTTTTTATTTCAGTTATTTTATTCTCATCCTAGAATATCTCTTTGGTCCTTCTTCAGAAATTTTGGTCTCCTTATTAACAATCTCATTTTCTTCATAAATTATTTTTCCAATTTCTTTTTTTATTATTATACTTTAAGTTCTAGGGTACATGTGCACAACATGCAAATTTGTTACATAGGTATACATGTGCCATGTTGGTTTGCAGCACCCATCAACTTGTCATTTACATTAGGTATTTCTCCTAATGCTATCCCTCCTCCAGCCCCCAATCCCCCAACAGGTCCTTGTGTGTGACGTTCCCCGCCCTGTGTCCAAGTGTCCTCATTGTTCAATTCCCACCTAGAATGAGAACATGCAGTGTTTGGTTTTCTGTCCTTGTGACAGTTTGCTCAGCATGATGGTTTCCAGCTTCATCCATGTCCCTGCAAAGAATATGAACTCATTCTTTTTTATGACTGCATAGTATTCCGCGGTATATATGTGCCACATTTTCTTAATCCAGTCTATCATTGATGCACATTTGGGTTGGTTCCAAGTCTTTGCTATTGTGAATAGTGCCACAATAAACACATGTGTGCATGTGTCTTTACAGTAGCATGATTTATAATCCTTTGGGTATATACCCAGTAATGGGATCACTGCGTCAAATGGTATTTCTAGTTCTAGATCCTTGAGGAATCACCACACTGTCTTCCACAATTTACACTCCCACCAACAATGTAAAAGCATTCCTATTTTTCCACAACCTCACCAACATCTGTTGTTTCCTAACTTTTTAATGACTGGTGTGAGATGGTATCTCATTGTGCTTTTGATTTGCATTTCTCTGATGACCAGTGATGATGAGCATTTTTTCTTGTGTCTGTTGGCTGCATAAATGTCTTCTTTTGAGAAGTGTCTGTTCATATCCTTTGCCCACTTTTTGATGGGGTTGTTTGTTTGTTTCTTGTAAATTTGTTTAAGTTCTTTGTAGATTCTGGATATTAGCCCTTTGTGAGATGGGTAGATTGCAAAGATTTTCTCCCATTCTGTAGGATGCCTGTTCACTCTGATGGTAGTTTCTTTTGCTGTGCAGAAGCTCTTTGGTTTAATTAGATCCCTTGTGTCTATTCTGGCTTTTGTTATCATTGCTTTTGGTATTTTAGTCATGAAGTCCTTGCCCATGCCTATGTCCTGAATGGTATTGCCTAGGTTTTCTTCTAGGGTTTTTATGGTTTTAGTTCTAACATTTAAGTCTTTAATCTATCTTGAATTAATTTTTGTATAAGGCGTAAGGAAGGAATCCAGTTTCACCTTTGTATATATGGCTAGCCAGTTTACCCAGTACCATTTATTAAACAGGGAATCCTTTCCCCATTTCTTGTTTTTGTCAGGTTTGTCAAAGATCAGATGGTTGTAGATGTGTGGTGTTATTTCTGAGGCCTCTGTTCTGTTCCATTGGTCTATATATCTGTTTTGGTACTAGTACCATGCTGTTTTGGTTACTGTAGCCTTGTAGTATAGTTTCTTTTTGTTTTTGTTTTTGTTTTTTGAGACAGAGTCTTGCTCTGTCACCCAGGCTGGAGTGCAGTGGCATGATCTCGGCTCACTACAAGCTCTGCCTCCCAGGTTGACGCCCTTCTGCCTCAGCCTCCCAAGTAGCTGGGACCAAAGGCACCCGCCACCATGCCCAGTAATTTTTTGTATCTTTAGTAGAGACAGGATTTCACCATGTTAGCCAGGATGGTCTTGATCTCCTGACCTCATGATCCACCTGCCTCGGCCTCCCACAGTGCTGGGATTACAGGCATGAGACACCAAGCACAGCTGCCTTGTAGTATAGTTTGAAGTCAGGTACTGTGATGTCTCCAGCTTTGTTCTTTTTGTTTAGGATTGTCTTGGCAATGAGGGCTCCTTTTTGGTTCCATATGAACTTTAGTTTTTTCCAATTCTGTGAAGAAAGTCATTGGTAGCTTGATGGGGATGGCATTGAATCTATAAATTACCTTGGGCAGTATGGCCATTTTCACAATATTGATTCTTCCTATCCATGAGCGTGGAGTGTTCTTCCATTTTTTGTGTCCTCTCTTATTTCCTTGAGCAGTGGTTTGTAGTTCTCCTTGAAGAGGTCCTTCACATCCCTTGTAAGTGGTATTCCTCGGTATTTTATTCTCTTTATAGCAATTGTGAATGGGAGTTCACTCATGATTTGGCTCTCTGTTTCTGTTCTTGGTGTATAGGAATGCCTGTGATTTTTGCACATTGATTTTGTATCCTGAGACTTTGCTGAAGTTGCTTATCAGCTTAAGGAGATTTTGAGCTGAGACAATGGGGTTTTCTAAATATACAATCATGTCATCTGCAAACAGGGACAACTTGACTTCCTGTTTTCCTATTTGAATACCCTTTATTTCTTTCTCTTGCCTGATTGCCCTGGCCAGAACTTCCAACACTATGTTGAATAGGAGTGGTGAGAGAGGGCATCCCTGTCTTGTGCTGGTTTTCAAAGGGAATGCTTGCAGTTTTTGCCCCATTCAGTATGATATTAGCTGTGAGTTTATCATAAATAGCTCTTATTATTTCGAGATACATTCCTTCAATACCTAGTTTATTGGGAGTTTTTAGCATGAATGGCTGTTGAATTTTGTCGAAGGCCTTTTCTGCATCTGTTGAGACAATCATGTGGGTGTTGTCATAGGTTCTGTTTATGTGATGGATTACATTTATTGATTTGCATATGTTGAACCAGGCTTGCATCCCAGGGATGAAGCCCACTTGATCATGGTGGATAAACTTTTTGATGTGCTGCTGGATTCAGTTTGCCAGTATTTTATTGAGGATTTTTGCATTGATGTTCATCAGGGATATTGGTCTAAAATTCTCTTTTTTTTGTTGTGTCTCTGCCAGGCTTGGTATCAGGATGATGCTGTCCTCATAAAATGAGTTAGGAAGGATTCCCTCTTTTTCTATTGATTGGAATAGTTTCAGAAGGAATGGTACCAGCTCCTCTTTGTACCTCTGATAGAATTCGGCTGTGAATCCGTCTGGCCCTGGACTTTTTTTGGTTGGTAGGCTATTAATTATTCAGAGCCTGTTATTGGTCTATTCAGAGATTCCACTTCTTCCTGGTTTACTCTTGGGAGGGCGTATGTGTCCAGGAATGTATCCATTTCTTCTATATCTTCTGGTTTATTTGTGTAGAGGTGTTTATAGTATTCTCTGATGGTAGTTTGTATTTCTGTGGGATCAGTGGTGATATCCCCTTTATCATTTTGTATTATGTCTATTTGATTCTTACCTCTTCTGCTTCTTTATGAGTCTTGCTAGTGGTCTATCTATTTTGTCGATCTTTTCTTAAAACCAGCTCCTGGATTCATTGATTTTTGAAGGGTTTTTTTGTGTCTCTGTCTCCTTCAGTTCTGCTCTGATCTTAGTTATTTCTTGCCTTCTGCTAGCTTTTGAATTTGTTTACTCTTGCTTCTCTAGTTCTTTTAATTGTGATGTTAGGGTGTCGATTTTAGATTTTTCCTGCTTTCTCTTGTGGGCATTTAGTGCTATAAATTTCCCTCGACACACTGCTGTAAAAGTGTCCCAGAGATTCTGGTATGTTGTGTCTTTATTCTCATTGGTTTCAAAGAACATCTTTATTTCAGCCTTCATTTCGTTATTTACCCAGTAGTCATTCAGGAGCAGGTTGTTCAGATTTCATGTAGTTGTCCAGTTTTTAGTGAGTTTCTCAATCCTGAGTTCTAATTTGATTGCACTGTGGTCTGAGAGACAGTTTGTTATAATTTCTTTTCTTTTACATTTGCTGAGGGGTGCTTTACTTCCAATTATGTGGTCAATTTTAGAATAAGAGTGATGTGGTGCTGAGAAGAATGTACATTTTGTTGATTTGGGGTGGAGAGTTCTATAGATGTCTATTAGGTCTGCTTGGTGCAGAGCTGAGTTCAAGTCCTGGATATGCTTGTTAATCTTCTGTCTTGTTGATCTGTCTAATATTGACAGTGGGGTGTTAAAAGTCTCCCATTACTATTGCGTGGGAGCTTAAGTCTCTTTGTAGGTCTTTAAGGACTTGCTTTATGAATCTGGGTGCTCCAGTATTGGGTGCACATATATTTAGGATAGTTAGCTCTTCTTGTTGAATTGATCCCTTTACCATTATGTAATGGCCTGCTTTGTTTCTTTTGATCTTTGTTGGTTTAAAGTCTGTTTTATCAGAGACTAGGATTGCAACCCCTGCTTTTTTTTGCTGTCCATTCACTTGGTAGGTCTTTCTCCATCCCTTTATTTTGAGCCTATGTGTGTCTCTGCATATGAGATGGGTCTCCTGAATACAGCATACTGATGGGTCTTGACTCTTTATCCAATTTGCCAGTCTGTGTCTTTTAATTGGAGCATTGAGCCCATTTACATTTAAGGGTAATATAGCTATGTGTGAATTTGATCCTGTCATTTTGATGTTCGCTGGGTATTTTGCCTATTAGTTGATGCAGTTTCTTCCTAGTATCGATGGTCTTTACAATTTGGCATGCTTTTGCAGTGGCTGGTACCGGTTGTTCCTTTCTATGTTTAGTGCTTCCTTCAGGAGTTCATGTGAGGCAGGCCTGGTGGTGACAAAATCTCTTAGCATTTGCTTGTCTAAAGGATTTTATTTCTCCTTCACTTATGAAGCTTAGTTTGGCTGGATAAGAAATTCTGGGTTGAAAATTCTTTTCTTTAAGAATGTTGAATATTGGCCCCCACTGTCTTCTGGCTTGTAGAGTTTTTGCAGAGAGATCCACTGTTAGTCTGATGGGCTTCCCTTTGTGAGTAACCTGATCTATCTCTCTGGCATCCCTTAACATTTTTTCCTTCATTTCAACCTTAGTGAATCTGACAATTATGTGTCTTGGGGTTGCTCTTCTCAAGGAGTATCTTTGTGATGTTCTCTGTATTTCCTGAACTTGAATGTTGTCCTGTCTTACTAGGTTGGGGAAGTTCTCCTGGAGAATATTCTGAAGAGTGTTTTCCAACTTGGTTCCATTCTCCTGGTCACTTTCAGGTACACCAATCAAATGTAGACTTGGTCTTTTCACATAGTCCCATATTTCTTGGAGGCTTTGTCCATTTCTTTTCACTCTTTTTTCTCTAATCTTGTCTTCTCATTTTATTTCATTAATTTGATCTTCAATCACTGATACCCTTTCTTCCACTTGATCAAATCAGCTATTGAAGCTTGTGCACGTGTCATGAAGTTCTTATGCCATGGTTTTCAGCTCCAACAGGTCATTTAAGGTCTTCTCTACACTGTTTATTCTAGTTAGCCATTCATCTAACCTTTTTTCAAGGTTTTCAGCTTTATTGTGATGGGTTAGAACATGCTCCTTTAGCTCGGAGAAGTTTGTTATTACCAACCTTCTGAAGCCTACTTCTGTCGACTGGTCAAAGTCATTCTCCATCCAGCTTTGTTGTGTTGCTGGTGAGGAGCTGCAATCCTTTGGAGAAGAATAGGTGCTCTGGTTTTTGGACTTTTCAGCTTTTCTCCTCTGGTTTCTCCCCATCTTTGTGGTTTTATCTACCTTTCATCTTTGATGTTGGTGACGTACAGGTGGAGTTTTGGTGTAGATGTCCTTTTTGTTGATGTTGATGCTATTCCTGTTTGTTAGTTTTCCTTCTAACACATTCCCTTAGCTGCAGGTCTGTTGGAGTTTACTGGAGGTCCACTCCAGACCCTGTTTGCCTGGGTACCACCAGCAGAGGCTGCAGAACAGCAAATATTGCAGAACAGCAGATATTGCTGTCTGAATCTTCCTCTGGAAGCTTTGTCCCAGAGGGGCACCCACCTGTATGAGGTGTCTGTTGGCTCCTACTGGGAGGTGTCTCCCAGTTAGGCTACATGGGGGTTAGGGACCCATTTGAGCAGGTAGTCCGTCTGTTCTCAGAGCTCAAATGCCATGCTGGGAGAATCACCACTCTCTTCAGAGCTGTCAGACAGGGACATTTAAATCTGCAGAAGTTTCTGCTGCCTTTGGTTCAGCTATGCCCTGCCCACAGATGTGGAGTCTATAGAGGCAGTAGGCCTTGCTGAATTGCGGTGGGATCTGCCCAGTCTGAGCTTCCCGGCCGCTTTGTTTACCTACTCAGGCCTCAGCAATGGCAGATGCCCCTCCCCCAGCCAGGCTGCAGCCTTGCAGGTTGATCTCAGACTGCTGTGCTAACAATTAGCAAGGCTCTGTGGGAGTGGGACTCACCAAGCCAGGCAGAGGAGAGAATTTCCTGGTCTGCCGCTTGCTAAGACCACCGTAAAAGTGCAGTATTTGGGCAGAAGTGTGCCGTTTTTCCAGGTACACTCTGTCACGGCTTCCCTTGGCTAGGAAAGGGACATCCCCCTACCCTTTGTGCTTCCCAGGTGAGGTGACGCCCTGCCATGCTTTGGCTCGCCCTCTGTGGGCTGCACCCACTGTCCAACCAGTCCCAGTGAGATGAACCAGGTAACGCAGTTGGACATGCAGAAATCACCCATCTTCTGTGTTGAACATGCTGGGAGCTGCAGACTGGAGCAGTTCCTATTCGGCCATCTTGGAACAGAACCCCAATTTCTTTTTATATGGTTTTCTTTAACAATTTTAGCATATTTAAGACAGTTTTATTTAAAGTTTTTGTCAAGTAAGTCCAATGTCTGTGCTTCATCAGGGATAGAAATCAGATTCTTTCTAATTTCTCCAATTAATGGGCCATATTTTCTTATTTCTTTGTATTCTTTATAAATTTTTGTTGAAAACTAGACATTTTGAATATTACAATGTGTTAACTATAGAAATCAGGTTCTTTCTATTCCTCATGTTGGATCTGTAGTTTTCTGAGAGTTGTGATTATTTATCCAGTGACTTATCTGTACTGTTTTTGTATGGTTTATATTCTTTGTTATGTATGGTTTCAGGAATCTCTGTTCTTTTTGCCTGTGGTTAACTAGTGTTTTTAAGAGATTTTCCTGAAGTCCTGGGGAAAAAAAAGAAGAAGAAGGACAAAACAAGATAAAAGAAAGAAAAAATAATAAGGAAAAAAATTCTTCCAGGCTTTATAGATTGGCTCTGTGTTGGGGCAATGCTTCAATGGTTGGCCAGGCCTTCACAATGCTTCCTTATATTTCACTTCTTGCTTGCTCTGAGACTAAATTTCAGCCAGAGGTGAAGGTCTTCTCGGGTCTCTTCTGAGCATCCTTTTTCCCTGGGAATGTATGTGGCTTTACAGACTCCACAGTATACTGGCACTTTTCAATGCCCTAATTTTCCCCAAATAACTCTTTCCACATTTTTCCCCCAGGTTTTTAGAGTCTCTATTATTTGTGTCAACTGAACTCTCTCACCCCAGATGGCATGAAGTTTTTTCATTTGATTTATAATGTTATTGAGGAATGTACTCTGCTCAGCCATTTTTCTGCCCTAAGAGACTTCTGAGTTGCACAAAACAAAGGTGAATACCTTGAGTCTGTCCTCCAGGAAGCTACACGACAGGACAAAACTACCAAACAAAGTAATAATATTTATGTTTAAGAATAAGTTCTACTACTCTGCCCTTTCCGGAACCAGGAACCAGGGTCTTTTATTGAGAATGCAGTCTGCTGGCTTCAAAACTGTCATTGAGTCGGGGTAGGTGGGAGGCAAGGGCAAGTAAAAATAATGCAAAGCTTTTGTGCTTTTTTTAAGTTGGCTTTTTCTAGAATCAGCATTTGCTAGGTTGCTGTAAAACAAGAAACCATATGTTTTAATACATTTTTTTAAAGAGTTCTGTGACACAGTTATAATAATTAAAAGGGCAACTGTTTCCTTAGTTTCTCCTAATTTTCCTTTACCTAAACTTTGTCTTTACATTATCGTATGTTCCATTCACTCTCAAATGTACCTATTGTTCTTACCCACCAGCTCATACATAAGTATCTCCTCCAGTCCTGATCTTTTTCCTGAGCTTCATATTCATACCATCAACAAATGAACACAAAATGACCAAGATTCAACTCATAGCATACCACCTGTAATCTACACATCTGGCCATTGTCTGGATTGTGTCTAAGGTTTAGCCTCCACTCCTAATACTTCCTGCTTTGTACATCCGCATAATGAAAACTAAACTTTACTCTTGTCTCAATACATTTGTTTTTATTTCATCATGCTGAAATTTTATCTGTTTATCTCATCCAATATACTATAAGCCATTCATATGTGATTACCCAGTACCTAACTCAATATTCAATATTGATAATAAATATTGATGAACTGTATTAACTAATGAAAATTGTAATACTCCAGTCATATCCATAGGTGGCAGTAAGCTCCTAAAATTATGAGGAAAGTGGTCTGTGTCTAAACATAATTAATCACAGAAGTTAAAATGTTAAAATGACCTGGTTTAACTTATATTTTGGTCTTTTCATGCATACCAACTGCATAAGCTTTCACTTTTCAGAAATATTAAGCAAGGAGAAGAGAATACAATCTATTAAACTAGGAGCTCTTTGAAATGTTTTTCTACCTTAATTGCTCAGTTTTCAGACTCACCTATGACACTTCCTCACTCCTTTCAGCCTTCTCATTTGAGTATAAACTCAGTGCCAATTTTATCTAGAAGAAACTGATATGAAGAGTTTTCAGCCAACATTTAAAGCAAAATACAAGTTCAGTTTAAATAATTTGAATTTCTATTTTTCCTAATTCTTTGGATATTCTATAACAAGTGTACAAAGCAATATGAGATTTTTAAAGATGATCTTGTTTTGATAATGAACAAGTTATTTTAATATAAATTCAGCAGTTTCCTCTGGAATCCATTTTGCTACAATACTACAAGTATGCCTATATAGATATACCCTGTAAGTAACAACTAGTTTATAAAATGAAATGTCACATCACCAAATTATCTGAGACCGTATTTTTCCACTTAAGTTATCAAATAACAATAAGACATCCATATTCCATCTGGGTTTACTAATTTATCAAGGCCTACTGAAAATTCCTATTTCTGAAAAAAATCTTCCTATGTACTTTAAAATTAATATTCTCTGGACTTCAAAATTATTTTCCAAACAATGGGCTTTGTTATCTACTCACAGATGCATTCTGGGATTAGTGTATGAGTTGCAGATGATTTTCCTCATAAAAGATTTTATATGTAGCCTCTGGATCTGGCTTCTATATATTTGTTTGGTAGTTCCTGAGCAAATCTGTGAAGTTGGTTTAATATATTTTTGGTATCTTAACTCTTTATCTTGACAAGGGACACTCTGCCTACCCCATATGTTTTATTCAATCATGCTATATTGCTTTTCCTTAAGTATACCTTAATTAATTTCTAAGAAGTTATTTATTATACCACTAATGTATCATATCATAATCAAGAATAATTTAAAATCAATAACAAAAATGAACACAAGATTTCTATGGCTCTTATTTCCCATATGTATTAGTCTGTTTTCACAGTGCTATAAGGAACTACCTGAGAATGGGTAATTTATAAAGAAAAAAGGGGCCTGGTGGAGTGGCTCACGCCTGTAATCCCAACACTTTGGGAGGCCAAGGCGGGTGGATCACCTGAAGTTAGCGGTTCAAGACCAGCCTGGCCAACATAAATCCCATCTCTACCAAAAATACAAAAAATTAGTGGGGCATGGTGGTGGACACCTGTAATCTCAGCTACTCTGGAGGCTGAGTCAGGAGAATCTCTTGGACCAGGGAGGCGGAGGTTGCAGTGAGCTGAGATCACACCATTGCACGGAAGCCTGGGCAACAGGAGCAAAACTCCATCTCAAAAGAAAAAAAAAAAAGAAAGAAAAAAGGTTTAATTGACTCACAGATCCACATGGCTGGGGAGGCCTCAGGAAACTAACAGTCGTGGTGGAAGGTGAAAGGAAAGCAAGGCATGTCTTACATGGTGGCAGGAGAGACAGAGAGTGCAGGGGGAACTGCCAAACACTTTTAAGCCATCAGATCTCATGAGAACTCACTCACTATCATGAGAACAGCAAGGGGAAAACTGCCTCCATGATCCAATAACCTCCCACCAGGTCCCTCCTTCAACATGTGGAGATTACAATTCAAGATGAGATTTGGGTGGGGACACAGAGCCAAACCATATCACCGGGTAACCAATTATTGCCACAAGATATAATTTACCTTCTATTCTCAGATGCTGATTTACCAAGGAAGGTGATCACACTTCCCAAAACACTCTCTTGTCACCTTAGGCCTCAGGGAAGAAAGATAGGAGGAGGAAATACATATTAATGTTGCAACAATAGGATCTCTTTTCCTCTGCCTCTATGACAGGTTTCAGAAATGGAAGACAGAGAACACTTTATACAAACACATGTGGTTAATAATGGTCTATATACTGGTGATTGCAAAATCTTGTTCAGTGCTAACCACTACCCTGAGTCAAGACCTATAGATCCAAATGCTCATTGAGCAGCTGCCTCCTAAACCTCAGGAAACCAATGTGTTCCCTCAGGACTTCTATACCATTCACACACCCACTTCAACATTTCTCTTCATGATCTCCTGTTTCAGAAATCATTCCTTTATTTCCACTGAAACAGAAGCCTGGAAGACATCTTTGACCCTCTCTACTTCATCCCTGTAGCCATTCAGCTTTTAAAACGTGTCCTTTTCCCTAATATCACTGCAGTCTATTCACTTTTTTGCCTTCTCTGACAATACATTATCGTATATGACTATTGCATCTCACCAGGCTGATGAGGACACTAACTCGCCTTCTTCTCTTTATTTGTGCTCTCTCACCTCTTTAAGCTCTTTCAGTGGCTCCACAGGTAACCTACAGGAGTCTACAGCGTTAGCTACTCTTTAACCTTATTTCTCTTTAAGTCTCCTACTCCAATACAACCCTCCAGTCACAGTAAACAACTTGAGATTATGGACACTGACCAATCCCTCTTGTACTTCCTCACAATATTGGATCTCTGGTCTCAAGTATTTCTCTTCTTCACCTTTACCTGGCTTTCTCCTATCTAAGCTTAAGCCTCAGCTGTAACACCTTATTCTCCTTAGAATTTTCTTAACCTACTAAGAAGGATTCTCACAGCAACTGTCCTTAACATTCTCACAGCTCTTTTACCCACTGCATTAAAAATCCCCCTTTTCCTGTCTAATCCACCGAACTGTGAGGTCTGTGAAGATGACTGTTTCTGAGTCAACGTTATCCTCAGGGTTGGCTGAATGCCTGAGACACCATTGATACTCAACACAAACTTGCCTGATTTAATTGAATCTAGCAAAACTATGAATTTTACTTATGTGGAATGATAGGTCCGTGTCCTCAGCGGACAAAATTATTCAGCAGATTCAAAAGGGAGCTAGGAATAAAGTCCAGGCCAGAGCTCCAGCAGTCAGAGCTGCCTGTGTGGCACCAGCTGCGAGACCTGGCTTCAGATGCATGAGGGCGCCAAACTGCCTGCTAAAAAGCGGAACTGCTTTGTCCTCTCAGTTAAATTGTTCCCTTCAAATACTTACTAAACAAAGAGAAAATCTAGTTAATACATATGATCTTTCCAAATTGGCTCTAATTGCCTCTAGGCACTGTTAGGCATAGAAAATTTTCTATAGTTAAATGCATTTTCAAGAGTCTGGTTGTTTCAAGTCACGGTGTAGTTTATTCCAGACTACACTTTCTCATCATTGCACTATTTCAGTAATACCACCTGGTCATGTAAAATCTCAATTATGGTTTCAGTAGTAGTGGAAAAATTAATTCTATTAAAATGCTTAGATGATCTAATTCTGAAGGGTTCAGTTAGAGCTTAAGTATACATGAATATATGAAGAAGAGTTGAAGTAAATATGAAGGTATGATATTTTGTGGGAATAAAACAACATTTTAAAGTCACTTTCCTATAATAATCTATAAAATTTGTGCTAATTAAATCTTAATAAGTTTGCTATGATATGGGTGGGGAGTACTGAACATGCCAGATTGTTAAACATATCAAAAATATGAAAGAAATATTTCAAAATAATGGAGGGTAGCTATTCCCATGAGCTTATAAATCATATTAGAAAGCAATAATTACTTTAAAATTAGGTGTAAATAGCCTTAAATACATAGGGGAATTTGGAAAGCAAGAAATAAAACTTCTCGAATAATTGGAAACATGAGTTATCTCATAAACTATATTGGGATAAATGGCTAAACATTTGAGAAGGAAATAATGCTGAATTTCTAATTTATTTCTTACACAAAACAGAGCAAGATCAAAACCTCAAATACAAAAAAGTAAAATAATAAAAATAACACAAAGAAATTTTTTTAATTGTTAGATTCAGAAGATCTTTCCAAGTCAAAAATTAAGCCCGAGCCAGGCACGGTTGGTCACACATATAATCCCAAAACTTTGGGAGGTTGAGGTGGGAGGCTTGCTTGAGGCCAAGAGTTCCAAGACTAGCCAAGGCAACACAGTGAAACCTCATCTCCTCAAAAATCAAAACAAAACAAAAAATTAGCCAAGTGTGATGGTGCACACCTGTAGTTCCAGCTGTTTAGGAGGGTGAGGTAAATATTCCAGGCTTGAGCCTGGAAGTTGAGGCTGCAGTGAGCTGAGACTGTGCCACTGCACTTTAACCTGGACATCAAAGTGAGACCCTGTCTAAAAAATAAAGAAATAAAATGAAGTCCAAAGTCCAAAAGAGAATATTGTCACAGTGCAAAATTTGGAAACATTTAAATATCAAACAACATCATAAATAATATTACAAAGGTCAGAAAGAAAAAACAAAATAAGAAACAAACGCTTGCAAAATGTCTATTCCCCAAAATTCACCTATGAATTTAGAGCTAATCTAATAAAAATACTAGTAAGTTCAACTGAGGATGTATTTATAGTTTATTTTTTTGTTTGTTATTTGTGTGTGTGTTGTGTATTATTTTACCTCAATGCCAATCAGTATTGAGGTAAAAATGAAGTTACTTTAATAGATGGCTTATTGCAATTCATAGCATATAGAAACTGTTTCTAATGTTTTAGATGTCTCCACCTGGTCATGTAAAACTTCAATTATGGTTTAAACAGTAGTGGGTCAGTTAATTAAATTAAAATACAATACTTACATGATTTAATTTTAATAAGTTCCCGGAATTGATATTATATATTTAAAAATTAGATTAAAGCTATCTATATTTTGGAAACTATTTTAGGAATTAAAATAATATAAAATTTCAAATGTACCATCAAGTAACATATTCAACTAAAAGACATGAGTCAGAATTATTTTAAAGAGAGAAAACACATCAGATGTCCTGTTCTACCTGTGGATGTTCAGGGGTTTGCTGCTTTAAACCTAAATCAAACCTGCACATCTCCCTGCTTCCCTGAGCCCTCACAGCTCACCCCTCCTACTGCCTTGGGGTTTTGAGGATGCAGGGGATGCCCTGACCCTCTAGGGCCACTGCCCTGGGCTGCATACAGAAGAGTACGCTCTAAGAGGTCACCTGCAAAAAGCTGGATTTCAGACTCTAACTCAGCCATTTTTGCTTATTATGATCATTTGACTTTCTTAGATCATTGAGCTTTCTCTCAGTTGACAGAGTTGCCAAGCAACTCTCTTGAGCTATTTTTTCAACCTTGATGAAGGAAATGATGTTTTCCAATTGTTTCTCTAAGTCTTTGGCCATCATTCTGTAGAAGTCAATGTTTAGATATTTGCATATACCTCGGGACGTTTCTATTTCTAAGCAGTTAATTCCCTTCTCTATTGATTTTCTGCAAAGTTGCATTTCATGTTCTTGATGTAGTTCAAGCAGTGTCTGGTGCTTTAGCTAAAGCTTTTGAATCTAGCTTTCAAACTGTGTATTGTCAACACTGTGTTTACTGTGCTTAGAGAATTTTGACTGGAACTACAAGTGCTTCCTACATTTGATTTTATTCACATAACCTTTTAAATATTCTTTTTTTTGTCTCAAGTTTTTTTAAAAGGAAATATTTAACAGTATTGATGAGTTTCTTCCTGTTGGCTTGAGACTGATACTCTTGGTCTTCATTTTCTGACGTACTGTTTTAGTCTGGTTCCTTTTGTCTCATTCATATAATCTTCTCTTCACACTTTAGCACAGTTTAGACAGAGATTTTAACTAGCTCTACTTATCATTTACAACCTGTTCTCTTATGTGCTAAAGTTTGCAAGCATTTCTTTCTGCTCCTTCAGTTCTTACACTCTTTCTTGTCATTCACATGCAGGGAACAAGCACCTTTAGGCTTTCCTATAACTGTACATTTTTATCAAAGTTATAGTTATGCCCTTCTGATGTTGTTCTGCATACAGGCTTCGGAGATGCATATATTGTTGGCCTCAATCACGGAACTGGTAGAATTCTGATGTCTCTTTGAGTGACTATATCTGTCCTTGAAAATGAGCCATCATCACTCTATTAAATGACATTTTAGAGGCCTTTCCCGCTTGTTCTTTGTCAAGGTCTACTGTATCTTCCAGTGAAAATGTGGACCTGGTTCACATCTTTATTAAGTGCTGACAAACACAAAATTTCAAAAGTTCAGAGGACTAGTCTCCATTGCAGGTGACTTGAGGGCTTCAAAGGCATGTATATTCGGTCTAATCTTTAAACCGACATGATTGTATTCTTCAACTTGGGCAGAAAATCTTTTAGCTAGCTCGCATTCCTTCAATGTACATCAGCAATATACTATAAAAACAACCAAAGTTGCATATACCAAGATTTTCAAGGGAAGATTAATCCAGACAACATCATCAGAACACTGCAGATGCTCCAGGACTAGCCAGAAGGACATTTTTCTGGTGATGGCAGGTTCTCCATGGCTCTGTGTGGGCACTGCAGCTCTGCCTCTGACCAACAACTGGTGAACCATAACTGCCTGTCTGGAATATTGTTAGCGTTCTACCTCAAACCAAGCCAAGTACCTGGCATCAGCACCAACCATCAGTGGAGTTGAAATTAAAAAGAAGCTTGTGTTATAAACTAGTGCTCATGAATTTTGGTCCAGTTACTGCCAAAATAGAAAGGGTTATTATTTGTATAGTACATTGTGTGGATGGAAAGAGCTGAATACCGCTAGAACAGATTAAACAGATTAGCCCGTGAGCTGTGACCAGAGGCTACACCTGATCCTACAGAACCCAAGAGATCCAGTCAGCACCATGTCACAACCCATGCTCCATACATGAGCTTTTCAAGATATAATTGTAGGGCAGACTGCAGTAGTGGATTCATGTGCCCATGTCCCTGGGTAAGGCTCTTTCTTCTCTGGATTTTGAAAGTTCCTTCTACAAGATGTAGATGCCTCATCCATCCTGTTTACTAAGATCATAGCAATTTCCCTCCTCTGGGAGGAATCACCTTCCTTCCTTTGTGTTTTGCCAGACACTGAGGAATGAAAGCCTTCAGCAAAAGTATTACCTTGCTTGGGTTTCAATTGTAAGAATTTGGGAGAAATCAGCCAGACCTGAAATGTCTTCACATTTCATGGATTTCCAGTGTTGCCAACTTGTCTCGGTACAATCCAGCAGTTCAGAGTGCGGGAGACTCTATTACGTGTGACCTAGTGACTCAAGATCCTTCCATCATTTGAATCTATCATCTTCAGCAATGGCTGTGTGAATCTCAGAGTGACCTGGGGATAGTTTCCGAACCACCTAGCCATCTTCAGATTTGGGGCTGCATTTGGGGAGGGAGCAATTTTATTTTCTTTCTTTCAGTCACAGTCCCCAGTCCCTTTTGGCCTACACTTGAGACTTTGCTATAAACAACTCCATTCACTTTTTTGCCACGAACAACTCCATTCTGCTTTTTCCTTGGAAAGAAAAGGGCTCTTCTTTTGTTTGTAATACACTTTATATTTTAAATCCATAACTATTTTAAAAAATTAAAAAACAAAAACATTGTTCAGGCCAAAGAAACAGCACTATAAGACAACTGCCAATCAGCAACTTCTGCTGAAGAGGTTCTAGATGAGGGAATGGAGGATCAGAAATCTTCATGACTTCAGTAAGTCTGGCATAGTTTCTGTGACCTCAGTGTCCAAATGATAGTTCAATAATACAGCGATTTCTGATTTGAGATGTCTGATCTGATTGTGCAGAAATTAAGAGCTTAGACTTGATGGCTGGGAGGACCTTTCCAGAGTCTTAGTTGTAGGTCCCAATGTGTCTTTGCTCCCTTATTTCTAACATAAGGGTATAAATATATATGTCTTAGGGTTATGGTGAGGGTGAAATGGGATAGCGAATGAAAACCACTATCCCCATTCCTGCATGTAGTAATCACTTGATAAATTGAGCTATTACTAAATTTTAGATAGGAATGAAAATTTAAATGTGAGCTAGTGGGAAAAGAAAGTACAGGCCTAATCAGCTTCATTGGATAAGCATGACTAGGCACTGCATGCTTTTCTCCATGGGCCTAAAGAAGAAACCTCTCCAGTTTTATAGCATGAATCAGAAATATGTGCTTCGGCATTATTTTGCAATAAATACAAATAAACAAACAAGCCCATGGATTTACATAGATCTTTCAAAAGAGGGGTGGAATAAGACTGTAGCTCTTGTTAACAACATTGTTAACACTGAACATCCAAGTGCACAAGTCATACAGGAGAGTGTCTTTGTCAGTTGACAAGTGAAACATTACACATCTCGGTTCATCCAGAAAGTTTGATGTTTGCCTCATGTAGTAGAAACTGCAGAGGTGGGCTCCCCATAGATGAAGCCTGACAAGGATTAGTTGGAAGGGACAGTGCCCCTATCATCCCTGCCCACACATCCTTAACTGTCTTATCTCCAGTGCTTGATTGTCCATGAAAATGACCGTGATTCTCAGAAGGTGTTCCTGCTACCTTCGGTCTCAGTGAGAAAGGTGGGAGGGAGAAGACTTTAATGTTGCAACAGCAGCATCCTTCTTTCTCTGCAGCATTCACAGGATTTTAGAAATGAAAGGAGCAACTTGACTCTATCCAACTTGTGTAATCAGTCACCACTTATATGATGATGTTTCCAGAGCTCTCAGCTCAAACCTCTCTCCTAACTTCATACTTGTAGATTGAAATTCTTATTGAAGAGCTGCCCCCTGGTCTCTCAGACCACAATATGTCCAACCCTGGGCATATGTCCAACCCTGCACCATTCACACACCTGCTTGAAAAACTTCCCTTCATAATTTTCTATTGCAGGAATAATTCCCTCATTTCTCTTAAACTGGAAATCTTCAAGTCATCCTTGCCTCTTTTCATTGCAGCTCTCACTGTCTGGCAGTCCCCAAAACCTCTGTGCTCCCTTAACATCATTCAATTCCATTCATTTTCTTCCCTTCTGATACTGCATGATTAGGCCACCATAGCCTCTCATCTAGTTTACAAACAGTCTAAATTATTTTCTTGCTTTTGCCCACATTCCTGTTGAAAAGCTGCTAATTCATCCCCATTGCCCTTTGCATAAGCCCCATGCCCAAAAACTACAAGACTCTTCAGAGTGGTCCCATCTCCATTTTTGTCATTTTTTCCCACAAGAATATACCACTTTTCCCACACTCAACAACTTTCAGTTATCTAATCTGGTCAAGCTCTTCCTCATATTTTTATATAGTGCTTCCCAGGCCAGAAGGCTTTCTGTTCCTTACCTTTTACCTGACTATCACCTACTCAGGCTTAACTCTCGGCTGACATATTAGTTTTTCCAGTGTTTTCTTGACCCACCAACAAGGACTCCCATAGCACCATATACCTAACATTTTCAGCTCTTACCTCTAACGACTGCATGAAAATTCCCCATTTCCCCGTGTCTTTACTCCACTGAATAATGAGAGGTCCTTGAAGATAAAGATTATGTTTAGTCAAGATGTTATTCCCAGGGAATGGCTCAGTAACTGAGTCATTGATGACCCTAAAAAAAAAATTGGTCTGATAAAGTTGAATCTGCTAAAACTCTGAATTGTGTTGATAAGGAATACAAAGGTGTGAATGGATACAGTTATTCAGTAGGTTGTAGTGGAGTTAGAAATAAGGCCCATGATTGGTCCTAGTAGATAGAGTTGCTTCTGCAACCCCCTAAGCTGAGAGACCAAGCTTAAAAACTCAGCCACTTTGTTCTCCAATTTTTTCTCTCAAATGTTTAAAACAAACAAGAGTTGGTAGTGATGAATACATTTATGAAATAGATTTTGGTCATGGTTTCACAAATGTATACATACCTCCAAATTAATCAAGTCATATACATTTTTTTAAAATCCAGCTTTTTGCCTGCTAATCATAAGTCATACATCAACAAAATGGCTTTGAAAAAGGAGAAAAGCTAAGTTGATATACAGTTATTGCCAAATGGCTCTATCAATTAAAAAATAATAATTAAACAAGTTCCCAAGAATTTGTCTATTGTTTTTCAACTCACACTACAATCTATTGCATATTAAACTTGCTTAGCAGGACACAACTCAGTGGTATTATGTCTATACTACAGAATATCAGATGCTAAAAAGGTACTATAGACCATCCACCTTAATCCATTCACTTGACAGTTTAGAGAATTGTGATTCATTCATACTTCTTTCTGTAACTACAATGTATTGCACTGTGAGGTCAAATGTATCAGATGTCCTCATACTGCTGTTTCTTTGTTTATCCTATTTCTTCTTCCTAAGATACCTTTCCCAGGATTTCTTACTGACAAGACCATTTAATGAAACAACAGAAATAAATCCAGTGTTGAAGAAGTTATAAATTCCATGCCAAAAGAAGTGGTCTCCACAGAGTCACATTCATTGCTCTCTATGCCCCCTTATTGTTGGACCCATTAATCTTCATTCATGCTTGCACGGTGATTGCCAAGCTGTATTTTAATAAACTTTAACATGACTCTCTCCAACATAAAAAATGATTTATTTCTTGCAAATATATAAAAGTAATACTGACAGCTTGTGTTCAAAAAGAAATACTGTTGAACAGACAGTCCTAGAGCTACAAAGCAAATATGGAACTTTTATAAGTATTAATCTCAGTTGCACTCTGCTAAGTAAAACTAGATAGACTTAAATGGCTACGTGCTGTTTGATTCTATTTCTGTGTCACTGTTGCGATGGCAATACTATCGGGTCAGAGAATAGATGATTAGTTGCCAGGAGCTGGGAGTAGGAGATATGTTGAGTCCAAATGGGCAAAGAGGGACATTTTGGGGTAATATATGTGTATCTTTTTTGCACAGTTAAGTACACACTGTTTATGTTTATGAACACTCTCAGAACTGTATACCAAGAGGATATATTTATTGTATGAAAATTATTGTATGTTAAAAGAAAAAAACAAAAATAAATAGACAGCAGCCACATTGATGATTCATACCCATAAACCAGAATCTTACTTCTGCTTAAACTATCCAGCCCTGCAAGGGTGAGGGCATTGGAGAAATTTGCTACCAATACTCTTTCTTTTGACTATGTTGCTGTAACAGAGAGATCTCTGTGGACTCAAATAGGCATTGCATAATTCTGCTTTACTTCTAGTTATGTACGTAGGTAATAATCTATGACATGAAAAGGTTTATGTAAAAAAATCTAACTCACAAATAACTTTATTCTTAAATCTCAGACTATAAAAAATATATCCCAAATCTCTAGAGATATAGACTAAATAAATGGTAAATTCTGAGATAACACATAACTCTAAAATTTGAGACACTCACAGAATTAAGTAAAATTAGAGAGGAGCAACTGAAATGTCAGTATGTTATTTACCATCTGAAATAGCGAAGTGAGAAATGTAGTACCATGCTTTTATTTCTAATGAGTCTACAAAAGAACAGAAATAGGGGAGGACACTAAAAAAAGAAATATATTGCTACCATAATAAAATAATATAAAAATGTGAATATTCTATAAATATATCTGTGTGTGTGTGTGTGTGTGCAGGTGTGTGTTTGACATAGGAGTTTGTGGAACACAGAAGAGTGCTTGGTTTTTGTGGACATGTTGCTTTAGTATTTTCTAGGTGCTGAGAACTCTATTTAGTGACCAGCCTTCGTCAGGGTGTGGGGCTCTGCTCTTCTTGTCTTGCTCATCATGGATGTGTATATCCCCTAAGTCTAGGCAGAAATACAATATCACCTTTGAGTAATGTATCCAGTGCCCCACTTGCTGCTACTTTATAGTCATGTGGGGCACTGGATACATTACTATAAGGTGATATTATTATGTTTCTGTCTAGACTTACCCTACATTCACTCTTTAAAACACTCTGACCATATATCTATCTTTTTCTTCCTCTTTAATTCTAAAGGAATCTGCTTCAGGTATGCCCATGTGTCTTTGGGTTTGTGTCAGGTGACAGACAAAGGGGGATTTACTGTTCTCATCATCTTTCTCTCAAAAGTATTTTTATTTGCCCTCCAATTTTTCTGTCTCATCCAGGATTTAAAATTTCCAAAGTAAAGAGCCAGAATATACTTTAAGAAAGTCTGTTCTCATTCTTTTAATAGCCATTTTATCAGGGATTATACAAACAGCCTAAAGAAAGGAAAGATAGGGAGAAAAGAAAACAAAAATAGACTAGATTATCAAAATATTGTATTTTTAGAATTATGACAAAATGTCTAAAAACAAGCCTAAAAATAAATGTATGGTACATGAAGAAAATTCTAATGAATATAGAAAAGTCTTAATATAATTTTTTATTTGTATTTATTATAATATAAAATAATAATATAAATAATATATAATTATATAATAAATAAGTAATTATTTGTTTATTCAATACATATATTTGAATATTATAATATTCTATATTATATTATGTTACAATACATATTTTTGAATATTATAATATTCCATATTATACTATAATATATTACAATACATAATTGAATATTTCAACAAATATATAAACATATCCATTTGAACAATATATAAATATATTACATATTGTGTATCACATATTATATTATGTATTATTATAATATATTATATTATGTATTATATTATATTATGTATTATGATGTATAATATATAACATAATTATAATTATGATATGTATTATAATATATAAAATATGCAAATGTGTATTATAAATATAAATACATGCACATGTAAATATAAATGCATGTACAAAAATAAGAAAAATGAGAATGAAGACAGACTATATGACATACAGGACATAATAACATGACCAAATATTCAAATTTTGGGAGATTTAGAAAGAGAAGAGATGATCAAAGACATAGAAAATCTCTTTATCAAATAGAAAAACATGCTCCTGAATAAACATTGGAGTCAATGGAGAAATTAAAATGGAAATCAAAAGTATTTTGGAACAAATGAAAATGAAAACATGACATACCAAATTCTGTGGAATACAGCAAAGTAATATTAAAAGTTTATAGCAATAAATGCCTACATCAAGAGTGGAAAGATTTCAAATAAACAACCTAACAATGCAAGAACGAGTCACACCTAAAATTAGTATAAGAAGATAAATAATAAAGATAAGAGGAGAACTAAATGAAATAGAGACTGAAAAAATTTACCAAGAAGTGTATTTTTAAAAAATTGACTTTTGGAAAAGATAAGCAAAAACAATAAACCATTAGCTATTAAAAACAAGAGAAAAAGAGAGATGATCCAAATAAATGAAATCAGGAACAATAAAAGGAGACTTTACAACTGATACCACAGAAATACAAAGTATTATTGGAGACTATTAAGAACATCTATACACTAACAAATAGAAAAACCTAGAGGAAATTAATAAATTCCTAGAACATGCAACTTACAAAGGTTGAACCATGAAGAAATAGAAACCCTGAATGGACCAATAACAAGTAACAAGGATTCAATCAGTAATAAAAATCTCCCAACAAAGAAAAGCCCTGGATTGCTTTACTGTTGAATTTTACCAACATATGAGGAAGAATTAACACCAATTCTCAAACTTTTTTTAAAAAATGGAATAGGTGGAAATTTTTTAACTCATTCTATAAGGCCAGCACTACTCTGATAGCAAAACCAGACAAAAACATCACAACAATAGTAACAAAACCACAGGCCAATATCCCTAATAAACATAGATGCAAAAACCCTCAAAAAAGAATACTAGCAAACCAAATCTAACAACACATCAAAAAGATAACATATAATTATCAAATGGGATTTCTCTTGAGGGCACCAGGATGGTTCAATATATGCAAATCAATAAATGTGATACATTACATCAACAGAGTGAAGGACAAAAACTATATGTGTATCTCAATAGATGCATAAAAAGTATTTGTTAAAATTTAACATTCTTCAGGATGAAAACTCTCAACAAATTAGCCGTAGGAGACACTTACCTCAACATAATGAAGGCCATGTATGACAAACCAACAGCTAACATTGTACTGAATGGGAAAGAACTGAAAGCCTTTTTTCTAAGAACTGGAACAAGAGAAAGATGCCTACTTTTACCAGTCTTAATCAGCATAGTACTAGAAGTCCTAGCCAGAGCAATTAAGAAAGAGAAATACAGGGCATCCAAATTGGAAAAGAGTAAGTCAAATTGCCCCCACTTTGCAGATGACACGTTCTTGTATTTTGAAAAACCTAAAGGCTCCACCACAAAATTCTTAGAACTTTTAATGAAATAAGAAAAGTTTCAGGATAGAAAATCAACTTACAAAATTCAGTAGGATTTCTATACATGAACAACAAACTAGCTGAAAAAAAAAAAAGAAAGCAATTCCATCTAAAATAGTTACAAAAGTATAAAATACCTAGAATAAATTTAACCAAGGTGGTGAAAGAGTTCTACAATGAAACCTACAAAACATCAACGAAGGAAATTAAATGCTGAGCAAACAAATGATAAGGCAACCCATGCTCACACGTTATAATAATTGATAAGGTTAAAATGACCATGCTACCTAATACAATCTACAGATTCAATGTAATCCCTGTCAAAATACCAGTGACACTCTTCACAGAAATAGAAAATAAAAATCCTAGTATATGTATGGAATCACAAAAAGACCCCAAACTGCCAAACTAATACTGCTCAAAAAGAACAAATAAATCTGGAGGCATCACACTACTTGACTTTAAAATATACTATAAAGCTATAGTAACCAAAACATCATAATATTGGTATAAAAACAGATACATCAACCAGTAGAACAGAATAGAGAACCCAGAAGTAAAACCACATGTTTATAGCCAACTGATTTTCAACAAAGGCACTGAGAACATAGATCGGAGAAAGAAATCCTCTTCAATAAATGGTGCTGGAAAACTGGACATCCTTATGCAGAAGGATGAAATGACCTCTATCTCTCGTGATATACAAAAATCTACTCAAAGTGAATCAAGAACCTAAATACAAGATCCAAAACTGTAAAACTGCTAAAAGAAAACTTAGAGAAAATGCTTCAGGACATTGGTCTGGGCAGAAATTTTATGGGTAAGAGGATAAGACCTCAAAATGACAGGCAACAAAAGCAAAAATAGACAAATGTAATATATCAAACTAAAAAGCTCTGCAAAGCTAAAGAAACAATCAACAGAGTGAAGAGACAACCTGTAGAATGGAAGAAAATATTTGCAAACTATTCATCTAACAAGGGACTGATATTCAGAATATACAAGGCACTCAAATAACAGAAAAAAACAAACAAAACCAAAACACAAATAATCTGACTAAAAAATGGGCAAATGATTAGTGACATGGTTTGGATGTTTGCCTCCTCCAAATCTCATGTTGAAATGTGATTCTCAATGTAAGAATGGGGTCTGGTGGGAGGTGATTGGCTCATGAAGGTGGATTCCTCATGAATGGTTTAGCATCATCCTCTTGATGATACATGAGTTCCTGTCCAGTTAGTTCACATGAGATCTGGTTGTTTAAAAAAGTGTACCACTTCCCCTTCACTCTCTCTTGCTCCCACTCTCACCATGTGACACATTGGCTCTCCTTCACCTTATGCCTTGATTATAAGATTCCTAAAGCCCTCACTGGAAGCAGATGCAGGCACTATTCTTTGTGTACAGACTGAAGAAACATGAGCCAATTAAACTTCTTTCCTTTATAAATTACCAAGTCTCAGGTATTTCTTTATAGCAATGCAAGAATGGACTAATACAGAAAATTGGTACCAGGGAGTAGGGCATTGCTATAAAGACAGGTAAAGGTATGGAGGTGGCTTGGGAACTGGGTAACGAGCAGACGTTGCGAGAGTTTGAAGGTCTCAGAAGACAGGAAGATGGGGGAAAGTTTGAGACTTCTTAGAGACTGGTTAAATAATTGTGACCAAAATGCTAATAGAGATATATGGACAGTGAAGTCCAGGCTGACAAGGTCTCAGGTGGAAATGAAGAAGTTTTTGGGAACTGGAGTAAAAGTCACTTGTGTTACATGCTAGCAAATAACTTAGCTGCATTGTGTTCATGTCCTAGGGATCTGTGGCACTTTGAAGTTGTGACTGATTACTTAGGGTATCTGGTGGAATAAATTTCTAAGCAGCAAAGCATTGAAGAGGTACCCTGGCTGCTTCTAACGGCCTAGGATCAGATATAGAAGCAAATAAATGACTTAAGGTTGGAACTTATATTTAATAGGGAAATAGAGTGTAAAAGTTTGGAAAATTTGCAGCATGACCCTGTGGTAGAGAAAGAATCCAAGCGGGCTGTGGAGCAACCACTTGCTAGAGAGATTAGCATAACTAAAAAGGAGCCAGCTGTGAATATCCAAGATAATGGGGGAAAAGTCCCAAAGGCATTTTAGAAATATCTGAGGCAGCACCCCCCATGATAGTCCCAGAGGCCTAGAGGCAAATAATGGTTTGGGGGGCCAGGTTTAAGACTCTGCTTCCCTGCACAGCCTTGGGACACTGCTCCCTATATCTGAGCGTCTCTGGCTCCAGCATCAGCTCACAGGGTCCCAGGTACAGCTTGACCCAGGTACAGCTCGACCCAGGTACAGCTCTGGACAGTGCAAACCATAAGTCTTGGTGGTTTCCATGTAGTGTTAAGTCTGCAGATGCTCAGAATGCAAGCATGAAAGAGGCCTGGCAGCCTAGTAGATACTCTGCTAGGGTAGTGCCAGGGGAAATGTGGAGTTGGAGCCCTCACACAAAGTTCCCACTGGAGCACTGCCTAGTGGAGCTGTAAGAAGGGAGCCACTGCCCTCCAGACCCCATAATGATAGATCCACTGGCAGCTTGTACCCTGCCCCTGGAAAAGCCACAGGCATTCCACTCCAATCCATAAGAGTAGCTATGAGCTGCTATGAGCTATGTCCAGGGAAGTCAAAGGTGATTTAATCAATGCCTTAGTTGGTTTCATACTGCATGGAGCTTATTGCTCCTTTCTTTTGGCCTATTTCTTCCTTTTGGAATGGACATGTATACCCAATGCCTGTGCAACCATTGTATCTTTGAAGTAAATAACTTGTTTTTGATTTTACAGGCTCCTAGGTAGAAGGAACTTGGTCTTGAGTCTCAGACAAGACTTTGGACTTTGGACTTTGTGTTGACACTGGAATGAGTTAAGACTTTGGGGGACTCTTGGGAAGGGATGATTGTAATTTACAATGTGAGAAGGACAGGAGATTTGGGGTGTCAGAGGTGGAATGATATGGTTTGAATGATTGTCCCTTCCAAATGTCTTGTTGAAATGTGACCTCCAATGTTGGAGGTGGGGTCTAGTTAGATCATGGAGGTGGATCCCTCATGAATGGATTGATGCCCTCCCTATTGTAATGAGTGAGTTCCTGCTCTGTTAGCTCACATGAGTGCCAGTTGTTTAAAGGAGCCTGGCTCCTCTTCCTCATTGTCTCTTGCTCCTGCTCTCTTCATGTGACATGCCTGTTTCCGCTTTGCCTTTCACCATGATTGCAAGGCTCTTAATGCCCTCATCAGAAGTAGATGCCAGTGCTGTGCTTCTTGTACAGCCTGCAGAACCATGAGCCAATTAAACTTTTCTGTTTATAAATTATCCAGCCTAAGGCATTTCTTTATGGCAATGCAAGGGGACTAGTACAATCAGAGTAGACATTTCTCAAAAGAACACATGCAAATAGCCAACAGATATATTTTTAAAATGCTCAACATCAGTAATCATCAGGGAAATGCAAATCAAAATCACAAGGAGCTATCATCTTACTCTAGCTAGAATGGCTATTATCAAAAGGACAAAAAAAATTCTGTTGAGGATGTAGAGAAAATGGAATCCTTATACATGATTTTTCGGAATGTAAATTAGTATAACCACTACAAAAAACAGTATGAAAGCTTACCAAATAATTAAAAATAGAACTACTATACTATCCACCAATATCACTGCTGAGAATTTATTCAAAAGAAAGGAAATCTTCGGCAAAGTCTCAGGATACAAAATCTATGTACAAAAATCACAAGCATTCTTATACACCAATAACAGACAAACACAGAGCCAAATCATGAGTGAACTCCCATTCACAATTGCTTCAAAGAGAATAAAATACCTAGGAATCCAACTTACAAGGGACGTGAGGGACCTCTTCAAGGAGAACTACAAACCACTGCTCACAGAAATTAAAGAGGATACAAACAAATGGAAGAACATTCCATGCTCATGGGTAGGAAGAATCAATATCGTGAAAATGGCCATACTGCCCAAGGTAATTTATAGATTCAATGCCATCCCCATCAAGCTACTAATCACTTTCTTCACAGAATTGGAAAAAACTATTTTAAAGTTCACATGGAACCAAAAAAGAGCCCACATCGCCAAGTCAATCCTAAGCCAAAAGAACAAAGCTGGAGGCATCACGCTACCTGACTTCAAACTATACTACAAGGCTACAGTAACCAAAACAGCAAGGTACTGGTACCAAAACAGAGATACAGATCAATGGAACAGAACAGAGCCCTCAGAAATAATGCCGCATATCTACAACTATCTGATCTTTGACAAACCTGAGAAAAACAAGCAATGGGGAAAGGATTCCCTATTTAATAAATGGTGCTGGGAAAACTGGCTAGCCATATGTAGAAAGCTGAAACTGGATCCCTTCCTTACACCTTATACAAAAATTAACTCAAGATGGATTAAAGACTTAAACGTTAGACCTAAAACCATAAAAACCCTAGAAGAAAACCTAGGCTTTACCATTCAGGACATAGGCATGGGCAAGGACTTCATGTCTAAAACACCGAAAGCAGTGGCAACAAAAGCCAAAATTGACAAATGGGATCTAATTAAACTAAAGAGCTTCTGCAAAGCAAAAGAAACTACCATCAGAGTGAACAGGCAACATACAAAATGGGAGAAAATTTTCGCAACCTACTCATCTGACAAAGGGCTAATATCCAGAATCTACAATGAACTCAAACAAATTTACAAGAAAAAAACAAACAACCCCATCAAAAAGTGGGCGAAGGACATGAACAGACACTTCTCAAAAGAAGACATTTATGCAGCCAAAAAAACACATGAAAAAATGCTCACCATCACTGGCCATCAGAGAAGTGCAAATCAAAACCACAATGAGATACCATTTCACACCAGTTAGAATGGCAATCATTAAAAAGTCAGGAAACAACAGGTGCTGGAGAGGATGTGGAGAAATAGGAACACTTTTACACTGTTGGTGGGACTGTAAACCCTTAGGTACATTCAAGGAACTTAAAGAATAGAGAATAGATATACTTTTAGACATGTTACATAGTATTAAGATATGCACTTATTTAATATTTATTTTCTTTGGATACATATCTAGAATTATTGGGTCCAAGGTATGCCCTTATTTTTAGAACACATGCTTAGAATAATTATAGATATACAGATACATTGTAAAGTTAAGACAAAGTAGTCCTGTACACCCCACACCCAGTTTCCTCTATTATTAGTGTCTTACATTAGTATGGTGCATATGCCCCAATTTATAAACCAATATTGACACATTATTATGAACAATAGTAGATATATTGTTCATATTTTATTTGTTATAATCTATAATGTCCTTTGTCTGTTAGAAGATTCTATCTGGGTTACCACATTATATTTACATTACATTTTTTCTTCATGTCTCCTTAAGCTTCTCTTAGCTGTGATAGTTTCTCAGCTTTTTTTTCCCTTGTTTTGTTTTTATTTTTGTTTTGAAGACTCTACCAGTTTTGTCGCGTACTGGTCAGGTATTTTTTAGAATATCTCTCAGTTGGGATTTATTTGATGGTTTTCTCATGATTAGATTGGAATCATGGGTTTGGGAGAAAAAGATTCCATAGGCACAGCTTGGGCGACAGAGAGAGACTCTGTCTCAAAAAAAAAAAATCCATAGACAAAGAGAAACAGATGCTTTATTGTACTTAAGTAAAGTCCTGGAAGTTGTGATATTTTTGGCATTAGGATATTAAATTTTATGCATATATATATATATAAGGTATCATATAAAGAAGAAAGAACACATTATCAGTTTCAATCAACTTTGAATCAAATTTGGAATCTTATACTTTACAACCTGGATAATTTTGGACATGTTATTAATAGTTCACAACCTTTTCTTCTGGATTTTTGAAATAAGGCTCATAGTCCAATGACTATCTAGCTAGAGAGGCTTTCAAGATTCTCTAATTTATTGCCACATTCACTTTGTGACATCCCAATTGTTTTAAACCCATTGACACTGGTTGCATCTGATTGGACCAGGAATCCTCAACTGGTTCATGTGAAGAGACCTGGCACCACAATTCTGCCCCATGGCATGTATTAGTCAGCTCAGGCTGCCATAGCAATATGCCATCACCTGGGTGGCTTAAGCAACAAAAACATATGTTCTCCCAGTTCTGGAGGCTAGAAGTTCAAGATCAAGGCGCTGACATGGTTGGGTTCTTTGCAAGGCTCTCTTTCTGACTTCCAGAAGGCCACTTTCTTCTATGTCCTCATATGGCAGAGATTCATTCTCTCTCTCTCTCTTTCTCTCTCTCTCTCTCTCCCTCCCTCTCTCTCCCTTCCTCTTCTTATGAGGCCTGTTCTGTCAGCTTAGGGTCCCACCCTTATTTCACTCACCTAACCTTAATTACCTGCTAAAGACTCTACTTCAGGTATAGTAACACTGGGGGTTAGGGCTTCAACTTATGAATTTTGGAGGAACACAGTTCAGTTCATAGCAGGCAGTTCCAAGACAGATTCTGATTCTCTAAACCCATTACCTCCTCACCTTTGAATTATTTGAATTCAAAAAATGAAAAGTCAGCTGATTGAGGGATTAGTTTCAGCCAGGTCACTATTGCACTGAGAGCTACAGCATTATACTAAAGAAGAAACAATATGAGGCAGTTCTGTGCAGTGGTTAAGGCCACTTAACCTGGATTCAAAACGACTTGTTTTGAAAATTGGCTCTGCCACTTACCAACTAGGTAATTCTGGGCAAGTTACTTAACTTGTCTTTGCCTCTCTATTTCTGTAAAATAGGGATAATAATAGTATTGCCTCATAATGTTATTGTGTGGATGAAATAGACAACATATGTGCAGCTTTAGCAAACCTGGCATGTAAAATGTGCTCAATAAAGAGTTGAGGCTTTTGTTATTGTTAGTATTGTTATTCCTCACGTGGTCTATCAATGGACTCTCATTAACCGAGCAAATTCATTTAGTGCAGCCAGAAATGAATTACACATTACTCTGTGAAATGGTCATGGAGTAAAAAACTGCCTATGGCCTTTGTATACCACCCTTTCTCTTGTTTTTTGTTTTTTGTTTTTCTGGTTAACTCTTCTTCACCCACTAAGAGTTATCTAATATATCACATCTAGCAAACTTACCTGTCCTCAATGGCTTCCATGGCTTCCTAATTTCAGTATTAAGAACTGAGGCTCTTGACATTGTTTGTGTTAGTTTTAACGTGACTTTAAGCATGTTACACAAAGTATCCAAGCACCAATTTCTCCTTCAGAAAATGGGACACAATTTTCTGTCACTGAGGCAGTATAAAATTTAAATAAATAATGTACATACAATAATGAGCATGATGCCTAGTGAGTACTCAATAATTAACAGAGATTCTTAGATTAGATACTAATCTTGCTGTGTCATTATTACCTGCACAATGATTGAAATATTCTATTCATTTGTTTGTGACACAGTAAATATGTGAATTAGAATATAAGATCTAAGATGGCAAACTACATCATCTTAGCCAAGGATCTCTAAATCTTAACTTCCCCAATTGAGCTAGAAGCATTTTGCTCTATAGGTTCTGCCTAGCTTTTGCTCTAGGCTTGTCATTTTTTTCTATAAATGGTCACACAGTAAACATTTTTGGTGTTACTAGCCAGTCTTTTGCACAGAATATTTCTCTCTGCAATGTGAAGCCAAAGCAGCTATAGGCAATCTGTGACCAAATGGGTACAGCTGTGTTCCAATACAACCTTATTTACATACATAGAACACTGTTGTATTTGGCATGCCAGCCATAGTTTGCTGACAGATTCCTTGCAGATTACACTATAATTATCTATGACTGTTTTCCCTCATTTTCAACTATATGATCTTATTTTTCACTATGTTGAAACTCCTGCCACATCTCTATTTTAGAACTTCTGTGTGTTCTAATCTGTACAATAATAAACCAGAGTAATATAATATTCCAATTATAACTGAATGAAAAATGAGTTTTTGTTAGAACTGGAGATACCTTCTCAGTGATTTTGAAGATTTTTTAATATAAAAAAATTCCAAGAAAAGTGGGTCTCCTCATTTTGGTGAAGATGGAATGAGAGTCCTGGAGCCCCACCCCCAGATTCTGGGACAGCTGCCAACTGGCAATCATACCCAGTAAGTAGGGCTGACTTAGCCCAAGAAGGTATTTCCCGGTTAAAAAAAACAGGCAATTATGTGAAACTAATAGAGCTTAGAATCTTTGAAGAATCTGATGGTGCATTGCCCTTGCCTACACTTCTCTGGCCTGGCAGTCCTCATAGTTTATTTCCTACATGTAGTTGTGTCATTTTGTCAGTAAAGCAGCACTTGGCACCATTAAAACCAAAATGTTAAATTTATTTTATACCAGATATAATGTTAATTTTGTACATAAAACTCTACTTTGCAAACTGAGATTCAATAGTAACATCCTATTCAAAAAAACATGCTTTGGCTGGGCGCGGTGCCTCACGCCTATAATCCCAACATTTTCGGAAGCCCAGGCAGATGGATCACCTGAGGCCAGGAGTTCAAGACCAGCCTAGCCAAGATAACAAAACTCTGTCTCTACTAAAAATAAAAATAAAAATAATTTTAAAAAAAAGAAAAAAAGAAATACAAAAATTAGTGGGGCAAGGTGGCTCCTGCCTGTAGTCCCAGCTACTCGGGAAACAGGCAGGAGAATCACTTCAAGCTGGGAGGCAGAGAGTGCAGTGAGCAGAGATCATGCCACTGCACTCCAGCACTCCATCTCAAACAAAACCAAACAAACAAACAAATAAACAAAAAAAACATGTTTTTTTCTTACTTGCAGGTTTTATCTCTATAATTGAAAAAATAAAACTCAAGGGGGAAGGCATAAATACCAGTTAATACTGATCTTATATTCTACAGTTGATTGTATGAGGCATATTAACTCCCAAAACTTAATACTATGCTCATTATACTACTATTAGTTAATGTTATATATTCTAGTGAATATATTATTTTTATATATTCTATAGTTTAAGTTCAGTGGAAATCAGAAAACCTGATGCATTGTTTTATGCTGGTATTTTGTCTTTTTCTCCACAAGCACACATGTGATTTTATTAAATTCTTCTTCCCTTTTTATTTTTTTATTTTTGAGATGGAGTCCCCCTCTGTCATCCAGGCTGGATGGAGTGCAGTGGTGCAATCTCGACTCACTGCAACCTCCTCCTTCCAGGTTCAAGCAATTCTCCTGCCTCAGCCTCCCAAGTAACTGCGACTACAGGCATGTGCTACCACGCCCAGCTAATTTTTGTATTTTTAGCAGAGACAGGGTTTCACCATGTTGGCCAGGCTAGTCTCGAACTTCTGACCCCAAGTGATCCGCCCACCTTGGCCTCCCAAAGTGCTGGGATTACAGGTGTGAGCCACCAAGGCCAGCCTAAATTTTCTTAAGGATCCTGAGACATAGGAACAAATAATTTAAAATTTCAGCTCAGTGCCATTAAGAGCTCTTGTTTTACCCTTATAAACCATTTTCTGGTAGATTACTCGCTCATTTGACTCCTAATTAATATGCTGTTAACTTCTCTGTCCATTGCTCTTTTTTCACTTTGTCTACATCGTTTCTTGCATGATTCATTCTGTCCCATGGCCTATTTATTATTCTTACCCACCAAATCATAAATGTGTATCCCCAGTCCTGATCTTCTAACTGAGCCTAAGATCCATATAACCAACCTCTGAACCCAGCATGTCCAGGACTTCACATATACCACCCACAGCACACACAGTTTTCCATGATTTGAGCTTTGTAAATTCTCAGACTCTACTCCTCACACTTCCTGTTTCACACTTATATATCATTAAAACTGAACTCCACTCCTACCTCATTATACATTTGTGTTAACTTCAGGGTATTAAAATTATATCCAACTTTATCTTACCTACTAAGCTATGAACTCATTGAGTTCAATAATTCATTAACTCCAAAGCTTTATTTATTTATGAAGATCCAATACCTAACTTGGTGTTTAATAATGATAATGAATATTGTTTGAGTTGAACCGAACTAAAATACATCAAACTCAAGCCTCCTCTGATATCCACAGTTATCTAGCTCACTGGTGGATGTTAGGGTGTGTTGGTGCAAATTGTAATACTCTATTCTTATCCATAGGTGGCAGCAAGCCCCTAAAATTAGGGGGAAAATGGGCTGTGCATAGATAGGAGGATATCTATATCTATCCAAAAATACTAAGCAAGGGAAGAAAATACAATCTATTAACTTGGGAGCTCCTTAAGTGAGTGTTTCTGTCTTAATTACTCAATATCCCCAGGGTCCCTACATACCTCATTGTCTCACTCCTTCCAGACTTTTGTAAGTGCCGTTGTGTTGGTCTCTACATCTGTTTGCTGGTAGCTGAGAATAACAATGAAGTTGATTAAATTTGGTTTTGGTAATATATTTTTCTCTGGACAAACCTCTCTCTTGGCTGTTCCCGAAGTACCTATCACCCATTCTATACGGCTTTTCCTGAATTATTTTTCAATTTATTTCTAATACATGTTAATTATTTTTTACATATTATTACATAGGATGTATTATCTATATATGTCCTATGAAGTATTTGTACCATAATACAGAATACTCTAAAAAAAAATGACAAAAGTTACCAAATTCTTTCCATTCTTCTATTTCCTAGGTAACCAATCCTTACCACGTGACATGCATCCTTCTCCATATTTATACACACTCATAAAAAGTGCACACACACACACACACACACACAGGAATTTGAGGTGGTTTTGGTTCATTTTTTAAAAAATGAGCTAGTGTTGTCTTAATTTGTGTAAAATAGTTTTCTACCTTAAAACAGATACTATACATTCCTCCGGGTTCATATGTGTACATCTAACTTATTTTTAATAGATACAAAGTATTCCACAACCACAATCCAATCAACATTTTATTCTTTATAGATAAACAAGTTAATACCAGTTTCTGAGAGCCCCCTCCCTCAGAGTTTCATCACACAGATACTTTACAATTTATCTGGAGAAATTGTCTTTAAGAAAAAAAAATGGTCTTTTTCTCTCTGTGGAAATCATATATAAACAGAGACTCCAAAGCATTTTTTATTTTTAATTGTGTTGATATTGCCAAATAAGTTTCTGGAATGCAATAATAATTAATATTCCCATAAACATGATCAGGAGTAAACCCACAGCTAACATCATACTCAATGGGGAAAGACTGAAAGCTTTCTCCATAACCCATTTATGCCTGAGGTTGCAACTTTTTGAATTTTTGCAATCAGACCTTGACAATAACCTTGAGCAGTTGGATATAAATTATTCCCATATGCTTAGTGTTCCGATAATGGGACACTAGGCATAAATGGTTTTAAGCTCAAGAACATAACAAGAATGTCTGCTTTCACCATTGCTATTCATTATTGTACTAGTAGTTCTAGCCAGTACAATTAGATAAGAAAAGGCATCCAAATTGGAAAGGATTAAGTAAAACTATCTCTATTTACATATAACATGATCCTGCATATAGAAAATCCCAAAAAAAATCACAAGAAAGCTATTAGAGCTAAGAAATGTGGTTAGCAATGTTGAACAATATCAATAAACGACGAAAATCAATTTTGTTCCTATAATATTTGCAGTGAACAATGCAAAAAGGAAATTAATAAAGCAATTTCATTTACAATAGCATTTAAATAATAATATACATATTTAGGAAATAAATTTAACCAAAATTTGCAAAACTTTTGTTTTATAGTTTACTTGAAAACTATAAAGCATTGTTGAAACAAATTTTGAAAAAACTGAATAAATGGAGCAACAACTCATGCTCATAGGTAAGAAGACTTAATATTGTTAAAACATTAACTCTATCCAAAGTGATCTACAGGTTCAATGCAATCCCTATCCAAACTGCCACAGCTTTTTAGCAGAAGTGGAAAAGATGATCCTCAAATTCATATGAATTGCAAGAGGCTTTGAACAGTCAAAACATTTGTTAAAAACAAAACCATAGTTGACCCACACTACCTGCTTGTTATGGACTGCAGGTTTGTGTCCCCTTAAATCATTTTTTGTTGAAACCTAACCCTCAATGGTATGAAATTAAGAAGTGGGGCCTTTGGGAGGTAATGAGATTTAGATGAGATCTGCTTTTAAAAAGAGAAAGAGGGCCGGGCACGGTGGCTCATGCCTGTAATCCCAGCACTTTGGGAGGCCGAGGCAGGCAGATCACCAGGTCAGGAGTTCGAGACCAGACTGGCCAATGTGGTGAAACCCTGTCTCTAGTAAAAACACAAAAATTAGCCAGGTGTGGTGGTGACTGCCTGTAGTCCCAGCTACTCAGGAGGCTGAGGCAGAAGAATCGCTTGAACCCGAGAAGAGGAGCTTGCAGTGAGCCGAGATCATGCCACTGCACTCCAGCCTGGGTGGGAGAGCGAGACTCTGTCTTAAAAAAAAAAAAAAAAAAAAAGAAAGAGACTAGAGTTCACTTTCTGTCCACCACATGAAAATATGGCAAGAGGATAACTATCTGTAAGCCAGGAAGAGGTCCCTCATCAGTACCCAGCCATTCTGGCACTTTAATTTTGGACTTCTCAACGTCCAGAAGTCTGAGAAATAAATTTATATTGTTAAAGTCACTCAGTCTATGGTATTTTTGTCATAGCAGCCTGAATGACTAAACACTGCCCAAACTGATTAAAATGCTGGTTTTATTACAAAACTAAATAATCAAAACAGTGTGGCACTGGCATAAGGATAGACACATAAATGAATGAAATAGAATTCAGAATCCAAAAATAAACTCATACACCTATGGTCAATTGATTTTTAACAAAGACCACACATCTGATCTTTGACAAACCTGACAAAAACAAGCAATAGGGAAAGGATCTCCTATTCGATAAATGGTGCTGGGAAAACTGACTAGCCATATGCAGAAAACTGAAAATGGACCCCTTTATTACACCTTATACAAAAATTAACTCAAGATGGATTAAAGACTTAAGTGTAAAACCCAAAACCATAAAAACCCTAGAAGAAAACCTAGGCAATACCATTCAGGACATAGGCATGGGCAAAGACTTCATGATCAAAATGCCAAAAGCAATTGCAACAGAAGTCAAAATTGACAGATGGGATCTAATTAAACTGAAGAGCTTCTGCACAGCAAAAGAAACTATTATCAGAGTGAACAGACAACCTCCAGAATGGGAGAAAATTTTTGCAATCTACCCATCTGACAAAGGTCTAATATCCATGACTTACTATAAAGACACATGCACACATATGTTTATTCCAGCACTATTTACAATAGCAAAGTCATAGAACCAACCCAAATGCCCATCAATGACAGACTGGATAAAGAAAATGTTGTACATATACACCATGGAATACTATGCAGTCATAAAAAGGAATGAGTTCATGTCCTTTGCAGGGACATGGATGAAACCGGAAGCCATCATCCTCAGCAAACTAACACAGCACAGAAAACCAAACACCACATGTTTTCACTCATAAGTACGAGTTGAACAATGAGAACATATGGACACAGGGAGGGGAACAATACACACCAGGGTCTGTTGGGGGCTGGGGGACAAGAGCAGGAAACTTAGAGGACAGGTCAACAGGTGCAGCAACCACCATGGCACACGTATACCTATGTAACAAAGCTGCAAACTCTGCACATGTATCCCAGAACTTAAAGTAAAATAAATAAATAAACAAACAAAGACACCAAGTCTAGTCAATAGGAGAAGAATAGTCACTTCAAGAAATGGTGCTGGGCAATTGAATTTCTACATGTCAAGGAATAAAGTTGAACCCCTTTCCCCATATTGTGTGCAAAAATTAACTAAAAAGTGGGTTAATGACCTAAATATAAGAGTTAAAGCTATAAAACTCATAGAATAAAATTTGGATTTGACAATGAGTTCTTAGATATGAGACCAAAAAAACACAAATAACAACAACAGAAAAGACAGGATGGACTTCATCAGTATTAAAAACTTTGTGACTCAATGAGTATTATCAAGAAAGTGAAAAGACAATCTACAGAATGGGAAAATATATTTGGAAATTATATATATGATGAGCTTAATATCAAAAACATACAAAGAACTTCTACAACTCAACAACAAAAAGATAACCTAATTACAAAATGGGAAAAAGCTGAAATAAACATTGTTCCAAAGAAGATATACAAATGGCCAATAAGCACATAAAAAGATCCTCAACATTGTTAGTTATTAGGAAAACACCAATCAAAAGTGTAATTATACATAGATATAGACATAATAGCAACCATAGCTATACCACTTATTATTTATCATCTACCTTTCTGTCACTATTGCTTATACCTCATATTCTATATAAATGAAGAGCTTCAATTGCTTTTTATGGCTGAATAATATTCCATTAAAGTATACATATTACATTTTTAATTTAATTTTTTTATTTCAAATAGCTTTTGGGGTACAAGTGGTTTTGGGTTACATGGATGAATTACAGGGTGGGAAATTCTGAGGCTGAGATTTTAATGCATCCATCACCCGTCACATTGTAGCCAATATGTAGTTTTTTATCCCTCACCAACTCTCCTCTATCCCCCTTTTGAGTCTCCAAAGTCCATTATATCACCCTGTATGCCTTTGCCTATTCATAGCTCAGCTGTCACTTATAAGTGAGAACATACGGTGTTTGGTTTTCCATTCCTGAGTTACTTCACTTTAAATAATGGCCTACAGCTCCATCTAAGCTGCTGCAAAAGACATAATTTCATTGCTTTTTATGGCTGAGTAGTATTCCATGGTGTATATATACCACATTTTCTTTATCCACTCATTGGTCAATGGGCATTTAAGTTGGTTCCAGATCTTTGCAGTTATGAATTGAGCTGCAATAAACATATGCGTGCATGTGTCTTTTTCATATCATGACTTCCTTTCTTTTGGGTAAATACCCAATAGTGGGAATGCCAGATTAAATGGCAGGTCTAATTTTAGTTCTTTAAGTAATTGCCATACTGTTTTCCATAGAGGTTGTACTAATTTACATTCCCACCAGCAGTGTATAAGTGTCACCCTTTCACTGTATCCACACCAACATCTATTGTTTTTCGACTATTTTATAGCGACCATTCTTGAAGGAGTAAGATGATACCTCATTGTGGTTTAATTTTCATTTCCCTGATCATTAGTGATGTTGAGCATTTTTTCATATGTTTTTTGGCCATTTGTATATCTTCTTCTGAAAATGTCTATTCATGTCATTTGCCCAATTTTTAATGAGATTATTTGTTTTTTATTTTCATGATTTGTTTGAGTTTCTTATAGGTTCTGGATACTAGTCCCTTGTCAGATGCACAATTTGCAAATGATTTCCTCCCATTCTGTGGCTTGACTATTTACTCTGATGATTTTTTTTTTTTTTTTTTTTTTTTGCTGTGCAGAAGCTTTTTAATTAATCAGATCTCATTTATTTATTTTGTTTTAGTTGCATTTGCTTTTGAGATCTTAGTCATGAATTCTTTACCCAGGCCAATGTTCAGAAGGTTATCTTCTAGAATTTTTGTGGTTTCAGATCTTAGATGGTAAGTCTTTTATCCATCTTGTGTTGATTTTTGAATAAAGTGAGAGATAGGGATCCAGTTTTATTCTTCTACATGTAGCCAGTTTTTCCAGCACCATTTATTAAATAGGTTATCTGTTTCTCAACTTATGTTTTCTTATGCTTTGTCAAAGATCAGTTGGTTGTAAGTATTTGGCTTTACTTCTGGGTTCTGTATTCTGTTTCACTGGTCTATATGCCTGCTTTTATATGAGTACCATGCTGTTTTGGTAGTAGCCTGCAATATTAAGTTAGGAGGCAAGACTTGACTCTGGAGGGAGGGCTCAGATACCAGACCAAAATGGAGGACTAGATAAAACAAGGCTGGGGCAGAAGCAGCTTTTCATAGCACAGGCCCATCAGTGTGCTGTGTCAGTTTACCATTGCCACAGCAACACCTGGAAGTTACTGCCCCTTTCCACAGCAAAAACCCAACAACCCAGATGTTTCCAACTTTTTCCTAGAAATTTCTGTATAAACCATCCTTTAATTTTCATATAAGTAAAACTGGGTATAAATATGAGTGCAGAGCTGCCTCTGAGCTGCTATTCTGAGCATACTGTCTACAGGGCAGCCCTGCTCCTCAAGGAGCAGTACCTCTGTTGCTGCTGTACACTACCGCTTCAATAAAAGTTCAACACCACTGGCTCACCCTTGAATTCTTCCCTGGGAGAAGCCAAGAACCCTCCCAGGCTAATTCCCAGTTCTGGGGTTTGCCTGTCCTGCATCAGTATGATTTGAAGTCCAGTAATGTGAAGCCTCAAGATTTGTCCTTTCTGCTTAGGATTGCTTTGGCTATTTGAGGTTTTTCTTGGTGCCATTTGAATTTTATGATTGTTTTCTCAAATTCTATGAAAAATAATGTTAGTATTTTGATGGGAATTGCATTGAATCTGTAGATTGCTTTGGAAAGTGTGGTCATTTTCACAATATTGAGTCTTCCAATCCATGAACTTGGGGTGTGTTTCCATTCGTTTGTGTCATCTATGATTTCTTTCAGTAGTGTTTCGTAGTTTCCCTTTGTAGAGACCTGTCACTTCCTTGGACATGCTTATTCCTAGGTATTTTATTTTCTTTTTGCAGCTGTTGTAAAAGGTTGAGTTCTTGATTTGATTCTCAGTTTGGGCATTGTTAATATTCTTAATGGAATAATATTTCATTAATGTATACATATTACATTTTGTTTATTCATTCATCTGTTGATGGCAACTTGGAATGTTTCCATCTTTTGACTAATTTGAATAATGCTATAATGAACACTGGCATACAAGAATGTATATCTATATATTCATCTACCTATCTATCTAATTTGGATTCAATGAGAAAATAAGGTATGTGTGGCATGAACAGCCCCTCTTCCTAATCTTATACTCCTTTTGCTAATCTTATACTCCTTATACTCCCCAAGCTCCCAAGTCTATTCCCACCACCAGAAGCAAAAAGCTAGTCTTCTGGTGGAACAGCGAGTCTGTGAAACAGCAAGGCATGTTCCACAAAATTGTTCTACCAAAAGTTGGGTCTGATTTCTAGTTGATTCAACATCTCAGTTGTTTAACAGTTTGCCAAATTGTTATTGTCAAAGCTACTTGTTAGTAATTCAAGGAATTAAATTTTTGTGTAATCAGGCCACAAGTACCCATACTGTTACTTCTGATTTATTTTCTTTATAGGTGCAGTCTATGAAAAACCTTGGTGCCTATTCTTTTTTTCCTAAGCTTACCACAAAATCACAAAGCATAAAGGAATTCTCATAATAAGTAGCCTACAAAACCTAGAGAGTAAAGCAGCCAGGGAGAAGAAAAAAGGAGTCGACTAAAGGTGAAGTTCAAGGATAATGATGGAGTTGGAGAATTACAGTAACAAGATGTTAATGAGCATGTGTCTTCTCTAAAGGAAGAGAGAAACATTTTATGCTGTTAAAAATCAAATAAAGTCTTGTTTATATCTGCCAGTGTCTACAGTAATAATGGCTATATATCATTCATTATATTATGTCAAAGTATCCATTTTAATTTAATTTAATTCAGTCAGTAAACATTTACTGAGACTATGGTATCCTAGGATCTTATGAATTTCAGAAATTTATGGTCTATAGAGTTATGCCATAAGTTTCTTCCAGCTCCTTTTATACTTGAAAGAATAATGAGGTTCAGTAATAACATAGTATCAACATTAAGAGCAACAGCCATAGCAACAACGAAACAATTCTCAGGAAGGCTTTTCCTTAGACTATTTGGAAAAACAAATTAGAAAATTTTTTTTTATTTTATTAAATCAGCATTAGGTTCTTGTTTCTAATATATGCCTCAACAACTGCCAAACATTTTACTAAGAAATAATTACCTAATGCAGCGATATTACCTTTCATGGGTTTACATATATAATTTGAATAGTCATAATTTTATTTCATTATTTAATGGCATTACTGTATTAGTAATGTTTATGTCATAAAATCAAAATGTTATTACTAAAAAATACAATAAATTCCAAGAACTTTAAATTATAATGAATAAGAAGAAAACAGGTTTGTGTTTGTGTGTGTACATTTGTATGTGTGCCAATGTCAGTTTACAGCTGTAAATACTTTTTAAAAAGACAAAGCATGTAACTTACAGACCTGACATCTGATTCTCATGTGACTCACTCTGATTTATTGTGTGCCATATGGCTTATTTCACCATATTTTTAATTCTGGCATGCTATGAAACACCTTTATTAATTATATTATAGAAAAACAGTCCCTCATTCATGTGAAAATAGAAAATATTTTGTTTCACCTACAGGCCCCACAAAAAGACTAATATTTCAATGAATAATTTTAATCTCTTCCTATCCTTTAGGTAGAAATAATAAACTTAATCTATCCTTGGGCTTCTAAATTTTTTCCTCTTTTTAGTTAATAACTATATATTTAGAGAACACGAGGGAAACATTTTAAAATAGCAACTTATTAAAGGTTAATATATCAAGAATAACATGATTTATTTTTGCCTGTCTTTATTTTCTTATTTTATTTTGATAATAATGTCAATACATGCTTTGAAATAAGTGTTTTGGGAAGTCTGATATAAAATTCTAAAAAGCTAAAAAAAATGACCAATAGTCACAGTAGCCAGAGACAACTACTCTTAACATTTTGTTTTTATTCATCCACTTTTTAATATTTTTGTTACATCATACTTGATCCCTCAGCATAAAAAAAAATTTGTAAACAGTAATGTTTTGGGTTTGGAGGTTGTTTGTTTGTTTGTTTGTTTGTTTGAATGTGGTAGATTCAGAGTAAGCAGACTTCTTAGTGGGTGGGTGGCTCATCCCAGAGCAAGCATCCCGAGAGAACGATGTGGAAGCCAAATGGCCTTTTCTGAAATCACATAGTATTTCTTTTACTGTATTCTACTGGTGGAACTGGTCATAAACTTGCCCAGATTCAGAGGTGGGTACAAAGACTTCCTCCTCTCAATAGAAAGAGAGTCGAAGAACTTTGGTCTATGTTTTAGAACCACTATAATATGGTAAGACAAACTAAAACCCAAAGTCATAAATGACACTAATTTAATAGAAAAAAATCTATAAACGTTTCCACAGTGAAAATGTCTGTGCTGTTTCTTACCCTGTTCCTCTAAAAGAGCTCATATGATATCTTTCTTACATTTAAGTATGTGAGAATATTCATAAACTTCTCCAATAAAATTAAGTTCCACAATAGGAAATAGATTTTAGAGGTATTTTAGGAGTAAAATAGGAAAGAGAATTTAGAGGTATTTTAAGGGTAAAAATTTGGAATCTTATCCCTCATAATTACTATGAATAACAGCCAAAATTACTGATAACTTGCTTTGTGTCACGTGATGTGCAAATATATTTATTAGCATTATCTCATGTAATTTTCATAAGATATTTTAAAACACTTATAGTGAAAGTTATACTGTGGAATATTCTGCAATAAAGTAAATTGGATCTAATATGTATTAATTTGTAGAAAAGTCCATCATATACCAAGTGAGAAAGGAAGTTTCACAGTGCATTATATAAATATTTATTTGTTTGCAACTGTAAATTAAAATATTCATGTCTGTCATTCTAAATGATGGTATTAGCTTAGAAAAATGTCTATAGGAATACTTATCAAATTGCTATAGTTGGTATCTTAAGGAGTTGGAAGTGGAGTAGGAAAGGGCATTTTAATGTTTGCATAGACTTCAAATTGTTAGAATGCATATAGGTGTTTATATATTGCTTCTGAAGTAATAAAACAAATTAATATAAAATTTTTTTTGAAGGAAAAGAATTAGGCCAAAAGAAAACTGAGAGAAGGAAACATAAAACAAAGCCAGGAGTCTAATCAGGAAGATGGCCAAGTTTTCCAAACCAATGTAAGAAGTGCTGTGGGAATCCAAAGTGTCTGTCAACAGATAACTGGATAAAGAAAATGTGGTAAACATATAAATGGAATGCTATTCAGCCACACAAAAGAATGCAATCATGTCTTCTGCAGCAACATGGATGGAACTGGAAGCCATTATCTTAAATGAAACAACTCAGAAGCAGAAAAACAAATTCCACATATTCGCACTTATAAGTGGGGACTAGAGTGTACACATGGGCATAGAGTGTGGAATAATAGTCGCTGGAGGCTCAGAAAGATGGGTTGGTCAGGAGGATGAGGTGTGAGAAATTACTTAATGGCTACAATGTTCACTAATTGAGTGATGGTTACCTAAAAGCCCAGACTTCACTAACATATAATATATCCATATTACAGAACTGCACTTGTATCCCTTAAATTTATACAAAGAAAATAATAAAATGTTTTATTTGTCATTATTAAGATTAAGAAGAGCTATTTCATGTTTGTAATTTAATGGTTATGGTTTGGTACTTAGTTTGAAGACTGTTAGAGCTTGATTATAATTTGTTTAAAATGGCTTAAAATATTATTACAAGCAGAAAACCCTACTCAGCCATTGGCAAGTGTATTTGGTAGTAAAATTTCTGACTATTTTCAAAGAAGAAAATTATTTATCAGAATCATTTTGGGCTTAAAATTTTTGACTTAGATTTTGGTCTAGACATGTTTAAGGACAATGCATGCTAATTCAGCTAACAGAAATAAATTTTAGTATAGCGTATATTGTTTACTACATATGCACCGAAAAAGTCAATAGATTTGACTTTCAAACATCTGTTGATAATGTGAAAAACAGCTCATAAGAAACAGTTATTCAAATTCTAAGATACACATTCAGTTAAATAACATCTTTGTTATATGTATTAAATGCACTGTATGTCATTCTCTCTCTTTTGTATTTAATGATAGCCACTAAGGGTCATATGACAAATATATAAGGTCACTTCATATAAGGTCACTCAACCTTTTTTATTTTGGTATTTGAAAAAACTGCCTTTTGGCGAAAATACTAGCAGATCTACCACCCTGAAATGCAGGCAGTTCTTTGTGTTTATTCTGGGAAGGACCCCTATGGAAGGGCCTGTTAGTAGGAGTTACTACTTCCTCATTGTTTTTGGGGAATCATACTGCAGTGAAACGTTCCAAAGCAGATGTTTCAGACCAAGAGACAAATGTTAAATCAAATGCAAGAACAGCCCATATGCAAACAATAATCCTTTTTCCCCAGGAGATAACCTTAGAGATGCCTCCAGCCTAGACTGGAGGAAAAATAGTCCAGCAGCAGCAGAACTGGAGTTGAAACGGTAGGTAATGTAGGCTGGACTGGGCGTGCTCCATTAATCATTGTGCGTATGTGTGTGTATGTATTTGAGTACACATAAGCCAGGCTTAGTCAAATGTATCGCCATATACTTAGACAGTCTTCTCTGGGTCACAGAGCAGATTCTTCCCTGTGGTGGTGGTAGAGGTACCCACCTGAAGAAAAGGCATGTGTTTTTACTGTTAAGAAAACCAGTAAGGGCCGGACGTGGTGGCTCATGCTTGTAATCCCACCACTTTGGGAGGCCGAGGCAGGCGCATCACTTGAGTTTGAGACCAGCCTGGCCAACATGGCGAAACCCCGTCTCTACTAAAAATATGAAAATTAGCTGGGTGTGGTGGCGCACGCCTGTAATCCCAGCTACTTGGGAGGCTGAGACAGGAGAATCGCTTGAAACTGAGAGGCAGAGGTTGCAGTGAGCCGAGATGGCACCACTGCACTCCAGCCTGGGCGACAAAGTGAGACTCCATCTCAAAAAAAAGAGAAAGAAACCCATTAAGAATTTAAATGTGAGATGGGAAATGAGCAAGGTTTTGGCCTTGAGAGATAAGCGTTCGCTTTATCCTTGGAGAATAGGAGGGAATTGGGCCTAGACTCTGAGGTGAGAAAATGCCTGGAGCACTCAGTGGTGGGTGAACTGGCTTCTGTCTCAGAGAATGGTGAATAGCTAGGCAGACAGCCTGCCTCTGAAGACTGAGGCAGGTGGAATTCACCCTGTAAGTTGTGTTTCTGTTTTAATCTAACACTGCAACAAATTCCAGATGTTAAAAGTCACAGCCCCTTCTCAGCTGTTCTGTGAAAAATATGAGCACACGGAGTCCTCCCTATACCAAGGCCTATGAGGCCATCAGCAATAGTGTCTCTAGAAGAATAGCTATGGGCATTGCTCTGGATTAAACATGAGCCGACAGCCTGGAACACTGAAAAAGCTAGGAGAATGCTTAGGACTGATTTCTACTGGGGTTTAGAGCTGCAGTAATTACAATATAAATAAGCGTTACCTTATCTTGTATCAGAGACCACAGTGGCCATATATAAATAAGGATTCAAACATTCCAATATTGCACTTTCATACCATTTGTTAAATATTCTCACCAAAGAGAAGCTACAAAAGGGCCCGCTTTGCTGGTGCGCGACGGCGTGTTGCTGTTCCTCACTGCCTCTCGCGGCGTCCGTTCGCCCCTCGCCTTCCTCAGGTTCAGGCTGAGCGCCGCGTGGGCCGCAGCCAGAGGGGGCGTAGCGGAACGGGAGCGGGCGGTGGCCAGGCTGCCCCCACGAGAAATGCGGCAGCCTGGGGTTCCCCGCACGTGGCTGCTGCCCAGGCAGTTCAGCGGTCACTTTGAGACGGGACTGTGGCTGCCCCCATCCTCATTGCGTCCTTTCGGTTTTTTACCTCCACCATGTTGTAGTCTCACCGAAGGCTTGTGTCCATCTCTATAGTCACAATGCTGAAAATGGTGATAATGAAAAGATGGCTGCCCTGGAGGCCAAAATCTGTCATCAAATTGAGTATTATCTTGGAGACCTCAGGTTGCCACGGGACAAGTTTTTAAAGGAAAAGATAAAACTGGATGAAGGCTGGGTATCTTTGGAGATAATGATAAAATTCAACAGGTTGAACCGTCTAACAACAGACTTTAACGTAATTGTGGAAGCATTGAGCAAATCCAAGGCAGAAGTCATGGAAATCAGTGAAGATAAAACTAAAATCAGAAGGTCTCCAAGCAAATCCCTACCTGAAGTGACTGATGAGTATTAAAATGATGTAAAAAACAGATCTGTTTATATTAAAGGCTTCCCTACTGATGCAACTCTTGATGCATGAAAGAATGGTTAGAAGATAAAGGTCAAGTACTAAATATTCAGATGAGAAGAATATTGCATAAAGCATTTAAGGGATCAATTTTTGTTGTGTTTGGTAGCATTGAATCTGCTAAGAAGTTTGTAGAGACCCCTGGCCAGAAGTACAAAGACACAGACCTGCTAATACTTTTCAAGAACGATTGCTTTGCCAAAAAAAAAAAAAAAAATGAAGAAAGAAAACAAAATAAAGTGGAAGCTAAATTAAGAGCTAAACAAGAGCAAGAAGCAAAACAAAAGAAGAAGATGCTGAAATGAAATCTCTAGAAGAAAAGATTGGATGCTTGCTGAAATTTTTGGGTGATTTAGATGATCAGACCTGTAAAGAAGATTTACACATCCTCTTCTCAAATCATGGTGAAATAAAATGGATAGACTTCATCAGAGGAGCAAAAGAGGGGATAATTCTATTTAAAGAAAAAGCCAAGGAAACATTGGGTAAAGCCAAAGATGCAAATAATGGTAACCTACAATTAAGGAGCAAAGAAGTGACTTGGGAAGTACTAGAAGGAGAGCTGGAAAAAGAAGCACTTAAAAAAATAACAGAAGACCAACAAGAATCCCTAAACAAATGGAAGTCAAAAGGTTGCAGATTTAAAGGAAAAAGAAAGGGTAGTAAAGCTGCCCAGCCTGGGTCTGGTAAAGGAAAAGTACAATTTCAGGACAAGAAAACAAAGTTTGCTAGTGATGATGCACATGATGAAAATGGTTCAACTGGACCTATGAAAAAGAGGAAGAGAAGAAACAGACAAAGAATAACCTGCATCCAAACAACCGAAAACAGAAAATGGTGCTGGAGACCAGTAATTTAGTAAACCAATTTTTTATTCATTTTAAATAGGTTTCAAACTACTTTTGTTTGTGGGGGCTTTTAAAAGGAAAACCGAATTAGGTCCACTTCAATGTCCACCTGTGAGAAAGGAAAAGATTTTTGTTGTTTAACTTGTCTTTTTTTTGTTATCTAAATGAGAATTTTTTTGAATGTATAGTTCTGTTTGTGTTATTTCACATGAATCAAATATCAGAAGGAAGATTCTTCCACTAAATTGACTTTGTAATATGAGAATGTATTAGTACAAGCTAATAAAATATATACTACATGAAAAGAAAAAAACAATTCTCACCAAAAATAGAAACCTATCGAGGGAAGTTATTTGAATTAGTCTCATTTTACAGATGAAAAAAATGACTTGGAAAATGGAAATTACTTGTCAAACATGTACCACAAGTAAACAACAAAAAGAGCTTGAAACGCCCAAATTGCCAGCCATAAAGTCCATGTCCATGCTACAATAAAACAGCTATCTTTGTATTTTCCATGTGTCTCTGTATGCTTCCTTGCAGTCTTATTAAAATATTCCATGTTTTATTAATTTTCCTCACTCCTTTATTCTCCATGCTGTTACTTTGCATATCCAGGATGTCAGCTACCCTGCTGTCCTGCATCCAGGCACTTACTGGAACCAGGCCTCAGTTCTTGTTCTAACCTCTCTCCCAAAAGGAATCCAGAGGAATCAGGACTGCACATCAAGCCAAAGACTTTTCTTCACATTCTCATACAGGAGCAAAAAGAGGGGGCCTATATTGTATATTTCATAAGAAGAAATTAATAAATTCTTTTTTTTTTTTTGAGATAGTCTCACTTGGCCGTCCAGGCTGGAGCGCAGTGGCGTGATTACGGCCCACTGCAGCCTCAACCTCTGGGCTCCAGGGATCTTCCTGCTTCAGCCTCCCGAGTAGCTGGGACTACAGACACCCCCATGCCCAGCTAATTTTTGTATTTTTTGTAGAGACGGGGTCTTGCCATATTGCCCAGGCTGCTCTTGAATTCCTGGACTCATGTGATCCACGACTTCAGCCTCCCAAAGTGCTGAGATTTCAAGTGTGAGCCACTGCACCCAGCCCCAGAAATTCTTATTAGTTACTTTGGTTCCTCCCTCCATCTTCCAACTCCTTCCATTTTCTCTCAAAGTTTCAGCCCTGCTCATTCGTCCTCTTTCTAGAGTTCCCTTTTGGAAAGCAATTTTCTCTCTCTAAAAGCTCTCTTCCTAAAAGCTTAAAAGTGAAGCAAGTTAGGCCTGTGGAGGCTCAGTTTGAACTCCAGCACTGCCTTACTAAATCATCTCCTCCAGAAGAACAGAGAAGTTCTCTCTTCAAGGGGTCTCTCACCAACAGTTTTGAGAGCGAAATTTTCTTCCTAGAAGTGAATGGGAATTATCTCTCTGTGAAAAAATACCAATATGCTTGTAAAGAGAGAAAACAAGGAAAAGAGATGGAGTCAGGAGGTGCTTCTTTTGTGTCTGGAAGGTTGGCTGTGTTTTGTGGAGACTTGGAACAAGGTGAGGTTGGCAGCCCTCTCCAGAGACGAGCCTTTATCCCCAGTCATCCCTCGCTGGTTTCTCCAGAGGCCCATGTGGACAAGGAGGGGCCAGAGAAGGAAGTGGGGAGGGGAGGATTGCAGAGATAATCAATCAAATGTCTCTCCACAGATTACTCCTACAGGATGGGAGATGCAAGATATAAATAGCTTTTAAGGAATAGGTTGTGCTTCCCTCAGAAACGGATGCTCTATAAGCTTGAATATTTAGCATCTATCATATGATTTTTGTTCACTTTCTTATTATTTTTTCACGCATTTAAAAGCTAAAATTGTAATTAATTATGTAGGCAATTCTAGGGCCTCTCATTTAGTAAAAAGGCAACAATATAAACTTAAAATCTTTTTGAACTGTGCTAATGGGAACCACTGTCACCTTGTCCATGTTTGAGCCAAGTTCTTTAAAATAATAACTTTATTTTTTTTAAATAAAAGCAATATTTTTCAATGTAGAAAAATAAAGAATGCCAAAAGAATATATACTTTTAAAACTACTAATAATCTTACAATAAAGATAACTGATTGAAACAATTTTGATGCACTTCTGTAGGGGAGATGTAGAAACTTAAATAAAGAGAAAGAAACCTATTCTCCTGCAGGCTGACCTTGGTGACAGTGTCAAGAATCAAGTTAGAAAGCCATAAGAAAAAAGGTCATTGGACAGCTTCTTCTTCCTTCCTCTCTGAACATTCACTGGCTAGCATTCTTCTTTGCAAAGTTCTCAAGTAAGAGGCAAAGCCAGGTTTTAGGAGATCCGAAGCTTTGATTATCTGGACCCTCCTTATAAAAAAGAATGCAAAATTATTCATACGAAATCAGATACAATAGTCAATATTATTTAGAAAGAGAAAAATCACAACATATTGCATAATTTTAAAAGCTGACAAATATCATCTATGATACAAAATACAAGCAAAATGTGTATTTTTATTAATACTTCCTCACACATTTCTATAATACTTTTTCCTATTTTTTTGGCTATATACTTTTTGAGTATCTCCTCACATGACAAAAGTGTTATAACATTTTCTATAAAGAGAATAGGAAGATAAAATTCAGGCTCCTGGCATAGTTGGTAGAAAATTTTTATTAATAATAATTAAATTAGAAAAATGTATTTAAGTTTCATAGCTCATCACTAGTGCTATTGTGTAAATTTTTAAGGTTACTGTTTTCTTCTTTCATAAGCTGTAGGATTTGGACAAATTTCCAAAGACTAGCTTTTGAGTATGTGTATTTCAAGACCAAGTTTTTCATCATTACACACGTTTCCACTGTCTGATACTGTTGGGCGTGGTTATACAGTGACATGCCTCTGACTCGGATGTTGACATCCTTGAAACCTGACACCACCTAAATTGGAAAGGATAATAGAAAGTCATTCCTACATAGTGAAAGCTAGTAGTAATGACATAGGGATATCCATGGAAGAGACTGTGAACCACATAAATATATCATAGTACACTCAATTTCAATGCATCCTCAGCTTCCTTTTAGCCAGATCTCAAAAATGACTGCAATCACTCCAGTTACCATAGTGTACTTCCCATGAGAAAAGTATAAAGAAACTAAAGTGAAGAGAGAACTGTCTTAACTGATTTCATACAAAACACTGTACTTTTGGGAATGTTACAAAAGCAAATACTCACAGGCATTCCTAAGGCCGCTTACAAGGACTTGGAAGTAAGGGGTCAGTAGGAGGTCGTGAGAGGCCTCAAAGCTTGTGCTTCATTGGTTCCTGGTAAATCCGTCCCTGCCTAGACAGCTATGTTTTGTTTTACTAGACACTTATCCTCTGAAATTCCTCTCTCACCCACAACTGATAACTCTTCTTGGACATCAACAGAGCTGTGTGGCACAAAGCATCTACATAGTTTCATGAATATTAACCCAGCTGAGCAGGTCTTTTCATGCCAAAGACTATTTCAGTATTTTAGTGAATTGCACTAATAAATTCAATCATGGTTTTAAATGTTGATCATTTGTTTACATCATAAAAGCAAACAATAATAATAGTTAACTCACATATAATGATGTTCCCTGATGCTTATAGGATGTTTTTAACTTTTCAATGTACATTTCCGTAGAGCACTGTGGTTATTAACTAGATTCACTGTCACCAGTAAAAATCCAGACAGTTCATGTAAATATGGATTAGTAAAAAGACCCATCATCTCACTTATTTACATAGAACAAAACCTGCATTTACCTACAGTATGATGGTTTAATGTGTAAGCACACACAGCAGGAACTACAACGCCTCCCCATGTAAATATGGGCCATTCTGTATGTACAAACTACTTCTATAACAACATGAAGATTCAACAAATAGAATTGAAAACCATAGTGCACTATTTTATCTTTATAAATATGTCATTTAAGCACTTTAAAGTATTCTAAAGAGCATTGTTATTAGAGCGTTTTATTTCAAATAAAATATATACAAAAAATGAAAATGAGAATATAAACAGAAATGCACAAAATAGGCATGGCATTCTGCTTTTTGTTTAAGTGATAATTCATCTCAATAGATCAATAGCCTGTTACTCAAAAAAGAAAAAAAAAATGTCCAAATACCACTTGAAGGGTATTTGGGAACACTACATTATCTGTGTCAAACTGCTTATTGAACTTAAATCTGTGTTCTGAACTCACATTATATGACACAAAAAAGCTGTTTTTTTCTAAGCAAATAGTGGTCATGGTTGACTCTGGGAAAAATTGACTTGAAAAGCTATTCGATAAAAAACCAGTTTGATTCCTTTTTAAAGCAAAGACTTTCTTTGACTACACCAAAGAAAATGTTATGATCATATCTCATTCAACTAACACTAAATTAAAGTCTCACAAACTTATTTAACATTAAAATTAACCTTGAAAATAAGTAAATGTAGTTCTGACCAAAAGAGTTTTTCATTTATCATTGATAATTTTTAAAAAGGTAAAACCCATAGATTAAATAACCAAAGATCTTTTTATTACCATGCCCCAATATGTCAAAATTCCAGCTGTTTTAAAATTTAGCTATTACGACCTCCTTATACGTATATCATTTTTTTTTTCTTAGGACAAGGATCTTAATCTGGGTTCTGTAATTTATGAATCAACCTCAGATTCTATGAAGTCTCTGAAATTATAGCCATAATTTTCTTTGAAGAAAAATACTTTTAAAGGAAGGTAGTTCATAGTGTTCATCAGAATCTCAAATGGACTATGACCCACAAGGCCTCAGCACCTAATTGGCATCACTGTCAGCTGGAGTGCAAGAAAGCAAAAAACTAGAATCTGAGAAAGGCACGGGTGCCCCAGGAAACCATGCTTGAGTGTCTGTCTTCAAATGAATTTTTTATATTGGTAAGAGTTAACTTTATACATAATTTTATTTGTTTCACCCAAGGTAGATTTCCCTCTTCCTTCACTGGGAACCAGTCACCTATCACAGAAAATACTTGAATGAAGAAATAGAACTCTTTCACTTAGTGTTTCTGAAAAGTTACTAAAATCTAAGGCTACATATTTTTCTCTTAGTTTCAAATAATTTGTAATAAGAATTGCAATTTCTGTTCCAAGTAGATAAAAGGAACTCTCAGAATGGTTGGCTCATTTTTTAAACTTAACATAATAGGCTACTCTAAAATATGAGAAATAAGCACGCTTTTTGGTTCTTGTGGTGTGTGTGTGTCATTTGCTAGAGAGGAGCCTTCATACATATAGTCCATACTCATTTTTTCCACTTAACATTTCATCACTCTGTTACTCACTTTCTAAAAAGCTCTTAAAATTTGCTTGCCATTCCTTTTAGGCATATTAATTTTTCGTATCCACTGATATTTACCTTGTTAAAAACTGACAGTTGAAAAACGATCAATATATGCAGTCAGGATTTCACATTTTAAGATATGACTTATAGAAATTCATTTTAATGCAGAAAACCTTCTGTGTTGTGTTTTGATTTCCCTAAATTAGGAGGGTACTTCACTTCACATTTTCATTGTTGTTTTTGTTTTGCTTTATTTGCTATTCTTTTTTTTGTTCTGTTTTGTTTTTTTGTTTTTTTTTTTGACAGAGTCTTGCTCTGTCGCCCAGGCTGGAGTGCAGTGGTGATCTCTGCTTACTACAACCTCCACCTCCTGGGTTCAAGCAATTCTCCTGCCTCAGCCTCCCGAGTAGCTGGGGCTACAGGTGCATGCCACCACGCCTGGCAAATTTTTTGTATTTATAGTAGAGATGGGGTTTCACCATGTTAGCTACAATGGTCTCAATCTCCGGACCTTGTGATCCACCTGCCTCAGCCTCCCAAAGTGCTGAGATTACAGGAGTGGGCCATCGTGCCCAGCCTATTTGGTATTCTTAAATGTCTAAGACACTGTGTTCATTTTTTTCCCCATGGGATTGTATTTGGCTTCCAAGTAGTTTGGTATTTGATCCCGAGTTGTAATATATTTAGTTTCTTAAGAAAATAAAAATGTCTTCTATTGATATCACCATTATTATTATTTTTTGCAATTAAATTGTAATATCCAGAGTTCAGAATGCAAAGATAGAATAATCCTCTTGTTTATGAACAACGTAATAGCCCATTGGGTCTTCCAGGCCCTTCTGTGCTAGTAATATCATTGTTATCAAGTGGTTTTGTTCATCAGTTACTCACTTTCAGAGAAAGGTATAATTCATTTAAGATTTTAAAAAATCAGAGCTTTTTAAAAAAGTTATTGACTACATTGAAAGTTCTTAAAAATTAATCTCATAGGATACGGAAACATCTACAGAAAAATAATAGAAAGTCTTCGATATTTAATATTAATAGCAGTGATTTTGAGATTGTTTTTAAGTTTGAATGATAAATTTGCTTGTCATAAAATATATATACACTTCAACCAAGACGAAACTATTACAAAGTGAATTTATTGGGAGAAAAAATAGCATTTTTTTAATCAAGTTGAACAATATTGATTTTAATGTTGTAAAATTTTCCGAACTCTGCTATGTGAGAGGACTAATTAAAACCGCTTGAAATAGCTAAAGCATCTTATAATTTCTCTATAAGTTATTCATAAATCCACTGCCTGGAGCAAGTGGAAGATATACAGATGGCTTAATTCAGCAAGTTCCTAATGTGAGATGTTTCAAAAGCTCAGACAGAGAAGAATTTCTTATTAATGTACTTTCTTATTAATGAAGTCTACAGAAAAGCAAGAGTGTATTTGGAAATTTTTAAAAAATAGATTTGTAACATGTTTTGTTTTGCATATAAGATATTTTTCTCACTCCATTTCTATTCATACATATGTAGATGACTTCACTGCTCCTTCCAAGATTTTGATTTTATCATTATGACTGACCCTCAGCCTGGTTTTCATAACACTGGTACCAGAAGAGAGTCTTTCCTTGGAATCTAGAGTCTCAGCTTTGCAGTTCTACAGGAGAAATCCTTCCTTCACCCGTCATAACACACACACTATAGACAGACAGGCACCCTATATAAGAGGGGTGTGTGTGTGTGTGTGTGTGTGTGTGTGTGTGTGTGTGTGTATACATATATTTTTAATTCAAAATAAATTTAAAAAACTCTTCCATTATAAAAAGATTTGATTAAATGTACTCTTTTCACCTAGCTATTGTAAACTATCAATTTAAAGTGAGAGAAATTTTATGAAATCTATACATAATTCATGAAACCTTATTTTAGATACTAACTTTAATACATTTCCTTGCCCAGGGGACCAATAGTGCAAGGAGTAAAATTAATTGATCATATTTCATCTTCTTTTTTATCCTATTCTCTATAGAGATACTAACAAACAGTGAAATAAACATGAGATAACTGGATGAAGCACTGTTTATACCATCAGTCTACAATACTCTTTATCAGTGTAGCCCAGATAAGCAACTAGGAGCTGAAACCTTTGGCAGAGTACTTTACCAATTGTACCTCTCATATTCACCAGGTGATTTCCAATGTATTCTGAGCTCCATCTGAAGATGGTGTTTTAAAAGGTATTGCAACATTAAAAAGCAAAGCATAATAGCTGAATTAAAGAATTCCTATTAGAACTTCTTTTTACAAAAAATGTAACAAGTTTATCTTCCCCCAAATAAATATGCAGTGACATTTAGTTACACATAAAGAATTAAGTTTGCCTTTCTAATTTGGAAACTGTTAAAAGCATAAAGACCAGAAGAAGTAGTCAGGCATGGTGGCCATGCCTATAATCCCAGCGCTTTGATAAACTGAAGCAGAAGGATTGCTTGAGGCCAGGAGTTCAAGACCAGCGTGGGCAACATAATGAAATCCACCCCATCTCTAAAAAAAATTAAAAATAAAAAACAGGCAGCAGATATAAAGAGATGATTCACAAAAAAGAAAATTTCAGTGGATAATACATGTATCTAAAAAAATTCAACTACGTTTGCAATAAAAACACAAATGAAATTAAATTGAGTGTCATTTTCCCTATCAAATTCGAAAATGTCTTTGAAAGATTACACAAAATGCTGCTAGATGTACAGTAAAACAGAAATGCTCATATTCTGCTGATGGGATATAAACTGTTACAATTTCTCTTGAAACAATGGGGCAGTATATATCCTGAACTTAAAACACAGTTATGTACTCTGATTCACTCCTCCATCCCAGTCTAAGGAGATAATCAGAAATGCAGTCAAACACTTGTGTGCAAAGATATTCTATTTAATATTAAATAATCGAAAATTGGAAACAACTTGAATGTCTAACAAATTTAAAATATTAAACTAATTATTGTATAACTATATTATGAAATTGTACTTACCTATTGGAAATAAGGTTTTGGTAGAATATTTTACACCATGAGAAAGTGCTCACTCTATAATGGAAAGAGAAACAAGTTATGTCAATGAGTCGGTTGTCTATTAATATACGACATATATACATAGAACTCCTTTTATAGTAAATATGTATAGAATGATTATGACGATTGTTTTCTTTTTCAAAATAAAAACAATGTAAAAGTATTGAAAGTCTATGCACTGTAATTCTAAACCTAGATTTATTATTAATCTATATTTAATCCAAAAATATTTAGCAATTATAAGGCTTACATTCTTAGAACTATGATTAGCTTTGACTGAAATTTTTAGTTTTTATTGGGAATATTGACAGCTAGGAAAATAAAAAATGTGCTTTTAACCATGCCAAAATACTGAGAAGTTTTATTTATTTGTAATCTGTCAATTCTAGTGACTGGTAAGGAAACAGGAGGGAAAAGGGGAATCTGGTTGCACTCTAGAAAGCACTAAGAGATGCTGGCTCTGAGAGTCACAAAGGAAGCCAGATACAAGGGAGTAACTGTGGGCCAATAATGTCAGACGAGCTGCCAGGCTCTTGAGGGACAGAAGAAAATATTAGCTTGGGATAGGCAAGGCCTAAGCCACTAGTTGGTAGAGGAATATGCTCTAGAAAAGGAGACTTTAGACCGGAATGTTCTACTTGTCTCATATTCTTCATTTCCAACTGCTTCCTCTACCATTTTTTAAACATAGGCTTAATAAATACAATTTCAATTTGTAAAATTTGTATGATTTTACAAATTCGTAAAGACACCACTTTCAGATAAGATGCACAAGGGAAGCAAATATTCCCTCTGCTCTCCCTCCTTTAATTTGATAAAAGCCAAAGTTATAGCCAAGCATCTTATTTCCTCCATTATGATGCAAGTCTTGATTGCCTGCTTACAGTAGAAAGGGTTTCATTTTCAAGTAATGCTTTGCCTACTATTCTAGGTTCCTTTAGTCTGAGTTGACATTTAAAGAGAAATCTTTGCATAAGTGAAACTTCACGTACTTAAAAATTTGCCACGAGGGTAGATCTTAAGATTAAGTGCTCTAACCACAAAAAGAAACAAACAAAGGGAATGAGAGGAAATATTAGGAGGTGATGCGTAAGTAAGTTTATGGCATTGATAGTGATGATGGTTTTAAAGGTATATAGTTATCTCCAAACACTACAAGTTATATACATTAAATATCTACAACTTCTTATATGTCAATCATAAAGCAATTTTTTTAAAGCAGTCTTACTCTCAAGAGGTTAACGGTGGAAAAAAATAGCCGTGAATTGTTTTTCTTCCTTTTTAGTGCCAATATAAAACATGTTTTAGCTGTGCTGGCATACATAAAGGATAGAACCAGGTTTAGATGCTTATTTCCCAAGCTAGTGTGGTGCTAACCTTAATCCAAAATATGGTGATTGGTTGCACACTTTTTTAAAGTTATGGTGTGACCACGGGGATGGTATTTAAAATATTGATGACTATATCATTAATAAAAATAAATGAGAAAGAGATACAAGCCATAGACTTTGCTTTCACTTTTGTAGAGGAATCTGTGTAATAGAAACCATTGTTATATTGCACTATCTTTTTAACAAATATTGTTAAACTTTCTAGAAAGAGTCAGGGCACTCATAATTTCAGTGATATTTATTCAAATGATCACAGATAACCAAACAATCATGAATACATTATTATGCAAAGTTTATGGTGAATGGATAGATACTCTTTTTAATTGGAAGAGAGCTGCTATAGCAGAAGCACTTCAAGGAAATTCTCAAGATTTATACTCATTTTCCTCTATCTATTACCAGCAACCATAAAATGTTAGAAAAATCAGAATATATGTGTTTAAAACAAGCAACCTGCATCTAATCCAAATGAAAAAAATATCAGTCCCAGAAAGCTAGTCTTCATGTTTGAACGTCAATCAGAGTCTATTTCCTAGAATCTGTCTTGTATCACCAAGGGGCAGAATGGTAGGTACCAAGTACACATTTTTTGATGCACAACACACTAAAAGGTATTATGCATGTCATCTTGGAAGAAGAAACATTTCTACTCTATTCACTAGTTTTTAGATGTCACAGTCATAAATATATACTAGCTTGAAATTTTCAATTCACAAGAAATATGTCTCTTAGAAATGCTGCTATTTGTATGCGGATACTTTTTGAGAAAATGATCAATTTATACACAGTACTGTGAACATAACCTGATTAATTTCCCTCTGATTTAACACAGAAGGCCTACTTGACCAAATCTGTATGAAAATCAAGGAACGGTGGTACCACTTTTTCTCCACTTGTGGATGGACGGATCATCATATGAACTAAAAGTTCCATATATTGCCACTTCTACTCATCAGTTCTGAAATGTCACCAGAGTTGGGCATGGAGCTTTTCATTTTCTACAAAGGTTTTCTCGAGACAGCATCAGTTAGATTTGAGACAAGGAAAAACACACTTTGATTAAGGTTTTGGGATTTCTCAAAGACAAAGAACAGAAGTCGATCTCATATTTTGCACAGTCCAAATTATCATACTAAAGCTAAAGAAGATAAACGGTGTTGATGTTTTAACTCATTGCTGATTGGTTTCTAGCTGCTACAAATCTTTCATTCTGAGAATATCTCAGGCCAGGTGCGGTGGCTCACGCCTGTAATCCCAGCCCTTTGGAAGCCTGAGGCGGGAGGATCATGAGGTCAGCAGTTCGAGACCAGCCTGAACAACATGATGAAACCTCGTCTTTACTAAAACTACAAAAAAAAAAAAAAATTAGCTGGTCGCGGTGGCGGGCGCCTGTAATCCCAGCGACTTGGGAGGCTGAGGCAGGAGAATTGCTTGAAACCAGAAGTCAGAGGTTGCAGTGAGCCAAGATTGTGCCACTGCACTCTAGCCTGGGCAATAAGAGCAAAACTCCATCTCAAAAAAAAAAAAAAAAAGAAAGAAAGAAATCTCCATGAGAGGACCAGAAATGGCAGCAGACATACATTTCTTCAACAAATTGCTGTATGTTTCTCTTATTATTTTGAGTCTGGAGTGTCTCCTGAAGAAATACAAAGGTAAAGGTCGATCTTATGTTGGAATATGGCCACTTTGTATATGGAATGGATATTGAAAAATAGATATTGAAAATAAGCTCTGAAAAAGGGACGGATAACTATAAAAATACTTAAACACTGTATGTTTATTCAAACTTCTTGAAGCAATTTGTTTTTCAAATTGGGCTAAGTAATAGCAACCCTTCATGATTTTTAAAATGATTGATTGTTCTTAGGTGTGATCTGAACCATGATTTGAAGTTGTATTCTTTTTCTATTTCAAAATATGAGATGGCTCAATTATGGAGGAAATGTGACTTAACATATCTAAAAAGTATTCATTTGTGTATATGCAGATCAAAACATTTCTGCTTCTGTCATGTACTTTCTGATTAAATTTACATAAGTTACCTAACATCTTGACTAGTTTTCTATCTCTGCAACAGAGATAACTCTTCTTTCTACAAATAACAGAAAATTCAACAGAAAATTTAAATAAACTCTCTGTAGTCATTATTTTAGTAGAAAATATATTATTTAATTCTACCCTATTTGGTTATTTTCTTATAATGTCGCAATTTGTATGTATAATGTATAACGTATACATTTATATATTATGCTGTTACCATATATTCTGCTATCAGTCACTTTTTGTGATTACATGCATGCTGTCATGGCATGTCATACATCTGGAGGTGGGCTACAGTCTATTTCAGGTTGGAGGTGTAATAGAATAGAAAGCACGTTGTACTTTTATTAGTACAGCATTCTAAATACTTTTTTCTGATTCTTTGGACTAAAGCTTTCTACTTTTGTCTGCTTCTTTTATGTTACTTGGAATTTACTCAGTTGCAATAATTTTTTTTTTAATTTAAATGCTCCTCCCCCAAATTTGCCTCTGTTCTATCATCTTAGGTAAATATCTGTCCTCTTCGATTAGCTCATAGCAACTAATTTATATTTTGCGTCTTTGTGTGACTTTCAAAAGTATTGCATTCTTAATTTTTTCTTGGATTAAGCGGTCCAAAGGAATAATAAAGATGAATTTTTGAAACTAAGCTTTTCTCTACACCATCATTCACTAATTGCCTGAAATCCAAATTATAATTTGCACGTCATAGGGCCTCTAAAGTTGAATTTCAGTAGACATTATGCTATCAGCTGGGTTGGAAGGAGTTGAGAATGGGGAATTTTTGAAACTAAGCTTTTCTCTACACCATCATTCACTAATTGCCTGAAATCCAAATTATAATTTGCACGTCATAGGGCCTCTAAAGTTGAATTTCAGTAGACATTATGCTATCAGCTGGGTTGGAAGGAGTTGAGAATGGGGAATTTTTGAAACTAAGCTTTTCTCTACACCATCATTCACTAATTGCCTGAAATCCAAATTATAATTTGCACGTCATAGGGCCTCTAAAGTTGAATTTCAGTAGACATTATGCTATCAGCTGGGTTGGAAGGAGTTGAGAATGGGGAATTTTTGAAACTAAGCTTTTCTCTACACCATCATTCACTAATTGCCTGAAATCCAAATTATAATTTGCACGTCATAGGGCCTCTAAAGTTGAATTTCAGTAGACATTATGCTATCAGCTGGGTTGGAAGGAGTTGAGAATGGGGAATTTTTGAAACTAAGCTTTTCTCTACACCATCATTCACTAATTGCCTGAAATCCAAATTATAATTTGCACGTCATAGGGCCTCTAAAGTTGAATTTCAGTAGACATTATGCTATCAGCTGGGTTGGAAGGAGTTGAGAATGGGGAATTTTTGAAACTAAGCTTTTCTCTACACCATCATTCACTAATTGCCTAAAATCCAAATTATAATTTGCACGTCATAGGGCCTCTAAAGTTGAATTTCAGTAGACATTATGCTATCAGCTGGGTTGGAAGGAGTTGAGAATGGGATTGACTCATAAGGAGATAGATCCGATAAATCACTAAATCACGAAATCCTCTTTTTTACCTCTCCTAGGTGAGACATAGCTCATGAAAAGGTATCTCCACTGATTCAAGGTTTTAGCAGATGACTCTGAAAATGCTGACAATATCAAAACTAAATTTTCATGTTTTTCTTCTACACATTTGTTTTGCCTAGAAGGAAATGTAACCCCAGAAAATTAAAGTGGCCTATACAAGTTCAGCCACTATTGACTGATATAATCTTGAATAAGTTACTTAACCTTTAAGATTCCAACATAGCTTTCTCTATTAAATAGGAATAGTTATGGTGTAATAGAACTCCATTCCATCTAGCATTAAAATTTGTATGAGTCCTAGAAGTTATATAGTCCATGTAAAGTTCTATAGTTCATATGAGTCCTGTAAGTTCATATGAATTTTGTTGTATCTCATTTTCCACACACTATTCATTCAACAATATTTATTGAACATCTACTATTAGGTTTTATTTGCTCTTTGGTGCCTTAGTTCCATAGCATCTAGGTGCAGTCTGATATGCTAACAATACAAGGTCAATATTTTATAGTTTCATCAGTTTATGAATAATCTCCTAGACAATGTATTAAATTTATGTTTTTCCTATTTCTGTATATAGGGAAGGAAAAGATTGAAGCCATTAAACAGTGATTTTTTTCCATTGATTTTACATTTTTAAAACTATTTTGATGGAGCAAAGTATTTCAATCTAACATACAATAGCATTTTAGTCAACATTGTGGGCTCTGGATAGAGTCACATCACCTGTATTCAAATTTGTATTTGCACTCTCCTTCAGCTTCATTCTGTGTACTTCATTATGTTCTGCATATCGGATAATATTGTAATTTTGTGGTAAGAATTAAAAGATAGTAGTGTGTAGAATAATTTCTTGAACATTTTAAGAATAAAACTACTTTTCTAATATTACAGCAAATAAACTGATAAATTATTGTCAAATCAAAATGTAATTATCAAGTATCCATAATTTTTATAATTTAATTTATACACCTCCTTTTTTTTCAGAGACTAACTTCATGAGTGCAATTTAACATATCTCTAAGAAGTATCCATTTGTGTATATGGAGATCAAAACATTTCTGCTTCTGTCATGTATTTTCTGATTAAATTTAGGTAAGTTACCTAACATCTCAAGACTAGTTTCCTATCTCTGCAACAGAGATAACTCTTTTTTCTACAAATAACAGAAAATTCAAAAAATTAAGTGAAATAATTTGGGGAATAATTTTGGCAGCTTGGAATATGAGCCTGATGATCACTGTATTTGGATTTTTCATCCACCTGATACTTAATGTTGTTATTCTAGAAACTTGGGAAGAGAAGTCAGGGATTAAATTTTACAAGTCTGTCTTTGAGATTGAAATCCATAGAGACAACCTATTAGAATACTGAAATAAACTCAAATAAAAGTAAGACTACACTGATCCTTTAGAAAAATGAAGATATGTTCACGGCCTTCAAAATGCAGTTTCTCCAGTGCCTGGCGTCTGATCTCAGCAAGGAGAGAGTAAACCAATGTGTGACCAGGGTGTCTTTTTAAACCATATAAACTCCTCCATTTATTTCCTGTGACCACATAATAACAACAAAACAGAATGTAAGTGAAATTTTGGGTTAGTTCTTTACAGAAGGCTAAAAAATATTTTGAGTGTTTTTCAAGGAATTAAACGAATCCAGCAGATTAATTTGGACCAATAAAGGATTGAGTCTTTAAAGCCAATTCTCTCTGCAAAACTTCAATAGCAAAGCCAGCGTAGCGGAAAAATTGCAAACAAAAGTATTTTCAACTGAAAATATGAAAACAGATTCAGTCTCCTTTAAGTGACCTATAAAGTACTTAGCCTCATCACTGGCATGTAGAACAAGTCAATGTACTTGTTTAAAATTTTTAAATACTTGTGCAGTTATAACCAATAAGAACCAAACAAGCAGCTCTCTAGCATGGGAAACACCAGGTCATAATATCAATATTTAAAGTATATTCCAATTTGCCAACTAATTTATAAACATTATCCCATCGTCTTAGAATCAGAAAACTCTGTTACCACATTTTTCAAAGAAAATACAAGAAACCCTCTACTGGAAGTATGCCAATTCTCAAGTATCATGTGACCATTTAGAAGAATACATATTGATTGGAAGGTGACTAAGCTGAAATTTAGTTTAGTGAATTATAAATATTCAGTGCCCCTGATAGATATTATGTTTCTTTAAAAAGAAATATGTTATTTTCATAAAACTTTCAAACATTGCTTAATTTGAAAACCATCTATCTTCATTTGGCCACTGCCTTTCCCAAATCTCTAACAAGACTATGAATTAGTAACTTCAAGACAGTACAACTCACCATTAAATTTCCTATATCTGAGAAAGAGCTCTTCATTAAAACTCTGCTTCCAAAATGAGATTCAATCATGGCAAATGCAAAACAGTCCACATATGACAGGAAAATCACAAATGCAAATACAAACTAACTAAATTGTAGCTTACTGTCAATTATACTTTTAGAATAGTTATTGGAAAAGTCAAGCTTTTTCTTCAATTAAATGATGTATATAGGGAGCCAAATGAGAGCCTGAATCCAGGATTTCAGAATGAAACAAGTTCTAGATAAATTCAAATCTCATTGCAGAATCATTTAGCCAACAGCCCATATGGCCAGCTGCACCTTTATGAATGTGACAAAGGCAGAGTGGTTTGAAACAGCTCAGCAAAAAAAAAATATAAAGCCCTTGGACATTCAATGAGGATAAATTATAGCTTATAAATTATGTATTTATCTAAGAAGTGAAATTCAAAAAGAATTGCTTAAAAGTTATATTCATACCATATATGCATTCTGAGGTAGCTGTTGTAAGAAAGTGCAATTTTAACAATGAAATGTTTCTTGTAAAGTATTATTTTCAGAGAAATTAATCTTAATTAAATCAATATGTGTGGAGGGGGTTTGATTGGTTTTTTTTTTTTTGGTTTTTTGCTTTGGCTAAGAAGAGTTTCCGTATATTTGACTACCTTTTATTGCCCTAGTTTGCCCTGGAAATTTGAAAGAAAAGACCATAGAAAAGGAATACCCAAATGCTGGCTATTATGGTGAAGATATTTGCAATATAAAAGAATTCTTATTGTTGCACTAGAATAAGAAGTATTGGGGCATATTAAAATATCATTTTCATAATGGCTTGTAACAGTATAGACAAAAAGCAAGGGACATCTGTCATGAAAAAGATTACCCCAATAGTCAGTATACATTTCAAGATTTTTAGTCACATTACATCATTATTAATAATTTGGCATGTATATATCATCTGGATGGTTATTTATATGCATTGTTTCCCCTCATTTGCTCAAGTGTCTTTAACTCAGCAAGTTTATTTAATGAAACACATTCATAATAAAACATTAACGGAAACAGAATTTTTGAAAAACGGAAAACTGAGATTGATTGAACTTTTATTTTAACTAAGAAGCAGAATTCCGTATAGGTCTACAGTATTTGAAAACTCAGTAGATCCTTTTAAATGTAAACACTTAATATATATAACTAATCTCAGAGAGGTAACTTAGGACATTAAGTTATAAACTATGCAGATCGCACTTATTTTTCATTCACCTCATAGTCATGATACTGGTCTAGGGCTTGGATTGGAGCCGAAGTTTCTTCACCTGTATCTAGAAGCGGGAATGCCTTCAGGAGGCTAGAGGGCAAGACAAATACTATTTGCTGGGCAAAGTCAGGGTTTATTAAGAAGAAAAGCCAAGACAAAAAACCACAGGCAAAATTGCTATGTAGGACATAAAACTAGAATTTTAGAAGAGATATGGATAGGACCAATATTGCTGCATTTTGGACAGCAGTGATGTGTAGAAGATGGGTGGGGAAGTAATGAAGCTGGCAGGAGAAAGTGACAGGTGGCATCGACATTTGCTTTCAATAGCTAGTGGATGTACATTTCATGGAAGACCCTGAGGGGATCTCTAAAAGCCATGATTGGTGTAAACAGTGGGTAGTAAGTCCAGTTCTTTCATTTTTGAAATTTTCCATACTATCACAATCTTATATTTAGCCTTTTTTTGAAAATATTTCTATATAGAATGGTTATTTTCTTGCTGTGGTAAGCACAATATGAGGACAGATATTTAATAATATTAATAGCTAACATTTTTTGAGTGGTTAGTATCACCCAACCAGGAACTTAGCACTTTGAGCACCATATCTTATTCTACAAAGTAGTGGTCTATTTACATTTTACTTCTGATGTAACTGAAGTTCAGCAAGGTTGTATTATTACCTGCTTGTAATCATAATAGAGGGATGATGCTCACTTTAACATGATAATTATGCCCTCTGCTGGTAGTTAATAGCTTTTACATCATCTACTTTTTGAAATGATGCTTGTAAACAAGAGCCCAGGACGATGTCATCATGTGAATTAATTATGCACTACTTTTATAACTCTGGTTTGCTATTCATAAGGTCAACATTGTATCAAGAAGGCCATGAAAACAGGATATATTTCAGGGGAAGGAAGATTTTTATTAAAAAGTTATATTCCAGGAACTGATTTTCAAGTCTGGAAAGGAAATTGCCTTTAGTAGGGATAGGATATGGGGAGGGGAAATTTTATTAAAGTGTCTTGAAATTATTATAAGTCAAACAGTGTGCCGGGGAAAGAGCTATCTTTGAGACTGGATATTTGTGGCAGTAATAGGAAATAAGTATCTGTCTTCAGGATGCAGCATTTAGCATTAGGAAAAAATAAAAGACAAAAACAAAACATCAATAACCAAAGCAAAACATACTTGCAATCAGATTTTTTTTTTTCAAAATTGAGCAAGAGTGAGAATGGAATGGTGCCAAGGGAGCAATTTTTCTCAGGATGTAATTGGAAGACCTAGCCATCATTCATATCTTCAGATTTGCATTGCTCCAGTTTCATCTGAAGAGCACCAGATTCAAAAAGTAGTCTCTGATTTTCTTCCTTAGAGGAAAAGCTAGTGTAAGGCTCTACCCATGATACAGAAGCTGGCAGAAGTTGAGACTTCTCGGTGCTGTATGTTCCCATTTGCAAGATCATCTGGAGGAAGTATTCAGGACCATCTACAAGGAAAAGCTAAGACTTGTCTTACTTAGAAAACATGGCCTTGTCTTTTTCAGCTATTCTTCATATTATCATGATGTCAGCAGAATTCTTCACAGGGATCACAGTAAATGGATTTCTTATCATTGTTAACTGTAATGAATTGATCAAACATAGAAAGCTAATGCCAATTCAAATCCTCTTAATGTGCATAGGGATGTCTAGATTTGGTCTGCAGATGGTGTTAATGGTACAAAGTTTTTTCTCTGTGTTCTTTCCACTCCTTTACGTCAAAATAATTTATGGTGCAGCAATGATGTTCCTTTGGATGTTTTTTAGCTCTATCAGCCTATGGTTTGCCACTTGCCTTTCTGTATTTTACTGCCTCAAGATTTCAGGCTTCACTCAGTCCTGTTTTCTTTGGTTGAAATTCAGGATCCCAAAGTTAATACCTTGGCTGCTTCTGGGAAGCGTTCTGGCCTCTGTGAGCATTGCATCTGTGTGTCGAGGTAGATTACGCTAAAAATGTGGAAGAGGATGCCCTCAGAAACACCACACTAAAAAAGAGTAAAACAAAGATAAAGAAAATTAGTGAAGTGCTTCTTGTCAACTTGGCATTAATATTTCCTCTAGCCATATTTGTGATGTGCACTTCTATGTTACTCATCTCTCTTTACAAGCACACTCATCGGATGCAACATGGATCTCATGGCTTTAGAAATGCCAACACAGAAGCCCATATAAATGCATTAAAAACAGTGATAACATTCTTTTGCTTCTTTATTTCTTATTTTGCTGCCTTCATGACAAATATGACATTTAGTTTACCTTACAGAAGTCACCAGTTCTTTATGCTGAAGGACATAATGGCAGCATATCCCTCTGGCCACTCGGTTATAATAATCTTGAGTAATTCTAAGTTCCAACAATCATTTAGAAGAATTCTCTGCCTCAAAAAGAAACTATGAAGAAGAAGAACAATGTGAACTATTTCTTTCCTTGATTTAGATTCAATGGACTTACTTGGGTTTTGTATGCTGACTCACCCTCTCTCTGGTAATTTTCTGCCAGTGTCTGACCCCCAGGACAAGTGAGGCACTAATTTTGATGTTGGATGGGTGGGATATGTCTTTTTTTCACGACTTATATGCTTAAAACTACTGCGATGGTAATACATTTAAGTAACAATACTTGCACTGGAGTATAGTTACATTTTAGAAATAAAAAAAATACTAAGACTTCATTTGGCTGACCAAGGTAGTTCTTTTAATCTCTCTACCCAAGTCATTGGGAAGCACCTGCTTTAAACAAGAAAAAGTATCTTGATTTAGTTCAAGAATTGAAACAATAAAATAATTTGGCTTTAAGGACATTTAAGTATTTTTCAAAGAGATTCAAATTTTATGTTGAAACTGTCTGTCATAGCAATGTCCCCAGCAATACTGGTTATGGTCTTACATTGCTTTTGATTTCAGATTGGTAGATCATAAGATGCAAATTGAGTTGGCATGCATATGCATACATAAACACAATCCAAAGTCTCAATTTTTTTACAAAACAGAAATATTTTTCAACTCTCAGGAGTACTAAACTCACTCCCAGAAAGAATGTTGAGGAGGTTGCTGACAGCCAAATCCCAGTGAACAAATGTTCAACAACAGGTATCTTAACTTCTTTCCAACTAAGAATTTTGTCTGGAGTATGACAGCATCAAATGCCTTGAAGTCAAAAGTAAAACAGGTCTCTGTTTACTCTTGAAAGCTCTTGCTAGATGTGAACTGATTCTGCTCTTTAAGGATCTTGAATAGTCTTACTTTAGGAAAGAAAAATGTGTTTTGCAGTATCTGACATCACTTAGGATATCTGTTTAAATCTACAAAATCCACACTGGTGCGGTGGCTCATGCCTATAATCCCAGCACTTTGGGAGGCCGAGGTGGGTGGATAACTTGAGCCCAGGAGTTTGAAACCAGCCTGGGTCACATGGCAAAAAACCATCTCTACAAAAAACACAAAAACTAGCCAGACATGGTGGCACATGCCTGTAATCCCAGCTACTTGGGGACTGAGGTGAGAGAATTGCTTGATCCCAGGAGGTTGGAGTGAGCCGAGATTGTGCTATTGCACTCTAGCCTGGGCGGCAGAGCAAGACCCTGTCAAATAAGTAAGTAAATAAATCTATAAAATCCTTATTGGCTTTTGAAGATAAAGGATATGTAGTGTTTTAATTGTAAATAAATTGCTATTAAAGTAGATTAAAAGTTGCTGGGATGAGGAAAAAAACTAAATATGTGTAGGAATGTGTGCAATGATTTGCTAACAGATAAAATAAAATTTAGAATCTGTATTAGCAATTCCCTGACTATACTCTGAGGGAGAGGTTCTCAAAGTTGACCAGACATCAGAATCCCCTGGAAGGCTTGTGAAAACACTGATTGCTGGGCCCTACCTCCAAAATTTCTGACTCAGCAGGTTTGAGATAGGGCCTAAGGATTACCATTTCTTATGAGTTTCCAATGATACTCATGCTCTTGGTCTGGGGCCACACTTTGAGAACCGATTTAGTCACTGTACTACAGAGATTAAGAACCTGGCCTCAGGCCAAACTGGATGGGTTTGCCTCCTGACCCAGCTGCTTATTAGATGTATAATCTTGGGCAAGCTGTTAGACTATCTTTCTACATTTCTTCATCTGTAAAATGAGATAATAAAAGTAACTACTCCCAAAGATTGCTGTGAGATTTTGCTGGCAAGTATAAAATACCTAGAACAGTGCCTGGTCCACAGCAAAGATCAGTTAAGACCAAATATTGTTCTATGTCAAGAAAAATGTTCAATTGCCACTATCAGGAAGGCACGAAGATTATTTCTTAAACTTTCCTAGTGTTTGAAATTGGACAAATAAAACTGAAATTCTACATTAGTACTTGAGAAAAAGAGGTGCAGTCTACTTCAGTTTAGAATGGTAAATAGGGTTAGTATTGGATGAGTCATAAAAGAGAATAAATGAGCATTTTGGAATGCTGTAAAAGGCAACAGGCTAAATAAGGTAGTGAAACAGGAATTATAAACCACTGGAGGATGACAAATAGACTATAAGCATCTTAGGGTGGGAGTGGAGGAAGGGACCAAGAGGCTGAAAGGTGAGGTAAAAGTGAGGAGAGAAGGCAATATTGACCATTTTGCCTGGGTCCTTTGGAAAAGCTGCTGATGGTGGGATCCACACTGGTCTCAGCTGTGGTGCACTGTGGTGTACATGGTGCATGATGGATGCTTGACCTGGTAAGTAAATATGGAACAAGATAATTCCTTCTCTGAAGTATCACTCCCACTTAGTCAAGGGAGCATATTTTAATCTCTGTGACTTGAACATAGATAATTGAAGAAGGAGGTGTCTAACCATAATAAATTTAAGAGGCTCCTTAGAAAAAAGGGAGAGAAAAAACACAAATTAACAAGCAAGCTCTGAACATCAGAAGTGCTGACACAGACAACCTCAGACTTGACAAGCAGCCAAATTTATTATAGGCACAATATGATAGCATCGTACATTATTAGGTGTATTTTACTCATGCATAGCCCTACTTTGTAAACAAATCACTGTGAATTGACCTCTATTTCCCTACAGCAATAACTGATCATCTGTTTAGAAATACATATTCTAGAATTTATTGAGGTTCTGTGGTGCAATAAGCATGACTGTCCTAAAATGACATTGAGAGCTCACCTTTGGCTGCCTCATCACTGAGAAAATTAGAATTTGGGGCTGCTACCTCCTCCTAGTGGTAAGGCTGCTTTCAAACTCAACCTACCACTGAACTGTTAGCCCTTTCCCTTGAAAAAGAGGAATGCAACTTCACACAGGTCCCCAAAGTCACCAGGTACCGATAGACAACTTTTCCCAAACAACACCTCCACGCACAGTTGACATCCAAACTCAGTAAAGATGGTGCCCAGATAACCTGTTAGTCAGTCTGTTCTGCCCGTCTTCTCCCATTGATAAAATTGCTCTCAGGCTTGCTCTGTGGTAAAGGAGAATGTCAAGAGGAGGAATTCTTACCACCCAAAATGTTCACCCACCATGTGTCCAACAGAGTGTCCTGGGCCTGGTCATTCATCCGGGGGATATTAAAAGGATTAGACCACACAAACACACTCATTTTTTTTCCTCATCTTACGCTGTAAATTTGTTACTCATGAAAGTCTATTCCCTATCCCACACTGTGTGACATGTCAGATGGTGGCCACAAAGTGGCTGTTTTGCACAGCTCTTTCAAGGATTAAATTCAGGCATGTCTAATCTCCAATGTCCAGTCTTAAAGCACCTCACCTTCCCAATAGGTTTCCAAAGGGTGCCAGCTCATTTCCCACTGCCAGTCGTCTTATTGTGCTGATATGTAATTAATATGGCTTTATGAACCTGAATTTATGTAAATATGTTATTTTACTATCCTCTCACCTTTCTTAAGCTTCAATTCTTACCTAGTTGTGTTGGTTATTTCCAGTTTGGAAATCCCCTTTGAAAGAGAAAGAGACAAAATAGGAGTTAGACTGTTTAGCTACATTATGGCATTAGTTGATATTACTTATTTTTTCCAAGTAAAGAAAGTCTCTTGTTTTTATTTTCTTTTTCGGAACACTATTTAAAGCCTATTTTACTTCTTTTTTAACTTATAGAATATTTCAAGTTGCAATTATCTGTTCTATGAAAAAATTATTACCACAGTAAATTTTAAGTTATTCCATTTATACAAACATATGTAATTCAAATAACTTACTTAAAAGCGTTCATGTTCCTTAATGCCTAGAAATACAGAAATCAGAGTGTTGAGGTTTTCATTTGCCACAACTTGTTGCGTTCCCAAATTTGTGGAGCTGAGAAACTCAAAAAAAATTTTTTTTTTTTTTGAGACGGAGTCTCACTCTTTCGCCCAAGCCAGACTGCAGTGGCGTGATCTCGGCTCACTGCAAGCTCTGCCTCCCGGGTTCACGCCATTCTCTTGCCTCAGCCTCCAGAGTAGGTGCAACTACAGGTGCCCGCCACCACACCTGGCTAATTTTTTGTATTTTTAGTAGAGACGGGGTTTCACCGTGTTAGCCAGGATGGTCTCGATCTCCTGACCTCGTGATCCGCCGCCCTCGGCCTCCCAAAGTGCTGGGAATACAGGCGTGAGCCACCTCGTCTGGCTGAGAAACTCAAAATTTCTAACTCTAAATTTCTAATTTGGAAATTCAGAAATATACATTCAGAATTACCTACCTGAGAGGAGACTTTTGGATGGTTCTACATATAATTGAAGTCAGTTGGCCACAAAATAATGTTTACATATTAGAAAATTCCAAGAATGCATTCATGAGAGCATTAAAGAAAATTCCAGAATGTTGCTTATGCTGTTCGTCCATCCAAACTCCTTTCCCTTCTTCTCCCCTTTTATTAAGTACTCTACTGTCATCAAGGGTTAGTAATGATCTCAGATGCTCTAAGAAATCTTTGGAGACATTCTCAAGCTTCAGAGACCTTCCTCTCACTAATTTCTCATGAGAGTAACCGTCAGGACAAATCACTTGGCATTTAGCACCTTATCTCGTGATGTATTCTTATAGGTTTGTATCTTTTCTAGCCAATTACTTATAATTTACTTGAAATCTGGAGTCATAATCTATTTTTGTACCCTAAACAACTAATAACAGTGAACTAAACATAAGTAGGTATTTGTATATATGCTTTTGATAAAGAACCATATGTATCTCTATGCAAAAAACAATGAGGCATAAATCAGATAGCATAAAGATAGGTTAATTCTATTTCCAAAACTATAAGAGATTTAGTCAATTCAACTTTACTGCCGTTTTCATTAGAAATAAAAACACCTTAAAATTGAACATCAGGGAAAATAATACAGAAAAAATTTTGGCTTCTTAGTTTATAAACTAGGACAAAATTATAAGTAATTTACTGCCACCTGGTGGCAAACTTTCACTTTAAATAAAATGAACAGTTAAAAGAAAGACTCCAGCCATTGTGGATCTTTGTCTAGGAAATTTTATATTCCGTTAGAAAAATATTAGAAGAGAAGTTAATACCCAAGTCATAGGAGATTTTGGACCAAAGAAGAGTAAGTAACTAGCCCGAATCAAATAAACTGTAAAGAAAAAAATCAAAATTATTTATGGCGGGGGGAGGAGCCAAGATGGCCGAATAGGAACAGCTCCGGTCTACAGCTCCCAGCCTGAGCGACGCAGAAGACGGGTGATTTCTGCATTTCCATCTAAGGTACCGGGTTCATCTCACTAGAGAGTGCCAGACAGTGGGCACAGGTCAGTGAGTGCGCACACCGTGCGCGAGCAGAAGCAGGGCGAGGCATTGCCTCACTCGGGAAGCGCAAGGGGTCAGGGAGTTCCCTTTCCTAATCAAAGAAAGGGGTGACGGACGGCACCTGGAGAATCGGGAAAATCGGGTCACTCCCACTCGAATACTGCGCTTTTCCCACGGGCTTAAAAAACGGTGCACCATGAGATTATACCCTGCACCCGGCTCGGAGGGTCCTACCCCACGGAGTCTCGCTGATTGCTAGCACAGCAGTCTGAGATCAAACTGCAAGGCGGCAGCGAGGCTGGGGGAGGGGCGCCCACCATTGCCCAGGCTTGATTAGGTAAACAAAGCAGCTGGGAAGCTCGAACTGGGTGGAGCCCACCACAGCTCAAGGAGGCCTGCCTGCCTCTGTAGGCTCCACCTCTGGGGGCAGGGCACAGACAAACAAAAAGACAGCAGTAACCTCTGCAGACTTAAATGCCCCTGTCTGACAGCTTTGAAGAGAGCAGTGGTTCTCCCAGCACGCAGCTGGAGATCTGAGAACGGGCAGACTGCCTCCTCAAGTGGGTCCCTGACCCCTGACCCCTGAGCAGCCTAACTGGGAGGCACCCTCCAGCAGGGGCACACTGACACCTCACACTGCAGGGTACTCCAACAGACCTGCAGCTGAGGGTCCTGTCTGTTAGAAGGAAAACTAACAAACAGAAAGGACATCCACACCAAAAACCCATCTGTACATCACCATCATCAAAGACCAAAAGCAGATAAAACCACAAAGATGGGGAAAAAACAGAACAGAAAAACTGGAAACTCTAAAAAGCAGAGCGCCTCTCCTCCTCCAAAGGAACGCAGCTCCTCACCAGCAACGGAACAAAGCTGGATGGAGAATGACTTTGACGAGCTGAGAGAAGAAGGCTTCGGACGATCAAATTACTCTGAGCTACGGGTGGACATTCAAACCAAAGGCAAAGAAGTTGAAAACTTTGAAAAAAATTTAGAAGAATGTATAACTAGAATAACCAATACAGAGAAGTGCTTAAAGGAGCTGATGGAGCTGAAAACCAAGGCTCGAGAACTACGTGAAGAATGCAGAAGCCTCAGGAGCCGATGCGATCAACTGGAAGAAAGGGTATCAGCAATGGAAGATGAAATCAATGAAATGAAGGGAGAAGGAAAGTTTAGAGAAAAAAGAATAAAAAGAAACGAGCAAAGCCTCCAAGAAATATGGGACTATGTGAAAAGACCAAATCTACGTCTGATTGGTGTACCTGAAAGTGACCAGGAGAATGGAACCGAGTTGGAAAACACTCTGCAGGATATTATCCAGGAGAATTTCCCCAATCTAGCAAGGCAGGCCAACGTTCAGATTCAGGAAATACAGAGAACGCCGCAAAGATACTCCTCGAGAAGAGCAACTCCAAGACACATAATTGTCAGATTCACCAAAGTTGAAATGAAGGAAAAAATGTTAAGGGCAGCCAGAGAGAAAGGTCGGGTTACCCTCAAAGGGAAGCCCATCAGACTAACAGAGGATCTCTCGGCAGAAACCCTACAAGCCAGAAGAGAGTGGGGGCCAATATTCAACATTCTTAAAGAAAAGAATTTTCAACCCAGAATTTCATTTCCAGCCAAACTAAGCTTCATAAGTGAAGGAGAAATAAAACACTTTACAGACAAGCAAATGCTGAGAGATTTTGTCACCACCAGGCCTGCCCTAAAAGAGCTCCTGAAGGAAGCGCTAAACATGGAAAGGAACAACCGGTACCAGCCACTGCAAAATCATGCCAAAATGTAACAACCATAGAGACTAGGAAGAAACTGCATCAACTAACGAGCAAAATCACCAGCTAACATCATAATGACAGGATCAAATTCACACATAACACTATTAACTTTAAATGTAAATGGACTAAATGCTCCAATTAAAAGACACAGACTGGCAAATTGGATAAAGAGTCAAGACCCATCAGTGTGCTGTATTCAGCACACTCACGTGCAGAGACACACATAGGCTCAAAATAAAAGGATGGAGGAAGATCTACCAAGCAAATGGAAAACAAAAAAAGGCAGGGGTTGCAATCCTAGTCTCTGATAAAACAGACTTTAAACCAACAAAGATCAAAAGAGACAAAGAAGGCCATTACATAATGGTAAAGGGATCAATTCAACAAGAAGAGCTAACTATCCTAAATATATATGCACCCAATACAGGAGCACCCAGATTCATAAAGCAAGTCCTGAGTGACCTACAAAGAGACTTAGACTCCCACACATTAATAATGGGAGACTTTAACACCCCACTGTCAACATTAGACAGATCAAGGAAACAGAAAGTCAACAAGGATACCCAGGAATTGAACTCAGCTCTGCACCAAGTGGACCTAATAGACATCTACAGAACTCTCCACCCCAAATCAACAGAATATACATTTTCTTCAGCACCACACCACACCTATTCCAAAATTGACCACATACTTGGAAGTAAAGCTCTCCTCAACAAATGTAAAAGAACAGAAATTATAACAAACTATCTCTCAGACCACAGTGCAATCAAACTAGAACTCAGTATTAAGAATCTCACTCAAAACCGCTCATCTACATGGAAACTGAACAACCTGCTCCTGAATGACTACTGGGTACATAACGAAATGAAGGCAGAAATAAACATGTTCTTTGAAACCAACGAGAACAAAGACACAACATACCAGAATCTCTGGGACGCATTCAAAGCAGTGTGTAGAGGGAAATTTATAGCACTAAATGCCCACAAGAGAAAGCAGGAAAGATCCAAAATTGACACCCTAACATCACAATTAAAAGAACTAGAAAAGCAAGAGCAAACACATTCAAAAGCTAGCAGAAGGCAAGAAATAACTAAAATCAGGCAGAACTGAAGGAAATAGAGACACAAGAAACCCTTCAAAAAATTAATGAATCCAGGAGCTTGTTTTTTGAAATGATCAACAAAATTGATAGACCGCTAGCAAGACTAGTAAAGAAAAAAAGAGAGAAGAATCAAATAGACGCAATAAAAAATGATAAAGGGGATATAACCACCAATCCCACAGAAATACAAACTACCATCAGAGAATACTACAAACACCTCTACGCAAATAAACTAGAAAATCTAGAAGAAATGGATAAATTCCTTGACACATACACTCTCCCAAGACTAAACCAGGAAGAAGTTGAATCTCTGAATAGACCAATAACAGGATCTGAAATTGTGGCAATAATCAATAGCTTACCAACCAAAAAGAGTCCAGGACCAGATGGATTCACAGCCGAATTCTACCAGAGGTACAAGGAGGAATTGGTACAATTCCTTCTGAAACTATTCCAGTCAATAGAAAAAGAGGGAATCCTCCCCAACTCATTTTATGAGGCCAGCATCATTCTGATACCAAAGCCGGGCAGAGACACAACCAAAAAAGAGAATTTTAGACCAATAGCCTTGATGAACATTGATGCAAAAATCCTCAATAAAATACTGGCAAACTGAATCCAGCAGCACATCAAAAAGCTTATCCACCATGATCAAGTGGGCTTCATCCCTGGGATGCAAGGCTGGTTGAATATACGCAAATCAATAAATGTAATCCAGCATATAAACAGAGCCAAAGACAAAAACCACATGGTTATCTCAATAGATGCAGAAAAGGCCTTTGACAAAATTCAACAACACTTCATGCTAAAAACTCTCAATAAATTAGGTATTGATGGGACATATTTCAAAATAATAAGAGCTATCTATGACAAACCCACAGCCAATATCATACTGAATGGGCAAAAACTGGAAGCATTCCCTTTGAAAACTGGCACAAGACAGGGATGTCCTCTCTCACCACTCCTATTCAACATAGTGTTGGAAGTTCTGGCCAGGGCAATTAGGCAGGAGAAGGAAATAAAGGGTATTCAATTAGGAAAAGAGGAAATCAAATTGTCCCTGTTTGCAGATGACATGATTGTATATCTAGAAAACCCCATTGTCTCAGCCCAAAATCTCCTTAAGCTGATAAGCAACTTCAGCAAAGTCTCAGGATACAAAATCAATGTGCAAAAATCACAAGCATTCCTATACACCAACAACAGACAAACAGAGAGCTAAATCATGAGTGGAATCCCATTCACAATTGCTTCAAAGAGAATAAAATACCTAGGAATCCAACTTACAAGGGATGTGAAGGACCTCTTCAAGGAGAACTACAAACCACTGCTCAAGGAAATAAAAGAGGATACAAACAAATGGAAGAACATTCCATGCTCATGGGTAGGAAGAATCAATATCGTGAAAATGGCCATACTGCCCAAGGTAATTTACAGATTCAATGCCATCCCCATCAAGCTACCAATGCCTTTATTCACAGAATTGGAAAAAACTACTTTAAAGTTCATATGGAACCAAAAAAGAGCCCACATTGCCAAGTCAATCCTAAGCCAAAAGAACAAAGCTGGAGGCATCACACTACCTGACTTCAAACTATACTACAAGGCTACAGTAACCAAAACAGCATGGTACTGGTACCAAAACAGAGATATAGATCAATGGAACAGAACAGAGCCCTCAGAAATAACGCCGCATATCTACAACTATCTGATCTTTGACAAACCTGAGAAAAACAAGCAATGGGGAAAGGATTCCCTATTTAATAAATGGTGCTGGGAAAACTGGCTAGCCATATGTAGAAAGCTGAAACTGGATCCCTTCCTTACACCTTATACAAAAATCAATTCAAGATGGATTAAAGACTTAAACGTTAGACCTAAAACCATAAAAACCCTAGAAGAAAACCTAGGCATTACCATTCAGGACATAGGCATGGGCAAGGACTTCATGTCTAAAACACCAAAAGCAATGGCAACCAAAGCCAAAATTGACAAATGGGATCTAATTAAACTAAAGAGCTTCTGCACAGCAAAAGAAACTACCATCAGAGTGAACAGGCAACCTACAAAATGGGAGAAAATTTTTGCAACCTACTCATCTGACAAAGGGCTAATATCCAGAATCTACAATGAACTCAAACAAATTTACAAGAAAAAAACAAACAACCCCATCAAAAAGTGGGTGAGGGACATGAACAGACACTTCTCAAAAGAAGACATTTATGCAGCCAAAAAACACATGAAAAAATGCTCACCGTCACTGGCCATCAGAGAAATGCAAATCAAAACCACAATGAGATACCATCTCACACCAGTTAGAATGGCAATCATTAAAAAGTCAGGAAACAACAGGTGCTGGAGAGGATGTGGAGAAATAGGAACACTTTTACATTGTTGGTGGGACTGTAAACTAGTTCAACCATTGTAGAAGTTGGTGTGGTGATTCCTCAGGGATCTAGAACTGGAAATACCATTTGACCCAGCCATCCCATTACTGGGTATATACCCAAAGGACTATAAATCATGCTGCTATAAAGACACATGCACACGTATGTTTATTGCGGCATCATTCACAATAGCAAAGACTTGGAACCAACCCAAATGTCCAAGAATGATAGACTGGATTAAGAAAATGTGGCACATATACACCATGGAATACTATGCAGCCATAAAAAATGATGAGTTCATGTCCTTTGTAGGGACCTGGATGAAATTGGAAGTCATCATTCTCACTAAACTATCGCAACAACAAAAAACCAAACACTGCATATTCTCACTCATAGGTGGGAATTGAACAATGAGATCACATGGACACAGGAAGGGGAACATGACACTCTGGGGACTGTTGTGGGGTGGGGGTAGGGGGGAGGGATAGCATTGGGAGATATACCTAATGCTAGATGACGAGTTAGTGGGTGCAGCACACCAGCATGGCACATGTATATGTATGTAACTAAGCTGCACAATGTGCACATGTACCCTAAAACTTAAAGTATAATAATAAACAAATAAATAAAAGAAGGAAACACAAAAGAAAAAAAATATTTATGGGATTTATGAGATAATTGGAAACTTGAATTGTGGATATTCAATAATACCAATGAATTGATGTTCATTTTTTAGATGTCATAATGGTGCTTATGTTTTAAAAATAAAAGTGTTCTTATCTTTTGGGGGTAACATTCTGATATAATTACTGATAAAATATTATGATGCTTCAAAACAATATGGGAAGGGGAAAAAGTTGGAGATATATTTGGGGCAAGTGTGTGAAATAAGATTAGCCATAAAAGGTAATTTTTTAAACTGGATGATGGTTACATGGGGGATTCATTACACAATGTCTACTTTTGTATATATTTGAAGTTTTCTTTCTTTTTTTTTTTAATTATACTTTAAGTTTTAGGGTACATGTGCACAGCGTGCAGGTTTGTTACACATGTATACATGTGCCATGTTGGTGTGCTGCACCCATTATATTTGAAGTTTTCTATTTTAAAAAGTTTTTTTAACTTACCAAGAAATATGTATCTATTGAGTGTAGGTTTTGATTAATAAAAAGGAGGAATTTTCCACATAAATTATGTAGCAGAGGCTGAGTGTGGTAGCTCACACCTGTAATCCCATCAATTTGGGAGGCTGAGGTGGAAGGATTGCTTGAAGCTAGGTGTTTGAGACCAGCCTAGGCGACAGAGCATGACTGTGTTTCTGAAAAAAAGAAAAAGGAAACAAAAAGAAAATTAAGATCTGTAGGTTGAGCCGTAGATTAGAAAGAACTTGTAATCTTTATTTGTTTTAAAAAATGTCCTTTGAAGAAATTAAGTCAACCTTCTTAAGCCCAAGGTGAAAACTGCCTCTCAGAATCATATAATATATCACATGTCAAACTCATATCACTTTATAAAGCAGATTGCTAAGCAATTACAAAAGGTGAGTTCTCAAGACTTAGTAAAACTGATTTGGAGTTCAATTATTCATGTGCTCTCTTTCTGTGTATTTACTGAGTATTGAGCTTGTTGTTGTGCTGATTTTCAACCTTTGGAAATAAAAGCATGAGAGTTATTGCTTTGTTGCTATGTTTTAGGCAACAACCAGAGGCCCTAGTTTTACTTTTCTTTTTCTACTCTGACTTGAGTCTGGTAGAAAATTAATTCGGTTTCTTAGCAACCCAGATGAGCAAAACTTAAATATACTTTAGCTTCTTTTGTAAAGCAAAGGATAATGTTAAACTGTTAGTCTCTCTTGGCTTTACAGAAAAGATTTGCTGAGATATATTACTCTAAAACTTTTATGAAAAGCTATCTTTCAAATGGTAAGTGAAGTAACTGGTTTTCTAATGAATGCTCCTGCCTTTTGTTTTTATTTTGAATTCTTCTTGTTTGTCAAACTGACTAGCTCTTTGGAGCCTATATGTTTTATATGTTAAGGTATATAAGATGAATTCACTTATGAGAAAAGCAATTCATTTATCCATGATATAATAAATAAATAAGAAATTATGAAAAGTATATTAAGAAAGAGAAAGCCCTGCTAAAAGACAGTGTTGAATTTCCCTTTATACAAGTTTACAAATGTGCATGAATATGTGGTCTAAAAAGTTTACTGTGATCACGATAGCAGATTATATTACATTTTTTTATATTGACAACTTATTAAGGTATCAAGTGTATCTGTATCTATTTTTTTACCTATCTACCTCCCAAATTTAATGTTATAAAATTCAAATCATATATCTAGGCAAAGGAACTTTAAATTTGCATATATTTACTAACTAAAGAAATGTATTCCTTTTTTTATTAGCAAATTTAAAAGCAGATAACAAAAATATTTAGTGACTTTCCTGGAGAAAATCTTTGAGGAAGAAATTCAAAAGAATGTTTTTTGTATTGTCACTATTATGGTGAAGTTTTTCTTTATTTAGAAAAAAATATGATTAGATGTTTGGGTTTTACATACAGTTTTCAAAAGGCGAATATAATTTTCACAATTTGGCAAACATAATTATTATGATTGAAATATATAAAATTTGCATTTTTGTAAGGTAGAAAATGGTTGAATAACAATTTCACACAGCTCAATCTAAAACATGGAGAACTATGCATAGAGTTTGTAGAGATAGAAATCCTTGTCTTAATTATTTTATAATCTAATTAGGAGTTGACATAAATAAATTATCCAGGTACAAGTTAAAATGAAGATTTGAACTCCATTGTTGTATTCAGAAAAAGAAAACATAAATCCTGATACAGAGATTTGAAAATGCTTTCATTGGAGGCAGCATTTAAACTGATCCTTGAGGTATAAATATACTATCTTAGGTGGAGAATAACTCTGCTTATTGAATGCAGATAAAGCCATTCTTTTATTTTCAGTGCAACATCTTGGACAACCTATAGGTTTTATAAAAGCAACATTTACTATTAAATCTTTAAATGAGAATATTACTAATTTATTTTTTCCTTAATTTCTCAGTCATATATTTCATAGCTTTGTATTTCTCTAATCTTTAGTTTTTTCCATGTAAAAGGAAAACTATGGTGCACTATTTCATTATTGTCTTCAGTTATTCAAGTAGTTCTCCAGTTGATTATTTCTGCCTGGGAACTACAAAGACATATGTGATTCTGTGATTTATATACAATAGAAGCTTAATTTTACATACATATTATTCAAAAGGATAATATGTAATAATAAATTCATAATATAAGGACAAAATAAGGTATCATAGAGAAGTGAAACAAATTTATTTTCTTTTAAAATGTGGCATAGTACATTGAGGCCTTGAATGTATTTGCTTCATTTCAGAACACAATGCAACAAGCTCAGAAACAGAGATGACTATCAAAACCACAATGAGATATCATCTCACACCAGTTAGAATGGCGATCATTAAAAAGTCAGGAAACAACAGATGCTGGAGAGGTTGTGGAAAAATAGGAATGCTTTTACACTGTTGGTGGGAGTGTAAATTAGTTCAACCATTGTGGAAGACAGCGTGGCGATTCCTCAAGGATCTAGAGCTAGAAATACCATTTGACCCAGTGATCCCATTACTGGATATATACCCAAAGGGTTATAAATCATGCTACTATAAAGACACATGCACACATATGTTTATTACGGCACTATTCACAATGCAAAGACTTGGAACCAACCCACTTGTCCATCAGTGATAGACTGGATAGAGAAAATGTGGCACATATACACCATGAAATACTATGCAGCCATAAAAAATGATGAGTTCGTGTCCTTTGCAGGGACATAGATGAAGGTGTAAACCATCATTCTCAGCAAACTATCACAAGGACAGAAAACCAGTCACTGCATGTTCTCACTCATACGTGGGAGTTCAACAATGAGAACACATGGACACAGGGTGGGGAACATCACACGCTGGGGCCTGTCATGGGGTGGGAGGCTGGGGGAGGGATAGCATTAGGAGAAATACCTAATGTAAATGTCGAGTTGATAGGTACAGCAAACCAACATGGCACATGTATACGTATGTAACAAACCTGCACATTGTGCACATGTACCCTAGAACTTAAAGTATAAAATAAAAAGGGACAGAGATGACTACTGCACTGAAAAAATACAGCAATTCCAAGTTTGTCAGGTTATCGTAGAAAAGTCTACAGTGTTGTATAACAAGTTTAAGAACATGTTTTTGGTTGGTGAAGGAGATTCCACAGTCACATAAAGTGCTGAATAAATCTCTTGCTGAACAAAGACAACATGAGGAAGCAAATAAAACCAAAGATTAAGGGCCAAAAAAAAGCTAGAAAAGGGCCGGGCGCGGTGTCACCCTGTAATCCCAGCACTTTGGGAGGCCGAGACGGGCGGATCAGGAGGTCAAGAGATCGAGATCATCCTGGCCAACATGGTGAAACCCTGTCTCTACTAAAAATACAAAAAAAAAAAAAAAAGCTGGGCATGGTGGCAGACAACTGTAGTCCCAGCTACTTGGGAGTCTGAGGCAGGAGAAATCACTTGAACCCAGGAGGCGGAGGTTGCAGTGAGCCAAGATCGTGCCACTGCACTCCAGCCTGGTGACAGAATGAGACTCCACCAAAAAAAAAAAAAAAAAAAAGGCTAGAAAAGGAATGGATACAAGCCAGTAATTAACCACAACACAATGGAGAGAGCAATGAAGAAAGCAGACAGCCATGAGGCCAGCACTAAGAAAAAGCCATCCAGTGATGAGAGAGAGAGACGGAAATATCTCTGATGGATTCTACATTAGATAGCAAGGTTGACATACCTGGAATGTAGAGAGCACTTGAGAAGTTTGTAAAGTTTTCATTTGACATATTTAGACTGCTGAAAGTTTTAAAATTTTTATAAGCGTAGGTTTTGATGTTGAAAACTTGTTTTTAGGGAGAAAATCCCTATATCTTTGTTTAAAGGTAATTAGACAGTATCACTAACTGTCCCTGTGCAGTAATAACAGCCTCATTATATAGTAAATGTGGGGCAAAATCCATTTGGAAAATGTTAAGCTGCATTTCCAGACAAGGTTGTAGTGTATTTTTAATTAGTGCATGTATGTTATGTGTAATTGCTAGTAGAACAAAGTTATATATTTAAAACTGTTACTTGTAGAAACCTTTCCAGTTTTCCCAAATACCATGGGTTTTGTGCATAGTTTATACAAATCTTTAATTTACCAGACCGTCTTTTCAGTTTGTGGGTTTTGTGGAAGTTAAGCATTTTTATGTTAGACAAAATGTTACAAAAAGTACTCACTCTCTTCTTTTATCAAAAGTTAATTTTAATCTCAGTCTACATCATGCTACGTTCTCCGGCTTCTTTGAAATAATGTGTGGTCTGTAAGCCTTTTTATATGACAACTATTAAAAGATAACCAACTGACATGAACTGACTGAGAATTCTAAGTATAAAACTCTTGTTAATTTTTGAGGGTCATTTAGTTTTGTGACAGGGCATTCGGTAAAGTCTTGTGACTTCCCTGCAGACAACAGGCTGAGTATATATAGGAATGAATCTGGCTTTAGGGCTCAGTCATTTGAGATCTTTTATAGGCAGCCACAAGTAACTAAAACTGAAAACTAAATATGCTTATTTTTGAGAAATGGCTCAAGTTTCTAAGTTTTTTTTAAAAAGTTGTACTCATTAAGGAAGTCACTAGATAACATTTCATTGGAAAAAAAATCAGTCCATGATGCTTATGTGGTAAATATGAGAAAATGCTATGTAAGGAAACTAACCTATTTGAAAACATGGTTATATTAGAAGAAAAATTTTATTTTCATTTCTATATCATACACATGGAAGAATTGCAAAAATACAAACATGAGTTGCTCCAATGTACTTTGATAGTTTGTATATTGGCATGTATGGACTAAATCAGGGTGAAACCAATGTTAACACAAAATTTAAGGGTACGTTAACTAAAGCAGGGGCCTCCAACCCAAACCAGGCCACACAACAGGAGGTGAACAGAGGGCCAGAGAGCAAAGCTTCACCTGTATTTACAGCCACTCCCCATTGTTTACATTACCATCTGAGCTCTGCTTCCTGTCAGATCAGTGGTGGCATTAGAGTCTTATAGGAGCGTGAACCCTATTGTGAACTGCACATGTGCTCCTTATGAGAATCAAATGCCTGATGATCTGTCACTGTCTCCCATCACCCCCAGATGGGACAGTCTGGTTGAAGGAAAACAAGCTCAAGGCTCCCACCAATTCTACATTATGGTGACTTGTATAATTATTTCATTATACATTGCAATGTAATAATAATAGAAATAAAGTGCACAGTAAGTGTAATGCATTTGAATCATTCTGAAACCATCTCCCCATCCTTCCTCAGTCTGTGGAAAAGTTGTCTCCCACGAGATCACTCACTGGTGCCAAAAAGATTGGGGACTGCTGAACTAAAGGATGGTATTTCTAAGATATTTTGAATATTAGGTCATTTAATACTTTTCAATATGTAGGATATTTACCATGTTTGGAACTATATGAATGTGGGAAAATGACTTAAGACTAATGTTTAGGTGTGACATTGTATGGCTTGACCCTCTAGGATAATTGCTTTTCTCTACAGATTAGAATGTTTGAATTATTTCAGTAATTAGGTTTTTGCTTTGGAAAGATCTTACGATAGAACTAGGAGTTACTGCTTTGAGAGAACCTGTGTATGTACTGGTCATTATCCATTTGGTCCTTAATACAATTTTAACTTGTACAGATTTATTCTAATTAACCCATAAGGGTCAACATGTAAACTTGTTTTAATTAAATATACTAAATATTGTTGCTAAGTATAGTCAACCTAATCTGCTATGAAACATTAGAATTTATTTCTTCCATCCTACAGTATGTTTTTACCCATTAACCAATTTATTCTCATAACCCCCTCTCACCAACTCACTCTTCCCAGTCTCTGATATTCATCATTCTATTCTCTATGTCCATGTGATCAAGTTTTTTAACTCCCACGTATGAGTGAGAACATGCAGTGTTTGCCTTTCTGTGGCCGGCTTATTTTGCTTAACATAATGACTTCTATCTCCATCCATGTTACTGCAAAAGATCAGGATTTCAGCCAGGTGCAGTGGCTCATGCCTGTAATCCCAGTACTTTGGGAGGCCAAGGCAGGTGGATCACCTGAGATCAGGACAAAAATTAGCCGGGCGTGGTGGCGGGTGCCTGTAATCCCAGCTACTTTGGAGGCTGAGGCATGAGAATCACTTGAACCCGGGAGGCAGAGGTTGCAGTGAGCTGAGACCACGCCATTGCACTCCAGCCTGGGCAACAAGGCCAAAACTCCATCTCAAGGAAAAAAAAAAAAAAAAGACAGGATTTCATTCTTTATTTTATGGTTGACGGGTATTCTATTATGTGTATATATACTTTTTTTAATCCAGTGTTCAATTGGTGGATACAGCTTGATTTTATATCTTTGCTAATTTTGGGAGGGTGGGGGGGTTTCTTGAGACAGGATCCTACTCTGTCACCCAGGCTGGATCACGATCCAGCAGTGGCAGGATCATGGCTCACTGCAGCCCCAAACTCCCCAGACTCAGGAGATCTTCCTACCTCAGCCTCCCAAGTAGCTGGGGTGACAGGCACATGCCACCATGCCTGGCTAATTTCTGTACTTTTTGAAGAGACAGGGTCTCACCATGTTGCCCAGGATTGTCTCAAACTTCTTTTCCTTTGGAAAAATATTCCACAGTGGGATTTCTGGATATTATGGTAGTTCTGTTTTTACTTTTTTGAGAAATCTCCATACTGTAGTGAGAATGTACTAATTTACATTCTCACCAACAGTGTATACATAGTTTCCTTTTTTCTATACTCTTGCCAGCATATGTTATTTTTTGTCCTGGATAATAGCCATTCTAACTGTGGTGGTTTTGATTTGCATTTCTATGTGATTAGTGATTTAGAGCAATTTTTCATATATCTGTTGGTCTTTTGTATGCCTTCTTTTGAGATCTGTTTATTCTTGTGCTTTGTCCACTTTTTAATAGGATTGTTTGGGGTTTTTGCTGCTGAGTTGTTTAAGTTCCTTGTATATGTTGGATATTAGCTTTCTGTTGGATGATTAGTTTGCACATATTCTCTTCTATTCTGTAGATTATCCCATCACTCTTGTTTATTTTGCTGTGCAGAGCCTTTTAGTTGAACATTGTCCCATTTGTCTATTTTTGTTTTTGTTAGTTATGCTTTTGAGGTTTTAGCCATAAAATCTTTGCCTAAACCAATGTCCTGAGGAGCTTTCCCTGTGTTTTTTGTAGTAGTTTTATAATTTCAGGTTTTATGTTAAAGTCTTTAATCCATCTGGAGTTGATTTTTGCATATGGTGAGAAATAGGGTTCCAGTTTCATTCTCCTGCCTGTGGTTATCCAGTTTTCCAACTATGTATTGAAGAGGGTTTTTGTTCCCCAATGTAGGTTCTTGGTGGCTTTGAGGAAGATAAGTTAGCTGTAAATATGTGGGTTTATTTCTGGATTCTCTATTCTGTACCTGTGGTATATGCATCAATTTTTATACCAATACCATGCTATTTTGATTACTCTAGATTTGTAATATGTTTTGAAGATAGGTAGTGTGATGTTTACAACTTTGTCCTTTTTGCTCAGTATTACTTTGGCAATTTGGGATCTTTTATGGTTATGAAAGATTGTTTTTCTATTTCTGTGAAAAATGTCATTGGTATTATGATAGGGATTCCATTGACTTTGTAGATTGCTTTGGCTAGTGTGGTCATTTTAATGATATTGATTCTTCTAATCCATAAGCATGGGATGTTTTTCCATTTGTGTCATCTACAATTTCTTTCATCAGTGTTTTGTAGCTTTCCTTATAGAGATCTTTCACCTCGTTAGCTCAATTTATTCTTAGGTATTTCTTTGTAGCTATAGAAAATAAAATTGCCTTCTTGATTGCTTTTTTGGCTATTTCATTATTGGTGTATAGAAACACTACTAATTTTGTATGTTTATTTTGTGTCTTGTAACTGAATTTGGTTTTTTTGGGTTTTTGTTTTTTGTTTTTTGTTTTTAAGATGGAGTCTTGCTCTGTCGCCCAGGCTGGAGTGCAGTGGCACGATCTCAGCTCACTGCAAGCTCTGCTTCCCGGGTTCACACCATTCTCCTGCCTCAGCCTCCCGAGTAGCTGGGACTACAGGCGCCCACCACCACACCTGGCTAATTTTTTTTTTTTTTTTTTTTTTTTTTTTTTGTATTTTCAGTAGAGACGGGGTTTCACCGTGTTAGCCAGGATGGTCTCGATCTCCTGACTTCATGATCCACCCTCCTTGGCCTCCCAAAGTGCTGGGATTACAGGCGTGAGCCACCACGCCTGGCCTGAATTTGTTTATTAGTTCTAAGAGTTTTTTTAGTGGAGACTTTTGGTTTTTCTAAATGTAAATATAAAATAGAATTTGACTTTCACTTTTCCAACTTAGATGTGCTTTATTTCTTTGTGATTTCTCTGGCTAAGACTTCCAGTATTTTGTTGAATCATAGTGGTGAAAGTGGGTATTTTTGCCTTGTTACACTTCTTAGAGAAGAGACTTTCAGCTTTTCCCCATTTAGTATCATGTTAGCTGTGGGTTTGTCATATATGGCTTTTATTATATTGAGATATGTTCCTTCAATGCTTAGCTTATTGAGAGTTTTTATCATAAAGTGGTGTGGAATTTTATCAAATTCTTTTTCTGCATCTGTTGAGATGATCAAATCAATTTTGTCCTTCATTCTGTTGATGTGATGTATTATGTTTACTGACTTCCACATGTTGAACCATCTTTTCAGCCCTGGTATAAATCACACCTTATCATGGTGTATATCTTTTTGATGTGCAGTTGGATTTGATTTGCTAGCATTTTGTTGCAGATTTTTGCACCTCTGTTCATCAGGAATATTGGACTACTGTAGTTTTCTTATTTTCTTGTATCCTTTCCTGGCTTTTGTATCAGAGTAATGCTGATCTTGTAGAATGAGTTAGTTTTCTTCAATTTTTTGGAATAGTTTGAGGATGATTAGTATTAGTTCTTTACATGTTTAGTACAGTTTAGCAGTGAATCCATCAGTCTTTGTATTTTCTTTGCTGAGAGCCTTCTTATTACAGATTCCACATTACTACTTATTAGTCTGTTCAGGTTTTCTATTCTTCCTGATTTAATTTTAGTCGGTTGTATGCCTCCAGGAATTTTTCCATTTCCTCTTGGTTTTTCACTTTATATGCATATAGTTGTTAATAATAGTCTCTGATGATCGTTTATATTTCTCTGGCATCAGTTGTAAGTCTCCTTTTTAATTTCTGATTTTGTTTCTTAGAGTCTTTTTTATTCTTGGTTATTCTATCTAGTGGTTCATCGATTTTATCTATCTTTTCAAAAACTCAGCCTTGTATTTCATTGATTCTCTGTATTTCTTTTAGTTTTTATTTCATTTAGTTCTGCTCTTACCTTTTTTCTTTCTTTCTTTCTTTTTCTTTCTTTCTTCTGTCTTTCTCTCTTTCTTTCCTTCTTTCTTTTTTTGTTGCTATTTTTGGGTTTGGTTTCTTGTTGCTTTTCTAGTTCTTCCAGGTACAGCCTTAAGTTGTTTATTTAAAATCTTTGTTTTTTTGGTTGTCGTTGCTGCTGTTGTTGCTCTTGTTTTTATGTAGCTGTTTGTGCTACAAAGTTCCAGTCAAGTACTTCTTTTGCTGTATCCCACAGCTTTTGGTATGTGGTATTTTCATTTGCATTTGTATCAAGAAATTTTTAAATTAAAAAAATTTTCTTCTTTGACTCATTTGTTGTTCAGTAGAATTTTGTTTAGTTTCCATGTATTTGTATGGTTTTTGGAGTTCCCCTGGTATTTATTTCTAGTTTTATTCCACTGTGGTTGAGAAAATACTTAATATAACTTCAGTTTTAAAATTTGTTATGACATCTTTTGTGGTTTAACATGTGGCCCATTTTGAAGACTGTTCCAAGTGCTGATAAGAAGAATGCCTATTCTGGGCCGGGCGCGGTGGCTCATGCCTGTAATCCCAGCACTTTGGGAGGCCGAGGCGGGTGGATCACGACGTCAGGAGATTGAGACCATCCTGGCTTACACGGTGAAACCCCGTCTCTACTAAAAATACAAAAAATTAGCTGGGCGTGGTGGTGGGTGCCTGTAGTCCCAGCTACTAGGGAGGCTGAAGCAGGAGAATGGTGTAAACCCAGGAGGCGGAGCTTGCAGTGAGCTGAGATCACGCCACTGCACTCCAGCCTGGGCAACAGAGCGAGACTCCGTCTCAAAAGAAAAAAGAAAAAAAAAGTAAAATGCCTATTCTGTAGTTGTTGGAGAAAATGTTCTGTAAATGCCTGTTAGGTTCATTTAAATTCAATGTTTCTTTACTGATTTTCTGTCCACATGATCTGTCTAATGCTCAGAGTGGGGTGTTCAAGTATCCCACTATTATTATATTGGAATCTATGTCTCTCTTTAGATTTAGTAAAATTTGCTTTATAGATCTGGGTGCTCCAGTGTTGGGTGCACATATACCTAGAATTGTTATGTTCTCTTGCTGAACTAATTCCCCTTTACCATTATATAACAATATTCTTTATCTTTTATTTTTACTGTTTTTAACTTAGTCTGTTTTATCTGATATAAGTACAGCTACTCTTCTTTGCTTTTTTTTTAATAGAATATCTTTTCCCATACCTGTATTTTCCATGTATGTCTTTACAGATAAGTTGAGTTTCTTGTAAGCAGAATATAGTTGAATCATGTTTTTGTGTCTGTTCAGCCAGTGTAAATCTTTTAAGTGGAGATTTTAATTCATTTACTTTCAAGGTTATTATTGATTTTTGAAGTTTTCTTTCTGTCATATTGTTCATTGTTTTCTGGCTGTTTTATATATTCTTTACTTGTTCTTTTTTCTTTTATTATTTGCCCATAGGGTCTTGTAGTTTTCTGTTGTGGTACTATTTGACTCCTTTCTCTTCCTCGTTTGTGTGTTTGCTTTACCAGTGATTTTACACTTACTTATGTTTTCATGATGATGACTGATCCTTTCCCTTTCAAGTTTAGGACTCCCTTGAGCATTTTTTGTAGAACCAGTCTAGTGATGATGAATTCCCTCAAAATTTGCTTCTCTGGGAAAGACTTTATTTATCCTGTATGAAGGATAATTTTCTTAGATATAGTATCCATAGGTGATAGGATTTTTTCTTTTAGCACTCTGAACACATCATCCCATTCCTTCCTTTCCTGTAAGGTTTCTGATGAGAAATCTGCTCTTAGTCTGATGGAGGTAACTTTATAGGTAACTAGAAGCTTTTCTCTTGTTGTTTTTATAAACTTGTCTTTAGACAGTTTAACTACAATGTGCTGTCTCCATTTGGAGATCACTGTGCCTTCGCTAACACTATGTCTTCATGTCAATATGGTTTGGCTGTGTCCTCACCCAAATCTCATCTTGAATTGTACTCCCATAATTCCCATGTGTTGTGTGAGGGACCCAGTGGGAGATAATTTGAATCACAGAGGCAGTTTCCCCCATACTATTCTCGTGATAGTGAATAAGTCTCACGAGATATGATGGTTTTATCAGGAGTTTCTGCTTTTGCATCTTCCTCATTTTCTCTTGCCATTGCCATGTAAAAAGTGCCTTTCACCTCCCACCATAATTCTGAGGCCTCCCCAGCCATGTGGAACTGTAAGTCCAATTAAACCTCATTTTCTTCCCAGTCTCAGATATGTCTTTATCAGCAGTGTGAAAATGGACCAATACACTAAATTGGTATCAGAAGAGTGGGGTGTTGCTGAAAAGATACCTGAAAATGTGGAAACAATTTTGGAATTGGGTAACAGGCAGAGGCTGGAACGGTTTGGAGGGTTTCGAAGAAGGCAGGAAAATGTGTGAAAGTTTGGAAATTCCTAGAGACTTGTTGAATGGCTTTGATCAAAAGCCTGATAGTGATATGGACAATAAGGTCCAGACTGAGGTGGTCTCAGATGGAGATGAGGAACTTGTTGGGAACTGGAGCAAAGGTGACTCTTGTTTTGTTTTAGCAAAGAGACGGGTGGCATTTTGCTCCTGCCCTAGAGATTTGTGGAATTTTGAACTTTAGAGAGAAGATTTAGGGTATCTGGCAGAAGAAATTTCTAAGCAGCCAAGCATTTAAGATGTGACTTCGATGCTGTTAAAGGCATTCAGTTTTATAAGGGAAGCAGAGCATAAAAGTTCAGAAAATTTGCAGCCTGACAATGTGATAGAAAAGAAAAACCCATTTTCTGAGGAGAAATTCAACCTGGCTGCAGAAATTTACATAAGTAACAAGGAGCCAAATGTTAATTCCCAAGAGAATGGGGAAAATGTCTCTAGGGTATGTCAGATGTCTTCACAGCAGACCCTCCCATCACAGGCCCAGAGACCTAAGAGAAAATGGTTTTGTGGGCCAGGCCCAGGGTCTCTGTACTACGTGCAGCCTAGGGACTTGGTGCCCTATGTCCCAGATGCTCCAGCCCTGGCTGTAAGGGGCCAATGTAGAGCTTGGGCAATGGCTTCAGAGGGTGCAAGCCCCAAGCCTTGGCAGCTTTCATATGGTGTTGAACCTGCGAGTGCACAGAAGTCAAGAACTGGGGTTTGGGAACCTCCACCTAGATTTCAGAAGATGTGTGAAAATGCATGAATGCCCAAGCAGAAGTTTGCTGCAGGAGCGGGGCACTCATGGAGAACCTCTGCTAGGACAGTGCAGAAGGGTAATGTGCTGTGGGAGGCCCCACACAGAGTCCCCACTGGGGCATGGCCTACTAGAGCTATGAGAAGAGTGATACCATCCTCCAGATCCCAGAATGGTAGATCCACTGACAGCTTGCACCATGTGCCTGGAAAAGCCACAGACACTCAATGCCAGCCCGTGAAAGCAGCTGGGAGGAAAGCTGTACCCTGCAAAGCCACAGGGGAGGAGCTGCCTAACACCATGGGAACCCACCTCTTGCATCAGCATGACCTGGATGTGAGACCTGGAGTCAAAGGAGATCATTTTGGGGCTTTAAAATTTGACTGCCCAGATGGATTTCAGACTTGCATGGGCCCTGTAACCCCTTTGTTTTGGCCACTTTCTCCCATTTGGAACTGCTGTATTTACCAAATACCTGTACCCCCATTGTATCAAGGAAGTAACTAGCTTGCTTTTGATTTTACAGGCTCATAGGCGGAAGGGAGTTGCCTTGTCTCAGATGAGACTTTGGACTGTAGACTTTTGGGTTTAATGCTGAAATGAGTTAAGACTTTGGGAGATTGTTGGGAAGGCATGATTGGTTTTGAAATGTGAGGACATGAGATTTGGAGGGGCCAGGGGTGGAATGACATAGTTTAACTGTGTCCCCACCCAAATCTCATCTTGAATTGTACTCCCATAATTCCCATGTGTTATGGGAGGGACTCGGTGGAAGATAATTTGAATCATGGGTGCAGTTTCCCCGATACTGTTTTTGTGGTAGTGAATAAGTCTCACAAGATCTGGTGGTTTTATCAGGGGTGTCCGCTTTTGCATCTTTCTCATTTTCTCTTGCCACCGCCATGTAAGAAGTGCCTTTCACCTCCCACCATGATTCTGAGGCCTCCCCAGCCATGAGGAACTGTAAGTCCAATTAAACCTCTTTTTCTTCTCAGTCTCAAGTATGTTTTTATCGGCAGCATGAAAACAGATTAATATGATGTCTAAATCTCTTGCTAGACTTTGGAACTTTTCAGCTATTATTCTGCTAAATAGGTTTTTGAACACTTTTGTCCTCTCCTCACCTTCTGAGATAACAAAAATTCATATATCATTTGCTTTATAGTGTCCCATATGTTATGAATGCTTCATTCATTCTTTTTTATTCTTTGTTTTTTCATTTTTGTCTGACTGGGTTATTTCAAAAGACCTGTCTTCAAGTTCTGAGATTCTTTCTTCTGCTTAATCTATTGTTGGAGCTTTCAAATATATTTTGTAGTTCATTAAATGAACTCTTCAGTTCTAGAATTTCCATTTGCTCTTTTTTATCATATTTTTCTCTTTGGTAAATTTCTCATTCATATCCTGAATTATTTTTTCTGATTTCTTTGTATTGTTTTTCAGCATTCTCCTGTATCTTGCTGAGCTCCTTTAAAATCAGTATTTTGAATTCTTTTTCTGGGATTTTGTGAAATTTTTTTGATTGGGATCTGTTGCTGGAGAATTATTTTATTCCTTTGGGGGTGTCATATTTCTTGCTCTTTCATGTTTTCTGTGTCCCTACATATCTATGCATCTATGTCTTCTTTGAATTTTTTGAATTTTCTTTTGAGTTTAGGGCTTTTTCCTAAAAATTTATCTATGATGTTTGTTGGGGCCATTTGGCTTTGATTCTGAATGTGTGCAGTAGTGTAGTCTCTATATGATTTCTTTGCCTACAAACAATGTTAGTGGTATCTGTGATTTCCTCAGTGGCTTAGGGTCATTAGTGGAGGCTATGGTGGAGATTTTCTGGGAAAAGGGATTGCAGGTAGGTCAGTCTTCAGGCCCAAGTGGTTGCAGCAGTAGGCTGAGTATACCTGTCCTTTAGCCCCCTGGGTGGTGTATGCTGGCACTGGTGTTAGTTGTCCAGTTGAGCCAATTATCAGGCCTCCACATGTCTTGCCCAGATGCTGGTAATGGCAGTGGTGAGCCAGGTGGGTGTACTGGTTTTCAGCCCCATGTGCAGACAGCATGGTGTGGGCCATGGCAGTAGCAGTGGTAAGATGACTGTCTTATTCCTGAGCAGTGCTCACTGGTGTTGGCAGTGGCTGTGATTGGCTGAGCAGACCCCTCCCCGAGCTCCTAGATGGCACATGTGAGTGTGTGTTTGTGCTGTTGGCAGCAAGGTGAGTGGGCCCATCTTCAGGTTCCTAGGGGGATAAAATAGATGGTATAGGTGGTGGAATAGATAGAATAATCACCAAGTCCTTGGGTGGTGTGCTCAGGCTTGGAGGTGTGGTGCCAATTTGGGAGTGTCTGTCCTCAGGCGCCTGATGGTGTGCAGGGGGATAGGCTGTAGTAGGCAGGTTGAGACAGTCTGTGATGGTTGGTGTGGATACCTGACCTTAGGGCTTGTACTAGAAAGCATAGTGGCCCTGCTGTTTGTATGGGTAGGTTGCTATCAGCAGTCTCCTACAAGCAGCTCTCAGGCTCTGGGAAGTGAATATTTAATCTCTGGCAGCAGCAGTGACTGCAGTGGTGAGTGTGAGGAGCCTGATTTGAGGATGTGCACTAGAGTACAGAACCCGTGCTGCTGGTATGGGCTGGATTGGCACAGGGAGTCTCCAGTTCTAGGTTGCACTTGTTTCAGCTCCCTGCTGCAGTAGTGGCTTCAGCACTGTGCAGAAGATGGAGATGAGGATCCCACCCTCTATTGGTAGCCAGAGCACATGACCATACTGCAGGGGGACAGGGTCACCACCCACAACCCAAACATGTAGCTCTCAGACTTATTTGCTCTTGGAGGCAGCAGCTGCAACAGCACCATGCAGAAGTGAGAAAGAACCCCACCCTCTGTGAGTGAGCTTTAACACAGGCCACACTGCTAATGGGGACATGGTTGCAACTCACAGCCCCAGACAAGCAGCCCTCTCTTGCCCATCCAGCCCCTAGTGGCAGCAAGAGCAGCTGCAGCTGCAGTGAAATGCAGAGAAGGAAAGAGATCCCATTCTCTATACATAAATCCTAGCACAGAGTCCACTCTGCCAGCAGGGTTGTGGTCACTCCTTCCAGCTCCAGTCAGACAGCTCTCAGACCCGCTTGCCTTGGCTCCCAGTGGCAACAACTGCTATGGCACTGTGCACATGTAGAGGGAAAGATCCCACTCTCTCACTGTGAACCCAAGTACAATATGTGACACAGTTAGAGGTGGAGTCACTTATCAAAGCCCCAGAAAGAAAGCTCATCAGCTCTGGAAAGCATGTAATTTGGCTTCCTTTGTGCCCAGTGGCCACCTCCTTGGTGTGCTGCACCATTTTTTTTCCCCAGGGAGTAGTACTCTGTTGGACTAAAGTACTGGGGACCCCAAGCATCTTTGGGCTCAGCCAATGCTGTGCCTCCGTAGCCCTCTGGGTGGACACCAGGGGATATAAACAGAGGTTCCCAGGATGTGGAGATGGGACAGCTGTTGTTCCCAGAGCAGGATGCAGAATGGTGATGGCTAGGCTCTCACAGTGGTGCCATGCTGTAGCCACTTAGATCTCAGGAGTGTGTGTGACCCAGTGCATTTTCTATCTGGTACAATGCCCTCATTGGGTCTCCAGATGAACACCCACACTAGTCTTAGGGTTAATGTGGGTACAGGAGCTCTCCAATGGTTGGGATTGCAGCAGTCCACAGTGAGGATGTAAGCCAATGAGGGTATCCCACTTACCCTTTCTCTGCAAAAAGGAGCCCCTATGGGCTCACAGCCAATCTTGGCCAAGCTAACCCCTTGCTTTCTTCCCCTTCTGTGTCTCAGATATTTCTCTTTTGGACTCCGGTGTTCTCTACTAGATGTTTTATCTGAAATGTGATTATCTATTTGGTTAAGTTTTGTTTCTTCTGTCTGGAGAAGGCAAGTGCCCGATGCCTCTAGTCAGCATCTTGAAGCTGTCTCTACATTCAAGATATTTCTAATTTATTGATGCGGATATTTATTGCTGTAAACTTCCTTCTTAGAACTGCTTTTGCTGTATCCCATAGGTTTTGGTGTGTTGTATTTCCATTTTCATTTGTTTCAATAAATTTTTAAATTTTTTCTTTGCCTCATTTGTTATTCAAGAGCGTGTTGCTTAATTTCCATGTATTTGTATAGTTTCCAAAGTTCTTTCTGTTATTGATTTCTAGTTTTATTCCACTGTAGTCAGAAAAGATACTTTCTATGTTTTTAATCCTTTTTAATTTGTTTAGACTTGCTTTGTGGCCTAACTTATGATCTATCCTGGAGACGGTTACATTTGCGAATGAGAAGAACATACATTGTTAGTTACTGGGTGGAATGTTCTGTAAACGTCTGTTAGGTTTATTTGCTCTAGAATGCAGTTTAACTTTGATACTTCTTCATGGATTTTGTCTAGAAGTTCTGTTTATTTCTAAAAGTGGAGTTTTGAGGTCCCTTACTATTATTGTATTGCTGTCTATCTCTCCCTTTAGATCAAATAATATTTGTTTTATATATTTGGGTGCTGGATGCACATATATTTGCTATTGTTATATCTTCTTCCTTAATATACTTCTTAATCATTATGTAATGGCCTTCTTTGTCTCTTTTTACATTTTTTTATTTGAAGTCTATTTTATCTGAAATAAGTATAGTTACTTCTGTTTAGCTTTGGTTTCCATTTGTATGGAACATCATTTTCTATCCCTTCATTTTCAGTCTATGTGTGTCTTTACAGGTGAAGTGAGGTTCTTGTAGGTAGCAAATAATTGAGTCCTTTTTTAATCCATTCAGTCAATCTACGTTTTTTAATTGGGGAAATTAACTTGTTTACCCTGAAAGTTATTGTTAACACTTGAAGACATACTCTCTGATTTTGTTAATTGTTTTCTGGTTGTTTTGTATATATTATTTTTTCTTTCTTCCCTTCTCATTGTTTATCTTTGTGGCTTGGTTGTTTTCTGTAGTGATAAACTTTGATTCCTTTCTCTTTTTCATTTGTGTATCTACTGTCATTTTTTTCTTTCTGATTAGTATGGGGCTTACATTTTATTGAAATCTACCCATTATATGACCTTCTTTCATAAACTGTTTCTTCTCCTTTATTCCTTATTTTGGTTAATAAACTGCAATATATGTGAAACAAAGCTCAAGATATTAGATTTGCTAAGTAGCTCATAAGAACAACCTCCCTTTCTCATCTTCATGCTACATCTTTGTTTAGGTTTTTTATCATGTCACCTAAATCGTTGCTATGTTGGGTTTGGGCTTTTTTTTTTTTTTTTGGCTTAGCTTTCATTTTTTATTTTGAGGCCACCCTCCATACTGCTATCACACTGATCTTTCTGAAATACAAATAACTTGCTAACCATTTTCCTGTTCAAAATATTTTATTTGTTCCCTTTTCCCTCTTGGATGAATTTAAAACTTCTTAGTGTGGCATAAAAGACTTTTAATACTATAACTCCAATTTTTCTAGTTTTTCCTATCATATCATTTTTCACTGTCTCCTCACAGAGAAGCTATGCTCCTTTTACATGCTTCTTGTTTTTCTCTCAATATGGCATAGCCCTTTATAAAATAAAAATATTTATAAGAGTATTTGGAAAACAATCCATCACTGCAAAATATTACAAATTTTTGAAAATGGACATTTTCAACATATATGAAGAGTAGTTTCCTTTCATTCATAGTAGTTTCCCTTCACTTGCAACTTTAGCATATTGAAAATTAACATTTAGAATTTTGATGATCCTCTATTTTGATTTTATTATGAAACAACACAAAATTCTAGCACAAGAGAAGGAAATTCATCCTCACCTCAGGTCCTTATTTCCCAGGAACCAGCATTGTTGTACTATTTCTACTTCACCAAATATATTCTGATTGGTAATTAGCCTTTCCAAGGAGATTCTGAATTCATTGAATCATCCAGTAACATATTGATAATGTCATTAAATCTGAGAAGTGTAATAATGATTTCCATGTCACTGGTTAGCTGGTCAGCAAAAAAGCAAATGCATGATTCTCATCTATAAGTTTCAATAGCAGTAATTACAATGTACTCATGATGGTTTAGGCAGCCATAGATATCCTAGAAATAGGCAATGACAAATTTCACATACTTTCTACTTCTAGGTCAAATGTTATTGCCTTCCTTTACCACCTGGAATGTTTCTACTTACCTCTCAAGATCGATCCAAATAACAGCTTTTGACATCATGTCTATTTTCTTGATAAAGCTAGCTGACCAATCTCCTTGCTTCTCATAATACTTGCAATATCTATCCTATTACACAGGTTTTATTTTTGGCTTTTATGTTTGTCTTTTAAGTAGGTTACTTAAGGACATGGATTTTACATCAATCATTTAAAAAATTACCAGCCCTTAGTGCACTGACTGCTGTGACAAAGGTGCTGAATAAATATTTGCAGCAATGATATTTTTTTCCTTCTCCTCCATACATATTCCCTGTCATTTCTGAGCTTTTTCCTGCTTCATAAATTTTTCAAAGATTAACTTGTCCTGGAGAGAAAATGTTGAGTACACCATTGCTATAGTGACAAGCTTCACCTATTTCCATGTGTGTTGCAGATTCCTCCATGTGAAAATGCCCCCCACATAATATACCATGAGTCTCAGAGAGGCACAAGAGATAGGGATATTGCAAAGAGGCTGCAATATCCTTCACGACAGGATCTCAACTCCAAATGGAAAAAAAGTGTTCTGCAACCTCCACAATGTAAAATGAAAGTTAATGTATGGGAAATAAAGCCTCCTGATTTTAGCTACAAACTGTATACATCTTTGAGAATTCCAGAAAGATCATCAAAACCAATTAAGGAAGAAAAAAGGAGGAAAAAAATCAGTTTTCCAGAAACAATGCTTCACTTGCCCAGCATAAGGAATCATCCTAAGGAGGTTACAGCTCCTAAATTTATAACTACATTTCCACATCTGGATTTACAAAAAGCAAAGTTAATGTTTGTGAAGAGTGGACAATATCCAAGGGGTGTATATGTCAATCCCAAACCACATGACTTTCGACAGGTAAAAAAGAGCATTTGAATAAAAACTATTTAAGATAGATAAGGGGAACTATGTATTATTTTTTATTCATTTCTTAATGAGAAAAACTATTACATATAGGAAAATGGTATGTGTATATAATGTGTATAATGCTGCCTTTTTTTCTCATGGTACAATACAATTCACATTTAGCAATAAATGATAGAACAGAGAGGTAAGAACCTGATTGATTCTGATGAGGTTTTATCTGCCAGGTCAAGTGGCCAACTCTGAGATAGGCTTTCTTAGGTTTCAAGAGAACAGGTTGGGTTTAGATATGATTGGAGAACAGACATCAGTTGCCAGGAGTTTATAACCTACTACTAATAAAATAAATTTGTGGAATAAATTGGTGAATGAATGAAAATAGTTAAAAAGGGATATTCTATTACTTTAATGAATCTTTTGGATGATTAATAATTTAAATAATATATGGGCAATAATTAGATTTATAATTTAAAAGTGTGATGAAGTATATGGAGATGCAGATAAGGTCAAATATTTATGCAAAATATAATTCCACTAAAATGTGAATATATTCTGTTCTCAGATCTATAATTTAGAACATAAATGTGACTTGCTAGGCAAAGAGTTAAACAGTAGAACTGATAGAACAGGATCTAGAAATAGTGAGATAAAAGAATAAGTGTATTCCAGTGGGAAAATGTAGAATAGTAGTTAAGAGCATGGCTTCTAAGATCAGAGTATCCCTGTTCTTTTATTTTCTAATAACTTTAGACAAGATACTAAGCCTTTTTGATTATTTATAATGTGGGTTAATAATGCTACATACTTTTTATGGTTATTTTAAGCAACGAACGAAACAGTATATGCAAAGCACAACAGAATCTGAAATGTTGAGGTATTCGATGAATGTTAACTCTATGAGCTATTAGGATAAAATTTGGAAAATACAGGGAGCTATAGTCAATAACTCTCTTTACTTATTCAGGGCATCTAAATATTTTCATTCATAGTAAATAATATATGTTACCTTTTAGAGATGAGGGAGGTCATGTAAATATTTCCATTCATAGTAAATAACATATGTTACCTTTTGGAGATGAGGGAGGTCATTTAAATATTAAATGTTACTGGTTTATTTAAATACCTTACTAGGCCAGGAGCAGTGGCTCATACCTGTAATCCCAGCACTTTGGGAGGCCACAGTGGGAGGATCATGAGGTCAGGAGTTCGAGACCAGCCTAACCAACATGGTGAAACCCCGTCTTTACTAAAAATACAAAAATTAGCCAGGTGTGGTAACACGTGCCTGTAATTCCAGCTACTTGGGAGGCTGAGGCAAGAGAATCGCTTGAATTTGGGAGGTGAAAGTTGCAGTGAGCCGAGATCTCACCACTGCACTCCATCTCAAAAAATAATAATAAATAAATAAATAAATAAATATTTTACTAATAACAGACTTAAAAACTTGAGTAAATAAAATTCACGGAATAAGGAATATTTTTATTTTAGCTGAATTAACTTGCTTCTATAAATGACTGAATTGGAGGCAGAGTGTTATAAATTGTGTAACCACCAGATGTCAGTATTGTTACAAATTAAACCTCAGTGAAGGCTTTTTGAAACGAACTTGGTCTCATGTTGTATTCAATTAAAGAGCGAAAAATCTTGTATTAGAGAATCTCCTTCTTTGGAACTTTTAATATTGTTCTATACGCTTGTGGCAGGTCACTCATTAAGAATATAACCCTGTTTAATTTCTGCTTGGTACCCTCACTGTTTTGTGCCACGTTTACTTAGCTTTTGAGTAGAGACCTTTGTGATGTTTTATTTGATCAGTTCTTGGAGTGTACAAATTCTATTTCAGTTCAAATTGGTTCAATTAAACCACTAAAAAATCTGCTTTGGTAGTAGCTTATAAAAAAACAGTAACTCTCTTCCAGGCTTGATAAATTATTTAGCTTTGTTCAATGTTTTTGCTATGTGTCTGAAAGAAGTTCAGCTCCAGAAAAATAATATGCAATTCTATGTGTCATAAATTACAATCAAGTTTAAGATTAGGTTGCTAAGTTTAAGATTGCAAGTTTAAGATTAGGTTAACTAATCTAAATTTTGAATAGACTCCCTTAATTCCACACTGTTTAAGATGCTAATTCTGATCACTTCACAAAAGGGTAATTGAAGTACTCCTCTCTACCACAAAAATGAATTGTTTATACACTATTTAAATCTTAGATCATTTTTTCAAATTTTCATAAACAAGTTTTAAATGCTACATTTGAATGCCACAACAAAATCATCAAAATTACGTTTTACCAAGGAAATATTTAATATTAGGAAAAATCAAACTCCAACTACAATGAGAAACAATATGTATTAATAATATTGCAATCTTTCCTTTACATATCTAGTACCAACCTGGTTTACCAAACTTTGAGACAACTTATGAAAAGGACCCCTTTGGATTAAAATTTAAATCACAACACTTAAGTACAGGTAAGCTGTTAAGATGTTATGAATATTGGAAAAAAAACTCTGCATTCCATATTAGTAGTAGTAAATTCATAGGCTTAAAACTAAATAGGTGGATTTTATTATCACCTTTAATAATACGGTAAATTTTTTAATGTCCTTTTAATTATTTGCAACAATACGTTTACTTTTCTACCACAACTGTTACTATATTATTAAAGATAATATTTGTAAATCAATGTCTCATGTATAGAGAATAAATAGAGTGTAATGCTTAAGGGAATAAACTCTGGAGCCCAGCTGTGCAACTTTGAATCTTGGCTTCACTGCCCCAAATCACCTAAACTGTCTATCTATTGGTTTCCTTATCTGGAAATGCAGATGATAACAACTGAATCTACATCATAGAATTACTGTGAGCATTAAATCTGCTAAAAGCACTTAGTAATGTATTAAAAAACACATGGAAATAACATACACACATGCATGCTATAATTACTGTTATGGTGCCATTTGTTAAGTGTTAATTCAGAGTTAATTTGTATTATTTAGCATTTCTTATTTGGATTAGGAGGGACAATATCTGAATGCTATATTTACATATTATAATTATATATAAATTAACCAATAAGATGTTAACAGTGTTTGTCTCTGGATAGTGAGATCACAGTTACATTTTATTTCCTCTTTTTCAAAATAACGAGCAAATAATTTTATACCTGTAAAACTAAGATAATTTATTTACAAATATTGTACACATTTTAGCATGTGTTATACTTATAAAAGTGTCATCTAGCTGTGTAATTGAAATGGAACATGTCAACTTTCCTAGTATATGCTATGTGTCACTCACTTTGGTAGAAAATGCCATCTAGCTGTGTAATTGAAATGGAACATGTCAACTTTCCTAGTATATGCTATGTGTCACTCACTTTCGTAGAAAATGCCATCTAGCTGTGTAATTGAAATGGAACATCTCTACTTTCCTAGTATATGCTATGTGTCACTCACTTTGGTAGAAAATGCCGTCTAGCTGTGTAACTGAAATGGAACATGTCTACTTTCCTAGTATATGCTATGTGTCACTCACTTTGGTAGAAAATGCCATCTAGCTGTGTAACTGAAATGGAACATGTCAGCTTTCCTAGTATATGCTATGTGTCACTCACTATGGTAGAAAATGCCACCTAGCTGTGTAATTGAAATGGAACATGTCAGCTTTCCTAGTATATGCTATGTGTCACTCACTTTGGTAGAAAATGCCACCTAGCTGTGTAATTGAAATGGAACATGTCAGCTTTCCTAGTATATGCTATGTGTCACTCACTATGGTAGAAAATGCCACCTAGCTGTGTAATTCAAATGGAACATGTCAGCTTTCCTAGTATATGCTATGTGTCACTCACTTTGGTAGAAAATGCCATCTAGCTGTGTAATTGAAATGGAACATGTCAGCTTTCCTAGTATATGCTGTGTGTCACTCACTTTGGTAGAAAATGCCATCTAGCTGTGTAATTGAAATGGAACATATCTACTTTCCTAGTATATGCTATGTGTCACTCACTTTGATAGAAAATGCCATCTAGCTGTGTAATTGAAATGGAACATGTCAGCTTTCCTAGTATATGCTGTGTGTCACTCACTTTGGTAGAAAATGCCATCTAGTTGTGTAATTGAAATGGAACATGTCAGCTTTCCTAGTATATGCTAAGTGTCACTCACTTTGGTAGAAAATGCCATCTAGCTGTGTAATTGAAATGGAACATGTCAGCTTTCCTAGTATATGCTATGTGTCACTCACTTTGGTAGAAAATGCCATCTAGCTGTGTAATTGAAATGGAACATGTCTACTTTCCTAGTATATGCTATGTGTCACTCACTTTCGTAGAAAATGCCATCTAGCTGTGTAATTGAAATGGAACATGTCAGCTTTCCTAGTATATGCTATGTGTCACTCACTTTGGTAGAAAATGCCATCTAGCTGTGTAATTGAAATGGAACATATCAGCTTCCTAGTATATGCTATGTGTCACTCACTTTGATAGAAAATGCCATCTAGCTGTGTAATTGAAATGGAACATGTCAGCTTTCCTAGTATATGCTAAGTGTCACTCACTTTGGTAGAAAATGCCATCTAGCTGTGTAATTGAAATGGAACATGTCAGCTTTCCTAGTATATGCTGTGTGTCACTCACTTTGGTAGAAAATGCCATCTAGCTGTGTAATTGAAATGGAACATGTCAGCTTTCCTAGTATATGCTATGTGTCACTCACTTTGGTAGAAAATGCCATCTAGCTGTGTAATTGAAATGGAACATGTCTACTTTCCTAGTATATGCTATGTGTCACTCACTTTGGTAGAAAATGCCATCTAGCTGTGTAATTGAAATGGAACATATCTACTTTCCTAGTATATGCTATGTGTCACTCACTTTGGTAGAAAATGCCATCTAGCTGTGTAATTGAAATGGAACATGTCAGCTTTCCTAGTATATGCTATGTGTCACTCACTTTGGTAGAAAATGCCATCTAGCTGTGTAATTGAAATGGAACATGTCAGCTTTCCTAGTATATGCTATGTGTCACTCACTTTGGTAGAAAATGCCATCTAGCTGTGTAATTGAAATGGAAAATGTCAGCTTTCTTAGTATATGCTATGTGTCACTCACTTTGGTAGAAAATGCCAGAGATTCTTTGTAAGACGCAGCCCCTGACTTCAAACATATTTTAAGGAAAACTTAAGGTAGAGTGCAAAATATACCATCCCACAGGAGACACTTTAGAACGATGGGTCCAGAGAAATAAAAGGTGGGATTGGAGTTGGAGTTTGAAGAAAGACAAAATTAACTCCAGCAGGACTGGCAGAAAGAATAAGAAAAGTTTTGTTTAGATTTACATCTATAAATTATCCAGCGACTTACCACTCCTGGGTCCTGATCTCCAAAAATGATACATCTGAGAGACATCATGAACAAAGACACGTGCCATTGCTAAGCCTCTCATTTGTCTTCCTATCTCTAGTACATGGGTACCAGTTACCGAAAGATGATAAACAGAAGACTAGTACAGAAAGATTTATCACCCACAAGCATTGTGAATGCACCTGGGATTCAAAACTAATTTTGACGAAAGCCCCATGGCCTGTTAGATCTGCTTCATATACAGTGAGTTTGACTTTCTCTATAGCTGTTGGAAAATGTCTCCAGCACTGTTGTCGACAATTGCTTTAGTGCAGGAGTTTTTTATTTGTTGTAGTGTAAAATATATTTCTGTCTTTAAAAATAAAGCATATAGCCGCTGCTTTTTTTGTGAAATACAAATAGTGGATTATCTAGAACTTTGGATTTTCTTTTCTTTTATTTCTAGATCTTGATAAAAGAATAAGTGTATTCCAGTGGGAAAATATAGAATAGTAGTTAAAAGCATGGCTTCTGAGATCAGAGTATCCCTGTTCTTTTACTTTCTAATAACTTTAGACAAGATACTAAGCCTTTTTCATTATTTATAATGTCGGTTAGTAATGCTACATACTTTTTATGGTTATTTTAAGTAATAGCTATAGGGAATACAGTGTTGATGAAAGAAGCCAAACTCTGTAAAATATTTGAAGAGATTTATTCTGAGCCAAATTGGTGACCATGACCTGTAACACAGTCTCAGGAGGTTCTGAGAACATGTGGCCCAAGGTGGTTAGTTTACAGCTTGGTTTTATACATTTTAGGGAGATAGAAGTTACAGGCAAAGACATAAATCAATACATGTAAGGTATACATTGGTTTCACCTGGAAATGCAGGACATCTCGAAGTTTGGAGGCTTCCAGGTCATAAGTAGATTTGATGCATGGTGGGCAAGCCCCAAAACTGGGGCATAGCCGGGAACGTTCTTGGCTTCACCCAAGAAAGAATTCAAGGGCGGGCCTGTGGTGTTAGACGGCATCTTTTATTGAGTACAGCAGCAGAGGTACTGCTCCTCGCGAAGCAGGACTACCCATAGGCAGTGTGCTCCGCGCACAGCTCAGGGGCAGTTTTGCAGTCATATTTACACCCACTTTTAACTACATGCAAATTAAGGGGTGGGTTATCCAGAAATTCCTAGAAAAGAAGTGGTACCTTCCGGATGTTGCCACAGCAATGGTGGGGCTGTCTCGTGGAGAGATGCTTTCAATGCCTCTTCCCTATTTTAACCAGTCTTCCATCTGGTCTGGAGTTGAGTCCCGCCTCCTACCTCAGATTCAAAGATTCCCCAATTGGCAACTGGTTGAGAGTTAAGCTTTGTCTGTTAAGTCAGCTTGAGTTAAGGTAAAGAGTGGGGGTTGTGGAAGCCAAGGTTCTTGTCATGTAGTCGAAGACTCCAGGTAGCAGGCTTCAGAGACAATAGATGTGGAGGTCTCTTCTCAGACCTTAAAAGATATGAGACTGTCTGCAAAAGAGAGACAGCTTTGCAGGGCCATTTTGAAAGATGCCAAAAAAGTATATTTGGGGGTAAAATACTTTTATTTCCTCCAGGGCCTGCTATCTGTCATGTGATGCGACACTAGAGTCAGGCTGAAATCGGTATTTTGTTGCTGCAAAGAGCTGTTTGTTTTGTCAGTCTTAAGATCTCTGTTTTAATGTTAACGCTGGTGAGTTGCGCCTGAATTCCAAAGGGAGGAGGGTATAATGATCCATGTCCCACCTTCTCACCTTCTCTTCCCATCAGGGCCTGAACTTTTTTTTCAGGTTTCTTTGTGTCCCCTCACTCATGAAGGGGGTCCATTCATCTGATTGGGGGCCTTAGAATTTTATTTTTGTTTTACAAAGGCTTAAATATTGTAAGAAATTTTTCCCAAATTTCCTCTTATCTCATTGGAAATCACGAGAAGTTTAGTGAGTGACACTCATGTGAGAAGGCCTGAAAAGACTCTTGTAGAAAAAAATGTTGAGAACACATACTTTTACCCTGGCTGAAATTCTGCCCTAGTCACATAAGGATGCTTCGTAAGCCCTTTATGTCTAAGCAGAACAAGATGTGAATCTGGAATACAGATACACTTTTAAAGCAAAGATTATTAAACAGCAAATTTTAACAAGTAAACAATTAAAGTTAATACATGTCTGCTTTTACTAACTTCCTTTGTACCATCTTCCTTCAGAGACATAGAAGGCAGCGTGATGCATACAGTGCATTTATGGATCGTGTGGAAGAAAAGTTTACAAAGATATGCAAGAGCAGGTGGGCAAAAAAATTAGGATTTGTTGTTAGATACTTATATTAACTCTTTAACATTACTACTCAATTTCTGTTTTAAATAAAACATATTTTATCATATAAGTGCTCTACTGTCATAGGAACTATAAGTGAAATAGTTGCATGGTGCTTAACTGTTTTAAGTGGAGCCTGAAAGAATCCAATCCCATTATCAAATAATTATTATTTGAGAATTTCATTGCAACCTGTTTCCTACGTGCATAATCACCTCTCACAGCTCTCTTTATTCACATGTCAATGTCATCTCTGAGAAGTGGGGAGGAGGGCAGATTAATGTAGTAGAGTTTGGGCTTTGAGTTTGGTGAAATGAATTCAAATTAAGAGTAATCCACCTGTAATTTGTGATCTTGGATGATTTGCTTAAATTTTCTGATCCTATTTTCTCAGGTTTTTGGAGAATTAAATAAGATGATATATACAAACTGCTGGCACAGTCCCTCATATCTTCTTGATTCAATTATTACTATTATTGTTAATGATAATATAGATATGGCCTTGCATGACCATGGAAAAGTAACATTACCTGTGGCTTAGTTTTCTCATCTGTAGAATGTCAGTAATAATAGTACCAACTTTGCAGAGTTACCATTGAAATGGCTGCATTGTCTGGGGAATTAACCATGGTTCGTTGTCTTGTGTTGAGAAAGAATTCAGGACACAGACACATGTGGGTGGGTTAAGGAGCAGAAAGTTTAATAGAAGAAAGGAGAAAGGAGAGCAGCTCCTTTCCAGAGAGAGAGAAACATCGGAAAAAGGGGAAAGTAGGCCTACTGCAGCAGATTTTATAGGCAGGGTGGAGGAGGCGGTGTCTGATTTACATAGAGCCCACAGATTGATTCGATTAGATATGACATTTACATAGCCTAGGCTGGCCACCCCACCCTAATCTTATTATGCAAATGGACTCTCCACTGACCAGTGCCATCTTGTCTGCTCCTTACTGTACATGTGGCTGGCAAAGGGAAGGGAAGATGGAGCCGCCATTTTGAACATGCCTGGTCCCAGGTAGTTATTTCCTACAGGCCAGCATTCACCTGTGGAAGCTTCTAGCTTGCTTGTCTGTGTCTGCAGCTCAATTTTACAGGCTGCTCTTTTTTAGGAAATGATTTGGGGCTGCTTTTCATTAAAAAGAAAAACCTGGCCGGGCATGGTGGCTCACGCCTGTAATCCCAACACTTTGGGAGGTCAAGGTGGGTGAATCACGAGGTCTGGAGTTCGAGACCAGCCTGACCAACATGGTGAAACCCTGTCTCTACTGAAAATACAAAAAATTAGCTGGGTGTAATGGTGGGCGCCTGTAATCCCAGCTCCTTAGGTGGCTGAGGCAGGAGAATCACTTGAACCTGGGAGGCAGAGGTTGCAGTGAGCCAACATTGTGCCACTGCACACCAGCCCGGATGACAGAGTGAGACTCTGTTTCAAAAAAAAAAAAAAGAAAAAGAAAAACCTTACTGAAGCCTCCCATACCCTATCTGCCTGATTAATTTTTTCTTAACTCCTGTACCACTATGAATAGTCGAAGTTTGCATTTGTGAAACACTTGGAATACAGCACACGACACTTAGTACTTGCTATCTAAGTATTTTATGAATAACAATTCAAAACTATGCTTTTTTTGCATACAATATAAAATATATATAATGTCTAGAGCTTTCTGGAAGATGAGAGAGGCTACTCAGTAAGATTGATCTTTGGATTTCTATGAGGGAGTACACAGAGTGAACAGTCAGCAGACAGCTATCTCTAGGAGGACCACAGGACAGATGAATATAAAAAGAGTAGATATGTGACCAGAAAGCTGTCTCCAGATGGGTAAGAATTTGTTTTAAGTGGTGGATATAGAGTCATCCTACTAATGATTTAGGATGTAGACTTATCCTTACCAAGTTTACAAAATGGTCATCTTAAATTGCAAACATCCCGCTGTACATATATAAAATTCTTGATTCCTGTAGCATAGTGGGAGCTTCTCCTCTATAACTGATGTGCTTGAGCTTGGTAATTGGTGGCTCAACATAAAAGAAAATGGCATGGTAGTCCATCAGCAAAAGTTTCTTTTGTTGTTGTTGTTGTTTTGTTTGTTTGTTTTTGAGATGCAGACTCGCTCTGTCACCCAGGCTGGAGTGCAGTGGTGTGATCTCAGCTCACAGCAACTTTCACCTCCCAGGTTCAAATGATTCTCCTGCCTCAGCCTCCTGAGTAGCTGGGATTACAGGTTCCCATCACCATACCCACCTAATTTTTGTATTTTTAGTAGAGACAGGGGTTTGCCATGTTGGCCAGGCTGGTCTCGAACTCCTGACCTCAGGTGATCAACCTGCCTCAGCCTCCAAAAGTGCTGGGATTACAGGTGTGAGCCACAGCGCCCAGCCACCAAAGGTTTCTTTTTTTTTTTTTTTTTTCTTTGAGATGGAGTCTCGCTCTGTTGCTCAGGCTGGAGTGCAGTGGTACGATCTCAGTTCACTGCAAGCTCCACCTCCCGGGTTCACACCATTCTCCTGCCTCAGCCTCCAGAGTAGCTGGGACTACAGGTGCCCGCCACCACGCCCAGCTAATTTTTTGTGTTTTTAGTAGAGACAAGGTTTCACCACGTTAGCCAGGATGGTCTCGATCTCCTGACCTCGTGATCCACCTGTCTCGGCCTCCCAAAGTGCTAGGATTACAGGCGTGAGCCACCATACCTAGCCCCCAGCCACCAAAAGTTTCTTATAGTGGTTACAGAAAATCATAGATTATTACTGCTGCCTGTAACACTATGAATTCTCAGTCAGAACTTCAACTTTCATAGGTGTCACTGGGAAGCATACTTCAAAAGCAAATCTACCTCAGTATTTCACAGGCTTCTCAAAATAGAAATGTTTTCATCTGAAGTTGTAGTTCCTCTTATTTTTTCATTTTTTACAAATATTTGATATATTTAGCACACAGATCCCTATGAAGGTTCAAATAAAATGGCTTTATTTTTCTCAAATCATGAATTTTAAATATGCTGTGTTGGATCTCCCTCCCCTCAGCTTGAGAACAACTTTGGCAGAGCCTATAGATTTTCAACATTTCATTTGTACTAGCCCTGTCATTTCTATAATTTAAACTCACATTCAGCCATGAAAAAGCTATGTAAGCAAATTTAAAAATTTTCCGTAATTTAAGATTATGTTCAGCCATGAAAAATTCAGGATAAGAAATATATATGACTTCTATTTCACATCGTGCATAAAGAAGTAAATTCATGTGGATTACAGACCTAAATGTGAAAAGAAAACAATAACCTTTCTGCAATACATTTGGAGAATTAAATGATATCTTTAAAAGAACCACAAAAACACTATCTATAAAGAAAAAATTATTGAATGTTCTACTTGAAACATTAAAACTACAAACTTCTGTTAAAATACATCATTAGGAGAGTGAAAAGGCAGACAGAGAGCTTAGAGAAAATATTTGCTACTCATATAAGCAAGAAAATGGTTTATATTAATAATATATAAAGAACTCATGCAAATAAATAAGAAATAGGCATGTAATCCAATGGAAAATAACAGGAGGCTGGGCATAATGGTTCATTCCTATAATTCCAACACTGGTAAGCCAAAGTGGGAGGAACTCTTGAGCCCAGGAGGCTGAGACCAGCATGGACAACATTAGGAAATCCTGTCTCTACAAAACATTTAAAAAATTAGCCAGATGTGGTAGTACACACCTGTGGTCTCAGCTACACTAGAGGCTGAGGCGGGAGATTTACTTGAGCCCAGAAGGTTGAGGCTGCAGTGTTCTCTCCACTGCATTCCGGCCTGGGGGACAGAGCAAGACCCTGTCTCAAAGAAAGGGAGGGAGGGAAGAAGGAAGGAGGGAAGGAAGGAAGGAAGGAAGGAAGGAAGGAAGGAAGGAAGGAAACAGATTTCATACAAGAAGATCTCTAAATGACAAAACATGAAAATGTGTTCATCTTCACAAGTAATCAGGGAAATATGCAGTAAGATGCACAATGGACTACTATTGCACACCCACCAAAATAGCCAAAATAAGAAGATAAACAACAGGAAGCATAGGTTTATTCATCCATTTTCATGCTGCTGATTAAGACATACCCAAACTGGGCAATTTACAAAAGAAAGAGGTTTATTGGACTTACAGTTCCACATGGTTGGGGAGACCTCACAATCATGGTGGAAGGCAAAAAGGAGCAAGTCACATCCTATGTGGATGGCAGCAGGCAAAAAGAGAGCTTGTGCAGGGAAACTCTTGTTTTTAAAAACCATCAGATCTCATGAGACCCATTCACTATCACAAGAACAGCATGGGAAAGAACTGTCCCCATGATTCAATTAGCTCCCACTGGGTCCTTCCCAGAACACATGGGAATTCAGGATGAGATTTGGGTGGGGACATAGCCAAACCATATCATTCCACCTCTGGCCCCTCCCAAATCTCATGTCCTCACATTTCAAAACCAATCATGTCTTCCCAACAGTCACCCTAAGTTTTAACTCATTTCAGAATTAACTCAAAAGTCCACGGTCCAACATCTCTTCTGAAACAAAGCAAGTCCCTTCTGCCTATAAGGCTATAAAATCAAAAGCAAGTTAGTTACTTCCTAGATACAATGGCGGTACAGGCACTGGGTAAATACAGCAATTCCAAATGGGAGAAATTGGTCAAAACAAAGGGGCTACAGACCCCATGCAAGTCCGAAATGCAGCACAGCAGTCAAACCTTAAAGCTTCAAAATGATCTCCTTTGACTCCATGTCTCACATCCAGGTCATGCTGACACAAGAGGTGAGTTCCCATGGACTTGGGCAGCTCCACTCCTGTGGCTTTGCAGGATACAGCCTCCCACCCAGCTGCCTTCATGGGCTGGTGTTAAGTGTCTATGGCTTTTCCAGGCACACAGTACAAGCTGTCAGTGAATCTACCATTCTGGGGTCTGTAGGACAGTAGCCCTCTTTTCACAGCTCCAATAGTTGGTACCCCAGTGAGGACTCTGTGTGGGGGCTCCCACAGCACATTACCTGTCTGTACTGCCCTAGCAGAGGTTCTCCATGAGGACCCCATCCCTACAGCAAACTTCTGCTTGGGCATCCAGATGTTTCCCTACATTTTCTGAAATCTAGTCGGAGGCTCCCAAACCTCAATTCTTGACTTCTGTGCACTCACAGGCTCAACACCATGTGGAAGTTGCCAAGGCTTGAGACTTGCACCCTCTGAAGCCATAGCCTGAGCTCTACGTTGGCCTCTTCCAGCCATGGCTGGAGCAGCTGGGACATAAGGCACCAAGTCCCTAGGCTGCACACAGCACGGGGACCCTGGTCCTGGCCCATGAAACCATTTTTTCTTCCTAGGCCTCTGGGCCTGTGATGGGAGGGACTGCCAAAAAGTTCTCAGACATGCCGTGGAGACATTTCCCCCATTGTCTTGGGGTTTAACATTCAGCTTATCATTACTTATGCAAATTTCTGCAGCCAGGTTGAATTTCTCCTCAGAAAACGCTTTTTTTCTTTTCTATCACATTGTCAGGCTGCAAATTTTCTGAACTTTTATGCTCTGCTTCCCTTATAAAACTGAATGCCCTTAACAGCACCCAAGTCACGTCTTAAATGCTTGGCTGCTTAGAAATTTCTTCTGCCAGATACCCTAAATTATCTCTCTCAAGTTCAAAGTTCCACAAGTCTCTAGGCCGGGGGCAAAATGCTGCCAGTCTCTTGGCTAAAACATGACAACAGTCACCTTTACTCCAGTTTTCAACAAGTTCCTCATCTCCTTCTGAGACGACCTCAGCCTGGACTTTATTGTTCATATCACTATCAGCATTTTGGTCAAAGCCATTCAACAAGTCTCCAGGAGTTTCCATACTTTTGCACATTTTCCTCTCTTCTTCTGAGCCCTCCAAACTGTTCCAACCCCTGTCTGTTACCCAGTTCCAAAGTCGCTTTCACATTTTCTGGTATCTGTTCAGCAGCATCCCAGTCTACCAGTACCAGTTTACTGTATTAGTTCATTCTCACACTGCTGATAAAGACATACCCAAGACTGAGCAATTTACAAAAGAAACAGATTTATTGGACTTACCGTTCCACATGGCTGGAGAGGCCTCACAGTCATGGCGGAAGGTGAAAGGCACATCTCACATGGCAGCAGACAAGAGAAGAGAGCTTTTGCAGGGAAACTCCCATTTTTAAAGCCATCAGATCTCGTGAGACTCATTCACTATAACAAGAACAGCACAGGAAAAACCTGCCCCCAGAATTCAATCACCTCCCACTGGGATTCTCCCATGGCACATGGGAATTGTGGGAGTTACAATTCAAGATGAGATTTGGGTGGGGATACAGCCAAACCATATCAATAGGCAAGGGTATAGAGCAATTAGAACTCCTATACACTGCTTGAGGGGGAAGAATTGGAACAAGTACTTTGGAAAAATATTTTGCAATATATTCTAAAGTTGGATGTATACATACATATAACCTATGACACAAAATTCCATTCTAAATGCTGTATAATTAGCTGATATATAAGATATATTTGTATGCACTAAAAGATATATATAGGAATGCTTATAGCAGAATTGCTTGTGATAACCTTTACATTAGAGACAAGTCCAATGCCAATAAATAATAGAATGTATACATAAAAGTATCCATTTATGGTATATTTACACAATAGATTATACAGCAAAGAAAATGAACAAAATGTTGCTATATGCAAGCAATAGGGATGAGTCTCACAAACATACTTAGGAGTTTTTTAAAAGCCAGATGCTCTATATATGTACAATGTATATATATATACACATATCTGTATATACTGCATTATTATTCCATTTATATAAAGGAAAACTCTTGTCCACATGTAAGAAATCAGGAAGTTGGCTTCCTTTGGTTTGAAGGAAAGGAGTACAATAACCTTCTGGGTCCCAGAAATGTAGTATTTTCTGACCTTGATGTTGGTTACATAGATGCATTCACTTTGTGATAACTCCATAGAAATATTTATTTAATATCTATGCACTATTATACGTACATGTAAAACTTTAATAATTTTTTTAATTGGGAGATTCTTTGCAATTGTTTTAAATTTCAAAAAGAAAGAAAGAAAGCCTCATTCATTCTAAATTAACATTCTAATCTCACATCCAATTCAAAATTTGTTTGCTGTTTTCAACAAAATCCTGCCCTGTAGCTCCAGGATCTGGGGAAGAGAACGTTCTGTTGTTTCTCTCTTTCTGCACCTGTCTCAATCACACTCCATTGCTTCTTGGTCTGCCTTTTATCTCCAAGGTGTTGGTGTCCAGAGGAGAAATGGAAGAAACAGGGGCAAAAAGCTCAGGTAACAGAGACTACTGTAATCAGCCATGACATCCTCTGTGTGGCTGATGTTCAAATAGTGACTACTTATGGAGGACATTTTTGCGCATTATTCTCTGTCCTAGACAGAGGCCTCATTTGGCACAGTCCTCTGAGAACCAGCGTCCAGCAACTTGCCCTAAGTCCCTGCCTCAGCCCACTACCTCTTACAGGTCTGATAAGAGGCATCTTATCATTGGTGGGATTACTCACAAGATGGCTGGAGCTCATCAATTTCATTAATTCACTGTGTTTACAGAACCCTCCATACGGCTCACCAAATGGCGTGAGTACAGAAGACCCCCGTTTTCCTTTCCCCTTTCCCTCACGTTGCGAGCCACCCATTTTTACATTTCTAGATAAGAAGTAGGCAGGATGCTCTATGATCAAATGCTCATCCTTAAAACCTCTTGGGGACATATATGAAACCACTCCTCTACCAGGAGCTCCCCAAACACCTTGTACTAAAGGGCTCCACAGGTGGCCTCTGCAGTTCTGTAGCTCAGCAAGCATTCATCCAGAGCAAGCCTGCTGGCTTCCTTCACCCATATGCACCCTTACTCTTTATAAATGATAATCCTGAGCATTCATGAATTGGCTTTGCAGGGATTACCTTATTTTTTCCTTTCTCACAGAAATCAGAAATGGGTATTCCTCAGGGCTTTCCCCCAAGGGTAGTGATGCCTCCTTTAAAAGACAAAGCCTTTAGGGCCGGGCGCAGTGGCTCACACCTGTAATCCAATCACTTTGGGAGGCCAAGGTGGGCGGATCGTGAGGTCAGGAGGTCAAGACCATCCTGGCTAACACAGTGAAACCCCATCTCTACTAAAAATACAAAAAATTAGCCGGGCGTGGTGGCACGCACCTGTAGTCCCAGCTACTTGGGAGGCTGAGGCAGGAGAATGGCATGAACCTGGGAGGTGGAGCTTGCAGTGAACCGAGATCCCACCACTGCACTCCAGCCTGGGTGACAGAGTGAGACTCTGTCTCAAAAAACAAAAAAACAAAGCCTTCAGATGTTTGATTTATTCCTTAATTCCTTAATTTGGACAGAAGAGAGGGTGAGAGTAGTTGGTCTGGCCTATTTACCTTTTAAAAAGCCCCATAGGGATAGAACTTCTAGCAGTTTCTTGATGGTGTTACCAAAACACCAGGGGTTTAGTCTAGGTCCTGCTGCTCACCACACAGAAAGCCAATCACTGAGACAATGAGTATTGCCAAGGAAGAAGTCTTTAATCAGGTGCTGCAGTCAAGGAGATGAGAGCTCAGGCTCAAATCCATCTCTCTAACTGACTAAACCTATGGGTTTATATAACATTCTTCTGTAGAAAGAAATGTAACAATGTGTAAGAAACAGGAACTAGGGAGAGGCAAGGATGCAATCATGATGAATGAGGGCTCCAGGCTTCTCATTGTTAGGATGTCATGATCTGGTGAGTTTCACTTCTTGGATACCTTTTTAAGAGGCCTGAAGGTGCTTTCCTGAGGAAGGAACTCAGATAAAACAAATGTAAGCTTCAAGCTTTAAGAACAGAAAGGTCAATTTCTATGTGTATCAAAAAGAACAGTCTATGGGATTATTGGGTTGGTTTCAATGGAACATAGGAGTTTATATAAAGGAAAACTCTTGTCCATGTGTAAGAAATCAGGAAGTTGGCTTCCTTTGGTTTGAAGGAACCAACCTGTCTCCTAGTTTTAGCTTTGAGGCTTTTCCTCCATTTCAAGGCAACAGGAAACACATCCCATTTCCACATCCTTTAAAAACTTATAGCCCTTCTCTAAAGGAGCTCCTGTCTCCCCTCACCTAAGTGGGAAGCCTCATTGTAACACTTCCCTGCACTATTCTACCCTACTGGTGCTAATACAGAAGGAAAAGTTGAATTGTGTAAGACAGGATGTATTTAGAAGTCCTTAATTTTTGCAGCTTTTAATTGGCATTTATACATCAAACTCAGTAATGTGCAATCATTTTCATAGGCATAACCTCACTCAATTGTCTTCAGACTATGCAGTGTTTAGTCAGGTATTATAATTATTATTATTGTTGTTATAATTTTATAAGCTGGGAAACTAAAGTCTTCACTGGGAATTTAATGTTAACATCACTTATTCAAGATGGCACTCCAAAACACCTTGTACTGTTGCCCTCAGTTGCATGTGCATGCTTTCTGGTAAGTACGAAAAATAAATTTGACCGTTTGGCCAACAGAGTATAGTTCTACTTCCACATCATAGTTGTAGTCATGTTCAACCATTCTTTTTTGTTATCATGCCTTTATAAGCTTGGTTTTAGTTATTTCTGTAGTGAATAAGAGGATTAAGCAAATGACATCTAGCATTTGCAGCCAAGTTTCTTGTCCCAGGAGTGACCTTTCAGGTAAGTCTCACCCTTTATAGAAACTGATTCAGTGAATTCTGTTCACACATTTCTCTTTTGTTCATTTAGATAGCTGATGGACCAAAACAGCATAGGGCTTCCTGAACTCTGGCCTGAATGTTCATCTCCCGTGCATTTCCCAGTGAGAACATTGATGAATTCTGGCACCTTCCTGGATTCTACAGAAATCTGCACTCTCCCAGAGGCATGAGAAAGTGCTAAAACAACAAATGAAAGTTGCATAATTTGAAATTCCCTTGTTACCACAGGGATCAGAATCCAATCATAAGGCTTTTGATTTAGTTTGTGAAAGTTAGATCTTGCAACTATGAGTGGAAATGCTGATAATGTGCTTTCTGTTAATGTCCAAAGTTAAAGATGCTCTAGTCTCAGGTAAAGCTAATGTGAGACAAACAACAATAATGCTTACTAATTTTGACCACCATGTTTCTCTAAGGCCAAAGATTGCAAATTTTATCTGTTTGCCTCCTTCATAGAAATAAGAATTCTCTGGATATAGCATATATTCTACTAAAGGATGACTGTTATGCTGTGTGGGAAAGTAGTAGTTAAAAATCAAATATTTTTACTTTAAAAAATAGAGAACAAGGTAGCAACCAGAATTGAAGTCACTGAAATATAAATGGGGCACTTTCCCAGAGGATGTCATCCAAAGACAAAAAAATAGGAAAGTTTAATTCATGACACAGTGAAGTTCTTCTACGGTTTAAATTGTTCCTAGAAATAGATTTTATTTTCAGGAATCATAGGATACCAGATGGTTAGTGATAGTGTTTATTTCTGAAAAAAAAAAGAAGAAAAAGAAAAGAAAAGAAAAAGAGTATATGTATGAGCTTTGTGTTCACATATACAAGGTGGCATAGGTTGAAATAATCAACATTTATTTAGTATGTTTATGGCATATTGAAATCAATATTTGAATCTTCATTTTTCAGTTTTTTCTAATACACTTTAAGAAGCTTCTCTGAGACACTCAAGTATATCAAAAGAGAGAAGATCTCCAAGTAACAGAAATAATAAATGTCCTTCTTAAAGAACACCAGGCTTGGAGAATTTATAGTTCCAACTAGAAGGAAAGGTCTGTCTTTTAACATGTTAAAATAATTTTCTAAATTTTTGTTTAAATATTTTGAGGGAAAGAAAACAAATGACTTGAAACTTCTTTGCTTCTGATCAAGATTTGATGATTATAATTGAAAATTAATAAAAGGGGAGGGTAGGATTTAATGCTATTGCCAGTTTTATCAAATGGATTATCCTATCACCTTTCCAATTTCACTATGAAAACTACTGAAATAAAGGCAAGTACGTATTTAATAGCATTGTTGACATAAGCAACATTAAGTGGAAAGATGAGGCAATGAAATTAAATCATTTCCCAAAGGATATTTTGCATAATTTAAGTTCCCTGGAATTTTAATGTGTAATTCTTGAAAAGAAATGTGCTCTTTAGAAAAAGAAATGCAGCAAATACTGGATTAAATAAATCAGATACCTGAATTTACTCAGGTTATGCGAGTAGAAAGGCTGAAATGCCCCAGGACTTAGTCCTAGGCCTGATCTCTTTCTTATCTATATACACTCTCTTGGTAATCTCATCGTTTTATTTTTTTTTTTTTTCTTTTAGAGACAGAGTCTCTCTTTCTTGCCCAGGCTGGAGTGCAGTGACACAGTCATGGCCCACTGTAAACTCCTGCAGTGACACAGTCATGGCCCACTGTAAACTCCTGGCTTTGATTCTCCCACCTCAGCCTCCTCCTAATGTCATTCATTCTTATTGGTTTAAATGTCACCAATAACACGTTCACACCCAAGACTTCCTAATATATATACCCAGCACTGAAATATCTTCTGAACGCCAGACTCTTAGACGCTCACCTAGGACAACTTCCTTGACATCTCCCCGTGATCTCTTTTTAGACATTCTCTCAAACTCACCAGATCCAAAATTTAACCCTGATATTATTTGCCAATTCCTGCACAGTCTTGTTTATCTCAGTTAATAGCAATTCCATTCTTGTACTTGCTAAGGCAAAAAATAAAAATAAAATGGAGACACCCTTTTTTTCATTTTTTATCTTACAGCCTATAAGCTGTTATATCATGAGCCCAACAAGTTTCTGCTGCCTCCAGTAAATACACCAGTCCAAACCCTATCATCTCTTGCTTTAATTATTACAATAGTCTCCAATCTACATGTCCACTGGAGGTAACACCCACCTCAGTCTATCCTCAACACAACAGCAGACTTGTCTGTCTGACTTTTTTTAATGCAATTTTTATCATATTACTCTTCTGCTTAGAACCCTCCAATGTCTTTACATCTTAAGCCAAAGTTCTTCTAATGCCCTTCATTATGTAGTCCTGGTTATTTCTTTGTGTTCATCTCCAACTACCCTTTTCCAATTACTGGGCCTCTCCAAATAATAGAGAAACCTCATGAAGGAAGGGATTTTGTCATGTGTTTGCTGTTGTGTCCCAGTGCCAAGGAGAGTAGCTGATGTACAGTAGATGCTTATAAATAGTTTTCAATGAATGACTTCACTCCAATAGTCTGAGAGCTGTATAAAATATAGATAACTTAGTTATTGATTCCCACTCTGGGGAGCCCACAAAAATCAAAGTCATCCACTAGCAGTTGAAGAGAACCAAGTTTGATTTCTAGGTAAGCACTAACTTTTATTTATAAATTAACACCTCTGTGGAGTCATATGTACTTCCACTGTTTTGCATCTGTCAGGAATGTTAAAATTTTAAGATTCTTGTTCATTGAACTTAAAGTAGAATTACGACCACATGAGGTAGAAATACCACCACATGAGGTAAAAAATGAAACTTTTAAGGAAATGCTTGCGCTTAAATTATTGGTAAGTCTATGTCTTTTCATCAGAGCCAGACAAATACCGGCTTAACTTTAAGGCTTGCTGAGAACATTAATGATTAGCTGCTCAAAGCAGCATGAAATAAATAGCCTACATTAACATAAAACTATGATATCTATGCTCACATCCTTGCAAACAACAGATAACAGCAATCTATAAACTTCCGGTTATATTTATCTTTGTGTAGTTTGTGAATTCTGGATTACAAAGTGACTTTCAGAACAATACTAGATTATGTCATAGCTGGATTTAGGAAAATTATCATGCTGTTAGTTAACAGAAGAAGGGCAGTAAAAGCCAAGCTAATTTAACGTTATTATATATTTGTAATATAATAAGGACTTACCTGCATCAAAGTATATAATTTTCGGAAAGTCAGACAATAACTTTCATGTATATTATTAGTTGAAAATGAAATATTTTAAGCCTTCTAAAATATCTATTAAGCCGGGCACGGTGGCTCACGCCTGTCATCCCAGCATTTTGGGAGGCTGAGACAGGCAGATCACTTGAGGTCAGGAATTCAAGAGCAGCCTGGCCGACATGATGAAACCCATCTTTACTTAAAAATACAAAAATCAGCCGGGCGTAGTGGCCTGCACCTCTAATCCCAGCTACTCAGGAGGCTGAGGAGGAGAATTGCTCGAACCTGGGAGATGGAGGTTGTAATGAGCCGAGATCACGCCACTGCACTCCAGCCTGGGCAACAGAGTGAGACTCTGTCTCAAAACAAACAAACAAACAAACAAAAATCTATTAAATCACTAGCCTGAACACATAGCAAAGATTTATAACTCTTCAATGAGGGAATCAAGAAAATAAGAAAGGTGGATAAAAGGCCATTTTGAAGTTCTGGATATTTGTACACATGTTTAAAAAATGTTTTTATGGGCTTCCTAGGTTATTTACAAAGCTGCTTATCTTTCAGGACAATAAAATCATAAGCGATGGAATTATCCTCTCTACCAGAGAGAAATCATTTGCATTCCTACTGGAATGAAATCTACCACGTAACATGTAATTTTAGAGAGTCAGGACCTTAGTTAATGGTAAACAGTGAGTCATACAGAGCTGCATTCCTTTAAACCACCACCATCAAATGGAAGTATAATTTAAGCCACTATGTGATTTGAAATTCTCTAGCAGGTACGTTAAAAAAAAAAAAAGTGAAAACAATTTTAACAAAAAAATTATGTAACTCAATATATCAAGAATATTCTCAGCCAGGCGCAGTGGTGCACGCCTATAATCCCAGCACTTTGGGAGGCTGAGGTGGGTAGATTTTCTACTAAGATTCTTTGTTCATTGCATTAAAAATGGAAATTGTATTTGTACTCCAAAATTTTGCACTTAAACCACATCTCACTTTTGACTAGCCACATTCCAAGTGCTCAATAACCACATATAGTCAATGGCTAAAATATTGGACAGTGTAGCTCTGAATAATTTGATATTAATTGGATGGGCGTATTAACCAATTCCCCAGGTTGATGTTGAAAGGTCATGCTGTACTTCATTGGCCTTATCTCCAAGTTTTTGGTGATTTTAAAAAATCTTTTCAACCACAAATTTTAGTCTTTTTCATTGGATCCCAGGACATTAGATGATAGTAAAAACCTGTGGAATCTTTCTACAGCATTATTTCGTTTAGCAAAATAAATGTGTCTTTCAAAAAGTTATTTTGAAGACATTTTTGTCAATCAGGTATATTATGTTGCTTAAACTTTTAGCTAAAGATTCTTTACATTATAATTGAACTCTTCCAACAATAAACATCATAGCACAGATAATAACTAAGATGAAGATTATTGTGAGACAGCTATTCTTAACTTACATATATTCATCACCTAATTTAATTCTCACAAAAACTCTCTAAAATAATGTTACCATTTTAAAGATGAGGAGGCTAAGAGAGTTTACATAACTTGCCCAAGGCCACACAGCTTGTAAAGAAGACCTGGATATAAAATCCAGGCTTATTAACTACAAAGCCTGAGCTAGTAAGCACTATGCTATATGCAGAGATTACTTCAACATAAGCTCTTCCAACCTACATCTATTAGATCACTAAACATTTGCTACACAAATTAATATTTAATTTGTATACAAATTAAATATTAATTTATATAAAATTGCTATACAAATTAATATTAAATTAGGAAGCCGAGGTGGGAGGATCATGAGGTTAGAAGTTCGAGACCAGCCTGACCAGCATGGTGAAACCCTGTCTCTACCAAAAATATAAAAAAATTAGACGGGCATGGTGGCACACGCCTGTAGTCCCAGCTACTTGGGAAGCTGAGGCAGGCGAACTGCTTGAATGTGGCAGGCGGAGGTTGCAGTAAGCCGAGATCACACCACTGCATTCCAGCCTGGGTGACAGAGCAAGACTCTGTCTCAAAAATATATATATATTAATATTAAGGATTCAGGCCAGGTGCAGTGGCTCACACCTATAATCTCAGCACTTCTGGAGGCCAAGGTGAGAGGATCACTTGAGGGTACAGTTCAAGACCACCCTGGGCAACATAGCAAGACTCCTTCTCTACAAAAAACTTTAAAAATTAGCCAGGTGTAGTGGTACACACCTGTAGTCCCAGCTACTGGGGAGGCTGAGGTTGGATAGCTTGAACCCAGGGGTTTCAAGGCTGCAGTGCGTCATGATCGCACCATTGCACTCCATCTTGGGTGACAGAGGGAGATCCCGTCTCTAAAAAAAAATTCGTCATATGAACAAAGGTTTTTCCACTCTTTCTTTACACTAGATAAATGATTTTTCTGTTTTCCAGAATGAATAGCAAGAATTTATTTTAAAATGTTTTATGACTAATTATAAAACCTGTCATCAGTAGTTAAAACATTACTAAGGGAGAGAAGCGCTAATATTAAAATTTTTGTAGTGGAATAAAATTCAGCACTTTTGTTCTCTCAGTACTATTTTGTAGGTTTGACTTGTAAATTGCTCTTATTTGATAGATGGAAAACAGAGGGAACTAATTCTTTTTCTCATTATAAAAAATACAATTCTGAAGGCCTTTTAAATTGAAAAGGAAATAGAAATTGAAATAGAATGGAAGTAGAAAAAGCTCCTTGCTTAATGGTTTTGAAAGGTAAAAGTCTTCTTGAGGAAATGTGGCCAAGGGCAATAAAATGTGGCCTCATAACAATACTTTGACATTTTTTCTCTTTTCCTATTTTTGATTAAACCTGTATAAAATAGGGATTAATATTGTTGCATGAATATGTAGTAGGAATTGCCCGTAGACTTTTCTTTTTCTGGTACTTCCTAAGATAAAAAAACATTTTCAATAGTAATTCAATATATTTAGTGGCTATTAGCCTATTCAAGTTTTTTTTATGTTTTACTAATTTTGTCACTTTACATTTTTAAATCATTTGCCCATTTCATTTGGCTTTCTAATGTATTATCAAATTATTATACTAGTCACAACTTGATGTTTCATTATGTCTTTTATATCTTTTGTTATTTCATCTACTAATACTTCATTCTGTGTTTTGTTTATATATACATTCTTACTAATGATCAATCTGTTCAAATGCATGTCTGGCCCACTAATCTTTTTGAAAAATAACTTTCAGTTGTGGAAATTACCTCTCTGTTTTCCATTTCCTTTTAGTGGCATTATCTTTATTATTCCCTTATTTCATGTTTTGTTCTTTGTCTATGTTGTGGTTCTTTTTCTATCTCCTTTATTTGAAGGTTTAGATAATTAATACTCTTTTTTTCTATCTAAACATTGTTTTCAAACCATATATTTACCTTTAGTTATTGCTATAGTAGCTTTGAATTATCTTCTTGAATGCCAGGTAAACATTCTATAATGGTACATCATACTTTCTTAGATCCACTTGCTGCATTGATCTAGTATTCTTTATTTCTTTCAAATACTTGTCCACTCACAGGGAAAAATTGCTCAATAACTTGAACTTACATAATTTATTCATTTCACCCCAGATTCCTGTTGAAGGAAAATATTCTGGTTTCTTTCCAAAGTGGTGATTTTTTTTTAGCAATTTGACACCATTATTCTCAAAAAGTGAGGAAGAAAACATAATTATTAAGAATTGAGAAAAGTTTTAAAAAGTAAAATCAAGTGAAAGAGATACATCCTCTTCAAAGGGCAAGAGCAAACTGTAAGTTGAACTGCCATCAGTCTTTCCAGGTTTTATTGCTAAACACATAATTTTCAATTACTCTTTTAAGTCATAAAAGTAAATTAAAAAAATAAATATGTTCATTATGATATTAATTTTGGTCAAAAACTGCATATGTATATATAAAACTAAAAAAGATATAGATTAAAATATTTAAAGTGATTATGTCAGAACACAATTTTTCTTTTCTTTTCTTTTTTTTTTTTTTGAGACAGAATCCTGCCCTCTTGCCCAGGCTGGAGTGCAGTGGCGTGATCTTGGCTCACTGCAAGCTCCACTTCCCGAGTTCATGCCATTCTCCTGCCTCAGCCTCCCGAGTAGCTGGGACTACAGGCACCTGCCACCACGCCCAGCTAATTTTTTGTATTTTTAGTAGAGACCGGATTTCACCGTGTTAGCCAGGATGGTCTCCATCTCCTGACCTCATGATCCATGCGCCTCGGCCTTCCAAAGTGCTGGGATTACAGGCGTGAGCCACTGCACCCAGCCCATAATTTTTCTTTACCCTTGTATTTTCTAAATTTTCTTCAACCAATATGGTTACTTCAGCAACTAAAACTGAAACAACAATAAATGCTAATAAATAATGCTAACAAAAATTAAAACAATTCCTCTCAAAAACAAACTTGTGGCCAGGTGTGGTGGCTCAATGTCTATAATCCCAGCACTTTGGAAGGCTGAGGTGGGCAGATCACTTGAGTCCAGAAGTTTGAAACCAGCCTGGGAAACATGGCAAAACCCCGTCTCTACTAAAAATACAAAATTAGCCAGGTGTGGTGATGCATGCCTGTAGTCCCAGGTACTCAGGAGGCGAGTTAGGAGGATCAGCTGAGCCCGGGAAGTCAAGGCCACAGTGGGCTGTGATCACACCACTGCACTCCAGTCTGGGCAAGAGTGAGACCCTGTCTAAAAAGAATAAAAAATAAAACATGAAAACTTGTACCATGGCTTATCCCTTTAGAACTTTTGCCCAAATGTGCCGATATACATACATTTTAAAAATCAAATTTCATATATATTTCCTACCTGAGCCTGGCCTACAAAAATGAGTATCTTCCTGTCTGGTAGCCATTTATTAATGGAATATTAAGCTTTGTTATTTTCAGAAGAGAGTTGAACCAAACCAGAAGTTGCAGAAACTCTCAGAATTTTGAAAAAACAAAACAAAACATTATCTTACAGAAAAGATGCAATAATAATCATTACCATCTGTTTGAAATAATGGTGTGTAAAGGGGTATAATTTTAGGGAAGGCCAAAGATATCTAGAAGGGGAAGCTAAACGTGAAAACAGTACAAGCCAAATTGATTAATGCAGACCCATGCAGCAGGAAATGTCATGGCAAGAGATGATCTGACCAAATGACGTAATTTCAGATGAGCCAGCAAACTTTAACATTCAAATCAAATTGCCTTAAACTCTGGGGTTTTCTTTTGGTGGGAATTAGTCATCTGAATAGTGAAATGGAACCATGGACTAAGGAATTTGTAAGATCCTATTCATTTCTCAATTTCTAGCTCGGATTTTGTACTTATTCTACTATGAAAAAATCAAGCACCCATGTGGATGAAAATAAAACTATATATTTTCAGCCATCATATGCATAAGTATATGTAGATTAAATATCTAAAGGGAAAAAATAAAGCTATAAAAGTATTAGAAGGCACTATGGGAGAATATTTTAAGTTCAGTGTGGAAAGTCCAACTTAAAGAGGAAAAAAGTCCAGATACAACCAACAAATTAGGATAAAATATTTGTAAAACATATATGAGACAAGGAGTTAATATTTCTAACATACACAATGATTAAAGAAATGAAAGACACAATAGACCAACATATAAATACTATGAACATAAAAGTCACAAAATACCTGTAAACAGCCAAAAAGTATAAATATGCTCAACTTCACTATCGGCAAGAAAATGCAAATTAAAGCCAAATGCAATACAATTTGTACCCACTGGATTTTCAATAACTAAACTGTTAGCATTATCTGGCTAAAGTCTGAAAAAATGAAGTCTTACACACAGTTTTTAGGAGTATGAAGTAGTATGATATACTTGGGGAATACTTTGGGAGAATCTATTAAAATTTAAAATATAAATATAATTTGACCCATCACTTTCACTTCCAGGAATCTATTCTTCAGAAAGAATGATACTCATATACTAGGTAATATATAGAAACCTGTAACTTTAAGTATTATTTGCAAAGCAAAAATCCTGGAAAGAAAAACTAAAGGTACACCAGTGTAACAATGGTACATCTATACAATGTGATAGAAGACAGTAATTTTTTTAAATGAGATAAAGCTATATATACTTACTTGAAAATTGGTCCATGACAAGTAAAAAATTTAAGATAAAACCAAAAGGCACACTATTTTGGTGCATATATATGTATGCATACTTATACATATGTATATTCTTACAGGCCTATGTGTAAATATACATACATGTATACACACATGCTTGCATACATGTGTGCACGCGTGCACACACACATACACTTGCTTTAGCCTGTATATATATGCGTTTATGAAATAATAATAGCTGGCCAGGCACGGTGGCTCACGCCTGTAATTCCAGCACTTTGGGAGGCCAAGGCGGGCGGATCATGACGTCGGGAGATTGAGACCATCCTGGCTAACACAGTGAAACTCCATCTCTACTAAAAAATACAAAAAATTAGCCAGGCATGGTGGCGGGCACCTGTAGTCCCAGCTACTCAGGAGGCTGAGGCAACAGAATGGCGTGAACCCGGGAGGCGAAGCTTGCAGTGAGCCAAGATCGCGCCACTGCACTCCAGCCTGGGCGACAGAGCGAGACTCCATCTCAAAAAAAAAAAAAAGAAAAAAAGTAAGTAAATAAATAAATAATAATAAAATTAGCCAGGCGTGGTGGCAAGCGACTGTAGTCCCAGCCATATATACATATATATAGAATATAACAGCTAATATTTACTGTGTCTTTACTTTGTGCTAGGCACTATCCTCCACATTTTATAACAAATTGATTCAATCCTCAGAATCATCCTTTGAGCTAGAAATCAGTATTCTCCCTTTGTAAAAGCAATTTGCTCAAGTCACACAGTTGGCGATAGAGTTGGAATTTATTTCATACAGTTGGTCTCCGGAACCTGCACCTCTTAAACTCTCCATTGGGATCAGCTTGAAAGCAAAAGCAGACCACAGAGCCTGGTTAGAGTTGTCAAACTCTTAACATCCCAAGAATCTTATTCTTTCCTCTGAGTCATGCGTGAGCATTTTGAGGGTTCTTCTTGCCTTTTTCAAGGCTTGGGCTCCTTTTGCTCTCTAATTCAGGTCGCTGAATTCTAACTTTGATCTGTAAATCAATACTTCTATGGAGTAAAATGGAAGGTCTGTGAAATTAAAATATTAAGATTCTGTTAGATAAGAAATGCAGCTTTTGAGCCGGGCATGGTGGCTCACGCCTGTAATCCCAGCACTTTGGGAGGCCAAGGCAGGCAGATTACGAGGTCAGGAGTTCGAGACTAGCCTGGCCAAGATGGTGAAACCCCACCTCTACTAAAAATACAAAAATTAGCCAGGCTTGGTGGCAAGTGCCTGTAATCCCAGCTACTCAGGAGGCTGTGGCAGGAGAATCAGTTGAACCCAGGGGGCGGAGGTTGCAGTGAGCCAAGATCGTGCCACTGAACTCTCGTGAGGTGTGACAGAGCAAGACTCCATCTCAAAAAAAAAAAAAAGAAAAGAAAAAGAAAAAGAATGCTGCTTTTGGAGAAAATACTGACATTTGATTGACAGAAAAAGCTTTCCATTGGATACACAATAAAATTGATTTAATTCTATGCTTGCTGAGAATATTAATAATTAAGAATTTAAAGCAATGAGGGAAAAAGGCCTGCACTTGCATAAAGCTATACAAAAATGGTGAACGAGAGATGAACCTGTTCCACTCTTTGGTCAAATAATTACATTAGCAATTGGTTAAGGCCGAGGTATAAACTGCTGCTTGTATTTCCTTTTGTAAAATTTTTGAGCAAGTGAAAATTTTGAGCAAGTTTTGAAAAAGTGACTATGTAAAAAATTAAACGGTATTATTGTCAGTGTTATGTGGAGACTATCAAGCCCTTATTTAGGAAAAAAAAAATAGTGTTTTCCAATGCTAATTCAAACCAGATGCATGTTAAAACTCAAAGGAAATAGTTTTATAAAACTGAGTATATTTTAGTTGCTTTCAGGATAACTTTCAGAATCCTTCAGCCTTGTAGCTAAATGCTGCATTTTTGCCTTTTTCTATAAAGCAAATACTTTTCTAAAACTTGTTTTCAAAACAATTATTGTACCAAACATATTCATTACTATATATTTTAAATTAAATGTGAATGCTGTCCCAGAGCAAATAATAACTACTTCTTATTGAGCAAATTTTATGTGTTCTAGTTATTTATGTGCATTGTATGCATAGTCCAATTGTATCTTTATGACAATGTACATATGTTTCCTATATATGTGTTGAATATGGATTCATCATCACCATTTTACACATGGGGGGGTAGAGGAAGTTACTAATTTGCCTAACTTCACACAGTTTATAAATGGAGCATCTGGAAATCAAACCCAGGTAGTTTTTATTTTTTAGGTTGCAAAGTCCAGATTCCTAACCACTATACGCAATGTCTCTAGAGTTTAGGCATGTTAATGGCAAGAAAAGGTTTCAAGTGTCTTTTCATCTCTAATTTTATCACTAGAAAACTATTCTGCTAAATCATAGCTCCTAAACTACTAAGAATTTGGCATATTCATTTTTCTACAAAATTTAATGCACAAAGTGAAAAGTGGTATTTTTTCTTTGAGTTAAAGAATACATTTTCTGTGTTTTCTAAGATAGAAAACTTAAAGATAATCACCATATTTTTATTGACTGTAGAGAAACATTCCATTTTTTTCACTAGTTGAAACACAAGTTAAAATATTCAAATTTTCAACAGTTTTCCTTTCATTGAGATAGGACTTTAAATATTTAAAAATTTCAATTTCATTTATGAAACTTTTAAACTGCCCTTAACAGATGAGCAGAGCGCTTTCTGCAGAAAATATTCACTTTCAATCTCATAGTCCCAAAAGGGAAAGTTGAAGGCTAAGTTGAAAATCTGCTTGGGTCAGCCAAATGACCCAAAGGAAACCCTGAAGATGTTTTGCAGAAGTTCCCCTTCTCTAAAAAAAGACAGGACAAAGAAGCCAAAAAGTTACATCCTCACAATATAAAGCCTGAATGACAGAGGCCTTCAGAGTTATTTATTCTCCTCAGCCTATGGACATCCTCTTTCAGATTTTAGTATTCACCATTCAAAATGTTTAAGTTATCATGAACTTTCATAATAAATGTGGCAATAAATGTTACCAATTTTCAACTCGCATTTTAATGTAGAAAACTCTCCCTAAAAGTACATAATCAATTAGTTTAAACATTTCAATAAGATAAGCCAGTTTTGCTCATTAATCTCCTTTGGACAATTGTTCTCTGTGCTGTCTTTTATAAATTAGCTTTTTCCTTCACAAAGTCTTTGGACTATATTAGATACTTACTACTTGACAGTTTAATTGTGCAATTGCTTGATAAGAGTAAAAGCAACATCTGTAGACAAAATCTGCCCTACACAAACTTGGAGGAAGAAAAGTACCAATGATTACCTCACATAAGAAGAAGCAGCTCACACTTGACAGTTTAATTGTGCAATTGCTTGATGAGAGAAAAAGCAACATCTGTAGACAAGATCTGCCATACACAAACTTGGAGAGGAAGAAAAGTTACCAATGATTACCTCACATAAGGAAAAGCAACTCACACCTGCCCATTGTTTTGGAAAAGGAATACAAATGTCAGCCCTGAATATGGTGGGCCTAGTTGGACTGGCACCTTAAATTCTGACAAATATATCCAGCCATACAATGCTAAGAGCTTTATTCATTTCATAAATATTTCAGAAGGCGATTATAGCTAAATGATTTTTAAAACCACACAAAACCTAAGTTTATCCTTTTATTAAGAGAAACTCTTTATAATGGAGAGTTTTAAACATAAGCAAAAGTTGATCTAAGAGAATAGTGAACCTCTATATGCACATTACTTAATACCAACAATTATCATCAATCACTTTGGCAATACAGTCTCATCTATCCCTTTATATTTCAAAGTAAATCCCAAACATTGTATCATTTTATTCACAAATATTTCACTATATCGATAGATGAGAAAAAACGCATTCTTTACCTCTTATTTTAAGGAATATATTAATACACTATAATTTTTCATTGTTATTGTTTGAAAAATTAAATATTGCAATAACTTAATAAAAGCCATAAATGCAAGAGCATAGTAATTAAGACAACTGAAAAGAATATACCTGAAAGGGAAACATTTTCCTTCATTTTTCTGCCTTCTCTTTCTATAAGTACTTACCCAGCTGTTTGCTTCTTGCTGCTTCCTTGATTCAAAAGGTAAATATGCTCAGTGGGTCATTACAAGATTTGCAATTAGATAAAAAGGTCAAAATAATGCAATATAGAACATTATTAGCCTTAATCATTTGAACTTTTTTGTGATGTTCAAATGATTTGTAAGTTTGTAAGGCTGCAGGATTTCAGGTCTTAAGAACAAACATTTTTCTACATGTTGTTAAACCAAATGGCAATAAAATAGTAAATTAATAACCGAGGTTTTACAGTTCATGTGAAACACTTCCGGAGCTAAAGATTTTTCTTTGTGTCATAGGAGCTAAAAGTATACACAGGAAAAAGTGAACCCAGAACCACTACACTAATCTCTAATAATTCTTTGTATTATTCTTCCGGTTCCCAAAATTTCTTTAAATCCGTAAGTATTTTTATTATATCAGGTCTAAATTTTATATATTGATATACTAATATTTTTTAAAATCTATCACTAAAATAGAGATATAAAATCGATGTTGAAATTGATGTTGCAAGTTTTATTTTGTTTTGCTTTGGGATCTTGGATTTCAAGTCCACAGAATTAAATTGGCATTACTGCTTAGTTCATGACTGGCTTTTATTCTAACAGTGCACCTCCCTTATTTTATATTTCATTTCGAGATTCTTCCCATTAATTATTGCATCATTCATCCCCTTCCCATCTCCACCAGGCATCCACTTACATGCAGACAATGAACACTCTTCCAAACCACATTCCACATAGTTGATGGCCATTTGCAAATACATTCTTCCATAAAATTTGTTTTTATTAATATGGGTGTGCTCTAAATGGTATTGTGTCCGAATTGGTGGGTTCTTGGTCTTACTTACTTCAAGAATGAAGCCGTGGACCCGCGCAGTGAGTGTTACAGTTCTTAAAGGTGGCGTGTCTGGAGTTTGTTCCTTCTGATGTTTGGATGTGTTCAGAGTTTCTTCCTTCTGGTGGGTTCGTGGTCTCGCTGGCTTCAGGAGTGAAGCTGCAGACCTTCGCGGTGAGTGTTACAGCTCTTAAGGCAGCACGTCTGGAGTTGTTTGTTCTTCCCCGGGGGGTTTGTGGTCTCGCTGGCTTCAGGAGTACAGACCTTTGCAGTGAGTGTTACAACTCATAAAGGCAGTATGGACCCAAAGAGTGAGTAGCAGCAAGTTTTATTGCAAAGAGCAAAAGAACAAACTTTCCACAGCATGGAAGGGGACTGGAGCGGGTTGCCACTGCTGGCTTGGGCAGCCTGCTCTTAGTCTCTCATCTGGCCCCACCCACATCCTGCTGACTGGTCCATTTTACAGAGAGCTGATTGGTCCGTTTTGACAGGGTGCTGATTGGCGCATTTACAATCCCTGAGCTAGACACAAAAGTTCTGCAAGTCCCCAATAGATTAGCTAGACACAGAGCACAGATTGGTGCATTTACAAACCTTGAGCTAGACGCAGGGTGCTGATTGGTGCATTTACAAACCTTCAGCTAGATACAGAGTGTATTCACTCTGAATACAGCCGATTGGTGTATTCACAATCCCTTAGCTAGACATAAAGATTCTCCAAGTCCCCACCAGACTAGCTAGATACAGAGTGCCGATTGGTGCATCCACAAACCCCGAGCTAGACACAGGGTGCTGATTGGTGTGTTTACAATCCCTTAGCTAGACATAAAGATTCTCCAAGTCCCCACTAGACTCAGGAGCCCAGCTGGCTTCACCCAGTGGATCCCACACTGGGGCTGCAGGTGGAGCTGCCTGCCAGTCCCGTGCCGTGCGGCCGCACTCCTCAGCCATTGGGCGGTCGATGGGACCGGGCGCCGCGGAGCAGGGGGCGGCGCTGGTGGGGAGGCTTGGGCCGCGCAGGAGCCCATGGCGTCGGGGAGGCTCAGGCATGGCAGGCTGCAGGTCCCGAGCCCTGCCCCGCGGGGAGGAAGCTGAGGCCCGGCGAGAAATCGAGCGCAGCGCCGGTGGGCCGGCACTGCTGGGGGACCTGGCGCACCCTCCGCAGCTGCTGGCCCGGGTGCTAAGCCCCTCACTGCCGGGGGCGGCGGGGCGGTCCCGCCGCTCCAAGTGCAGGGCCCGCCGAGCCCCCGCCCACCCGGAACTCGCGCTGGCACGCAAGCGCCGCGCGCAGCCCCGGTTCCCGCCAGCGCCTCTCCCTCCACACCTCCCCGCAAGCTGAGGGAGCCGGCTCTGGCCTCGGCCAGCCCAGAAAGTGGCTCCCACAGTGCAGCCGTGGGCTGAAGGGCTCCTCAAGCGTGGCCAGAGTGGGCGCAGAGGCCGAGGAGGCGCCCAGAGCGAAAGAGGGTTGCCAGGGCTGCCAGCACGCTGTCACCTCTCAGTATAACTGGTATTGCATTCTGTTTCTTACTACTTTATTCAACTTTATTTTTTTGAAATTTGTCTACGCTGCTATTCCTTCCATGCTGTTTATTGCCTCTGACACTGTATGTTCTCTCATACATACCCATATACCACGTTACTCATACATTTACCTATGTCTGATCTCCTAGGTTGCCTTCAACTTACTTATAGACACAGTATGCTCTGGCAGGCATCATTGTACATGTCTCCTTGTGCATCTGTAAAGAGCACGTCTAAAGTACAAATACAAGAGTGGAATTTGGGAATACAAAGTATGGGCTTACAGTTTTCAGTAAATACTACCAGATTGCTCTCCAAATGGCTATGTCATGTTGGAGCTGCCTCTCTCAATATTGTAGGAGGTTTCTCATTTCCCCACATCCTCACCAGCCTTTGATATTATATAACTTTTTAATCTTTCTAATTGTTTAACAAACTGATAGCTATAAAATAGTGTAATAGAAGTAGAATCATAGTGGTTGTAGTGGTGTTGGGAATAATGCTCAAAATCCTAAGGAAATTGAACACTCAAACCAAGGATTTTCAGCAAAGCAATTTTACTTCTGCACAGAGGGGTGCTTCTCCCTGGCCAGTCGCCATGAGAGCACACCAGAACAAAGGGGCATGAGAGCCTCTATTCATGACGCAAACCCTGCCCCCGTACCCTTTCTCCATTGACTGGAGTTGGGCCGCACAATCTAAACTAACCGGTTTGGCTAAACATTTGAATTTTCTTTAGATAAGGTGGGCACGTAAGAGAGAGAGGAAACGGGGAAGAGGTGTCTGAAATGAGCTAGAGAACTAGTCTTCTGTCCAAATAAGGAAAGGAATGCAAGCTGGTACTGATAATGCCTGGTACTCTGGCATGTCTGGGCATGTAACAAAGGCAGAAAGGAAGGAAAGAGGAGAAAAAGAGAAAGGGGGGAGGGGTATTGTGAATTAAAGAATAAAGGATTAATCAGGCTATTCAAAGAGAAACCTCATCATATCCCACAGTCATTAGCTACATAGGCTCAAAGAAACCTTACCTAGATTCATATTCTAGGTAGGTAGAGTACTTACGTAGCTTTCTGTACCTGTTTTCTGATCTGTAAAATGAGATAATAATAATACATAGCTCGTAAAGTTGCTATAGGTATCAGAACAGTTATATTTTAAAAGAATTTAGTAAAGCCTGGCCATTGTAAACACTCAAATATTGGCTATGTGACTCCTACAGTTAATAGTGAGGACCCAAGCACTGAGTACTCTTCATGCTTTACTGGCCGTTCACATTACTTCATATTGAATCGGCATCATCTGGGATAAATAACTGAGGTTCGTTGTCTCACGTCAAGGGAGTCGAGGACACAGAAACACAAAAAGTGCATTTAAGAGAGTAGGTTTAATAGGCAAAAGAAAAAGAGAATAGCTCTCTCTCTTGCAGAGAGAGAGGGGCGCCCGAGTGGGTCTTCCAGTACTGTGGTGAAATGCACGGGGGTTTTATAGACGAGCTTGAGGAGGTAATGTCTGATTTACATAGGGCCTGAGAGGTTGGTTGGACCAGGTGTGCTGTTTGCATAGTACAGGAAGAAGCTGGCCATCCCACCCTAATCTTGTATTATGCAGATAGGGTCTCTACCTGGCTGGTGCCATGTTGCCTGCTTTTTTACTGCACACATGGCGGCAAAGAAAAGGGAAGAGGGAACCTCCATGTTGAATATACCTGGTTTCCAGGTATTCCTTTCCTATTGGCACAGCTGCTGGCGTTTACCTATGCAAGCTTTTAGCTTGTTTATCTACGCTTGCAGCGTGATTTTTCAGGTTGCATTTTGTTAGAAAAGAAATGATTTGGGGGCTGCTTTTTTGTTGTTGTTTGTTTGAGATGGAGTCTTGCTCTGTCGCCCAAGCTGGAGGGCAGAGGCACGATCTCAGCTCACTGCAACCTCTGACTCCCAAGCGATTCTCATGCCTCTGCCTCCCGAGTAGCTGGGATTATAGGCGTGCACCACATGCCTGGCTAATTTTTGTATTTTCAATAGAGACGGGATTTCACCATGTTGGTCAGGCTGGTCTCGAACTCCTGTCGTCAGGGGATCCACCCGCCTTGGCCTCCCAAAGTGGTGGAATTACAAGAGTGAGCCACCACACCCGGCCTGAAGCTGCTTTTTATTAAAAAGAAACCTTACCGAGGACTCTCTTACCCTCACTATCTGCCTAAATAATTTCTTTCTAGTTCCTGTATCAATATTCAAAATTACTGTTCCATAAGATTTATTGAATTTCTTCTTGCTGAGTTCGTTTTGTTTATATGTATATTCCTGATATACTTATTTAATAGAAAATATTTTTATTTTTACACAGTCTGTCAGCCAACATTTAACTTCATCTTTGTTGTCTTATTTTGAAGTTACATCTTTAGTTTGATGTAGTCAAAGTTATCCATTCTTCCCTTTGTACTTTATGCTGTTTTGGGATTTTGTTTAAGAAAGCCCTTTCTACTCTGAACTCATAAAGACACTCAATTTTATAGATTTTGATTCTTTTGAATTTCTATTTCATTTTTTATATTTTACATTATTACATTTCATTTTACATTATTCGAATCGTTTGATAATCACTATAGTTTCTTGTGAAGTCTCTTCATTTGTCAGTACATTTTCTTAGACCTTTTATTTACACGATTATCATCTACAAATATTGAGTTTTTATTTTTCCTAGCAATTCTTAATATCTTGTATGTCTTTTTCCAGTCTTTGCATTGTCAAAGACTTCTGTACCCTCTTGAACAGTAGTGAGATAGTGGATTTCTTAATGTTTTTTTCTATCATTTTTGCCAACCATAGATGAAATCCTTCTAAAGTTTTTTTATTTAATGTTATTAATGCAATTTATTATTATGCCATTACATTAATAAAGTTCCCTTCTATGTAACTTTCTAAGAATATTGAAAAAGAAGACTTTTATTACTTTTTACTTTAGTAGGATAATCCTACTGTTTTTTCTTTAAACAAAACACATTTTTTACTTGGTTGGAGAAAATTTTATTTATGACATTGGCATTGATATTCATAAATGAAATTGAACCATAATTATATTTTCTAGAATACCTTTATTGGGTTGTGTAGCTATAATAGCCTCATCAAAATGATTTTAGCAGCTTTTCTTTAATTGTGTTTTCTACATCAACTAGTGTACAATAGGAAGTAAAGGTGAATCACATGTAAAACTTTTTGGGCCTTGTATTTTGTAGGAGGGAAGTTTTTGCTTTTAAAACAATGTTGTTAATTTAACATGTATTTAAGATTTTATATTTCTTACTGCATTAATGTTGGCATTTTTACATTTTCTAGAACTATATTCATTTTTCTTCAATTTCAAATTTATTGACATTTACTTGCTTAGATTATAACAAAAATGTCTTATATTTACTTATGAAAAGTCTAGAAATAAGAACTTTAAAAGATTCTGAAATATTATTGACCACTATAAGCCAAGATATGATCAAATGCTAAAATTATACAATGTTCCCAGAAGAGTAGATTAAATTAGTGCTAAAACACAATGTTCAATTGATTTTTAATTTTATGTGGAAAAATATGTTAAGCATTGCTAAGACAGAAAAAAAGCATTGAAGACCTGCCATAGCAGACATTAAAGGGAAACAAATAATTAGTGTGATATAAAAACGCATTCTACAGATAAATGAATAAATAAGTTAGTAGATTAAATAGAAGATTAAGAAACAAAAATTTTACATTTGATAAATATCTTTCAAATCAGTATATATACATGATTTAACAAATCTTGTTAATAAATGTGGTTATAAATTTAGATTAAAATTATATCTTTAAATTATGTTATAACACAAATATATATTTCAGATGAAGTAAAGATCTAAGGAAAAAATACAAAGTTTCAAAATTATTGCAATAGAGTATATGAGAATGTTATTTAACATCACCTTAGGAAAGCTTTCCTAAGGAGAAAACAAAGAAGGAAAATAAATGGTATGTTTGCAACCCATCTAAGAGGAAAAATTAGCATACTTAACACACTAACACAAAATATGAGTTTAGTCGATATATGTTCAAATAATATAGTAAGAAATTTCCAGAAGAAATAAAAATAGTAACAAATATATAGAAAAATGCTAAATTTCACTAATAACACAGAAATACAACTTTAAGAAAATGAGATATAATTTTCATGCATTAGACTGGAAATGAATTTTTAATGAAAAATTGTTAGAATTTAGTACTAAGATAAGGGAAATGGTCATTTTTGTCCACTGACTTAGAAAATATAATTTGGTGATATCCTTAAACCTTTAAAAAAAAATGAGTAAAACCGGCGAAACCCAGTCTCTACTAAAAATACAAAAAATTAGCCAGGCAAGGCCAGGCGCAGTGGCTCACTCCTGTAATCCCAGCCCTTTGGGAGGCCGAGGTGGGCAGATCACGAGGTCAGGAGATCCAGACCATCCTGGCTAACACGGAGAAGCCCCATCTCTACTAAAAATATAAAAAATTAGCCGGGCGTGGTGGCGAGCGCCTGTAGTCCCAGCTACTCAGGAGGCTGAGGCAGGACAACGGCATTAACCCGGGAGGCGGAGCTTGCAGTGAGCCGAGATCACGCCACTGCGTTCTAGCCTGGGTGACAGAGCGAGACTCTGTCTCAAAATAAATACATAAATAAATACACAAATAAGCCAGGGTTGGTGGCACGCACCCGTAGTCCCAGCTATTCAGGAAGCTAAGGCAGGAGAATCGCCTGAACCTGGGAGGCGGAGGTTGCAATGAGCCGAGATAGTGCCACTGCACCTCAGTCTGGGTGACAGAGCAAGACTCCGTCTCAAAAAAACAAAAAAACAAACAAACAAAAAAAGTGTAAATCATTTGGCCTAGAAATTCCACTTTTAGAAATCTGTCTTACAGAAATAGTAACGTGTACACAAAGAAAGATGTATGGAAGGTTATTAATGTATTATTTGAATTTATGCATGTAAAGCATCTAAAAGTACCAAAAGAAGGAAATTGCATATTACTTAATGCAATGGAATGCAAAGCCATTATTTTTAATGAGGTAAATCCATACATACTTACCTGAAAGAATGTTCATAATCTATTAATACGATTTTGTTTAAATGAAAGGTAGCTGGATGCTGATATGCATTCCAGTTTGGCTGAAGTACCTGTGGGTAGATGTGTATGTGTGTTTATGTATGAATAACTGTAATGTGCCTTTACTGAGCATTTTACTAGCTGGTAAGAACTATTTCAAGAACTTTATTTGTGTTAACTCATTTCACCTTCATAACAATCCTATCACATAGTACTCCCATTTTAGAGATCATAAAATAGAGGTGCAAAGTAACTTGCCACAGCATTGCTAGAAATCGCAGAACAGGAAACTGAACTCAGGACAGCTAGTTCCAGAGCCTGTGCTCTTAACCACTAATACAGAGAGAAATGGATGGAGGAACAGAAATGGTTGAATAGAGGAACAGAGATAGGCAGACAGACAGAAAGATAATGCATAGGCATGTCTATCAACTCAGCAATTTGAAAGGGATATCAAATTGTTAAAATGATATAACCTCCAAAAGATGGCATTTTAGGAGTCAATGATGGGCACTGACTTCTATTTTTTTTTTTTTTTTTTGAGATGGAGTCTTGCTCTGTCGCCCAGGCTAGAGTGCAGTGGCGCGATCTTGGCTCACTGCAAGCTCCGCCTCCCGGGTTAAAGCCACTCTCCTGCCTCAGCCTCCTGAGTAGCTGAGACTACAGGCGCTCACCACCACGCCCGGCTAATTTTTTGTATTTTTAATAGAGACGGGGTTTCACCGTGTTGGCCAGGATAATCTCGATCTCCTGACCCCGTGATCTGCCCGCCTTGGTCTCCCAAAGTGCTGGGATTACAAGCGTGAGCCACAGTGCCGGGCCAAGGGCACTGAACTTCTTAAATAACATAATACTTGTTAAAATAGAGAGCGAGCAAGAAAGACATGATTATGGATGAGTGTAATTGTTCTATAATTTTCACATAAAAATAAATGTCAAAATTATACAATTGAGTGATGCTACAATGACATGGAGTATTTCTGTGCCTAACAAGTCAGGGTTTCCCAAATGGAAGGATGGAACTTTCGGGAATTCTGCTTTTAACCCCAACCACTCAAAGAAAAGATATGTGTAGTATGAGTCCTAAACAAATTATAAATGGAAATGTACAGTATTATATCATGATCTTAATTTTGTGTAAAACGTTATCAGAGCATATCCCTAGGTTGTATGATTAGGGATAATTTTAATCTCATTTGTAATTGGTATTTTCAAAATTGTCTTCAGTAAACATGTGTAACCACAGCAATCAGAAAAAAATGCCATGTAGGTACTGAGATAAAGAAATGGTGGGAAAACAAAAAGAATTCTCCCTCATGTTTACTGCCCCAAGTATCCCAATGCCCTAAGACTTCCTGGGTGAAGCAAATTGCTCTCCATCTTTCTTTAGTAGGCCTCAGCTAGAAGTGTGAGTACCAGCTGTCCAGGGAATACTTGTTAAGCTGTTTATTTTAAAATGCTGTCATTTCAGGAGAGGAACTGGGTAGATACGGAGTTAATGAGGCTCCCTTTGCCAGCCTCAAAAGACACTGTTCTCTGAAGTATGTAAAATAAAGTATCTTCGGAAATCCTTTCAGTCAGTTTGCTTACTCCATAGAAGCCTGTGATTTCAAGCAAGCCTCAAGATATCAAGAGTAAAAGGAGTTACAGTCAAATTGCATAATTTCAACTCATATAAAGGGAGGTTGTGATAAAAAGAGAATTGGCTGAAGGAAGTTATTTCTGGCTAGCAGAAAATAATCTTCAAGCTTTAACTTTTAAAAACAACCTTCTGTTTGGTTTAAATGAATTAATTAACCTTATTTTTGTAAGTATCTTTACAACAAAATGATAATCTGATCATATCTGATTTCCATCATTTTCTATGGTTACACAGTTCTAGCATTCAAGTATTGTTGACTTAGTCCTTGAAAATCTGAAGTTATTTCTCACAAAGTGGTAATGCCAGGGCTACAAATAAGCAAGCAAAACAGAATAAATTGTTAATTGTGATTATTAGTAAAATAGAGACATTTAGAAAAATCAAGCAAAAAAGATGACACAGGCTCAAACACCATTAGCCTCAATTTTATTATATTTTAGACGATATGATCTCCATTTATACAAATATAATTTTAAAGGAAAAAAATACATTTAAATCATAAATTTTCATAAACTTTCATCCTCAACCTTTCTTTTGGTCATAAGCATTCTTCAATGTATAAACTTCTAAAGTAATGATAATGTCTTCTGTAAATAATCAAACATGGGTTAGAAATTGCTTTCATAATAAAATACTGCATGACAGTATTCAGAAGAAATGTCAAATCAACCAACTATGACCTGCTGTAGTAAGTAGGTTTACAAAAATGGACCATATATCACACCAGCAGACATTCAACAGCAATAAAACCTTCACTTTAGTACTGAACCTTGGACTATGATAGTTCATGGCTCAGTATTACTTTATAGTTATAGTGTTATGTGTAGTTTAAAAATAATTGACTTATGAAAGGGAAGGTCCAAAATCCTGATTGAAGCTTTTTTTTAAATGAATGCTTTTTTGGGCCAGGCGCGGTGGCTCATACCTGTAATCCCAGCACTTTGGGAGGCCGAGGCAGGCAAATCACAAGGTCAGGAGATCAAGACCATCCTGGCTAACATGGTGAAACCCTGTCTCCACTAAAAAATACAAAAAATTAGCCGGGCATGGTGGCAGGCGCCTGTAGTCCCAGCTACTCGGGAGGCTGAGGCAGGAGAATGGCGTGAACCTGGGAGGCGGAGCTTGTAGTGAGCCGAGATCGCGCCACTGCACTCCAGCCTGGGTGACAGAGCGAGACTCCGTCTCAAAAAAAAAAAAAAAAAAAGAGTGCTTTTTTTTCTTAAGCTCTAGTTTGTTTAGAATGAGTCAAAAGGATAAAAATACACTTCCCTGGAATGTATTTTCACTTCTAAGTGAAGCTTTGATAGGTACTGGGAAAAAGGGTGCTTGCTGATTATCAACTGACTTTGTTGATTGTGTGCTTAGGGCTTTGACATACATAATCTCTTTTAATCCTCACAATGCTCAGGTCCCCTGATTCCAGGTTCCATGCTTATACCCTCAAATAATTTGGTAAAACAAACGTTAAGTTATTACAATTTAGCAGGACTACCACTAAAAGAAATGTATTTTTAATTACATTATTTCATTATTTACATAACAAAAAGAAAGCAAATAAATAGCACATTCAAAGCATTTACCTCTCCTGGGGGAAAAAAAAGTGCAGTCCCTGTCTTTCGTATGTTTAGTTTCAACAATTCTGGGATCACGATGCAATGATATAAATAAAATGTCTCTCAACTCTGAGATTCTATCCCTGAGGAATGAAGATCGCTTGAAGCTGATTCATTTTTCCCAACCCATTTTAGTGAATTGCACAATACATCAATTATATTATTTGACATTGTTTTTTATTCAGAAGAATAACATATGCAACATTCCCCTCTAGGTATTAATATTCTAGAACACTTACCTTGAGTCCAATCACATTGGCCCCAAACCTCAAACCTCCTGACTCTTGGTAAAGACTTATTCACATTGGGTGTTTCTCCTTGGACTCAGGTTTGTAAATTGATGAAAATATAAATGTAATTTAATGTAAAACAAACAATTCAATCATATCTAGTCAGCATGTATTACCATAAAGCCAGGGAATCAAATAATGAGTCATGAATCTCTAAGTGAACCTTCAAACTTGAGAGAGAAAACACACTTCAGAGTGTGGGAGCTGCTATGATGTAAGCAGATCTGGAGTGCTGGGAGCACAGAGGATGCTGGAGTTTAATGGATCCGGGGGAATCATGACCCTAAGGAAGCAGACTTTAAAGAATTAGGAACTTTAACAGACAGATATGGAAGAAGGGCAATAACACAAATGGAAGGAAATTATTTACTTTTAGGAAACTAGGGTATGAGAGAGGAAGAGAAAATAAAGGCCTGGAAAGGAAACTGGCACTTGGTTTTGGAGACGATTTTTTTGTGTAGAAAATGGGCAGTCCTTATCTGGACTCTGGAAACATTATTCGTTGAAGATTGAATTTGGAGAAATGAATTAATCACTTGTTAGTCTCAGTGGAGTTTACTGCCACTTCCTATGTACCAGGTACTTTTCCAGGTTTATATGTATTTATCCATTTAATCCTCATGACAATTCTACAAGGAAATTTCTGTCAGTATCCCCATTCCACAGATGAGAAAACTGAGACACATAATGTTTAGTAACTTGCCCCAGCTCAGTGAGCTGAAATGGGGGAGAACAAGGATTCAACCTAGGTCAAAGCCATATTTTAAGTTAGGCCGCTTAACTTTCACTGCATGTCTCTACTGAAGATCAGAGGAGGAGCAAGAGAGTAGGCTACTAGGGATGGATTGGGTTGTTGATTGAATATGGAGATAGAGAGTGTTAGGTCAAAATTAAATGATGCTGTTAGTGAAATTAGAAAAAAATAGAAGTATGTTTGGATAAAACGATAAGATTGTTGTGAGTATGTTGAACCTGACCTCAGCAGGACCAATCAGGTAGCTATATCTATCAGGGAGTTGGAAGTTTAGATCTGGAGCTCACTTAGCCAGGAGAGGACTAGGGTCAGGAGAGTGAGGCACTTGCCTCATGCACAAAATTAATAGGACGAAAAAAAAGAAAAAAATAAATCAAGTATTTTAGTATATAAAATGGTATTTCAATGCAGCACTTTTTTAAATATCAAAATGCCAAAACTATTAACTATCAAAGTGGTTTTTTTGTTTGTTTTGTTTTGTTTTGTTTTGTTTTGTTTTTTTGAGACGGAGTCTCGCTCTGTCGCCCAGGCTGGAGTGCAGTGGCGTGATCTCGGCTCACTGCAAGCTCTGTCTCCTGGGTTCATACCATTCTCCTGCCTCAGCCTCCCGAGTAGCTGGGACTACAGGCGCCTGCCACCACAACTAGCTCATTTTTTGTATTTTTAGTAGAGACGGGGCTTCATCGTGTTAATCAGGATGGTCTCGGTCTCCTGACCTCGTGATCCGCCCACCTCGGCCTCCCAAAGTTCTGGGATTACAGGTGAGCCACCGCGCCCAGCCCAAAGTTTTAAGTAGTGGAAGGATCAGTACTTTTCCTTTGTCTCAGCCTGTACAGCACTATTAACAATCCTGTCTCTATTTGAAATGTTATATCATGATATTTTGCATTAATTTTGAGCTTTAAAATATCACCTTAAAATAGTATTTATCTTGAATGCTACTTTGTTGTTGTTTTTTGTGCCTCTTTAACTTTTACATCCTAGGCATCTGTCTTACTTGCCTCACACTAGCTCTGGCCTAACCTAGAGGGAATTTCACTTTCATCTATGCCAAAGCTTCTTTTTATTTCTTCAACAAAGAAATGATCACTGAAATTGAAACTGAAATTGAGACACCTCTGGTTTTTAAATTATCTTAAGTCTAGAGCACCAGTTCTTATATTTTTTTTCGTCAGGAGGAAGAGAACACATGATTTCAGTCTACAGATAAGGAAACTGAGACCTAATGGCTCAAAGTTAAAACTAAGTTTCTTAGTGCTGCATGGGACATACTAGATCAGAAGCTTCTCTAGATACAACCTTGAAGAAAATAAAATTATAAAGTATGCTTCAGGGAAAAACACCTGGCCAAATAATTTAGATTGAAAGAATACGTTTTTGGGAAGAGCAAGTACTTTTGAATGAGAGAGAGAACTTGAATTCCCTTTGGCTACTCATCAGCTGGGTGACTGACCTACGGCAAACTCCAAAGCTTCAGTTCCCTCATCAATAAAATGAGGCTTCATATCCACCTCTCACTGTTTTGGTCAGGAGACAAAAAAAGAATGTAGCTAATAAAATTTATCCATCAGGATCTCAACTTACAACAGAGCATGCATGCAAAATAGGAAAATTCCAGGAGATTTTTAGGAAGCTATATACAAAAGAACAGAGGCAGAGAAAACAAAAGGAATAAAACATGTGAGGGGAGAGTTGCTATAACCCAACAGGAGACAAAAAGTCAGACACAGTTATTCGCCTTTAAAAGAACAGTGACTTTTTGCTGAAGGAGCCAAGGAAATAAATACTCCAGCCTCACTCTCTTTTCTCCCTCTGGTCTCCAACCAAGCCTCAAGCCAGAGGACATCAGAGCCCACTTGATTTAGCTCTTGTAGATCAACCTCAAGGGAAGGTGGAAGGGTGCAGGATAGAGAAGATATCTAAAGGAGCAAAAGGAAGCTCACCACCACATAAAAATTGTTCCTAATTATTGAGTGTTTTCTGTGTAACAGACACAAATACCTTATATGTGTCGACTCATTTAAACCAAATAATCTTATAAGGCAAATATTATTATTTTCCCATTTTAGAGATGAGGAACATGAGGCTGGCTGTGTGTAGTTAAGTAACTTCCTGAAAGTCTCAGAACTAAGGATGAAAGCAGGAATTGAATCAAGGTAATGTGTACTATAGCCTGTTATTGTCAAAGATCAGTAAGTGGTAGTAATTGGTTTCATAATTATCGTCACTACATAAAAGCTATTTAATCCCAACCAATTATATTTCCAGGGTTTTATCTCAATTATAATACTGCGAATGCATAATAAAGTATGTTCAATATGCTATTTGTAACACTGTATTGGCAAAATATACACAAAATTTAAATGCCTAGTGTTGGGGCTCAGAAACCAATACCACAAAATGTGACACTTTGACATGCTGAAATGAAGAAGGCTTAAGTTTTCTTTGACCTTCCTTCACCAATCCTCTCTTTCCCAAAGCACAGAATGAAGGTATTCTCTGAAGTTCCCTTATCTGCCTAAAGTCTCGACTTGCCAAAGAAGAAAACAGTTACCTCTGGTCTCTTCCCTGACTTTCCACAAACTGAACTCATATTGCAGAAAGAAAGACTGAAGTCTGTCAACACACACGGAGAGCTCTGCAGGCTTAACATACTTTGTCTCAGGCCACTGTATGTTCTTCAAACACATTGAATTCCCCTAAAAATCATTTTCTAACCCCCCAAATCACCCATACATCACCCATCTGCCTTTCCTCTAATAAGGAGGTACAACCCTCTGTACCTCATTGGGATATTGGCCAATCACTCTGTGATTCTCCCCCATGCCCGCTGATAAATTTGTATGCCATTTGTCCTGTTAATCTGCCTTTTGTGACTTGATTTTTCAGTGAAACTTCAGAGGGTAGAGGGGAAGTTTTCCCTTGGCCCCTACACTATGAACTGAGATAGACAAAATAAATTAGTATGTTTATAAAGTGGAATACCATATGGTCAGTAAAAACCGGTAGCTCTATGAGTACTGTGTGTTGATACACAGACACACACACACACACACACACACACACACACACACACACACACACGGGGGGGGATTCGAAAAGGTTATATGTTACATTTTCTGTTAAAAATTTAAAATAACTACATTACCTATATTCTTGTTGACAAAATTTGAGTGCCTGGAAAAATACATAAGAAACTGGTAACGTAATTGCCTTTGGGGAAAGCAACTGGGTGGCAGGGTGAAATGGAGATAATTTTTTATTGCACACATTTTGTACTTTTAATTTTTTTACCATGGTCATGTAATAACCTATTAAAAACATAATTTAATTAAGGAAAAAAATCTAATTTTGCATTATTATTGACCTTCCAGGGATTCATGTAATTTGAGAAATTGAATGAAAACAATTTTACATGCATGAAATTCAGCTTTCTTACTCTATACATCCTGAGTGATTTGCCTTTTTCAGTAACAGAATCCTTTGCTATACCAGCTTGTTAAATGAATGCCAAATCAAGAGTAAAATTTCCATCTGTATTCCATAGTGTTTTAGCCATGCTGCAAAAGCAAAACCTGTAGGTAAAACAAAGAAAATTATCACCTTGAAGCTAGGTAACAGGTAACCCAGAAGTCCGGCCAAGCATAAAATTACAGCCACAAACAGCCCTGCAGAGAACATCTCAGGACGGCGGCTGCTGGGTTTTTGTTGTTGTTTTCATCTTTCTTGGCCAAAGGAAGCAGGTGTTAAGAGAGCTCAACCACAGCTCCTGAACTCTGAGATTTACAGAGCTCTGTCACCTGGGGTAATACTGCCATTCTTCCAGGTTTTCTTCCTGTCCAAGAAATCTGACATGCTGTTTTTCATGGTATTTTCAAACTGGAAGATCGAGACAGAAACTTTGGTCGTCAGGAATGCAGAGATTGCCCAATGAAATGACAGAATTGATCATTAGGATGCTTGTTACTCAAAAAGCCCATTTTTTAAAGAAGGATGTATTAAAATTATTCCAGCATGCTAATGTGGCACACTCCTCTGCTGCCTAACGGCAGGTGTTGCTATTAGCAGAGGAAGCCTTGTTCTAAGAATTATTCTAGAGGGCCAGAAAGAACAGGTATTGCTCCACCCGAGTAAACGCTGACTCAACTCTGCAGGGCTGGCGCGCTCTTTCCTCACCTCACCCCTCCTGCCAGGCACAACTGAGATCCAGAAATAAGAGGATTAGCGAGAGAAGGGGAAATATGCAGGACGGTAGTGATGGGTATGCACAAAGGAGTGCCAAGCAGTTTTAACCGTTAATGTTCTTCGTCTATTGCTAGAGAAAATGTCTTTCCTTGGAGGAGGCATTGGCACGAGTTACTATAAACTCCCTCTGAATCTCAAGACTTCTGGGACGCCGATTCCGCTCCTGGCCTGGGGCAAGGCGTGGGAGCTTGGAAGCCAGCGCTGCGCTCCCCGTGGGAAGCGATCGTCTCCTCTGTCAACTCGCGCCTGGGCACTTAGCCCCTCCCGTTTCAGGGCGCCGCCTCCCCGGATGGCAAACACTATAAAGTGGCGGCGAATAAGGTTCCTCCTGCTGCTCTCGGTTTAGTCCAAGATCAGCGATATCACGCGTCCCCCGGAGCATCGCGTGCAGGAGCCATGGCGCGGGAGCTATACCACGAAGAGTTCGCCCGGGCGGGCAAGCAGGCGGGGCTGCAGGTCTGGAGGATTGAGAAGCTGGAGCTGGTGCCCGTGCCCCAGAGCGCTCACGGCGACTTCTACGTCGGGGATGCCTACCTGGTGCTGCACACGGCCAAGACGAGCCGAGGCTTCACCTACCACCTGCACTTCTGGCTCGGTAAGGGACGGCGGGCGGCGGGACCCCGACGCACCAAGGCCGGCGAGGGGAGGGCGTAGGGGTCTGAGATTTGCAGGCGTGGGAGTAAAGGGGACCGCAAACTGAGCTAGCCACTCGCGCCCCCACGGGGCTGCCCTTTGGGGCCGGCCACTTTCTCCCTACCGAAGTCAACTCGCCGGCTGCAAACGCGGGGCTCAGGCGTTGTCCGCAATTGACTTACCTCGCAGGCTTTGACCTTTGCCAGGTGTAGTTCCTGGACTTTGGAGCTGGTGACTGGCTTCTTCCCCTTTCACCGTCAAGTATCCAAACGCCACTCTTGTCCAGGGCCGCTGCCTCAGCGCACACCGTCTCTGGCCAAGCCCCGCTCACCTTCCGACAAACTCAGTCCTGCTTTCCCTGTCGGGATGGAGAGGAAGTCATAAAGTCTGGGGGCATCTGCCGCCGCTAGGAAGAAGTCCTTTTCTTTTTCTTCACACATTATTTTTATTTGTTGCTTTCGGGCACTGGCTTATTTTCTCTATGATTGCGGGAATTATTGTTCTGGGCTTCTTTAAAACAGGATTCTACCCGCACCATGCTGCTTGTGGGTCTGGTAGACAAAAACTCCGCTTCATTCGGAAGCTGGCGTCCTCAGATAGAAGTAAGAAAAAAATACAGATATTTTATATACAAATAAATAGCTCTATATGGGTATTTCATATATTTATGTAGACTGCTTTATTGTTATTATTTATTATTTATTTTAGCAAGGACACAAGATGGAACAGAAACGGCTCCTTCAGCAGTAGTAATTATTTTGAGCTGCGTTCGTGCCAGGCTGTCAGGACACTGGGCCTTGTGTGTTCTTTTTCCACCTTCTACTTTTACTCATAAACATCCTGAATGTCCAGCCTCTCCCCAGGAGGTCTTGTGCCAGTGGGCACACCCTGTCTAACAACATGCCGATTCTCTGAGCCTTTTTGCCTTCTTTTAAAACTAGCTAGCCTGCCCAGTACTCGTGTTTGTTTAGTTTTATCCCTGAGCTTAGGAGGAAAACACACAAAACCACACACACTTACACATTTTTGAGTCCCTGAAAGCCAACACTGTAATTTCCAACATTTGAAGATTTTAAGAAACAAAATAATAGAAAACATTGAGTAGTGACTGTCTAAACATTGGCAAACACCTGGAACAGGCATTTGAGAAATGAGAAATGAAAAATACGTAGATGAAGATAAGACTTTTAATTATAACATTTGGAGTCAAAAATTTGTGTTAGCTTGAGGAGGCAGAGAAGGCTCAGCCTGAGTTCTGAACACATTTTGGCTTCTTGATGCATTGCTGTTATTCCTATTATAATGTTGTAATACACAGTCATCTATTTGTATTTTCTGCCAGAAAAGACTGAAACTTTTATAACCCATGTTCAAGAATGAATGATGCCAGATAGAATAATGATGTCCTTACAGAGGACTTTCCATGCAGAACTTAAATCTAGCATGAATGAAAGTGTTTGAAATGCCACATTTGCCATTTGAGTAAATTAAAATGTGAAATAATGCCATATCTTACTGTAGACAGCAGTTAAGTTTGACTTTGTCAGATGACCGCAAGGGAGATTTGAACACAATTCTTTAATTCTATACATTTTTATCCAAGTTGTCCTCTTAACTACTATATTTTGTAGGGTTTACAGATTCACCTTATTCACTTAATTATCTACTTAATTATCCACTTGATGCCCATAAATTTCAAAAATATAATAGAAAATGGTTTGGGCAGAAACATTTATAATCTTAAAGACATGCTAAAACTGAAGTCAATAACATGTTAATAACAAGCAAATTCATTCAGTAATTATTCAATATGGCCAGTACTGTACAAGGCACTTGTGGATATGAATAATTAATGAAACTTCTCTAAAAGTTCATCACCTCAAAGGTGCAAAAAGACAAAAAGTGATATAACACAGGTAGAATGTGATAATTACTGTGAAAGCACAAAGTTTCTGTGGTTATTGGGAAACAGAAGCCTTTAGAGAAAAAAAAAATGAGAGTACTTGGAAGTGTTCTTGTGTCAAGAGAGAATTATGGAGAGAAAAAAAGCTTCAAGTAAAATAGTCAACAGGACTTTCAGATGGGATTGCCCAACAGCTCTTCCTACTTCAGTTCCCTAAGAAAACAGAATTTCATCCAAAATAGTGTAGTCTAAGACCTAAATTAGGATGAATCCATGAGGATTCATCAGAGAGACAGATTGAGAGAAAGTCACAGGAGAGAGAGCTGAACTTCCAGGGGAAAAGAACATTTGGTTAAAGGAAATCAGCCGGAAGAAAGAGAAACTAAAGTTAAACTGAGATGAAAAAAGGTGCATAGCATAGAAATGAAGAAACAGGCCAAATGGGAGGCAAAAAGGGGAAACAGGAAGAAGTTGGACCTAGAACAAGAGAGAACAGAGCAGGAGAGTCGTCTTTCTTGGTCTCTCCCTCAGTGTTTCCATAACACTTGGCATATCTCAGATTATTTTATTGTATTAACATTACATGCTTGAATGTATTAACATCATATGCTTAAATGTAATGAAAGTAAAAATTTATTGCAAAGAACTTAAATGTTATTGCATTAGCCCTTCTTTAAAAACATTTCAGCTTTGCACCTAGCAGTTTAAATGCATCCATTCACCTCTGTTTGTAGTTCCTTATAGCACCAAATCAATGGGTAGGTCTAGATAGTAAAACTGCTCCCTGTCACATCCCTAACCTAAGGTACAAACACTTATCCTCACTCTTTCTCTTTGCCAGTTTTAAACTTCACACAAATATATTTTAAAGCAGTATACATTTATGTTATAAGTGGGCTATACCAGGCCTTGTGCAATGCCCTGGGAATCCAAAGGATTGGATTACAATATACGATACAAAGAACTTATACGAAGGACTGGCTAGAAACTGGATCATTTACATTGCTGGAGCATGGGGGTGGGTACATGCAATGGTACAGCACTCTGGAAAAGAGTTTAGTAGTTTCTTACAAAACCAAATATACTACTACCATATGAGTCAGCAATTGCATTCATAGGTATTTATTCCAGAAAAATGAAGTTTTGTATTCACATGAAAACCTGTACCTGAATGTCCACAGCAGTTTTATTTGAATAAACAAACACTAGAATCAGCCCAGATGCTTTTCAACAGGTGACTGGTTAAACAAGTTGTACATCTGTACCAACTAATACTACTCAGCAATAAAAAGGAACAAACTATTGATACATACAACAACTTGGATGAAGCTCCAGGGAATCATGCTGAGTGAAAAACCCTAAGAGGCTTTATACTGTATGATCCCATTTATATAAAATTTTTGAAATGACAAAATTTTAGATTTGGCATTGCCGTTGGTTACAGATAGGGTGAAGAGGGGATGATGTGGGCAGGAGAAGAGTGTATTATAAAAGGGCAACTTGAAGGATGTTTTTGGTGGAACTATACAGCATCTTGATTGTGATAGCAGATGTATGAATTTACACATGTGATAAAATTTTATAGAACTAAATGCACACACACACGAGTACAAGTAAAACTGAGAAAATACGAATAAAATAGGTGGATTATATCAATGCCAATATCCTGGTTGTGGTGTTCAGTGCTATACTGTACTATACATTAATATGTTAAGCTATACTGTAATTTTACAAAGTTGCCACTACTGGGGGAAATTGGGTCTATTGATCTGTGTCTATCCTTCAATAGTACCAATCTGTTTTAATCACGTTAGCTATGTAGTAAACCTTAGTATCAGGTAGAGTGATTCCCCCCACTTTATGCTTGTTTGTCAAGATTATTTTAGCTATTCCAGGGCCTGCGCCTCACTATATAAATTTTGCAATAAGCCTGTATATGTCTATAATAAACCTTACTGTGATTTTGGTAAGAATAACATTAGGCCTATAGATCAATTTGTGAAGGATTGACATCATTATTATGTGGAGTCTTAAAATCCATGAACACTAAGCGTTTACATTTACTTAGGTCTTCCTTGATATTTTGAATGCCATTTTGTAATTTTCAGCATACAGATCCTGTACATGTTTTTAAACTATATGCCTGAGTATTTCAGTTTCTTTGGAGTGATTGTCAATAGCATTGCGCCTTTAATTTCAGTTTCAGCATGTTCATTGTTTCTATATAGAAATGTGACTGATTTTTTGTATTACTGATGAATCTTGTATCCTGCTAATTTGCTCAATGTACTTTTTATTTCTAGGAGAGTTTTCTTTTTTTTTTTTGGATAGGTCTCTTAGAGTTCACTATGTAAACAATATTGTTGTCTCTAAATAGAGACCTTTTTATTTCTTCATATTCAATTTGTATGCCTTTTTTTTCTTTTTCTTACTTTATTGCAGTGGTTAGAACTTGCTGTACTATGTTGAATAAGAGTGGTGTGAGTGCACACCCATTTTCTGGATTTTATGGGAAAAACATTTAGTCTTTTACTGTTCAGCATTGCTAGCTCTGTGTTTTTTGTTGACTCTAATTATCGTTGGAAGGTGTTCCTCTCTATTCCTAATTTGACTTATTTTATTTTATCATGAATGGCTGTTGGATTAACCTAGTTTTAAATCTCTCTTTTTATCTATAAAATCATTACATCCACAAAATACTTATAGAAATTCATAGGATGTACACAAGTCTAACATAATATAAAATAACACGGCACAGCATAGTATAACAGAACATAAAAGACACCGGTAAAATCAGTGTAGGGAAACAACAAATGGAAATCATAAGCAGATTCGTAGGGGAAAACTAAACTGATTCTTAAGCAGACTTTATACACAAAGTTCATAAGTTTCTAAATACTTTCTGGAATTCCATCATGCTACAACTGGATTTGATTCTAATTTTCGCATCCAAAGGCTGACATTGGCTTCATCAAGACCGTCAACCTCATTCAGGCATCCTGTTTTATTCATACAGATATTCCCTGGCCAACCACATTACATAAGCATCAGCAAATGATAGGATAATTTAATTAACTTACTTTCAGTTCATTCATTAACTTCATGCCTGTCCATTTACATCTACCTAAAGAGATTCAGGTTTCAACCTGTAGTCAGGTAAGGACGTTTATGTCAAATACATCATCTTTAACACCTTTGATGTTAACCTTGATTCCAAGTTATCTCTTAAAGCATCTCTCTTAAGGCATCATAAAAATCTACATCTACATCTTTATGGTATTCTCAGTTAGGGTTCGGATCCCAAATCGGCAGAAGAATGACACCAGAGTCCTTTCAGATTGCAAAATTGCCGGTGTGTCAAATACTTAACTTTGACCACAGCGAGTTCACAAAATTGTTATCACGTCAAGTAATCTTCTAGCTACTGAGTTGTTTTTTTTTGTTGTTGTTGTTGTTTCCCCTCAGAAGATACTTGGTATATGAGTCTCATTTGAGAGTAAGAGGGAAATTGTAAGGAAATCTGATTCTTTCTTTAATACAACTGACTGATTTGCCTTCTTCAACTTTGGTGAATACTGTCAGTTAGGGTTGTTCATGTGAACTATTAAATTATTACAGCTTCTAAGCTTTTATGCATCAGTTATCTATGGAAGAAATTAACATACCTTGTCACTATAAAATTGTACCGCTAATGAGAGCCTGAGTACAAAAAAATACCCACAAGTGTACTGGAGTTTTTAAGAACCTGTGCTTCAGAGTCACACAAACCTACATCTGGTCTTTTTCTCCCAAAAGTTGCTTTATGACCTCAGAAAAGTTACCCAGCCTCTCTAAGCCTCCATTTTCTCTGTTCCAATCTAGTAGAAAATAGGTTCTGCTTTATGAGGTTGCTTGAAGATTAAATGAGATCATCCATGTAAAACATTGGCATAGTGTCTGGCCCATAGGGGTAGTATAAATGTATAATGTTGGCTATTATTATTTCTAGAGTCATTTAAGATTTTTATTACAGCTTGGATGTAGTAAAGAGTTTGAAGTGTTTTCCATAAAATGTGAGTGCCCCTCCTGACTGTCCGTACTGTATCCTTTATGTACACTACAGACACTGGTTCTTAGGAATTGTTTTGACCTTAGTGAAGTTACCTGGATGTGATGTGTATTACAATTGTGAAAATTAAATGTATGTTGTATGTAAAATACCTGGAACAATACCAAGTACATTAACACTTAATAAATGTTAGCGTGCTGCTTCCTTTGCTCTTCCTTTCCTCCAGAGATCATTATTTCATTCAAACAGAACCAGTCAGATAGTGAAGTAGGGAAAAAGACCAAAAAATAGGGGTAAAATTAAATTATATTCATTTTCCCATTGTAAAAACCACTTATTTAATTATGGCTCTGATGCTCATATTTCTCACAAACATCAGTTAACATATTGACATATCATAAAATCAAAGATTTATCCTAATAAAGGCTAAACCACTTGTCAAATGTTTTCATAGTCTGATCTTATTGACCTTACCAAATTAATGCTTACTTAAATCTCATTGGAATAGATTGTTTTATCTTCTTGAGCAACTTCACACAACAGTGTTTCTTTTTAAAATTTTTAAAGGAATTGGAAAAAGCAGAAACAAAAACAGGCCGGGCATGGTGGCTCATACCTGTAATCCCCAACAATTTAGGAGGCCAAAGCCAGAGGACTGCTTGAGGCCAGGAGTTTGAGACCAGCCTGGGCAACATATGGAGACCTTTTCCCTACAAAACACTTTTTTGAGAATTAGCAAAGCATGGTGGCACGCACCTGTAGTCCAAGCTGCTTGTGAGACTGAGGTAGGAGGATCGCTTAAGCCCCAGAGTTTGGGGTTACAGTGAGCTATGATTATGCCATTGCATTCCAGGCTTAGCAACAGAGCAACACCCTCTCTCAAAAAAAAAAAAAATAGACTAAAAAAATTGTTAATTATTAGCAAAATAATGTATTACATACAGTATTTTAGCTAAAAGATCTTTGTGTAGAAGACTGTTGGATTGATACATAATTGAAATGAAAATTTCTGACTTCTTTCATATCAGAAATTCTGCCTTAATCCTTTCTCTTGCTTGATAATTGAGGTGCTGTTGTTCACTGTTTTAGGAAAGGAGTGTTCCCAGGATGAAAGCACAGCTGCTGCCATCTTCACTGTTCAGATGGATGACTATTTGGGTGGCAAGCCAGTGCAGAATAGAGAACTTCAAGGATATGAGTCTAATGACTTTGTTAGCTATTTCAAAGGCGGTCTGAAATACAAGGTAAGCAGCTCCCTCAGTTTCCATTATGAATCCCTTTCTCCTCTTGTCCATCCATACCTCCTGTCTTCATAGAATGACAGTTCGTTGAGGGCAGGGGTTTTTGTTTTATTTGCTTTTGTTTTAATCTGTTTTGTTCATGGATATATCCCCAGTACCTGCTGGATACAAAGTAGGTGTTCAATAAATGTTTGTGAAATGTGTGGTACAATATGTGAAATATTGTGAAAATTTAATTTGATAGGTTAATTTTTTAAAAGAGCTTTCAGTTGTGTCTTCACAAGATACCTTTGTAATATTTTGTAGCTATTTCAACATTTAAATTTTGGTAATTTGGGTCTTAAAAGTTTTCATTTTTGCTATTCTAGAAAATCTCTGAAGTTTCTGCAAGTAACCTAAGCCTTCAAAATCTCAGTTGTTCTGGAATATATTAATACAGTATTTATAATAATTATAATTTTAGTAACTGTAAAGAACTATACATGTATTTCCAAAATAGTGTGGTTTGATCTTAGAAGGGATGCAGATGAAAATTTTGAGCTTAAAATTCTGCAGGTAAACTACACACACGCACATACACAATTTATGCACACTGGTCTGAAACACTGATCAATTGGCTTTACTTCTGAAAATAAACAAGAACAAATAGTTAAATGGTTCTATCCCTTTAAGGCAGCCTTCAGTATAGGACAGGTTTTTTTTTTTTTTTGGCATCCTCCTAGTTAGCTTTCCAGACTGGCCCTCCCTTCACCATTCCTGCCACTCACCCCTCCACACGTGTTCAGTTAAAGTGTGAGGAATACCCTCCCCAGACAAACATCACAGATTTCCGAAATCAAACACGCTCCAGCAAGTGTTCTGCACACCCCACTGCCCTGCCCTGTGAGCATGCTACCCTAGTGAAGACCTGAAACCTTAGAGCTTCACTACAATTCTGACTGTAATACTAAGTCCGCCTACTAAGATGGCGAGGTTTATTTATACCTTTACCTGTTCAGAGTCTTCGTTGAATATTTTGTGATATTATTGAGATCAGAACAAAACACTTATACATTATAGGTTCTCTTATGTCTCTTGAAATGATTATTTTATTCTAGGCTATGAACTACCCTAAATACAAAACTATTACCTCTCATTTTATTTGATTCACAGGAGCTCCTACAGTTTATGACAAACGATACTGAAACTTCCTTTATGTCAGTGAACTCAACATTTTAAATAAATTGAGTCTTGTAGTTACTAAAAGCAGGTGCTGTGACACCATCATAGTTATGAACCCATTTCTGCCACATATGACTTGTTTGCTTTAGGGAAAATACTGAGCTTTCTGTGCTCAGTTTCCCCAAACAATGAATATTATAACAGTTTCCTCATACAGGTGTTGTATTAAGGAATAAATTAAATAATAAAGTAACTGTAGTCGAGCATGGTGGCTCATGCCTGTAATCCCAACACTTTGAGAGGCCAAAGCAGACGGATCACCTGAGGTCAGAAGTTTGAGACCAGCCTGACCAATATGGTGAAACTCCCTCTACTAAAAATACAAAATTTAACTGGGCGTGGTGACATGCGCCTGTAACCCTAGCTACTAGGGAAGCTGAGGCAGGAGAATTGCTTGAACCCAGGAGGCAGAGGTTGCAGTGAGGCGAGGTCATGCCATTGCTCTCCAGCCTGGGAGACATGAGTGAAACTCTGTCTCAAAACAGGAGTACATAGATGAAAACTTGTATTTATTTAATTATATAATACTTAGTTTATTCAACCAAGAAATGTAGCAGTCGTTGTAAAATTATGGACTGGGAAATCATTTTATATTTTTTTTTAATTTGAAGTTTTAATTGTCCTGAAATTAACATTTAATCTATACCAACTTTTATTGGAGAACGGTGGAAATTTAAAATCAATGGAAAAGAATGTGCTAATGACAAATTAGCTCTAATTTTCCGTACCATTATTATTATAGAGGTCTTTGATCTATCAGTGACAGTTTTGTTTATACTGTAGCTCAGTTATTCACATATAATTAATTATAATTAATAGTAGAAATAAAGATATGGTTCATATCATTTAATTAGAAAAAATGAAAAGGTAAAAGATCATTGCAAATAATATAAGAAGATGTAGTTGATACAGTTAATATCTTTCTTTAATTCGGGTGATTGTATTTCATTTTATTTTATTTTTTTTGTTTGGGGATGTACAGCCAAGATATTGCATCTCTCCTAGCTTACAGTAAAAACACTCAGGCCTAGCATATTTATTAATAGTAAGACCTGTTTACCAGAAAATAAAGAAGACATTTGATTACTTTAAATGTAAAAACAAGGACCATACATAAGATCAACCCATTCCTGGCCAGCACTCAACAACCATCTCTGTCCCAACCCTGTACCAGTGTGAACTTTTGGGTGCCTTCTTCTCTGGCTGCTGTCATCTGTATGTGTTACTTCTGACCCTCCTCTAGCCACCTGTCACCTTCTTCCCTGAAATCTTTGCCTTGCTCATTATTGATTTGGGGATCATTAGTGTCCAAAGGGCAAGAGCTATGGCATCTTCTTTTTGTTTTTGCAGCAGCGTTTTATACACTGAAGGTTCTCAGTAAATACTTGCAGTTGTCAATTGAATGGTTAAAACAGAAAGAATAAAGAGACCAAACAAACACAATCTGTTGATTACCAAGGGGTTCTCTCTTGTTTTATGGAATAGGTGGCTATTTTAACTTGGCCTGACAGGTACAGTTTTGGCACAAACACCAGCAGTATTATTGTGCTTTGCTTTGTCTAGGCAGACACCTCATCAGTTTTCTCTTTGTTTTTTGTGTGTCTGTCTTCCCTCATTCATCAGGCTGGAGGCGTGGCATCTGGATTAAATCATGTTCTTACGAACGACCTGACAGCCAAGAGGCTCCTACATGTGAAGGGTCGTAGAGTGGTGAGAGCCACAGAAGTTCCCCTTAGCTGGGACAGTTTCAACAAGGGTGACTGCTTCATCATTGACCTTGGCACCGTAAGTTTCATATATACACATCGATGTCTAAAGAAAAGTGAATTGCTTTCGGATCAAATCATATGTACATGTCATTGAAAAGAATCACTTTTTCTACACACCAGAAAGGGGCCACGTTTATGTGAGCTGAGTAATTGCCAAGTATTTAAATGACGCATGAAGTGAGACTTCAAAGTTTTTATTTTCTTTGATAGGTTTAGAATAGTGATTTAGTTCTTCCTACCATAGAACAGAAATTGACTAATTTTTAATACATTTCCCCTTCTCTCTGAACAGAGCTTCCTCTAATTATTTTTGTCTCTAATTGTGCATGGGAAAACATAGCTTGAGGGGGAAACTGGTTCCCCCAGCAACAAAAGGTTCTAGAATATAATATGGACATAAGATGAATCTAAACAGCCACCTAAAGAATTTTAAAGACATATTTTGATGTACGTATATACACACACCATACCATTTCACACTTTTCAATTAGCACAAGTACAAATATCAAGTATTATCTTAATGGCATGGGCAATGGTATATTATATCTGACTTATGTTTTCTTCCTGGAAAAGACGCTCCTCTAATATCAGGTATACTTATTAATCATTACTGTCATGACAAAGAAGCATTATTTCAAGACCCTTTGCTAGACCCTAGAAGGTAGAATATAAGTTGTGTCTTTAAAACTTTGTGAAGTTTTTATAATAGAAATAAAGAGCATTTCCCTCCACTGAAAAGCCATGTGCAAAAGCAATGAAAGCAAGAAAGCACAGAACTTATAAGGCTCTCCTCTTCCTGCTTTTCATTATCATCATTTTCATCACACCATACATCTCAACATTCTAATTATCATTCCTAACATTTCTGGGCCAAACGTTGTAACGGAGTCATGAGCTGACCTGCATTGCTTCAGTTAGCATGAGGCTTGTCTATGGAATTTGCTCAAGGTTGCAAAGTTAGTAAATGGTGAAGGCAGGATTAGACTCTCAGCATATCTGATTCCCCACGAAGCATTTTGTTTTATTGCATCTACTTGGGCAGTATTTTGGGATAAAGCAGTAGACAGAAGCCAAAAGAGCTTATTCCATCTGCATAGAGGAGGGCACAAAAGATTCTGAAAATAGAGTTACAAAGTTCTGTTTAAGCAATATTAATCTAACAACAGTACAGAGATTAAATGTACTAAGGTTATACATTGTTTAGAAAATGACCCCAAAGTATAAACTGCATCAGTTTCTTTAAGTGAGCGTGCATCTATAGTTTTATTACTACTTATACATAATCCAACTGTCTTGGATCATACCAGCTTGTGTGCAAAGTTGAGATCACAATAATATAAATGCCCAAAGTACAATTCTTAATATTACACGTAGACATCTACACCCTAAATGGCAGTACCTTTGCCCTGAATCTCACAATAAATTTCATGGGAAAGTCCTTTTCAACTTCAATAGCTAATTCATTCTCCTAACAGATTTAAGTCCTGACTCTCATATCTAGGCAGAATACACATACTGTTCCACCCTTCCATTCTCCCCTACCGCCACCACCCCCTACACTATAAATAAAGAAATAAATAACTCGTGCACATAAATGTCTACAGCCACACAGTTCCGAAAGCAATTGCAGCATTCAGTCTCTCAAACCTTATGCACAATAATTTTCTATCTCAACTTTCATCTCCACCACTTGTACTCTAAAGCCCTTTATAAGTGCTTTTGAAAATAAAATGGCATTTTTATTAGAAAAAGGAGACCTCAGTTCTCATTCCAGTTGCTGTACTCTGAGGTTCTCATCTGTAAAAGCAAATATTTGAGTAGGTGATCGCGAGGGTCCCTTAACCAGAAAGGCACTTCCCAGTGATAATGTAATTAATTGCTGCCATTACTTGAAAGTATTTCTTTTCTTAAAAAAAAAAACTTGTTATATATAATGTAATTGCTATGTAAATATAATAATCTATTCAATTATCATGAATAGCTTCCAATTCAGCTTTCTAACTATCTGCTATGATATTGGGCAACTCATTAATGTCTCTGAGCCTTAACTTCCTCATTTGTTTTTACATCTTGACTCTGATTTCTGATACCACTTTTATCCTTAGCTGACTATGATTCAGTCTCATCTGACACACAGTCACATCTGGGAAATGGCAGTTATCATCCCAGTTTCAAAAGGGGAAACAAAAGCCTTAGGCTTTAGAAGGTATGTGCAAGTCACTCCACATTCATGCCAGTTGCGTGATGACCCAGGATGGGTCCTGGGTTTTTCTATTCCTACTTTACATTTTTTTCACCACACTAAGCTAACTTGGTAGTATATTAGATAGTATGGCCTGGTAATAGAATGCCTTGTGACAGTTTCAGAATCTGCTGAATTCAGAACTGATGATGCTTAATCTGCTGAGATTCCACTGAAAGCAGTAGTATTCACTAAATCATTTATTATTTTGCAGAACAAATACAGAGTTTCCACTATGGGCCAGGTAGTTGGGTGTGGTGGTAGACAGGTTGTAGTTCTTGTGCCGTATACTCTCTTCCCATAGTCAACCTGTGGGAGTATGGGCCACAAATCCAGGTTCACGTAATAGGGACAGAGTCTCTATTATAAGGTTCCAGGGCATTCATCTATTTAATAGTAAATTATTTTTATTTTATATAGTTAATTATCTTTAATAACTTTCAAGTTCTCTTTTCCCATGCCTTGTAAAAGAGATATTTGGAATGAGAGATATTTGTTGCAGAGGTACTGGTGCTTGGTTATCAATTATATTCTGGAATTTTCCTATACTCAAAAGGGATACCCTGGTGAGAATCAAGCACCAGATTCCTACATAATCTATGGCAAATACCTCCAGGATCTGTGTTTGTGTTATTAACCTTTAACCAGTTGGTATGTTGCCAAAAGTTTCTGAATGGTGATAAGATCTTGAACTACCTTGGCAACTTTATTTTGGGGTGTGTCAGTAAACAAAGAAATACACGTAACTAAACTTTTCTGTACCATAATATTTTAATAGTAGTAATTGCGCTAGTTATCCAAAGACAACCTTCTGCATCAGAGAGCCTAAAAGGATGCCAGTGCAGTTTCTTCAAGTTTGTATTATGACCCAGGTATGAAAAACTTAGGTTAAACATCCAGTTATCACCCAGCTAAGGCCACCTGGCCAAAACTAAGGTTATGGATATAACCTAAATCCCATACCTTGATCATATATCAGAGAAATCAGCTTTTTTGATCAACAGTCACTATTATTAATATGTTATTCCATATTGTCCTTTTATTGAATTTTAAATTATAGTAAATATTCCCGGACATTACAATATAACCTCCTCAGCCTGAGGCATAAGATAGTAAAATTATCAGTTTAGCCAGTTTGAAAGTGAAGAACATCATCAATATTTTGGAGAATGATTTAGACCCATTGTCTCATAGTTAGCTTATTTTTAGACAATAACATGAAATGTGGCCAGATCTTACCAATTTACAGAGTCATTGGAAAAACACTTTTGAACAATATATTTTAAAGTTGGTGAATTTATTAGTCATGATTTTCCCATGATTTTTAAAGATATGAACTATTTTTAGAAATTAGTAAAATTACATCTGAAAATACTGTAAAATACTACCAGTAACTGCAGAATGTGAATGATAGTGGAAGAAAAGCCCATATTCTTAAGATTTGGAGTCTGGGGTTAACTCTTGGAAAGATATGTCACAGTCAGCCACTAGTGAAGAATTCTATTTCCCAGGAGTAGGAATTCCTGTGGTGAGTTACTGATCCTGATGTTCCCCATGTTCTGTTTCCTTGCTGTTTGGTCCGTGATGCAGCTTTACCCTGTTCTCCTCACTATTTATAAATGATCACGCCCTCTCCCATTGTCCAGTCATGCTGCTTTGAAAAAACAGTCTCCACTTCCTCATTTACCAGTCAGTCTTTAACCCACAGTCAGACTTTCACTCTCACAGTTCCTCGGAAAATGTTCTTGTTATGGGCATCGATGACCCCTGGTAAATCCGGTGGACACCGTGACATTATGCACGTGATTCTTGTGTTGCAACCCACACTTTTGACTTTTCCCAGCTTATCCAGCCTCACTCCTCCCCTGGCTTCCTTGTTTTTCTCCCTCTCAGGCCACTGTTATTCTTCTTTGCATGGCCTGCCCTTCAAGTGCTTTTTTAAAGGATTTTAATTATTGTCTCTTCTTTTATACATTCTTCCTAAGCAAACTCATCCCCACCCAGAGCTTCAACTACTACCCATGAGTCAATCTAAACTTTAAATCTAACTCAGACCTCTTGCCTGAGCTCCAAGTCAGTATTTCAGATATTTCATGTTATGTGTGTCATAAGAACCTCAAACTCAACACATCTAGAAAATGATTTCTTCTCTAATTGTCTTTATCTTATTAATGGAGCCACCACTCACTCAGGATTTCAAAGCCAAAATCCAGGAGTCATCCTGACTTCTCCCAAGTGCTCTACATTCATTTAATTGCTATCCTAGCCTGTTCCACCTTCTAATTATCTCTTGAATCTTTCCTGTTCTCTTCATTGCTGTTGATACTGTCTTAGTACCCAGTGCCTGACACATTCCTTCAAGTCACCAGACTTTTGCTGTTGCAGATGGATTCCTTTGCTAGAATACTCGCCTCTTATTTGGCAACTTTCTCCAGCAGGCATCCAATATTTTCTCATCCTTTGATATCCACGTCAGATATTGTCTTCTTCATAGTTTGTTTCCTGACCTTTTCTTCTGCTTCCACTGTCCAGTGTCCCAGCCCTTTAGGGTCAGATTTAGACTTAACTTCCCTGTCATTATGCAGAGACTTGCTTCTCAGCCTTTTTTATATTGCTTGTCCATTTACTTATCAGCCTTCCTCACTCACTGTGTTTCTAAAATATAAAGCCTACAACTTACAGTCACTCAACAGATGTTTCAACAAATGTATATCTATCCAGCATAAAGTATATGGCTCATGCAGCCACATGTCTACAGTGTTTTTTAATTCATTTATAACTCAACTGGACCCTATTCTCAAGCTCCTATTTCCCCAGAAGGTTTAAAAATAATTTTGATTTATTGAAATGAATTTTGAATGGCCAATAAGTAAATGAAAAAATGCTGAACATCACTAATTATCAGGAAAATGGAAAGCAAAACCACTATGAGATATCATCTTATCCCAGTTAGAATGACTGTCATCAAAAACACACACAGAAAAGACAAATGCTCATGAGGATGCCGAGAAAAGGGAACTCTTATACGCTGTGGTAATGTAAATTACTACAGCCATTATGAAAAACATTATGGAAGTTTCTCAAAAAAAATAAAAATAGAACTACCATATGATCCAGCAGTCCCACTACTGGGTATTTATCTAAAGGAAGGGACATTAGTATATCAAAGGGATACGCATGCCCCTATGTTTATTGCATCACTATTCACAATAGCAAACGTATGGAATCAACATAAATATCCATAAACAGGTGAATAAAGAAAATATGGTATACACACAATGGAACAATAATCAGCCATAAAATAAAGTATGGAATCCTTCCATTTGCACCAACGTGGATGAATCTGGAGGATATTATGTTAAGCAAAGCAAGTCATGCGCAGAAAGATAAATACTTCATCTTCTCACTCAAATGCAGGGACTTAAAAAATGAGCTCATAGATCTAGAGAGTAGAATTGTGGTTATGAGAGATTGGGAAGGGTAGGGGGAGGGGAGGCTAGGGAGAGGTTAATTAACAGATACAAAATTACAGCAATATAGGAGGAATAAATTCTGTTCTACTGTTGTATAGTGCTATGTGGTGAATACAGTTAACAATAATTTATTGTATATTTTTTCAAAGCTAGAAAAGGATTTCGAGTGTTCCCAGTACAAATAAGTGATAACTATTTGAGGTGATTGATGTGCTAATTACTCTGATTTGATCATTACACACTTTATACTTGTATCAAAATATCACTCTGTAGCCAATAAATATGTACAATTTTTACATGTCAACTAAAAATAAAAAGGAATAAAGGTGAATTTTGTTAGCCATTAAAGCAGTTTGAACTTATCCTACCCATCCTCTTTTCCATCCCTCAGGAGTAGGGGACATATATGTAATATTGTAGCCTGGGGGTGGGGAGTGAGGATGAGGATGGATGTGTGAGTCTGGTTTGTACTCATCAGTCCTCACTAATCTATAACCTTCGTTGAGGTGTAGTCATTCCATTAATTCTTGAGCTTTCGGCTTTGGCCTCTGTTCCCCAGACATTTGCTAGGGAATATCCATAGCCTCATTTTAGTCTTCTGATGTCATGGCCACATATCACTACAACACCCTTTCTGGTTCTGTCAGCCACTACTGCATTCTTCTCAGGAACTCTGCTTTGTTTTTCCCAGACTACCCTAGAATTGTGGGACACGGTATCCTCATCGTACCAGTGCCCCTTGGCCCAGTGGCTTGGATGCTACCCTCAGTCATTTCTGCTCTAATGCTTAGGCTCATGGAGGGGTGTAGGACAAATCAATTGGAAGGGAAGTGTGCTGGGCTCTTCTCAAAGATTGATTGCTTTGGGTTAGATTTCCTACTTTTTTCAGTCTTCTTTTTTACTTTTTGAACCAGACAAACTAGTCTTACACCACCTCACATTCTTGCCTACTCTGTGTTTCCTGCAAGATACACTCCAGCCCCTAAGACCCACACCGTACTGCTTAAGATGCAAAACCAGCTTTCGAAACAGCATCCTCACTTACTCCTGGCCAAAAAGCTGTAGCAAAATCAAATTTCTTTTAAATTAAAACTATGTTGGCTTTCAGACTTTTGTCTCTGCTATTACTTAAAAATGCTTATTTTAAAACTAAAGACTGAACTAAATCTTCTCTGTTCTGGATAAATTTGTCCTTACCCCCAAAGTAATGCATACCACTAGATTTATAAGAGGAGAGCCTTGAGGCAATAAGAATGGATAATGGGAAAGATACACCAAATCTTAGATCTCTAAAATGTACCCTGAAGTAAAAGTAGGGATGAATGGCATTTATTCTGTGCCTAGTGCGTGCCGAGTGAATAGAATTGTAAGGGTAAACAGCAGATAGGCTTTGACCTTCAGGTACTGTCAAATGCTGGGAGGCATAGACACATACACAAGTAAGAGGATGACAAGGTAAAATGTGAGACATGCAGGAGGAAAGGTGTAAACACATTATAATTGGAGAATGGATGAGGGCGCTGTAAGGTTAGCCGAGAGAAAGGACGAGAGAGAGACCCAAGGTCAGGAGAGTAAGTTTACTAACCTGCCAGGCTGCTTCACCACAGTCAAAGGAGGCAGCCCTGAGCTTACAAAATGAGGGTTTTATATGGGGGAGAGAGACCCTGGGGTTGTTTGTTGGTTAACCTTACCACATATCATCTCGTGACCAGGTTACAATATAGGAATTTACAAGAGGGTGTAACTTAGGTTTATCCACGTTTCTCGTGACCTCCCCCATGCTGCCCGTAGGGCTGTAAGCAAGTCTGGTGACCTTGCTGTAGTGCCTAGATAAGGGTCCAGGAATGCAGCTGCAGAGTATTCAGGGTAAGGGACAGCTGCATTGGGTGGGGGGGGGGGGGTGCGGGGGCGGGTGGGAAGGGGGAGGGGTTCTGGTGCAACTTGTTCCTAACATTCCAGCCTTTTAATAGGTAATAGAAGAGGGGCGCCGTTGTCCTCTGGCTGCTTCTTGCTGGATAGGGGCGATGGTTGGGGGGAGAGGCTGGGTAGTAGGGACTGCTGTTCCTGGAGCTGTCGGTATTCTCGGAGTAGCATCATGTCTTGTACTGTTCCATGGGTGAAGGCTCTAACACGGCCCTGTAAAAACTGGGTAAGGAGATGTAAGAGACATGGGCCAAGTGCTAAATGGAGGAAGAGGGTAATGGCAGGGCCTAGGAAGGGCAGTAGCCAGGGTGCCCAGGAGTTACGAAATCACCTGGGCCGGGAATCTGAAAGGCGCTGCCTGATTTCAGCAGCTTTTTTTTTTTTTTTTTTTGAGATGGAGTCTTGCTCTGTCGCCCAGGCTGGAGTGCAGTGGCATCATCTCTGCTCACTGCAAGCTCCGCCTCCCGGGTTCACCCCACACGCCATTCTCCTGCCTCAGCCTCCTGAGTAGCTGGGAGTACAGCTGCCGGCCACCACGCCCGGCTAATTTTTTCTATTTTTAGTAGAGACGGGGTTTCACCGTGTTAGCCAAGATGGTCTCGATCTCCTGACCTCGTGATCCGCCCGCCTCAGCCTCCCAAAGATCTGGGATTACAGGCGTGAGCCACTGCACCCGGCCAGAAGCTTTTTCATTTATTCGTCCAGCAGCATCTTGTACTAGTCCTGACTGGTTAGTATAGAAACAGCACTCCTCTTCTAAAAAGATACACAGGCCGCCTTTCTCGGCAGTGAGGAGATCTAAACCTCGATGGTTTTGAAGTGTCACTGCTGCTTAAAGAGTCTTTTGGAATTGGAGAGCAAGTCTATTTGGGATTGGAGACCCCTTCGTGGGGTTTTGGGAGGGCCTGGTCGGCTTGTTGGCAGAGGAGATAGCTCATGAGGGAGACTGTTGGGAGGTATTCTCCTAGCTGAGAGTTAGAAGGGGGCCTGTTTTGTAAGAGGAAAGGGCGTCCGTATATTAACTCAAATGGACTGAGGAAGGAGGGTGCTTTTGGACTGGCTCTAATGCTCTCCAGTGCTATGGGCAAAAGGGAGGTCCATGGTTTTTGGACTTCAAGAGTGAGTTTGGTTAACTGAGCCTTAAGGATCCCATTTGCCCTTTCGACTTTTCCGGATGTCTGGGGCCAGCATGGGATATGGAGACGCCACTGGATGCCAAGGGACTGAGAAACCTGTTGAGTGATTTGGGAGATGAAGCTAGGGGCCATTGTCTGATTGTATGGAGCCAGGGAGACCAAATGTAGGGATGATTTCTGTTACAAGAATTTGGGAGACTTCTGCGGCCTTTTCTGAAGAGGTAGGAAATGCTTCTACCCACCTAGAGAAGGTGTCTATAAGAGTAAGAATAAATTTTGTCCTCTTGACGGGATGAATGTGGGTGAAGTCTATTTGCCAGTCCTCCCCTGGGAGTGTTCCTCTGAGGGGATGTGTAGGGATGGAGGGAGAGTGGAGGGCCCCTTGGGAGGAAGTAACAGAGCATATAGGACAGTTTGAGGTTATGTCTCTTAGTGAGGTGAATAGATGGGGGGAGGAGAAATAGGGTGAAGGAGTAGGTATGGGGGCGCACACTGATATGGAAGGATTGGTGAAGAGATGTCAGAATTTCTTTGGTCTGCTCTTAGGGGAGGACGAGCTTTTGATTTTTGACTATCCAGTCCCCTTGAAAGGAGGCTGCTTGCTGTATAGCAAAGCTTTCTCGGTGGGAGAGTTCTTGGGTAGGATTGCTGGGATAACAGGAAGGAGAGGGGCAGAGGCAGAAGAAAGGGAGGCTTCTTTTGCTGCCTCATCGGCCTTTCTGTTGCCTCGAGATTTCATCTGAACCTGTTCGATGTCCTCAACAGTGTATAACTCCTGCTTTAGCTGGGAGGTGTGTGGCCTGAAGGAGTTAGTAAATAAGGTGGCCATTAGTGATAGGGGTTCCTTTGGCAGTAAGGAGTCCTCTCTTTTGCCAGATAGCAGCGTGGGAACGAGGAATGTGATAGGCATATTTGGAGTCTGTATAAATGTTGACTCGTTTGCCTTTGGAAAGATTTAGGGCCCTGGTGAGAGCTATGAGTTCTGCTTTTTGGGAGGAGGATCCTGGCTTCAATTACTTGGTCAAGGGAAACAACTGCATATCCAGCAATCTGGGGGGTAGCTGGTGGGCCTGGAAGAGGAGCCATCTATGAATAGTTGATCATCGGGGTTGGTGAGAGGCTCGGAGGAAATGTTTGGGAAATGTGGCTGTACGTGGTCCAGGATATCAGTGGAAGAATGAGTAGGAAGGGAAGAGGATACGGGGAGTAAGGATGCTGGGTTGAGGGAAGCACTTCTGGTAAGACTGAATTTGGGATTTTTTATAAAGAGGGCATGGAGTAATTGAATCCTGGAAGGAGGAAGGGAGCTTACTGCTTGGGAGGAGAGGAGATCTTGTAGATTATGAGAACTGTGGACGGTGGTATTCTGGCTGAAAGTTAGTTTCCTGCTTTCTAGAGCTAAGCTGGCTACCACTTCTAGTGCTTTAAAGCAGGCTGGCCACCCTTTGACTGTGTTATCTAGTTGTTTAGAGAGGTAAGCTACAGGGGCAAAGGAAGGAGGATTTCCTTTCTGTTGTCCTAAGACACCGAGGGCTATTCCTCAGCTTTCAGCAGTATAGAGAGTGAAAGGTTGGGAGATATCAGGTAAGGACGGAGCTGACGCAGTGACAAGAGCAGTTTGGAGTTTGTGGAAGCTGGGGAGTATGTTATGTGAGGGGTTTAGGGGTTCATTGGGAGGGCCTTTGGCCACTTCATAGAGGGGATGAGCTAGGAGGGCAAAGTTGGAAATCCATATTCTAAAGAAGCCTGCTAGCCCTGGGAAGGAAAGGATTTCGCTTTTGGAGGAGGGTGGGGGTAGATTTTCTATTAATGCTGCCCTGGCTGGAGTCATAGCCTGGGCCCCAGGGGAAAGTTGAATTCCTAAGTAAGTCATCATGGAGATGGAGAGTTGGGCCTTGGAGGGGGAGACCCTATACCCTTTGATAGCGAGAAAGTTTAAGAGAGCAGTGGCCGTGTGAGTTTGAGAGTCTTTTAGAGAGGGGCTGCAAAGAAGAAGGTCGTCCACATATTGAAGATGACTGGGAGACAGGTTTAAGGAAGTAAGGTTTCGGGCTAGAGCTTGTCCAAAGAAATGAGGGCTATCCCTGAAGCCCTGAGGGAGGACAGTCCATGTGAGTTGTTGTGACTGGAGGGTGTCAGGGTCAGTCCAGGTGAAAGCAAATAGGTTTTGGGAATCAGGGTGTAGGGAAATGGTAAAGAAGGCATCCTTCAGGTCAATTGCAGTGTAGAGGGTGGTGTTGGTAGCGACGAGAGAGAGAAGTGGATAGGGGTTATGGACTATGGGATGAATAGGGAGGACAGCTTGACTGATGGCTCGGAGGTTGTGAACGAGTCGGTATGAGCCATCAGACTTTTTAACAGGGAGGATAGGGGTGTTATATGGAGAGTGTGTTGGTCTAAGAAGACTGCATGAGCAGAGCTTGTTTACGATGGGCTGTAGGCCCTTTTGGTGGGTTAGAGAGATGGGGTATTGAGGAACATTGGGAAATTTGGAAGAGTCTTTTAACTGGATTCTGATGGGGTCATGGTGAGCAGCTACGGAAGGGTTAATGAGAGAGGCAGGAAGTGGGTACTGGGGAAAGGGGTCAGGGGCCGGACTAGCGGAGAGGAGCAGGAGGGGACTCTGGTTGAAGGGGGCAAGAAAAGGTGATAGAAGCTTTGACTTTGGCTAAAAGGTCTCAGCCTAGAATGGGGGTGGGGCAATGAGGCATGATAAGGAAAGAGTGTGAGAAAATGGCATCAAACAGGGAACAAGTAAGAGGTCTGGTGGCAAGCGGACAAGAGATGAGTCCGTCAACCCCCACAACTGAGACTTGAGAGGGATGAGTGGGTCCTGAGAACTCAGGCAAAGCTGAGTAGGTGGCCCCACTATCAATTAAAAAAGAGATCAGCTTACCTGCTACTAGTAGAGTTACCCTGGGCTCCGATGCAGTGATGGCAGTGGGGGCCGGGAGCCGGGGCCCAGGGGCCCTGGCCTCATCAGTCTTCAGTGGCTAGGCCAAGGAGCTATGGGAGTGCAAGTGATTCTTCACTTTTTGTCTTGTTGAAGGGATGGTGGCTCTGAGGAGCATGCTTGTCTGCCCATCTGTTGAGAGGACAGTCAGACTTCCAGTGCCCATCTGCTGGCAGACTAGGCAAGGGCTCTTCGGCACTCATGGGTGGGGACATGGCCCCGTCCAGTGGCCTTCTTTGCCGCACTTAAAACAAGGCCCAGGAGGTTTGCTGCTATCAGGTCTTTTGTGCCCTTGGGTACTATGGCTAGACTGACAGATAGCCACTGCTGGAAGCTGGTATTTAGCACGATCTCTTTGGGCTTTATCTAATTTATTTTGCTCGTCCCTGTTATTAAAGACTTTGAAAGCCAGGTTAAGGAGGTCTTGTTGTGGGGTTTGAGAGCCATCTTCAGCCTTTTTAAGTTTGTGCCGGATGTCAGGGGCAGATTGGGAAATAAAACGGGTATTAAGAACAATAGTTCCTACATATGTAACAAACCTGCACATTGTGCACATGTACCCTAAAACTTAAAGTATAATAATAATTAAAAAATAAATAAAATTTTTTAAAGAAAGAACAATAGTTCCTTCTCAGGAGGCAGGGTCGATGCGGGTATATTTTTGGAGAGCTTCTGTAAGGCGGGAAAGAGATTGGGCAGGATTTTCATCTGCCTTTTGGGAAATGTCTTTAAGTTTTTCAAAATTTACAGCCTATGGGCAGCTTTGTTAAGGCCTGCAATGAGGCAAGTAATCATATGGCTACAGTACACTTGGCCAGGGTCTGTGGGTTGGTATTCCCAGGAAGGCTCTTCCCAGGGAACAGCAGCAGCTCCTACGGGCTTAGTAGGATCCTGCTGATGAAGGTCATCGGCATATGCCTGTGCTGCGAGCCACACTCTTTCCTTCTCTTCTGGAAGGAGGGTAGAAGAGAGGATAAAGTAGAGATCATGCCAAGTGAGTTCATAAGATTGAGTAAGATATTTAAATTCTTTGATGTAAGTATCAGGATCGGAGGAGAAGGACCCGAGACGTTCTTCAATCTGTAAGAGATCGTAGAAGGAGAAAGGGACGTGGACATGGACGATCCCCTCAACTCCCGCTACTTCCCGGAGAGGAAGCAAGGGAGCTGGTTGCTGAGCACATTGGGCCCGAGAGCGGGTGAGGGGAGGAGGCAGAGAGGACTCAGAGTCAGAAGTGGGTTGGTTGGAGAGAGTGGGGGAGAGGGGTAGAGCCGGAGCAGGGACATACGGTGGAGGATCATGATGCTCTGGTGGAGGATCATGATGCTGTCGAGGAGGGAGAAAATCCACGGGGTCAAAGGAAGAGGAGTCATCGGCTGGGTCTGTGGGTGGGGTGACGGGAGATGAGTCAGGTTTTGAGCTGGTGAGTAGGATTTGGAAAGTAGAGCAGGAGTGGCAGAGAGAAGGGTGGTTACGGAGAATGAAGAAAGCCTGAATATAAGGAATCTCAGACCATTTCTCATTGCGATGGCAAAAGTTGTCTAAGTCTCTAAGTATATTGAAATCGAAAGTGCCATTTTCGGGCCATTGGGAGCCATTGTCCAATTGGTATTGAGGCCATGCAGTATTGCAGTAAAAGATAAGCCTCTTAGAACGGATCCCTGAACGGAGGCCGAGAGCCTTGCGATTGCGGAGGAGACACCCAAGGGGGGTGGTCTTGGGAGGGGTAGACTGAGAGGCTCCCATAGTGAATGGAGGAGGTGAGGGTAGAGGAAGAAGGGACCACAGACGACAAAGACGAGAGAGGGCGGCGCCTGTCTTGCAGGCCTTGTATGGAATAGAGGAGGTAGCTGCGGAGTCAGGCGTCCAGGAAACAGAGGAACCAGAGGCCTGGAGGCCAGAGGAAGCCCTTGGCCCAGCGCTGGGTCTTTTGGGAGTGAAGAGATGGTCAAGGGTTCCAGGTAATAGGCAAAAGTCTCTCTTACTCACCCCTCTCAGAGGCTTTGATGGTGGATGAGGTGGCCAACAATGGGAGAATTTTGGGAGATCCTTAGGGTCTTTAGCAGGTTCGGGAAGGGGAGGTTGGCTGGGTAAGGGATGATAGGAGAGAGAGAGAGAGAATCCTCTAAGGACGCCCAGCCAGAGCCTATCCCCTTCCTGGGTTTTGGCACCAAAATGAAGGTTAGCCAAGAGAAAGGATGAGAGAGAGACCCAAGGTCAGGCGAGTAAGCTTATTATCCTGCTGAGCTGCTCCACCACAGTCAGAGGAGGCAGCGCTGAGCTTACAGAATGACGGGTTTATATGGGGCAGAGAGACCCTGGGGTTGTTTGTGAGTTAACTTTACCACATATCATCTTGTGACCAGGTTTCAATATAGGAATTTACAAGAGGGCGTAACTTAGGTTTATCCACGTTTCTCGTGACCTCCCCCATGCTGCCCGTAGGGCTGTAAGCAAGTCTGGTGACCTTGCTGTAGGCCTAGATAAGGATCCAGGAATGCAGCTGCAGAGTATTTGGGGTAAGAGTCTGTTGCATTGGGGTGGGGGGAGGGGTCCTGGGGCAGATTGTTCCTAACATTCCAGCCTTTTAATAGGTAATATAAGAGGGGCACTGTTGTCATCTGGCTGCTTCTTGCTGGATAGGGGCAATGGTTGAGGGGAGAGGAGCAGGCACTAGGAAAGACAACTCTTAAGATGTTACGATTTGTACTTTAATATTCAGCCATAGCTTCACATTAGAATCATTTGGAAAAGTTTTTTAAAGTACTGGTAACTGTGACTTGACCCCTGAAGATTCTGATTTTAAAGTTTTGGAATTTGGTGTTTGGACTTCTTAAGACTCCTTCCCTCCAGGATACCATAACATAAGGTACACTGAATGTTGTAAATCACTTCAAGAAAATGTCTAAAGATGCTGGACAATTCAGGGTCGTATTGTTACCAGTAGAAGGTATCCAAATTACCAGTGGCAAATCCATATGGGTCTGCAGCAACCTCAATTCTTACCTCCTCAGAAGAAAGAATTCGACTGACGGGCATAAGGCAGACAAAGAGACCAAGACAAGTTTCAGAGCAGGAGTGGAAGTTTATTTTTAAAGAGCTTAGAACAGGAAGGAAAAGAAAGGAACGTATGCTTGGAAGAGACCCAAGCAGGTACCAAGGTCAAGCGCGGTGTTTACTTTGATCCTAGGATTTTATAGATTCCTTTCCCATGATTCTTCCCTTAGGGTGGGCTGCCTTCATGTGCAGTGCCCTCCTTACCCTTGGGAGGTGAGAATATGCAGTGTGTCTAGGAAGTCGTACACATGCCAACCTGAGTCTTTCTTCCTTTTTCCAGTGGCGTGTCCCCAGAAGGTCATACTCCACCATGTTGTCTCATCTTGCACATCCCCAAGAAGTTGCTTCTCCCTGACGTCTGCGTTTAATTAAGTGCAATAGGTGTGGACCATCAGGAAATGGCCTCCCTGATGTCTGCATTCACTTTAGTGCAACAGGTGTGAACCTTCAGGAAATGGCCTCTTTCTGGTGCCAGCTGCCAATTTATCACTTTTAGAGAGGCAATGTGATCATTGCTGAACCATCAACTGACATTCCTAGTGGTTGGGGGAGGGCCCTCTCCTGCCCCACTCATGCCTGCGTAACTACCTGTAACAATACGCATGAAGAAGCAGTAACTCTTGATGTTGATTGAGCAGTTGAGTCACCAACTTAGGTGGCTGGCAGAAATGCTTTTTGTTAAAGTATGACTGTAAGCTTTTTTTTTTTTGGTTTGGCAAACACTTTGAGTAGTAAGAGAATATAATTTCACCTGTGCTCACTGGTGCTACGCAAAGATCCCTCCCAAAACTGTTCATCTGGTCCTGATGAGTGGCATCACTACCAGCAACCAAGCTAGAATTGTCCAAGTCATTTTCCTTTTCCCTGTCCCTCTACTGCACATCCAAATGGCATTATTGACCAATCCTATAGGCTTAGACCTTCTAAATATTTATTTCTCTTCTCTCTATCACCACTGATCTGCCCTAATTCAAATGTAGTTGCTTCCTTTCTGGTCACCAAGCCTTCAGTGGCCCTGCACACCACTCCATTCATCTTGTGTCCTTCATTCAGAGGTAGTTTGAAAAACACACACAATATCTTTCAATACATACGTAACTGAAGGATATTGAGTTGAGCTGGCTTTGAGGAGACAACAAAATAGATATAAAGAAACATTTGTTTATTCAAAAACGAGATGTCATATTTTAAACTTTTAAAATAAAAAAGGTTCGTGGAGTTATCTCACAAATCATTGTTTTTAAACTATACTTAGAGAACCTCTAGGCTAAAGATACATCTTAATGAATTTCTATATTTGGGTAACTAGATCTAAGGGAAAGCTAAACACAGGAAAGACAAAGCCAATAGATGCCAGGAAGAGGAAGAAGTCTGGCCTCACGTTCTCCTTTAATCAGATTTTAGATGTATTTAGAATAATAACTTAGAAAAGGACCAAAGAGCAGCAAGCCTATGCTGAATTCCTTGCACATGTTGAGTCAACATCGCATAGGCTGTTTTGGGTGCTCCTTTAAACACAGCCTCTGAAATCTTGCTTTTCCTCAAGGGCACCATTGAGCATTGTTTTACTTTTGCCCTTATTTTCTGTCCTCAAATGATGTCTGGCTGCACTTATTAACTCAACACATAGTTTAAAGAAATTTTAGAAACCTCTGATTTTCAAGACCAATAATAGGACTCCCCTCCCCAAATGTGGTTGTTTCTATAAATATAACTTGCTTGCTCTTATTTCTTGTAACTAGTGGACCAGACTAACTGCCAGTAACAGATTGTATTTATAGTCTCATTTCTTCCTTTTCCAATTGTGCAGAATAATTTTGTTTTTCTTTAATAGTTTGTATATTAAGAGTTAATTATAGTTTCACAAACTTCTGCTAGAGGATGTTCATATACAATATGTACATCAGCTTTCTGCCAGAATTTAAGTGGATTTCATTCCAAATTATTTATAAATGGATAATTTCATATTTACAGGGCTTTTTTAAACATTGCTTCCCTAGAGAAATATGATATTTAGTGTTGAGTTGTTAAATGCCTTAAGATCTTAGATGGTGAAATAGTTGCCCCTGAAACTGTTTGCTTTACAATTTTCAGTGTCTAGCATACTTAAATCAAGTCAATGAATGGTTTTTAAACTAAATTCTGTTAAAGCATTATACATAAAATAACTTAGATTATAGTGAAAACTTTCTGTTGTAGTAATAGGTATTTACCTATCACATTTATTCAGACTTTTTTTAACTTTATGAAGGAATTTATTTTTTAAGCCTACTCCCTGGTGGAAACAGAGTAAGGTGAATTAAGAACAGAGTTTTTTTCAAGCATGGTGCCAAATGAATACAAAGTTTCCTTCTGCCAGAGTGGTGAAGTAGTCATAACTAACTACCTCTGAATAGAGTAAGTGTTGGGCCGCACAGTTTATTAATAAAACTACACACACTTACTTCAGCACAGTAGAGCTCTGTTAAAATGAGATGTCCTAAACACACTATCCACACATGGTGGAATATACATTTTCAAATTTGATGAAATACTAAAATTGTGTTTTTAAAGCAAGTTTTAATGTACTGCTGCCACCACTGAATGAACATTTAATTAGATTGAATAAAAACAGTGTTATCGGCCTGGCACAGTGGCTCATGCCTGTAACCCCAGCACTTTGGGAGGCCAAGGCAGGCAGATCGCTTGAACCCAGGACATCGAGACCAGCTTGGGCAACATGGTAAAACCCCATGTCTACAAAAAACAAAAAACAAAAAAACAAAAAAAGTTCGCTAGGCGTGGTGGCACATAGCTGTAGTCCTACCTACTCAGAAGGCTGAGGCAGGAGGATTTCTTGAACCTGGAGGCAGAAGCTGCAGCGAGCCAAGACTGCATCACTGCACTCCAGCCTAGGTGACAAAGCCAGACTCTGTCTCAAAAAAAAAGAGAGAGAGAAAGAAAAAAAAACAGTGTTTTAATTAATAATGACTTGTCAAGCATTCTGACTTTTAGCCATTTACAATTAAAGTTATTATTTTATTAAATTTTTTATATCAACCATTGAAAAGTAAGTCTACTAAATAGGAAAATATATCACTCGTATGTAAATAGTGGCATAAAATAAGGTGAAAATAAAAAAGAGAACACAGGTCATTCATTTTCATGCTGAGTAAGAAGTTTTCTGTAACCACTTTGCTTAGTAATTTAGTCACCTTTGAGGTAAAAAGAAAACTTGACTTTTAAATTCTGATCTACTTTTGATCTTTCACTTTAATGTAAAATATAATTATTAGAAGTCTGTATTCTCAGACTTGCAGAGAAAATAATCACTTGCAAAATATCATGGAATAAGATAGGAAGAGGAATTTTAGCAAAACACTGCTTTGTATTTCATGGTGAGTGTGTGTGTGTGTGTGTGTGTGTGTGTATCACATTTTCTTTATCCACTCATGGATGGGCATTTGGGCTGGTCCCATATTCTTGCAATTGTAGATTGTGCTGCTATACACGTGTGTGCAAGTATCTTTTTTATATAATGACTTCGTTTCTTCTGGATAGATACCTATTAGTGGGTTTGCTGGATCAAACAGTAGATCTACTTTTAGTTCATTAAGGAATCTCCACACTGTTTTCCATAGTGGTCGTTAGTAGTTTACATTCCCAGCAACAGTATAAAAGTGTTCCCTTTCACCACACCCACACCAACATCTGTTTTTTTTTTATTTTTTCATCATGGCCATTCTTGCAGGAGTGAGGTGGTATCGCATTGTGATTTTGATTTGCATTTCTCTGATGATTAGTGAAGTTGAGCATCTTTTCATGTTTGTTGGCCATTTATGTATCTTCTTCTCAGAACTGTCTGTTCATGTCCTTAGCCCACTTTTTGATGGGATTGTTTCTTGCTGATGTGTTTTTGAGTTCTTTGTAGATTCTTGATATTAGTCCTTTGTCAAATGCATAGTTTGCTAATATTTTCTCCCATTCTGTGGGTTGTCTGTTAACTCTTGATTCTTTCTTTTGCTGTGAAGAAGCTTTTTAGTTTAGTTAAGTCCTATCTATTTACCTTTGTTTTTGTTGCATTTGCTTTTGGGTTCTTGGTCATGAAGTCTTTGCTTAAGCCAATGTCTAGAAAGGTTTTTCCAATGTTATCTTCTAGAATCTTTATGGTTTCAGGTCTTAGATTTAGGTCTACTCAGCCATAAAGAGGAACGAAATAATGGCATTCGCATGCACCTTGGATAGAATTGGAGACTATTATTCTAAGTGAAGTAACTCAGGAATAGAAAACCAAACATCATATGTTCTCACTTATATGTGGGAGCTAAGATATAAGAATGCAAAGGCATAAGAATAATACATTGACATTGGGGACTCAGGGGAAAGGGTGAGGGATGGTGAGGAATAAAAGACTGCACATTGGGTACAGTGTAAACTGCTCGGGTGATGGGAGCACCAAAATCTCAGAAATCACCACTAAAGAACTTATTCATCTAAATAAATGCCACCTGCTCCCCAGAAATCTATTAAAATTAAAAATTTAAAACAAAAACAAAGATACGTGTAGGAAAAAATATTCTGATTTATAGGGTCAATGTTTTTCTGTCATGAGTCAAGTATAAGTAAAATGTTTTCAAAACAAAAACATTAGTTTGGGCTCAGCAGAAAAGTCTACTGAGTTGCACTGGATAATTAGATGTTACAGATTCCCTGTTGTGCACAAGTGTGGTGTGCTCAGAGTACATCACACTTGGCACACACTGGTTGAATGCTAGAATCACCTGAGGAGCTTTTAATAAACACAGCTGCCCAGAACACACCTGAGATTTCCTAAGGATAGGGCTCACATCTCTGTATTTTTAAAAATTACCTTGCTACTCTATTATCTGATTTTAGTGCTCAGTGGCTAAGAGTTGACTTATCACTGGGAGCCCTTTATTTTTACTCTTTGTAACTGCTAACTTTGTCATGGTATTCAAATGACCTCCACATGTATGCCTCATATTCCAATGCCCAGATGTAGAAAAGAGGTTAAAAAGAAGCAATAGAAGTGCACTATTCTTTTAGAAATAGGAAAGAAACACCCTTTGACCATACTAAATAACTGCATTCGATTCTTGAGAGAAGGAGATTGCTAGACGTAGTCCTTTTGATTTTATTTCTTATAAAGTTTTGCATTCCTAAAATGTGTATTTTATTCTTAAAGAGGACCGTGGATTAGGTCATCAGGAATGTTAAGCGGGGGTCAGAGAGACTATTGCAAGCCTACTTTGTTCAGAATGGTGCTTCCAGTACCTACAGGAGAGGCTGCCCCATTTTAGTCACTCAGTAAACCATTTTTTGAGTGAAGAAATGACTCTGGGCTGGAAATTTAATCAGAGAAGAATCCATTTCTCTGGATGTTTTATTTTGCTATTTCTAATTTATTTACTCTTTTGAAAAATTGCAAACACACTATCAAATACCCAGAAAGTGGCAGCCTAGGTCCATTTCCCTCACACTTAACCACAACTCTACATGGTTGACTAGATGAAACGTGTGTGGGAGTGTTGTGAAAACCAAGCACAGTGCAAATGTATTATTAGCCAATTTTTCTACCAGTCCACCTCTCCTTGCTAGTTTTTTCTTAATTATCTCTGTATCCCCAGCATAATAAGCAGTGAGTAATGTATGTGACATAAAAACAAACAAAAAAAAATCACTGACTTAGATACAGTAAACATTGAAGGCTTTCTTTCTGCATATGCATGCCCTCTGAATCTCTTAAAACTGTTTATCATTTTTTTGTGCAAACACAGAGCCAGAGCTTGTGTTTTTGTTTCTACTTAAATGTAATTATATTATTCTATGTCTTTATTGTATTCTTGATGATATACCTTCACTAATTTTCTACATCAGTATTTAAACATTTTTCTTAATTTTTAACTACTGAAGAGGAGTGGACAGGACTCATGCAATGACATTTATGTAGCCATCCTCTTATTGATGGGCATTTGTTTTGTTTCTTATTGGGGGAAGTCGGTAGAACATGAGATTCTTAATCTCAGGGTCCTGGGTTTAAGCCCCAGGTTGGGAGCCAGATATCGGCGGAACCCGCTCCCAATGTTTCAACATAGGTTCTTTCTATTTTCCATAAGCATCAGCTGGCTGAGAAATAAAGAGAAAGAGTACAAAGAGAGGAATTTTACAACTGGGCCTCCAGGGGTGACATCACATATTGGTAGGACCATGATGCCCACCTGAGCCTTAAAGCCAGCAAGTTTTATTAAGGATTTCAAAAGGGGAGGGGGTGCAAGAACAGGGAGTAGGTCACAAAGATCACATGCTTCAAAGGGCAAAAAGGAGAACAAAGATCACATGCTTCTGAGGAAACAGGACAAAAGGCAAAACAGAACTACTGATAAGGGTCTATGTTCAGCTGTGCACGTATTATCTTGATAAACATCTTAAACAACAGAAAACAGGGTTCGAGAGCAGAGAACTGGTCTGACCAAAAATTTACCAGGCTGGAATTGCCCAATCCTAGTAAGCCTGAGGGTACTCCAGGAGACCAGGGCATATTTCAGTCCTTATTTCAACCGCATAAGACAGACACTCCCAGAGCGGCCGTTTATAGATCTCCCCCAAGGAATGCAATTCCTTTCCTAGGGTCTTAATATTAATATTCCTTGCTAGGAAAAGAATTTAGCGATATCTCTCCTACTTGCACGTCCATTTATAGACTCTCTGCAGGAAGAAAAATATGGTTCTTTTTGCCCGACCCTGCAGGCAGTCAGACCTTATGGTTGTCTTCCCTTGTTCCCTAAAAATCAGTGTTATTCTGTTCTTTTTCAAGGTGCACTGATTTCATATTGTTCAAACACATGTGTTTTACAATCAATTTGTACAGTTAACACAATTATAGTGGTCCTGAGGTGACGTACATCTTCAGCTTACGAAGGTAATAGGATTAAGAGATTAAAGTAAGGCAGGCATAAGAAATTATAAGAGCATTATTTGGGAAGTGATAAATGTCCATGAAATCTTCACATTTATGTTCCTCTGCTGTGGCTCCAGCCAGTCCCTCCGTTTGGGGTCCCTGACTTCCCGCAACAGTTTCTTTTGTTTTTATATCCCATGTTCGAATATTTCTGTAGTATAGATTCCTATAAATGGAATTTCTTGTTATTAAAAGCACATTTAATTTTTTTTTTTGAGACAGTGTCTCGCTCTGTCCCCCAGGCTGTAGTGCAATGGCATGATCTCCGCTCACTGCAAGCTTTGCCTCCCGGGTTCACGCCATTCTCCTGCCTCAGCCTTCTGAGTAGCTGGGACTACAGGTGCCCGCCACTACACCTGGCTAATTTTTTATATTTTTAGTAGAGACGGGGTTTCACTGTGTTAGCCAGGATATTCTCAATCTCCTGACCCACGATCCGCAAGCCTCGGCCTCTCAAAGTGCTGGAATTACAGGCATGAGCCACCATGCCTGACCTTAATTTTTTTATAATGATGCTAAACCACCCTTAAAAAACCTGTGTCAGTTTATACCACCCAAATAGTGGGTGATAATGCCCACTCCCACAGCCACTCCAGGTCTGGGTATTATTCAACTTCTCTTTCTTTCTTTTGGTAAACAATGTTAATGGAGGAGGTAATTTTTCATTATTATTTTACGTTTGTATCCTTATACCTTCTGGACACTATACCAAAATCTACAATCTAAAATATATAGTAGTTTAATCTAAATGGTAGCTAATATAATCTCTACTATATGTCACACTGTTATTCTGTTTCGACTTTTTCATGTTTCGATGTTAAAGTTTAATTTTAACAGTTAAGTATCAAATTTTCCCTATATATCATAATTTATATAACTATTATCCTATTCTTGAACAATTAATGCCTTTCCAAGGCCTCACCAATATAATTACATAGCAACGAAAACCCTTATATGTGTGGTTTTTTTCTCCTTTTATGAATAATTTATTAAAGTAAATGCCAGATAGTGATATTACTGGGACAATATCACTCTTTTTATGGCTCTTGATAAGAATTGTTAAATTGCTTTACATATATTAATTATCTTGATTCAGCCATTCCACAATGTATACATATATCAAAACATCATGTTATACACAATAAATACATGCAACATGTATTTGTCAATTTAAAAACATGAATAGTTTTACAAAAATGTTATATCCATTTTATGATCATCAAGAGTATCATATTTTTACAGATTCTTTACTACTTTTCTGAAGTGTGGTATATTTATTATTTCAAATTTAATCCATATGTTTACTTTTATAAATTGTAATTTATAGATTATATACACAGAGAATGGTGATATATATATTTATATTTTCCATGCTTAAAAACTGCTTACTTTGTAATGCTAACTGAAAGCAGCAGGATGCAGAATGAAGTGTAACAATTATGTATATACCTCAACAATAGGTCATTTAATTTTCCTTTTTCTTTCCTAATTAATCACAAGTATTACACTGAGGCTGAATGTCTTCCTCATATTCTTAGGGTCAACAGATCTGTCTCTTTCTTTTAGGAAATTTATCAGTGGTGTGGTTCCTCGTGCAACAAATATGAACGTCTGAAGGCAAACCAGGTAGCTACTGGCATTCGGTACAATGAAAGGAAAGGAAGGTCTGAACTAATTGTCGTGGAAGAAGGAAGTGAACCCTCAGAACTTATAAAGGTATTGTGACTCCTGTTGTTTGTTAAAGGGTTACCACTCCAACTCGTATGTGTCTGTGTGGTGTGTGTGTGTGTGTAAGGCAGCAGGGTGGGGAAGAAGGGGAAAGAGATTCAACACATGTTTCAATAGTGAGCCTAGCTACAATTAGTAAGAGGAAACAACAGGGTTATCTAAGTGATGGAACTGGGAAAACAGAAAGTCATGACTTTCTCTTACCGTTGGTGTCACTATCAAAGGAGCCCTGGGCCTATCTTCTATAGTATATGAGGTGAAACAAATGAGTGACACTTCTGAAATTGACCGTAAGAATGTATTTTGGAAGGAAGACAATATTAATAGTTCTTTCATCTATTCATCTGGGCTTCTCAGGGTTTTACTTGTTTTTTGTTTTTTTGTTTTTGTTTTTGAGACGGAGTCTTGCTCTGTCGCCCAGGCTGGAGTGCAGTGGCACGATCTCCACTCACTGCAAGCTCTGCCTCCCGGGTTCACGCCATTCTCCTGCCTCAGCCTCCCTAGTAGCTGGGACTACAGGCGCCCACCACCATACCTGGCTAATTTTTTGTATTTTTGGTAGACGCAGGGCTTCACCATGTTAGCCAGTGGTCCTGATCCCCTGACCTTGTGATCCGCCCGCCTTGGCCTCCCAAAGTGCTGGGATTACAGGCATGAGCCACCCTGCCCGGCCTTCTCAGGGTTTTTTTCAAACACGGTGGTTTTCTTCAATTTTAAAATTAACAGTTGCAGGTTGAGTATCCCTTTTCCAAAGTGCATGGGACCAGAAGTGTTTCAGATTTTGAATTTCCGGGGTATTGGAAATATTTGTATATACAAAATGATATATCTTGGGGATGGGAGTCAAGTCTAAACATGAAACTCATTTATGTTTCACATACACCTTATATGCACAGCCTGAAGATAAATTTATACAATATTTTAAATAATTTTGCGCATGAAACAAAATGTGTGTTAAGTACTTGTGGGTGGAATTTCCACTTGTGGCATAACATCAGGACTCAAAGTTTCAGACTTTGGAGTATTTCTAATTTCAGATGTTTGGATTAGGGATGCTCAACTTGTATTTCGTTAAAGGAATTAAATACAATCTTATACCAAGAGATTAAATATGCCAGTATTTAAAATATTTCAATCATTTTAAGCTAAGAATTATACGCAACACACTTATGATTTTAGTGTAGTTCTTAAATTAATGTGAAAATTAAGTGTTCATGGCTCTATAGACCCTGCATCATTTACTTAACGATTATATGAATCTTAGGCATTTGGTTGTGACCAAACTTTGTCTTTTAAGAATATTGCAGTGACTACCTAAGTATATATATTGTATATATTCCCTTAAATAAGACTGTCAGTTAAGGAGTATAACTATATTAAGATGTCTTCATACGTATTCACAAATTAATTTCCATTTGTTCATACAACAAATATTTATTGTACTCCTGCGATGCGCCAGGCACTAAATGTTTGCACCAGTTGCTACTTCCTTGTACGAGCACTGTGTTCCATCGTGACTTTACAGAGCCCTGTCAAAATCTGTTGATATAATACCTTTTTGAAACTTCTGCGTTTAATAGTGGTAGGTGGTATCTCTGAGTTTTCATTTCTCTGATTTCCTGGAATATTATACATATTCCTCCAGTAATTTTAGATTTGCATTTAAATCTATCTAAAGGCTATCTCATAAACATTTTTAATATTTTTGACTTACAGAAATTTAATGCAGTAGTTACATGGTCCAGTGATAGCCTAAAAATCCAGTGATCAGAAATTATATGAAATAACTTTATGTATTGTAATGTCTTTAAACTTTATTGCTTTAATAATGCCCAGACACAGACTTTCACATTAATGATGTTTTGGAAATAATTTTAATTCAGTGGGGAAAATTCTCATGGTATAATACTAGGAGAAAAGACAGAATATAAAATTTTATATGCAATATTATACTAACATATAATATGTGTATATAGCTCTGTATTCATACATATGTACATACCTAGAAAATTGTGCTAAAATATTACCAGTATTACATCTTGGGATGTGGCTGCTTATTTTCTTCTTCATTTGTCTTTGTTATAATTAACATATATGATTCATTTTATAATCAGAAAAAAAGTCCATTTAAAAAATTAAGATAAAATTAGGGATGGTTTTACTGGATTTTCATTGGTTAGAATAACATAGCTAATAAATCAGACTTTGAAAAGTATTCAAAACAAATTCTTGATCTTTTAATATTCTTTTAAGGCCTCTGTTCTAGAGATGGGATCAACCATGTAAGTCTTCTAACTTGGCATATTTGGAAGCAAAAATCTATAAATAAGATGTATTTCTAGTTGACTGTAATCCCTTGTCTCAATAGCTATGCTTGGATAGAAGCAGATTCAGGAACAGGACTTGCCTTGTGAAGTGGTAAGAAGAGTGTTACATTAACTATCGGACATCACTCATGCTTCTCCAGGGTCACCCTTGGCCCAAAGCAAGTCTCCTGACTATTCATTGTGTCTGATTCCTCATATGCAAAGTGAAGGGTTAGACAAAATGGCTTCTCCAGTCCCTTTAGGTTCTAATGATCTATCCTTCTACCTTACCTCTTGGGCAGCAGCTGTGTTTAATTACCACTCATTTGCCACTTGTAGTCTGTTCCAGGAAGTGATGCTGCTGCAGCTGAGGGGCCCTGCTGGGCATGTACATATGTGGTGTCCTGGCTTATTGGATTTCATTCAATGTTTCGAAAAAGAAAGTGTAAACAGTCAATACATTACACTGTAAAATTAAAATAAGAAAAAGCAAATGAAGAAAAACTGTGCAAAAATATAATTTGGCTTTAAAATATTAGTGATAAGGATAAAGAGATATAATGCTTAAGATAAAATGTGATGTCTGTGTTTCCAAGACTCCTCAGTTTGGTTTTTAGAAAAATCCTACAAAGCACCCACTTTGTTTTCATTCAATACATTCAGTGTCTATACTACATTTTATTTGACTGCTTTCACTCACACAATGAACTGAGATGAATTTTCAGTGAAAACCTTTATTAGATAAGGAAAAAAAGCATTCAGTGGTCTTTTCGCTTTTGGAAATGTAGTTTTGTAGCCTGATTACAAGAAAGAGTAATTATTTGATTAATTAATTGAGCACCTATAACAAACTTGTTTGACTTCTAGGCTTTCTTAGTGTTGTAATGATAAGGATAGAATACAAAAAGCCCATGAACTTGGTTGGGAAGAATTACAACTTTATTTTCACTAACCTCTTAACTGAAATACGGCCTTTCCTCCAATTGTGAAAGTAATAAGCAAACGTGAGTAGCAGGAACAGTACTGTGACTTTTCAGCTCACATTATAGCTATTGTACACAACCTCAAAATACGTTTATGCTCATTGCTACTTGGTAATTATTATTGTTATTAGATCTTCTGCTCACTAGTATTTAATGAGTTAATGAAAAGCTCATATATTACTTTACCAAACTTTAAAATATGTATTTTGATATTTTAATAGCTGCATTTCAATGTAATTTATTTCCATTATAATACTTTGTATCTTGTTTTATGCATTTAGCAAATATTTTTCTTAGAAGGGAACTAATAGGTTTCAGAAGTGTTCCAAACCAGTCTATACTATGCATGCACACATGCACACACACACACACACACACACACACAGAGTATCCTTGTTTAAAATTTGAAAATGTCATTTCTTTTTCTGAGACCCTGGTGCAACAGTTGATTTTACTAGAGATGGAGTCTGAAAATCTAAAAATTTTTCAAATATATTTTAAATTGAGGTTTTATTTATTTATTTATTTTTTGAGCTGGAGTCTTGCACTGTCACACAGTCTAGAGTGCAGTGGTACGGTCTCGGCACACTGCAGCCTCTGCCTTCTGGGTTCAAGTGATTCTCCTGCCTCAGCTTCCCAAGTAGCTAGGATTACAGGCACCCACCACCACACCCAGCTAATTTTTTGCATTTTTAGTAGAGACGGGGTTTCACTCTGTTGGCCAGGCTGGTCTCAAACTCCTGACCTTGTGATCCGCCGGCCTTGGCCTTCCAAAGTGCTGAAATTACAGATGTGAGCCTACGCACCCGGCCTAAATTTGACCTTTTAAAAGACTCATTTCTAATGGGGTTCTTTTAAAATTATTAACTTTAAAAGCTTTGAAAGTCTCTCTATGTGAAAGTTAGAAATGGCTTGAAAGCACGGATATTTTAATCAATTAAATGAGCCTGTTTTCATTACTCTGTATTGAGTGCTGAAATTTTTGAACTTGTCTAACACATTAAAGTGCTCAACACTGAAACTCACACTTTTCTGAGAGTCTTTTGAAAAATTTATCTTTAGTTTGAAGTATTTCAGCTATTGATCACAGTATTTTCACACAGTTTTTATATGGCTTATCTCCAGGGTGACCATAAATTTATCCTCCAAAGCAAAGCACATTGTAGAGTAAAAGGGGGCACTGAGGAGATAGGACACAACCATCATTAACAAGACTGTCTGGGGAAACAGGATGTGTGCTCACCCTCCTTTCTGTATCTTTAGTACTTTTAAAAGCCCGTGTGCCTAAATAGGAAGACAATCCTATATGTGGAAAAAACTAAACTCTGTAACTAAAGTCAAATTTTACTCTGAGCTTGTTTTTGCTGCAAATATATTTACCATAAATGACTGCACATAAATTATGTAAAGCTTTTTTCGTGATCTTTCTTCTTTTCATATTTAAAATAATCAGTGAATGTGAAGAAAAATTAAATATTTCACTAGCCCTAAGGTCCCAAACTTTATTCCTTGATTAATCGTTTTGTAAACATTAGGAGGAAAGCAAAAAACAAACAAACAAACAAAAAAAACCCCAAGGAAAAAAATACTATGTTTTTTAGACTTTCATTAAGAAAAAAACCCAGCATCTGGTAGATATAAAAAGAATGAAGATGAAGAAAGGGCAAGTTGTTTGAAACAACAACAATTTTTTTTATTCTGGAAAGACTTTTTAAATATAGTTTAATGAATTCGTTAAGCCTATAATCATTGTAAATGCTGGTGGTGAAATACTGGCAGTAAAAATTCTACAGGGAGATGGTAGGCAGATGCTGTGTTGCTGAACTGTTGTTGAACTCTTGCTTTTATAAAAATGACTGTAAGGCTCTCTGGAAAGTCATACATGCAATGATTGTTTCAGATTTTTGACCTAAAAAAAAAGAAAATCAGAATAACATATTATGTCTCCATTAATAACTGTTTATCAAGTGCAGGGTTGGTTCCCAATGAAGTTTGAAGACTCTGCTTACTTTATTGTCTGGTTGAGGAGATAAGCATGCACTAGAAAATAGTCAGAAAGTGTGGGAATAGAATCGTGAGGGTCCTCAGAGGCCAGAGAGCATGGTCTGAATAACACCACAATTTGTTGGAAGACTTTTCATGATGAAAATCCTATTTTAGACTTTATGATGTTAGCATATAGTCTAGATTAAACTCCAAAGGTTCTCCCAAAATAGAAAATGTGTTCCTTTTGTTTTTTAAGTCATAATTCACAGTATGAAAACAAAAGAATGTATTCAGCCATTCTCTTGGAAAGTTGATGGGATATTTACCCTATGCTGATCTGGCTGTCCTGTTAGTAAAAACTAGAGTTGAATAGTGAAGATAGTTCTTAAGTTATCTTTTAGAGATGTACTCTACAAAGCCTGTTAAGGCAAAGAGTAAATTTTTAGCCATACTTCTTCAAAGTACTTTGCAAAATAAAATTTATATGTTATCAATGCTAAGTTCCTTGAGGGCAGGCACTGCCTTTATATTTGTGTAGCCCTCACAGCTCTAACTCATTGCCCACTCGTATTTGGATAATTAAGACAATTAACTGTGAAATATGTAGTTCCAGAAACTAAGTATGCTTGTTTTTCTGTTTTTTAGGGGATAGTATGGCTTAAAAAATTCCCTTATTTTAGGTGATATTGTTGATGTAGACATGAACAAAGTCATATGCTGATTAAAGTAAGTTTTAAGACCAACTAGATTTACATGGAAAGGCAGTTGGTACTTAGAAAGGATAATTCAAATATTCTGCTCCTCTTCTTTTTTCAGGTGATAGTTAGAACCAGCCTCTCGAAAAACAACAAACAGGTCTTGAGCTTATTTATACTTAGTGCAATACTGTCCCACATATTAGGCAGATGGCATATACTCCAAGTGAAAGTGCTTCACACGGTAGGAAACATGTAGCTAGTATCTAAAACTCTTCATCTATGAATTAAAATGCATGTTACCTTACGTCCCTCTCAGGTCAGGTCATCACCCCTTTTAGAATCCAGCAGCCACAAAACTCCAATTCTTTTCTTGCCAGGACAGCATGTAACACTGCTGCCCGCTGCCTGGCTACCCTGATTGGCTGTTGCCTGCAATTCCAGTGCTGCCTCTTTGGGAACTGTTGGGGCCACCACTGCTCACTGCTCTGGACTAAAGGTGAATTTGCTCCATGAACTCCAAGGATCTACACAGATGTAGTGCTTTATTACTGAGTCATCTAGTACATTTGTCTTGTTCTTCCCCCAAAGTTAATGTCAAAAGGCTGTGCACATTGCTAGTGCTTCCAAAGTTCTTTTAAATTTACAGAAATGAGTGATTTTTAAATTTTAATAATTTGATCATGGGAACATTCATACATTTTGGAATACAAAGTAAAAGATTACCAAATCAAATTGGAATTTGGAAGCTTAGGATTTTGTCAGCATTCCTTAAAGTTTTTCTGTGGAAATGTTTGTCCTAAGTTTACTAGACTTACATGGGTTTGTATTTTAATATTTTAATGAAAATATAGTTGTACATTTAAATAAAGAATGATTGTTTTGAAAATGATACTACAGAGAGAGGAAAGAGCTTTATTTCTGGGGCGTGACCTTTGATTAGATAAATCAATCATTCTCCATTTATCTTTATAGGGTTGTATCGAATGAACCAAAGAAGTACTAGTAATTGAAATGGGGAGCTTTGTGAAAATCCCTCTCACGACCACTTTGTAACAATATATTTAGCATTTTTGAAAGAGTCTAAGGCTTTATAGGAAAATGGTATAAATAAATATATAGCTAGGCTGGTGGTGCACACCTATAGTGCCAGCTATTTGGGAAGCTCTGGTGGGAGGATTGCTTGAGTCCAGGTGTTCAAGGATGCTGTGAGCTATGATCATGCCTGTGAATATCCACTGCACTCCAGCCTGGGCAACATAAAGTAACCCTGTCTCTTAAAATAAAAAAAAAAAAAGATTAAGGTTGCTTTATGGGTTTGTAATACCCACACAAAAAATAAGTCATTAAACTATTTTTCTGTTGCCCTCCTATTTTTTTTCATTCTAGTCGAAACTCTGTACTTTGTAAGAATGGAAATTTGAATTGTCTGAGTTATCAGTTGGGTCTAAATATTTGTATGTTTTCCAAGTAGTTTTAGCTTCCTTATTTATCCTGCTTTTATTTTCCTATGACTTTTTGTAAGTCCTTGGGAAATTGAACAATGTCTTAAATATTTTGTAATCCCTCATTCATGTAGCATTGTGCCTGACACATAGGCACTGCTCATCAAGTGTTTGTCGTTTGATTGAAATAACATTATTATGAGAGTCATTGGGAAAGAGGAGGTCCATTTACCGACTTACCATTCAAAGATTTTTAAGTTAAAGGGAGCAAATATATTCGCAACCCTCTCTAAATTAGTCCTGAGGCTACACTGCATATAGAGAAGAGATGAACTATCAGAGATACAAGCAAGTAGGAATCTTTCTCTTTCTCCTCTTTGCTGCATTGTAATTAATGCATTTTCTCCATTTTGCTTTACTGCAATAATACTTAGTACACTCCTGAAATCCAAAGTATTACAGTGATAAGGAGTACCTGCCCCAAGTTGCGACGCTCTCTAGAACACTAGTGTTGCTCCAGCTATTTAGATCTACCATGTATTGATGGCTTACTGTTTGCCAGGCACTGTTCAAGACACTATTCATTCCTTGTTATTTAATTTAATGAATTTGTTGCTTGGATTTCTAGTATTGAATTTGGATACCCGTTTTGTTCCTCACCAATTCATCCAGTGGGGGAAGTTGAAATGTTCTGAACAAAGATAAGAAATTCATATAGTAACAGCTTATCATATGCTGCAAGAAAGTGATAACATTTCACATAATCTCCCCCTTTGTCACACCAAATTTCATAACGAAGACTTGTAACCTTACAGACAAGGTACCACTGTTATATTAATCAGTCCAAGTTAACACCACTTGGCAATCATCTCTGAATGAGTTAATTTTCCCTTTAGCTTGCAGCTGAAGTGAGGGAATATCAATAGACTCTGTAAATAGGATAATGCAGTTCCAAGACAGATGGATTTAATGGGTAGGACAGGGGAGAGGGATGGATCTTTGCCCCACAAGACGTATATCTGAACTGATAAGCTAATATAAATATTGAACTATAATGGCAGTTTCTATTCTATCCTTTTAGTGTTCCACTTGTCACAATAGTGATAATATATTTAAAAAAAACTAACAGACTGTATTTTTTCAGTAATTTTAGGTCAAGTTCATCTTATCCTTTGTGCTAAGACTCAGCTAAACACAGATATAAAAGGGCCAGGTCTCTGATTCAGTGATTCATGATTTCTTGCATTCATTTTGTAAATTAGTTTTTAAGTATATAATAATAAACAATAGTATTTACTTCGTATCAGTTTCCTCTTACATATTGTGCTTAGAGTTAGCCAAGCCCAGATACGAAAATGTTAAATATGCAAGATTCAGCCATTCATATCTCCTTAGTATGTATTTGATAATAAGCATTTGTTTAATATCATGAGGAAATATGCTCACATATTGGAAAGAGGTTCCTAAAATGGTGGCCACCTGGATTGTGCTTCCAAGTACTGTTTTTCCAGAGCCTAGAATCACAGAGTGTTGGAACTGGGTTATATTGACAGCACTTGTATAAACTAGTGTTAATGTATCAGAATTGCTGTTATGTTTGCAGGGGTATCTAGTGCATCACAATTTTTAGAATTACATTATTTTGAAAAAATGTATATGTAATAATATGTTTATTTAAAGGCTTTAAAGTGACTTTGTAAGGAAAGGATGGTTTCTTCATGTAAATATAGTATTCTGCTCAGTGGAAACCAATAGGAAATTCTCAGTGTTAGATATCCCATAATCTACTAATCATGAAAAAGGTACCAACATGCTGCTAAAATATATTAATATCTGTATGTAAACAAAAAAGCTTCATAGAACTATGTTGGTAAGTGAAGTCATGTACCATGTATCACAGAGAAATTAAATATTAATGGTCTGAAATCTGCTGTCAAAAATACATCTTAACGATGTCTGATAGAGTGCATGTAGAGAAGACAAATATATTGATTAAAAACAGTTTTGAAACAAGGAGCAAATGCTCTACAATTGCATTGTGATATTCACTGTTATGGAACACTATTGTTAGGGAATGGCACGACTTCTCTCATCTTGTGTTCTACAAGGGTAAATGTAGATGGCTCACTGGTAGGCTGAACTTCCTGTTCATTCCTTAATCTTTTTGTTACATTTTCTTGATGGCATACAAGTGCTTCTTCTTATTAACACAGGAATTAAATAATCTAGGAAATGGATTTTAATTGCTGCAAAAGAGCTAACAACTACTACCCTGACAAACATTCAGTGCTAACCATAGAAGAGGCACTCTTCTAGGAGCTTTACAGGATTTAACTCTTAAAACCCTTACTGTGATATGGAGACATTTTTTATTCCCTGTCTATGTTGTGTTCCTCCAAAAGTTGACTCTGAGACAAGGACTTGGGGGCAGGTTGTTATTTGAAAGGTGATCCTGAAAGCATCAAGTAGGAGTAAAGTGAGACAACATTTTGTTAACAGGTGTCTTACTACAGTGAGCAACTGGGGCTGAGTCCCAAAGAGACCCTCAGGCATTAGCCCTCAGAAGGCTGAGTGGTTGCTGGGTCTAGCCAGTAACTCCCATCCCTCATTGCTTGAGCATTGCTCCTTGGTTCTTAATGTCCCAGAACCTGCCTTGTATTTGGACACAGTACAGCTCCATGGCTAGAGAATGCCACCAGATAGAAAGCAAAAGACTTCGAGCTTTAAGATACTATCTATAGACAGCTCCATGGCCAAATAATGCCACCATGTAGAGAGCAGAAGACTTAGAGCTTTAAGACACTATCTGCAAATGAACTCTAAGTTAGATCAAGGTGATATGGGCAGAGCACCAATAGCATCTGCTACATCCTTACTTTACAGATGAGGAAACTGAGTCATAGAGAGGCTATGTAACTTGCTTAAGTAGAAATAAGAATAAGAAATCTGTGGATCACACCCAAACTGTCTTTCTTACAGACACTGCGATCTTAAACATACAGAGCAAGGGAAATCCCAACTGCTGTGAAGTTATTTTATAACTTCAAAAACTTTGCCAGAAATGTTTGATAATTATGCCTCATTTTATATATTCCATATAATAATTACTAGTTTTAATAGCACAGTGTTTGTACTCAGTGGACTGGTGATATGGTTTGGCTCTGTGTCCTCACCCAAATCTCATCTGTAATTGTAATCCCCACACATCAAGGGAGGGACCTGGTGGGAGGTGATTAGATCATGGTGGCAGTTTCCCCCATGTTGTTCTCGTGATAGTGAGGGAGTTCTCATGAGGTCTGATGGTTTTAAAGGTGGTAGTTTTTTCCTTTGTGTTCCCTCTCTCTCTCCTGCTGCCATGTAAAATGCGCCTTGCTTCCCCTTCACCTTCCGCCATGATTGTAAGTTTCTTGAGGCATCCCCAGCCATGCGGAACGGAGAGTCAATTAAACCTTTTTTCTTCATTAATTACCCAGTATCAGGTATTTCTTTATAGCAGTGTGAAAATTGACTAATTCAACTGGCTTACCCCTTTGTTTTTTATCTCTTACCATTAGCATTCAGCCCTTCATCCAAATTACAGGGGCATTTGGTTTAGGGTAATTGAGGTACACATTTTTTTTTGGAAAGAATATACATTTTCTTAATGTATAGCATAGAAGTTATGCAAATATTTTTAAGTGCCTCAGAGTACTTGAAAAGCCATTTTTGAGTTTGCTCAATTAAAATTTCATGCTTGGAAATTTTCTGGATTATGTAGATAAAAAAGTTTTCCCAACTCCCTTGCCATTGAAACAAAACTTGGCCAGATTGAATTAAAAGTTATATATAAATCAGGTTTATGTACCTTTTCCTCAAAGGATAAGATGAGATAAAATTAAACAAGTTCATATAAATATGTGTATATGTATATGTATATGGTGATACAGGGCAGTGAAAAAATACTCCTGGAGGTTTAGCTCATGTTCTCATTATAGGGGTGCCCTATTTTCTTCTCCATTTCTCCCCTTACCCAACTTAGTTTTTTATCCAACTTAGAGTACCAGAGGGTAATCTTTTCCAAAATCAGTGAAAATAAGCAAGAAGTTACTGAGACTAATAATGTTACCAGAGACACTGTAGTGAAGCCCCAGCGGTGAGAGGAGAATGATCTTTATGGACCCAGCAGTTTTGGGAAATGGGACCTAATAAGAGATGACTAGAGCCCTCATGAATAGTTTGACATTATTATTGCAGAAATGGGTTATTTCTTGAGAGTGGGTTTATTATTATCTAAAAGTGAGTTTGGCCCCTTCTTGCTCTCTTGCTCTCCATGTTCTCTTGCCTTTCTTCCTTATACCATGAGAAGAGATAGCAAGAAGGCCTCACCAGATTCTGCTACCTTGATATTGGACTTCATAATGTGAGAAATAAATTTATTTTCTTTATAGATTACCTAATTTGTGGTATTCTGTTGTAGCAACTCCAAACAGCGAAAACACTGCACTGAAAGTTAGTTCACCTAAAGCAGGGATCAAAGCTAACCTGTTAACCATTGTAGACTCAGCTCTTTCCCACAGAGCCAGAATATTATAGACACGCAAGAAATAAACCTTACATAACAGATATATCTTGCCTCACCAAAATAAGGTCGTATGTACAAGACTATATGGGAAAATATGATGGAAACACAGAGGAGGATCAGAGAATTCGTTTTATAATCAAGGACTAATGACATCATAGACAACACAATTGTGGACTTCAATGAAAGGAAGAGATTACTATATCATATTCCTTTTTCTCAGCATTGTCACCTACTCTTCTGCTGATTGCATAAAAGACTTTTCTCCAGGTTTTGCCTGGAGAGGGATATACAGGTCTATATTCAATTTGTAGTTTAAATCTAAGATATAAGATTTTGACAAAGGTACATTACCAAGACATATAGACTGCTTTATAAAATCATTAGATCAGTACGTGAACAAATAATAAAGTGTAAGTCCATGAGGAGGTGTGTGGCAAGAAGTCCAGTGGTAAAATCATTATGCAAAGGATTAGTCCAGTAATTTGCAGGGTTGTATAAGACAGAAAGAGTAATGCTTTGACCAGGGAAAGATTTGACTCTGCATATGTAAAGGTGAAGAAAGGGTACAGGATCTACCATTTGTTGAATTTTCACCATATGCTAGTCATAGTAATAATCACATGATAATTGAGCCATATTATTTATTATACCATTTTAAGTGTGGAAATTAGATTACAGAGACTCTTAGTAGCGGCTCCACCCAGCTCAGCCTGCCTGATCCTGCCAAGTGAAGGGAGGTGTCAAAAAGACAATGGAAGAATGCACAGAAATTAGGAACCCCAAAGGCAAGTTTCGGAAGCGTTCATCCAAGCACTGATCAGACAGAAATGTCCAAAGTGGGTTTGAAGCCTTAGGGAAAAAGGTTTGGTGATGTCTAGAAAAGGCAAATGACCTGAAATCTTAATACCTGAGATTTGCCCCAGAGCAGCTCTCAGACCACCAGGCCCTAATAATTTGTCCAGGGGAGATGTGTTCTAACAAGCTAATGTGAACCTCAGAAATGCTTGGCAGACCTATCCCAATGGTTGAGGTAGATAAACCAGGCTAGCAAAGCTGATGCCACAGAGCACTTGAATCACATCACCAAAGCAGGCCTAGAAGGCTTTTCAAATATACAATGCATGGGCTCCAATCAGAATAAATAAATCTGAATTTCTAGAGATTGGATTCAGACATTGGCATTCTTTTTTATATCAGCCCAGATGGTTCTAATATGCAGCCAGTGAAAACAACTGCTCTTGTTTAATAAGTTGGCATTCTGGCTTATGGCTTTTAATGACTTGTGATTTTGCTTTCTGTGTTATAGTAACTTGTAAGGTAACTTTCCATATTATAGTAACTTTTGGGGTAATTTTCTTATGAGTTTGACCCTTCAACATCTATCCTCTAATACGCTGATATTCTAGGAATGCTGAAGTCCAGTCCTGCCTGATAAGTTCCCCACTGCCACAGCATTCCCTGAGGCCTCTAGGGCTGCACTCTGTGTCTGGCATCCTCAAGACATGAGTGACTATTTAAGTTTACATTTAAATTCCTTAAAATTAAATAAAATGTAAAATTCAGCTACTCAGTCACACTAGCCACATTTCAGGTACTCATTAGCTACAAATGGCTAGTGAGAACTGTGTGGGACAGCAAAGATGTGGAATATTTCATCATTGCAGAAATTTCTACAGGACAGCACTGCGCTATAGCTAAATCTCTTGCAGAAGCCCAGTTCACTTTGTCTTTTTATCCAAATATGCTTTCCTACCTCTAAAATACCTCACATGCTTTCCCTCCTCTAAAATACCTTTATCCATTCTTTAATATATGAAATCACCCTCTATTTTACTTATGAATAAAGGAATAAAGGTATTTTTGAGGCCATCACTGAGAGAGAGCAGCAGAGTAAATGTTGGAATCTTATATCCAGAGTGGGTGGAGCTGGCTAAATAAGACCACAGCTTTCTCGGAATAACTGGTCATTTTATATCTCTGTGGATCTTCCCTAATATCAAATATTTGTCTTACCTAAGGCATAAAATGCCTTGCAGCAAGTAAATATACCATAACAACAAGGATTAGCTTCACTCTTACAATTTATTTCTATGCTCCCTATGTTACACTCTACTGATTGTTTCTCAGTTAAGGAAAAGAAGTAAGATACAGAATTTACAAATTAAAATGTTCATTCTTGGAACCTGTGAGCTGATTCTGTTTTTAGTGAAAATAAAACAGAGTCATCTACCCTAAAATGATTAAGATGAGAAGAATGAAATGCCTCATTTTCTATATAAAGAGCTTTGAAGTAGAGGTTAGAAGGCCTGGGGTTTACATATTTGCTTTAATATTTATGAGACACGGATCTAAGGCAAAACTCCTAACTTCCTTCAGGCTCATTTTCTTAATCTATGAAGTTAAAGTAATCATGATACAGGTTCTGCCTCTCTCTCAGAGTTCTGCTGGGAGCACATAAGACCCTCAATGATAAATGCCTTTAGGACTTGGCACCAGCTTGGCACATTTTCATCCACAGTGATATGTAGCTTTGAGTTACATATTGTGCTTCTTCAAGGTCATGCATCATTATTGTTTTCTTATGATGCATTACAAATATTTATTCTAAAGTGGCCAAACATCTTGACTTTTTTGTATAAAGAAGGGAAACCACATCTTGAGAACAAGCCAGTGTAAATGTTGGAAGTTTTTATCCAAAGTAGGTAAAGTTGACTAAAAGGTAAAAAATAAATAAATAAATAAAAACAGAGGTACATGCTGTGAAAAACTAAGGATTAAGAGAGTAAAAGAGTATAGCAATTGTTTCTTGGCTGCCTGATCCTTTTATCTGAAAATACAAATTTCCACATAAGCCTGCTTAAGTTTTAAAAAGAAAAGTTCACCTTGGATCATAGTAGGGAAAGAAATAAACAAACACCAAGGGTGGTCTTGAGACAGGTCATGAGAAACTCTGAAGCTGGTCGATTATTAATCTCCTAGCTAGCTACGGGGAAAGAATGGGCATGGCTTCCATATGGAATGCCGAGTATGTCAGCCTGATTAGAGACAGGTACAAGGTAGGGAATGCTGAGAAATAAGGCAGGGTAGATGACATTCAGCATCTGAAGGGGACTTGGGTTTCAGACAGAAGTTTTGGGTCAGTGGGAGCACCCAATTCAGAATAATCTAGATTGCAGATTCCTGGGCCTCACCATAGACCTGTTTATTTACTCAATGGCTGGCAGCTAAGAATCTGTATTTACAAAGTAACACAGGTGTTACTTGAGTACATTGAAGTTCAGGAACCACTGCAGCAGATGTAAAATATAAATCTTTTTTATTTTTTAGTTTTTTAAAATTTAAAAATAAATTTTAAATGTTTTCCTGCTTTATAAAGGGATAATTGACAAAGTTTGTACATATATATCTATCAAATGATAGACATATATGTACAAACTTTGTCATATACAAAATGTCATATACAAAATGTGATATTTTGATAGAAGTATAAGTTGTGAAATGATTACCACAATCAATATAATTAACATCTGTCAACTCACATTGTGTGTGTGTGATGAAAATATTTTGATATCTTCTCTCTTAGCAAATTTCAAGTATAAACTACATTATTAATAACTGTAACCATCATACTATACTTTGTCTCCAGAACTTATTTATCTTATACCTGAAAGTCTGAATTCTTTCACCAACATTTCTCCATTTCCTCTATTTTTCAGCCCCTGGCAATCACCATTCTACCACTCTATTTCTATGAATTGGATATTTTGGATTCCACATATTAATGAGATCATGCATTGTTTATCTTTTTGTGTCTGGCTTATTTCACTTAGCATAATATACAATAGGTTCATCCATGTTGTTGCAAATGACAGGATTTCCTTGATCTAGAGTCATATTCCTACAACATAGGAGTAATGTGAAATAAGGGGCCTTGCAGCCAGTGTCCAGGAATAAACAGGAATCAGTGACTAACCATGATTAAAAATAATAATAATGACTAAGTGGGTAGGAGATCCAAATTGGAGGAGAGGAAGTATTTAAAACTGACCACATAATTTTAAGTCCATATAAAGAGGAGAGAATAGAGATACATTGACACAAATGGAGAATTGAGAGTGGCTAATTTTGTAGAAAATAAGTTCAGTTTGGAGTATTTAGATGACGGCAATACTTTTAAACAGAAACTTACAGAAAGTAATTGAAAGAGGAGCTCCAAACTTGCAAGATACATCTTGGCTAGAACAACTGACGAAATTTTTATGTAACACCTTCAAATGAGGCTTCTCTGTGTTTGTACCCCATTAAATTGTCAAAATATATGTTATTTCACATACAAAGGATTACATGAGCTAAATGCCAATCGCGTGGGCAACCCAAAATGAAAATGTTTCACATTCAGGCATGATCTTCCAAGCTGTGTTTACAGTTTATGTCAAAGATCAAAATGTATGGCCTAGTTGATAAAGTGAACATATTTAGTTATGTTGCTCTTTCTACGCCAGATGTAAAGCCCTTAAGTGTTGGACAACATGGTTAGAAACTCATTTATATACCCCAGTGACCTCAAATATTTGATAAATGCTTAGTTGAGCTCAATTTTAAAGTGATCCTTAGAGATGATACCTGACAATATATGGCATCTCTCTACCTCTGGAGTTAAGCCTGTTTTTGCTAAATCCCTTGGGTTCAATTCCCAACTATGCTGCAGTCCTTTGAGAAGCTAATTAAGATGCCTGGCTAATATGGGAATTGTGGTCTGAAAATTAAGAGTTAGAGTGTGCCTCAAATCCCAGACTGGGTCCGCCCACTGGGAGGTTTCCTAATATTAGATATGCCCTTAACACAAACTGTTTATTCCTAACTATGGTCTTAGTTGGAGGAGAATTAGAAAAGTATATGTGAGGAGATCTTTGATGGCTCTTACAAGCTATACATACTTCTAGCAAAAGTGTTTTTTTAAAAAGCTTTTGGTCACAAGTGTTTTAGTTTTTTTTTTTTTTTTTTTTGCTTGATTCTATTTTTAGCAAAAAAAGAAAAACTGCATTACAATCATTTAGCATGTACAGTATCTAAAACATTTTATTGATCACAGTACAAATAAAAAGATAGGTATGTTCCCAGAGGACATAAGTTCTCTGATGCATCTCTAAATTTGAGAGTGTACTTACACTCATGCAAGGATTAAAGTACATTTTTATTGTTTTCTGGTATTTTGCAGTACACATTTTTATGCAATATATTGTAAGGAATAGCGAATATAAAACACATTATGTAAGGAACTTATTGTGTGTTAAATATTTGTTGTATCTAAATGAACATCTTTGCATTTTCTAAACTTGAATTTATATCTATATTATAAAAATTAAATTATTTAAAATAAGTTTATATTTGATTCCTGTCCTTGACATTCTATGCTGTTTGTGTTAATTAATAAATTAATTAAGGTACTCATAGACATATTTTTTATTTTAATATAAAGAAATTCAAAGCAGATTCAAATGTATTTTCTACCAAACACTTTTTTGGACTTTTGGATTGCATCACATATGCACAGAATAGATAAATTCATTTATTCATTATTTTGACAAACACTTACTCTGCGTATACTATGTCCCAAGAACTGTTCCAAGTGCCAAGGATACAGCAGAAAACGAAGCATGATTTGGGTGATCAAGAGCTTGCACTTCATCCTATATGTCAATAATTATAGTAGTATTTTACCTCCAAATAGTAATTTTGATTCAAATCTTTATTATAATAAACTCATAAAACTGAGAGATTATTTCTAGAAGCAGAGGTCATAGAAGAAATTCTGCTGCAGAGCTGAACATAGAGCTCAAATTTTAATTAATTCCTTCTAGCTTTCAGTAATATGGACACCTAGGCTCTCAAATTAGGGATTTTCCTTTCTTGAAATTCATTGTTTGAGGTTGCAAACAAGCAACCTCAGTGCTTGTTTACTTAATGCAATTGATTGATTTGGCCTATATGAAAAGGACTACCTTGTATGCATTGATGAGAAGTGTTTGAGCCTGGTCATTTTAATTGCAAATATTTTATAATCCATGTCTTTATAAGTGTATTTTTCTAACTCTGCATCCTTCAATGGGAGATCTTTATCTTTGCATCCACTGCTCACTTTTTTCCAGGTCTTAGGGGAAAAGCCAGAGCTTCCAGATGGAGGTGATGATGATGACATTATAGCAGACATAAGTAACAGGAAAATGGCTAAACTATACATGGTGAGTTCACTGTAACCAAATTTATTGTTTCAACAGTACTGGATGTAGCTAGGGAGGCCTGTATTGGGCGGGATTCCCGTTGCTGCAGTTGAGAACTCTCCTCATTGCTCTCCAAGAGCAATGTGTAGATAGAATCAGTTCTTTGCTCTTGTATGTTTTTTTAATTAAGTTTTAATACTTTTTGTTATTTTTATGAAAAACAACAAATATGTGAACTTATTGCTGTGACTTCATAAAATTATATATTGTTGCTGTACTAGTTTGCAACGATCTTTTGATATATAATACTCAATACAATGTTTCCTTTATGGAGTAAAAATATTTTATCAGCTTTTTCTTATAAATTCTTGATAAGAATGTAAAGTCTTCACCCTATTTAAAACATTGTCTTTAGCCATAATGAAGGAGTTCTTTGTTACAGGAGGGCTGAGCTACCAAATGAAACAGCTGGAGGGAAACAGGGTAAAAACAGTTCTGTTCCAGGCATTAACCTACCTACTTCCATATCAGCTCTATAGCACATGATTAGGAGCATGACTTTGCACAGGACATAACCACTCTGGGTCTAAGTATTCTTATGCACACACAACAAAGAAAGTAGGTTCCTTCCAACTCTATAGTTTTTTTTATTCTTTGTTTGTTTGTTTTTTCTGTTGAGGGTAACAAAAACTGCAAGACACTCCAGTTAAGGAGGTTGCTACAGTGGTATTCTTCCAGTGTTCCCTCCCCTTGCAACTTTCTAAGCGTGTGATTTGGAGCAGATCGTAAATCTCCATGCAGAATTTAGTAGTTTTCTCATCTGTAACAGAAAGAAACTATATTTGCTGCTCTTTAAGGGATTTTTGGCTCCGAAACTCTGTGATTTTACATGAAGACCAAATTAATAACTTGTTTAGCGTAATTTCCTTTTCATAATGAATAAGTGGATTTTTTTTCTTCTAGATGCAAAAGGAAATATGGTTACCATTTCTGCTAAATACTGGTAATTTTAATATGAGCCATACAGAAAGTGTTAGCTAAATATTTTGTGACTGCTTTTAAAAATTACTATTTCTAAAACTCATTTTCAACAGCCTAACAGATATCTTTTATTTCACATCATCAACCAAAACTGTTCTCCCTCCTGGACAGCATTATGAACTAAAGAAGTATTTTTAAATGGGAAAATATTCATCCTGAGTCATAGCTTCCTCTAGTGGAGCTATGCTGTATTACATGGATATAAAGTATAAAGTTCCTTTGAAAATAATTCGGGTTTCTTAACAAGGCTGGCAAGCAAAATCACCTGGGGCATTTTCAAAACTACAGAATTCAGACTCCACCCTGGTCCTGCAAAACTCCACTAATCTAGGGAGGGCTCTGGAATCTGTATAATAGGTAACTAAACTGTAGCATACAAGCTGGCCATTGAAAACCAGTAAATCCTAACCTGCACATGAATATCACTTTCAATTTTGTAAGACCACTTAAAAATTTGTTTTAATAGTCTGTAGTCATTTCTAAATGTGACAGAAGAAATTTACTTTGATAATTTATACAAAGTTTACTTAAATTGCAGGACCTATGTTGAAAAAATCTTTGTGCATAAACTATATCAATATCCTCCTTAACAAAGCGACTGGTATATGGTAGACAGTAAATGTTGACTGAGTGATTGTTTAAACTTCATCTTGTGTGTATGTAATGATTTTAAGATTATTACCTACTTGAAAAGATTACTCTAAAATGTACAAGAAATAATCATGGAAAGTTAATTACATGATGCTTAGTACATAAGAGCATCTGAATAGACCTCAGCCATTATTATTATCACTATTCTTTTCTGATGTTTTAGGCACAGTGTCAAAACTTAACTTTTTATTTGTAGTTCCTTTACCCCAAAGGACTTTCAAAAAAATTAGAGTATAATTAGTCTTGTGGATTCTTTTCATTTTCTTTGAAACAGTTTTATTGAGATATAATTTATACACCATAAAATTCTTGCATTTAAAGTGTACAATTCAATGCTTTTTATTTGATGACATTTACCGAGTTGTACAACCATTACCATAATCTAATTATAGAACATCCTTATCATCCCCAAATGAAAACATGGAGGTCATGGTTTTTATATTAGGTTTCAGATGCAAGTGGCTCCATGAGAGTGACTGTGGTGGCAGAAGAAAACCCCTTCTCAATGGCAATGCTGCTGTCTGAAGAATGCTTTATTTTGGACCACGGGGCTGCCAAACAAATTTTCGTATGGAAAGGTAAAAAATTCCATTGACGATGCTGTATTTCAGATTTATAGATATTTCCTCTATAAGGGTAAATAAAATATATTTTTTGATTTTAAAAAAAAGCCCACCTTTTAATTAAGACATGATCTATAAATGTCTCACATAAAATGCAGCCATTTTCCTCCTACCAACATCATATACCAGGGATTATGGAGTTAAAAAAAAAGCATTTGGGCAATATAAAAAGAATTGTTTTACAAATAACGTTTTTTCCTGTATTGTTAAATACACTTAATATACCAGGAAATTTTTGCTATTCTTTTTTTTTTTTTTTTTTTTCCGTCGCCCAGGCTGGAGTGCAGCCCGCCACCACGCCCAGCTAATTTTTTTGTATTTTTTGTGGAGATGGGCTTTCACCGTGTTAGCCAGGATGGTCTCGATCTCTTGACCTCATGATCCACCTGCCTTGGCTTCCCAAAGTGCTAGGATTACAGGCGTGAGCCACCGCACCCGGCCAATTTTGCTATTCTTTCACTGCTGTATTTAACTTCAATTATAATCATGTTTATTATGGTACACAAGTATTTCTTAATCATAGAATGTCTTCCTTCTCTGAAGTTCTTTCTCTTTAATTTACCTTGTATTTTAGGTAAAGATGCTAATCCCCAAGAGAGGAAGGCTGCAATGAAGACAGCTGAAGAATTTCTACAGCAAATGAATTATTCCAAGAATACCCAAGTATGTGTGAAACTGAACTGGCTAGAAAAAAATAGAAAACATTGGAGCTCATGACATCTCCACGAAACTCATGAAAAAGTTTGGGTCAAAGTAACGTCTGTATGTGAAGTGATTCTCCACCTGCCTGTCTGCTGCAATCTGGTGTCCCTCTTCTTTATCTGCGTGGGGGTTAGAATTTTTTAGAAACTGCACATCAGACTTTCCATAGAGCTGCCCATTCACTTCCTCCACAGCCTTTAATTCAAGATAGTAAACCACAGTAGGTTTAGCTAAGAGCACTTAAGAGTTATTATTCCTTAGAGCAAGTTGTGCAGACTTGGCCTGAAACCCAGATGATATTTGTCTTCATCGAAATCAATTTAGACCCTGGCTAGTTACTCCTTTCCTTTCCGAATCTCTCAGCCTCATCTACTCTCCTCATTTTTATGTCCCTGCACAAGGAACACAATGAGATCATTTCTTCCAGGTCACAGAGCTCTTGTGAACCTTATGTAGAAAGACAAACTTATTTTACTGCAGGGGTAACATATTAAAGAACTTGATTCTTCTCTCAAATATTCAAATTCAGCGGCAATTACTTTAGTTGTGAGAAAAAGCAATTTTGGATTATATGAGCTTGATAGCTAAACCAGGATAATTTTCCATTTCCTTACTTTTGTCTCCACTGCCAGATTCATATTTTCCCTTAATTTCTTATTTTCCTGTTTACTATTATTATTATTTTAAATTTCAGATTCAAGTTCTTCCAGAAGGAGGTGAAACACCAATCTTCAAACAGTTTTTTAAGGACTGGAGAGATAAAGATCAGAGTGATGGCTTCGGGAAAGTTTATGTCACAGAGAAAGTGGCTCAAATAAAACAAATTCCCTTTGATGCCTCAAAATTACACAGTTCTCCGCAGATGGCAGCCCAGCACAATATGGTGGATGATGGTTCTGGCAAAGTGGAGGTATTTACCTGTTTTTGTTTTTATCAAGCCCATTAATGCCAGTGTATGTAGGGGGAGGGTGGGGGAGATCACTTGAGGACAGGAGTTCGAGATCAGCCTGGCCAACATGGTGAAACCCCACCTCTACTCAAAATACAAAAATTAGCCAGGTGTGATGGAGCTCGCCCATAGTCCTAGCTACTTGGTAGGCTGAGGCATGAGAATCGCGTGAGCCTGGGAGGTGGAGGCTGCAGTGAGCCAAGATCATAACACTGCACTCCAGCCTGGGTGACAGAGTGAGAAATGTGTGTATACACACACACACACACACACACATAAATGTGTATATATACACATATATCTGTGTGTATATATACATATATATTTATAAATGTATATCTAAATATATTTATACATATTTAATGGCTCTCCACAGCCTTCCTGAGAAGATCCATCTTCAGCTGGACCCTTGACCCTTTCCGTCATCTTGGCTTCACCCTTCCACTGCCTTGAGGACTGACTTCCCCTCTGCCATCTAGCTAATGTTCCTACGCCTCCTTGGCAACTCAGTTAAATCACAAGCCATACCTTTTCTGAGAAGGCTTCCCTCAGCGCTGAAGTGGCCTTTCTCTGTGCTCAACCTCTAGCGATACTTCTCACATAATTTATCATATACCTACCACAGAGTTGTTCATTTACTGCCAGATTTCTCCTAGAGCTCTCATCGATTCCTTGAGGACAGGAATGAAATATTTCATCTCTATATTCCTAGGGCTTACTACAATTCTTGGACCAAAGTATATGGTCAAGAAATTAGGGAAATAATTTTTCCTCTTTTCAAAGACGTGAAGCGTGAATCTAAGCGGCATGGGTGTTGGAGAGTGGGAAGTGCCAAGGGAGAAGGTCACAAATGTCCCTCATGGCTGTTGTCAGAGGGGTATTGACTTCTGGGTCTGCATCTGTCTCCTGCTCAGACATTCCTGCCAGAGCTCAGCCCTCCTGGCAAACTTGGTCCCCAGCACCAGCTGTGTCCTGGCTGCAGCCTTCTCCTGTGCCATCCTAGGGCTGCTGAAATCTGGGGGCTCTCTCTCGGATCTTGTGCTCTCTCTAGGATCTAAGGCTTCTGCTCACTAGGATAGTATGGGGTGGCCTCTCTCTAGAAGCACTGCACTGTTCCTGTCCACTTGCTTATCTTCAGATTTCAAAGCAAAGAGTCTGCCCTTCCCAACTGAGAACTTAGGCAAGTGTGCGCGCGTGTGTGTGTGTGTGTGTGTGTGTGTGTGTGTGTTTGCTTGCATGTACACACACAGTGCCTGGCAGCCTCTCCTTCGTTTGTTACTCTCCTGTTTCATCTACAATTCTCATCTCTCCAAGTTGGAGGGTGTTTAATCTGTGCTGAAGATGAGGAGGCAGAATGAAAGTGGTTCTGCCTGCTTTTCTCCCAGCATCACATTTCGGTCTTATTCCTGGATGGCACCTTTTAAAAACAGAAGTCATATTATTGGCATGGTCTTAGTCTGTTCAGGCTACTATAACAAAAGTACCATAGATTGGGGGTTTAAGCAGAAACATGTATTTCTCACCAGTCTGGAGGCTGGGGAGTCTAAGCTCAAGGTTTTGATGGGCTCAGTGTTTGGTGGAGGATCCACTTTCAGGTTCATAGACTTTTTGCTGCATCCTCACATGGTGGAAAAGGAGCTAGAGAGCTTTCTGATTATAAGGGCACTAATTTCACTCATGAAGGCTCCAGCCTCATGACCTAATTACCTCCCAAAGGTCCCACCTCCTAATACCATCACACTGGAGGTTAGGATTTCAACATACATTGTGGAGGGACTCAAACATTCAGTGTGTTGTAGCATTTTTAGTATTTGGTCACAGTCTATCAAGTTTTGCCTGGGAAAATAATAGTCCGCTATCTTAAAGCACAGGGAAAAAAATATATATATATGTTATTTCATAATTGAAGAAAAAAATTAACTATAAAATAGATATATATTTCTGAGCTGAATCTTGCAGTTTTTTATTCCACTGGAGTGTCATGTTATTTCCACTAGTAGATGAAACAATAAGTATTTATTAATCAATGGGCTCGGAACTGAGCTTAATACTGTAGAGGAAGCAAAAGACACATAAAAGTAGTTAAAATGTCAATAAATTGGCAAATCGATAACAATTTCTTTGCTTGATTTGTAAACTAGTTAATAAATAATTTAAAAGTTGTTTAATAATGGATTTGAACCAAAAATTATTTAAAGCTTATGAGAAATATTATTAGATCAAGAAAATTGTAATTTGTTGTATATATTCCATTCCTTCCAGATTTGGCGTGTAGAAAACAATGGTAGGATCCAAGTTGACCAAAACTCATATGGTGAATTCTATGGTGGTGACTGCTACATCATACTCTACACCTATCCCAGAGGACAGATTATCTACACGTGGTGAGTTTATACGGGTAAAGATCTCGAGTTCCACAGGAGCCAGATTTTGCTCCAAAGTATTAAATTCTATGCATTATGGGGTAGAATAATCCTATAATCATCCCAGTGAGATTTGTATAGCATGCATATAGTATTTTCTTTTTACATGATTTTGACTATGTTTTGCAGTTGCCATCCACAGGCAGCAGGAGTCACATAAAGATCATGCTATCTAGTCTAGGCAAAAAGTTTTGATATCCTAAACCAGTGATGTTCTCCTAGTGGATATGTAGTTGAATATCTCATCTTGTATGCAGGTTAACACTGCAACAGCAAGTGTCAGGTACCATGGTTTCTTATGGTTAAAATTCACAGAGGTCCATCCTAATTGGAACTGCAAAGTTGCAATATGGCAAAACCTGTAGGAGATACAATTTGTGATTCCACTGATACCTCAACTTGATGCAATTCTTATTCTTGTTTCCATTAAATTCACAAGAATAATGGAAAAAATATGCAACTGTGTTTTCATATTACATGGTTTTGCATGATGATTTAATTGAAGTCTAAATTTGCCAATGCCCTGCTCAAGGAGGAAATGATCAAATGTCCAACCAAGTAATTTATGTGCATACACCATGCTAGGATATGTCAAGGGATAGGGATTCTGCAACAAATTATATAATGTGAAATTCTCTAACTTTTTATTAAGTGAAATCAGGTAAAAATAGAATATTGCTAAGACGGCTGGAAAAAAGAAAATAATTCTTAAAAAAGATCTTCAAGCAGAGAAATGTGGGCTGTGGGCGTAAGGTACAAAGGCAGGGCAGACGCCTACCTTTGCCTACATAGTGATAACAACCTATAATAGGTATATAGAATATAGATGCATTCAGTCCTCTGCTGATATGGTGACATTTCTTTTTGGTGAACCTCACACCGAGACAGTCACATGCATCCCCATAGTCTGGTCATCCACACTGCCCAGTGCCTTGAGCCCAGTCAAGTTCAGGAGATGGGATGACACCAAAAGAGTGGTCTGGGAACTCGGAGGTATCAATATCACCTGGGAGCTTCTTAGATATGTAGACTCTCAGGCCCCACCTTTGACCCACAAAGGCAGAACCTGCATTTTAGCAAGGACCTCAAGTAATTCATATGCACTTTAATGATTGACAGGCACTGCTTCAGGCAGTGGTTTAGAACACTGACTGCATATTGGAATAACCTGGACAATTTCTCATAAATCCAAATGCTGTCACCCACACCAAATAAATCAAAATCTCAGCTGGGGGGAATCCTGAGATTCTAATCTATACCACCACATCGGTGTGAACCACCACCGCACCCAGAACACTCTGACGCCACAGTCAATCCATATGCTGTCCTAGACGAATGCATTTAGCTATTTAGCTCTGCGATTAACATGTCGTCTTAATAGCAACCATTCTGTGAGCAGCATGTTTGCACTGGCAAAGTGCCAGATGTTTCCTTGTATTTTTTATTTCTTTCCAAAAAGAGTGGAGCAGGGGAGATTAGACAGATTAAGTAATTTAACTCAAAGTCACAGCTGTTGTAACTGGTAAAGCAACATTTTAAATCTTAATCTATTGGTCTCTTTAAGGCCTGAGTATATCAATACCAGGTAGTTATGTCCTTATTTTGCAATTTCCTTTTCTAAAATTTTAATTCAGAAAAGTGTTTGTGCAACAAAATCATGGCATTTATAGGGATAAATTAATTATTCCCAGTTAACTTTTCTTTTGCATTTTATTTCATGGTCTTCCTCTTAATTCTCTTTTGAATATGAAAAACATAATTGATTGTGGTACTTACATTAAACGAAAAAAGACTAAGCAAGTAATGCAAAAGAGTGTTTTGAGGAATTAACAGTTTGCAACCCATATAAATGCCTATGTGGACATATTAAAATAGAATAAATCAGGTTACAAATTTTAAATGCTAAATTTGAGTTTTAAATAGTAGCTATTTCTTGTATCATTTGAAAGTGTTTATTGAGCACTTTATGTGCCAAGCATTGTACTAATTTCTGGAGATACAGTGGTGGAAAGAAAACTATAACCCGTGCCTTCAGGAGCTTATACGTAATGAGAAACAGATGATTAACAGGTGTTTTTAGTGCAATATAAAGGATTTTATGTAAGATCAAGTTGAGTGATCTTTGGATAATTATATACAGACCCTCCACCATACCCCTAGGCTATTGGTTAAATATTTGTACCCTCTAGAACTCATGTTGAAACTTAATTTTCAGTGTGGAAGTATTGGGAGATGGGGCATTTAAGAGGTGATAGCTCTCATGAATGGATGAGTTCATTAATGGATGAATGGGTTATCATGAGAATGGGGCCAGTGGCTTTATAAGAAGAGAAAGAAGCCTGAGCTGGCATACTCAACCCCCTCACTGTGTGATGACCTGCACTGCCTCAGGAGTCTGCAGAGTCTTTGCCAGCAAGAAAACCCTCACCAGATGTGATCTCTTGACTTTGGACTTCTCACCCTCCATAACTGTAAAAATAAGTTCCTTTTCCTTATAAATTACCCTGTTTCAGGTATTCTGTTATAAGCAACAGAAAATGAACTAAGACAGGCTCCTAGAAAAAGTGACATTGAAGTGGGAGATAGACAGGCATGCAAATAGAGAAGTTGATCCAAGAAATGCAGGAAAATAGTGTGCTCCAATCTACTCGTCATAGAGTATGGCTGAAGAACATTTAGGGAACAAAAGATAAAACGAGGGAAATTAGAAGGAGCCAAATTGCAAATGGCCTCATAAACCATGCTGAAGAGGACAAACTTTATTTTTAAGACATTGGGGGTCACTCAAAGAGTTTGTATGGGGTGTTATATGATTGGTTTTCATTTTATTTTATTTTATTTTATTTTATTTTATTTTATTTTATTTTATTTTATTTTATTTTATTTTAGACAAAGTCTCACTCTGTTGCCCAGGCTGGAGTACAGTGGTGCCACTCTTGGCTCATTGCAACCTCCGCCTCCCGGGTTCAAGCTATTCTCCTGCCTCAGCCTCCCGAGTACCTGGGATTAGAGGCGCACACCACATGCCCTGCTAATTTTTTGTATTTTTAGTAGAGATAGTATTTCACCATGTTGGCCAGGCTGGTCTTGCACTCCTGACCTCAAGTGGTCCACCTGCCTTGGCCTCCTAAAGTGTTGAGATTACAGGCATGAGCCACTGCACCTGGCCTGTTTTTTATTTTAGATAAATTATTCTGATTGACATGTACAGAATGGATTGGTGGAGGAAGGCTAGCAACAGGAAGACCACTGGGAATGTGTTGCAATAATCCAGCTGAATGATGTGGCCTGAATTTAGTGTAGTGACAACAGGGAAGGAAAGAATGAAACAAATTTGCAAGGTGTTAAGGTATTGGCACCAGAAAAACTGTTAATGGGGAATGGAGAAGACAAAGTTGAGGATGACCCCTGGGTTTCTGGTCTGAGCATAAATGGGTAGTGTTTTATTTCCTGAGATTAAAAATCTTAAGAAGACAGGTTTGGCCCACACTGTAAAAAAATGCAAAAGGAAAAAGAGAAAGAGAAGGCACCACATCGGTAAAAGTTACTGTCTTTGGAATGCGGCTGGAGGGGATGGTCATTTAGCTTTCTTCTTTCCAATTTGAAATGTTCAACATTTCCATCATAAGAATGTATATATTGGGGGGATATCAAGAATGTAAGTTAGATACTTCAGAGTCCTTGTGAGTCTTCACCATTTGAAATCATGGATGTGAAGTATGTAAGTTTGTTAGTGTTGTATGGTTTGTGGAACTTCAAAAGCTTCCATAAAGATAGTGAAGAGGCTTTCAAAAAATAAGCAGTTCCGTTGAAGACTGGCTTTTAAATTAAACAACTTTCCAGTTTATGTGATAATTTCAATACAGGGACATAAACAGGTTAAGTCCAAGAGGCAGAGTTAAAGGTGAGAAACTAGAATTAAATCAATTATGAAATCACTTGTATGCTGAAATGACAGGACAAAAAAAAAATTCAGCAATGATATTTTATCTGAAATAACAGGTAATTAAAATTGAACAGATGACAATGATGAATCTCTTGAAGTAGTAACTCCCATTTTTACACAGCACTCATCTTTAATGAGCAACAACCACCACAGGTTTATAAAGAAAAAATATGTCAAAGTAGATTGCTTTTTTTGTTCAGTATACAATTTCAGAATTAGAAACAAAGAGTGACTGCGTTATTTCTTGATTGGAGTGGAATACTTGAATCTGTGTGGATGGCAGTTTGGTACTTGGGATCCAGAAGAGAGGTTTAAGATGAGTAGAGAAGTATTTGTTCAGGGTGTCATGAGGCAGAACTTAGTGATGTTTTGCAGGTTTGCTAGTTGAAATACTCCAAAAAAATAAAAGGAGCAAAATGAAGACAAAAGTTAGGTAATATTGTCTGTTCGGTGGTTGGATTTCTTCCCTCCAGAATAAAAGCAAAATGGAAAGCAGACATTTTTAACAGCTGGAAGCGAGAACTCAGGAAACCACAGATGTGACAAAGAAACAATGCATGATAACAGACCCTGCGGTGGCCCATCATCATGCAGCTCTGTGTAACTCCTCACCTTGTGCTTCCAGTGCACACAGATGTGTTGGCTAGCATTATAGGCTCTTGGGAAATGTAGGCTATTGACATTAAAACACTACGTTTTTAGTAGTTCCTTTATTAGGGAAAGCATTTTTTATTTTCTTATCAACATTTGTGTGCATGTTTTTTTTTTTTTTGCACCCCTCTGTAGAACATTTTTACATCAACCATTTGCCTTTTCTGGTCCAGTGGAAAATTCTGTGATAAGATACACACCCTGTTCCCAGTGTTTTGGGCGGAGGGGGGTGGGTATTGCCCAACGTGGCAGGTTATTTTAATCTGTTCCGAGTATGGAACAGTTTACTGTCAAAGTTTTAGAAGAAAAGATATATTAGGATTGGTGCAAAAGTAATTGTAGGTAGGCCGGGCATGGTGGCTCACGCCTGTAATCCCAGCACTTTGGGAGGCCGAGGCAGGTGGATCACCTGAGGTCAGGAGTTTGAGACCAGCCTGACCAACATGGAGAAATCCCGTCTCTACTAAAAATACAAAATTAGCCGGGCATAGTGGTGTATGCCTGTAGTCCCAGCTACTCGGGAGGCTGAGGCAGGAGAATCACTTGAACCCAGGAGGCGGAGACTGTGGTGAGCCTAGATCACGCCATTGCACTCCAGCCTGGGCAACAAGAGCGAAACTCCATCTCCAAAAAAAAAAAAAAAGTAATTGCGGCTTTTGCCATTACTTTTAATAGCAAAAACAGCAATTACTTTTGCACCAATCTAATAGTTAACTTTCAAAGTCTAAATCCAAGTTTAGTATTCCTGCTGCTAAGCTAACCACTAGTCAAATAGAAATGGGAAACCTGGCTAAAAATAAATAATGCTCAATGAATGCTTTTACCATGTTTGGGGCTTTGTTTTGTTTTTTTACTGTCTTCTCTACAAGCTCATCAAACAGCAGATCTCCCACAAGTTGCTTTACAGGTTAAGGTGACACAGAGTTAACAGCCACAAGCCACCCTAGAAAGAGAGGCTACGAATGAACTGGACATGTTGATTGACCCTTATCTGAGTGTTGGAAGTTTAGCCTCTTGTATAGCCTTATTAATAATTCCTTATGGTGGGAAGGGTGCAGTGCCTCACCCCTTTAATCCTAGCACTTTGGGAGGCCGAGGCGGGTGGATCACCTGAGGTCAGGAGTTTGAGACCAGCCTGACCAACGTGGTGAAACCCCGTCTCTACTAAAAATACAAAAATTAGCACCTGTAATCCCAGCTACTCAGGAGGCTGAGGCAGGAGAATTGCTTGAACCTGGGAGGTGGAGTTTGCAGTGAGCCAAGTTCACGCCACTGCCCTCCAGCCTGGGTGATGAGTGAGACTCTGTCTCAAATAATAATAATAATAATAATAAATAATTCCTTATGGAATTGCTAAGATGACAAAATGGGACCTCTCCATTGTCTACTTCTCATTATTATTTTCTTGATTTTTCTGGGTTACAGACGTTTGGTTCATGCTCACCAAATATTCATAGAAAGACAAAATGCTGGCTGGGCGCGGTGGCTCATGCCTGTAATCCTAGCACTTTGGGAGGCCGAGGTGGGCAGATCATGAGGTCAGGAGTTTGAAACCAGCCTGGCCAACATAGTGACACCCCCATCTCTACTAAAAATACAAAAAATTAGCCCGGTGTGGTGGCAGGCGCCTGTAATCCCAGGTACTTGGGAGGCTGAGGCAGGAGAATCGCTTGAAGCCGGGAGGTGGAGGTTGCAGTGAGCCAAGACCACACCATTGCACTCCAGCCCGGGCGACAGTGCAGGACTCCGTCTCAAAAAAAAAAAAAAAAAAAAAAAAAAAAAAAGGCAAGAAAGACAAAATGCCCCTAACATTCAACCTAATAAGTTTGGCTCGTATTTTCATCTCAGATGGATTATTTTTCACTGTAGAGGTGTTTTCTAAAAAGCAGGCAGCTCCAACTTAAAATCAGGTGAACCCAATTACTTAGCTAAATTATGTAAGAAGCAAAAGCTCAATTTCTTTAACATGGAGATAAAAATGCCTACCATATACAGTTCTAGACAACACATAGGACAATTAAATGTTAGATACCTTGACAAAAACAATAGCTTAACAGCTTGTATCATGTTAAAACAGTTCGCTTCTTCTTGATCTTTCATAATAACTTGTCTCTGCTTGCAATGCCTACATGTGACGATCTTAAAACTTAAAGGCAAGCTAATTCGTTTCACTTTCATTCCTCTAGGCAAGGAGCAAATGCCACACGAGATGAGCTGACAACATCTGCGTTCCTGACTGTTCAGTTGGATCGGTCCCTTGGAGGACAGGCTGTGCAGGTTGGGATATTTTTACCCCCAAAACTCACACAAGTTAAAGTCTTGCTAGCTCAATGGATAGCTATAGCTCCCTCCCAAGTTGGGATAGAAATTTGACATTTTCTTGATATGAACTGTGTTTTCATTTTGAAATTCAAATATTCCTACTCTCATTTCAAATTAGTTATCTCAGATTCTGGAAAGGAGGTAGCAAACAAAAACAACAAAAATCTATCAACAGGTGTAAGATTCCAAAAGAATCTTCCCAATAGAATCACACCCTATGTCAATGATAGCCTCTTGACATTAAAACGGTTTTATCTGTATTACTGTTTCCAGCTGTTGTTCAACAGATACAGTAGGCAGAATAATGCCCCCAAGGTGTTCATGTCCTAATCCTCAGGACCTGTGAGTGTGATATGTTACAAAGCAAAGGAGAATTAAGGTCGGAGATGGAGTTATGGTTGTTCATCAGCAGATCTTAAACTAGGGAGATTATCTGGGATTACTGGGTGGGCCTAGCGTAATCACCAGGGTCCTTGTAAGTAAAACAGAAGCCAGACAGAGTCAGAGGGATGCAGCATGGGAAAGACTCAACCAGCGATTGCTAGCTTTGAGGATAGAAGGAACAATTACATATTATGTAGTTGCAAATTGCTAGAACGAGGATATCGAACATTCCCAACACAAAGAAATGATAAATATTTGAGATGATGTTATGCTAGTTACCCTAATTTGATCACTATACATTGTATGTACCCCATGAATATCTACAATTATTATTAATCAATTAAAAAATAAAATTAAAAAAAAAGAAGGTGGAAGAGAGTCCCCAGCAAAGGAATATGGGCAACCTCTAGAAGCCAGAAAAAGCAAGGAATAGATTGATTCCTAGAGCCTCTGGAAAGGACTATAGCCCTGCAATAGCTTGATTTTAGCCCTGTGACTAAATTGTTATTCCAGATTTTAGCCCAGTTACTAAATTAGCCCCATAACTCATTTCAGACTTATGACCTCCAAAACTGTAAGATGATAAATTTGTGTTGTTTTAAGCCACTAAATCATAGTAATTTGTTACAGCAACAATGAGAAATAAATACAACAGTGCAGAACAAGCACAGATTAACAATTCGAATTAATAGGTTAAAAAAAGATGCATTTTCTTACACTCTCAAATCGTAAACATGCGTAAGTTATGTTTTGCACAAGTAAACAGAAATAAATCTTGATAAAATAGCATGGGTCCTTATATTTCCCTTTTAGGTACCAGAATCTTTACTGAAACAAAGTCCAACACCCAAAAGTGAGGGAGGAAGTGGTGGAGAGGGAGAAAGGATGAACAGAAATGGGAGGGACAAAGAGAAAAGACAGGGAGAAAGGGGAAAGAAAAGGGATAGGAGGAGAGGAGAGGGAAGAGAAGAGAGGGAAATCATGGAGGAAGAAATGAGACAAGTAAGGAGGAGAGGAGGGGGAAGAGAAGAGAGGGAAATCATGGAGGAAGAAATGAGACAAGTAAGAAGGAGGAGAGAAGAGGAAGGGCAAGGGAGAGGATAGTGTGAGAGGGAGGAGAGATTGAGAGGGAGGAGAGATGTATTTTTTTACTTGGGTATTTCTGAAATAAAAAATTACTTGTCGAGAATGACTGAATCCAAATTCAAAATGAAAATTTCATGTAATTATAAATGAGTCAACTTTTTAGTATATCTATCTATCTAACTTATCTATCTTAGCTATCTCTATCTAGAGACAGATTAAGATAGAGAAAAAGGGACAGGAAGAGATAATATGCTGTTTTATTTATTATAAAACTTTAAATGTTATACAATATCAGACGATATCAATGTCTAGTTCTAGATCTCCTCACTGTGTCTAAGAGACTGCTGTTTCTAGCCTGGTTCAATCTTCTGTACTCTCCTAAGTTCAACTGCTCCTCCTTTTATATTTATGGTGGAGTATCTGCTACTTGTTTCAGGACGCTTATTAGTTACCATGAAAAAGTTTTTGGGTCTTTGTTTTTTAGATTCCCTTACTGTATAACTGACATACAGACTTCAAGAAGACCCTATTTTCCTCTAGTGTGCCCCAATGTGTCCGTCTGCTTTCTCGTTCATTCTGTGAGAGAGTACTTTCTTGTTCCTTTTTCCTACAGCTAGCTGGAACTATCTCTCTCCCTCTCTCTCATTCCCTGTGTCTTCCTAGCTGGAGCTGCACACACTGCTGCCTGTTTTCTGCCTGCCTGTTGTCTTTGGCCAGTTTCTGAGAAGCCATCTGCTCCCATCTGGTGGGAAAAGCATCTTACAGATTAGAGTTCAAACTGAAAGCAGGTGCTTACTTGGCCAATGCAGTGATGTTTCTGATACAGCAGCATTAAACACTCCCTTTACATGGTTGTGCCTGTTTAACTTCCTCATTCCTGATGTCAAGGGAGCTAAGACTCTATATGGTACAAAAGGGTTTTTCTGTCTTGTTTTCAAATCTTTGTAAGTGTGTAATTGCTTATTTTAATGTAATAATTAAATAGAGAGAGGCAAGTTAGACACTTCAGAACATAAAGTATAAGATGTGAAGGCTGAAGTTGGTCTTCCAGCTGGTCTCCTTTCCATCTTGATACAAGTTAGTAGATACAAAAATCAAGTTAAATCTAAATTTAAAGGCGCATGTTAACTTTTTAAAAATAAGTTAACTTGCTACTTTTAATCAATAAATTAATGAAATGACTGAATTCTTTAAATGCACTCAATTCTATGGAATTTAGTTGATCTTTAAGGTATTACTTACCAAACTATTAAAAAACTATGAAGACATGCATTGTCTTACATATTTCATATTTCATAGTACTATATTTGATGCACTCGATTAATGAGTTACCATGAATTGTTAGCCGGTTGAATCCTAAATTGACAACAAAATGGTAATTTTTAGTTTAATCACTAGATGGCAGTAGCTTACAATAATGCATGAAAAAACTAAAGTATTGCGGTTTTCAACGCTCCTTTGTAGAATATATTAACCATATTGAACATATTTTAATCAGCCTTTTTTCTTTCTTATTCTCCTTTGACAGTAAGGGATGGGCCTTAATCAGTGTTTCTCTTTCTCTCATGTTGGCAATTAAAGTTTTCTCCATGTTATATGAAATGCTAAGCTAACAGTTTTAGGTATTTGTGAGACTATAACTGACAAAACGTTTCCATAATTTGCTGCTCACTTATTTGAATGCCTACTAATTGAAATATATTTATGAAGTCAATTATTTTCAATGCCTTTCGGCCTCCCTATATGCAGGTATGTATATGCATGTAATGAGTACATGCATCAGCATTCCCATTCACCTGGCTTCTAGAAAAAGACAAACCAGGGGAAGTGAGACAGTTCAATTTTAGCACAGGGCAGAACAAATGAAAACAATGGGAGACTGACATGAAATTTGAACTCTTTATGTAAATGCATCAATAGTTTGTGTGAGAAATAGGAAATTCTAATCCAATATTTGGGGCTAATAAATAAAATCAAGAAAATAATTTCCCTTTTTTTTTCAATTTCCTCATCCTGAAAAGTCTTTATATTGTATTTTTTAAAGTTTCTTATATTGAGCATATCTACTATTACATTTCTATAGGTAAGTTAAAAAGTAGAAAACATATTCTGTTTATTTTTGCCCATTTTTAGTGCTTGCATAGCAATCTTTGTGTGTGTGTGTAATTTTTTTATTTTACAAATACAGAGATATAGAAATAATGGGTATGATTTGGGGTCATCTTATGTTGTGAAGCATTTGAATGCACATCTCTTAACCTTCTGAACCAGATCCAAAACACGTGAGATTCTAGTACCTCTGTAAATATCTGTAAGTGTTACTGGTGCCCTTGAAAGAAGAGTGATTTTCACATAAGGTCGCAGACACCAGCACCTTTTCTCTTTCGGAGATGTAGATGAACAGACTTACATCTTCATACTTTTCAAAAACAGAAAGTATTGGAGCATGGTGATGTTTCCCCTGACAAGAAACTACTCATGGACACCGTGCCTGCGATAACAAAAGATTCTCAAGTCAACAGGGAAAATTAATTATCATTAACCTATATGTTCTGTTAATCATCATTCCTCCTGCTCTTGACTTTTTATTTTTTGTTTTATTTTCAAAAAGACAACATAAGAACACATTTGGAACTAAAACCTTCTTTCACAGCACTCTTAATTATATTTCTTTTATTCCCCCTCTCCCCCATCAGATCCGAGTCTCCCAAGGCAAAGAGCCTGTTCACCTACTGAGTTTGTTCAAAGACAAACCGCTCATTATTTACAAGAATGGAACATCAAAGAAAGGAGGTCAGGCACCTGCTCCCCCTACACGCCTCTTTCAAGTCCGGAGAAACCTGGCATCTATCACCAGAATTGTGGAGGTAATGTCATGCATTCCATAAAACATGCCCTAGTTATGGACTTCCCAATGGACCTGAGCCATCAGCAAATATTAGACTTTAAAAACTTGGCAAATAAACTCCCTTCATTCCTATAATTAATCCACTGTTCAAAATTTTAAAAACATTTAAAGCAGGAGAGTTGAGTAAAAAGTAAAACTCCAGATACCAGGCCTTTCGCAATTTTCAATTACATTGAACCCAAACAGATAAATTTTTAAGAATACTGTCACAAATTAGCTGTCAAAAGCGTGAGGCTGCTTAAGCTCCATCTTGAAAGGCCTTAGGTGGATAGATCATGGGTGATGGTCAGGTGACTGATCACACTGGAGACATTTGAGAGGGAAGGCCCTCGTTTGCCCAAGTGTAACAAATATGGGAGGCATGTCCCACCACACTGGACCAGAACCATAACTGAACTGGCCCCATGAGCTGTTTCTGACAGCAGCTGGGATCAAACCCCATGCCATGGTGCCATAAGATAAGAAGACCTCCAGGTATAGACAAGGCCAGCCTGCCCAGGTTTTTAAATGGCTAAGTGCTTTCACCTTAGGACAATCCTGTCACCCCAGTCACCATTGAAATCCAGGTCTTCCACATCACCCTTACGCTGCCTGGCATGCTCTGCATATCAAGCCTGGAGCTGTCCCTCAAACTTGCCCTCCATACAAGTCAATCAGCAGACCCCTTAAACTTGGGTTGGTCATCTCATCCCTCCACCTGCAACTTCTTCTCTAAGCCTCCCTCTCCCTGCACCTGATTTCTCTACGACTGTCCTCTGAGGACAGATTCCCTGGCAGCCCTCTCAAGTGGAACTTGTGTTTTCCCAAGACCCACTCACCATGGCCTCAGGGATGGGGCTGGACAAGTTCCCTCCCTGCTCACCCTTACCTCTTTGATTTTATCTTGCCTCTCTCTTTTATATCAGACTTTCCGTCCTCTAGACCTCTTGTGCTTTCATAGACTGAACTGCCAGTCCTCCTCTTCTTTGATGACTTCAGCCATTATCTCACTATTTCCATCTCTCCGGCTTCTCTCTTCCAGCAGTCTTTTCCTTGACCGCATTTCATCTCACACTCACATGGTCCTATACTAAATTTTGCCATTTGCAATAACTATAGCTCCTCAGAAATCTGTTTCAGTCATCTAATCTCTGACAACTCTCTCCTGTCCTTTGGCTCCTTTACTCCAGAATGCACATTCTGGCAATTCTCCAGGCCTATAGCTGAATCCATGAACCCGCTGCCTCCTTCACACCCCATGCTTCATGTCCTCCTTTCTCCCCAGATCCCCAGCACCCCCTTCTCTCTACTGATAACTTTGATTCAGAGTTCACAGAGAAGATAAATCAGGCATAAATCTCCTTATCTACTCCCCTGCAACTTTATCAATTTGTCTGCATCTGTGTATATATTCTCTTTCCCTCCTCTTTTATGAAATAAATATCAAATTTTTATTTATTTTTTAAGTTAATATTTTATATTAGGAATTTCCATATGATGAAGTGTCTTGTAAGTGAATATTATATACTATATGTATTATATATATACTATTATCCATAAATTAGCAATAAATAATATATTTGTGTACAGTGATATATCAATAAATAATTTATTAAATGTTTATTACATAGACTATTGCTCCTATCTAAGGCCCAATTCCTCCCCCACCCATCTGGCCACCAACTTCTGTCCGGATCCTTCCCTCTTTTGCTTTCCTAAGGAATCTCCTGGATTTCTGTCTTTCCCGTGCATTTATTCCATTTCTATTTCATCATGATTGCAGGCAGTAATCTCCTTTCATTCTGTATTATCAATTTATTTTTCTATCTGGAATCATTCACTTTGAACTACAAAGATGGCTGTAACAGAAACCTCCTGTCATTTCTTTAAAAACTGTGTCTTGACCTTGACCATGACCTTCTCCAGCTACTGCATCATTTCTCTGTCCTTCTTAAGAGCACATATCATTGAAAGGTTTGTCTTGAGTGTTTTCACTCACTCACCATCTCTACTTTTTAAAGCCAGTTCTCTCTAAAGCCACCTCAATCAGGTATCCATCCCACTAGTCCACTGAAATGGTTTTTATCTAGTTTGCCAGTGACCTGCCACATGCCACAAACAAAGGTCACTTTTCTGATCTCATTTTTCTCAACCTCCCACTAGCATTTGCCAGTCAGCCTTTCCAGTTTTATTGAGCAATTCTTTTTTCACTAGGTGAATGTATCCCCACACTTACAATGGTTTCTTCCTAATCTATCGGCCACTCCTCTCGGGCTAGTTTGCTGCGTTTTCCTCTTCTGTTTGACCTCTAAGTTCTTGAGCGCTCCAAGTCTCGGCCTTGGCCCCTTCACTGTGGTCTCATTCAGTCATATGGTTTAAATGCTACCATATGTATTGATCTCATCCAGAACCTTCTGTGCACGGATTCTTCTGTGTTTAATTATGACTATTTTTTTGACATTTAAAAACTATCAAAATGACATTTAAGCATACATTATCTACGGGCATTCTCAGTTGATTTCAGATGGGAAAGTCAACCAAAATGCACCATTGTTACATTCTGATCTCTTCCCCAGTGGACATTCCTTTGTGAGACCTCATCAGCTGCTTTCTGTGCATCTCTTTATTTTCTTGCAGCCTCTCAAACCAGCTTTCACATTCCCAACCTCTCTGAAATGCACCAGTCAAGATCATTTTACAGGTCTTTCTGTCTTCATCTCCCGGCAGGCTAAGGCTTTATAAAGATTCTGTTTTAGATCTCATTTCCTGATCTCACACCAGTCTGGGCACAGGTCTCTTGTCAGCTTCTATCCATCATCCGGGCTCTTTCCTCTGTACCCATAATGAGATGTTTGTATTAGAAATTGGAAGCCCTGGAAGCCAGACTTGGTTCCTGTAATTCTCCATAATCACATCTGATAGATTCCTTTGAGCTTGTTCTGTGAGGCCTCATTCCTGCTGGGAGAGGACTTTAACTATTTTCCTGAATGTTCCCAATTCCTGGACATTCCTTTAAAACTTCCAACAGCCATTCCTTCCACCTCTAGTGTTCTCTCCTTCAACAGGCTCCTGACAAACCTGGTGAAATTCAACTCTCCACATCATGGCTGCCTTCATCCTGGCAGTTCAGTGTGGTTGGCCAAGCAGCACCATTTGGCACAGCAAATCACCCCTGCCTTCTTGAAGCATTTTCCTCACTTGGCCTCAAGATCACTTTACGCTCTTGTTTTCCTCCTCCGTCTCAGCTGCTCCCCCTCAGTCTTGCTTACTGGTTCTTCTTCCTCTTTCTGGAATCACACATCACACTTGTTTGACAATTATACAGAAAGTCATACCAGTGACATAGTAGCACAGTCATATGGTCAGACAGTTCTCACAGAGACAGACACAGAGTCACAAATCCACAAGTGACACAGACCGAAGTGCTCCTACTCTAGGGTTTAAAATACCATAGTGGTGTCCCAGAGCGGCTCTGAATTAATTTCCTGGGATAGGGCAGAAGGCGATGTATGGTTTGCCACAGTCACAGCTTCTGGGACATGTTTATTGAGGGAGCAGCAATGAATTTGAATCATTGTTTTATTTTTCTTCATATTCCAGGTTGATGTTGATGCAAATTCACTGAATTCTAACGATGTTTTTGTCCTGAAACTGCCACAAAATAGTGGCTACATCTGGGTAGGAAAAGGTGCTAGCCAGGAGGAGGAGAAAGGAGCAGAGTATGTAGCAAGTGTCCTAAAGTGCAAAACCTTAAGGATCCAAGAAGGCGAGGAGCCAGGTGTGTGCTCTGGGGCCAAGGGCACTAACTAGAATTTATACTGATACGATTGCTAATCATCTTTTTTTCACCAAAAAGTCACTTTCTAATGGCTTATAAGGGTTAACAATCTCTCCATTAGTTGCAGAGGTGGGTGGGTGATGGTACCTGATTTCTTTAAGTAATTTCTCAACACTGAAATCAAGGTGAGATAATATTTGTTCATATAAAGCGACAGCAAGCATATGTCCCTGAAAATGCACTGGATAACTGAGTGTGTTTTCCACAGAGGAGTTCTGGAATTCCCTTGGAGGGAAAAAAGACTACCAGACCTCACCACTACTGGAAACCCAGGCTGAAGACCATCCACCTCGGCTTTACGGCTGCTCTAACAAAACTGGAAGATTTGTTGTAAGTGTCCTTAAAAATAGTGCGATAGGGCTGGTTGCGGTGGCTCATGCCTGTAATCCCAGCACTTTGGGAGGCCGAGGCAGGCAGATCACCTGAGGTCAGGAGTTCGAGACCAGCCTGACCAACATGTAGAAACCGTCTCTACTAAAAATATAAAAATTAGCTGGATGTGGTGGTGCACACTTGTAATTCAAGCTACTCGGGAGGCTTGAGGCAGGAGAATCACTTGAACCCAGGAGGCGGAGGTTGCAGTGAGCCAAGGTCGCGCCACTCCACTCCACTCCAGCCTGGGCAACAAGAGCAAAACTCCGTTAAAAAAAAAAAAAAAAAAGGGCCGGGCGCGGTGGCTCATGCCTGTAATCCCAGCACTTTGGGAAGCTGAGACGGGTGTATCACGAGATCAAGGAGTTCCAGACCAGCCTGGCCAATATGGTGAAACCCCCTCTCTACTAAAAATACAAAAATTAGTCAGGCATGGTGGTGGGTGCCTGTAGTCCCAGCTACTTGGGAGGCTGAGACAGGAGAATCTCTTGAACCCAGGAGGCGGAGGTTGCAGTGAGCCAAGATCGTGCCACTGGCACCACTGTGTTCCAGCCTGGGCAACAGAGTGAGACTCCATCTCAAAAAAAACACAAAAAACAAAAAACAGTGAGATAGAACCTAACAACGCCGGGAAGGGCATTCCCATGTGGCTCTGACACCTTCAGACATGCTACTGTTCTGAATCTCAGTTTCAGCCTGCCTACAAACCACGGTGACAACCTTTGCTCTACACAGGGTATTTTTTTTAAACTTTTATTTTAAGTTCAGGGGTACATGTGCAGGTTCGTTACATAGGTAAACTTGTGTTGTGGGAGTTTGTTGTACAGATTATTTCATCACCCAGGTATTAAGCCTAGTATCCATTAGTTATTTTTCCTGATCGTCTCCCTCATCCCACCTTCCACCTTTCGATAGGCCCCCAGTGTGTGTTGTTCCTCTCTATGTGTCCGTGTGTTCTCATCATTTAGGTCCCACTTATAAGTGAGAACCTGCAGTATTTGGTTTTCTGTTCCTTACACAGGGTATTTTAAGGATTAATGATATAATTAATGTGAAAGCATTAATGTTGTGATGTCCTATATAGATTAAGCTGTTCTTAAAAGTACTAGCTACTTTACACCTGTGTGAGCATGCAGTTGCTGTATGAATATATATGTGGCTAGATGTGTTAATTTAATAATTTGGCATTTTCTGTGGGCAGCAATCATTATTTCTGATCAAACTATGTAAATTTTACATGTCAATTTCCCAGCGGAGTAAAAATTTTCACCATATTGACTGAATTAAAAATATTATGGAAATATTATGATCATTGGGCAAAAATCACAGAAAGCTATATATGCAGTTACAAATTAACTGATATCAACAGGAATGTTTTATTTCATAGTCATTTACAAGCTTTGACTTCCAGTCCAGTCAGAAGTAAAATTAGAAGTATGTGTATGCATGTCTTAGTTCAAGCTCCTATCACAAAAATACCATTGACTGTGTGGTTTAAACCACAAACATTTATTTTTCATGGTTCTGAAGGCTGAGAAGTCCAAGATTAAGGCAACAGCAGATCTGATGTCTGGTGAGGGACCACTGTCTAGCCTTCTTGTGTCCTCACATGGCCAAGAGAGCAAGCTCTAGTCGTGTTCTTTCCTTATAAAGACAGACACTAAGCAGGGGCACTGTACCCTCATGGCCTCATCTGAACCTAATTACCTCCCAAAGGCCCCACCTCCTACTACCATGCCATTGGAGGCTAGGGGTTTAGCATAGGAATTCTGGAGGCAAACAAACATCCAATACAAAAGAATACAGGAGTGATTTTACACTAGGCTCTGAAATATCATCCTGAACCACAGCCTCTCACCTAAATTTCAAAAAAAAAAGTTATACTTTCTCTGTTTGACGTGCTAAGTTTTTGGTAAATTTTTCATTTAAAGAATGAATTCTTCTTTTATATAAAATTTGATCCACAGATTTTGGTCAACATGCCCTAGTGAATAAATGCAAACTTCATTTTTCAACACAGGAAAGAAAATTTCCCACGTATTTTGTCAGATATTTTGATTACTAGAAATAAAATTATTTGAGATGAAGTGGTTCAAGTCTCCCTTGAAGGTTATAAATGATTTGACCTACAAGTTAAAGATTTAAACAGTGCATTGAGATAAATATTTGGTTGCTGTATACCACAATTTGCTCACCTACTTTACAGGAAATCCCTGAACTTGCTATATTTTATAGATTTGTCATCAGAAAAATCTGCTGTTTTATTGTTTTGACTTGATATTGCATCCAAGCAACTTATTTTTCAGCATATGCTCCTATAATTTCTTATTAGAATTATTTATTAACATTGCTATAAATTAGTTGTTTGTTTCCAAGAAAAATGTATTTTACAAAAATAAGTACCTAGGCTTTGTTCTCAGTGTGTTTAAAGAAAAAAGATCTGTTAGTCTTTGGCTTTTTGTTATGCGTATATATTAGCCTTTAAGAGAAATATACATTTCCTCTGCACCAACTCATTTTCTTGTTTGATATTTGGAACCCCTTCTGCTCCCTTTATAGTTTAAGGCAAAGGATTGTTGCTAACAAATCTTTGATCTTATAATTACTATCAGAAAGTAGGCTTTACACGTGTAGATTCCTACAAGGCAGCTACAAGGCAGCAGAGCTTATTAACTAAAAGCACAGCTTTTAGAACCAATCTGCCCATGTGCTGTCACTTATCTGGTGGTAGTACTTGCTGGCTGTGTGACTTTAGGCTGGTTACTGAGCCTGTCTGGGCTGTAGTTGTCTCAACTCTAAAATGGTGGTAATCTTAGTACCTACTTCATAGAGCTGTGAATATTAACTTAGCTGTTGCATATAAAACATTAGAACAGTGCTGACGTCAAGTTAAGTGCTAAAGTTTTTCTTTTTAAAATGATTATGTGATTGGTGTATGTCCTCTAAAAAGATAATATAAACAAATCCTTTGCCTTCTAAATGGTCAAGGTTTTTTGTTTTGTTTATTTTGTATAACAATCTCAAAATCTCATCAGATTAGAACAAACATGAATTGTCATGCTCAGATGTCTGCAGGCTGCCAGGAACTAGGTTTATCTATGCTGGGCGCATGTTTTGAGTTTATACATATTTTTCCAGTGACAAAGTCAAGGACACAAAAAGGCCCTTGCTGAGTCACCTTTGCTAATATGACATGGCCAACGCCCCAGTCAGCTCCATAGCACCGCAAAGTCACATGCCAGAGGGAGTGAATAAAGAATGGGGAACCATAATCCAAACTCCTGCGTAAGGATCAGGGGGGTTTTCACTCAGAATTCTCTAAAAATACTGAACTTTAGATTAATACATGCCCATTGGTATGTATTACCAATGGGTGGATGAAGCTAACCCTTCCATTACCCTTTAATGCTAACTATAATTTAACACAATTTAACCCATTAAAAATAAAAAAAATTTTGTACATGCAAATATTATGTTATAATGTCATCTTATTGAAATTTTTTGATTTATTAAAATGACTAGGCCTATTGACTTTTTCTCTCTCTCTCTTTTTTTTTTTTTTTTTCTGAGACGGAGTCTCATTCTGTTGCCCAGGCTGGAGTGCAATGGCACGGTCTTGACTCACTGCAACCTCCACCTCCCAGGTTCAAGCAATTCTCCTACATCAGCCTCCCAAGTAGCTGGAACTACAGGCACCTGCCACCACACCTGGCTAATGTTTGTATTTTTAGTAGAGACAGAGTTTCACCATGTTGGCCAGGCTGGTCTTGAACTCCTGACCTCGTGATCCACCCAACTCAGCCTCCCAAAGTGCTGGGATTACAGGCATGAGCCACCACGCCCAGCCCTATTGACTTTTTAAAAGTAATCCTAACCTACAAAATGAAAGATAATTTAATACTCAGACCATAAACTCAAATGTTTTTAGGAACTAGATAGGCAACATAAATCTGTGAAACAACTATTCATAAAGGACTGGAAGTACAGAGGATTGTGAGCAAATTGACTATATATGTGGGCATTCAAATGTGTCAACCCTAAGGATGAGATTTAGAAAATACGCTTAAATATATAGTTTATTGAGATGCAAGGCTTGAGGATAGCCACCCAGAAAACGCTGACTCCAAATGAATGGGGTCAGCATTTTAAAGTGGAGGAGTTAAAGTTTCACTGACAATAGGCAGAAACAGAGAAATTTTAGCAGGATTATGTAATTTTTTATATAAGACCAGTGTATACTGACAGTGATTTGATTGGTTACAGATTGCTATGAATACATTCCAAGGAAGAGTACTTTCTTACTCTGTGAGGAGTGGTGATATGAGGGGGGTCTTATCTCTGGCACTCTTTGGTCTTCCTAATTATTTGCAGAAAAAAAGACAAAAGCTCGAGTGCATGCCTCAAGACTCAGGCCACACAGCCGCATTCCTCTCAAAGTTCAGAATAATTTAAGGTTCCACCAGCTTTATATTTGACTTATTTAATTTCACAAATGCAATGTTTATATTAAATACTGTTCTGGCCAAATAAAATACTACTAGTTTGTGATGCCAAATCAATGAACAATTATTTAAATTTTTATTACGTGAAAAAGAAGAAAAAAATTACCACCAAATTTTATTTTCACTATACTCAAAAAAAATACAGGGCATTTCTATCCTATGTATTAGAAAAATTACTGCTTTACTTTTTGCTCATATAGCTTTTTATACCTTTCAGATTGAAGAGATTCCAGGAGAGTTCACCCAGGATGATTTAGCTGAAGATGATGTCATGTTACTAGATGCTTGGGAACAGGTAAAACTACATTTTGTTCATAAGAAGAGAATGCATTTTTGGTTGGGAGATGACAGAACTTGATCTGAGAAATGGTAAGTCTAGATATAAATGAGCCTAGAGATTTAGGCTGTATTTAAAAAACACACACACACATTTGGTAAAAAATGAAACTAACACATATGGCAAGTTGATTTCTTAGTATGAAAATAATTCCAGAGCTACCATCTTTGGCTTTACAGTTGTAGGCAAAAAACTTTTATTTTTCATTTATTTGTAAAAGTTACTCATTCCTAATTTGTTTATAATTCATTTAACTAACAAGTGCATTCGTGTGTACAGTGTCATGGGGGTACAATGCCATTGAGGAAACCGACATATTCAAAGTTTCTTTTGAAATTTGACAAGAAGTCATGGGTAGCCCTCCCCTGGGGAAGAAACAGGCAGAATAGTTTTGAATCTACACAGTAAAATATGTTCCTGTTTTATTTATCTTAATTTTCAAGGAAATTAGTGGTGATTTGACGTGCCACATCTGATAGGTTTTTAACCTCTAAATTAACGGTGAAAGAGAAAAGTAAATATATTATGAACTAAATTATATAGAACAAGTGTGAAATGCTTATCTGAATTAGGCCTAGTCGTAGAGTCAAGCACAGAGATTGTTCCTTTTAAGTTTGTTCCCAATTAATAAACCATTCAGTTATATCACACCCTAGCTTCTGATCTACAATGACCATGTTTGACTTGAGGGCCCAGGCTCAGATTCTTGCCAAGTGAATGGATTACTTATTTCTAGATGAGAATTAAATCTCCAGGTCAATAAAACATTCTTGTGTATTTAAGAATTAAAGAAGAATTACACTTCCTTATTCAGATATATATTTAATTTTTCTCATTTGCAGTCAACTCCTGTTTCTGTAATCATGGGTACTTTTTGGAAGATTTCCCATGCCACATTTCATTTTTTAAAATCATGCCTTTTATTTACATTACCATGCTTTCATGGTTTGTTCTGTTCCCTGCACACAAATGTTTCAGCACTTTCAGTATGAAATAGAACACAATCTAAATGTAAGTGACCGAAATTGCTCTGCCACAAGTGATTTTAAAGTGATTTCAAAAATAAGGTAATTCAGGACATTTTTTTCAGCATTCAAGTACCCCCACCCACACACTTGACAAGGAGGAGGATATATACAGATTGTATAATTATATCAATTTTTTAAAAAACACATTGCTATTTAAATACTAAACATTATAGCATTTGTACCAACATCTTATAGGGAGGGCAAGCTACTAGAGGAGAAAAACACTAACCTTAAATCAAAGGTTCCTAGAGGGAGTCTGGGATCACCCACAGACAAGCTCTACACGTGGTCTACATGTGGTCTCTTCCAGCCAAGATCCACCTCTAGGAAATGGGGATAATGACTGTGTAAGGGCCAAGGGAAAATTTCCCCTTCACTGTCCACAGGTTCACATAAAAATCAGTTGATAAAGGGCAGATTAATAGGAGAAAAGGCATACAAATATATTAATGTTCACAGGAGTCATACAGAATGCAAGAACTAAATAAATGGCTGGATGGTTGATGCTTTTCTACCATTTTGAAGTTACAGAAAGAATGGGGGATTGCAGGATGGCAAAACTGGTTATGGGAGGGAGAGAAGAGGCCTGGCTAGGAAAGATGGTCTTGTTATGGATAAAACCTCACATAAAGTATAGATGGTAAATGTTTCTTTCAGACCTTTAAGAGTGTGATACTCTCAGTTAATCTTCCCTAGATCCCGAAAAGGGAGGGCCTCAAAGAAAGTCCGGCTGCACCACTGCAGATTCTCTACAGATGCAGATCTTCCCCTACAAAAGGCAGATTTGCAGGGCTATTTCTGTTTGCAAGTCCTCTGAACAGCCATCTCGAAATATGTCAAAGAAGTGTATTCGGAGGTGAAATATTTTGGTTTCCTTCGACTGCTGTCACACCCTAGGGGGTGGATGAAAAAAAAAAGTCCACCCAGACAATCTGTTTTTTTTTGTGAAAGATCACTTTACAAACTAGAAAGTACCATGTAAACATAAAATATCCAAGTGTGAAATCTGAAGTGAAACAGGCTGGATGTAGATTTAGGTGTCTCCTGATGAGTGTGAACACTGGGAAAGTGATGGTACCTCTCTGGGCCACCACCTCCACGTCCCTAACTTCTGCGGATATTGTGAAGATTGAATGAGCAATGTGTGTGTGAAGCACTTTACATAGGGCCTAGCACTGAGTCAACATCCCAGAAATCATACATATTGTTATTGTTTCATTTTTCAGATATTTATTTGGATTGGCAAAGATGCTAATGAAGTTGAGAAAAAAGAATCTCTGAAGTCTGGTAAGCTCAATCGATGGACCATTATAGCAGTAACCGGGCACCATTATGACCGAGTGTCTGGCTTGCTCTTTGCCACCATGTCTTACAAAAATACATTTCAAAATCAAGAAGTAGCTTAGCATTCCTCCTCAAAACTAAAGAGTAATGGGATTTTTTGAACTGGAGAATTTCCAAATGGGCACAAGAAAACAATATGTTTTGTTATCTAATCTAGAATAGAATTATATCAATTTAATCTGAAAACTTAAATTAATTTCAACCCTTGTTTTATTATAAGAGTAAAACCTCCATGACTGTGATAAGCCAGATTTTTTAAACTTCCTTTTGACTATGCTGTTCTTTCTGGCACAATTTTCCTTTTACTGAAACGTATAACAATAATTATGCCACAAGGACAATTCCATAAAACTTGGAATTCTTTCAGGCATTAATGAGATTCACATGTTGCCTTTCATGGCAGACGAGAGAAATCAAAAAGAAATTGTATTTGTCTACCTGGTCAATGGAAATTTATTACTTTGATTTGAAGAATTGTATTCGAAGAATTTTCATTTTCAATGTAGCCAATATTTATTTGTTCTTCTGGAAATTTAATTCATTACTTTTATTCGAAGAATTTTCAATCTGCAGTTACTTTAGTTTAACCCAAACTAACTGAATTTATATGTCTTTACAACTTTTTTTAGCCAAAATGTACCTTGAGACAGACCCTTCTGGAAGAGACAAGAGGACACCAATTGTCATCATAAAACAGGGCCATGAGCCACCCACATTCACAGGCTGGTTCCTGGGCTGGGATTCCAGCAAGTGGTAAATTGGTATTTGTAAAAAGCAAACAAACATTACAAGGCAGTTATCTCATTGCTGTTTTGGGAGAGGAACGGGAAAAGCTTTTTGCTTATTTGTCTTTTGAAAATTAAGGCTGGGCGCGGTGGCTCACACCTGTAATCCCAGCACTTTGAGAGGATGAGGTAGGCGGATCACTGGGGTCAGGATTTCGAGACCAGCCTGGCCAACATGGCGAAACCTCGCCTCTACTAAAAATACAAAAAAATTAGCTGCGCGTGGTGGTGCACGCCTGTAGTCCCTGCTACTTGGAAGGCTGAGACAGGAAAATTGCTTGAACCCAGGAGGCTGAGGTTGCAGTGAGCCAGGATTGCGCCACCACACTCCAGCCTGGGCAACAGAGACTCTGTCTCAAAAAAAAAAAAAAAAAAAATTAACCTCAACCAAACGCCTATTTTTTAATGCTTAGTTTTGGCTTGAAATTCTTCTTCACCTGGAGTTTTCTTACGTTAATACATTAAAATAACCTGAAGGAAACTTTCGTTATGGGCCAATATTAGCTCTTATGGAAACTGATTTATATCTTTTTTATGACCTTTCAAAAGTAAAATACTATGCATAATCTAGAAAGATTTGTCAGATAGGAAATTTTATAATGCATTAGCCATTAGTCAGAGTTGTTTTTTAACATGCCAGAGAAAAAGTTGTAATGCCTTGGAAGTTATTCTCTTTTCTATAGATTGTGTTCAAAAGATGTGTATACTTGCAATAAGGTTTATGTTAAGGTGGCTTTAACAATTGGTTGCTATTTTCCTTCTTTAGTCAATATGACTTTGATGTCATTAACTGCTAAGTGTTATTTTCTAAGAGGAATTTTATCTTTTTTTTAACCTTATTAAAAGCCTTTGAAAACACAGCTCTTTCATGACAAAATGAATTGTATTGTTATCCACTTAGATACATGTACATGTACAGTACATGTTTAATATCACAGGAGATCAAAAAGACAATGCACAGGGGAGTATCCCAGGGAGCAGAGCCAAGTTCAAGTAAGTTAACGATATCAAGTTACTTACTGGCAGGTAGCCACTAGAGAATCTTAGCAATTTTTGTCCTGCAAGATTTCAGCAAAGCTACAGAAAAGTGAGTTTTTATGTTTTCCATTCTTCCCTTTTCTAAGTAATAATTTTTATCGCAGTTACCCTGATTCTATTCCATTCCATTCTATTCTATTCTATTATTTCATTCTATTTTATTTCCAATATACCATTGTATATCAGTATATACTGATACACTGAGTGGCAGTTGCATTATCTACTAATCTATATAGGTCATTGAAAAAGAAGAAGCTACGTTAGAACCCATGGAAAGAACTTTGCCTCATGTAGAGATTCTAGATTCTTAGCCAAAAGCTCAGAATTGTTGGGCCCTAAAGGATGAACAATGTAGGGTCCAACAATTCATCCCACATGAATTTTTCTCATCCTTCATGTGGAATGAAAAAACTAAAGAGACAACTGACTTACCACACAAATGGACTATGGTAGAAGCTGCTGTCCCTTAGTATTGAATATCTCTATTTTCTTTTAATCATAGAATTCACTGATATTTTAGCAGATAATGTGGCCGTCCAGGCAGGCATGAGATTTCTCAGCCTTACTTCAACTTGATTATGACCATGTGACCCAATTCTGACATTTGCCTAAAGGAAAATTTACCTAAAAAGGCGTTTTCTTGCTATGGCAGTGTAACCTGTACTAATAAATATAGTGCTAGTCCTGCATGCAACAAAAATGATGTAAGTAGACATTTAACATTTCTAGGAATGTAATTGAGTGAAAAATAATTTTTAAAAATATTTATAAATATCTTCTGGGTCAAGCTGAATATTTTTTGAAGGATGATGAGAATAAAATGATTTAATAAGTAGTACTTTTTCACAAAATTAGTAAAGGTCAAGGTGAGTGGCTTAGGGTACACTGTATTTTACGATGTTTCTCTAGTTTAGCCAGTGGTTTTTCTCATCTCCAATTTATAGCACAGGCCGAGGCATATAGTAGGGTCTCAGTTAATATTTATTGAATGGCAATATCAAAAATGAGATCAGCAGCAAGATGATAAGGCAGAATAAAAGTTGCTGAGAGCCTAAAATGATTATTCAGTTCTGTTGCAGGGTTTTAACCTGCCCAAAGGATGGAAAAAGAAGAACATAAGCATAATTTCTGAATGCATCACGGCAAAGATGCATGTACTCATGAAGCATAAAATTAAAAATATGATACATTCACTACATGAAAATATGATATACGGTTTTTCTTCAGTATCCGCGGGAGATTGGCTCGAGGAACCCCATGGATACCAACATCCTTGAATGCTCAAGTCCCTTATATAAAACGGCATAGTATTTGCATAAAACCTATACCATTCTCCTGTATACTCTAAGTCATCTCTGCGTTACTTATAATACCTAATACAGTGTAAACGCTGTGTAAACAGTTGTTATACTATATTGGTTTTTTAATTTGCATTACTTTTGTATTGTTGTATTATTTTATTGTTTTTCCCCAAATAGTTTTGATCCGCAGATGTAGAACCCACAGATATGATAAATCAACTGTATCTAGTACCCAAAACAGATGAGTAACTTAGAAATTAATATGTAATACATACAGCTAATGTTATAGCTACTTAAGGAATTCCTTTCACTGAAAAGAAACTCTTACAAATCAATGAGTCAACAACCCAATGGAAAAATGGCCAAAAGACATGAATAGAAGTTCACAGAAAAGAATGAAAATGACCAGTAAATAATGAAAAGATGTTCTAAGACACTCTTAATTAAATAAATTCACAATAAAATAATCATACTTTTATCTATCTACCAGATTAGCAAATGTTAAAATATTAAAATGTTAGTGGTCATCAAAATGTAGGGTTACAGGTTCACCCATACACTGTTAATAGATGTATAAACTGGTCAAAACTTTTTGATCCATAGCACAGTATTACTTTTGTAAACATACACAAAAAATATTATATATTTGCCAAACGTATGTACTAATCTAAAACCAAACACATTAGACTAGGTACATGTGGAGAAAGAGATACAGGTGTTCCCTAGCAAGTTAATATGCTTGTGTCTCTTCAAACCAATATATTGGCATATTTATCTAATATTTAATCAGAAGAAAGAAAGAACAGAAAGACCCAGGAAGCCTACTGTTAGTAGAGGTCAGCCTCATCTTTTCTCTCTGATTCAAGAAATTCATACTCAACTCAGTCAAACAGAGGTCCTGCATTTACCTCTTGGTGCCGGAGAGCCTTGGTGAGCCATTTAGATCCTCTGTATCTTCTCAAGCACAATCCTCAGTGTTCTCTTCTCGTCTTAGATAGCTCATCAAATAATATTTCCCACCACTTATTTCTAGCAGTTCTGGTAAAGAGAATGGCCTTCACATTGTATTTTGAACAATGTTTTGGCCTCCAGTAATGATTAGGAACACACTATAAACATAAAACATCAGTCCACTTAACTCATTATTCAGTCATCAAGCAATTCTTGTCCCAATCATTCTCCAAAGCTATATACTGTGAATTTATACTGTTGTGTAGTGACACAAGCCCTTCTGCTGAAAAAGTAGGTAGATAATTACTTTGAACTGAAAGAAAACACTTATTTTATTTTCTTTTAAACCTAATTTATTTTAAACCTAATTTATTTATTTTAAACCTAATTTATTTTAAACCTAATTTATTTATTTTAAACATTTATTTTAAACCTAATTCATTTGAACTGAACTTGAATTTAAAAGCCTACAAATGCCCCGCATATGTAGAATTATCATTCATTCCGTGTTCTTGCTCTTGGATAAAACGGACAACTCAGAGAAAAAACTGGCTTATAAATGCACTTCACAAAAACTGTTAGAAAAGTAGCCATTAAACCTGTAAAAAGGCCGGGCGCAGTGGCTGACGCCTGTAATCCCAGCACTTTGAAAGGCCAAGGCGGTTGGATCACGAGGCCAGGAGTCCGAGACCAGCCTGACCAACATAGTGAAACCCCGTCTCTACTAAAAATACAAAAAATTAGCTGGGCGTAGTGGCGGGCGCCTGTAATCCTAGCTACTCGGGAGGCTGAGGCAGGAGAATCGCTTGAACCCGGGAGGCGGAGGTTGGAGCGAAAGTACGCGCCACTGTACTCCAGCCTGCGTGACGATGAGAGTCTCCGTCTCGGGGGAAGAAAAAAAAAACCTGTAAAAAGTGGCTCAACTTTAATATTCATTAGGAAATGACTAAAATCAAATATTTTACTTGGTAATGCCAAGTAAAAATACAGGAGAGGATATAGTGAAACTGGAGCTTACATCCACTACTTGGGAAGTATAAATTGATACAATGGGTTTGAACAGTTTTTGTATTTTCTACTAAAATGAACATACACATATCCTATAATCCAGAAATCCCACTCCATGGTGTGTACCCAACAAAAATGCATACATGTGTGTACTAAAGGATATAATATGATTTTTTTTTTTTTTTTTTTTTTTTTGAGATAGGTTCTCACTCTGTTGCCCAGGCTGGAGTACAGTAGCGATCTCTGCTCACTGCAATCTCTGCCTCCTGGGTTCAAGCAATCCTCCCACCTCAGTCTCCCCAGGAGCTGGGACTCTAGGTGCGTGCCACCACGCCCAGCTAATTCTTTGTAGAGATGGGGTTTTGCCATGTTGTCCAGGCTGGTCTTGAACTCCTAGACTCAGGAAATCCACCTGCCTTGGCCTCCCAATATGCTGGGATTACAGGCATGAGCCACCGCATCTGGACACGAATTTTTAAGTTTTATATATGTGTGTGTATATATATATATATATATATATATATATATATATTTTTTTTTTTTTTTTTTTTTTTTTTGCATTGGCAAAAAAACAAAGATATTGTTTAGCAATTTCCTTGTATAATGCAATCAGTGGAAGACAAATCAGAGGTATTATTTTCCCTTGGGCCTTTGCAGCCTGTGTTGTTTTTCTCTTTTTCATATTGATGTGAAAAGCAGCCAAGTATTATTTGACAACATCAGTCCCTTATTAAGATGTTATTTCTAGTTTATAATTGACTATGGCATTTGCATGCATTTCATCATGTCTCCATTTCTTCGGAATGATAATTTCTAATATACTTTTCTTCTATTATAGGAATAAGAATTCAGTAGTCATATTTCCTGTTGCCTATAAAAAATTGATGCTTTAATTTAGTTAACATGACAAACTCCATCTTATTTAGAGAGATTATTTTTGATGTTATTATAATAAAAATGACACCTTTACTAAAAATGTCTCATCATAAATTGTTTTCCATTATTTCTGTGCTGATTGCAAACAATACTGAATTAAAATATCCCTGCAAGTTCACTGTGACTCAATCTAAGGTTTTAATAATTCATGAAATAAAACTAATGTTGATGTTATCCAAATCATTCTAACGCCAACTTCTAGGTAAACAGTAAACAAGAATAAGCAAATTTGAGTTTTCCTAATTATTTGACATTGTCATTAGCTTGTGATCCTTAGATGGAATATATTTTGCCAGATCTCACCTCCCAGGGAACTGATGAGCTTTAACTGGAATAGTAGTGAGAATGATAGAGCAGGGCCCTTAACTCCTTAGAAAGGTCAAAGGAAGAGGTGAATGTGGGCAGGGTTTCACTGGAGTATTGACACACCAAAGATGCTATGTAGGTGAAAATCTCTCCTAATGCATTCCCTTTCCAACGAACCTGAGCCTGGATTCTTCAGTAACACAATGCCTTCTGAGAAACAATGTTGTTCCACATTTTAGAGTTTTGGCATGCATAATGGAGTTTATGGCAGAGTTCAGAGGATACAATGAAACAAGAAAGGGAGGCAACTGATGTTGTTTGATTATCTCCATTATTTTGAAGGAGCCAGGTGCTTGGGGAACCTGGTTGTACAGAAAGGTGATGCCAAGACTCTCTTGTATGATTTTCCTCTCTAGCTTGGGGCTGCACCCTCTGCTGTGGGAAGGAGTCCTCAAGGTATTAATATACATCCTATCATTTATTTTAGATACAGATAGCATTAGAGTTTATCAGTAAAGTTGGGCAACTCATGGAATATTACGAGTAGAAATTGTAATTACTGTAGAATGTATAGTGTTTTGAATGGCTATTGTATTTTTCAGCATACAAATTCAGAGGGGTGAAAGTAGGCAATGACACCACTATTTATGTTTTTTGTTGTTGTTGTTTGTTTTTGTTTTGTTTTGTTTTGAGATGGAGTCTTGCACTGTCACCCAGGCTGGAGGACAGTGGCATGATCTCTGCTCACTGCAACCTCTGCCTCCCGTGTTCAAGCGATTCTCCTGCCTCAGCCTCCTGAGTAGCTGGGATTACAGGCACCCGCCACCACACCTGACTAATTTTTTGTATTTTTAAGTAGAGACGGAGTTTTGCCATGTTGGCCAGGCTGGTCTTGAACTCCTGAACTTGTGATCCACCCTCCTCTGCCTTCCAAAGTGCTGGGATTACAGGCATGAGCCACCGCACCCAGCCCTATTTATGTTTTTTAAAAGCACCATTTACCACCCATTTGTCTATGGACTTAATCTATGTCTCTATGAGCTGGTAAACAATAGACAGGTAAATACAGACTTGGCTGTATTTGAACAGCACCTTCAAAAACCAGAAGCCAGAAATCAGGTAGCTAGATTTGTCCATGAAAGCAGGAGATTCCCTTAACTGGTGATGCCTGAAGTTGGGATAAAGAGTCTTCCAAACATGTGCCATTTTGGCATGGATATCTAAAGCCACCATGATGGCTTTATATTAATGAAGGAAATAAGTTGCAGGATAAGTATATCCATGGTCATCCAGGGGAAGAAAATGGCGTACATAACTTATATACCATATTTAACCCAGAGACAGATATCACAGGTAAACAGTGCAAATCACTGTCCCTAGTCTGAGCCATATTTAGTGTCTTGAAAGAGCCACAGTGGCTGGCTAAAATGGCACAGTGGCAAATCCTGACCATGGACTGCCCTATGCAAAATAACTAGCTCCCCACTTTACACAGAGTACACCATGTCAGGCCTCTGAGCCCAAGCTAAGCCATCATATCCCCTGTGACCTGCACATATACATCCAGATGGCCTGAAGCAATTGAAGATCTACAAAAGAAGTGAAAATTACCTTAACTGATGACATTCCACCATTGTGATGTGTTTCTGCCCCATCCTAACTGATCAGTGTACTTTGTAATCTCCCCCACCCTTAAGAAGGTTCTTTGTAATTCTTCCCACCCTTGAGAATGTACTTTGTGAGATCCACCCCCTGCCAGCAAAACATTGCTCCTGACTCCACCGCCTATCCCAAAACCTATAAGAACTAATGATAATCCCACCACCCTTTGCTGACTCTCTTTTCGGACTCAGCCCGCCTGCACCCAGGTGAAATAAACAGCCTTGTTGCTAACCCAAAGCCTGTTTGGTGGTCTCTTTACATGGACACGTGTGACATTTGGTGCCTAAGACCCGGGTCAGAGGGACTCCTTCAGGAGACCAGTCCCCTGTCCTCACCCTCACTCCGTGAAAAGATCCACCTACGACCTCAGGTCCTCAGACCAACCAGCCCAAGGAACATCTCACCAATTTCAAATTGGGTAAGCAGTCTTTTCACTCTCTCCTCCAGCCTCTCTCACTACCCTTCAATCCCCCTGTCCCTCTAATTCCAGTTCTTTTTCCTCTCTAGCAGAGACAAAGGAGACACATTTTATCCGTGGACCCAAAACTCTGGCGCCAGTCACAGACTCGGGAAGACAGTCTTCCCTTGGTGTTTAATCCTGGTGGGGATGCCTGCCTGATGATTCACCCACATTCCATTGGTGTCTGATCACCGCAGGGGTGCCTGTTTTGGTCATTCACCCACACTCTATTGGTGTCTGATCACCGCAGGGATGCCTGTTTTGGTCATTCACCCACATTCCGTTGGTGGAAAGTCAATTGCGAGGACGCCTGCTTTGGCTGCTCACCCACATTGCAGCCCAGGGCTGCTCCCCACCCCCCTTCTCCATGTCTCTACCTTTCTCTTTAAACTTACCTCCTTCACTATGGGCAAGTTTCCACCCTCCATTCCCCCATCTTCTCCCTTAGCCTGTGTTCTTAAAAACGTAAAACCCCTTCGACTCACACCTGACCTAAAACCTAAATGCCTTATTTTCTTCTGCAATACCGCTTGGCCCCAATACAAACTCGACAATAGTTCCAAGTAGCCAGAAAACAGCACTTTTGATTTCTCCATTTTACAAGACCTAGATGATTTTTGTCAAAAAAATGGGCAAATGGTCTGAGATGCCTGATGTCCAGGCATTCTTTTACACATCAGTCCCTCCCTAGTCTCTGCTCCCAATGCGACTCATCCCAAATCTTTCTTCTTTCTCTCCTGTCTGTTCCTTCAGTCTCCACCCCCAAGTTCTGAGTCCTTTGAATCCTCCTTTTCTACGGACTCATCTGACCTCTCCCCTCCTCCCCAGGCTGCTCCTGGCCAGGCTGAGCCAGGTCCCAATTCTTCCTCAGCCTCTGATCCCCCACCCTATAATCCTTTTATCACCTCCCCTCCTCACACCCTGTCCAGCTTACAGTCTCTTTCCACGACTAGACCTCCCCCACCTGCCAACAATTTCCTCTTAAAAAGGTGGCTGGAGCTAAAGGCATAGTCAAGGTTAATGCTCCTTTTTCTTTATCTGACCTCTCCCAAATCAGTTAGAATTTAGGCTCTTTTTCATCAAATTTAAAAACCCAGCCAGTCCGTGGCCCATTTGGCAACAACCCTTAGACGCTCTACCACCCTAGACCCATAGGGGCCATATGTCTTAATATACATTTTATTACCCAACCCACTCCTGACTTTAAAAAAAGCTCCAGAAATTAGATTCTAGCCCTCAAACCCCACAACAGGACTTAATTAACCTCGCCTTCAAGGTAGAGGCAGCCAAGTAGAAATGTATTTCTGAGTTGCAATTCCTTGCCTCCACTGTGAGATAAACCCCAGCCACATTCCAGCACACAAGAACTCCAAATGCCTGATCCACAGCTGCCAGGGGTTCCTCCAGGACCTCCTTCCCCAGGAGCTTGCTTCAAGTGCCAGAAATCTGGCCACTGGGCCAAGGAATTCCCGCAGCCCGGGATTCCTCCTAAGTCGTGTCCCATCTGTGCGGGACCCCACTGGAAATCAGACTGTCCGACCTGGCAGCCACTCCCAGAGGCCCTGGAACTCTGGGCCAAAGCTCTGTGACTGACTCCTTCCCAGATCTTCTCGGCTTAGTGGCTGAAGACTGACACTGCCCGATCGCCTCGGAAGCCTACAGGACCATCACAGATGCTTTGGATAACTCTTACTGTGGAGGGTAAGTCCGTCTCCTTGTTAATCAATACGGAGGCTACCCACTCCACATTACCTTCTTTTCAAGGGCGTGTTTCCCTTGCCCCAATAACTGTTGTGGGTATTGATGGCCAGGCATCTAAACCTCTTAAAACTCCCCAACTCTGGTGCCAACTTGGACAACATTCTTTTATGCACTCTTTTTTAGTTATCCCCACCTGCCCAGCTCCCTTATTAGGTCAAGCCACTTTAACCAAATTATCTGCTTCCCTGACTATTCCTGGGCTACAGCCACACCTCATTACCACCCTTTTCCCCAGTTCAAAGCCTCTTTTGCATCCTCTCCTTGTATCTCCACACCTTAATCCGCAAGTATAGGACACCTCTCCTCCCTCCTTGGAGACCGATCATGCACCCCTTACCATCCCATTAAAACCTAATCACCCTTACTCTGCCACACTTTAAAAAGATTAAAGCCCATTATCACTCACCTGTTACAGCATGGCTTTTTAAAGCCTATAAACTCTCCTTACAATTCCCAATTTTACCTGTCCAAAAACATTCAGACAAGTCTTACAGGTTAGTTCAAGATCTGCACTTTATCAACCAGAGTTGTTTTGCCTATCCACCCTGTGGTGCCCAACCTGTACACTCTTTTGTCCTCAATACCTTCCTTCACAACTCACTATTCCGTTCTTGATCTTAAAGATGCTTTTTCACTATTCCCCTATACCCCTCATCCCAGCCTCTCTTTGCTTTTACCTGGACTGACCCTGACACCCATCAGTCCCAGCAGCTTACCTGGGCTGTACTGCCACAAGGCTTCAGGGACAGCCCTCATTACTTCAGCCAAGCTCTTTCTCATGATTGACTTTCTTTCCACCCCTCCACTTCTCACCTTATTCAATATATGCATGACCTTCTATTTTGTAGCCCCTCCTTTGAATCTTCTCAACAAGACACCCTCCTCCTCCTTCAACATTTATTCTCCAAGGGATATCAGGTATCAGCCTCCAAAGCTCAAATTTCTTCTCCATCCGTTACCTACCTCAGCGTAGTTCTTCATAAAAACACACACGCCTTCCTTGCCGATCATGTCCGACTGATCTCTCAAACCCCAACCCCTTCTACAAAACAGCTCCTTTCATTCCTGGGCATGGTTGGATACTTTCATCTTTAGATACTTGGTTTTGCCAACCTAATAAAACCATTATATAAATTCACAAAAGGAAACCTAGCTGATCCCATATATCCTAAATCCTTTCCCCATTCCTCTTTCTGTTCCTTGAAGACAGCTTTAGAGAGTGCTCCCTCACTAGATCTCCCTAACTCATTCCAAACCTTTTTCATTGCACACAGCTAAAGTGCAGGGCTGTGCAGTCAAAATTCTTTCACAACAGCCAGACCATGCTCTGCAGCCTTTTTGTCCAAACAACTTAACCTTACTGTTTTAGGCTTGCCCCCATCCCCATGACTGTCTCTCTCTGATCCACCTGACATTCACTCCATTTCCCTGTATTTCCTTCTTTCCTGTTCCTCACCCTGATCACACTTGGTTTATTGATGGCAGTTCCACCAGGCCTAATCACCACACACCAGCAAAGGCAGGCTGTGCTATAGTATCTTCCACATCTATCATTGAGGCTACCACTCTGCCCCCCTCCACTACCTCTCAGCAAGCCAAATACGTTGCCTTAACTCAAGCCCTCTCTCTTGCAAAAGGACTACGCATCAATATTTATACTGACTCTAAATATGCCTTCCATATCCTGCACCACCATGTTGTTATATGGGCAAAGACAAATTTCCTCGCTATGCAAGAGTCCTCCACCATTAATGCCTCTTTAATAAAAACTCTTCTTAAAACCGCTTTACTTCCAAAGGAAGCTGGAGTCGTTCACTGCAAGGGCCATCAAAAGGCATCAGGTCACATGGCTCAGGGCAACGTTTATGCTGATAAGGTAGCTAAAGAAGCAGCTAGCTTTCCAATTTCTGTCCCTCATGGCATGGCCAGTTTTTCTCCTTCTCATTGGTCACTCCTATTTACTCTCCAAATGAAGTTTCCACCTATCAATCCCTCTCCACTCAAGGCAGATGGTTCTTAGACCAAAAAAAAAAATAAATAAATAAAATCTCCTTCCAGCCTCACAGGCCCATTCTATTCTGTCATCATTTCATAACCTCTTCCATGTAGGTTACAAGCCATTAGCCTGCCTCTTAAAACCTCTCATTTCCTTTCCATTGTGAAAATCTATCCACCATCCGCCACTCTTGACTCCCTCTTAGAGTGGATAGATGATCTTTGCTGACAGGGCACACTCCAATACTTTCGCCCTGATGAAGCCCTACTCTTTACTTTTATACTCACTCTTATTCTCGTTCCCATTCTTATGCCACCCTCTATCTCTCCCCAGCTGTCTCCACCACACTATCAATCTCATTCTCTCTCCTAGCCGTTTCTAATCCTTCTTTAACAAACAGTTGCTGGCTTTGCATTTCTCTTTCCTCCAAAATTGCCGAGGCCTCAATTTACTCACTGCTGAAAAAGGAGGACTCTATATTTTTAAATGAAGAGTGTTGTTTTTACCTAAATCAATCTGCCCTGGTATATGACAACATAAAAAAACTCAAGGATAGAGCCCAAAATTTCACCAACCAAGCAAACAATAACGTTGAATCCACTTGGACACTAATTGGACATCCTGGGTACTACCAACTCTTAGTCCTTTAATACCTATTTTTCTCCTCTTTTATTCGGACCTTGTGTCTTTCATTTAGTTTCTCAAGTCATACAAAACCACATCCAGGCCATCACCAATCATTCTATACAACAAGTGCTCCTTCTAACAACCCCACAATATCACCCCTTACCACAAAATGTTCCTTCAGCCTAATCTCTCCCACTCTGGGTTCCCACACCGCCCCTTGAAGCAGCCCTGAGAAACGTCACCCATTATCTCTCCATACCAATCCCCCCAAAATTTTCGCTGCTTCAACACTTCACCACTATTTTGTTTTGCTTTTCTTATTAATATAAGAAGACAAGAATGTCAGGCCTTTGAGCCCAAGCTAAGCCATCATATCCCCTGTGACCTGCACATATACATCCAGATGGCCTGAAGCAATTGAAGATCCACAAAAGAAGTGAAAATAGCCTTAACTGATGACATTCCACCATTGTGATGTGTTTCTGCCCCATACTAACTGGTCAATGTACTTTGTAATCTCCCCCACCCTTAAGAAGTTTCTTTGTAATCTCCCCCACTCTTAGGAAGGTTCTTTGTAATTCTTCCCACCCTTGAGAATGTACTTTGTGAGATCCACTCCCTGCCTGCAAAACATTGCTCCTAACTCCACCGCCTATCCCAAAACCTATAAGAACTGATGATAATCCCATCACCCTTTGCTGACTCTCTTTTCAGACTCAGGCTGCCTGCACCCAGGTGAAATAAACAGCCTTGTTGCTCCCACAAATCCTGTTTGGTGGTCTTCTTCACACGGACATGCATGACACACCACATGTGGCCTTGGAGTTTTCAGTTATGTAGATTGTTGCATATGGGTATTTGATGCTCATGCTGGCTTCACTCATTGATATCAAATGAAAATTAACAAAATCAAAACGTCAGAGCAGAGATATTGTCATGTTTGGGCCTCATCTTTTACTCTTTGGTAAATTGCCCATGGGGCTATAACCCAGAGCAAGCCTTCCCCCAGATCTTCTGTTCTTTCCTGAAGCTGCTCATTTTTCTAACGTTTTTCTTCATTCATATCCCAACCTCATTATCCTAGGCTTTGTCGATGAAAAGAGTTAAACTCTTTAAAATATATGAAGAGATTTATTCTGAGCCAAATATGAGTGATGATGGCCCGTGACACAGCCCTCGAGAAGTCCTGAGAACATGTGCCCAAGGTGGTCCCAGAGCAGCTTAGTTGTATACATTTTTAGAGAGGCATGAGACATCAATCAAATACATTTAAGAAATACATTGGTTTGGTCCAGTAAGGTGGAACAACTCAAAGCGGCGGGGCTTCCTGGCTATCGGTGAATTTAAATCTTTTCTGGTTGACAATTGGTTGAGTTTGTCTAAAGACCTGGAATTGATAGAAAGGGAATGTTCAAGTTAAGATAAAGATCGTGGAGACCAAAGTTCTTCTGAAGTGGCTGCCCTTAGAGACAATAGATGACAAATGTTTCCTATTCAGATATTAATCTCTTTAGGATTGGGAGGGTCTGGAAGAAAAAGATCTAGCTATGTTAATAGAGATTCTTTACAGACACAAATTTTCCCCCATAAAGAACAGCTTTGCAGTGCCATTTCAAAATATGGCAAAGAAACATGTTTTGGGGTAAAATATTTTGATTTTCTTCTTTGTCTCGTAATGTTATGCCAGAGTCAGGCTGGAAAGTAAATCATGGTATATAGGGTAAAATAAAACCCGTCTGAGGGCATGACTCCCCAGACCCCTTAGATAGGAATTTGGGCAAGATTAAAAAAAATCAGAGTTTAATCCTCAGCTTTCAGCTCAATTCTACCCTTCGACATGATCAAGGACAAAACAACAATCAGAAGCTTGCTCAGCTGGCAAAGGCTGCTTGCCTCCTTAGAAGGTAGGGGGAGGGGGAGGACTGCAAATCTTGTAATTTAATAATATTTACTTTATTGCTGTCATAATGATTATACATGCTGTATTATTTCCCCAGGAATGTCCTAACAAACTTGGTAGTCTAAAACAACAGAAATTTATTCTGTCACAGTTCTGGAGGCCAGAAGTTCAAAATCAAGGTGTCTTTAGGACCATGCTCCCTACAAAGGCTCTAGGAGAGAGTTCTTCCTTGTTTCAGATTCTGGTGGTTCCAGGCATTCCTTGGTTTGTGGCATCATGACTCCAATCTCTGACTCCTTTATGTCCTTTTTCACTGTGTCTTCTCTTGTAAAGATACTTGTGATTGGATTTAGGGTCCACTCAGTTAATCCAGGATGATCTTAGCTCAAAACTGTTAATTTAATCACATTGAAAAAATCCTTTTTTTAAATGAGGACATATTTGGTTTTTGATAATGAGGACATGGACAAATCATTTTAGAGGCATAATTCAACCCATGCACATGTTCGTTGTAAAAAAAAAAAAACCCACATAAAATAGAATACACACATATACACAAGTCCCAAAAATACAACACTGCAAAGATCTAGGGGGTTCTCACTTTGTAAGAAATCATTGAGCTATATACATCCTTGACTTTAACCCTTTAGAGTGCCCTTATAAAAGGAGTCTGAGAGAGAAGAGACCTGTCACTTCTTCCACCATCTGAAGTTACAGGGAGAAGACAGTAGTCTATAAACCAGGAAGTGGGCCCTCAGCAGATACTGAATTTGCCAGCACCTTGACTTGGATGTCCCAGCCTCCAGAACTGTGAGAAATCAATTTCTGTTGTTTATAAGCCAACCAGTTTATAATATTCTGTTGTAGCAGTCCAAATGAACTCAGACAGATAAACAATACGGAAAATAAAATCTGCAAAGGAGCCTGAGAGGAAGAGGACGAGGGAGGAGGGGAGAAGGAAAAGACTGAGGCATCAAAGAAATCCAGGAAAAAGAGCAGAGTGTGGTGGCTCACACCTGTAATCCCAGCACCTTCGGAGGCCAAGGCGGGTGGATCACCTGAGGTCAGGAGTTCAAGACCAGCCTGACCAACATGGTGAAACTCCATCTCTACTAAAAATACAAAATTAGCCAGGCATGGTGGCACATGCCTGTAATCCCAGCTACTCGGGAGGCTGAGGCAGGAGAATCGCTTGAACCCAGGAGGCAGAGGTTGCAGTGAGCTGAGATCGCACCATTGCACTCCAGCTTCAGCAACAAGAGCGAAACTCCATCTCAAAAAAAAAAAAAAAGAAATCCAGGAAAAAGAGAAGGTGTCAGTATTGTCAAAGCTGCTGCATATTCAAGGAAGATAAAAATCCCAGAAATATTCGTTGGATTCAGCAAAATGAGTTAACAGAAAAAGCTAGTACAGGAAATACTCTTGAAGAAGTTTGGCAGTCATGGCAATGGAAAGCCCAGTAAGTACAGCAGGATCTGGGGTTGCAGATTTTTTAAGAATGTAAAAGCCTTGAAAATATTTGCATACTGCAGGGAAATAACTAGTACAAATGTAAAGTTTCAGAGCACAGCATAAAGTTAAATAAGAGATGGTAGGTACTGAGAAAAAGCAGGGGTAAATAGATCTAGGCACTGGAGCAAGATTAGCCTCAGGCCGATGGCTCTTCACTTCCAGTGTCACCGGAGAAAAGAATGGTGCCACAAAGTTTGGGGAGGTATGATTATCTACAGAGTGAGAAAGGACATGGTGTATTCGAACACGAGGCACATAGAAAAGATTTAAGATAACCACTATGGAGAGAAGGATATTTCAAAAGAAAGAAAAATGTGGAAGCAAGGTGGGGTGGGGTGGCAGGTGATGAGAGCCCAGATGTGTTTTATAACCATGACTTTGTAAAAGTTTCAATTATTATGGGTGGATAATTAAGTTACTTCCAGCAGCATTCCAGGCCCATAAAGAAGGCAGAGACACATTGCCTCTTTGGCCAGATTTTCAATTGCCCTATTTTCTCTTTTTCGAATTTTCTACCACAAAATTTATTATAAAATCTTATACTCCAGGAGTTGAAATTCTATGTTGCTGAAATTTACACATAAGAAAATAAATAGATAGGAGAATTTTGAGTCAGGGAATAACATGGTTGGGAAAGAATCGTTAATTCAAACCCCCTTCTCCCATCCTCTCCATCTATCTTAGAAGTTATGTTCTCAGTGCAAGGAAAGATATTGCTCACAAATAAGCTAAGTAACCTAAAAAGCAATGTGGGATTTTACATATTTCGTCAAATATTTTAGACTGTTATGTCATCCAACTCTTTGGCCAACATTTTCTCTACTTTTTGACAGCCCATCTCCTACAGAGAACCTAGAAGCCAGTGTTCCCATCTGTCCTTGCAGTTAGTGGTGAGGGTTGGGGGCGCACAAGCATGGGGCCTAAATACCACCTGTCAAATGCAAGCATATCAGGCTTAAATTTGGAGCCAGGGACAATGGCACCGTGGGATCTACTTTGATGAGGACAGTGGTGGATGTGCCCAGTTTATGGAGGTGCCCGTGGCTGAGGCTGTGGCAGTCTTGTCCAGGGCACATCCTGAGAAGTACCAGTCTATGGTGGCATTGCCCAACAATGGCTGCAGGTCTGTCTTTGCTGGCAGTTAATCAATGGTTAAGTTAGAACTTTGTTCTTGACTGTGCAGTCTCTAAGCCTGGCTCTCTGGCCCCCGAGCAGATTCAGAGGGCTCCCTAACATCTTTTTAAGATTACTTTCTGCTTAACTAACCAGAATTGATTTCATTTGTTGGCAGCTAGGAACCCTGACATATACACGCAGACCAGAGTGTTGGATTTGAGGGTTTCTTGAGAAAAAAAAAAAAAAAAAAGATCTTTCCATATAGTCACTTATAATTCTGACCTCAATGAAGGCTATGGTTCCAGGACATTAGTGGATAAAGCAGAAAGTTCCACAACCTCAGAAGAGTCCCCAAAGTGGCTTTGGCAAATAATTTTGGAAACATCAAAAATTTAAGAAAAGGCCAACAACATTTTCTCCCTTCTATATGTGAAATGATTTGTTATCAGAGATCATTAGGATGGAAAAAGAGAAGTCTGGGCCCTTTTAACTTACTTAGAATCATATGTATAGAAAAAGCACAAAGGAAAAAAAAGCAAATTTAAATTTTAGTGTTCCTATGTATTAATTAAATAATTTGTAGTGTGTTTAGGGTTAAAATTATGAAGAAAAATAATATGTGGTGAGATACATGATGACAATGATTGAAAACGTATTGTATTTATTTTGCATGTTTTTATAAATAGCTAGGATATAGTCATGTGTTTATAATTCTCCAGTCTAGTACAGTGCTGGCAAGAAGGCAGTCTCTAAATATTGTGCATATGTACTGATATATTCAATCTTTGTACAAATGCATATTTAATTTACATGACATAAATATCAGGTTGCAAAGTGAATCCATATACATAACACTGTCTGTGTTTATGCTGAAGCTTCACCAGTCACATGGTGTTCAGTTTGGTAAGGAGTCCTAATGTTCAGCCTGGACTGGAATGTATACAAACACAGCTGCCAAAGTGGAGACTTGTGTTTCCATGTGCTGGCACAATGGGTTGCCAAATACCTTTGCTTAATCTTTGTTTAGTTCTCTTCTTTGATGTTGTAGCAGTGCAATTTTTCTACTTTATTTGGAATGGAATTATTTGTGACGTGAAAACATAGTGGACACAATCCTAACCTAAATTGAACCCCTCAAAGGCATTCTGTTGTTTTGTGAAGTCTTGCATATGACACAGGAGATAATCAGTTAGTATATACTAATTGTTTGCAAGTCAGCAAATCTTACTCTTCAGATAACTGGATATTTTGATGCAAAAACTTAGTGAGATCTATTGAAGCCTGATGATCTTTTTCCTTTGAAGTAAAAAAACTGTAATGAATTCAATCAAAATTCAGTTCTCCTAAACATGACATGGATAACAGCCTACATATATATCCTAAAGAGCTAGAGTATTGCAAATTTTTTTAACCTGTAGACATGTGCTAGATTTAAAACTCCTTGTACATGGGCAAGTGTGCAAGTCTTTTTAAAGAAACATGGTTTACCGATAGAAGCCATTTAGTTTTGAGAGATTGCTTTTGCTTTTCTTCCCCCCAGTTCAGTGATTTTTGGTGTATTCACAGAATTGTGTAAGTATCATCAAAATCAGTCTTAGAATATTTTTAGTACACTAAAAAGGAAGTTCACACCCATTAGCAGTCACTTCCCATTTTTTCTTAACTCTACTCCTTCCCAGCCCTAGGCAACCATTAATAGATTTTCTGTCTCTATGGATTTGCCTATACCAGACGTCCATATATATGTGTATATATGGAATCATACAATATTTATATGGAGTCATACATACATATGATATAGAATCATACAACATTTGATCCTTTGTGACTTCCTTTCACTTAGCATAATGTTTCCAAGCATCATCCATGTTATAGCATGCATCAGTATTTCACTTCTTTTTATTGCCAAATAATATTACTTTGTATGGATACACTACATTTTGTTTATTCATTCCTCAGCTGATGAACATTTGGATTGTTTCCACTTTTGGGCTATTACGAATAATGGTGCTATGAACTTTCATATACAAACTTTTGTGTGGACATATGTGATATGGTTTGGCTCTACGTCCCCACCCAAATCACATGTGCAATTGTAATCCTCAATGTTGGAAGTGGGGCCTGGGGGGGAGGTGGTTGATTCACGGGGGTGGAGTTCTCATGAATAGTGTAGCACCATCCCCTCCGTGCCTTTCTCATGATGGTGAGTGAGTTCTCACAAGATCTGGTTGTTTAAAAGTGTGTAGCACCTTCCCCCTCTCTCTTCCTCCTGCTTCAGCTATGTAAAGTGCTGGCTCTCCCTTTGCCTTCCACCATGATTGCAAGTTTCCTGAGGCCTCCCCAGAGGCAAAAGCTGCTATTCTTCCCATACAGCCTGCAGAACCATGAGCCAATTAAACTTCTTTTCTTATAAATAGCCCAGTCTCACGTATTTACTTATAGCAGTGTGAAAACGGACTAATATAATACGTTTTTATTTCTCTTAGGTATGTACGTAGGAATGGAATTACTGGTTTATATGGCAAATCTATGTTTAACCTTTTGAGGAACCATCAGAAAATTTTCCAAAGTGACTGTACCATTTTATATTCCCGTTAGCTTTGCACATAATTTTTTAGCCATCAAAATAATTTTATATTCTTGGAATTCATAAAAAGTTTGAATTTATATATTTAATACACCTTAATATTTGAGTAAAATCTAAGCAAAGAAAATTTTTTAACTGTTTAGAAATTATAGTTTATAATCTAAAATTTTAAATGATAATTTTTTTTTTTTTGAGATGGAGTCTTGCTGTGTTGCCCAGGCTGCAGTGCAGTGGCATGATCTTGGCTCACTGCAACCTCTGCCTCCTGGGTTCAAGCAATTCTCCTGCTTCAGCCTCCCGAGTAGCTGGGATTACAGGCACCCTCCACCACACTGGGATAATTTTTTTGTATTTTTTGTAGAGATGGAGTTTCACCATGTTGGCCCAGCTGGTTTCGAACTTCTGACCTCAAGTGATCCACCCACCTGGCCTCTCAAAATGCTAGGATTACAGGTGTGAGACACCACAATAATTGATTTTTTAAAGCCTGATTTTAATATCCATTTCTCCAGCCAGACGCAGTGGCTCACACTTGTAATTTCAGCACTTTGGGAGGCCAAAGTGGAAGGATTTCTTGAGGCTAGGAGTTCAAGACTAGCCTGGGGAATATGGCAAGACCCCATCTCTTAAAAAAAAAATCATTTCTTTAAATAGGAATTTTGCTTTATTACATATAATGATATTTTGTAAGATTATAAGGTGTACATGAAGTTCAAAAGATCCAATTATAGCCTGCCTTTCATTCCTGTGTTATGAGTTAATTCAATGCACTCCTATAACCTCTTAATAAATGGGAAGTCTATTTAGTAACAGAAAGCAGAAAATATTAACCATGCCTATCATTCGTAATTTCCATTTTTAATAAAATATACAAAATTCTTAACCTTTTCCAGGTGTTTACCACTTGTATATGCAAATAAATAAAACTAAGAATTAAAATTTTTCTCTTAGATATAAGATACATTTTAAACTGGTCTTCTGATACTAATAGTTTAGCAACCATTATTATGGTCTGATTTTGATACACACACACATACACACACAAACACACAGATCTGTAGTCATCCCAAGATATTTTGGTGAATCATTTGTACTTTCCCTATACCTCTGCTTTAGAATAAAATAAGTTTATTTCCAGTGTGAGACAAAAACAGTAGGATTGAGTTCTGTTTTTTAGTCTAGAACATAAACTATTGTCTATATAGCAGGATTTCAAATTAAACACCACTTATCTTTGTAATCGTCCAACACACAAATTACACACGTAACTTCCTAATATTTCAGATTTTTCCTGAAACATGCCCTTGTCTTATTGTACTTAGTACCAGGACACCTTAGAGAAGAGTTTAATTGCAGAATTACTGAAATGTTTGAAAATCTGGCTTTGTACAACCTTTCTATCTAATGTCTTAAGATATTATTTACAACAGAATTGATTTATCAGTCTCTCAGGCTCATTTAATCTTTAAAGTTTCTGAAGAATCACATTGACTCTGAATTTAAATGAGCCACCAAATACATTTTCAATTTATGTCATAGAGAGTTGCTGTTCTAAGGAAAATACAAAGACTCATATAGGTTTAATATTTGGTGATCACATGGGGCATTAAGATAATCCCATTTTTGGCCAGGTGTGTTGGCTCACACCTGTAATCCTAGCACTTTGGGAGACCAAGGTGGGCAGATTGCCTGAGCTCAAGCGTTGGAAACCAGCCTGGGCAACACGGTGAAACCCTGTCTCTACTAAAACACAAACAAAAATTAGCCGGGCATGGCAGTGCGCGCCTGTAGTCCCAGCTACTCAGGAGGCTGAGGCAAAGCAATTGCTTGAACCCAGGAGGCAGAAGTTGCAGTGAGCTGAGATTGCACCACTACACTCCAGCCTGGGCGACAGAGCCAAACGGTGTCTCAAAAAAAAAAAAAAAAAAAAAAAAAAAAGATAATCACATTTTCTACTACTAGGCAGTTACCTTTAAATAGAAGATAGCATGACAGTCCCCAACATCAGTTATTTCTCTTGTGAGTGTTAAACTTTAGACTTTATTTCATTCCCTGATTTTGAAACTACATCTGGATGCCTTAAGACCATAACATTCTTCTGGATTGAGTATGTCATCAATTTGCTGCCGATTCTCAAAGATTCCAGACTGTTAGTTATTAATCCTTTAACATTACATCTTTATGATAAATGAAGCATACTAAGGGATAATTGTGCTAAAAACAGGAAATGTACTTTCAAAACAAGAATATGTTGACCTTCCATATTTTTTTTTCTGCCTTCATCTGTCATAGTTGAAACTTTCTGAAAGAATCTTCTTCCTTCCTTGACTCATGATGAGTTACCTGCATTCCACATCCCAAAGCGGGTCAGTGTGTAATCAGGACAGAGCTTTTACCTGAAGTAAGCCAAGTTACAGATCCAAAAATTACTAGTTTAGTAATCTTCAGCAAGTAAATCTCTTAACCTAACTAAGCCTCAGTTTCCTCATTTATAAAATAATGGTAAATCGCACAGATCTTGCTTTCCCTAGAGGACAGTTTTGAGGATAATTGATAAATGCGAGAAACTAAAAAAAAAACCCTGTAAACTAACTGCCTTGCATTCATTTATTTAACATATGTTGGTTTTTAGAGAAATTCTAATTTTTTTTTCAAATGTCAAATTTAGATCTCAGTTTGGTCATTAAATTACTTGCAGATAGCCAGCGATTTTATCTTTCTCTTCACTAGATCAGAAACTATGCTGCATCATTGCTCAGTTTACCTGCTTTACACCAAAAAGAATTCCGTAGTCTAGAGTAATGCTTAAATCTTAATTGCTTATGACAAATATGTTGTTTTAGTTAAGTTCTGTGATCTTCAGAAACCTAAAAAGTAAAAGTAATCATATATCAATAAAGTACTATTTTATCTAACAATTATTCATATTACAGCTACAGCAACTTCATTCATTCTCCCCAGAACAACCCAGTAAGAAAAATGAGGCACAAAGATTCTAAGGCACACTTAATTTGCTCATTTATTCATTCTATAAATCTTTTCTAAACGCTTATCAATTGCCCGGTTTGGAACTAGTGGTAGAAACTATGAGATCTGCAGTCCTGTTTGATTCTTCCTTTGATCCTGCACAACCTAAAGAGGGCGCACTTACCACTCCTATCTTGAATCTTCCCTGAAAGCTTGTTTTGCTTTTCGCAACACAACCTTCTGTGCTAGGGATGACCTACATTCACTACAAGTGAAAGTAAGACCTACATACAGTCCTGCTGTCAATACAGCTGAGCAGTTGCAACTCCTTCTTCCTCCACCTCTGTCCAAGCCCTCTTTTAGTTCTGTAGACAAAGATCACAATATGGATTCATACTGGCCTGGATTGTAAGCATAGTAGAGAAGCAGTCTCCCCTGCCAGAGTAAACGCACCTGTACCTGGCACCATCTCTTCTGACTCCCTCCCAACAATTAAAGAATTGTACAAAGCAATCTGGTTTTTAAAAATTCTGTGAACCTGAAAATATAGGCTTTTCTCCAAGTTTCCGTCTTCTGTCTTCTTTAGTATTATCACCTACATTCCATCTTATCAGTGACTTGAAATTTATCCTGCACCAACTTCTGACAGCTTCAGTCAGTGATTTCCAGTTACTTCTTGTTCTATTAGTTTCTAAAGACCTTACCTTGAGATAATCTGATTAAGTAGATCTGAGTGGAAAATTGTAAAATCCAGCTTCTAGAACCTTATGCTCAATGATAAAAAGATCTCCAGATTCCATTCCAAGATGGCCGAACAGGAACAGCTCCAGTCTGCAGCTCCCAGTGTGAATGACGTAGAAGACAGGTGATTTCTGCATTTCCAACTGCGGTACCTGATTCATCTCATTGGTGGTTGGACAGTGGGTGCAGCCCACGGAGGGTGAGCCAAAGCAGGGTGGGGTGTCACCTCACCCGGGAAGCACAAGGGATCAGGGGATTTCCCTTTCCTAGGCAAGGGAAGCCATGTACCTGGAAAATCAGGACACTCCCACCCTAATACTGTGCTTTTCTATTGGTCTTAGCAAATGGCACACCAGGAGATTATATTCTGCACCTGGCTCAGCAGGTCCCACACCCATGTAGCCTTGCTCACTCCTAGCGCAGCAGTCTGAGATTGACGAGCTGACAGAAGTAGGCTTCAGAAGGTCGGTATAACAAACTTCTCCGAGCTAAAGGAGGATGTTCGAACCCATCGCAAGGAAGTTAAAAACCTTGAAAAAAAGATTAGATGAATGGCTAACTAGAATAAACAGTGTAGAGAAGACCTTAAATGACCTGATGGAGCTGAAAACCATGGCATGAGAACTATGTGACGCGTGCACAAGCTTCAATAGCTGATTTGATCAAGTGGAAGAAAGGGTATCAGTGATTGCAGATCAAATTAATGAAATAAAGCGAGAAGAGAAGTTTACAGAAAAGGAATAAAAAGAAATGAACAAAGCCTCCAAGAAATATGGGACTATGTGAAAAGACCAAATCTACATTTGATTGATGTACCTGAAAATGATGTGGAGAATGGAACCAAGTTGGAAAATACTCTTCAGGATATTATCCAGGAGAACTTCCCCAACCTAGCAAGGCAGGCCAACATTCAAATTCAGGAAATACAGAGAACACTGCAAAGATACTCCTCTAGAAGAGCAACCCCAAGACACATAACTGTCAGATTCACCAAGGTTGAAATGAAGGAAAAAATGTTAAGGGCAGCCAGAGAGAAAGGTCAGGTTACCCACAAAGGGAAGCCCGTCAGACTAACAGCAGATCTCTTGGCAGAATCCCTACAAGCCAGAAGAGAGTGAGGGCCAATATTCAACATTCTTAAAAAAAAAAGAATTTTCAACCCAGAATTTCATATCCAGCCCAACTAATCTTCATAAGTGAAGGAGAAATAAAATCCTTTACAGACAAGCAAATGCTGAGAGATTTTGTCACCACCAGGCCTGCCTTACAAGAGCTCCTGAAGGAAGCACTGAACATGGAAAGGAAAAACCAGTACCAGCCACTGCAAAAACATGCCAAATTGTAAAGACCATCGATGCTAGGAAGAAACTGCATTAACGAACGAGCAAAATAACCAGCTAACATCATAATGACAGGATCAAATTCACACATAACAATATTAACCTTAAATGTAAATGGGCTAAATGCTCCAATTAAAAGACACAGACTGGCAAATTGGATAAAGCATCAATACCCATCAGTGTGCTGTATTCAGGAGACCCATCTCATGTGCAGAGACACACATAGGCTCAAAATAAAGGGATGGAGGAAGATCTACCAAGCAAATGGAAAGCAAAAAAAAAAGCAGGGGTTGCAATCCTAGTCTCTGATAAAGACTTTAAACCAACAAAGATCAAAAGCGACAAGAAAGCCATTACATAATGGTAAAGGGATCAATTCAACAAGAAGAGTTAACTACCCTAAATATAGATACACCCAATACAGGAGCACACAGATTCATAAAGCAAGTCCTTAGAGACCTACAAAGAGACTTAGACACCCACACAATAATAATGGGAGACTTTTAACACCCCACTGTCAATATTAGACAGATCAACAAGACAGAAGGTTAACAAGGATATCCTAAAATTACTTGATTTATCCTTTGTCTTCCACATTATCACCTGCTTCACCTGGTCAACTCCTCCACTTCCATTAGGTACAAACGATCACACACACACACACACACACACACACACACACACTAACACACGCAATATGACAAAGTTCAAGTTATAGTTTTCTTTCTTTTTTTTTGAGATGGAGTCTCATTCTATTTCCAGGTTGGAGTGCAGCGGTGCAATCTCGGCTAACTGCGACCTCTGCCTGCCGTGTTCAAAAGATTCTCCTGCCTCAGCCTCCCGAGTAGCTGGGACTACAGGCACACGTCACCATGCCCGGCTAATTTTTGTATTTTTAGTAGAGAGGGGGTTTCACCACGTTGAACAGGATGGTCTCAATCTCTTGACCTCGTGATCCGCCCACCTTGGCCTCCCAAAGTGCTAGGATTACAGGCGCCAGCCATTGCGCCTGGCCAAGTTACAGTTTTCTAAGCGTCTGTTCCAGTACTAGCCCACTGCTTTATAACATGTTTGTGGGATTTGTCTTTAAATAAGTGAATTGGGCCGGGCGCGGTGGCTCACGCCTGTAATCCCAGCACTTTGGGAGGCCGAGGCGGGCAGATCACGAGGTGAGGAGATCGAGACCATCCTGGTTAACACGGTGAAAACCCATATCTACTAAAAATACAAAAAAATCAGCCGGCCGTAGTGGCGGGCGCCTGTAGTCCCAGCTACTCGGGAGGCTGAGGCAGGAGAATGGCGTGAACCCGGGAGGCAGCACTTGCGTGAGCAGAGATCACGCCACTGCACTCCAGGCTGGGTGATAGAGCGAGACTCCGTCTCAAAAAATAAAATAAAATAAATAAGTGAATTAATAAAATAGGTTTAAGAGAAATGTAATAAAACTTTCTCTTCCCATTATTTTCCCTAGAATCTTAGGCCATAGTCTTTTTAAATTGTCTTGATAAAATTACTCAGTGGGTAGTCCCTTGCAAAAAGAACTAATATATTGTTTATTTGTTTTGTATATATCCATAGAGTTCATTTAAAGATATCTTAAATTGTTAGGAATTCTTTAAAAATTGGGGGTTGTTGGTATTTGAGGCAATATTTCTACTCTGTATCATTTCATTAGATATAAAAATATTTTGTCTTAACTAAAACATCCCAAAGTGCTATGATACAAATTCTCTTTTGAGCAAAAACTAAATTTCTCTCATTAACTATACAGATGGTATAGATTAGATAATTTGAAATTAGTTATCTAATTTCTTTATTTGTTTTTCTTTTTTTTGAGATGGATTTTCACTCTTGTTGCCCAGGATGGAGTGCAATGGCACAATCTCAGCTCACTGAAACCTCTGCCTCCGAGGTTCAAGCAATTCTCCTGTCTCAACCTCCCAAGTAGCTGGGATTACAGGCGTGAGCCACCACTCCCAGCTTTATTCTGTTTTTCACAAAGGAGGGAGCATTTGCAATTATATATGATTGTTCTAAACAATCATTTGAACAGTGATTGCTATATGTTTTATATCAGGCACATATGAACCCTTGGTAGTAAGAGTTATTTTGCTTTATCTAGACAGATAAATGTATAAGGAATACATTTTATGAAATTAAAAAGGGAAACTTCTGCCCATTTCCAACTCACGGTGGTAAAATGTTTTTTTCACTTCTTGTTCAAGGGGAATAGTGTGATAGTGTTAACCATATGCACTGTGATATTTCTGCCTCCACCCCTATCACAGGATGACCAACAGTAATAAAATAAACAAATATTGGATAAAAACAAACAAACAAAAAAAATGTTTAAACCAGAAATACTTAAAACAGAAAAAATGTGGCTGAAATGTGAGTTAAACATTGATGGTTTGAAGGTAGAGAAAAATTATTTTTCTCAAAATTATAATTAGTCTCTGCCTTAAAAGTTGTAAAAGTCTGAATATTCCTTTGGGGCCTCCTGCTTTTAGGATTTAGAAAAACCCCCCTTTATTATTATTTTATTTATTTATTTATTTTCATTTTTTTTTTTTTTGAGAAGAGAGTCTCCCTTTGTCGCCCAGGCTGGAGTGCAGTGGCGCGATCTCGGCTCACTGAAACCTCCACCTCCTGGGGTTCAAGCAATTCTCCTGCCTCAGCCTCCCTGAGTAGCTGGGACTACAGGTGCACGCCGCCACGCCCAGCTAATTTTTTTTTGTATTTTTAGTAGAGACGAGGTTACACCATATTGGCCAGGCTGGTCTCGAACTCTTGACCTCAGGTCATCCGCCTGCCTTGACCTCCCAAAGTGCCGGGATTACAGGTGTGAGCAACCGCACCCGGCCTAGAAAACCCCTTGAATGGGACCATTAGGTATAACAACATAACAAGTACCCAACTATTAGTTTTACTAATAGTGAAATAACTGTTAATGCAGATATTTTACATTGAAAAGCTAGGCATTCTATTGTGTAATATTGCATTAAAAGTGGTTTCTCCAGGATTCATGTCTATTTAAGAACAAAAAGGTATATGTCATTTGTATTTTCTCTGTATGAAAATTTGCCTTCAAAACTATCATGTTTTCTGGCCGGACACAGTGGCTCACACCTGTAATCCCAGCACTTTGGGAGGCCGAGGTGGGCAGATCACCTGAGATCAGGAGATCGAGACCAGCCTGGCCAACAGGGTGAAATCCCTTCCTTACTAAAAATGCAAAAATTAGCTGGGCATGGTGGCACGCATGTGTGATCCCAGCTACTCGGGAGGCGAGGCAGGAGAATCACTTGAACCCAGTAGGCAGAGGTTCCAGTGAGCCAAGATTGTGCCATTGCATTCCAACCTGGGCAACAAGAGTAAAACCCCATCTCAGAAAGAAAAAAAAAAAAAAAACTATCACTTTTTTTGTGGAGGTCTGTGGATTCTTGTTTGAGTAGTTATTCTTAGGATAATAAGCATTCATTCAATAAATCCACTGAATTCTTACTGTGTGCCACACACACATTGCTGTAAATATGGGGGAGAAGGCAGCACACAAAATTGACATTATCCTTGCTTCCTGGAACTTACAATAGGAAGTAAGAGGGGGACAGTTAGAGAAGGAACACAATAGACAGATATGAATCATGTCAGGTAGTAACAAGTGCAAAGAAGAAAAACAAAAGCAGAGTAAGGAATAGGAATAGAGAGTTCTGGTGGAGAGAGGGGTACAAGGCAGATATTTTAAATAAGGCTTTCAGGGAAGGCCTCTCTGAGGAGGTGATATTGAAGCCTGGGAAAGAGCTTAACCTCAGAAGCAGAGACACTACATGAGAGGCTCTGGAATTTTGATGGGCATTAGAGACACAGCAGTGGTGGTGGTGATAAGTGGTCAGGTTTGAATATATATGTCAACAGGACTTGCTGAGAGTTCATGTTGGATGTATGAGGATGTAGATATATTGGGTTCTAATGAATGAGATAAATATTGAGTGAAAAGAGCAGGTTTAGGGGCTGAGATGCTTATCTGCCATTCATTTGTAGAGTTCAAGAAAGATGTCTACGTTGAGACAAATTTGGGAGAATACAGATTGTTTAAATCCCTGGTATGGATGAAATTACGTAAGGAAAAAGTATAAAGACCTAAGGAGCCTTGGAGTACTCCAACAAGAGGCCATGGAAACTTGTGACAGAGAGGATTAAAATGTTCATGGAAGAAGACAGAAATGCACAAAAGCGTGCACAGATCTGGACTGTAGAAATAAAATATAACACACAATATTAGTTAAAGCTGGAAATAATTAGGACTCATTTGTTCTGATGTGTCCCCCTATTGAGGCCCTGTTGGACTGGATGTTCTGTCAATCATGCCAGTGTAACCAAGTAGTTTAGCTTCAAAATGCATATTGAAACTTTTTTCCTTTCTTGCTTTTAGCCTTGAAACATACTTTAAAACTCTGTCTCCGGCCCTTCACACCAGACACTCCCTTGCCCTGCTAGCTTATCTAATTATGTGCTTACTTAGAAGTTCAAGGGGCCAAAGTTTTTGTTGTTGTTGTTGTTGTTGTTTGTTTTGAGACAGTCTCACTCTGTTGCCCAGGCTGGAGTATAGTGGCACGGTTTCAACTCACTGCAGCCTCCACCTCCAGAGTTCAAGGGATTCTCCTGCGTCAGCCTCTTAAGTAGCTGGGATTGTAGATGCCCACCACCTCGCCTGGCTAATTTTTGTATTTTTAGTAGAGGCAGGGTTTCACCATGTTGGCCAGGCTGGTCTCGAACTCCTGACCTCAAATGATCTGTCCGCCTTGGCCTCCCAAAGTGCTGTAATTACAGGCGTGAGCCACAAGCCCTGGCCCCAGGGCCTAATCTTGAGACAAACTAGACACAAAGACCCAGTTGTGAAATTCCAGAGATTACCTCAAGGTGGTTAATCTACAACCTGGCCATTGTTGAGACTCTGATGCCAGCCTGCACTCCAGGTAGACCATGACTCAAGACAGCCACCAGAACAAGACACATAGACCTTGTACCCAGCACTACTCCCACTTGCCTCCATTCCAGGTTCCCATTTTAAAACTCCTCTCCCCAGCCTAAAGCTTGAGATGGTTCGAGGCCTGAGCCCAGCCATTCTTCCATCTGTCAGCATTTGAAAAAAAGCTGCTTTCCTTTTACATCTCACGTCTCGTGCTTTGACTTCTGAGGCCCAGTGGTAAAAAGGCATCATGCCACACTACACAAGACTCACTTTCTGTGTCCCTATTTCTTATATTTGGATCTGCCTCTTGTAGTGTGGCATAATGCCTTTTTACCACTGGGCCTCCTGGCAGTTGGACCTGCACTCAGGTATGGATATGCATGTGAAGGCTTTTCCAGAGGAAGGGACAAACTGTCCTGTGACTTGAAACTAGGTGGAGCTAGGCCTTGAAGCTGTCCATAAAAGAAGTTCAGGAGGAGGGTTTAGACTTGTGGACTCCGGAAATTCTTATCTAGGACCCATTCCAAGTGAATTTTGGGTTGTACTTCCCTTCTGACATCCTCTTTCTAAAGTTTTGTCAAAAATTGTACCCTGGCTCTATGCTGCCATGGATCAAAATGAATTAACCGAAATGAGAACTCCCTAGAATACAGTGGGTAAGAGAAGAGACTCAGAGCCAGACACAGGAAACAAACTCCTGCTCCACTGCTTTTTAGCTGAAAAATCAGTTAGGAGGTAAATTAGTATAGGTGAGAGGTCACAAAAACCAGATCCAAGTAGTGGAAATGGGAATGGAAAGACATGAATTAAAGGGAGCTTGATAGCTAATCATAAGTGGGATATAGGATAATTTTTTAAATGGCCCTGAAATTTCCACTTGGAACTGCTGAATAAATTGCCGTCAACCAAAACAGGAACTAAAAGAGGAAGGCCATGTGTTTAGCAAGGATGCTAATAAAATGATACAAGGGAATCAATGTTTATATCCCTCTCAATAATTCTCTAAGAAATTCTCTATTATTCTCATAATAAATATGCATGGAAACAACTAAAGTGAGGTATCCTAAACATATACATCTATATCTATCTATACACATACACACACATACACAGGCTGTGGCAAAGGTGAGGAAGGACACGATTTCAGTATGTGCATGCTTAACTTATGTATATCATAAAAAATCAGGCTATGTAAGAGAAGAAGAATGCTACATGCATCTGATTTTTAATTTTTATTTTCATAGATTAAGGGGGTATAAGTGCAGTTGTGTTACATGGATATATTGTGTAGTGGTGAAGTCTGGGCATTTAGTGTCGCCATCACCCAAATAATGTACACTGTACCCAATAGGTAGTATTTCATTCCTCACCCTTCTCCCACCCTTTCACCTTTTGAAGTCACCAATGTCTATGATTCCACTCTACATGTCTATGTGCATCCATTGTTTAGCTTCTACTTAGAAGTCAGAACACAGGCATCAGATTTGATCTGGGTCCTGATATTTAATTCAAAAAGAGAATCAAAGTAAATTACTCAGTTGTAGTTATTTAAAAGGAGAAAACTTACCCATTTCTTATGATTAGTATTTCTTCAAAGTGTCTAATCATTAATTATCTGAAATACTTACTTAAAATACAGATCACTGGCTCCTCTCCTGATGATTCTGATTTGGGGGGGTCTGAAATAGGAGGAACCAGGAATCTATACATTTACAAGCATTAACAGGTGATTCTCATCATTAGCCAAGTTTGGAAAACCACAATTAAAGGTGAGGTTCGCAGAGGCCCTAGTGCCTCAGTACTTTTTCATGGTACCTCAGGCCAAAATAAATAGCCAACATTTCTATTTATGAAATTGATAGATCCAAACTTGATAGTTGTAGTTGTTAATATGGTCCAACAGATGTCACTGTGTTTCCCTCAAAAAGTTAAACTATCCCACAGAACCCCTAGGAATTCTGAGGCACCCCAGAGCACTATTTACAAGCTACAGGCCCTAAAGGGAATTTTTTTCTGGCATAGAATGTAAGTAAAAGCTCTGAATGGGCCTTCTATAAGATCAGGCAACAAAGTGAACCTTGTGTTCCACAAATTCCATTGCTTTTAATATCATTTGTTGCTGTTTTCATATGGTTTTTATATATAGAACAGGCACACCAAACATTTTTCTACAGAGGCAGAGAGCACATTTATTTTGTATGTGTGTGTTGTGGGGGGCATAGATGATCTTGATTGCATATTCTTTTCTTATCCATTCTCTTGCAGCCCTTTAAACTTGTAAAAACCATTCTTATCTCCTGAATTTGACCTACAGGCTGCAGTTTGCCAACCACTACTGTAGTTTTAAAACCTAGGGTATAACATTAAAGTGCAATTCAGTGAGGACGATTCTGCAAGATTGGAAGCCCTCAGTGTTTTTGTTTTCCTTTTTTCCCTTTTTGCTCCAGGGAAGACTGTGCAAGGAACACTGGAAGGACTTAGAGATTTCAAAACTACTGTAAACAGAGGGTGGCCACAGAATTTTCTTGCTCTAAATTCTTGACTTAAGGAGAATCTGCAAGTTATCCCAGTTTAATAAAGAATCCCTATTGAATTTCCAATAAAAGGAAATAGGTTATTGCACTAAGCCCTTTATCAATTATTAGCTGATTATGTGAATGGCTAATGAGATTTCACAATTATAACTAATCAGGCAATCCTTAGTTTATAATAGATTCATGTTTATAGAATATGCCATTTGATATTTCTAGCTCTTATTCCCAAAATTAGTGTGGCTGTCTTGAGATTATGCATTGTGCTCAGAACTTAGGTTTTTACGTCGTTTTTTGTTTTTGTTTTTGTTGTTTTTGAGACGGAGTTTCGCTCTTGTTGCCCAGGCTGGAGTGCAATGCCGCTATCTCGGCTCGGCAACCTCCGCCTCCCGGGCTCGAGCGATTCTCCTGCTTCAGTCTCCTGAGTAGCTGTGATTACAGGCGCCCGCCACCACGCCTGGCTAATTTTTTGTGTTTTTCGTAGAGATGGGGTTTCCCCACGTTGGCCAGGTTGGTCTCGACTTTTTAAAGAATCCGGTATGACAAGTATGCATGTTCCTGTGCTAGTCATAAAAGAAATAAATATCACTGGCAATAGCGGTCTTGAGAAAAACTAGGATATTTCTTGAGGAAACTCCAATCCATATTTAAAAAGAAAAAAAGCACACTTTTAAAAAAGTGTACCATATAGGTTCTTCCAAGTTACAGTCTTACAGCCTTCACCAAAAAGATGTTTGTCGATTAAAGCTTTCCTACAACTTCAAGTCATTACTTCTTTTGCAGGTTGTCATAAGCACCCTGAAATTACCGCTGAAAACATTTTATAAATTTAGTCATCCATAGAGACTCCAATATTCCACAAGGGCAGGGACAGTGTATTTTGCTCACCATTTTATCCCCAAGCACACAGAATTGTGTCTACTGCCTATTAGGTGTTCAATAAATATTTGTGAACTTATTGATCAAAGACAAAATTTAGTCAGAATCATCCAATGAAAAGCATTTTGCATTTGATGACTAGTAGACTTAGATGAACAGTTCCAGGACCACCACTAATTTTCCTTGGGTCATTAGAAACATCCCTTTGGGGCTGCGGAGAGAAAATCCAATCTGGCCGCTGCCCCACAGCCCCTTTCTGTTCTGCGCGTTTGCCTCGCCGTTCTGATGGAGGAGGAGGTGGAGGTGGAGGAGCAGCAGCGATTTTCTTAGCCATTTTCTTACCAACAGAGGCCAAAGGAGGCAGCAGTGGACTACACTGTGGGTTGTCTTTGCGAGGAAGTGGCATTGGGCAGAGATGCAGTTCAGCAAACTTATCATTGCAGCAATTTCGGAGCTGACTTTTCGACAGTGCAAGATCTAGAAATGTGTGCAAGACATGCGAAAACCACCACCATTAACACTGAAGATGTGAAGCTCTTAGCCAGAAGGAGTAATTCACCGCTAAAATACATTCAGACAAAAGTGAAGAGCTTGCGCAGATTAACCTAGAACGAAAGGCACAGAAGACAAAGAAGAGGATGGAAACAAAAATGCAAGGGAGCCAGCAGAGGCTGGAGTACAGGAAAGTTAAGAATTAAACTCTCCCGCTGCTTGGAAAATGCAGCTTTCTGCAGGTAGAGCCACCTAGTATGTATATGGCCACAAAGGGAATTTTGAAGGGATAAATAGAGATTAAAAAAAAAAAAAAGGCTAGATGGCTTTTTGTGTTGTATTTTCCAAGTCGTTAACTGCAAACGCTAGTTTTAAAGAGAACTGGACACTCAATCAAAATACTCCTGTCTCACTCCAGCACATACAAATGGTGTAGTTGAATGGTATATTGGAAATTATATCTATTGCAATTAAAATTGTGTGAGCAATTTGAAAGAAAAGAAAAAAAGAAACATCCCTTTCATCTTTCAGAGTGTATTTCCTTATGTGTCAAACTGGAATATTTCTATCTGTGGCCAGTTCCCCGGGATGCTGCTAGAAACACGTGAGACAGCGCGTTCATTTGCTCTACAAAAAGCGAATGAAGGCGCAGTTACCAGGCCAGTCAACCCAGGCTGTTTAAGGTCAACTACTGGGGGACTTCCACGTCACCTCGATATATACGTAACGCGTGTGTGCCGTAACCCGTGAACTATGGAATCCCTAACCGCGAATCACGTGGCTGCTGCCCCGCGGACGCCCTAGACGACGTGAGGGAAGGCGGTGCCGGGCGGGGCCTGTGCCAGGCTGGCGGGCCGCCGCAGACAGAGCTACCCGGAGCAACCGTTCAGGGGTGAGGCCGGAAGTCCCATCCGACCTCGCGGGCAGCCAGCGCTAGGCCGATTCGAACTCGACCTTGTTTTGGCGTTGCTAGGAGACGCGGCTCCTGCGCGCCCCCTACAGGCCGGCGCCCGGGCGGCGCGCGGGCAGGGGGCGGGGACTGTCGCGTGGAGCTGCCGGGCGAGCACCGTTAGGGCAGCCTGGCGCGCGGCGCCCGCCAGGCGCCCAGTCCTCTGCCATCGCCCACGCCTCCCTGGTGCCAGGGAACAGGTATCAGCGCGCCTCCCCAGCGGCTGGGAGAGACGCTGAATGAAGAAGAGGGAAGGACGGTTAGTCAGGTGAGCCGCGGCGGGGTGGGCGGCCGGGGCGGCCACGCCCTGCCGAGGGAGAAGAGCCGGTCGTGTGCGGAGGGACAGGGTGAAGGGATCCCACTTCGGGGAGGATGGGCTTATCCCGGCGGGCGCGCCAGGTGGGATCTCTAGCGCCTCAGGGGCCCGCGCGGCAACAGCCGGCACCCTCGGGCCCGCGGACAAAGGGTTAACGCGTTGGCAGTGACTGCGGGCCCCGGATGTGAGAGCCTTGGCTTGACGCCCTGGCTGCGCTGCAGGTGCGCCGGGCCGAACGGAGCCGGCAGCCTGGCGGCGACCTGACCGCCCGAGGCTCCCCTTCACCTGCAGCGGCTGCTCGGCTCCCTCTGGGAACGCCGCCTTTTCTAACTTAAGGGCAACAGGTGGTGCCGGTGGACCGAGAGAGAGCTCAGCTCCGCCGCGCTGGGAGCGGCAGTTACCCTCACCAATTAGGGAGCGGGGGCGGGAGTTGCATGGCTTCCCTGATGCGGGTGACCAATGGGATTTGGGATCATGAGTGGACCGGGAGGAGTGGGCGTGGTCGGAGTCTGAGTCCAAGGTTTCTCGTGCGGCAACTGCCAGAGCTGCTTGGAGAGCTAAGCTGGAAGGGTGCTTATCCCTGCGTAGAAACGCCTGCCAATGCTTTCTCATTTGGACCCAGACTCCAGATCGGGAGGTGAGAACGTTGTTATTTTGCAAGGGGTAGGAGGTAATAGTGATCTTGGGTATGCTGTTAAGCATGTGGAATTAGATTCCGAAGATAGGACTATCTGCTATGAGTTTTCTGCCAGATAGGCACTTTGTGGTTACGGCCACTTAGACCAGATACTGGTGACTGGGTTCTTTCCAGAATGAGGTCTTTGAGGTTTGGGGACCCAGGAGAAAAACGTACATATTACTGCAATTTAAGTAAACCAGATAATTTCAATCACTGTTATTCCATCGTTTGTCTTGGACTGTGTGTGTTTTCATGTACGTTTCATATCTCGTCTGGTTTGTTTAGCGCAGCAAGTTATAGTAAGTTCTTCGTGTTGTTTATTTTAGCAAAGTAGAGCAAACCTGTTTTAATGTATTATTTCGGGAGAATAACTTATTCCTTCTTCCGTCTCCCAGCAGTCTTATAGCTGGATCAGCTACCAAGAGAAGTTGTAAACCAAGAAGAGAAAAGCATTTCAATTTGGGACATTTATTTGCACCTGGAAATGGGGAATGGGCTGTCAGACCAGACTTCTATCCTGTCCAACCTGCCTTCATTTCAGTCTTTCCACATTGTTATTCTGGGTTTGGACTGTGCTGGAAAGACAACTGTCTTATACAGGCTGCAGTTCAATGAATTTGTAAATACCGTACCTACCAAAGGATTTAACACTGAGAAAATTAAGGTAACCTTGGGAAATTCTAAAACAGTCACTTTTCACTTCTGGGATGTAGGTGGTCAGGAGAAATTAAGGCCACTGTGGAAGTCATATACCAGATGCACAGATGGCATTGTATTTGTTGTGGACTCTGTTGATGTCGAAAGGATGGAAGAAGCCAAAACTGAACTTCACAAAATAACTAGGATATCAGAAAATCAGGGAGTCCCTGTACTTATAGTTGCTAACAAACAAGATTTGAGGAACTCATTGTCACTTTCAGAAATTGAGAAATTGTTAGCAATGGGTGAACTGAGCTCATCAACTCCTTGGCATTTGCAGCCTACCTGTGCAATCATAGGAGATGGCCTAAAGGAAGGACTTGAGAAACTACATGATATGATCATTAAAAGAAGAAAAATGTTGCGGCAACAGAAAAAGAAAAGATGAATATCAATACCTATTATATCTGTGTGGAGTAGGTTTTCTCTGGTCTGATTTTGACAAATAGAAGAGTGTCTACAGCGTGGTTTGCCTGTCTGCCCTCCTGGATGCTATTAAAGCTTTGTTTTGTTGAACAATCAGATGCCCAACTCTGTTGCCTTGTGGAAGATGAGTAAATGCAGTGCTTCTTAAAGTGGTCTCTTCTCCCTACCCCACAAATCTTTTGGTACTACCATTTGGGGAAGCCAAGCAAGGATAGTAAATTGACCAGAACACAGTTGTGGGAATTTGGTCTGAAGTTAGTGAAATAAAACTTTAAAGAGTGTCTGCCTAGTGTTTTGTGCTTACATCTTTCGGGGGGAAGCCTTTGCAAGAAAATTGCATACAAGGCTTTGTAACGATCAAGTGCTAATCGATGGAAATGTTAAGGTAGATTAACATATATGCAGTTATATTGATCACATTGGTCCAACCAGTCCTTTTTTGAAGTAAGGGACAAGGAGTAAGTATTTTCTTTTTTAAGTTTCTGCCAAATGATTTTTGACGCTTTCTGGAATCAAGTAATTTAATAGTATAGCTTAATTCTAGACAATGTTTAAGTTGGTCTACCTTTATTAAAAATAAGATATTTGGGGTATATTCAAGTGCATGGATTAGTTTTCCTGACAAAGCATGTTTTGGTGTGTAGTCTTACTTTTTAGAAATAGCTATGCATCGTTCTACACAGGTTTAAAACAACTTTTTTGGGGATTTAGGGCTATTATAGGAATAGTTTGTTGTCAGAAGCACTTTCACTTGAAGAACCTAAAATGATTGACTCATTCATAGTAAATATGGGCATGTAAACTAATAAATATGCACTGGATACATATATGGATTTATGAAGAAGGCGATTTAGTCAAGAGGATGTAATTAAAATATGTGGTCTCTAAAATATTCCAGTTACAAGATATTTGTTTTATTAATATTTGCTGGCTAAAAACAAATGTGGTTTTTATATATTTTTGTAGTGTGTTGAGAAGAGCAAAAGCTTTATAAATATACCTGATGCGCTGTAGAATGAAAATGTAAAAGATAACCTGTATGTGTTCCGAGCTTTAATTTTTTGTTTACAAATTGAACAGTGTTACATGGGCTGTCCAGTCCTGATTATAGAGAGGAAGAAATGGTAACAGTATGGCAGATAAGAATTACAATTATAGAAAATGAGGGGAAAATAACAAACCTGTTTTATGAAAATTCACTGGTGCTGTTTACATTGGAATAAAAAGCTCTATAAGGAGGAAAGGCCTTTATCTAATTCTTATCTACAGACACTTACTTCCAGTGACCATATTTTACTAAATCAGCTTATTTTTTATGTCTAAAGCAACAGCTGTTCTGAAAAATCACCAAAAGAAATGCACTTTGCTAGCAGGATTTGTTTTGGCTTTGGGTTTTGTTTTTTTGTTTTTTTTTTTTTTCAGTGGCATAACAGTTTTTGGAACCTTGATTCTTGTGTCACACAAAATGAATGAAGTAGCTTGATGTGGAGCCTTCATATGTTAAATATTCCTGCACTAGTGATGGTCACTTAGAATGTTTATAGAAATGTGGATAATAACTACCAATAAACTACTTGAGGCACTAGGAGAACAGTATTTGACTTTGAATTTTAATGTATTTCCACTTTTGCTGAAGCTTTTAATCAGATGTGTAAAAACAATTGACCAGCTAGGCTATTTAGTCCCATAGTAGTTCAGATCTGCTTAGATGTGACAGGCATTGAAGGCTGTTTTTTTTTTTTTCTCCCTTCACTGATACTGAAATCATGGTATCTGCTGCAAACATGAGTAGATCCATGATGGATTAATAAAGCTTGCTGAAAAAAAAAATCTGTGTATCAATTAGATTTACCAGTTTGCCTGTACTTTCTGTCTACCTACTATGTAAAATAGTGCTGTTTTTAAGTATTTCAAAAGCTTGTGTGTTGACCCTTTGTAGCCTAAGTACGTAAACAAATTAATGTTATCTAAGTTTTTCATATTTCATGGACAACAAAAGAGAAAATGGTATGAACACTGTACAAACTTTGATTTATAAAAGACAATTTCAGCTATAAAACCCATCCTAAGATTTTCTAGCTTGCTAAGTTCAAGTTCCCTACCGCCTATTCTAGTTATTAACACTGTAGTATAATGAGTCTTTAAATTCTGAAGAGTTTAGACTATGCTTTCATATCTAGTTTCTTCTTATGGCGCACCTTTTCTAGTGCATAGTTCTAAAATATTTTCTTGTATTTGAAGTTACTTGGTTTAATACAAAATATTAAGGACTGCTCAACTGAATCCAAGTTAATATCAAAGAACAAAGTGTAAGAAAAATAAAACCTTTTGATAGTTAAAGATAATTTTTAAAATGTGCAGAGTTCTTAAAATGGTTTATAAATGGTATTCTTAAACCATCAGAAGTTTACTAAGACTTAATCATGGAAAAATGAACTAAATCTTTATAGGGAGACAAAAAAATGAAGTTATTAATGTAAATATATATATAATATATAAGAATAATTACTGGTCTGTAAATGAGTGATGGTTTATCAACAGAGGGAAAGGCATAGACTTTGTTTGTACAAGGCATTTTTTTTTTTTTTTTGAGACAGAGTCTTGCTCTCTTGCCCAGGCTGTAGTGCGGTGGCACAATCTCAGCTTACTACAACCTCTGCCTCCTGTATTCAAGTGATTCTCCTGTCTTAGCTTCCCAAGCAGCTGAGATTACAGGCACACCACCATGCCCAGCTAATTTTTATTTTTAGTAGAGATGGGGTTTCGCCATGTTGGCCAGGCTGTTCTTGAACTCCTGACCTCAGGTGATCCACCCGCCTCAGCCTCCCAAAGTGCTGGGATTACAGAAAGTAGCCACCATGCCCAGCCTGTACAAGACATTTGATGCAAGGATTGTTCCATTAATAATTCATGGTGACCTTGAAGGAAATCTTTGGTTTTTCAAGATTCTATTTAATACAACAATTTCCTCTGTAATGTAAACAATGATTTCATCAGCGATAATAAAGATGCAAAAAAAGTTTTATCAAACTTTATATGATGTAAAAACTCAGCATTCAGCTGATGCAATTGAGAATCTTGAGTACACCATCATTTGAAGCTGGAATTTTACCTTTAAGGTTTAAATTTGGCGGAACATTCTGGAAATGTAAAATCATAATGTTAATATTAAAATCTATGAAGATCAGAAGTAATAGTCTCAACAAACCATAGCCAGAGTATGTATTCAATTCTGTGCATGCACATTAAAAATATGGGAATACCTGTACAGGAAGCTAGTTTAGGAGGATGTTAAATGTACTGGCTAAAAACATGAGCTTTGGAGTCAGATCAGTGTTCAAATCCTGGCTCTCCCGTTATTACACATGAACCTTTAGCAAATTCCTTGAAACTTATGATGAGAATGCCCTCCTGGTTAAATGAAGACTGTTTCATAGAATTTTGAGAGTGTTGAAATAACATGTACAAACTTTCACATATTGCCAAGCATTTGATAAAAACTGACCTACTATTGTTAACCAGTAGGAATCAATATGTTTATTATTTCATCTGGGGCAATTTACTTGCAGCCTTAGTTTCTTAATTTGTAAAGTGTGGGTTATATATATCTACCACTGGGGTATAACTGATTAAAAGGATTAAATCAAGCAATGATATTTAGCAGAGTAACTGACACTTTAGTAAGCATTCAATTGATAGTTATTAATAGCCAGAATACCTTATGATCAACGTATTTAAAGAAAATACTTGTTTTGGCAGGGGAATATAACATAGTGAGCTCATACATGTCACAAAATGGCAACTTGGTGGAACTTAGTGAAAGTCTAAATATGCTGAACTCCCTTGAAATATGGATCATTTCAAGGGATCATATGGTACTTAGGTTTCTAAAGTACCAATTTATTGTAACACAATATTATCTTACCTTTCCCTGTAAGAGATAAAATTTAATTTAAAATCTCGGTTATTTTCTGGTGTAGGCATATATCAAAATACAATACCTCACTTTTCAGACATTAAAATTTGAAACTATATATTATGGTTCTTCAAAATGCCTCAAGATTGTTATCTATAATTCACAAATTTGATCGAATGATAAGATCAAATTTGCAGTATCTGTGGGCACATCTGGTTGATGATGGTGGTTGTGTTTGTGGGTGATTATGTGTGCTGTGTTATTTTCCAGTTACTTTCAGTCTTTGGTCTTGTTTTATGTCTCCTGTTTATGTTGCACTGAAGTGGAGATTACCTGTATTAGTGGTTGAAGAGAGATGTTGAAGTTGATTCATTTCAGTGAAGGTCTACCTTTAGATAAAATCTTAACTTTTTGTTATGACAGATTTCAATCTTATACAGAAGTAGAATAATATAACAAACACCCAAGTATCTGTCATCTAGTTTCATTAATTATCAACTCAGGGCCAATCTGGTTTCCTCTATACTTCCATTCACTTCCTTCCATGCCACCTTCCTTTTTCCTCCACTTCTAGATTATTTTGAAGTGAGTTCTGGAAATTACATTTCATTTATAAATAGTGGTATATGTGTCTAAAAGATAATCACTTAAAAAAATTTCACTCACATGTAAAAAAAATATGCTTCTTCAAAATAACCAAATATCCATCCAGTGTTTAGATTTCTATTATTATTATTATTTGAGACAGAGTCTTGCTCTTTTCACCCAAGCTGGAGTGCAATGGCATGATCTCAGTTAACTGCAACCTCAGTCTCCTGGGTTCATGCCATTCTCTTGCCTCAGTCTCCCCAGTATCTAGGATTACAGACACTTGCCACCATGCAGGGCTAATTTTTGTGTTTTTAGTAGATACGAGGTTTCACCATGTTGGCCAGGCTGGTCTCGAACTCCTAACCTCGTGAACCTCCCAACTCGGCCTCTCAAAGTGCTGGGATTACAGGCGTGAGAATACAGAAAATTAGCTGGGCGTGGTGGTGCATGCCTGGAGTCCCAGCTACTCGGGAGGCTGAGGCAGGAGAATTGCTTGAACCCAGAAGGCGGAGGTTGCAGTGAGCCAAAATTGCGCCATTGCCCTCTAGCCTGGGTGACAAGAGCGAAACTCCATTTCAAAAAATATATATATATTTGATATATTGATATATTTCTATCTCTTGCAGCTTATTATTCCCATTTATGCATAAATTGTCTCATCTTTAGAGAGAACTGAGTCTTTTTCACAGAACCCTAGTAGTTTTTGATGGCTTTTTTGATTTCTCATTTAACACAAAGTCCCTTAACCTGTACATTTCCTGTCCCAGATCTGTTTTTCTAGGATGCCAGGTTCCTTGTATTAGGAAATGGTATTTAGAGTCCACAGTCTATTACTGGATTTGTCATTGTTTCTAGGCCTTTTCAGTGGATAGTACTAGAACTCTATTTTTTTAAGATTAGATACATTATTAATTCACAGTGATAGTTCCAATTCAAAGATTTACATTCAGAATGATAAGGCATTTATTTAGTTTCAGTGATATTATTATCTCTTTTCACTCATGCCAAAAATATTAGTTATGAGCAACACACAGTTGTTTATTTGCTTTATTCCACTTTAATCTCAATGCAATACTACTGTCAATAATTTGATGACTGGTAGTGGTTTAAGAATGTTGTAGTTACCTTTGTCCTTTAGGTATATCTCACTGGAGGTAAATTCTTGTATTTTAAGGTCACTTGGAATTGTTATTTTATGTGGGATTATGTTTTAGATATATTTGTTTCACAAAATCTCTTACTTGCTTTGTAGACATGTTGAGTCTGGTTTATTTAATATATACAGTTCTTCAAGTATATTTAAAAATACTGAATTTGGGACAAAAAATTTTACACACAATACTTTAGGAACCTCTCTTTTAAAATTGATGTACATGAATATTTTCCACAATCATGAGGAATTTTTTCTAGGCAATATTTTTCTTCTCAGTTCAAGCAGTAGAATTGTTTTGTGAAAATTTAAGTAATTTACATGGAAGACATCTGATATATAACAGCCCTCTGATTGAAAAAGAACTCTTCCTGTTGCAGCTCTTTGTAATGTCAACGAGAATCTGAATATTTGTTTTATGGGGTTTTTTCTTTGTTCCTTTTTAGTGCAGAAACTGAATAACTAAACAGCAGGGGATTAGAAATTGTGGGCATCCAGTGGGCTGTTGTATTTCTTAAGTATTCAGATGAAAAGTGCTTGTTTCCCTTAATCTGTCATCTACCTGAAGATACCCAGAAATGGGTGAGTGACAAAATGGAGTTCCCTAGAATGACATTTTTCTAAACTGGCTATACTTCAGAATGACTTAAGGAGCTCTTGAGATTCCTACACTTCACTTCAGACATTTTGAATGGAATCTTTAGGAAATGGGTCCAGTAATTTATATTCCACCTCTTTGTAGGATGTTTTTTAAACACACCTAGATCAGCCAGATTTAGAAACCATTGTTTTGGAACTTAAAAATTGTGGGCTGGGGATGCCAGAGGGATAATACTTTTAGTGGCAGGAATAAAGGGATCATAAATAGAACTGGCCTAGTGAAACTTTACCTGTCTTAGACCCTTTTCTTCTACATAGTGGAATGTTTTTCATTGGCTTGACATTTATGTCATAATAACCAAACAGAATGCTGTCTGATCCAGGGATGTCTCAGATCAGATGGCTTAGGAGAAATCTGAGCAACCCCAGGGAAAGGCAATATGGAATAGACACTTTTCCTTTTACTAATTTTATATATATTGTATGCTTAATAGGTGATATCTTAGAAATTTACAAATAGTCCTGCCCATCTCACAAGAGACCAGTTAAAGCTTTAGAGATGAAGTACTATTAATAAGTAGTGCCTACAGTGTTGTTTTTTCTGTAACCCTTTTGAGAACTTTGAATGTCACGGGTTTCAATGATGATAGCCAATTATTTTGAGGACTAGCAGATATGGTAAGGAAAAATCAAAGACCTATCACAGTAGGAATACTTGAAGAAAACGGGCAGATCCAAATGGCTTATAACCAATAGGCTAAACCCAAGATGCATTTGATTCATCAAATAAGTAAAACACGTTCAGTCTATTCTATAAAGAAAGATGGTCTTTCTTGCTTGATCAATCTGTCAGCAGCTCTCATGTTAGAAACTGGGTGTTTATGTTAAATTATACAGGTAGAGTATTGACATGTATTAGCTGTGTAACTGAATGCAAGTTACTTAATTTCTCTTAGCTACAGCCTTCTCACCTTTAAATGGCAACATTATCTCTCTTACAAGGTTATTTATGAAGGAAGCTTTATGAGTCATCTGGCATGATTTCTAGCAAGTAGACCAAACATTCACTCAGGTATATGAACAACTGCCTCATGCTGCCAGGTGTTTAGAATATAGCAATCACCAAAACAGAAGGGTAGTTTGTCTCTTTCCTACTCTAGAAAGTAAGCTCCACAGGGACGGGGCATTTATCCATTGCCATATCCCTAGCTCTTATAAACCACACAGCACATACTAAACACTCACATATGTGCATAGTTAACAAATAAATGAAGCTTAATTCTAAAGGGATATCAGACAAAAGTTAATAAAATAGGCCGGGCGTGGTGGCTCACGCCTGTAATCCCAACACTTTGGGAGGCCGAGGTGGGTGGATCACGAGGTCAGGAGATCAAGACCATCCTGGCTAACACGGTGAAACCACATCTCTACTAAAAATATACACACAAAAAATTAGCCGGGCATGGTGGCACGCGCCTGTGGTCCCAGCTACTCAGGAGGCTGAGGCAGGAGAATGGCATGAACCCAGGAGGTAGAGGTTGCAGTTAGTAAAATAAAAAATGTGAAAAGTGCTATGAAGGAAACAGAGGGCTAAGGATGAGAAAACAATAGGGGTGACTTTCACTGGATAAAGTGGTTGGAGATTTTTCTGATTTATCTAAAGAGCTATGAGAAGAGTAGAAGAAAGAGCATCTCAGGCAGAGGGAACTTTATTTGCAAGGGCCCTGAGATGGAAAATCACTGAACCGAGTAGACTAAGTATGCTTAGAACTGGTGAGCAATCGACAGAATGGCAGGATATGAAGTTGCAAAATCAGAATAGAGCATTTACCTGTCTGACAATTGTATTTTTAATGATAGTTTGCTTTTACTTGGTCTTTATATATTTAATTACAAATTACTGATATTTTGTTTAAATCTACCACATTTTTCCATTTGACTGTTTATTTTTATGTCCTTTCTTTCTTTTAGATTAAGTCTTTTTTCTTCTCACCCCCTCACCCCTCCCCCCTGGTTATACATTCTTTTACTATTCTTTTTGTTATTCCATAGTTGCAGCATACATCTTTTTTTTTTTTTTTTTTGGAGTCTCGCACTGTCACCCCGGGCTGGAGTGCAGTGGCGTGATCTCGGCTCGCTGCAACGTCTGCCTCCCGGGTTCGAGCGATTCTCCTGCCTCAGCCTCCCAAGTAGCAGGGATTACAGGCGCCCACCACCACGCCTGGCTAATTCTGTATTTTTAGTAGAGATGAGGTTTCACTATGTTGGCCAGGCTGGTCTCCTGACCTCGTGATCCACCTGCCTCAGCCTCCCAAAGAGCTGGGATTACAGGCATGAGCCACCGCACCTGGCCTGCAGCATACATCCTTAGCTGAGTAAAGCTTAATGTAAATTAGTACATTTACCACTTCTACTTTTTGGACAATATAAAAACATAAAACTTTTTACAACTGTATTTACCACCTTCCCCACTTGCTTCCCCCTGTGATATATGGGTTTTTTTGTTTTGTTTTGTTTTGTTTTGTTTTTGAGACAGAGTCTTGCACTGTAGCCTAGGCTGGAGTGCAATGACACAGTCTAGGCTCACTGCAGCCTCCACCTCCAGGGTTCAAGTGATTCTCCTGCCTCAGCCTCCTGAGTAGCTGGGACTACAGGCACGTGCCACCACACCCGGCTAATTTTGTTGTTGTTGTTGTTGTATTTTTTTTAGTAGAGACGGGGTTTCATCGTGTTAGCCAGGATGGTCTCGATCTCCTGACATTGTGATCTGCCCGCCTCAGCCTCCCAAATTGCTGGGATAACAGGTGTGAGCCACCGTGCCCGACCCACACCTGGCTAATTTTTGTATTTTTAGTAAAGACGGGATTTCACCATGTTGGCCAGGCTGGTCTCAAACCCCTGGCCTCATGATCTGCCCGCGTTGGCCTCCCAAAGTGCTGGGATTACAGGCATGAGCCACTGTACCCCAATGACTTTTGTTTTTGAATTTTTAGCTCAACACATTTAAGATCCTCGAGACATGACTATTATTACTTTTTGCATATTTATCCTTTCTGTACTAATTTTTTTTCTTTAATCTCTAGAGGTTCATTAGAATTAAAATCTAGCAAAACTTTAATTTTGGGGTCTGTGATCATTTTTCTTCTGTCTGAAGAACTTACTTTAGTATTTTCTCAGTACAGATTCTAAATACAGATTCTTTCCTTTTTGGTTTCTGAAAAGATTTATTTAGTTTTACTTTTAAGTGATATTTTCTGTGTGTACAGAATTTCAAGGTTGGCATTCATTTTCTTTTAGTACAGTTGATTCTTGAACAAGGAGGGCATTAGGAGCACTGACCCCTACACAGTTGAAAATCTGTGTGTACCTTTTGACTCCCTTAATTTTTTTTTTTTTTTTTTTTTTGAGATGGAGTCTCGCTCTGTCGCCCAGGCTAGAGTACAGTGGTGTGATCTCGGCTCACTGCAACCTCCTCCTCCCGGGTTCAAGCAATTCTCCTGCCTCAGCCTCCTGAGTAGCTGAGACTACAGGCAGGCACCACCATGCCCAGCTAATTTTTGCATTTTTAGTAGAGACGAGGTTTCACCATGTTGGCCAGACTGATCTCGAACTTCTGACCTTGTGATCCGCCCACCTCGGCCTCCCAAAGTGCTGGGATTACAGGCGTGAGCCACCGTACCTCGCTCACTGCCTTAAAAATTTAACCACTAATAGCCTACCATTGGCCAGAAGTCTTACTGATAACAAAAAGAAAATTAACACATAATTTGTATGTTATTTGTATTATATGCTGTATTCGTACAATAAAGTAAGCTAGAGAAAAGAAAATGGTATTGAGAAAATCATAAGGAAGAGAAAATAGATGACATAAGTACTGTACTGTATTGATTGATACTGTAAGGTTATGTCATCTGTTTATAAGACGAATAGTCTGCCTGAAATACAGCTTCAGACCTCAATCTATGGTATATATCCAGATTTTCAACTTTTCCTTTTAATGTCATAACTTTTCTCTGCTTTTTGAGCGCTCTTCCAGCACCACTTGGGGCACTTCATATGATTCCCATGTTTCTTATTCAAGGTTTAGGGTATTGCAGTAGACATGGTGAAAAACAAGTGAGAACCGTGAGGGATCACTTTTTACTGCAATACGCAATTTACTGGAGAGACAACTGCTCACACGGTAGTGATTAGCGTGACATGACTTTTTTTTTTTTTTTTTGAGCCAGAGTTTTACTGTCGCCCAGGCTGGAGTGTAGTGGTACAGTCTCGGCTCACTGCAACCTCCGCCTCCCAGTTTCAGGTGATTCTCATGCCTCCGCCTCCCAAGTAGCTGGGATTCCAGGAGTGCGTCACCATGCCCGGCTAATTTTTGCATTTTTTGCTAGAGATGGGATTTCCCCTTGTTGGCCTCTACCCACCTCAGCCTCCCAGAGTGCTGGGATTACAGGTGTGAGCATGACACAACATTTTAAGTGGATACTCACAACACTTGAGCTTACTGCAATAGCCACAGCAGGTGGCTACGAAATTGTTACAGTAGTAAGATATGTACTACAGTGAATTTTATGCAATTATGATTGAATACGGCATCTTTATTTTTGTTTACATTTCTGTCAACAGCAAGTGGTGTCATGTATGGTCTGTAAATGTGTGAGGGAAAGTTTTGGTAAATTTTAACTTTTTATAAAAGATGTGTATATTTTAGGATGGTAAATAATAAAATAGACTATGTCTACATATATTTTATGCATTCATGACATACCTTTTTAAAAGTTTTTTGCTTTTCTAGGTGATGCAGTTCATCTGTGAGTTTTTCAATTTGCTCCGAATCTCCAAAAATTTTTCTAATATATTTTCTAAAAAAAATCTGCCAAAGTATGTCAGGAGAGTGGGGAAAGAAATTCAAAGTATTTTTGAGAAAGTGAGCTATCCTCTCAACAACAATAATCACAGACAGAAGATTTCTGTGACAAAATGTGTGGGGATTTCTCCTCACCAGCAAGCAAGCAAGCCATCAATTCTGCAGCACAAACCACCTAGGTGTCCTCCAATTCAAGTCAATTCTCACACTATTTTCCTGCACATAAGACCACAGGTTGAAGCCAGGTGCGGTGGCTCACACCTGTAATCCCAAGACTTTGGGAGGCTGAGGCAGGTGGATCACCTGAGGTCAAGGGTTCAAGACCAGCCTGGCCAATGTGGTGAAACCCCATCTCTACTAAAAATACAAAAATTAGCTGGGCACGGTGGCAGGCGGCTGTAGTCCCAGCTACTTAGGAGGCTGAGGCGGGAGAATTGCCTGAACATGGGAGGCGGAGGTTGCCGTGAGCCGAGATGCACCATGGCACCCCAGCCTGGGCGACAAGAGTGAAACTCTGTCTCAAAAAGAAAAAAAAAACACAGGTTGAGGGCTCAGTGCCCAAGACCGCCCCTGATCCTCATCAGTCACAAGTCTGGGCCTGTGGAACTTCTGACCTGCCAGCTTCAATGTGGAGTTTCCACACCCTCTCTTTGGGTTTGATTAATTTGCTAGAGTGGCTCGCAGAATTCAGGGAAACTGAATATATAAGTTTATTTCCTTGCTTTTTTTTTTTCCTCCTGCTTTTGTTGCACCCTTCAAGGAAAGAGGCCACCATAAGGCCGAGCTGAGGTACCAAGGGGACCTTCTCTCTCTCTTCCCATTGCAAAAGTCACACAAGTGAAGCCAGGTGTAACTATACATAGCTGAGAGTGTTATTTACTGGTTTATTACAAAGGGTATTACAAAGGATGTAGGTGAAGAAATTCACAGGGCAAGGTATAGGGGAAGAGGTTCAGGGTGTCCATGCCCTTCCTGACCACCAGCCTCCAGGAGCCTCCAATGTGTTCAGCTATCCAGAAGCTCTTGAAACCCAGTCTTCTTGTGTCTTTTATGGAGGCTTCACTGGATAGGCAAAATCGACAGCTGTGTAGAAATGTGATTAGACACAAAATGTATGATCTAATACTAATAGGCTGAGTGGGAAAACCCAGCAAGGTCTATCTGTTCAGATTCTTTTTGTCCTCTCTCTGCTACATTCTTTCCTCCAGGGAATGGGGCAGGACCTCTTCTGAAATGGGTGTCTTATGACCTACAATCACATAAGTCAGAGAATTTCTTTATGGCCAGCTCTAAGACAGAAAGGCAGGGAAGATTTCTGACTTTGGAAGAGGAGGAGCAGATGAAAGGAGGCAGGAGGTAAGAGAGATTCTGTTTTCTGAGGCCTGTTATCTGAGGTTTTAAGTGCCCCAACATTATAACTAAAGACTGTAACAAGGGATATGGGAGTTATAAGCCAGGAACTATGGACAAAAGCCCATATATATAGATATTATAAAATCTATTTATATATATCTCATAATATCACACGTCATTCTATTTTCTTCTTGTTTCCATTGTTTTTGTTGGGAGGTCAGCTGTTGGTCTAATTTTTGCTCTTGTGAAGGTAGTATGTCGTTTATTCTCTGGTTGCTTATAAGATTTTTCTTTGTTTTTAGCTTTTGCAGTGGGACTATGTGTCTAGGGATGGTTTTCTTTGTACTCTTTTGTTAGAGCTTTGTAGAGCTTCTTGAATACATGGCTTGAAGCACCTGTCAGATAACATCAACATCTAGGTATCTATGGGTCTCTCTCTTATTTTAATCAACTTTTGCCCTTTTACATTTCTTCTTTTTATCTGATTGACTGCCAAACATTGTAAATAAAAATTTTAGTTATGATTTGAGGCTCAGTAGGATTTTAGTTATGATTTGAGGCTCAGTAGGGTGTTATCTTTCCCCAGAGAGATTTTATTTTTGTTACTGGCAGCAAGGGTTGAGTTAGATCACCTCTGTGGGTTTGATTTATTTCAGATCTTTCCCCCACATTTTCACTTTCTTTGTAGCTCTCTGATGCCTTCAAACAGTTAAAAAACAAAAATTGTCTAGTTTTTCCAGTTCTCTCAGCTGGAAGATTGTTCTGAAACAGTAAAAAATAAATTTTATTCTAAAAACAGTAGGAAGATACTAAAAAGTTTTAAGTAAAGAATTGACATAACCTGATTTCCATTTTAAAATGAACTTAATTAGTTGTTTCGTCATATCTTTCCTTAAAATGTCCCCAAAGCTTTCTTTTACCTACATTTCTGTTGTTATCATCCTGGTCTAAACTCTATCTAAGTCACTAACTTGGATTATTGTTTTTTGGTTTTTTGTTTTTGAGACTGAGTCTCGCTCTGTCACCCAGGCTGAAGGGCAGTGGCATGATCTCGGCTCACTGCAACCTCCGCCTCCCAGGTTCCGGCAATTCTCCTGCCTCAGCCTCCTGAGTAGCTGGGATTACAGGTGTGCACCACCACCCTCGGCTAATTTTTGTATTTTTAGTAGAGGCGGGGTTTCACCATGTTGGTTAGGCTGGTCTTGAATTCCTGACCTTGTGATCAGCCTGCCTTGGCCTCCCAAAGTGCTGGGATTACAGGCATGAGCCACTACACCCGGCCGGATTATTGTTTTTATCTCACTTTCTTGGTCTCCTGAAAGCCATCTAACATATCGATGTTAGATTCTTTATCCAGAGATTTGATTTCTTTTATGTCTGGATTTGCAAATTAAAAATAGCTATGAAGGCCAGGTGTGGTGACTCATGCTTGTAATCCCAGCATTTTAGGAGGACAAGGCAGGTGGGTCACTAGAAGTCAGGAGTTCGAGAGCAGCCTGGGCAACATGGAGAAACCCCATCTCTACTAAAAATACAAAAGTTAGCTGGCTGTGGTGGCACACACCTGTAATTTCAGGTATTTGGGTGGCTGAGGCATGAGATTTGCTTGAATGGGTGAGGCAAAGGTTGCAGTGAGCTAAGATCATGCCACTACCACCAGCTTGGGCAACTGAGAGAGTCTGTCTCAAAAAAGAAAAAGCGATGGGATTTTTAAAGTAGCACTATTAGTCACACAGAAAAGCAAATCAACTTAAGATCATTAATTAACTTGCTGAAAGTTACACAGTTAAGGCAGAGCTACCTGTTGAATCTGGATCTCTTTAATTTTAGAACTTATATCAATTATTTCATATTGTAGATATGCATTCAAATTATATTTTCTTTAAATGAAGCAGCATTTATATTCTTTTGCTGCTAAAAAAATACTTAAAATTTAAGTAATAATAAAAAGTTAAAACTTTTATCGTTTGTGCTCATTGATGTCAAAGTTGCTTGAGCTGAAGTTGAGTAAAGAGTTTTCAAACCAAGTGACTGGTGCTTTCAGAATGGCAGAAACCATACTGGGAATGAGGCCATCCAGGAGGAAACCCTTCTCTGTGAACATCTGAGTTTTTTTTTTTTTTTTTTTTTTTTTTTGTATTTTCTTTTTTTCAATTAGAGATTCAGGGATTTAAAATCCCATAAATAAAAAGTCCTGGGCTGGGCGTGGTGGCACACGCCTGTAATCCCAGCAATTTGGGAGGCTGAGGCGAGTGGGTCACCTGGGGTCAGGAGTTTCAGACCAGCCTGGCCAACATGGCGAAACTCCATCTCTACTAAAAATATAAAAATTAGCTGGGAGGCTGAGGCAGGAGAATTGCTTGAGTTCTGGAGGCGGAGGTTACAATGAGCCAAGGTTGTGCCATTGTGCCACTGCACTCCAGCCTGGGCCATACAACAAGACACTGTCTCCAAAAAAAAAAAAAAAAAAAAAAAAAAAGTCCTGGATATGGGTAAATAAGACTATAGAGATATTTAGCCAAAACAGCATGAGAAAGTGCATATTCTTTCTTTCACCTATATATTAGTTCCATCATTCTTCTATAATAGATCTGTAACGCATGAGGAAACTATGAAAAGCTACCATGTTAGGGGTGAAAAAAAAGGCAATCTTTCCAGATGTGGTTGCTAACAGATAATAATAAAAAGTGAAGCCTTGAGCCAAGAAAAGCCCCAGCATGACTCAATATAGACCAAGGTTCCAGAAAGAACTAATTTCTTTCCAAACAAAGAACATGAAGTAAAGCACAGCTGATCCCTAGCTACTACATTCATTTCAGTTTTGTTTCCAACTATCTTTTCAGAGACGTTTGACACTAGCCTGTATCATTATTTATACTATTCTAGAATATGAAATTCTAGAATATGTATACTTTCTATTTATACATAAACATTTACATTGATTTCATATATGTAATCATATTATTTTTAAAAGAGGGTATAAGGTATAATTTAGTGCTTTGTAATTCCTTATTCATTGATCAATATATATTTTTAAAAGATCAGAGGCTTTTTTTTCCAAACTTCAGATTCTTTTTTTAAAAAACTGTTGTGGGTACATAGTAGGTGTATATACTAATGGGAGTACGTGAGATGCCCTGATACAGCCATGTAGTGCATTATAATCATCACATCATGGAAAATAGGATATCTATACCCTTAAGCATTTATCCCCTGTGTTACAAACAATCCAATTATACTCTTTTAGCTATTTTAAAATGTACAATTAAGTTATTATTTACTATAGTGACCCTGTTGTGCTATCGAATACTAGGTCTTATTCATTCTTTGTATCTATTTTTATTTTGTACCCATTAACCATCTCCAGTTCCTCTCCACCCCTCCACTACCCTTCTCATCCTTTGGTAACCATCCTTCTACTCTCTAGCTCCATGGGTTCAATTGTTTTGATTTTTAGCTCCCACAAATAAGTGCAGACATGTGAAGTTTGTCTTTCTGTGTCTGACTTATTTCATTTAACATGACTTCCAATTCCATCCATGTTGTTGCAAATGACAAAATCTCTTTTTTTTTTTTTTTCCCACTGTTGTCACCCAGGCTGGAGTGCAATGGCACAATTTTGGCTCACTGCAACCTCCGCCTCTTGGGTACAAGCAATTCTCCTGCCTCAGCCTCCCAAGTAGCTGGGATTACAGGCGCCCGTCACCATGCCTGGCTAATTTTTGTATTTTTAGTAGAGACAGGGTTTCACTATCTTGGTCATACTGGTCTCGAACTCCTGACCTCAGGTGATCTGCCCACCTCGGCCTCCCAAAGTGCTGGGATTACAGGTGTGAACCACTACACCCGGCCAATCTCATTCTTTTTTATAGCTGACTAGTACTCCATTTTGTATATGTACACATTTTCTTTATCCATTTATCTGTTGATGTACACTTAGACTGCTTCCAAATTTTTGCTCTTGTAAACAGTGCAGCAACAAACATGGGAGTGCAGATATGCCTTCGATATACTGATTTCCTTCAATATGTTGATATCCCTAGCAGTGGGATTGCTAGATCATATGGTAGTTCTATTTTTAGTTTGGGGAACATCCAAACTGTTTTCCATAGTGGTTGTATACAGAGTCTTTAATTTAATCTTTACTAGGTACTACAATAGTTATCATTTCTGAGTGTTTTTAGAAACATTGAGTATTTCAAGCAGTGATTTCTCCAGAGACTAAGATACATGTATCCCTACAAGCATGGACATGGATTGGGAGTGAGGAGAAGCAGAGCCTTTGGTGGGTTTTTTGTTTTGAATAAAATTGCTATTGATATTCTTCCCATTAATCTAAGCCTCAGTATCTGCCATTTATACTTATCAGATTAAATTGTCAATTTCCATTTCAGGTATACTTTAAATTCTTGATATGATTTGCAGGTGATTTTTAAAAAATTTTTAATTTTGTTTTGTTTTGTTTTGAGACAGGGTCTTGCTGTGTCACCCAGGCTGGAGTGCATTGGCATGATCACCACTCACTGCAGCCTTGAACTCCTGGGCTCAAGTGATCCTTCTGCCTCAGCTTCCTGAGCAGCTGGGACTACAGGCCCACACCACCGTGCCTGGCTAATTTTGTATTTTTTGTAGAGACGAGAGTCTCACTGTTGTCCAGGTTAGTCTCAAGCTCCTGGACTTAAGCAATCTTCCCACCTCGGCCTCCCAACATGCTGGGATTACAGGCATGAGTCACTGTGCCCAGCCTTCTTGATATCATTTTTATCTAGCTAACATATTTTGGAATATAATGAATCACTTATGTATCTTGGAATGATTATTTTTAATTTCTTAAATTTGAAATGCTGTGATTTCAGATCCGATGGATAGAATAGAAAAAGTTAGACTAAAAGTGTGATGGGATGACATGTAAGAGCTCTCGAAGAGAGAGAAAGTGTGATATTATTAAGACTTGGGTTCTGGAACCAGGCTGCCTGGGTAAAAATGCTGGTTTTGCCATTTATCAGCTATATAACTTTGGACAGGTTATTTAGCCTCTCTGAGCCATGCTATTCTCAACTATTAAATGGATAACAATAATATACCCCTTTAGAGTTGTCATGAGGATTACAAGAATCAATACATGTTAAGTAGTTAGAATCTTGCCCTACCCTTAGTAATCATCCAATATTATTCTTATTATTAGATTACCAATAAAATTTTGTCTGAGGTTTGTACAGAACACATATGAAATTTCTGACATTCTGTCAAGTAATGTCATTTTCAGTAATTCTTCAGAAGTTTGAATGAGCTAACGCTCACTCCGCATATGATATTTTTCGTATCTATACCAATTCTGTATATGGCAGTCTGTGGTCTGCGTAATAATTGATAGAAATGGATAAGCAAATGTTAAAACTCTGTTGGAAGAGGGAAGGGTGGATTTTGTCGTAAGTAAATGTGGGAGGATCAAAGAGATTTTTCAGGAGGCAGAGCTAAAATTTTGCCTCTTGGCTACACAGAGGAATGTTCAGGGAGCTCTGATTTGCAGGAGGAGCAGCAGGCAGCCACAGACATCTTCAGGTTCTGCCTTTATTGGACTCTTCTGACCCTCTGTTGTAATTGAAAGTCAGGTGGAGAGAGGGCTTGTGCTGTACTCTGGAAGTCACCAATAATTCTCAGTAGTAAGTGTCACCACTTTGATTACATAGCCTTCCTGAAATGTTGATGGCCTGGAGTTTTACAGGTGCAGTGTATACTAAATTAGCCATGACCAGAAACAGGATGTCATTGTCATTCCTTTCAAACTACAGAGTAGTAATTTGGTAATGTGGGAACACCTGGATTTGTGCCTCCTTAAACCTGAAATAAAAGGGAGAGGAATAGTCTGAGTCAACTGTCTTTGTGACATCTGACCCATGGTCTACATTTCTTTGAAAACATTGTATTTGGATACACACACACACACACACACACACACACACACTAGCTTTTGTTTCTTAGAAAAGCAGCTCCTTGAGGGAGCCATTACTTTGCTGTATTATGTACAATAATGTGGGTGCTACATGAATGTTAAGTACTACTGCTAATGTTACTGGTAATTCACTGGTGAGGCATTTTGTGAGTCACCACTTACTGTGTGTTCACAATGTTCACAATGTTTGAACTTGGTTATACAAATGTATCAAGTTATTTTTTATATGAAATTGACTATTAGGATATTTAATCATCCAAGTCAGAGTCAAGGACTGGCACTTTAAACATTTTTTTTTTCCACTTTCAATTTTGGAACAATTTGAAAATTGAAGAAAAGTTGAAAGAATCATACAAAAAAAGGTATGTATACCCTTCATGCAGAGACCTCATCCAGGGTTGGCCAGTTGTTTTAATAATGTCCTTTATGGTAAAGGGATGTAGTCCAGAATTAGTATGGTATCTGGTTGTCTCATATTGGAACAGTTTCTTCCTCTTTCCTTTCATGGCCATGTCATATTTGAAAATTATAAGTCAGTTGTTTTGGAAACTGTCCCTGAATTTGGGTTTATCTAATGTTTCCTCGTAATTATTTTCAGGTAATGCATTTTTTTGACAAAATTTCACAGAAGTGACGCTTTGCTACTTTCCTTGCATCCTATCATGTGGCACATGGTGTCAATGTTTCCCATTACTAGTGATGTTAACTTTGATCGTTTAAATAAGGTGGCTTCTGTGAGGCTTCTCTATTGTAAAGGTACAATGTTTTTATACATTTTGGAATGAGTAATTACTTTGTGGGGAGAAATTTTGAGACTGTAAAATTCTGTTCCTCCACCTACTTTTACCCATTAGTTTTAGCATTCATTGCTATGTCTTGCCTGATTATTGCTATATTGGTTGAAAAATGTTGATTTTCTAATGCTTTCACTCCTTCTACATTATTTAGTATTAAACTCCCCATTTATTTATCTTTATCATAGAGGACTCATGAATTCCTATTTTATTCAATGTACTATAATTCAGTACTATCATCATTTCTTTTGATGCTCAAAAAAAATAAAAATAAAAATAAATAAATAAAAATAGATTTGACCAGTAGGAGTAAGCCCTTTTCCAGGTTGGCTTCTGTGTACTTTTGACATGTTCTCATTATTCTTTCAGCACTTCATTACTTCCTGGCACAATCAGATGATTTATGTTCATTTGTTCTTTCCTTGTCCCAGTCCTGAGATCAGCCATTCCTCCAAGAAGCCCTGTTTCTTTCAGTAGAGTGGCATTTAGAAATCAAGATCTGAGTACTTGATATGCTAAAAGGATACTGCTCCTTCTAGGCCTTCCTCAGTGGAAAAATAATTTCTATACATGCATATTGCTATTGCTCTATTTCCTCCTCTCTTTTTCTCTCCCTCACATATTTGTATGTGTGCATGTGTGTGTATGTGTATCTACCTACCTATATATTTATATATACACAAATATACTTATTTATGAGTACACACCAACACCTCCAATTCCTATTTCCTGTCACCACAGACTTTATTATAGTTTTATTCCTTGTCATATTCATATATTCCTTCTCTGACAGTAAGATGATGACGGCTTCCATTATCTTACTGTATTAATTGCTCAATCCCCCCATATGTAGTTAATCTACCAAGCTTGCTAGACTGACTTCCTACCTAATTGCTTTTTCAACGAATAGTAAGTAAAGGACAAAGTAAAGGGTGGAATGAAAGAGGAGGAAGAAAGAAAGAGAATAACACATTTTGAAATCTAAATTAAAATTTAAAGGTAGATTTTTGCATGTTTTATATGTATAGAAGTAAGGTTCTGGGAATCGAGTTTATTCTTAGTTTTTTAAGATCATGAAAATAGGCCGGGCATGGTGGCTCACGCCTATAATCCTAGCACTTTGGGAGGCCAAGGCGGGTGGATCACTTGAGGTCAGAAGCTCGAGACCAGCCTGGCCAACATGGTAAAACCCTGTCTCTACTAAAAATACAAAAATTAGCCGGGCATGTTGGCACACGCCTGTAATCTCAGCTATTCAGGAGGGTAAGCCACGAGAACTGCTTGAACCCAGGAGGCAGAGGCTGCTGTGAGCCGAAATCGTGCCACTGCACTCCAGCCTTGGCAACACAGCAAGACTGTGTCAAAAAAAAAAAAAAATCTTGAAAATACATCCTAATATTTTGTCTTTATATATTCACACATTAACAAGCATTAGGCATACAAAGGTGAATGAGACAAAGTCTGCAGAGTTCAGATATGATAAAACAAGCAGACAGGTTAAAATATTAATAATTCCTATAATAGTAGAAGAGTTATCGTAGAGGAATACAAAGAGTTTCAGGAAGAAACTGAGCTACACTATAACACAGAAGAGACCAATAGATTTTGCATAAGCAGCAGAATGATTTCTCTTCATTAAGAGTAATGATCCACATGCTAAAGGTTAATTTCTAGTTGGTCTTCTGAATTCTGGCTTTTTCTTAACTCTTTTCTTCTGCTTTAGTCATCCTATAGAGGACCAGAAAAAATTAGACACAGTGAAATCTCTCTTCATGGTCAGGACAGTTACTGAGCAACAGGAAACACAACTATTCCTTATAGGCCTGGTGCCCTGTTTTTTTCCAGCCCTCAGGTTGGGAGCCTTTCGCATATTTTGCATATAACCTCTGACTTTGCAATGGAACGGAATTTTATTATATTTAATACCATATAATTTTTTTAGTACTGTATTTTTTGGTGGCTTTTAAAGCCACTATTCAAAATCTTTATATTACCCAATACTGCCAATATTCTAAAATTCTTGTGCAAATAAATTGTGTCATTATGTACAGTTAATGGACTTAGTAGGCAAATCAATTTTTATTTTTTTGGTTAAAGGGCTCTCCATTGTGTAAGTGCCTTTAAAACATGCTTATTAGTTAAGCATCTCAACAATGTGGAATGTGGGTTGGTTTTATCACTCTCCAATTAAAAGTTATTGCTCCATAACTTCCAAGAAAGGAAGTTAGGCACTTGGAGAAATTGGTTCAGTATTACATTGTGCAAATAGAATAAATAAATCCAGACTACTGATTCTCAACCTGTTTTCTGCCCTAAATCATCAGAGAGATAAATAGATTCTCTGTTGTAATAACTGAGTCTCAGATTCTAGCTCAGGAAGCCATTATGCCTTCTCAGTACTGGCCTTCTAAAACTTGATATGTTCAATTTTCAAAGAAAATCAATTTAGAAAGAAAAAATATGCTTTGAGATGATAAAAAAGGGAATAGTCATGTAATACAAAATCCACTAAAGCTACATTTCTCTATGCCTTATAGAAATGGACAATTATTTAAATATTAAAACATACCACTACCCCAATTATATATTTTATAATATAAAAATACTTCTTAAACTAAGTAGTAGTATTACTACTGAAATCATCTGTGTATATTTGATATGGGACATGGATAATGGGTCACATCTTGACAAGCATTTCAGGCCTATTGAAAGCTGGTTGTAACAGGATGCAGTTTGCATGAAGGGCTCATTATGATTATATCTTGGACACAGCACAGTAACACTTTTCTTTTCTTTTTTTTTTTTTTTTTGAGACAGAGTTTCGCTCTTGTCGCCCAGGCTGGAGTACCGTGGTATGATCCCGGCTCACTGCAACCTCTGCCTCCCGGGTTCAAGCAATTCTCCTGCCTCAGCCTTCCAAGTAGCTGGGATTACAGCCACCACGCCCAGCTAATTTTTGTATTTTTAGTAGAGGCTGGTTTTTGCCATGTTGGCCAGGCTGGTCTAGAACTCCTGACCGCAGGTGATCCACCTGCCTCGGCCTCCCACAGTGCTGGGATTACAGACGTCAGTCACCCGGCCCGGCCGACACTTTTCTTATGGCTTAGAAGTTCACAGAGTTCATAGGCAATTCATGTAAACTCAAAATGTTTGAATAGCCACACGAACGACTTCAGCTTGGCAGTCCCTTTGTCTCTAGGTTTCTGCTCGTTTCTATGTATCTAGAAATTCTGCCTCAGTCAACGTCTTGGACTCCTATCTTAGTGTAGGTAGAATTACTCATCATTACTTACTTTGAATCTAGATGGTTTCTTCACTGCTACTTTTAAAACCAGAGAGTCACCAAGTCAAGCACAACCACCTTGTTCATTCTCTTTTTTTTTTTTTTTTTTTGAGACAGAGTCTCGCTCTGTCACCCAGGCTGGAGTGCAGTGGCGCGATCTCGGCTCACTGCAAGCTCCGCCTCCCGGGTTCACGCCATTCTCCTGCCTCAGCCTCACGAGTAGCTGGGACTACAGGCGCCCGCCATCACGCCCGGCTAATTTTTTTTTTTGGAGGCGGAGTCTCGCTCTGTGGCCCAGGCGGGAGTGCAGCCGCGCGATCTCGGCTCACTGCAAGCTCCGCCTCACGGGTTCACGCCATGCTCCCGCCTCAGCCTCCCGAGTAGCTGGGACTACAGGCACCCGCCGCCACGCCCGGCTAATTTTTTTGTATATTTTTTAGTAGAGATGGGGTTTCACCGTGTTAGCCAGGATGGTCTCAATCTCCTGACCTCGTGATCTGCCCGTCTCGGCTTCCCAAAGTGCTGGGATTACAGGCGTGAGCCACCGCACCCGGCCTGTTCATTCTTTTAAGGCCTTCATTTTATTCCTGTTGGTTTCACTCACAACTGATAAAAAAGGTAAATGTCGTGTGAGTAGATAAAAATTTTTGAAAATTTGTTTTCAAAGTTGTTAAAGGAAAATACTCTTCTGAGTGTTTCCGTTCTGGATTGTTATTAGTAAGAAAAATATTTTCACAATGATACTATCAAGCATAAAATTCAGCAAATTATAATACTACCCTTATTACACAGTCTCAGGAAAAAAGGTAATAAGTATTATTTTGCATTTAGTGATAGAAATATTAAGGCTCACAATAACAATTGATTTTAAAATAATGATTAATTTTCCAGCTAAAGTTGTCATTTGACAAGCATTTACTGAAAGTACTTGAGAAAACGACAGCAGTAATTATAGCAGTAATAAAGCATAGCAGGCTAGACTTGCCTCTGTAATGCTCATGACTCTTGTGTAATGTAGATAATTAGCAAACTATCGAAACCACTGGAGGAACATCCTGTAACATGGTTAGGGAGACCTTTGTCCTCAGATTTGTTAGCTAATGACATTGTATAAGGATTTGGCAAGTAATTGAATTCTGTTGACTCTTAAATGTTTGGTAATGTACAGTTAAAACTATAAAGTCTGACAGAGGACATGGAGTTGGTACCTTTTCTTTTAAATTTTTCACAGCAATCTTCCAGTATGTTCTTATCTTCCTTGGAAAACCTAGTGTGTCTGTCTCCCAGCAGGTGAAATGAAATGACAATAGACTTTCATTTTGAAATTCAGCAATTTCGTAAGCTTATTGAAATTTTGTTTATCATTTGCTAAACTTTACTGGTATAAATATTACATGGCAGAAATAAAATTATAAGTTGTACATTAGTTTATTCATTTAAACTTTTGTAACACAAAGATCAAGAAACATAACATATTCTGTATTTTTGCCAACAAATATCTAAAATCATTATATTTTAAGTTACAATATCTGCAATCATAATAAATATAGGTCTTTTAAAATATAAAAATTTGAGGCATAAAAGTAATATGATATGTTCCAAGTCACAATGGCAGTAAATATAAATGCTAAACTGAAATATGAAAATCTAGTTGAGGATTTGCTTAGAGTAAGTTTGTAAAATTTGTTTTGAAGAAAGAAAAACAGATTGAAAGTATTTCTTTTTAATATGGTTTCAATTTAATTTAAAAACAATGCAACAAAGCCATTCTTATGTACACACATAGCCATTAAAGATGTTCCTAGCACAAAGATTCTCAAATGTTCCTAGTTCATTCCACCCTTAATATCTGGTAATTTTTTCATGGTGACTCTAGGAAAATAGGAATACCTCATTCGTTTATTAAGTAGTTAGGCCCAAATTTAGTAGTAGCAGTTTGTGTAGTGTCTGACTGATATTTCTGTGTTCCCCTAAAAATTTAAAAACACTATAACACTCCTGTGGGTTCACGGTATCATGATTGGGAACCACGGTCCTAGCAGCATTAAGAGTGTGTGTGTATTGTAGGGGAGAAAAAATAGTTTTACTCTACTTATTTTAGGTTCAGTGCTCGAGACCCCTGTATCAAACGAAAGACTAACAAGCAAAAAGCATACACATTTATTTAATATCAGTTTTCCGTGACAAGGGAACCTTCAGAAGGAAATGAAAACTCAATAAACAGTTTTAAACTTGAGTGTTTTTCCATAGTAGGTTTGATGAAGAGTGGAAAGTCATGGAGAAATATGATAGGACAAAGGGGATATGAGCTACATGTAATGAGCTGGGAGAAACTTGTCAAGGCTTATTTGTTCAGATTACTCTCTGTGACTCTGTGTCCTTGGAGATAAGGATATTCCTTTCCTCCAGGAATAGGGAAGCACCTCTCACATAAGGATCTTATGCACTGCTTCAAGGGAAGGTCAGAACATGCTTCCTAGGTTTTATGATCTGCTTCAGGGGAGAAGGGAGGCGGAACTTCACAGAGACCTTCCTGCTTATGCTATTTTCTCAAATTCCTTCAGCTTAAAATATTCAATATGCCAAGGTGCCATATTTTGGGGTAGTGTGTCCTGATGTGTGTGTCTCTCTCTCCTGAACTCTCTTATCTATCCATCCAGCCATCCTTCCACATCCACACACACACACACATATAAATCAGTCTCCTGCATTTTTATTTGCTAAGTAAAATTACATTCTGTTGTAATTTTCTCCTTGCACTTACCATGACTTGATATTTTCTTGTTTACTTAGTTGTTTATGTGTTTAATGTTTGTCTTCCTTCACTGGGCTATGGGGTCCAAGAGAGTAGGAAAGTTTTCTGCCTTGTTCCCCACTGTATTCCTAGAACCTAAAACACTGCCTAGTGTATACTACATATTCAGTACACACTGTTTGGGTGAATACACATCTTCCAAAGACAAATGTTCATTCTCAAGGACAGTACATTGTAGATAGAAATATTCTCTAACTCCCATATACTTTGTAAGAAACTTCACCTTTCTTGGAGTTCTATTATCACATAATTATAGACAGTGCAGTTTATCTTTTACTGCTCCCAATTGTGCCCTTCAGAACATTTAGAAAAGGAGTCATGTAATCTAGTTATACAAAGAAAAGCTTTGAAATAAATCGCTGTCCAACAAAAACCACACACACAAACACACATACACAAAACCCACTCTATTACATTTAGTAATCTTGGTGAAGGGAAGGGAAGTCATATATTTTACCAATTATAGGTATTTTAACCTTTTGTTTTCAAAACTATAATAAAAATATTCAATAGTGTATTGAATTTTAATTTGCAGGAGACTATCAACATATTAGGTTGCTTTGGGGTTAACTTTATAAATTTTTTTTCGCAAAAATCTCACAATAAAGCTTCTGCTAACTGTCCATGCATATTTTGAACTTTTTTGGAAATGTATTATATGTAATTTAATGAATTAAATTTTAAAAATGTGTTCTTAAGTTACTGGACTTTTTAGTAGTTTCAGGAAAGGTAAATCAATATAGTGTTTCTGGTTTATCCTAGTGAATGATTTTTTTTTCTGAATATGTGTTTCCTTGGAATTTAAGTTCCACAGATCATTGATATGTATAGTCTTTTTCACAAGAAGTTTACACATTTTTTTGGTGATGGTGGCTAAGTGGTCTTTAGGCAAAATGATCTGATGAAATTAAAATTGAGCAATTAGGAGGGGAATCTATTCAATATGGACTGATTATGAAAAATTCAGACCCCTTTTTCTTAATTTTCAGGGATCAGAGGGTTTTAAATTATATAAGTTTCTAAACATGTATTCTGTTTATTGAGATGAAGCCTAAATTGGTGGTGGCAGTGGGGGCTGTGTGTGAATAGAAACAGAAAAAGCCTACCATTGACGCCTTTGATAGATTTTAACTGTCCAATTAATTTGCGTACATGAAATGTGTAACATACCAATATTTTGCTCCCGGCACACAGATCTCCAGTGGACATCGACAATCAAAGCTTCTATGATTATTTCACAATATTCAGCAATCCACCCAATGCTAACTGGGATGTTTGATTTTGCAGCCTCTTTCAGAGCAGTTGCTAAAAGTGGCTCCACATCATAAGAGGGCTTCCCTCCCTCAATCCATGAGAGCAACTAGGTTTTGCATCAGTGAAAGGAAGAAAAAGCAGGAGTTTGGCAAGAGGCTGCAAAGAGACGGCACTGGGCTCCACTAGAGTTCCTTCCCACCGCGTTTCTCATCCTGTCTTCTGCCTAGTGGATATGTCTGCGTGGGCGTGCACACACATTGGCTGATGAAACCCCCTTCCTGTTGCACAGGGTCAGAACTAAGCGAGGTGGGTGTAGCTTTGGAGGGTTCTGAAATCTAAGAACCAGCTTCCTTTCCCACCGCTTTCCGCTGAGTCAGTTCACTGCAGAGTGCTCTGCAGGATCTGGAGGCCTTTGTGTTCAGATTATTTTACTAGCTACAAAAGCCACACCCTTGTGCTACACAAACAGAACACTTTGTCCTTCCAGGAGGTCCGTAGTTTGACCACAGTTCTGGGATTTCAAAGCTGCCTCACAGAGGCTTGCCTATTGTAATGTAAAGTGTTGAGCTGAGTGACTGTCCCTGTGTTATAATGCAGCTTCACAACTGCTGGTTTAATGGCTTACCGTGCTAGTGGGGCTTTGAACAACAGACCCTGTCATTTAAAACAGGCTCAGAAATCCATTTATTACCAAAAAAAATTTCAATGACAGTGAGAAAAAAATGGAATAATGCTTTTTGATTTAGAAAAAATCTATTCATTTATTTTTTATGTTTCATTTATTTATTTTAGACAGGGGGCCTCACTATGTTGCCCAGGCTGGCTCAAACTCCGGTCTCCAAACCATCCCCTTGCCTCAGCCTCCCAAGTAGCTGGAACCACAGGGGCGCATACACCTACCTACTCTTTCTTTTTTTTTAAAAACAAAACAAACCCCACACATCCATGTATAGCACACACACACGCACACACACACACACACATATATACGGTCAGTAAATGACCATTGGTGCACAGGCAGCTGTAGGAAAGAAGTGGTGTAGCGGAAGGACGGCTGAATTTGGACACTGAGCTTCAGTTGGCAGCGTAAGTCCCCTGCCTTCCAGCCTGGGAGCAATCATCTTCATGAGATTTTAATTGTATTCCTGTTCTCCTCAAACCCTGTTACAGACTCAAATGCATCTTACATAATTATTACATTTTGAATTCAAATAACTATAAATAACTGCCTTTTACTGAATGGTGATTACATGCACTATACTAAATGCTATGCTCATTTTCTCATTTTATTCTCAGCATCACTTTATGAAGTCACTTCTGTAATCCTCTTTTCACTAATGAGGGAAGAGAGGCTTAGAGATGTTAAATCTCTAGACATGGCCACACTGTTAATAATGGGGAGAACAGAGCTTCTAGCAAGATCTGGTAGTCTCCAGAGTTCAAGATTGCATCTGCTAAGAAACGTGGCCCATTAATTACAGCAGCCTTAGCATAAAGTAGGGCTTGGAGGCCAGTCTGGTCAAACTAGGGGGTCAGAAGACTTGCTTTGAAGTGCTGACTTAGGAAGCACGTTGTTTTTATTTAGATGGTGTAGGGGAAGTGCTGATAAATATTACCGGACAAGTAAGCACCTCTCTCCACTGGCCCAACAAGCTCTCTCCCGCATACGCTTGGCACAATCACCATTGCCTCTTTTATTGCTTTGCAACAGTTTTCATAAAATTATTTGGGGATCATTTTTGCTCCAGCTGTGCAGACCTCTTTTAAGTCTTCCTTTTTGCATTCAGACCCCCTCCCTGGAATGGACATTCATTATCATCCATCAAACAATATCCTAACTCTTCTTCAAAGTGACTCTCAGAAAACATTCATGATGACATTTCTTTTTAGAATCTCACACCTAGACTAATCTACACCTACCAATTTTAGTTATTACAAAAAACTGTTGTAAAACAACCTGCTCCTACCCTTTCGTTTGTTTGTTTTCTTCTTTTTCTTTTTGATATGGGGTCTCGCTTTGTCACCCCGTACCAGGCTGGAGTGCCATGGTACAATCATAGCTCACTGAAAACTCAAACTCTGTGGCTCAAGTGATCCTCCTGCCTCAGCCTTCCAAGTAACTAGATCTATAAGCACGCACCACCACACCTGGCTACCCAGCTAATATATGTGTGTGTATAGATGGATGTATCTTTTTTGTAAATATATTTTGTCTGTTTGTAGAGACAGCTGTATAGACAGCTAATATATGTGTGTGTATAGATGGATGTATCTTTTTTGTAAATATATTTTGTCTGTTTGTAGAGATAGCTGTATAGACAGCTAATATATGTGTGTGTATAGATGGATGTATCTTTTTTGTAAATATATTTTGTCTGTTTGTAGAGCCTGTTTGTAAAACAGGAAGGGGGGTTCATCAGCCAATGTGTGTGCACGTCCACACAGACACATCCACTAGGCATAAGACAGGATGTTTGTATTGCCCAGGGTGGTCTCAAAGTCCTGGCCTCAAGCAATCCTCCTGCCTTGGCCTCCCAAAATGCTGGGATTACAGGAATGAACCATTTGCCCAGCCGCTTTTTTCTTTTTCTCCCTTCCCTCCCTCCCTTCCTCCCTCCCTCCGTCCCTCTTTTCCTTTTTTCTTCCTTCCTTCTTCTTTTTTTTGAGACAGCGTCTGTCTCTGTCGCCTAGGCTGAAGTGTGCAGTTGCACAATCTCGGTTCACTGCAACCTCCACCTCCCAGGCACAACCAATCTTCCCACCTCAGCCTCCCAAGTAGCTGGAACTACAGGTGCAAGTCACCACATCCAGCTAATTTTTATATTTTTATAGAAATGGGGTTTGGCTGTTTTGCCCAAGCTGGTCTCAAACTCTTGGGCTCAAGCGATCCACCTGTCTTGGTCTCCCAAAGTTCTGGGATTACAGGCATGAGCCACTGCACCTGGCTTGAACCAATTTTTTTCTTAACTAAAGCCAATTGGGTCTGTCTGAGGCATTTAAAAAGTTTTTGACTTATATTTTTATTTTAGATATGAAACCTTAATATCAGTCAAAATCAGTATAAATAACATTCATTTGATAAGAAAAACTAAATACAAATAGTTCCAAGAAGTGTTAATATTTTTATCTTAATTGTTTTTGTAAGATTGAGCTGATTTGATCACTCCTTCTAGAAACACTACTCTCTCGGCTTCTGTGATATCACACTCAACTGATTTCCTTTCTACCTCTCTTGCTGTTCCTGCTTGTTCTCCTTTGCTAATTTTTACTTCTTTACTCAATTGCCAAATGCTACAGCATTTTGGATTTGCTTCAGTCTCTGTTCTCTATCCATTTTCTATTCATTGTTGACCTCATCCAACCCCATGAATTTAAAAACGATCTCTATGCTGATGAGTCTAAAATTTCTGTCTTCCATCCTGACATCTCCGCTGGTTTCAGATGTCTAATCCACATCTCCCTTTGTATGTTTAATTAAAATGGTTGTCACATGTATGGAAAAGGACTTTTAACTATCCTAGCCTTGTCCAACTAATTAAACCACTATTTACCTTGTTGTTCAAGCCATTTCATAGTCTTTTGTTTTTGTACCTCTCCATAGCTCTTCTCTTCTCTCTCTACAGACTAGCTTTTCTGCTGTGTATTACTTTCCTAGGGCTGGTGGCCAGGGCTGGATCCCAATTCCAGCCCCTGGCCTGGAAAAGTCACTGTGGATCAGGCTATGTCAGCTATAAATCCTGATCCTCCACAGGCAGAATAGGATAATAATCATGTTCTATGATCAGGTCTCAGGCATGGCTATGGGTGGGGCAATTTTCAGAGAAGGCAGTTGGTGATGCATGGGTTGCGCAGTCTTCCCAGTAATGTTTACTACACAGCCTTGCCAAATTTTCAGGAGTTTTTATATTCCTGACGCCCTTGACTTGCACATTCATGTAAAGAATCAGAAAGGAAAGATCATGCTTTTATCAGTCATGACTGTAGTCCAAAGACTTCTTTTTCTGCTCTATCATTTGTCTTTTTCTTACTGATTAAGAAATAACTTGGCCTATGTGATTTACCATCCCTCCTTGATATGAGACCTTTCTTCAAGATCAGTCCAGCAGGTTTTATTTTACTTTATTTTTTCCCTGAATGTGCCAGCCGAGTTTAGACAACGTGCACTTGCCAAGTAGGCCTTTTAGGGAGTAATCAAATATACTAGAAGCTATGATGACTAAGTACCCTCAAATTCAACCCGAGTCTGTTAAAATTGTCTCAACTGTAACCTTTATAATATGATCCTGAGTCACTGTGGGTGGTGGGGGTGGGGGTGGGGAGAGCACAATTATAGGAATTCCCCAAAACAGAAGAAATCTAGTGAGAGAAAAAAAAAAGAGCAAATGCTCCTAATTTTGACAATTCAATGAAAGTTTGAAGGATGATAAAGATTCACCTTTCCTTTGTATCTTCATCCATACTAAGCGCATCACAGAAGGAGAGCTGGTTTGTACAATCTATCTTTCTAAAAGAAAGTGGCATTCATGCTAAAAAATGAGGGGGAGAAGCCTCTAGCTGCATGAACTAGAATAATCTTTACTTATTTTTACTACTTTAGATTCTCAAGAGTAATTTTCAAACGGAAATCTACTGAGGGTTTTTTTTTTTTTTGGCTGGGATAGGCCTTCCTGTCTAGCAATGAAGCCATTTCCACTTAATAATTACAGGGTTGTTATGGAAATTCCCTTTTAAAAGTATTACTTTAAAAAATTGTGCAATGTTACCGCCTCCCCCCTCCCGCCGCAAGACCCTAAAAAAAACTTACATCACACCAAGAATAAATGATGTGATATTTTTTTCTGTAGGATTGCTGCCGTTAGAGAGAAATGAAAGCAATATTTTAGCAGCCTGTTGCTTCGCAGGATAAACATTGCCCTTATCATTCTTTGTGGATTGATTTTTGCCTGCTTGATGACAGAATTCTTCACATGACAGCTAAATTGTTTTGATTATTGAAAATATCACAAGACAAAATATGGTACAATCATAATTTCTTCCCTTTTCTCTCTTTAATCCAAATTATACATCAAAACCGAGAACATGGCCAGGCGTGGTGGCTCACGCCTGTAATCCTAACACTTTGGGAGGCTGAGGTGGGTGGATTGCCTGAGCTCAGGAGTTCAAGACCAGCCTGGGCAACACGGTAGTCCTCAACACCCCTCAACACAGTGAAACCCCATCTCTGCTAAACACGGTGAAACCCCATCTCTACTAAAATTAGTACAAAAAATTAGCCTGGGCGTGGCGGCATGCGCCTGTAGTCCCAGCTACTCAGGAGGCTAAGCAGGAGAATGGCTTGAACCTGGGAGGCGGAGGTCCCAGTGAACTGAGATCGCGCCATTGCACTCCAGCCTGGGTGACAGAGCTAGACTCTATCTCAAAAAAAGAAAAAAACAACCTGAGAAAAAACCAAGTCACTGGCAATGAGATTCACAAACTTATGAAAAGTAGGGAATAAAAAAACAGGATGAATCATAAAATATTTTTTGTATTAACTAGATAAAATCTATCCTTCTGAGTGATATTCCCACCTGTTTTCAAGCAAATGGATAAAAATCTCTGGTAAAATAATAGACTATGGAGAAGATTCAGGTAGGAGCTCCTGCTCTGCCTTCTTCCTTGTTTTTTCCAGTGACTATTGAAAAAAATGGGGAAGAAAAGAGACACTGATAAAGCTTCCAAATTTTCCCAGTAGGAGAGAATTATAAACTTTTCCTACAACTTTTTCGTTTTAGACAAAGAGTTTAGTGGTCAGATGAGTTTGGGGATCAATGTTGCTTACATACTCTGATTTCAGGCCTTAACTTCTTGTTAAGTTCCAGACCTATGTACCCAGCCACGTTTACAATGTGTCCTCCTGGAAGTTCTGCAGGCAATTCAAACTCCAAAACTTAACTCTCAGTGTTTGTTTCCATATCAGCTTCATTTCCTACCAGCTATCCCATTGCCCAAGTCAGAAAATTGGTATTCATGCCATGTGGCTCTCTCTCTGTCACCGCCCTCTCACCCTTGATCCAAGCCACCCAGTTCTTTTTACTTTGTGTCTTCCCCATCTCTCTGACATGCCTCCTTTTTCTCTTTCTCTCTCTCTCTCTTTTTTTTTTTTTTTTGAGATAGAGTCTTGCTCTGTCATCCAGGCTAGAGTACAGTGGTGTGATCTCGGCTCACTGCGACCTCCACCTATGGGGTACAAGGGATTCTCCTGCCTCAGCTTCTCAAGTAGCTGGAATTACAGGCGCTTACCACCATGCCTGGCTAATTTTTGTATTTTTAGTAGGGACAGGGTTTCGCCATGTTGGCCAGGTTGTTCTCAAACTCCTGACCTCAGGTGATACACCTGCCTTGGCCTCCCAAAGTGCTGGGATTACAGGTGTGAGCCACCGCGCCTGGTCTTTTTTTCTATTTTCAATCACTGGCGAGGCTCTCACTTGGTCTGCCTGTGATTACTCTCCTCCTTTTCCTCAAATTCATCCTTCACACTGTTGCCATAAATTTTCTATACAAATCCGCCCTAGACAGTCCCATGTTCGAAATACTTAGATGATTCCTCTTTAAGATAAAGTTCCTACCTTCACTTATTCCCCCTCAGATCTCCTATCTCCCTTACATGAAGCCTGTGCTTCAGAAGTTCCCTGAAGTTGATGCTCTCTCTTTCCAGCACTGCCTGCTCATACTGCTTTACTGGAACCCCTTCCCACTCTCGTATGATTGGCCAATTTCTTCTCATTCAAGGCTCAGTTGATGTGCAACCTTCCCTGACACTTCTGTATCCACCTTTCTGAGTAATGTGTTCCTCCTTTATGTTTCCTCAACATCTTGTACGTGCTCTGACACAATAGTAAAAGGCAATGTGATACTCAATAGCTGAGAAGAGCATTGCCACTGGAATCAGACAGATCTGGGCTTGAATTATGAGTCTGCCATTTACTAATATCAACCCAGAAATATAATCTCAGTAAACCTCATTTTTATCTATAAATAATACAGATAATAACAGCTATATTACAAGTGTAAGTAAACATAAGTCTATATAAGTTTTAAGTAAAATAAAATGTATACAACATAAAAATTAGTGCCTAGTATGATGTAGTTGTATCTCCCCCGTAACTGTGGGTATATCATGTTCTTTTTGGGATCCTCAGGGCCAAGAAGAGAGTTGGCTCAGAAATGCTGCTAAGATGTCAGCATTTGACACTATTGCCAACTTCCTCCTATAAATACACTCTCTTGGCTTAAATTTCTTGACACAATTCTCATCTCTGTTCTTCCTATCATTCTGGCTGCTCTTTTTTCTATATATTTTGCTGAGTATTTCTCATATACTTATCTTTTTAGAGTTCATCAGGCCCTGTCCTACTGCCTCTTTTTATCTCATTCTCTCTTTACCTCATTTGTTCAAAGATTAACTAACCAACTGCATAAGAATTACTTGCCTTCCTTTTCCTGGAAACATGCAGAGTAAGAATACTTAGTATTTGAGGGAGATGAGATCATGGATTTGCATTTTTAACAAGTTCTTTAAGTGAGTCTTCAACACACTACATTTGAAAATTGTGGCCGTAGAAATTTCTTCCTCTCCTGTATCTTCAAACACTATGCATTTGCTGAAGATTTTTAAATTTATGTCTGTGTCCCAGACTGCACTGTTGTATTCCCAACCCATATAGCCAACAGCCTCTTTGGCATTTTCCTCTGGAAGTTTCTCAGGCAAAGTGTTCAAACGTAAAATTTGTATACTTCTCTGCTAAGTATTTCTTAAACGAAGCAGCTTCTACCCAAATGCTCAAACCTAGGGACAGCCATCTCCTTCCTCTTCCCTCCCTCTGCTCTAGCACCAGAATGCGTGTAATATCTCTTGAATCTTTCCACTTCTTTCCAACCCCACTACATACCCTCTAGTGTAAGCCACAGTTTTCTCAGCCAGAATTTCTGTAATAGGCTTCTAATTCATCTTCTTAATGGTAATTAAGTATGGGCTCTGAGTCTGACTTTTAGGTTTTAAAATATCTGTTTGTCAAAACTTGTTTAACCTTAGTTTCTTCTTCTATGAGGGTGGGATAAAATAGTATCTACCTCAAAGGATTTTAAGATGAGTTACATAGGTAATTAATGTAAATCTCTTTGTAATGTATGGGACACACAAGAAGCTCACAATAAATTTTTATGAACCACTGCTACTCCCCTTCTGCCCATCAGCCACTCAGTGACAGTGATCCTTAAATATGCAAATCAAATCATCATACTTTTCTTAAAAACCCTACAATGGCTTTTTTTTTTTTTTTGAGATAGAGTTTTGCTCTTGTTGCCCAGGCTGGAGTGCGATGGCATGATCTCGGCTTACTGCAACTTCCGTCTCCCAGGTTCAAGTGATTCTCCTGCCTCAGCCTCCCGAGTAACTGGGATTACAGGCATGCACCACCATGCCCAGCTAATTTTGTATTTTTAGTAGAAACAGGGTTTCACTATGTTGGTCGGGCTTGTCTCGAACTCCTGACCTCGTGATCCACCTGCCTCGGCCTCCCAAAGTGCTGGAATTAACAGCCGTGCGCCACCGCGCCCAGCCTTTTTTTTTTTTTTTTTTTTTTTTTTTTAAGCAGTCTCCATCGCGCAGGCTGGAGTGCAGTGACGCGATCTCGGTTCACTGCAACCTCTGCCTCCTGGGTTCAAGTCATTCTTCTGCCTCAGCCTCCCGAGTAGCTTAGATTACAGGCATGCGCCACTACGCATAGCTAATTTTTGTATTTTTAGTGGAGATGGGGTTTTGCCATATTGGTCAGGCTGGTCTCAAACTCCTGACCTCAGGAGATCCACCCGGTTGGGCCACCCGAAGTGGTGGGATTACAGGCGTGAGCCACCATGCCTAGCCTTCGATGGCTTTTAATGTCTTTAAACTACAGTGGTTCCTTGGTATCCTTTGGGTAGTGGTTATAGTACCTCTCCCCTATTCCTGACACCCATGGATACCAAAATCTGCAGGTGCTTGAGTCCCTTATATAAAATGGTATAGTATTTGCATATAACCTATGCACATCCTCCTGTATAATTTCAATCATTTCTAGATTGCTAATTCAAGGTAAATGCTATATAAATAGTTGTCATACTGTATTTTAAATTTGTATTATTTTTATTGTTGTATTTTTGTTTTTAAAATTTTTCCAAATATTTTCTATCCTCATTGGTTGAATGCATGGATACAGAACCCTCAGATAAAAAGAGCCCAGTGGATTGACCTTTATATGGCTTTTGCGATCCCGTATGGTTGTTTAGCCACAGTTTAAAGTCCCACTACCATTTTTCACTACTCTTTCTTTTGATTTTTTCCCTCCAGCAATTCTGGATTTCTTTTGTTACTTGAGTGGACCATTCTCTCCTTTGCATCTAGGCCTGCATAGTATTTCATAGATTTTAGGAGAAAAAAACACTTTATTATGATGGGCTACTTCCTTTGAATTCAGTTTCTCCTTCTTACCTTTTTATACCAATTATTACAATTGTAATTTTGTTCTTTGGCCATTATTCCTATATTCCACTTTGATGGTGAGGAACATATCTGTCTTCTTCATGGTTGTTTTTCCCCAGTGCCTGGCACATAGAAGACATTTGATAATATTCATTGACTGAATGAATATGATGTTCAATGTATTAATCATTTCCCATTTCTACTTTGCATATTCTGTCTTAAATAATGATTGTATTTTCTGTAGAGTCTCACTTTGGATATTAGATGTGTACTAGGATTAAGTAAAAATAACTGAACAATGTTCTAAAAATTCTGAGATTTCTATCGGAGAAATATTTACATCTGCAAAATTTTTCCTAGAAAATAAGTTCCCAGAAATGATACATTTTTGATGTCCAATAAATAAATTATTCATTCAATAAAATTGAGTGTTCTTAATTATAAAAACATTTCTTAATCCTGTATGGTATGTTACTTCTACTTAATATGACAAAACTGCTTTCAGACATATTATTAAACTTGAAAAGGGATATTAAGTTTTATTTGGATAGAAGGACTAAATATTTTATAAAATGTATTTAATCATTGTCTGCCCTTTGTTACTTTTCAATATGATAGCCTATAAATATGTAATTGATAACTCTGTAAACTAATAGAAAATTTGAGGTCTATGGTATTGATGTTATCAAGACTCCTTAGATCATTTTAAGTTTTCTTTCTTATTCGTTTTTTTTTTTTTTTTAAGAGATGGGGTCTCCCTTTGTTGTCCAGGCAGGAGTGCAGTGATGCAATCATCACTCTCTGCAGCCTTGAACTCTTGGGCTCAAGCGATTCTCCTGCCTCAGGCGCCTGAGTAGCTTGGACTACCGGCATATGTCACCACACCCAGCAATTTCTTATTTTTTAATTGCAAAGAAAATCTTTACCTTTTTCTTTCTGACTTGAAGCAGGTCATCAGATTGTCAACAGCTGCACCTTTCCTCATTTTGATGCTTATTTACCCCCTTTATTTACCCCCATAGCTACTCCCACACAGCTGAAATAAATGGGTAATTTATTAGAACCCAGCCTCTTAATTAGTTATACACCTTTAACATTGGCTTGAATCTTGGAGGCCCATCCCAGCACCCACATTGGTTCCAAGATTTTCAGCCTAGTGTAGTGGCTATAAATAGCTCATTTCTATCTACACTTAAGTTTTGAAAGAAGGAAAGAAAGAAAGAGAGACAGAAAAAGAAAGAAAGAAAAGAAAGAGAGAAAGAAAGGTTGCTGTAGTTAGAGTCAGAAGAAGAGTTTGTTGAAGAAGTAGAATTTGTTGAAGTTGTTAATTCTGGTAATAACTGCTAACCAGCTGCTAGATAGAAAATATGAAGAGAGAAAAATCGAGCCCTAGGTCACCATTACTTCACTGTGCCTCTGACATTAGCTCTTCCCCCAGGATATACATAGTAAGTAATTATTTTATATATTTCAATTTATTGAGTGTCTAATATACGCAGCAAGCTATCTCAAATCTTCTAATTATGTATTTTTGAAATGAAGAAACTGCCTATCAGGTTAGGTTTGGTTAAATAATGTGTCCAGAGTCCCTTGTACAGTAAATTGTGGGGTCTGGTGTTTCTTCCTAACTGTAGGGACTGTTCTCTTTCCAGGGTGCCTCACTGCTTTTATCCTCAAGTGATTTACTTTAAATCATTTAAAGCAGATCAACTTTGTATCCAAGTGGCTGATTTTAAAAATGACCCATCACTTATCGTATCTGCTGCAGCTCCCCCAACCCCTCCTCAAGCCCAGGTAGCATCAGTGGACTCCTCTTTGGTTGGCTTTCTCCACTACTCCACACCTCCCTCCACCTATTGGGAAGGTGGCCTTCCTTGAAGGTATCATGTCATCGAAGTACTGCTTCCATTAAGTCATAAGTCTACTTAGAGTTGCCTTTGTTCAGAACAAAATAGTCAATTTTTGTGCACAGTATAAAACGAGAGAAGGCCTCGACCAAAACTATCTCCATAGAAATTTCATCAATAGAAATTTGCTCCTTTGGCTTTACAAGCCACTTAAAGCTGTTTAATTTGCCTGAAAGGGTTAACACTTGTTGCCACTATTTAGCTTAAACTGAACCTTTTTTTCAATAGTTTTCCTTCTACCAGTAAGCTGAAATCAGCTTTCTTGAGTAAATGTAAGTTTTAATGCAGGGTGGGGTAGGATGGAGTGAATGAGAAAGGGAAGATGGGTGGATGTGGGCTTTAAGGTATTAATGAAGTTCAGTTTTGGAGTAGAGCCCAAAGGGAGAGCAGTTCTAGAACTCATGCTAGTCTCTTGTAATAATTGGAACTTCCAGAGATAGGCAAAATCTGCTGGCTCCTCCAGAGGAGGTAACACAAAACGCAAGGAATGTGGCTATGGCTCAGTCTTGGAGATAAGATGCATCCCAGTTTTGTTAAGGCCAACTAACTACTAAACTCTGGAAAAGTGGTATTACATCCTTGTCTTCAGCCACAGGTTTTTCCCTAGTGAAAACACTTCCAAGTATATTTTGTCTCATTCATTCTAAGTCCCATCTATGTTTTGGTGAGAAATTATTAGGTTGCATGCTACAAACTCCCACACAACCTGCTTTGGGAATTTTCTTGTAAGCACCCTGGGGACTCTCATGAAAGAAAAGTGCAGCACATATAGCTGGCCTCACGCGAACTGGACATTTGTCAGGAAGTGACTCTCTGTTTTTCTCCCTCCCTAGAGCTACATGATTTTTTGTCCCAGCTTCTCCACGTGTGTCTGCTATATTCTTCGGTCTCTGGAGACTAATTTCCTATAAACATTTCCATATAGGAAGCGTAAAAGAACAAAAATTTGTGGTAGTTGTAGTTGGAGTGTTATAGGACTTGTACAGAAGCTGCGAGCTGACTGTTTTAAATTAGACCGTGTATTAATTTGGGATGGATTGTAGGGGGTTTCAGCTACCACTGACACACCATCACACGTCCCTGTGAATCTGGCCTGTCTGTGAAAATCCTGGCAGATGATTCAATGTGGCCTTTCAGTGTCTCAATTCCAAATTCCTAGACCAGAGAATAGTTGCCCAGCTTCAATCTCTCATCAGTGCTCAACCCATTATTAATATTCCCCTCCTCTTCCAGCATAGTGTTTTGGCCCAAACCAAGAAAGATGCAAGTGAACAGCTTTCTATATATAATAGAGAAACTTGGAGCCCTGTACTGTCCCAGATGTTATCTTATCACCTTGGTATTTCTTTTTCGTACATGGGAACAACAAAGCATGTATCCTGACTTAGAGTGGAAAGCAAAATAAAAGCACCCATTGGTAATAGCCTTCCTCAAATCCCCTGAACCAGACATCTCCCATTTCCTTTGACTAAGCTCATTTCCTGACAGCCAGCCATCTGCCTTTCAGGACTCTTAAATTGTAGTTTACTAAAAAACAAGCAGCTATGTACACTCCCTCTTCACTTGCTGACATCATCTTTGGAAGGTAATTTCTTAGAGTTTTCATCTATGTGAATTCTTTGATGTGATTAAATTGTATACACACACGCACACAAACACCATGAATGTAGTTTAAAGAATAACTGTTCATAAAACTTTAAAAAGTCTAGAAATTGTAAGCAAAATTAAAACCCTTTTTATTTTCAGGCCTTATTTTTTGTTATTTTATTTTGAGACAGTTTCGCTCGTGTCGCCCAGGCTGGAGTGCAATGGTGTGATCTTGGCTCACTGCAGCCTCTGCCTCCCGTGTTCAAGTGATTCTCCTGCCTCTGCCTCCAGAGTAGCTGGAATTACAGGCACATGCCACCACGCCCGGCTAATTTTTGTATTTTTAGTAGAGATGGGGTTTCACCACGTTGGCCAGGCTGGTCTCGAACTCCTGACCTCGTGATCTGCCCACCTCATCCTCCCAAAGTGCTGGGATTACAGGCATGAGCCCCTGTACCCAGCCCAGGCTGACTTTTTTATTTTTGGTAATTTAAAAATTTGAGTCTACTCATAAGGCTGTGTATTTATTGGTGATATTTCTGACAGTTTGTTGTGATACAATTTGAGATGCTGGGCTTCTTCCATTTTTTCTTTCTTTCTTTGCCATGTTTTCGATTTCAATCATTTACCTAAACTTATTTCTTACAACATAAAAAACTGTATTCAGAGCTCACTTTTTTGGATTTCCTCTTCTAAATAAAATAAGACTACACTCCCGCCCCTCTTCCCCACCACCGCCCCACTCCCGCCCCACTATCTTCTGTTTGCAGTTTAGGCCAAAATGTGTGTGATCATTAAAAACAAAAACAGAACTAAACCTCGCAAGCAGGCTGCAGCTCTGGCTGGGTTCCAGGATTCCATTAGCCAGACAATGGGTGGCCCCAGCTGAGCCAACAGGCAGCCTGAGTGTTGTGGGAGGAAGCCTATCTTGCCCTCTTTGGGTGTCGGGCTACCTGAGCAGGGTCTAAGGCAGGTTGAAGCTCGGAATGGGGTAAACAGATTGTTTTGCAAACAGTTGGTAATAAACGTTTAGCATGGCCTGTACTACTTATATTTGCATTAAAAATCAATTAAATTTGGTAGTGTGCATTTAATATTCTATTTTACAAGTTTATTTTTTTCCTCTTAGAATTATTTAAATAAAACTGCAACCAATTTTGGAATAACTACAGGAGAGCAAGAAATAGCTTAGCAGAAAGCTAAAAATAGATATATTCTTTTAGTTTCTTTCTTATTTCCAAAAGACTTAGCACTATACTTGGGATTATAAAGACTAAAACAAATAAAACAATAAAAAATGCAAGGATTAGCATTTCATTGCATTAAATAAGCAACTGCTGCCTTCTATATTTGGATTTTGAATCTCTCAGCAATTTTGTTATTACTCTGTATGAAATTACCACAAGTGAAGAGGACTGACATCTGATAAATGTACAAGCCTGAAGTTATATTTTTGAGAGGACATTTTAATTTAAAAAACAACACATGAAAAAGTCTTTAGTTTACCAAGCACTTTGAAGTATGTTATTTCAGTTACTCCTCCAAATAACCGACACAGTCTCTAGAAGGTACAGTCCACGAAGACAGGGATCTTGGCTAACTAATCATGGCATTCATAGACCCCCCCCTGGAGAAAACCTCTGAGTTCCACTGAACTGTAATGTGCCAAGGTTGTACTGGTACTTCACATACAGAATTTCATCTCATAACAGCACCTCCCAAGAACTCTCTCTTCACCCTAAATTGAGAATTTTAAAAATCACATTTTATAGAAGAGTAAACTGAAGTTCCTATAAGACCTCCCATTCTTAGCAAACTTTTTTTTTCTTTTTTACTCAAAGCCACCATAGCACAAAAAATTATATGCTTAAAGTTATGCAGCTTCTAATTGACAGATCTAGGACATCTATCCATATGTTATGTCTCTAGCTACAGTCCTCTTTCCACCAAATGTCACCTGTTATTGTAATTTTTTTAATCCATCATTATGCAAACACTGAGGAACAGGGAGACATCATAAGCCTGGGCTGGAAAAGAGAGTTAGCTAAGTTGTGGAATGGACCTAAGTGTCCATCAACAAATAAATAGATAAATAAAATGTAGTACATATGCACAATGGAAAACAACTATTCACCTTAATAAGAGAGAAATTCTGTCATTTGCAACAACAGGGATGTACGTGAAGGACATTATGCTAAGTGAAGTAAGCGAGGCACAGGAAGAGAAATACCACATGTTCTCACTCTATGTGTAATCTAAAACAATGAAACTCATAGAAACAGAGAGTGGAATGGTAGTTAACAGAAGCTGGGGGCTGGTGGAAATGGGGAAATACTGGTCAAGGAAGACAGTGTTTCAGTTAGGAGGTATAAATGTTTGATATGATGGATATGTTAATTGGCTTGATTCAATCATTCCATATGGTATCATAGCATCACTTTGTAGCTCATAAATATATGCAGTTATAGATCATCAACATTCAATCAAATAAAATAAAGTAAAAAATTTAGGGTTTGCTTCAGGAGGTTGACAAGGGTCTTGAAGGAAGACTCACAATCCCTCCCAGTCAGATTAAAGAGGGTAGAAAGTAGCATACAGCCCCCAAATTGTCATGGCTAGCAGCAAAGTGGAAAAACAGGATCCAGATTTTCAGGATCCCTGTGTTTTTTGTTCATGCCTGCCCCACAGTTCTTTCCCTCTTGGGGAAATACCTATTTTTTAAGGTCCACTCCTTTGTCACCCTCCTCATTCCTCGTCTCCTCACCCTTTAAAGGGCTACTTTTGATCTCAACCTTTAGAGAAAGGTAGAGCATGCTGGCTTCTGGAGCTTAGAACAAAAGGTTAGCATCTAGGGAGACAGATTCAGAGTTCACATGTACCAACAACATATGCTGACTTGGATATTTTGGGTTTCAGTTTAAGGAGATGTCCTGCAAACTTTACACAAACACCCATTCTAGGTTATTTCTATCAAGTGAACTTGAGTCAGGCAGGGGAGGGCAGTGCTGAGACACCAGGAGGAAAACAGCATGCATGGGGCAAGGCAGACTCTATTAGAAGTAAACAGGATATGGGTGACCTGGGAAACATCCCCAAAACAGCATGTTTAGGCACATCTCTCACTAAGCTTTGAACTTGCAAAGACAAAAGCTGGGTTGCCCTTTAAGGAGAAGAAAAAAAAAGGAATACTCTTGTTTTCTTCTCCATACTTGTTTCTAAAGGAAATATATTGATTGAAAAATCTCAAAATCCTTCCTGTGTGATAATTTTTCTTCTTTTTTCTATTTCATATTTTCTATTTGTTTATAGTTTAACATGTTGCATTCTGCATACAAATTTGATCTAAAATCTGGATTTTATATTTTTGATTTGAAAAACTATCTAATCTTAGTTGAATTCACAAAGATTTTTAAAATAAAACAAAGTAGTGAATGAAAAAAGAAGAATTTCTTTTGGCTTTCACTTAGAACATGTGGTTTCTTTATCAAAGGATGACAGGTTCTCCAGCCACACCCAGGAAGTCTCTTAAAAATATTGATAAAGCTGTCACTGCAGACATATTCTTGGGTAAAAGAAAATAAACATATTACTAATGTTCAAAACTTATATTTTGTGGAAAAAAATATTTTCTCGAAGTATGCGGTGAAGCAAAATGTTAGAAAATGTGTATACATTAATGCATTGATATAAACTTTAAAAAATCACCATAACACTTTAGCTTCTGATTTTGTTCAACTTCACTAAATGAACTTCTGTGAGATATTTGAATTCCCACAAGTAGATTAATTGGGTGGAGAAGTTTATAGACCCCAATTTAGTGAAATGAAAAAGTTATTAAAATATATGTAATTATTCAAACAAGTATTTTGAAGCATCTACTATGACTAGATTATAAAGCATGTACAGATTAAAAATAAATTAATCTCTAAATTCACCTACAGCTAAATTCAAATTCAAGGCTAATTTTGAAGAAAAGGTTTGAATTTAGTGGAAAAGCTGATTAGAAGCAGGTTACAAACTATTATTTTCTTATTTTAAGACAAAAAGTGTACATGAATCCAGCTTGCATAGTTCATATTTTCCAATTGATTTGTAGGCCTGTTTATACTCTTCTTCTTCTTTTTATTTTTTGAGACAGGGTCTTGCTCTATTGCCCAGGCCAGTGTTCCAATAGTGCAGTCATAGCTCACTGCAACCTCCCAGGCTCAAGAGATTCTCCGGCTTCAACCTCTTGAGTAGCTGGGACTACAGGTGTGCACCACCATGACCAGCTAATTTTCAAAAAACATTTTTAGTAGAGATGAGGTCTCACTATATTGGTCAGGCTGGTCTCAAACTCCTGGACTCAAGTTATCTTTCTGCCTCAGCCTCCCAAAGCGCTGGGATTACAGGTGTGAGCCATCATGCCTTGCTGCCTACCTAGAGTCTTAAATTTCTTCAATTAAATATTTTCCCTAACTTTTTTTTTTTTTTTTGAGACTGAGTTTTGCTCTTGTTGCCCAGGCTGGAGTGCAATGGCACGATCTTGGCTCACCGCAACCTCCGCCTCCCGGGTTCAAGCAATTCTCCTGCCTCAGCCTCCCGAGTAGCTGAGATTACAGGCGTGCACCACTACGCCCTGCTAATTTTGTATTTTTAGTAGAGACGGGGTTTCTCCATGTTGGGGCTGGTCTCGAACTCCTGGCCTCAGGTGATCCGCCAGCCTTAGCCTCCCAGAGTGCTGGGATTACAGGCGTGAGCCACCGCGCCCGGCCTATTTTCCCTAACTTTTTGACTCAGATGCTGTATTAGTCTGGGTCTTTCAGAGAAACAGAACCAATAGCACACGTGTGTATGTGTGTGTGTATTTATTCTAACTAACTAGAAATTTACGTTTAATTCACATTTATTTGGCTTATATGACTGTAGAGGCTGATAAACCCAAAATTTGCAGGGCAGACCAGCCATGTGGAAACTCAGGGAAGGGTTATTATAGTACAAGTCCAAAGACAGTGTTGAGGCAGTTGCTTCTTTCTTGTGGGACTCCAGTTTGTTTTCCCTTAAAGCCTTCAAGTTAGATGATACCCACTACATTATGGAGCGTAATCGGCTTTGCTCAAAATCTACTGGTTTAAATGTTAATCTCATTAAAAAAAAAACTTCACAGCAACATCTATACTGGTATTTGACCAAATATCCGAGTACTGTGGCCTAGCTAAGTTAACCATTGGAGTTGGCAATTATAAAACTACTCCTTTAGTCTCTGAAGTTAGATAATCAAGTTAGATTCTATGAAGAAATAATATATCAACACTATAAAGGGAATGGAGAAATTTTCCATGGGTTCTGCGGCAGATAATATTAGTTGCCTGCTTAACAGAGTTGCTAGATTTAGCAAATAAAAATACAAGATGTGCCGGGCGCGGTGGCTCATGCCTGTAGTCCCAGCACTTTAGGAGGCTAAGGTGGCCGGATCGCCTTAGGTTGGGAGTTCACGACCAGCCTGACCAACATGGAGAAACCCCATCTCTACTAAAAATAGAAAATTAGCTGGGTGTGGTGGCGCGTGCCTGTGATCCCAGCTACTCAGGAGGCTGAGGCAGGAGAATCACTTGAACCCGGGAGGTGGAGGCTGTGGTGAGCTGAGATCTTGCCATTACACTCCAGCCTGGGCAACAAGAGCAAAACTCTGTCTCAAAAAAGCAAAAACAAAAATAAAAACAAACAAGATGCTTAGCTAAATTTGAATTTCAGATAAGCAATAAATGTTGTGGTATAACTATGTCTCACATATTGTATGGGGCTTACTTACATTAAAAACTTTACCTGTTTCTGTGAAATTCAAATTTAGCTGCATGTCCTATATTATATCTGGCAAACTTACCCCTTTGTATTGAGTACCAAATTTTTTTTGGAGATGAGGGCATCTTGCCCAATCTAAATTAGTGTTCCAGCCCCCAGTTAGGCTGGTGGTTGGACACATAGTTGTAGCCAATGAAATATAATTAGAAGTCAAATGATTGACTTCCATTTTCTCTTTTTGATCTTTGCAGTTTCTTAGTTCTTTATGTCCAAAAGCAAATATGGTATGTGGAGGAGGTAAAGCCATTTTGTGACCTGGAAGATGAGGGGCACATATTAAAAATGGCAGAATAAAAGAGACAGAGCCTGGCTTCATAATGATATCTTGAATTGATTCACCAGCCCTGGATTGCCTGCTTTAGAATTTCCTGTTATGTGAAACATAAACCTTTATTTGCTTAGGCCACTGTAGTTATGTTTCTTTTACATGAAACTGCACAGAAAACTAAAAATTGTACATTTCCGTGAGTCTTTTGCAATCAAATTCAGAAAAAACCTTAGTTTACTTCTGGAAGATATAGCTTCTTTTCCAATCTTCTAGTGCATGAAAACAACCTTTTCTACTTTCTCATTCCTGAGTGAATTGGGGGTGTAGAATTGTCTCTATAGCCAGTCTGAGGAAATGATAGTTTTTTTTCCTTTCTGTATTTTGTGTACTTGTGCACATAAATATGTGCTGCAGCAAGAGTTAATTTTGTCAACTACCAAAATAAGAGACTGGTTTGAATTTTATAATAACCTTGGAAGCAAAAAAGGGATTCACTTTGGATATTCCCTAAACAATGTCTTTACATTCTGTTCCAAATTGTGTTGCTCTTTATCAGAACAAGTTAATAATTTAAGAAACAAGAAAATAATCAGCTACTTTTCCAAGAGATATAGTGTAAAAGTAGACATGGTCTAATTCAGTGAGATTTAGCAGTCCATGAGGATGTACTTGGAATATAAGGGGAAAAAAGGCATTTTTAATTAGTTGTAGTAAATCAAGTAGTAGCTGCAAGTAAATTAAGTACTCAAGTAATACAAGTAAATGTGGAAAAAACAAATACAGGACTATTTGTATCTGAAAAAATAATGCAGCTCTCTCATGAGAGCCGATGCAGTTTAGATTTATCAGGCACAAAATAAATTTAGTATACTTTCAAAGGTACATTAAGAATCATAATATCTTTTGAAGTCTTTACTGTTCACACATCCCTGGCCCTTCTGTTCACTTCAAAGGAGTTTGTGAATTGCAAGAGCTTTTGTGTATTAAAGGATTATATCTGGTCCATTGAGAATACTGTACAGGTAGAGGACATAGTGCTTGATTTTTATATTACTAAATAAAGAAAACTGGAAATTACTTATGTCTTTTGGTTATAACCAAGCCATTCAATCTTTCTGAACCCTAATTTATCAGCACAAAAAATAACAATGATTATAAACATCCATTCCTAAGGAGTGTTGAAATGAATAACATGAAAGAATTAATACTTTGAGAAAACAGATCTTCTATCATTTGTTTCATGATTGCTTTTCAGGATACAAAATCATTTCTTTAGTGAATAAACCCATATTTGACAATAGTAAGTATATGAGTTCCATCAGTGAAAGGAAATGTATGAAAAGAAGAATGTTTTAAAAGTAATGTTTTTTTAGATAGTGTATACTGTCCATTATTTTACTTATAAATTACCCCATTATTATGTAGAGCTTGTAAAATTTTAGAAAACCCAAACTCAAAGGATATGAAAAGAATTCACGTGCTGGTAAAATATTTTATACTCTAATATTAGGTTAATATTTTAGGTTATAATTGTATTTATTAATATTAGGTTAATATTAGGCGTGTATTAGTATTAGGTTAACATTTTAGGTTATCACTGTATTTATGACACAATTTTAAACCGTATGGAAGATAGTTTTTTTTTGATTTTAACACAATGTTAATACTATACATTACTGATGTCATTTTAAATAATACCTGATCATGTATAAATTACTTTTATACAAAAAAGATATTCTTATTTTTAGAGTTTAATTGATCAATAGCTGAGATACAGCTGTACTATATGCATAACTAGAATATATATATATATATATTTTTTTTTTTTTAAATGGAGTCTTGCTCTGTTGCCCAGGCTGGAGTGCAGTGGTGCTATCTCAGCTCACTGCAACCTCCACCTCCCAGGTTCAAGCGATTCTCCTGCCTCAGCCTCCCGAGTAGCTGGGACTACAGGCGTGTGCCACCACACCCGGCTAATTTTTTGCATTTTTAGTAGAGATGTGGTTTCACCATGTTAGCCAGGATGGTCTCAATCTCCTGATCTCGTGATCGCCCGCCTCAGCCTCCAAAAGTGCTGTGATTACAGGCGTGAGCCACTGCTCCCGGCCAACTAGAATATATTTTTATACTATTTATACTATAAATATATTTTAGTATATAGTAAAAAATGTATTTTTAGTATATTTACTAAATGTATATTTAGTATAAATGAAATAAATTTAGTACATTTTATTTATACTAAATTTAATTTATTACTAAATTTATTTCATTTATACTAAAAAATTTGGTATAAATTAAATATATTTATGTTATATATAAATATATAGATCTTTTATATCTATAGTTTAAAATTTTAGTGTAAATTAAATAAATTTAGTATACTATTTATACTAAAAGTATTTTTATACTATTTTATATTATGAAAATATAATGATATAAAGCAGAGCTTGATGTTCCCCATACTCTTTTTTTTTGAGACGGAGTCTCCTTCTGTCACCAGGCTGGAGGGCAGTGGCGGGATCTTGACTCACTGTAACCTCTGCCTCTCGGGTTCAAGCCATTCTCCTGCCTCAGCCTCCCGAGTAGCTGGGACTACAGGCGCGCAGCACCATGCCCAGCTAATTTTTGTATTTTTATTAGAGACGGGGTTTCCCCATGTTGGCCAGGATGGTCTCAATCTCTTGACCTTGTGATCTGCACGCCTCAGCCTCCCAAAGTGCTAGGATTACAGCCATGAGTCACTGCGCCTGGCCAGTGTTCCCTATTATATTCTTTTAAAATTGTATGTATATGCTTACATACTCACTTACTTATGTATATATAAAAATAGAGAAAAATAACAAAATAAGAAGCTCCTAATAAGAAACTCCTAAAAGGAGGAGTTGGGAGATGGAAAAACCTCCCTGGCACTTCTGTCACGTCACATTTAGTCTAGTTTCTGATCCTCAGGGACATGCCTTAGGGTTACTGTGGTAATTGGCACCTGTGCCTTTACCAATCATCTGATCAGAGTAAGCAGTTCCAACTAGTGCATGAAGCAGTTTGCCAGCTGCCTCCTATCACCAAGGCAAAGGGTTCATGTTGGAATTTTCTTTCTTTTTATGAGCACCAGAATTTATTCTGATTTATGCTTGTTTGAACTGTGTACTCCTGTCTAAATGCTGTCTTAGACATTAATTTTAATCCAGTTTTCCCTGTATCTAAATGTGAGGGCTGGCCAACAATGTAATTACTGCTTATAGTTATTCAAACTGAGAAATGATGTTTAGAAAAAGTATTAGTCCATTTTCACTTTTATACAATGAAGTACACTGAATACCAAAGCATAGATGTATTTGAGAATAATTTGAAAGTTGAAACCCTGATTGGCATCTACCCAGAAAATTCAGCTAATCAGAAAATTACAATTCCTAAGCATTCCACAAATTGGAATTTTTATGATAAAAAATCAATATAATTATACTCAGCATAATTTAATTTTATTTACAAATAGAGCATTATCTTTCCATGCTTTTAAGTAATCATGATAGACATGCAACTAAAAACCGGTCTGGACTCCCTCAGTTACTATCAGAAGTTCATGCCACCCAGCGTCCATGTCACACCACCCTCAACATGATCTAGTCTCCTACCCCCCACCTCCCATAATCTTTCCACTGTGCTCAGCACTGTGCCTTTCCACAAAAGGAAAATCTCCATTATGCTTATTTGTATTTTCTTTCCCTGCCTTATGGGACATCAGATTCCCACCATTTTCCTCCTAATCCACTGGTTGCCCCTTCATGATTTTTTTAATGGCTCTCTTGCTTTTCCCAGCTTCTAAATACTAGAGTGTTTTTCACTTTGCTAACTTTACTTTCTAGGTGAGCTCATCCAATCTCACGGCTTTAAATAATCTCCTTCTCTGACTTTCCCTTTGACTCCTACACTTCCACATATGTTTGTTTATTCCTTATTTCTATTTTGGCATCTAATTAGCATCTTGAAATTAATGTGTGAAATAGGACTATTGAATTTCACCTTCTTACCTCAAAATTTGCTCTTGCCTTTCCCTTCTTCACTTCAGTATACAGTATTTATATACATCCGTGCTCTTAGGCAAAAAAGCTAGATATTGTCTTTAACTTCTTTCTCTCAGAGTCCAATGCAATAGTCCTTTGGCCCTACCTTAAACTATATTCTGAATTGAACTACTGTTTACATCTTCCACAATTACCAACTCATCCCAGCCACTGCTATTTGTGGCCTGGCCTACTGCAAAAGCTACCTGACTGGTCGTCCTACTTCTGTATTTGCTCACCTACAATGTATTTTTTTTGTTTTGTTTTGTTTTGTTTTTGAGACGAAGTCTTGCTGTGTCACCCAGTCTGGAGTGCAGTGGCATTATCATGGATGACTGCAACCTCTGCCTCCCAGGTTCAAGCAATTCTGCCTCAGCCTCCTAAGTAGCTGGAATTTCAGGCATGCTCCACTACACCCAGCTAATTTTTGTATTTTTAGTAGAGATGGGGTTTCACCATGTTGGCCAGGGTGGTCTTGAACTCCTGACCTCAGGTGATCCGCCCACCTTGGCTTCCCAAAGTGCTGGGATTACAGGCAAGAGCCACTGTACCCGTCCAATCTATTTTTTATATAGCAGATTTCAATCCTTTAAAAATGTAAATTTAGTTTTTTAATCTCCTTGTCAATGTTTTCCAAAGACTTTTCATCACATTCAGGGTAAAAGCCAAATAATTTTCAATTAGCTACAAGACCCTACATGGACAAACCTTTTCCTAATGTCCTACTATTTACCCTGACCCAGTTGGCTTCAGCTCACAATGCATTTCTTGCCGCCTTAAGCAGGTCAAGATTTGCCTGCATCTGAATCTGTACACTACTTTTCCCACTGCCTAAGCACTCTTTACCAAAGCCTCTTCGCATCTATCTCATTCACATCATTCAGATTACTTCTCAAATAGACAAATAAAGACCTTATTGAGAGGTGTTTTATTTACAGCTTTTTGTTCCCTTCCTACCTTGCTGAAATTATATGATTTTTTAAAAATACGTATCACTACTTGAAATTTTGTGATTTATTTATTAAATAAGAATGGGACCTAATTTATCTTGTTCACAGCTTATATAGACACCCCCAGTCCATAATTAACAATTAGTATTTGTTGAATGAATAAATGAATCTATTAACACTGTGGTTTTATTATTTTTAATGTATGAAATTGGTAAAAATCTCTTCTCAAAATATGTTATATCACAGACATTTTTAAATTGCTTATTCAATGTGCATATTTTAAAATTTTTTTTCTAAAATGTAGTGAGAATTTTTTCATGAGTTTTGTTGCTAAAAAGAGATACTTGGGCCTCATCTTGGGCTTCTTACTTTGGTGAGGTTTATTTACTTTTCTAAAAATTTGTGATCTCAACGATCAGTTCAGAAGCAAAGATAATACCTCTTTGTGTTTTTTCTTTTTTTCTTTTGAGACAGAGTCTCATACTGTCACAGGGGCTGGTGTGCAGTGGCACAATCTCGGCTCACTGCAACCTCTGCCTCCCGAGTTCAAGCGATTATCCTGCCTCAGCCTCCTGAGTAGCTAGGATTACAGGCACCAACCACCACGGCCGGCCCAGCTAATTTTTTTATATTTTTAGTAGAGATGGGGTTTCACTATGTT